>NC_000023.11:114331198-115738949 GCF_000001405.40 Homo sapiens | reverse complement strand
GATCGCAGGGCAAGGGCCTGCGCACCCCCAAAGACAAGCGGGGTCCCCGGAAGGCCCCCAGGCAGAAATGAGCACCACGGGGAACGGCCCGCCTCCAAGACAACCTCGGGGACATGGACACAACAAGACAGGGTGGCAAGTCTCAACAAGGCGGGTGCGCGGCGTCTGAAGGTGGCCGGGCCGGGCCGGGCCGGCCGGGCCTGCCTTGCGTCCACCTCGTCAAGAACCGTCTGGGTACGGCCGCGATGCCCGCGGCCCACCTTCCTCCCTAGGACGCAAGGAGGAAGCCCCGGCCCGGCCAGCAGCGCGGCACCCGCCCAATGGCCACGGAACTCAGCACTGGCAGTCGCGCCTCGCTCACACCGCAGGCGTGCAGTGTGGCCGACGGAGCTCCCGGGCCGAGGACCCAGCTAGGCCGTCACCCCGGTTGCTCCACGGGAAGGGGCAGGGAAAACATTGGAATTTGGGGAATTCTACGGTTCCCGGCAAGCCCAGCTGACCAAGAGTTCAAAGGCAATGGGTTCCAATTGACGGTTGGGGTTTTGCCTTCAACCTTCAGGTGAACCAAAATTTCCGAATTAGCGGGACCGGCACCGGGGCCTTTTTAACTTGGAAGAACCGCCAAGGGCTGGGGGAAGGAGCCCACGCCAGCTTACTTACCGCAGGAAAGGGAAGCAAGTGGCAACCCCAAAAACACTTTTCTTCCTCACACCCTGCCTACGTCAAACTCTCCACCGCTCTGCCCAGAAGGCTGCACGTACAACACACACAGAGGCGGGCATTTCCCTGACGACTCGTGTGTGCCGTGGGGGAGCGGTAGATGCCCAGCCCCAAGTGTTCCGATCTTCCTGCCCAAACATATTCTGTGACGGAAAGCCTATGTTGACCTCGTCCGGCACTCAAGGCGTGGGCAGCGGCTAACGTCTGCTGCGGGAACACAGTCGCGTTGAATGCTATTCTCAAGACAGACAAAACAGTGGGAAGACACTACGCCAAGCTGCTAACTCCCTGGCCATTGCCGGACTCTTTCACCCCCATGGGACTTTCCGCTGGCATTTTAAACAACATAGTTTCTTTTCTCTGTCTCTTTCTCTTTCTCTCTCTCTTTCTCTTTCTCTCTCTCTCTCTCTCTCTCTCTCTCTCTCTGTCAATCTCATAATTTCTCTCTCTCGTGCCACGTTCCCACCCAACGCTCTCTCGCCCACTTCTAGCCAGGGCTGCCCAAAGCGCCCGAGATGCTGATCCGCCATGTGCGGGGCGCTGTTGGCGTTTTTTCCTCAGCAAAGGGCGGAGGGAGTGGACGTGGGGGAAGGGCAGGTGGGCATTTCTGGAGCAATACTGCCATCAAGAGGAACTGGCTTGGCAATCCCGGCACCCTTGTGTGTCGCCTGGGGAGAGTGGCTTGGGACTGTCTGGGGGACCAGGCAGGACTAGGGCAGGTGCTCGGACGGATCCGAGGTCTCTGGAGGTCCGAGAGAAGCAGTCGCCGCGGGTCGGGCGGTGAAGCCCCAGAGAGAGGCGCCAGGACTAGCTGGACAGCCAGGACGCGGGCGTTCCCGGACAGGAAGCCATGGCTCGGGAGCCTGGTGGCGGCCATGATCTGGGCGGGACCAGCGGAGCCTCCGCCAGGGAGCCTGGGCTCGGGGCCTTGGGCAGTTTGCCTGGTGCCCCTTCCCGTGGGAGCAACCGGGGTGACGGCCTAGCTGGGTCCTCGGCCCGGGAGGCTCCGTCGGCCACACTGCACGCCTGCGGTGTGAGGAGGGCCGACTGCCAGTGCTGAGTTCCGTGGCCATTGGCGCGGGTGCCCGCCGCTGCTGGCCGGCGCCGGGGCGTTCCTCCTTGCGTCCTAGGGAGGAAGGTGGGCCGCGGGGCATCCCGCGGGGCCCGTACCCAGACGGTTCTTGACGAGGTGGACGCAAGGCCAGGCCCGGCCCGGCCCGGCCCGGCCCGGCCACCTTCAGACGCCGCGCACCCGCCTTGTTGAGACTTGCCACCCTGTCTTGTTGTGTCCATGTCCCCGAGGTTGTCTTGGAGGCGGGCCGTTCCCCGTGGTGCTCATTTCTGCCTGGGGGCCTTCCGGGGACCCCGCTTGTCTTTGGGGGTGCGCAGGCCCTTGCCCTGCGATCAGAGGCGCACCGACCGATGAGTTCGGTGGCAAAGCTTGAGAAATGGAGACTCTCTGGGCATCGGCTAAGGGGGCCCGGGGCCTTCCCAGGCCTGCTGGAGTCCGGGAAGCCGGGGGCACCCAGAAGAGAAGGACCCGTCGGACTCTGCCTGGGGACAGCCTGCTGCGTGCCAGAAAGGTCTGCGTGCTCAGGCAGCATCCCCGTGCCTCTACTCCATGTGTCTCATCCTGCCAATTAGCTCAGATCACAGTGGTGGGCCACCATGCCCGGTTAGATGTTGCATTCTTATTAGAAACGGGGTTTGACCATGTTGACACAGATCGATCTACCTCGCTGACCTGGTTGACCCTGCGTGCCTAGGACTCCAAATGTGCGCAATGACAGGTTCACACAAGATGCAGGACTTATTGTTTAGTTTAGTAAAAGAAGGATCAGGGAATTAGACGAAACTTGTGCTGAAGCATCTGGACCTGAGCACTCCTCCAGCCATGGCTCTCCAAAGTGCTGGATATACAAAGATAGAGCGCCATGCCCGGGTCTTTGGGAATTTAAGGCAAATACACTTTAGCCCTAGGTCGTACTTCTGCCTTACCTGAATAAACTTCTTTTGGTGCCCGCTTTTGAGATCTCCGGATTTTAGAAGCGGCCCCTTATCGATATCCGAGATATCATTTTTCTAAATTTTCCACCAATATTCGCTCCTGCCCTATTATCCCGGACAGCTCTTCACACCCACAAAGAAAAGCGTGTCCCGGAAGGCCCCCAGCCGATGTTGAGCCCCAGGGGAAAGACCCGTCTCAGAGACAATTTCGGACATTTGAACACAACGACACAGTTTCGCAAGTTTAAAAGAGGCGTGTTCGCGGTTTTTAAAGTTTCCCGGCCGGGGCGGGCCGGCGCGGCTTGCTTTGGTTTAAACTTGGTCAAGAACCTTCTGGTATAGCGGGTACCCCAATGCCCCGCGGCCAACTTTCTTCCTTGGACCCACAAGGAGGAACGACCCGGGTGCCGGCAAGAAGCCGCCGGGAAGCCCGCGCCATTGGCACACGGAATCTCGGCAATTGCCAATTCGGCCTACTTACAAACCGCAAGGCTTGCCATTTTGGCCCAACGGAACCTTCCCGGCCCAAGAACCCAGCTTGGCCCTTAACCCCCGTTTGCTTCCACGGGAAGGGGCAACCAAGCAAAATGCCCAAGGCCCCCGAGCCCAGGGGTCCCTGCCGAAGGCCTCCGCTGGTCCCGCCCAGATCATGGGCGCCACCAGGCTCCCGAGCCGTGGCTTCCTGTCCGGGAACGGCCCGGCGTCCTGGCTGTCCAGCTAGTCCTGGCGCCTCTCTCTGGGGCTTCCACCGCCCGACCCCGCGGCGGAGCCTGCTTCTCTCGGACCTCCAGAGACCTCGGATGCGTCCGAGCACCTGCCCTAGTCCTGCCTGGTCCCCCAGGACAGTCCCAAGCCACTCCTCCCCAGGCGAGCACAGCGAAGGGTGCGCGGGATTGCCAAGCCAGTTCCTCTTGATGGCAGTATTGCTCCAGAAATGCCCACCTGCCCTTCCCCCACGTCCACTCCCTCCGCCCTTTGCTGAGGAAAAAACGCCAACAGCGCCCCGCACATGGCGGATCAGCATCTCGGCCGCTTTGGGCCAGCCCTGGCCCACTGCGGGACCCTGTCCTTGGCAGATGGGACTCGGCGGGACCCTTCTTACTAGCCTGCCTTCCTGACAAACCAGAAAGCGGTCCCCTTGGACCGCCCTGGGGATGGACCCGACCTAACCGCATCCCTAACGATGCGTTAGGATGGGAGGATGGTGGAACCCGCAGGGACGAGAAGGAGACTGGGCACACACTAGGATCCCAGCCCCGGCCCTGCCCCCCGGGACACATTGGCACTTGTTTTTTCTTTTTTGTCTCGGCAAGGCCAGCTCGACCAACAGGTCAAACGCGACTGGTCTCCCACTGATCGCTGGGGGTTTGGCCTCAAACTTCAGGTGAACCCACAATTCCGGAATAGCGGGACCGGCACCCGGGCCCTTCTCACGTGGCAGCACCGGCAAGGGGCTGGGGGAAGAGCCCACGCCAGCCTACGTCACGCAGGAAGGGAGCCAGTGGCCACCCCAAACACACCTCTCCTCCTCACACCTGGCCTACGTCCAACTCTCCACGGCTCTGCCCAGAAGGCTGCACGTACAACACACACAGAGGCGGGCATTTCCCTGACGACTCGTGTGTGCCGTGGGGGAGCGGTAGATGGCCCAGCCCCAAGTGTTCCGATCTTCCTGCCCAAACATATTCTGTGACGGAAAGCCTATGTTGACCTCGTCCGGCACTCAAGGCGTGGGCAGCGGCCTAACGTCTGCTGCGGGAACACAGTCGCGTTGAATGCTATTCTCAAGACAGACAAAACAGTGGGAAGACACTACGCCAAGCTGCTAACTCCCTGGCCATTGCCGGACTCTTTCACCCCCATGGACTTTCCACTGGCATTTTAAACAACATAGTTTCTTTTCTCTGTCTCTTTCTCTTTCTCTCTCTCTTTCTCTTTCTCTCTCTCTCTCTCTCTCTCTGTCAATCTCATAATTTCTCTCTCTCGTGCCACGTTCCCACCCAACGCTCTCTCGCCCACTTCTACTGGGGCCCACTTCCTCTCCTGCTCTCTCTGTCTCAACGTGATTGACTTTCTTGTGCTGCCCAGGACTTCTTGCCCACGTGCGCCTTCAAAACGGTAAGAGCTGCAACTGAACGTGTGAGACATGGTGCAGATAGGCTGAGAGGCGGCGGGAGAGATGCCCATGAACTCAAGTACCCGGACACGCCCTCCACTTCTACCACCACGAGTAACACCGCCCCCACGGGACCGCTCTCGAGGTCCCCCAAGCCAAGGTGAGGCAAGTCCCAGTTGAATGTCATCCCGTTCCTCTTGGGCACGGCGGACCGCTCTCGCCCTTAAAGGTGCGTTGACGTGGAAGGTGAATGTCTCTTTGCGTGACAGTGCCTCAGCGCACGGGCGACGAGGGGCACACCTATCCCCCTGGCTCGCTCTCTAGCTGGATTCAGGTGGAACGGAGGACCATGAACCCTCTGGACCTTTTCTGCCTTGGTCCTAATGCTTGTAAGGTTTCCGGCCTAAGAGGCCCATCGACTCCTTCTGCCTTCTTTCAGTTGATTACAAAATAAATAAATAAATAAATAAATAAATAAATAAATAAAAAAGCAGGACATTAAACCTGCCACCTCCAGAGGGTCCTCTAGCTTCCTTCTCCACTCCTGAATTGAGCGAAGCGGTGCCGACCTCCACCCTTTGGGCACGAGCCCCTGCGCACTTGGGAGACTCCTGAACACCCTCGGAGAAGCCAGAAAGCCCCGGGAGATGGCTCCGTCTGCTGCTGTACCAGACCGGGTCCTGCAAAGGATGCATCCTCCGAGCCTCCTCCCTGCACGTCCAGTGGGGCCTGCCCCGATTCTACCTGAGGGACCCACTGGAGGAGAGGCACGGGGATGCTGCCTGAGCAGCGGACCCTTCTGGCGCGGAGCAGGCTGTCCCCAGGCAGAGTCCGACGGGTCCTTCCTTCTGGGTGCCCCCGGCTTCCCGGACTCCAGCAGGCCTGGGAAGGCCCCGGGCCCCCTTAGCCGATGCCCAGAGAGTCTCCATTTCTCAAGCTTTGCCACCGAACTCATCGGTCGGTGCGCCTCTGATCGCAGGGCAAGGGCCTGCGCACCCCCAAAGACAAGCGGGGTCCCCGGAAGGCCCCCAGGCAGAAATGAGCACCACGGGGAACGGCCCGCCTCCAAGACAACCTCGGGGACATGGACACAACAAGACAGGGTGGCAAGTCTCAACAAGGCGGGTGCGCGGCGTCTGAAGGTGGCCGGGCCGGGCCGGGCCGGGCCGGGCCTGGCCTTGCGTCCACCTCGTCAAGAACCGTCTGGGTACGGGCCCCGCGGGATGCCCCGCGGCCCACCTTCCTCCCTAGGACGCAAGGAGGAACGCCCCGGCGCCGGCCAGCAGCGGCGGGCACCCGCGCCAATGGCCACGGAACTCAGCACTGGCAGTCGGCCCTCCTCACACCGCAGGCGTGCAGTGTGGCCGACGGAGCCTCCCGGGCCGAGGACCCAGCTAGGCCGTCACCCCGGTTGCTCCCACGGGAAGGGGCACCAGGCAAACTGCCCAAGGCCCCGAGCCCAGGCTCCCTGGCGGAGGCCTCCGCTGGTCCCGCCCAGATCATGGCCGCCACCAGGCTCCCGAGCCGTGGCTTCCTGTCCGGGAACGGCCCGGCGTCCTGGCTGTCCAGCTAGTCCTGGCGCCTCTCTCTGGGGCTTCCACCGCCCGACCCCGCGGCGGAGCCTGCTTCTCTCGGACCTCCAGAGACCTCGGATCCGTCCGAGCACCTGCCCTAGTCCTGCCTGGTCCCCCAGGACAGTCCCAAGCCACTCCTCCCCAGGCGAGCACAGCGAAGGGTGCGCGGGATTGCCAAGCCAGTTCCTCTTGATGGCAGTATTGCTCCAGAAATGCCCACCTGCCCTTCCCCCACGTCCACTCCCTCCGCCCTTTGCTGAGGAAAAAACGCCAACAGCGCCCCGCACATGGCGGATCAGCATCTCGGCCGCTTTGGGCCAGCCCTGGCCCACCTGCGGGACCCTGTCCTTGGCAGATGGGACTCGGCGGGACCCTTCTTACTAGCCTGCCTTCCTGACAAACCAGAAAGCGGTCCCCTTGGACCGCCCTGGGGATGGACCCGACCTAACCGCATCCCTAACGATGCGTTAGGATGGGAGGATGGTGGAACCCGCAGGGACGAGAAGGAGACTGGGCACACACTAGGATCCCAGCCCCGGCCCTGCCCCCCGGGACACATTGGCACTTGGGCATTCTCACGGGTCACGGCAAGGCCAGCTTGACCAAGAGGTCAAAGGCGACTGGCGTCCCACTGACCGCTGGGGGTTTGGCCTCAAACTTCAGGTGAACCCACAATTCCGGAATAGCGGGACCGGCACCCGGGCCCTTCTCACGTGGCAGCACCGGCAAGGGGCTGGGGGAAGAGCCCACGCCAGCCTACGTCACGCAGGAAGGGAGCCAGTGGCCACCCCAAACACACCTCTCCTCCTCACACCTGGCCTACGTCCAACTCTCCACGGCTCTGCCCAGAAGGCTGCACGTACAACACACACAGAGGCGGGCATTTCCCTGACGACTCGTGTGTGCCGTGGGGGAGCGGTAGATGCCCAGCCCCAAGTGTTCCGATCTTCCTGCCCAAACATATTCTGTGACGGAAAGCCTATGTTGACCTCGTCCGGCACTCAAGGCGTGGGCAGCGGCCTAACGTCTGCTGCGGGAACACAGTCGCGTTGAATGCTATTCTCAAGACAGACAAAACAGTGGGAAGACACTACGCCAAGCTGCTAACTCCCTGGCCATTGCCGGACTCTTTCACCCCCATGGACTTTCCACTGGCATTTTAAACAACATAGTTTCTTTTCTCTGTCTCTTTCTCTTTCTCTCTCTCTTTCTCTTTCTCTCTCTCTCTCTCTCTCTCTGTCAATCTCATAATTTCTCTCTCTCGTGCCACGTTCCCACCCAACGCTCTCTCGCCCACTTCTACTGGGGCCCACTTCCTCTCCTGCTCTCTCTGTCTCAACGTGATTGACTTTCTTGTGCTGCCCAGGACTTCTTGCCCACGTGCGCCTTCAAAACGGTAAGAGCTGCAACTGAACGTGTGAGACATGGTGCAGATAGGCTGAGAGGCGGCGGGAGAGATGCCCATGAACTCAAGTACCCGGACACGCCCTCCACTTCTACCACCACGAGTAACACCGCCCCCACGGGACCGCTCTTGAGGTCCCCCAAGCCAAGGTGAAGGCAAGTCCCAGTTGAATCCAGCCCGGCCGGCCGCCCGGCCCGGCCACCTTCAGACGCCGCGCACCCGCCTTGTTGAGACTTGCCACCCTGTCTTGTTGTGTCCATGTCCCCGAGGTTGTCTTGGAGGCGGGCCGTTCCCCGTGGTGCTCATTTCTGCCTGGGGGCCTTCCGGGGACCCCGCTTGTCTTTGGGGGTGCGCAGGCCCTTGCCCTGCGATCAGAGGCGCACCGACCGATGAGTTCGGTGGCAAAGCTTGAGAAATGGAGACTCTCTGGGCATCGGCTAAGGGGGCCCGGGGCCTTCCCAGGCCTGCTGGAGTCCGGGAAGCCGGGGGCACCCAGAAGGAAGGACCCGTCGGACTCTGCCTGGGGACAGCCTGCTCCGCGCCAGAAGGGTCCGCTGCTCAGGCAGCATCCCCGTGCCTCTCCTCCAGTGGGTCCCTCAGGTAGAATACGGGCAGGCCCCACTGGACGTGCAGGGAGGAGGCTCGGAGGATGCATCCTTTGCAGGACCCGGTCTGGTACAGCAGCAGACGGAGCCATCTCCCGGGGCTTTCTGGCTTCTCCGAGGGTGTTCAGGAGTCTCCCAAGTGCGCAGGGGCTCGTGCCCAAAGGGTGGAGGTCGGCACCGCTTCGCTCAATTCAGGAGTGGAGAAGGAAGCTAGAGGACCCTCTGGAGGTGGCAGGTTTAATGTCCTGCTTTTTTATTTATTTATTTATTTATTTATTTATTTATTTTGTAATCAACTGAAAGAAGGCAGAAGGAGTCGATGGGCCTCTTAGGCCGGAAACCTTACAAGCATAGGACCAAGGCAGAAAAGGTCCAGAGGGTTCATGGTCCTCCGTTCCACCTGAATCCAGCTAGAGAGCGAGCCAGGGGGATAGGTGTGCCCCTCGTCGCCCGTGCGCTGAGGCACTGTCACGCAAAGAGACATTCACCTTCCACGTCAACGCACCTTTAAGGGCGAGAGCGGTCCGCCGTGCCCAAGAGGAACGGGATGACATTCAACTGGGACTTGCCTCACCTTGGCTTGGGGGACCTCGAGAGCGGTCCCGTGGGGGCGGTGTTACTCGTGGTGGTAGAAGTGGAGGGCGTGTCCGGGTACTTGAGTTCATGGGCATCTCTCCCGCCGCCTCTCAGCCTATCTGCACCATGTCTCACACGTTCAGTTGCAGCTCTTACCGTTTTGAAGGCGCACGTGGGCAAGAAGTCCTGGGCAGCACAAGAAAGTCAATCACGTTGAGACAGAGAGAGCAGGAGAGGAAGTGGGCCCCAGTAGAAGTGGGCGAGAGAGCGTTGGGTGGGAACGTGGCACGAGAGAGAGAAATTATGAGATTGACAGAGAGAGAGAGAGAGAGAGAGAAAGAGAAAGAGAGAGAGAAAGAGAAAGAGACAGAGAAAAGAAACTATGTTGTTTAAAATGCCAGCGGAAAGTCCATGGGGGTGAAAGAGTCCGGCAATGGCCAGGGAGTTAGCAGCTTGGCGTAGTGTCTTCCCACTGTTTTGTCTGTCTTGAGAATAGCATTCAACGCGACTGTGTTCCCGCAGCAGACGTTAGGCCGCTGCCCACGCCTTGAGTGCCGGACGAGGTCAACATAGGCTTTCCGTCACAGAATATGTTTGGGCAGGAAGATCGGAACACTTGGGGCTGGGCCATCTACCGCTCCCCCACGGCACACACGAGTCGTCAGGGAAATGCCCGCCTCTGTGTGTGTTGTACGTGCAGCCTTCTGGGCAGAGCCGTGGAGAGTTGGACGTAGGCCAGGTGTGAGGAGGAGAGGTGTGTTTGGGGTGGCCACTGGCTCCCTTCCTGCGTGACGTAGGCTGGCGTGGGCTCTTCCCCCAGCCCCTTGCCGGTGCTGCCACGTGAGAAGGGCCCGGGTGCCGGTCCCGCTATTCCGGAATTGTGGGTTCACCTGAAGTTTGAGGCCAAACCCCCAGCGGTCAGTGGGACGCCAGTCGCCTTTGACCTCTTGGTCAAGCTGGCCTTGCCGTGACCCGTGAGAATGCCCAAGTGCCAATGTGTCCCGGGGGGCAGGGCCGGGGCTGGGATCCTAGTGTGTGCCCAGTCTCCTTCTCGTCCCTGCGGGTTCCACCATCCTCCCATCCTAACGCATCGTTAGGGATGCGGTTAGGTCGGGTCCATCCCCAGGGCGGTCCAAGGGGACCGCTTTCTGGTTTGTCAGGAAGGCAGGCTAGTAAGAAGGGTCCCGCCGAGTCCCATCTGCCAAGGACAGGGTCCCGCAGGTGGGCCAGGGCTGGCCCAAAGCGGCCGAGATGCTGATCCGCCATGTGCGGGGCGCTGTTGGCGTTTTTTCCTCAGCAAAGGGCGGAGGGAGTGGACGTGGGGGAAGGGCAGGTGGGCATTTCTGGAGCAATACTGCCATCAAGAGGAACTGGCTTGGCAATCCCGCGCACCCTTCGCTGTGCTCGCCTGGGGAGGAGTGGCTTGGGACTGTCCTGGGGGACCAGGCAGGACTAGGGCAGGTGCTCGGACGGATCCGAGGTCTCTGGAGGTCCGAGAGAAGCAGGCTCCGCCGCGGGGTCGGGCGGTGGAAGCCCCAGAGAGAGGCGCCAGGACTAGCTGGACAGCCAGGACGCCGGGCCGTTCCCGGACAGGAAGCCATGGCTCGGGAGCCTGGTGGCGGCCATGATCTGGGCGGGACCAGCGGAGGCCTCCGCCAGGGAGCCTGGGCTCGGGGCCTTGGGCAGTTTGCCTGGTGCCCCTTCCCGTGGGAGCAACCGGGGTGACGGCCTAGCTGGGTCCTCGGCCCGGGAGGCTCCGTCGGCCACACTGCACGCCTGCGGTGTGAGGAGGGCCGACTGCCAGTGCTGAGTTCCGTGGCCATTGGGCCGGTGCCCGCCGCTGCTGGCCGCGCGCCGGGGCGTTCCTCCTTGCGTCCTAGGGAGGAAGGTGGGCCGCGGGGCATCCCGCGGGGCCCGTACCCAGACGGTTCTTGACGAGGTGGACGCAAGGCCAGGCCCGGCCCGGCCCGGCCACCCTCAGACGCCGCGCACCCGCCTTGTTGAGACTTGCCACCCTGTCTTGTTGTGTCCATGTCCCCGAGGTTGTCTTGGAGGCGGGCCGTTCCCCGTGGTGCTCATTTCTGCCTGGGGGCCTTCCGGGGACCCCGCTTGTCTTTGGGGGTGCGCAGGCCCTTGCCCTGCGATCAGAGGCGCACCGACCGATGAGTTCGGTGGCAAAGCTTGAGAAATGGAGACTCTCTGGGCATCGGCTAAGGGGGCCCGGGGCCTTCCCAGGCCTGCTGGAGTCCGGGAAGCCGGGGGCACCCAGAAGGAAGGACCCGTCGGACTCTGCCTGGGGACAGCCTGCTCCGCGCCAGAAGGGTCCGCTGCTCAGGCAGCATCCCCGTGCCTCTCCTCCAGTGGGTCCCTCAGGTAGAATCGGGGCAGGCCCCACTGGACGTGCAGGGAGGAGGCTCGGAGGATGCATCCTTTGCAGGACCCGGTCTGGTACAGCAGCAGACGGAGCCATCTCCCGGGGCTTTCTGGCTTCTCCGAGGGTGTTCAGGAGTCTCCCAAGTGCGCAGGGGCTCGTGCCCAAAGGGTGGAGGTCGGCACCGCTTCGCTCAATTCAGGAGTGGAGAAGGAAGCTAGAGGACCCTCTGGAGGTGGCAGGTTTAATGTCCTGCTTTTTTATTTATTTATTTATTTATTTATTTATTTATTTATTTATTTTGTAATCAACTGAAAGAAGGCAGAAGGAGTCGATGGGCCTCTTAGGCCGGAAACCTTACAAGCATAGGACCAAGGCAGAAAAGGTCCAGAGGGTTCATGGTCCTCCGTTCCACCTGAATCCAGCTAGAGAGCGAGCCAGGGGGATAGGTGTGCCCCTCGTCGCCCGTGCGCTGAGGCACTGTCACGCAAAGAGACATTCACCTTCCACGTCAACGCACCTTTAAGGGCGAGAGCGGTCCGCCGTGCCCAAGAGGAACGGGATGACATTCAACTGGGACTTGCCTCACCTTGGCTTGGGGGACCTCGAGAGCGGTCCCGTGGGGGCGGTGTTACTCGTGGTGGTAGAAGTGGAGGGCGTGTCCGGGTACTTGAGTTCATGGGCATCTCTCCCGCCGCCTCTCAGCCTATCTGCACCATGTCTCACACGTTCAGTTGCAGCTCTTACCGTTTTGAAGGCGCACGTGGGCAAGAAGTCCTGGGCAGCACAAGAAAGTCAATCACGTTGAGACAGAGAGAGCAGGAGAGGAAGTGGGCCCCAGTAGAAGTGGGCGAGAGAGCGTTGGGTGGGAACGTGGCACGAGAGAGAGAAATTATGAGATTGAGAGAGAGAGAGAGAGAGAGAGAGAGAGAGAGAAAGAGAAAGAGAGAGAGAAAGAGAAAGAGACAGAGAAAAGAAACTATGTTGTTTAAAATGCCAGCGGAAAGTCCATGGGGGTGAAAGAGTCCGGCAATGGCCAGGGAGTTAGCAGCTTGGCGTAGTGTCTTCCCACTGTTTTGTCTGTCTTGAGAATAGCATTCAACGCGACTGTGTTCCCGCAGCAGACGTTAGGCCGCTGCCCACGCCTTGAGTGCCGGACGAGGTCAACATAGGCTTTCCGTCACAGAATATGTTTGGGCAGGAAGATCGGAACACTTGGGGCTGGGCCATCTACCGCTCCCCCACGGCACACACGAGTCGTCAGGGAAATGCCCGCCTCTGTGTGTGTTGTACGTGCAGCCTTCTGGCAGAGCCGTGGAGAGTTGGACGTAGGCCAGGTGTGAGGAGGAGAGGTGTGTTTGGGGTGCCACTGGCTCCCTTCCTGCGTGACGTAGGCTGGCGTGGGCTCTTCACACCAGCCCCTTGCCGGTGCTGCCAACGTGAGAAGGGCCCGGGTGCCGGTCCCGCTATTCCGGAATTGTGGGTTCACCTGAAGTTTGAGGCCAAACCCCCAGCGGTCAGTGGGACGCCAGTCGCCTTTGACCTCTTGGTCAAGCTGCCTTGCCGTGACCCGTGAGAATGCCCAAGTGCCAATGTGTCCCGGGGCAGGGCCGGGGCTGGGATCCTAGTGTGTGCCCAGACTCCTTATACGCCGCGGTAAAAAAATACACTAAAAATACATAAAGACAGGGGAATAATATAGAGTAAAAATAAAAAAATACAAGAAATGAAATAAAAAATACACACACAGAGGCGGCATTTCCCTGACGACTCGTGTGTGCCGTGGGGAGCGGTAGATGCCCCAGCCCCAAGTGTTCCGATCTTCCTGCCCAAACATATTCTGTGACGGAAAGCCTATGTTGACCTCGTCCGGCACTCAAGGCGTGGGCAGCGGCCTAACGTCTGCTGCGGGAACACAGTCGCGTTGAATGCTATTCTCAAGACAGACAAAACAGTGGGAAGACACTACGCCAGGCTGCTAACACACACACAGAGGCGGCATTTCCCTGACGACTCGTGTGTGCCGTGGGGAGCGGTAGATGCCCCAGCCCCAAGTGTTCCGATCTTCCTGCCCAAACATATTCTGTGACGGAAAGCCTATGTTGACCTCGTCCGGCACTCAAGGCGTGGGCAGCGGCCTAACGTCTGCTGCGGGAACACAGTCGCGTTGAATGCTATTCTCAAGACAGACAAAACAGTGGGAAGACACTACGCCAGGCTGCTAACTCCCTGTCCCTTGCCGGACTCTTTGACCTCCATGGACTTTCCATTGTTGTTTTCTACAGCACCGTTTCTTCTTTCTCTGTCTCTCTTTCTCTCTCTCTCTCTCTCTCTCTTTCTGTCAGTCTCTCTCTCTCGACATTGAGGTCCAACGCCCTCTCACCCACTTCTTCCGGGCTCGCTTCCTTTTCTGCTCTCCATGTCTCAACATGATTGGGTTTCTTGGACTGTCTGGTTCTTCTTGCCCACATGTGCCTTTAAAGGGGACATGGATTAATAAGAACACATAACATTCATCATGTCTAAAAAATCAACGTTGGGAAAGCTGTTACGGGAATTGGGTTTTTACATGTCACCACAGAACTTATGTGAGTTATTTCATTTTGGAAATAAGGCCGGGGCCAGTGAAGCACTGCAATTCCACAACTTTGGGACGTCACGGTAGGTGGATTCTTTGAGCTCGGCAGTTCTAGGCCAGCGTGAGCAATATGGCGGAACCCCATCTCTGCAAAAAATAGTAATATTAATAAAAGACCCATCCAAACAATAACCAAAAACTATCCCGGTGTGGTAGTGCGCACTTGTAATAACAGCTACTTTGGAGGATGTGTTTGGAGGATTGCTGGAGGCCAGAAAGTTGAGGCTGTAGTGAGTCTTGAAGGTGCCACAGCATTCCAGCCTGGGTGACAGAGGAAGACTCCCTATCAAGAAAGGAGGAAAGAATCAGAGAAGGGAAGAGAAAAGAAAGCCAAACTTTTGCCTCAGTATCAGTAACAAGAAACATATGCACATACAAATACACACACACACTGAGCACTGCCCTCTAGAAATAACCAATGTAATTGTGTTTTCTTTCCTTTTTGACTCTTTGTCTACATAATTTGTCCAACTTGTATCGATATTTTGTATTATTATGACTATCTTCTATCATCTTTGATACCTTAAATTATTTCTTTATAATCTTCTTTTTATTTCATTAATAATCACGGCCATTTCAAATCCTATTTTACAGAACTGTAGAAAGATGAAAATGTGAAAGCCCTGAAATTTTTGTTGTTTGAGACGGAATCTCACTCTGTCACCAGGGCTGGAGTGCATTGGCAGGTTATCAGCTCGCTGCAACCTCCCCCTCCCGGGTTCAAGCGATTTTTCTGCCTCAGTTTCCCGAGTATCTGGGATTAGAGGCACCCGCCACTACACCCAGCTATTTTTTTGTATTTTTAGTAGAGACGGGGTTTCACCATGTTGGCCAGGCTAGTCTCGAACTCCTGACCCTGTGATTCGCCCGCCTTGGCCTCCCAAAGTCCAGGGATTAAATGTGTGAGCCACCTCGCCCAGGCAAGTCCCTGAAAATTTTGAGGGCTTGTCTTTCCACGTTGTTAAGTGCATATATGGAAATGAAGTATATTGCCGTTTTTCTTTCTTTTTTTAAAAGAAGGGCTCTGGCTCTGATGCCCAAGATGGAGTGCAATGGAGCAATCCCAGTTCACTGCAGTGGCAAAGTCCTGGGCACAAGCAATCCTCCCGCCCCAGCCTCCAGAGTAGCTGGAACTACAGGCCCGCGGCATCATGCGTGGCTAATTTTTGTTTAGAGACGGCGTTTCACCATGTTGGCCAGGCTGGACTCGAACTCCTGGTCTCAAGTGATTCTCCCGCCTTAGTCTTCCAAGGTGCTGGGATTACAGGCGTGAGCCACTGCGCCCGGCCTGAAGCTGTATTTCTTTTTGTTCAATTATTCGTTAGAGGAAATGTTTCTTCTACAGTGTTACATTACGGGGAGCCCTGCCTGTGGGCAGGGCAGCCACGTGGTTTAACAACCACTCAATCTAAACCGAACGAGAGCGCACACCTCCTCAGCCATGTAGGTGGGGAGAACACCAGTGGGGCGAAGGAATCTGCAGGCGCACCCTTCTCCCTCTGCCCGCCCTGCCACAGGAGACGCTTCCAGGCTCCCGACGGGGAAGGCCAGAAAGGCTCTACTAGAAGGACCTCCCTACACTTGCCAGAACTAAAACTTAGGCAGCGGCAAAAACTCGGCGTCCAAAACGCGCCCGAAAGCCCTCCGATGCCTGCAGGACGCTGGAGCCAGCTCGGCTGCAGCCGCCATTGCACAAGGTCGCGCGCCCAGCACTGGCTGCCCAGAAGCCGGAGGGCAGGGAAGGTCCTCTGCACCAGAAAGGCTGCCCATGGCACAAACCCTGATCTCGTGTCCTGTGTCAAGGAAAGGAAAGGCAAATAAAGGAAAGAAAAGGCGAAGGAGACCTACCTGATTGAGGCCACGCGCCAACGGGAAAGGCCCAGTCCGCTCTACGTCCCGCAGTCGCACCTCAGATATGGGGTAGGATGCCCCCTCCCCATTCCTGGGAGGTGAGGGCTGAAAGAATCCGGGGAGGGGAAGGGAGAGGAATCCGGTCTTCCTAGAGCCTGCTCCGCCCAGGGTAGGAGTGGGGTGTCCTCAGCCTGCTCCTGGTGCAAGAAGGGGCGGAGAGAGGCAGCTTTGGGAAAGTTGGGTGGGAAACCTCTTGTCTTAGCTAATTGCTGAGGAGTACCTATTTGTCCCATTTGTTTCCTTTGAGTAAGGTCTTCGCTGGCAAGAGGGCAAAGGAGACTGATGTATCGAGAAAATGAAAAGTTTACTGTTTAACATTCACAAAACGGTTTAGAGGAAAAAGAAGCTTAAGCAAGTACACTTTCAGGCGATGTTATAAGTTTGTATCATCTGTATGCCTGACGTTATTGAAAGCTTCAATTGTTCCCTCCCCAGGTGAGAGGCGTCTTCCCAAGACCAGACACTGCCGGTGCCCTATCACCTCCCACTTTTTTTCTGGAACTGCTAGGGGCCCAGCGCTGCTTCTGCAGCCTTCCAGGGGATGCTGCTGGTGGCGCGTATGCCGCCTAGGTGGGTGGGGATGTGCTGAGGCCGAAGGAGTGACAGCGACTCGCAGGTTTCCCCTGCCTGACCAGTCCTCTGATTGATATTTTCTTTTGAAAAAAGGGACTTGCGGCCGGGCGCGGTGGCTCACGCCTGTAATCCAACACTTTGGGAGGCCGAGGCGGGTGGATCACCTGAAGTCGGGAGTTCGAGACCAGCCTGACCAACATGGAGAAACCCTGTCTCTATTGAAAATACAAAATTAGCCGGGCTTGGTGGCGAATGCCTGTAATCCCAGCTACTCAGGAGGCCTAGGCAGGAGAATCGCTTGAACCTGGGAGGCGGAGGTTGTGGTGAGTCGAGATCGCGCCATTGCACTCCAGCTTGGGCAACAAGAACAAAACTCCGTCTCAAAAAAAAAAAAAAAAAAAAAGGGACTTGCTGCTCTTGCAGAATGGAGACACCTGTAGCGTATTAAGGAAAATGAAGATAATCTGTTGATGACAGTACTCTGAGGAGTGTTAACTTGGGGCATGCATCCTCCCAGCACCTTGTTCCCTAAGGGGAGGGGAGATGCAAATAAAGGTCCTTTAAAAATAATAGCCTGGTGAGTTCCCAAGGCTCATGGGAATCATGCAAGCTATTCGGGTTGCTTAAAAACTTGACTGTGAAGATGTTGTGGAATTTTTTTTTTTCTCTTCACAATGTAGTCCTTGATTGGTTTTTGGGAGAATTTTTTTTTTCACAAATGGAAACGTGTTTTCAGTGGGAACCAAAGTCATTCCTGCCCACGTACACTCTCCAGTGAACTCACCTTAAAAGAGACACTTAAAAAGAAATCTAAGGCCTCTGAGGGCACTACAACTGGTCTTTGACCAGCTCCAACTTCTCAGAATTTCCTGGCTCCATTTCACTCCTCACCAACTGACGTTCACACTCTCAGTCCGCCACCCCCACCCCAAGACCACCTGCTGCCAGATACTCCCAGACCTTTTCTCTTACTCATTCCCTTGCGGTTTGGGCAGAGGTGGGTGGGAATTACCAGGAGGTGGGGGGAGGAGGAGCATAAATGGGCACAGGTGATGCTTTATTCTTGTCAGGCAGCTGCCTTCACCTGCTAAGGGGAGAGTTGGGGGAGGGTTTAAGGCTCTGCACAACTCCACGTTGTAGAAAATGGAAACTGAAAAGAGCTTTCCCCTCACCCCAGGTGGAATTACCCAAAAAGTAACTGAGCTATGAATCTCAGCTGCCCCTCTCTGGATACTTCCCTGTCTTTCTCCTCCTTTATTTAAGGGAGGAATGTCCATCGCCTGACACAGAGAACTAAGTCATAGCCTTTTTTCTGTCTACATTCCCTGAACGGACAGATTCAATAAGCACTCATTGTGCCAGGAAACCAAGGTCTACAGAGGCTAAATGGTTTTGCCAAGGTGAATTAAGGTGGCAGGATGGAACCAAACATGCCAGGCTCTCATGCTGCAAATCCTTTGCTTTCTCCATGCAAACGGCCAAGCAGCTCAGTACAGGATGCCTGCCTGGGCAACAAGAGCGAAACTCCATCTAAAAAAAAAAAAAAAAAAAAAAAAAAAAACCTGCTGCTCAATATCATTCATTTAGGCAAATAGGCAAATACAAAGGAAACTCACAAGGAGATACACCTCACACTTATTAGGATGGCTAGAAAAAAAACCAAATTGAAAATAACAAGTGTGTGAGGCCAGGCGCGGTGGCTCACGCCTGTAATCCCAGCACTTTGGGAGGCCGAGATGGGCGGATCACGAGGTCAGGAGATCAAGACCATCCTGGCTAACACAGTGAAACCCCGTCTCTACTAAAAATACAAAAAATTAGCCGGGCGTGGTGGCGGGCGCCTGTAGTCCCAGCTACTCAGGAGGCTGAGGCAGGAGAATGGCGTGAACCCAGGAGGCGGAGCTTGCAGTGAGCCGAGATCACGCCACTGCACTCCAGCCTGGGCGACACAGCAAGACTTGGTCTCAAAAAAACAAAATCAAAACAAACAAACAAAAAAGTATGTGAAGATGTAGAGAAATTGAAACTGTCATACACTGCTAGTGGGAAAGTAAAATGATGTAGATAGATATTTAATATTATCGAAAGCAATTTGGCACTTCCACAGAAAGTTAACCATAGTGCCATTTGATCCAGCAATCCCACTCCTGGGTATCTATCCAGAGGAAAAGAAGTCATTATACAGAAAAGACACTTGCACACGCATGTTTGTAGCAGCACCATTCGCAATTGCAAAAATATTGAACCAGCCCAAATGCCCATCAATGAGTGACGAATATATGTGTATGTATGTGTGTGTGTATATATATATATATATATACACACACACATATATATACATACCATGGACTACTACTTAGTCATAAAAGGAATTAAATAATGGCATTCACAGCAACCTGGGTGGAATTGGAGACCATTATTCTAAGTGAAGTAACTCAGGAATGGAAAACCAAACATTGTTTATTCTCACTAACAAGCGGGAGCTAAGCTGTGAGGACACAAAGGCATAAGAATGATACAATGGGTCAGGCGGGATGGCTCACACCTGTAATTGTAATCCCAGCACTTTCGGAGGCCGAGGCAGATGGATTACTTAAGGTCAGGAGTTCAAGACCAGCCTGGCCAACATAGTGAAACCCGCCCCCCCCCCCGACTAAAAATATAAAAATTAGCTGGGTGTGATGGCACGCACCTGTAATCCCAGCTACTCAGGAGGGTGAGGCAGGAGAATCGCTTGAGACCAGGAGGCAGAGGTTGCAGTGAGCCAAGATCGCTCCACTGCACTCCAGCCTGGGTGACAGAAAGAGACTCCATCTAAAAAATAGATACACAGTGGACTTTGGGGATGTGGGTTGGGGGAGGGTGGGAAGGAGGCAAGGGATAAAAGACTACACATTGGGTACGGTGTACACTGCTCCGGTAATGGGTGCACCAAAATCTCAGAAATCACCACTAAAGAACTTATCCATGTAATCAAACACCACTTGTTTCCCCAAAACCTATTGAAATAATAAAAAAAGTTAAACAGAATGGGAGGCTCCGGCGGCTCGTGCTCGCGCACGCAGGGTGGAGGCAGGGAGCGCACGACGTGCGCGCACCCTCTGCCCTGGTCCATCGCTGCCGCCTCCTTCTTCTGCAGCTCCTGGTGCTGCTTGTGTGCTCGTTTGGTGCGGACCTGGTACCTCTTTTGTGAAACGGCAGCTGAGGAGATTCCGGCGCTTGCCATGGCCGACGAAAAACCCAAGGAAGGAGTCAAGACTGAGAACAACGATCATATTAATTTGAAGGTGGCGGGGCAGGATGGTTCTGTGGTGCAGTTTAAGATTAAGAGGCATACACCACTTAGTAAACTAATGAAAGCCTATTGTGAACGACAGGGATTGTCAGTGAGGCAGATCAGATTCCGATTCGACGGGCAACCAATCAATGAAACAGACACACCTGCACAGTTGGAAATGGAGGATGAAGATACAATTGATGTGTTCCAACAGCAGACGGGAGGTGTCTACTGAAAAGGGAACCTGCTTCTTTACTCCAGAACTCTGTTCTTTAAAGACCAAGATTACATTCTCAATTAGAAAACTGCAATTTGGTTCCACCACATCCTGACTACTACCGTATAGTTTTCTCTATTCTTTCATTTCCCCCTTCCCTATTCCTTTATTGTACATAAAGTAACTGGTATATGTACACAAGCATATTGCATTTTTTTTAACTAAACAGCCAATGATATGTTTTGATTGACATCAAGTGGAGATGGGATGGGGAAAAATACTGATTCTGTGAAAATACCCCCTTTCTCCATTAGTGGCATGCTCATTCAGCTCTTATCTTTATATTCCAGTAAGTTATTTTGCTCTCACTGTTTTAACAAAAACAACAACAACAACAACATAAAAATCCTTGCATACCTTTTTCAATTGGAGAATTTTAATGATTTTCATTTATCATTGTAAAACCAAGGACAATTTTATAACTTTTTCGTACATAGCTGCTACATGTAGGGCAATCTGTCTTTAAGTAGGGATAAATTACTCTAAAACAAAAAAGAATCCTAGATACTTTTCCCTTCAAGTCAAGCGTCTTGTTTAAATAAACTGCTTGTTTAAAATGAAAAAAAAAAAGTTAAATATAGGTTTACCATGTGATCCAGCAATTCCACTCCTAAGTATATACCCGAGAGCTAAAAACAGATATTCAAACAAAAGTTATGCATGAATGTTTGTGGCAGCATTATTCATAAAACCCAAAAGGAGAAACAACCCAAATGCCCATGAACTGGTGAATGTTTAAACAAATGTGCTATATGCATACCATGGATTATTTTAGCCATAACATGGAATGAAGCACAGATACATAATACAATGCGGATTTAACCCTAAAAATATTATAATAAAGAACCAGACACAAAAGAATGCAGATTGCATGATCTCATTTATATGAAATGGCCAGAATAGGCAAATCTAAACAGACACAAAGTAGATTAGTGGATGCCAGGGGCTGGGGAAGGGGGAATAAGGAATGACTACTAATAGAGATGGAGCTTTTGGCTGGGTGCCATGGCTCATGCCTGTAATCCCAGCACTTTGGGAGGCCAAGGCAAGAGGATCACCTGAGGTCAGGAGTTCGAGACCAGCCTGACCAACAGGAAGAAAACCCATCTCTACTAAAAATACAAAATTAGCTGGGCATGGTGGTGCACACCTGTAATCCTAGCTACTTTGGAGGCTGAGGCAGGAAAATTGCTTGAACCTGGGAGGCGGAGGTTGCGGTGATCCAAGATTGCACCATTGTACTCTAGCCTAGGAAACAAGAGCAAAACTCTGGAAAGAAGGGGAGGGGAGGGGAGCTTTCATTTTAGAAAAATGTTCTAAAATTGGTTGTGCTAATGGATGCACAATTTTCTGAATGTGCTGAAAAGCAGTGACTTGTACATTTTTATATGGTGAATTTATATGATACGTGAACTGCTTATCAACAATAAAAAATAAACCAGCAGATAGATTCAATAAAATTTAGGTACAAGATTGGTGGGAAATTTTAAAATATGGGTGAATCAAGGTGAGAATACTGCAACTCACTGATCTTTTACATCAAATATATGCAAAACATATGTGAGTGTGGCCAGGTATGATGGCTCACACCTGTAATCCCAGCACTTTGGGAGGCTGAGGCAGGCGGATCACCTGAGGTCAGGAGTTCAAGACTAACCTGACCAACATGGCGAAACCCCATCTCTACTAAAAATACAAAAATTAGCCGGGTGTGGTGGTGCATGCCTGTAGTTCCAGCTACTCTACTCAGAAGGCTGAGGCAGGAGAATTGCTTGAACTCAAGAGGCAGAAGGTGGCAGTGAGCAATTGCGCCACCATACTCCAGCTTGGACAACAGAGCGAAACTCCGTCTCAAAAAATAATAATAATATGTGAGTGCTGATATCATGCAATCAAAGTACAAAGTATCAACTATGAATGTTCCTGCCAAAAAAAATTGTACCCAAATCTAACCAAATCCATAGATCTAACTACAAGATATTCTGCTTAAAAAGGAATATGTTTTGCACTGAAATGGATACAGTGAAATGTAGAAGGTGAATAATTCTACAGGACAAATAATAAACTAGTCTCTCACCAAAGGAATAGCAAAGAAAAAAACAGGGAGAGTTGTTACAGATTACAGATTAGAAGATGAAGAGGAAATATTTGAATCAATGTTATCTGTAATACTTCTTCTTTCTTTCTTTTTTTTTTTTTGAGACAGAGTCTCACTCTGTCACCCAGGCTGGAGTGCAGTGGCACCGTGTCGGCTCACTGCAACCTCCATCTTCTAGGTTCAAGCAATTCTCCTGCCTCAGCCTCTGAGTAGCTAGGATTACAGGCGTCTGCCACCATGCCCAGCTAATTGTTTTATATTTTTGGTAGAGATGGGGTTTCACCATGTTGGCCAGGCTGGTCTCAAACTCCTGACCTCAGGTGATCCTCTCGCCTCGGCCTCCCAACGTGCTGGGATTACAGGCATGAGCCACAGTGACCGGCCCTGTAATAGTTATTTTAAGTTCCACGATACATGTGCAGAAATTGCAGGTTTGTTACATAGGTAAACGTGTGCCATGGTAGTTTGCTGCACCTATCAACCCATCACCTAGATATTAAGCCCCACATACATTAGCTATTTATCCTGATGCTTCTTTAGATCCTAATAAGAACAAGTAAAATTTAAGAGGCATATTTAGGTCAAACAGGGAAATTGGACATGGATGTTTTCATGTGCCATTAAAGAATAATTATAATTTGTTAGAATCAATGATGGCATCTTGATTACTTTTCCCTAATGTCCTTATTGTTTACATTGCATATTATTGTAGACTGCATGGATTATATAGCTTGTTATAATTCATATGTGAATTCATATGATAGTTGGAATATATTTTTACATATTTAAGCTCAAAAAATTAGCAAATAGAACGTAAATGGTGTTTTTTTTGTTTGTTTATTTTTTAGGGTTTGTTTTTGTTTTTGCTTTTGTTTTCAGACAGGGTCTTGCTCTGATGCCCAGGCCGGAGTACAGTGGTGCAATCTCTGCTCAAGAAAATGGTGATTATTAGGCCGGGTGCAGTGTCTCACGCCTGTAATCCTAGCACTTTGGGAGGCCGAAGCAGGTGGATCATCTGAGGTCAGGAGTTCAAGACCATCCTGGCCAATATGGTGAAACCCCGTCTCTACTAAAAATACAAAAATTACCTGGGCGTGGGGGCGGGCACCTATAATCCCAGCTACTTGGGAGGCTGAGGCAGGAAAATTGTTTGAACCCAGGGGGCGGAGGTTGCAGTGAGCCAAGATCCCACCACTGCACTCCAGCCTGGGCGACAGAGCGAGACTCTGTCTCAAAAAAAAAGAAAAAGAAAAAAAGAAAATGGTGATTATTATTGAAGCTGGTTGGTGGGTACATGAAATTTTTGATACATTCTTCTATCAGCTTTCAAATTGTCCATAATAAAGAGTAAACAAGAACAACCAAATTTGAGTTTGAGTATATTATTGAGAACTATGAGTGAAAATATCACAAATAAAAGAATTGGGCTGGGTGTGGTGGCAGAGGCCTGTAATCCCAGCACTTTGGGAGGCCGAGGTGGGCCGATTGCTTGAGCTCAGAAGTTGGAGACCAGCCTGGACAACATGGCGAAACCTCATCTCTACAAAAAAAATACAAAAATTAGGTGGGTATGGTGTTCCCTGCTACTCAGCAGGCTGAGGTGGGAGGATCATTTGAGCCCGGGAGGTCAAGGCTGCAGTGAGCCAAGATTGCACCACTGCACTCCAGCCTGGGCAACGAAATGAGACCCTGTCTTAAAAAAATAAAAATACCTCCGGGCACGGTGGCTCACGTCTGTAATCCCAGCACTTTAGGAGACCAAGGTGGGTGGATCACGAGATCAGGAGTTCAAGACCAGCCTGTCCAACATGGTAAAACCCCGTCCCTACTAAAAATACAAAAATTAGCTGAGTGTGGTGGTGGGCACCTGTAATCCCAGCTACTCGGGAGGCTGAGTAATTGCTTGAACCTGGGAGGCGGAGGTTGCAGTGAGGTGAGACCATGCCACTGCACTCCAGCCTGGGTGACAGAGTGAGACTCTGTCTCAAAAAAACAATAATAATAATACAAATAAAGAGTTGATTATGGTCACATTCACAGAGCTATAATTTCTTGGGTTTCAAGAGAGGATTGAAGAAAGGTGATTTTTGTTTAAAGTACTGTAAAAATATTCAGCAGCTTTATTGAGGTACAAGGTATCAATTTTTAATGGGCCTTTGAATCAGAATGTAATAAGTGGAAGGAAGTTCTGAAAGAAGTGCACTATACTGTTGACAAGGTCACCTCTGGGAATGGCATAAAGATTAGGACTGGTGAACAAAGGTGACCTTCATTAATTTCTTCAGCAAACATTTGTTGAACACCTAGTGTATGTTCATCATGTCCTTAATGTAGAAAGTAAAGCCAGTAAATAGACCAAAAAAAATCCCGATTCATGTGGAGGTCACATTCTAGTAGAGGAGACTGATAAAATAGGATCAATAAGATATGTATGTATCATTATAGTCATATGTGCTACACAGCAAACTAAGCAGGGAAGGGGAACACTGTGGGGTGAGTGTGGGATTTGCACTTCTGGGTAGATTGTGCTGCTAAGGGCTTGCTGAGAAGGAGACACCAGGGGAAAGATCTGAGGGAGGAGATGTAGGAGCTCTGTGGCTATCTGGGGATGGGGGTTGCAATGAGAGAGAGTATCCTAAGCTTCCCATGGATTTTTCCCTGTCAATGTATTCATCACTGACAAATAGTAATGTTCCCCAATTTTGATGCAAGAGGTGCTGCGTTGTTGTTTGGTAGTGTGAATTGGTCAGGATTAAGGCCACAGTTACCTTCATGGTTCACACAATTAGGACATGGTTTCAGACCTTTGATGCTTTGAACAAATTGAGGCTATAGCCACGCATAATAACTGTGTATGCTTCTATAAAATGGATGTTTTGGGAATATGTATAAACAGATCCTTGCAATAACCTCTCACTTAAGTGGTTCAGTCCAGTTTTGTAAGGTGTTTATAGCTACTTGAGTAACAATGCTGTATGAATTCCAAACTGTTGCTTCACACCCAATGTCAGGATACTCAACCATGATTGGAATCAATAAACTACAGGTGAGAACAGATTTCCGTGTGTTTGGATGTGGACCTAAGAGATTATTTATTTCATTAACTTCAGAAAAGGAACAATGGCTTAAGTAAGCAGAAAAGCCTGTTCAGTATCTTTGACCACAAGTCTGAATCCCAGACATTACCATATGAGGTTACTAATTGGTCATAGTTGATTACATCACAATAGGTGTGTCTCTATAAAGGCCAGACCAGCTTCAGCCTTAGGCTAATTTCTCCCCAGGGTGTGTAGTGGCTTGAAGGTCTTTTTAAATTGTTGTTGTTATGTTTTTATTTTATTTTACTTTATTTTTAAATAGAGATGAGGTCTTGCTATGTTGTCCAGGCTGGTCTCAAACTCCTGGGCTCAAGCAGCTCGCCTGTCTTGGCCTCCCAAAGTGCAGGGATTGCAGATGTGAGCCACCATGCTTGGCCCTTGCTATATTTTAAATAGTTAAAAATACTGTTTTTGTTTTTTTGTTTTTCCTTGCTGAATACTTGGGAAAATTGGTTTGTGTCTGTGGCAAAGGAATTCAACAATACTTTCATTTTCAGGTCAGACTATTTTAAGAAAATAGAAGACTATCATTTACAGCTGGTATGGCCCTGTGGTGGTGTGGACCCAGACTTCAAACACAGATGAAGATCGAAAACTGATATCCCGCATCTGATATGTATGTAACACAATTCTCAATTGTCCTTTGATTGTGTTTTACTCCCTTCTGTACAATAGACTCATTTTTAAAGGTACATCTCTCACTGAACTTCCTCTCTTAATATCTGGTTAGGCACTGTGTCCATGTATACTCTATGGTTAGAGTTGTTAATTATGATGATCATGAGAGTTCTCCCTGTGGGGTTGAAAATAACCTATTTGATAAGTTCTAACACTGCTGAACTCAGATTAAACTGAAAGCCCCAGAAAAGGTCATTATTTAACTAGATTTAAATGCCTTGATATTTGGAAGTATAACTTTCTGAAATGTTTTCATCCAGTTTGTACTGGTACCATGGAGGTTTGGTAGAAACCGTATGTTCATTAGGCTTTGGCTTGCATCATAGCCATGTTCTCAATGGTCAACATTGAGCAATGAAAGGCAGGGTTATTTTAGTAACCTGGGACCTTGCAAGGCTATCAAAATAGCCTGATATTTCTATAAACTGTAGAGCTGGGAAACAATTTGAGGTGATCCTGTCTGTCCCCTTGGATTACTGAAAAAAGGACCCTCCTGGCATTCTACACTGGGATCTCTGAAGGCTGTGTGAACCTTCCCATGTGAGGTGCACTCTGCTGTGTGGCCTTCTGGTTAAGCAGTTTTATTTACACCTTACTGAAATTGCTGTTGGAAATGATCCAGCATAAACTTATTTGTGGTGCATTTCAAGAAAGAAAACTACATCTGTAGCATGCCAATTATATATTATTCTTTTCTCCATAGCACAGAGTAGGCTCACAGTAACAATCAAAGGTAAATAGTTTATTATTTATGATGTATTCTTCTTTGTGGTTTTAATAATACATGCTTACTGTGGGCAATTTAGAAAGTTATATGCATTTCATGAGAAAGTCATTAGAGTACTTTCAAACCTTTCTATTGGCTTCCAATCTTGAATGGATCAGCACACACACTCTCTTGGTAACTTGGGCAAATCCTGAAGCCAAGGTTCAGCAGACATTGGCTTGTTGTGCTGTGTACCAGGTCCTTATGATTATGTTTTATTTATCAAAAGTATTGGGGGCAGGGAGAGATAAGGGGACCAGGTGAGAGAGGGTGATCAGCATCATAAACCTATTATGACTTCATCAACTTGTCACCCTGGTTTTGAACCAATCATTTTACTTCTCTAGGTTTCAATTTCCTCAACTAAAATGATGGTCCAATAAATGAGTGGTTCTTAATATTTTCTTTTTCTCTCTTTTTTTTTTTTTTTGAGACATAGTCTCACTGTGTTGTCCAGGCTGAAGTGCAGTGGCACAATCTCGGCTCACTGCAACCTCCACCTCCTGGGTTCAAGCGATTCTCTTCCTCAGCCTCCTGAGTAGCTGGGATTACAGGTGCCTGCCACCACACCCGGCTAATTTTTGTATTTTTAGTAGAGACAGGGTTTTACCATGTTGGCCAGGCTGGTCTTGAACTCCTGACCTCAGGCTATTCGTCTGTCTTGGCCTTCCAAAGTGCTAGGATTACAGGCGTGAGTCACCGCTCCTGGCCAATATTTTATTTTCAAGGACCTTTTTGAGAAGCTGGTGAATGGTATGGGAATTTTTATAAAAAGCAGATGTGCACGTACACACAAATTCAGGAACCTCAAGGACACCTATGGACCTCTCCAAAGAGCTCAGTGTTTTCCAATTTCATACATATATGTGATTCTTGTGTCTTCCAACATTCGGATCATATCAGGCCCCTGCCTAAAACTCTCCAGGGCTTTCCCTTAAAATTAGAATTAAAATAAGAACCAGCCACAACTCGTTGTCAACAAGATGTGGTTACTCTGCCCTCATCATTTACTGCTCTTCTACTTAGTTGTTTGCCCCAGCCACGCAGATTTTCTTTTTTTTTGTAAGCTGTAGTAGTGCAGGTATAATTGACAGACAAGAATCTGCCCTTATTTAAAGTGTACTATTTGATAAATATTGCCATAGGTGACAGCTGTGAAAGAATCAGTGCAATGAATATAGCAGACATATCCATCACATTCCAATGTTCTGGATCCCTATGTATGCACAGTGATGAAACCTACATTATTGCTCCAAAGAGATTATTTATGTCATACTATGTCATGTTTATGTTTAACCAGGACTAAATTATTATTAAGGCAATTATAGATATATTGAAAGAAAAAGCATCCACCTGGACGATTTGAATGTTCCTGAGTTCCTTTCATTATATGCGTATACTTTCTACCTCGATCCAATGTTATGTAAGCAAAATCTTTCACTAGGAATCCTGAGTTAATGAGTGTTATTGTGTATCCTCTTCTCATTGCTTTTAGTTTCAGGGTCATTTGAGTCTTAACCATTTTAAACATGGAATCTTTAAACCATTTTAAACATGGAGTCACCCATAATAAATTATAAAAGAAATTTTAAAGAATTCTATAATCATAAAAGTTTAACATACGTTAAATCATTTTAAAATAGTGATAATGTGGTCAAATACATTCACGGATGCTTGGTCTTGACAATCTCTATTCAGTAAGTTATCTAAGAAAGAATATATGGTAGCTTATGTTTTATATGTGGTATAGGTCAATTTCTCTTTATTGGCAATTACATAAAAATAATAGCCTGCATAGTAGAGTTATCGGCTGGCAGCCACCTTTGCCTAAAGGAGGTGACATAATTTCTCATTGCTTTTGTTTAATCTTAATAATTCTTGCGTGGACTCAGCAAAAGTTGAAGAAAGTGAACAAAAACAGCAGAGGAAAGTTCATAAAAGGTAAAGCATCCTATATATTAGATATTATTGTTTTACTTAATAATCTACTCTTACCACATATTTTACTCTTTCTCTTTTGTAAGAGTTTTTAATATTGTTTCAGTTATACAGTACTTTATATTTCTGGACCCAAAACATAACCACAGGATATTTTTTGTAGCATTATAGTGAAGCACTGTAAACAAGTGAAATATCTATCAGTTGAGAAGTAGTTCAAGAAATATGTTGGACCAGGCATGGTGGATCACGCCTGTAATCCCAGCACTTTGGGAGGCTGAGGGGGGTGGATCGCTTGAGCCCAGGAATTACAGACCAGCCTGAACAACATGGCGAAACCCTGTCTCTAAATAAAATAATATAAATGTGTGTGTGTGTATATATATTTTTTTATGATATAATCATACATACTGTAAAATACAATGAAGTTATTTATAAGTAACTCTATAAAAATAAATTTATAAATAATAGAATGACGTGTGTAATTTGATACTTTTTTTTTTTTTTGAGACGGAGTTTTGATCTTGTTGCCCAGGCTGCAGTGCAATGGCACAATCTCTGCTCACTGCAACCTCCGCCTCCTGGGTTCAAGCGATTCTCCTGCCTCAGCCTCCTGAGTAGCTGGGATTACAGTCATGCACCACCACACCTGGCTAATTTTGTATTTTTTTAGTAGAGATGGGGTTTCTCCATGTTGGTCAGGCTGGTCTTGAACTCCCAACCTCAGGTGATCTGTCCGCCTTGGCCTCCCAAAGTGCTGGGATTACAGGCATGAGCCACCGTGCCCCGCTCTAATCTGATACATTTTTATGTATGTATACATCTGTGATACTGTCACCATGTCAAGATACTGAAAATATCCAACACCTCAGAAACTACTCCTTCCCCTTTGTAATCCTCCCCTCATACCATTCCCTGCCCTGCCATCCCCTGGCAGTCATTGATTTGCTGTATATCACTATAAAAAATTTAATAGGTTTTTGGAGTTTCAAATAAATGGAATGATATAGAGTGTGATTTTTTTTTGTCTGGCTTGTTTCACTTGGAATAGTTATTCTGTTATTCATCCATGAGTGCATCAATGATTCATTTCTTTTGTTGCTGAGTGGTGTTCCATTATATAGATATGCCACAGTTTGTCTGTTTTCCTGTTGATGGACATTTGAGGTATTTCCAGTTTTTGATCATTACAAATAAAGCTGTTAGGTACCTTTGTGTGTGGGAACACATGTTGTGTGAACATATGCTTTTATTTCTGTTGAGGTATAATTCACCTATTGTCAAATTCACTTTGAAGGTGTACAGAGTTGTATGAATTTTGACAAATACATATAGTCATTTATCTACCATCACAATCAAGATATGGAATCTTTCTATTGTAGCAGGATGAGTTGCAGAAAAACTCCTCAGACACCGGATTAAAGAAGGAAGAGGTTTTTTATTTGTCCGGGAGCGTCGGCAGACTCGCGTCTTAAGAGCCGAGCTCCCCGAAAAAGAAATTCCTAGCCCTTTTAAGGCCTTACAACTCTAAGGAGTCTACGTGAAAGAGTCATAATAGATCAAGTAAGTGTGAGGAATGTGACTGGGGGCTACATATATCAGCTAACAGAACAAAAAGTTTTACAGTGCTTTCTCATACAATGTCTGGAATTTACAGATAACACCAGTAGTTTTGGTCAGGGGTTAATATTATTATTATTATTATTTTAAACACCAGGGCCAGGTGGTGGCGCCAAGGTCATCTAGCTATTTATCTTACTTCTGTTTCTTTCCAACTTTTTGCTTTCTCCCTTTTCTCCTGTCTTATAAACTAGGGAAAAGGGGAGGTTGGGGAGAAACTGGGAAAGACAACACGAGAAGTGGTGGTCTCATGCCATACTATGACCCCAGAAAGTTGCATTGGGTTTCTTTGTATTTCAATGCCTTCAACCTACTTCCAGCCCCTGGCAACCATTGATCTAATTTCTATGCATATAGTGTTGGTTTTTTATAGTATCATATACTTGGGATCGTAGAATAATGATCCATTTGTTTCTGACTTCTTTCACTCAGCACCATGCTTCTGAGACTCATCCATATTGTTGTATGTATCAGTGGTTCATTTTTGTTGTTGATGAGTATTATATTGTATGGATATGTGACAGTTTGCTAATTCATTCATCAGTTCCTGGACATTTGGGTTGTTTCCAGGACTTTGTGTATGTATGGCATAAAACATGTAAAAACCATGTTTATTTTTAAGATCTGAATTTCAGCACAAAACAGTTAAAATGTCCATGATAAATGAAGAAAAATTTTTGGTCCACCCATGTTTTTCTTTTTCTTTTTTTTGTGACAGGGTCTCATTCTATCTTCCAGGCTGGAGTTCAGTGGCATGATCTTGACTCACTGCAGCCTCAAGCCCCACCCAGGCTCAAGGGATCCTCCTACCTTAGCCTCCCTAATAACTGGGACCACAGGTGCACACCACCCCACCTGGCTAATTTTTTTTCTTTTCTTTTCTCTTCTTCTTCTTTTTCTTATTTGTAGAAACAGGTTTTCACCACGTTACCAAGGCTGATTTTTTTTTTCTAGGAATGAAAACATGATGGTTTGCCTTTAGTTGGGGATCTATTTCCTCATTACTGCCACTTCTACCACCGGCACCAGCCCCACCCCCACATGAGTACTTAATTATCATGAAAATAGTCAATAAGTGAGGGTGTGAAAACTCAAGGAGCAAAAAATGCTCTATATATTTCATATGTAATATTGCTTAGAGATTTCCTGAAAATACCTTATTAAGTGTATATTTATGGTGGTGATCATTGCAGACAAATTAAGAATTCAGAGCCCAATCCTAACTTCAAGCCAAGAAGTAAAAAAAGGAAGAAAAAATCAAGACGCTCAGAACAGAACTCCAGCAATATTGAACCCAGGTAATGAAACTAGATATGTGTTGTGTGTCATGTCACATTGAGATCTATGGTAGGAAAGTTTCTTGTTAGACGGAAGTAAAATATGACTAGTAGCAGACTTTTTGGCAAATTCTCATTTTATTTTAAATAACTCTATAGGGAAAAAAACAGCTCTATGGATTTTATTTTCTAAGACAATCAACCATTTTCATGTGTGGAAAAGACCCAGGCATTACTTGACTGTCCTGAATGTTTTGTGACAACATATTAAACAAGCAAAATTGTTTGTTTGTTTGTTTGTTTGTTTGTTTGTTCTTAGACAGAGCTTCACTGTGTTGCCCAGGCTAGAGGGTAGTGGCGTGATCAAGGCTCACTGCAGACTCAACCTCCTAGGCTCAAGTATATTCTCCTCAGCTTCCAGTATATTCTCCTGCAAGAACATACCACCCCACACCTGGCTAATTTTAAAATGTTTTGTAGAGACAGGGTCCCACTATGTTGTTCAGGCTGGTCTCAAACTCCTGGCCTTAAGTGATCCTCCTGCCTCAGCCTCCCAAAGTGCTGGGATTATAGGCATGAGCCACCACATCTAGCCACAAAACTTGTTTAGAGAAAAAATTGTTATGATGATGTGAATAATTGGGTCCACAATATTTCCTTTTAGAAAGAAAATTGGCCAGGCGCGGTGGCTCACGCCTGTAATCCTAGCACTTTGGAAGGTCGAGGTGGGCAGATCACCTGAAGTCGGGAGTTCGAGACCAGCCTGACCAACATGGAGAAACCCCGTCTCTACTCAAAATACAAAAAATTAGCCGGGCATGGTGGCACATGCCTGTAATCCCAGCTACTTGGGAGGCTGAGGCAGGAGAATTGCTTGAACCCAGGAGGCGGATGTTGCGGTGAGCTGAGATCGCGCCATTGCACTCCAGCCTGGGCAACAAGAGGGAAACTCCATCTCAAAAAAAAAAGAAAAGAAAAGAAAAAGAAAAAAGGAAAGAAAATTGGAGCTAGGCGCGGTGGCTCATGCCTGTAATCCCAGCACTTTGGGAGGCCGAGATGGGGCTGATTACCTGAGGTCGGGAGTTTGAGAGCAGCCTGGCCAACATGGTGAAACCCCGTCTCTACAAAAATACAAAAAAAATTAGCCAGGCATGATGGCGGGTGCCTGTAATCCCAGCTACTCGGGAGGCTCAGGTGGGAGAATCGCTTGAACCTGGGAGGCGGAAGTTGCAGTGAGCCGAGATTGAGCTGTTGCGCTCCAGCCTGGGCGACAGAGCGAAACTCCATCTTAGGAAAAGAAAGAAAGAAAGAAAGAAAGAAAGAAAGAAAGAAAGAAAGAAAGAAAGAAAGAAAGAAAGAAAGAAAGAAAGAAAGAAAGAAAGAAAGAAAGAAAGAAAGAAAGAAAGAAAGAAAGAAAGAAAGAAAGAAAGAAAGAAAGAAAGAAAGAAAGAAAGAAAGAAAGAAAGAAAGAAAGAAAGAAAGAAAGAAAGAAAGAAAGAAAGAAAGAAAGAAAGAAAGAAAGAAAGAAAGGGAGAGAAAGAAAGAAGGAAAGAAAGAAAGAGAGAGAGAGAGAAAGAGAGAGAGAGAGAGAGAGAGAGAGAAGGAAGGAAGGAAGGAAGGAAGGAAGGAAGGAAGGAAGGGAGGGAGAGGGAGAGAGAGGAAGGAAGGAAGGAAAAGAAAGAAAAGAAAGAAAAAGAAAGAAAGAAAGAAAGAAAGAAAGAAAGAAAGAAAGAAAGAAAGAAAGAGAGAGAGAAAGAAAGAAAGAAGGAAGGAAAGAAAGAAAGAAAGAAAGAAAAATTGGGCCATATGTGAGACCTCATCCCAAAAAGAAAAGAAAATCCTTACATTTTAATAATCCCAAAGCCCTCTGTACACCTGTGTAAATCTCAAATATATATTTTATTTTTTATTTTTTTTTTGAGACGGAGTCTCCCTCTGTCGCCCAGGCTGGAGTGCAGTGGCGCGATCTCAGCTCACTGCAACCTCCGCCTCCCGGGTTCACGCCATTCTCCTGCCTCAGCCTCTCCGAGTAGCTGGGACTACAGGCGCCCGCCACCACAGCCGGCTAATTTTTGTATTTTTCATAGAGACACGGTTTCGCCTCGTTGGCCAGGCTGCTCTCAAACTCCTGAGCTCAAGTGAACCACACACCTTGGCCTCCCAAAGTGCTGGGATTATAGGCGTGAGCCACCATGCCCAGCCTTAGCTTTGGGTTTTTCCCAGATGCCCTTTATGAGGATGAGGAAGTTATCTCTATTCCTAGTTTATTGAATATTTTTATATGAAGGGGTGTTAGATTTTGTCAGTTTTTTCTCTGCAACTATTGGGATAATCATGTGATTTTTGTGTTTTTTCTTGATATAGGGTATTTTATAATTTCATTTTTGGATGTTAAAATAACATTGTATTCCTGGGATAAATCACACTTGGTTATATTGTATAGTTATTTTTACATGTTACTGTAGTCACCTTTCTAGTATTTTGTTGATAGTTTGTGCATCCACATACATAGGGAATATTGGTTTGTAGTTTTCTTTTTATTTTTTCTTTTCTTCTTTTTTTTTTTTTTTTTTTTTGACAATGTCTTGCTCTGTTGCCCAGGCTGAAGTGCAGTGACGTGATCACAGCTCGCTCCAGCCTCAACCTCCTGGGCTCAAGTGATCCTTCTGTATCAGCCTCCCAAGTAGGCAGGACTACAGGTGCGTGCCACCACGCTTGGCTAGTTTTTGTTTATTTTTTGTAGAGACGAAGTCTGGCTTTGTTGCCCAGGCTGGGGCTGTCTTTTAAAAACAGCACTGAAATGTGTTTGTTCCTGTATCACATTGGCAAAGGTTAAAAAGGTTTTTTTGGCCGGGTGTGGTGGCTCACACCTGTAATCCCAGCACTTTGGGAGGCCGAGGTGGGCAGATTACCTGAGGTCAGGAATTCAAGACCAGACTGTCCAACATGGTGAAACCCCATCTCTACTAAAAATACAAAAATTCGCCAGGTGTGGTGTTGGGCACCTGTAATCCCAGCTACTTGGGAGGCTGAGGCAGGAGAATTGCTTATACCTGGGAGGCAGAGGTTGCAGTGAGCCAAGATTGTGCCACTGCACTCCAGCCTGGGCGACAAGAGTGAGATTCCATCTCAAAAATAAATAAATAAATAAATAAATAAATAAATAAATAAATAAATAAAAATAAAAATAAAAATAAAAAAATAACAACCCCAAAAATGTTTTTTTTTCCAATGTTCAGTTTTCTTTAATGACCCCTTCTCCCTGAAGGGCAGGTTCAGGCAGCTAGGTGATGGCAACAGATGTTCACTTGAAGATCTTGCCCTGATTGAAGGGTTTGCCCACATGCTGGAAGGCCCCCTCCCAGGAAAAGTACTCTCGAACCAGCATCTGGGTCTCCTCGCTGCCAGGATCCAGTTTCTGCCATGTGTATGACTCATAGCCCACCTGCCAATCTGGACTCAGTGGAAAGGCAAGCTCCTGGCCTCGGAAGACCCAGACTCCAGAAATGGAGCTGATATTGTTGGTTCCAAAGAGGATGACACTGGCGAAGGCATTCTTCCTCAGCTTGTCCAGTCACTGGAACATTCCAGTGATGAGATTGCAGCTCATGAAGGTCTGAGTGAATTCTTCAGGGAAGCGACACTCTGAGTACCACAGGGACCAGCAGTCCTTATCAAAGTGCTCCCAGAAATATGGCAGTGCCACAGAGAGTGTGTCTCATTGGAGTACTTGAGCTTCAATTCATCCAACACAAAGGTACTCTTGGGCAGGTGAGCAAAGGGGTCCTTGGCCTTGGGCTCAGCGGCCAGCGCCTGCTCACATTCATCCATCTCCTCCTCAGGAGTAGGGGCAGCCGCCTTTTTCTCCTCCTGCTCAGCCTGGGGCTTCTGCTTCTCTTCCCGTGAACGCTTCTCTTTCCGTGGTGTGTCCTTTTTAGGCTGGCTTTCCACAAACTTTTTAGCATCAGACTGGGCCATCTTCTCACATAGTTTTGCTTTCCCCAAGACAGTGCAGAACTGAGGCTGGTTAATGCAGGTGAGGAACCAGCGGTTGGTATTGGGAAAGGCCTGGCAGAAAGAAGGTTCTAGGACCTGCTTATAGAGCCACAATAGGGTACAGACAACTGTGATGTCAGTCAATGTCACTCGTTCGCCCTCCAGAAAAGTCCTTGTCTTCAAGTGAGCATCCAACAGCCCCAGAATTTGCCTCACTTCCTCCTTTGTATTCTCAGTGGCCTGTTTGTTGTGACGCATGATGCCCAAGGTGGGGAACACCCAGGTACTGGCTGGGGACACTATATTGCTATCAGCAAAGCTCACCCACTGCATCACTTGGGCTGCTGCCTCTGGAGTACTTCCCTGCAGCTCCTCATTGCTCACATAGTAGGCAATGGCATTGCTCTCAAACACACAGAATCTATCGTCACCTTCAAATGCTGGAACCTTGCCAGCAGGAAATCTGCGGAGAAATTTAGGGGTGCGGTTGGTTTGGCCAAAGTGGAAATGGGGTGGTGCGGAGAGCACACGGACATGAGCCCCTCTGTGCTGAGCAGCAATGAGGGCCTTGAAGTTCCTTCAGTTTTCAGGATATGTGTACAGGGTCCCAGCCGCCATGGTGATTCCGCAAAGAAAGGCTTTTTTGTTTGTTTGTTTTTTAAGATAGGGTCTCACTCTGTCACCGAGGCTGGAGTGCAGTGGTGTGATCTCAGCTCACTACAACCTCCGCCTTTCAGGTTCAAGCAATTCTCCTGTCTCAGCCTCCCGAGTAGCTGGGATTACAGGTGTGCACTACAACGCCCAGCTTTTTTTTTTTTTTTTTTTTTTTGGTGTTTTTAGTAGAGACAGGGTTTCACCATGTTGCCCAGGCTGGTCTTGAACTCCTGAGCTCAAGCAATCTGCCCACCTCAGCCTTCCGAAGTGCTGGGATTACAGGTGTGAGTCACCATGTTGGGCCTGTAGTTCCCTTATTTGTGATGCTTTACCTGGTTTTGATATGAGGGTTATACTGGCCTGATAGAATGGCTCACAAAACTCAGGAAAACACTTTACTTACATTTACTCATTTATTAGAAAGCGTTTTACAAAGGATACTGATGAACAGCCAGATGGAAAAGATGCACAGGGCAAAGTATGTGAAAAGGGGTGTGGAACTTCTGTGCCTTCTCCTGGCACCCTCCAGGAACCTAGATGTGTTAGGCTATCTGGAAACGGTCCCAAACCTTGTCCTTTTAGGCTTTTATAGAAGCTTCATTTCATAGGCATGATTGATGAAATCAACAGCCATTGGTTATGAAGTCAACCTTTAACCCCTGTTACCTCCCTGAAGTTTGGGAAGTGGGGCTGAAAGTCCCAACCCTCTAATCATGCTTGGTCTTTCCAGTGACCAGCTCCCACTCTGCAGCTACATAGGGGCTGCCACCAGTCATCTCATTAGCATACAAAAGACATTCTTATCACTCTGGAGATTTGAAGGGTTTTAGGTGCCGTTTTAGGAAACCAGGACTTGAAGACTAAGTTTTTTTAATTACTTTTTTTATTTTTTATTTAATTATATATTTTTTAGATGGAGTCTTGCTCTGCTGCCCAGGCTGGAGTGCAGCGGCACGATCTTGGCTCACTGCAACCTCCGCCTCCTGTGTTCAAGTGATTCTCCTGGCTCAGCCTCCTGAGTAGCTGGGACTACAGGTGCATGCCACCATGCCCGGCTAATTTTGTGTATTTTTAGTAGAGACGGGGTTTCACCGTGTTAGCCAGGATGGTCTTGATCTCCTGACCTCGTGATCCGTCCGTCTCGGCCTCCCAAAGTGCTGTGATTACAGGCGTGAGCCACCGTGCCCAGCGAAGACTAAATATTTATATTTCACAATATAATACCCTTTTGCTATTGCCCCCTACTGCCACCCTCAACAGCCCTAGACAACCATTAATTTCCTTGTGTCTCTACAGATTTGCCTATTCTGGATTTTTTTTTTTTTTTTTTTGAGAGGGAGTCTTGCTCTGTGACCCAAGCTGGAGTGCCATTGCACGATCTCGGCTCACTGCAAGCTCTGCCTCCCAGGTTCAAGGGATTCTCCAGCCTCAGCCTCCCAAGTAGCTGGCCACCATGCCTGGCTAATTTTTGTATTTTTAGTAGAGACAAGGCTTCACCATGTTGCCCAGTCTGGTCTCGAACTCCAGGGCTCAAAGTGATCCACCCACCTTGGCCTCCCAAAGTGCTGGGATTACAGGCATGAGCCATTGCGCCCAGCCAGGATTTTTTTTTTTTTACAGACAGGGTCTCACTCTGTCACCCAGGCTGCAGTGCAGTGACATCATCTCAGCTCACTGCAACCTCCACCACCGCTGCTGCTCTAGCAATCCTCACCTAGACTTCTGGAGTATCTGAAAATACAGATGCATGCCCTGGCTAATTTTCTTTATTTTTTGTACAGACAGAGTCTCCCTATGTTGCCAAGGCTGGACTCGAACACCTGGGCTCAAGTGATCCTCCCGCCTCAGCTTACCAAAGTGCTGAGATTATAGGCGTGAGCCACCATGCCCGGCTTGGACATTTTTTTCGTAGATGGAATAATACAATATCTACCACAATTTCTTTATCCCTTCACCTTTTGCTAGACACTAGGGATGCACTCAGTGCTTACCTATAAAGCTGCTATGATTATGTATATTTTTTGTACAGACATATGTTTTCATTTCTCCTTAGGTACCTACCTAGGAATGAAATTGGTAGGTTATGGAATTTTTATGTTTAACTGTGTGAAGATCTGCCAGACTTATGTGCAAGGTGGCTGTAACATTTTACATTCAGGAGAAGGGAGAAGAGGAGAGAGAAAAAGTCCACATTCTTACCAGCAGTGTATGAGAGTTCCCATTTCTCTAATGCTCACCAAAAATTTTTATTTTTTTATTTTTTATTTTTTTGAGATAGAGTCTCACTCTTGTTGCCCACGCTGGAGTGCAGTGGCACCATCTCGGCTCACTGCAAGCTCCGCCTCCCAGATTCAAGCAATTCTCCTGCCTCAGCCTCCCAAGTAGCTGGGACTACAGGTGCCCACCACCATGCCCAGCTAATTTTTGTATTTTTAGTAGAGACAGGGTTTCACAATGTTGGCCAGGCTGGTCTTGAACTTCTGACCTCAAGTGATCCACCTGCCTCAGCCTTCCAAAGTGCTAGGATTACAGGCGTGAGCCACTGCTCCCGGCCTGATTTTAATTATAATCATCCCAGTAGATTTGAAGTGGTATCTCTTTGTGATTTTGATTTACATTTCCCTGATGGCTAATGATGGTGAGTATATTTCCAAGTGCTTATTGGCCATTTTTATATCTTCTTTGGAGAATGTCCATTCAAAGATCTTACACATTTTTAAATCTAGTTGTTTATTGAGTTGCAATTGTTCATCATATGTTCTCGGTACAAGTCTCTTATTAGATATAGGATTTACAAAAATTTTCTCCCATTGTGTGAATTTTGTTTTCACTTTCTTGATGGTGTCCTTTGAAGCATAGAAGTTTTAAATTTTGATGTTATTTGGTATATATATATATATATTCAGTATATATATAGTATATATATATATATTCAGTATATATATAGTATATATATATATTCAGTATATATATAGTATATATATATATTCAGTATATATATAGTATATATATATTCAGTATATATATAGTATATATATATTCAGTATATATAGTATATATATATTCAGTATATATATAGTATATATATATTCAGTATATATATACTATATATATATTCAGTATATATATAGTATATATATATATTCAGTATATATATAGTATATATATTCAGTATATATACACTATATATATTCAGTATATATATACTATATATATATTCAGTATATATATACTATATATATATTCAGTATATATAGTATATATATATTCAGTATATATATAGTATATATATATTCAGTATATATATAGTATATATATATTCAGTATATATAGTATATATATATTCAGTATATATATAGTATATATATATTCAGTATATATATAGTATATATATATTCAGTATATATATAGTATATATATATTCAGTATATATATAGTATATATATATTCAGTATATATATAGTATATATATATTCAGTATATATATAGTATATATATATATTCAGTATATATATAGTATATATATATATTCAGTATATATATAGTATATATATATATTCAGTATATATATAGTATATATATATTCAGTATATATATAGTATATATATATTCAGTATATATATAGTATATATATTCAGTATATATATAGTATATATATTCAGTATATATATAGTATATATATATTCAGTATATATAGTATATATATTCAGTATATATAGTATATAAATTCAGTATATATATAGTATATATAAATTCAGCATATATATAGTATATATATATTCAGCATATATATAGTATATATATATTCAGCATATATATAGTATATATATATTCAGCATATATATAGTATATATATATTCAGCATATATATAGTATATATATATTCAGCATATATATAGTATATATATATTCAGTATATATATAGTATATATATATTCAGTATATATATAGTATATATATATTCAGTATATATATAGTATATATATTCAGTATATATATAGTATATATATATTCAGTATATATACTATATATATTCAGTGTATATATAGTATATATATATTCAGTATATATACTATATATATTCAGTATATATATAGTATATATATATATTCAGTATATATATAGTACATATATATTCAGTATATATGGTACATATATATTCAGTATATATATATAGTACATATATATAGTACATATATAGTACACACACATATATAGTACACATATATAGTACATATATATAGTACACACACACACATATATATATAGTACACACACACACACACACACACATATATATATATATATATATATATATATATATATTTTAGATTTTCCATTTTCTTTATTTTTTCCTTCCTGGAGGCAGCTACGATCACCTGAACGGGTACTTTTCTCAAGTGTATTGTTCATGTGATTGCTACCTAGTATGAATTTGTAAGTCACATGTTGCATTGCTATGCATATTTTTAAACATTATAAAATCAGTATTATGCTATGTACATTGTTCTCCAACTTTTCTTGATTAATTATGTTTTTGAGAATTATGTATGTTGAGCATACTCTACTGTATAACAATGCCACAATGTACTTGTCTATTCTCCTGTTGGCTGATGTGTTTCAGTATATATATTTTATCTTTTATTGATTGTGCTTTTGGTATTTGTGATATTGTTTTTATGTTTGATTTCCTAGGAGTCACCCCTGAGTCAGAGCAGCTTATTGTTCAGTGTTTGGTCAGAGTTTTGTGTTTAAACCCCTCATGCCAATGAAGCTTCTGTTCTGTGTTGACTCTGTGCATGGCTTGGAAAATGCTTTTATGTCTTGCCTATGTCTTGCTCTAAGGCTCACTCTTTTTTTTTTTTTTTTTTGAGACAGAGTTTCACTTTTGTTGCTCAGGCTGGAGTATAATGGCATGATCTCGGCTCACTGCAACCTCCACCTCCCGGGTCCTGGTTCAAGCAGTTCTCCTGCCTCAGCCTCCCGAGTAGCTGGGATTACAGGCATGTGCCACCATGCCCAGCTAATTTTTGTATTTTTAGTAGAAACGGGGTTTCACCATGTTGGCCAGGCTGGTCTCGAACTCCTGACCTTGTGATCCACCCACCTCGGCCTCCCAAAGTGCTGGGATTACAGGCGTGAGCCACCACACCCGGCTAAGGTTCACTCTTGATTGGCTACAGCCATCCCTGTTGTACACAGAGTTCCCCAAACCTCTGGACTGTGATCCAGAGGGTTCTTTCTGGCTGTCTCTTTTCTTGGTTTTCTCTAAGTATTCTCCAAGACCTCTACTGGTCACAGATTTCACCACTCTCTATTCTAAATAAAGTTAGTTAGTTATACAGGCTCATGCCTGTAACCCTAGCACTTCGGGGACTGAGGCAGGAAGATCGCTTGAGCAGTAAGCTGTGAGCCGTGATCATGCCACTGCACTCCAGCCTGGATGACAGAGGGAGACCCTGTCTCTAAATAAATAAACAAACAAACAAACAAACAAATAAAGTTAGTCCCTTCAGGCCAAACAGCAGAGCTCTTAGAAATTACAGCCCATCTTCCCCCTAGAAAATCCACTGTGTCACTCTTGTTGACTAGGGACACAGAGCCACTCTTTACAAAATGACATCCTGTTCTATTCTTAGAACAGGACACTGGAAGGCTATAGTAACCCCTACTCTTCATGGTTTGCCCATTCTGCCACAGAACTAGGATGGTTGTTGATAGTGTCCCATTATTCTGGGTTGTCACCACCTCTCATGCTCCCTCTTCTCTTTCTCCTGGCCTCCAGGCTAGGAGTAAGCCCAGAAGTATTTGTAGTAGGGTTTTGGGATGACAATCTATTGTATGTGTTGTGTCCCTGATGGGCTATCTCTGTTGCCTGAAGAGGCAGGGAGGCACGGGCTTCAGAAAGCTAGAGAAGAAACTTCTCATCCTTTGCCACTTGCCCAGGGAGAACCTATTTTTCTCTTTAAGGGAGCTAACTGCTGGCAAGTGCACAAAGGATGATTGAGACTAACAACAGGCTGGGCACGGTGGCGCATGCCTGTAACCCCAGCACTTTGGGAGGCCGAGGTGGGTGGATCACCTGAGGTCAGGAGTTCGAGACCAGCCTGGCCAACATGGTGAAACCTCATCATCTCTACTAAAAATACAAAAAATAGCTGGCGTGGTGGTGCACACCTGTAATCCTAGCTACTCGGGAGGCTGAGGCAGGAGAATCACTCGAACCTGGGAGCGGAGTGTGCAGTGAGCCAAGATCATGCCATTGCACTCCAGCCTGGGCAATAAGAGCAAAACTCTGTCTCAAAAAAAAAAAAGAAGAAGAAGAAGAAGAAGAAAAAAAAAAATCGAGACCTAACAACAAAACAGAAGAGTCATTCACAACCCTATTGAGAGGTAAAAAAGAATTTAAATAAGTACATGTTCAAATGATAATGTTGCCTGTTGTATCATTCATATGCCTTAATTGCTCCCTCCCCAGGTGAGAGGCAGGTTCCCAAGACCAGACACTGCCTGCGCCCTATCACCTCTCACTCTTTGTCATGGAACTGCTAGAGGGCCAGCACCTTAAGGGCTGCTGCTTGGTGGCGCCGATGCTGCCTAGGTGGGCGGCAATGTGTCGGGGCCAAAGGAGTGACAGCAGCTGGCAGGCTTCCCCTACCTGACTAGTGCCCTGATTTGTATGTTCTTTGTTTTGAGAAAACAAACACACTCCTCTTGCAAAATAATATTCACCTAAGGAGACATGTACAGGGTAAAGAAGAAAATGAAAATAGCCAGTGATGAGAGATGAGGAGTATTAAATGGGGCTGTGTATCCTCCCAGCACCTTGTTCCCTAAGGACAGAGAGATACAAATATAGTTTTAAAACAATAGTCTAGTGAGCTCTATAGGTCCGTGGGTAACTTGCTGGCCATTTAGTTAGTAAACAATAACAATGAAAAGATTTTTGTGGACCTACCTTTTTGATTTCTATTGACAGATGTAATCCCTTCTTATTTTTTCAGGAAAAACGTCTTCACAAATACAAAAGTGTTTCAAGGAAAAATTGAAGTCACTCCTGCCCACATCCACTGCCCAGTGTAACCGCCCTTAAAGATTGCTGTGTATTTGTGTACTAATTTTTCTGTGTTTATAAAATCATTCATATATTTATTAATAACATGTTTAGAAGAAATCTCTGCATTAACCTCAGGGCACACAGCTGTCTTTGATCGCCCCCAACTCCTCAGAATGTCCTGCCTCCATTTCACTCTCCCACAGCTGACTTTCTCCCATGCTTAGGCCCCCCAAGAGCACCTGCTGAAAAACTACTTCCAACCTTAAGCTCAGGCCCTGACTCACAGCCCTTTATTCTAACAGAGCCCCTAGGTGTTTGGGCAGAGGTAGGTGGGTATTACGAGGGAAGCGGGAGGAGGACAGTGAGGCCCCTTAAGTTCTTTGTCCTGGCCAGGCGGCTGCCCTCCTGCATTACAGGTCTCCACAGGATAGGTCCCAATTCCCAACTACTTTCAATTGGTGGGGTGTGGATTGGCAGGATGGGTTAATGCTCTGCCACAACTTTCTCACTTTATAATGGGAGCTGTATGGTAAATTCACCTGATAGTAATAACTTAAGCATATCCTGAGAATGATCCTGTATGGCAGACGCACCTGAATCCTGAATGTGTGTTTGAAGTTCTGAGCTAAGAAATCTGGGGGTGGCCAACACAGAGATTCATTTCTTATTTATGAAGAAGCTGTGAACCCCCAGCCGTCCCGTCCCATGGAATGTGGGCTATACAGGGGTTCAAGGCCCTGTATTTTGGGTTAAATGAAGACTGCCAGGTGGAGGTTGTTAGGGGGAGGCTGTGAAGTGAAAATACTATATAAGGCCGGGCGCGGTGGCTCACACCTGTAATCCCAGCACTTTGGGAGGCCGAGGTGGGCGGATCATGGGGTCAAGAGATCGAGACCATCCTGGCCAACATGGTGAAACCCCGTCTCTACTAAAAATACAAAAAAGTTAGCTGGGCATGTTAGCACGTGCGTGTAGTCCCAGCTACTCGGGAGGCTGAGGCAGGAGAATCGCTTGAACCCAGGAGGTGGAGGTTGCAGTGAGCCGAGACCGCGCCACTGCACTCCAGCCTGGCGACTGATCGAGACTCCATCTCAAAATAAAACCCTCTATAAATTGTGTGACTTTATTTTGCAAGTGGTTGTGGTTCTGTTGTCCAGCCCACTGTCGTTGGGTCTTGTTCCCCAATTGTAAGCCCTCAATAAAACCTCATGTCTCATTCACTGGCTCTGGGTCTCTTCTTCAGCCTACTGAACCCAGTATTCATCCCCATTGGAGTGTACAGGGGTTCAGCACAACATGAGCATATGACAAAGACCTGGGCTATGAATTTTAACTACCCCTGTCTGGATTCCTCCTTGTTTTTTCTCCTTCACTTTAGGGAGGAATGGCCATTTCCCCACCTAAAGAACCAAGTCATCACCTTTTTTTTGTCCTATTTGCTGGGTGGGCAGATTCAGTAACTACTTGTGCCAGGAAACCAAAGTCCATAGAGGCCGCGTGGCTTTGCCAAGGGGAACAACCAGCGTGGTGCAGGATAGTTTCACACAGGTGAGGCTCTCATGCTGCAAATCCTTTGCTCTCTCTGTGTTATATAAATGGATTTTTAAATTTCACCTTAGGGGGTTGTCTTAATCCGTTTTCTGCTGCTAAAACAGGAGTGACCAACCCGGAGTTTCGTTCTTTGTCTATGAGGAACATCTGAGCCACCATCCTGTCCCGTGGAACACGAGCCATATAGGGGTTTGAAGCCCTGAGTTTTGGTCTAGATGAAGGCTACCAGGTGGAGGACGTTAAGGGGAGAGTGTTACGTGAAAATGCTATAGAAACTTCTGAAACAAAGAGAAAAATGTGTGACCCCAATTCACTCTGCTAAAAGGAAAAAATTAAGCTGAAATCTGAGTGTTGCAAGCAGCTGCCTTTTCTTTTGTTCCTAAGCAGATAGCTACAGATAAAAGGTTAAATATCTCCACAGGTAGCTAATCAGTGTTCACCTTTTCTTATGTAAAGTGCCGATTTACTGAGCCTGAGACGAATACATGATTGACTATTCCCTTACCAGCTCCTTTTCTCTTGCAACATGTGCCTTCAGTAATGTGACCATGCCCGCCCCCTTTCCCCTCCATCCTGCTTCCCCCACGCATCTCCCCCCACTTTTTTTAAGATAGAGTCTCGCCCTGTCACCCACGCTGGAGTGCAGTCCCAGGTTAAAGCAATTCTCCTGCCTTAGCCTCCTGAGTAGCTGGGACTACAGGTGTGTGCCACCACGCCCAGCTAAGTTTTATATTTTTAGTAGAGATGGGGTTTCACCATGTTGGCCAGGCTGGTCTTGAACTCCTGACCTCAAATGATCCACCCGCCTCAGCCTCCCAAAGTGCTGGGATTACAGGTGTGACCACCATGCCAGGCCTGCTTTTCCCCCTTTAAATAATGAAGACATTAAAATTCTCTTCGGAGAAAGGCACAGACCACAGATTGTTTCTGTGATTCCATTGTTCTTTCTCCCAGGACATTGTCCTTAGCCTTGGCAAAATAAACTTCTGAATTGATTGAGACCTGTCTCAGATACTTCGTTTTACAAACTGCATGGTCTTTGCAAGCAGTTGCAATTCTCCTGTCCAGCTCACTGCCATTGGACTCTCTCCCTTTTATGTAAGCCCCTAATAAAATCCCAAGTCTCATTTGCTGGCTCTGGGTCACTTCTTTGGCCTCTTGAACCTGGTGGCTTCCCTACTGAGGTTTATAGGGGTTTGGCACCGCATCCATTCTTGAAAGCAGAGCCTAATTACCTCTTAAAGGTCTCACCTCTTTTTTTTTTTTTTAAGATGGAGTCTCACTCTCACCCAGGCTGGAGTGCAGTGGCGCAATCTGGGCTCACTGAAACCTCTGCCTTCTGGGCTCAAGCGATTCTCCTGCCTCAGCCACCCAAGTAGCTGGGATTACAGGCATATACTACCACGCCTGGCTAATTTTTGTATTTTTAGTAGAGACAGGGTTTCACCATGTTGGCCAGGCTGGTCTCGAACTCCTGACCTCAAATGATCCACCTGCCTTGGCCTCCCAAAGTACTGGGATTACAGGCATGAGTCACCACACCCAGCAGGTCTCACCTCTTAATACCATCACAATGGCAATTAAATTTCAACATGGGCCAAGTGCAGTGGCTCACGCCTGTAATTCCAGCACTTTGGGAGGCCAAGGCAGGTGGATCACTAAAGGCCAGGAGTTTGAGTCCAGCCTGGGCAACATGGCAAAAACCCATCTGTACTAAAAATACAAAACTTAGCTGGGCGTGGTGGTGCATGCCTGTAATCTCAGCTACTAGGGAGGCTGAGGCAGGAGAGTCATTTGAACCCAAGAGGTGGAGGTTGCAGTGAGCCACGATCAGGCCACTCCACTCAGCCTGGGTGACAGAGCAAGACTCTGTCTCAAAAAAAAAAAAAGAAAAAAAGAAAAAAATTGGCCGGCCACGGTGGCTCACGCCTGTAATCCCAGCACTTTGGGAGGCCGAGGCAGGTGAATCACCTGAGGTCAGGAGTTCGAGACCAGCCTGGCCAACATTGTGAAACCCGCATCTCTACTAAAAATACAAAATATTAGCTGGGTGTGGTGATGGGCACCTGTAATCCCAGCTACTCGGAAGGTTGAGGCAGGAGAATCGCTTGAACTTGGGAGGCGGAGGTTAAAGTAAGCCAAGGACTTGCCATTGCACTCCAACCTAAGCAACAAGAACAAGACTCTGCCTCAAAAAAAAAAAAATTCAACATGAGCTTTGGAAGGGACACTGAAGCCATAGGACATAGAAGCCAACTTCCTGCAAACCTCAGTATTTAATGCTTCTAGATTCCCTGCCCTAGCTCAACCTCCAACTCCCCTTCTCTGTGCCTGTCCAGTTTCTTTTTTTCTTTTCTTTTCTCTTCGTTTCTTTCTTTTTTTTTTTTTTTTTTTGAGATGGAGTCTTGCTCTGTCACCCAGTCTGGAGTGCAGTGGCGTGATCTCGGCTCACTGCAACCTCTGCCTCCCAGGTTCAAGCAATTCTCATGCCTCAGCCTCCCGAGTAGCTGGGATTACAGGTGCCACCACCACACCTGGCTAATTTTTGTATTTTTAGTAGGGACAAGGTTTCACCACGTTGGCCAGGCTGGTCTCGAACTCCTGACCTCAAGTGATCCACCCACCTCAGCCTCCCAAAGTGCTAGGATTACAGGTGTGAGCCACCACACCCGGCCACCTGTCCAGTTTCAAGGTCAGTAAAGGCAAGCTCAGTATACTCCAATTCTTTTCTCAGCTAGAGGCCAGGACCATCCTGACCTGGTTTATAATTTGCTCCTGTTCTCTCCAATTTAGCTCCTGTTCAGAGCCCTGAGGATTAGTTTCCCTCATGGCCCCAGCTCCTGGCCTGCTGACACATTTTGATCTTCCTAGCCCTAAGCTCAGTCATCAAGCTCACCTCTCTGGGCCCTGCATCCCCTGGAACTCCACAATTATCTCTGGCCCTCTGGAACACAAACCCTAACCACTCCAAATTCAGCTGCACCTTTGCAGGGTGTAGTGGAAACCCAGGCTGGCAAGGACTGTTCCTAAAATCCACATTCTCACCTGTTGTGCTCCCAGAATCCTGCTGCCTAAATATATCCCCTCCTGGTTTCAGAACAGAGACTCACAAACATATATAGATAGGGTCAAAGTGACCTCAGCTTCAAGGTCAAATCAGTCCTTCCCAAATGAAGACTTTGTTTTCCCACAAAAGACAGACTGTTTCCCAAAAGTTTAAAGGATTCCTTGCATCTTGAAATAGCTGAGGCTTTGTTCGTATTTCATGGAAGCCCAAGGAGTGCGGTGTACCTGCTGCGCTCCTTGAACACTGGGTTCAATTTTAAATAAGCTAGTAGCACTTTGCAATTTGGCCACTAGATGGCAGGACCTCTTCACCATGAGTATAACATGACGCTGACTCAGAAAACCCCCAAGTAGTTAACACCAGCCAGCCAAACAAAGCAAAAACAACAGCCAGCCAGACAAAGCAAAAGGAATGTACCAAGTTTGGTGAAAGATCCTCTTCATGTATGAATCTTTTCAAATTTGTTCTTATTTTGATAATGATGTTAGCAAATACAATTATGATTATCTAACTTGTTTCCATAGTGATATCTGTCCTTATTATACCTTCTCTCCACACTTAAGTCTTCTAAGGAAAACCACTCTAATCAGGAAAGAAATCTGAGACTTTTTATGGAAATACAGGGAAAATACAGAGACTCCATTTTTACAGGAAAATGTTTTTCAAAGGAAGTCTCTAGGAATCCTCAGCAAGCTTCCCGAACACAGGTCATTTCAAACAGAAGAAGTAATCCAAACTTCATTTAGGGCAATTACTCACAGTTAAACCTTTACAATAATTAATTTCATGCTAAGTACTTTGAACTCCTTCCAGGAGTGAAGTGGGTATACTGCAAAATTATTTTCCTCTTTTGAGAAGACAAAGTCAGAAAAGACAAAGTAGAGAGGAGGAGACTAGTTTTGGGCATGTAAGTAGGGGTGAAAATTCCAGTGTATTTTCTCATTGCTCTCCACGCGAACAATCTGGAGATGAAGTCAGTTGTTTCCAGAGTCAAATACCAGGAACATCTCGGCAGTGAAACAAGCGGGATTTGTTGTTCACTGAAGGAACCATGGAGCACCTCCAGAAAAGGGTGTTAGAAAGGATTTATTTTAAGATTTGAGTTTGTATTAGGTGGTTTTAGAGAGGATATAAGGAATTAGTGCTATGCTCTGAATTGGATGCTATGAGGGAGTGAGGGTAATTCTATTATTGGGAATCCTAGTAAGTTTATCTAGGATGAGGCAAGAATACAGAGTGAGGCTAACGCTGTAATTTGTTTAAAAAAACAAAAGCAGCTGGGCATGGTGGCTCACTCTTGTAATCCCAGCACTTTGGGAGGCCAAGGCTGGAGGATTGCTTGAGGCCAGGAGTTCGAGACCAGCCTGAGCAACATAGCAAGATCCTGTCTCTACAAAAACTAAAAATAAAGCTGGGCGTGGTGGCTCACACCTGTAATCCCAACACTTTGGGAGGCCGAGGCAGGCAGATCACCTGAGGTCAGGAGTTCGACACCAGTCTGGCCAACATGGTGAAACCCCGTCTCTATTAAAAATACAAAAACTAGCTGGGCATGGTGGCACACACCTGTAATCCCAGCTACTCGGGAGGCTGAGGCAGGAGACTCGCTTGAACCTGGGAGGCGGAGGTTGCAGTGAGCTGAGATCAAACCATTGCACTCCAGCCTGGGCAACAGAGCAAGACTCCATCTCAAAAAAATACATAAATAAAAATAAAAATAAAATAGTCAGATGTGCTGGCGCACACCTTCAGTCCCAGCTACTCCAGAGGCTGAGGCAGAAGGATTTCTTGAGCCTGGGAAATTGAGAATTGAGGCTGCAGTGAGCTATTATCATGCCATTGTACTCCAGCCTGGGGAGCAGAGTGAGACTGTCTCTGAAAGAAAAAAAAAAGCAGTAGTCACTCATATTGGCCAGTCTAGGGGAATATTGGTCATTCCTGTAGCTGAGACAATGTTTATGTTTAATTTAGTTTTTGTTAAAACATTACAGTTTGGTCTTGTTTTTGCCTTGATTGATCATTGTCACAGAGTGGCCTTGTCTGATGTTGCTGTTCTGTGAGATTTCTCGTGTTCAACAGCAGATCACCATGGCCCAGGTGTGAATGCAGGGACAGCAACACTAAGGCTGATGCCTTGCTCTGTTTTCCTTTTGGCCAAGGGCAGATGCAGTTAGCCTGCAGAAACTTCATCCTTGATATCCAGATTTTCACCATAGCCAAGACTTTGCTTTAGAAACTATTTGCAGAGAATGTAATCTAAATTTGGAGTATTGATAGTTTCTCCTGCTCCTTTTGTTGCGGGGTAAATTGTTGAATCCTCTGATTTGTTAATGGTCACAGAATATCATTTAAAACCGATAGGGGATTAGGGGTGACAGCTCAGGCCTGTAGTCCTAGCACTTTGGGAGGCCAAGGCAGGAGGATTGCTTGAGTACAGGAGTTTGAGACCACCCTGGGCAGCACAGTGAGACCCCTCCTGTCTCTAAAAAATAAAAAAAATTACCCAGGCATGGTGGTATGCACCGATAGTCCCAGCTTTTCAGGAAGCTGAGGTGGAAGGATCGCTTGATCCTGGGTGGCTGAGGCTGCAATGAGCTATGATCGCACTATTGTATTCTGGCCTGGGCAACAGAGTGAGACCCAGTCTCAAAAATAAAAATAGGGCCGGGCGCAGTGGCTCACACCTGTAATCCCAGTACTTTGGGAGGCCCAGGCGGGTGGATCACTTGAGGTCAGGAGTTCGAGACCAGTCTGGTTAACATGGTGAAACCCTGTCTCTACTAAAAATACAAAAATTAGTAGGGTGTGGTGGTGCATGCCTGTAATCCCAGCTACTCTGGAGGCTGAGGCATGAGAATCACTTGAACCTGAGAGATGGAGGTTGCAGTGAGCCGAGATCGGGCCGCTGCACTCCAGCCTGGGGACAGAGCAACACTCCGTCTCAAAAAAAGCCAAACCAAAACAAACAAAAAAACTGATGGAGTTCAAGACATAACACCTCTCCCCCAAATAAGAGTGTAGACTACCAGATTATGCCACCCCATATTATGCCTGTTGGGCATAATAATTATTTTGAGAAACAAGAGACAAAGGAGAAACTCTGAAAGCAAGAGTAGAAGTTACCCCCGCCCCCGACACCTTTTTTAGCCGAAAACCTTAGAATACAGAAGTTACCCTTTGGTAGGAGAAATTTACATACATATAAAAAATACATACATATAAAAAATCTCCATTTGTAAGGGTTTCTCCCACTGTGCACCAGAATAAGAATGGTGACTCTAAATTACTGGAGACTCTTATCAATGGAGAAGGCAGGGAGTTAAATCTGCATTTTTGTTTTTTGCTTACTCATGAGTCTATTTGTTTTGTAGTATATAGATGCAGCCAGTAGTGTTTAGTATAGCATAAATTCCCCCTTGGCTGCTTAGGAGGTAATCAACGACTATGTGATTTCCCATAACAATCTGGGCTAATGAGTTTAAACTAGTTTGTCTTTCAGAGTGAAGCGTTTGTTATGACTTTTGTTAGGGTATGAGGCAAGTTTTGGACCATGTTTGCCAGTGGTATTCTTTAATGAGGGAATTGCAACTTACATAGTATCCACGAAAAGGGAGTCAGTTATGTCTTTTGGGAGTTTGTTTGTTTAATTGTAAATAAGCTTTTGTGTTCTGTGTCTTGGAGGTTTCTGGGTAGAATTTTTCCAGGGAAACATGATCCACTAGGGGGATGATACTTTTAAAGATCTGAAAGTGTCTCACAATTATACTAAATACACAAGATAAATTAGGATGTAGCAGACCACTGTAAGCCCAATATCCGTATAAAGTGTAGTACCCTAATTAGGAGCTAGACTGTTGTATAAATATTATGTATGACAATAGGAGTAAGCCAGTTTCGTGTCCTTTGAGGCAGACAGATTTTTGAGTTGGGTTAAACAGCTCAGCAAAGCAGAATGACATGTTTCTGGAGAATAAACTGACTATGGTGGTCAGGAGGGCCTAACTAATATTGTCTACTTCTGATTGGCTAGGTCTCGCTGATAGTATTATAATAACCTTAGCAGAGGCATTCTAATAATCTGAGGTCAGAGTCCATTTTATACAAGGCTGCAGGATTAACGATATGAGGGAAGGTTAAATGACAGAAGGGCCTATAAAATGGAATCTGCCTTTCTTTTTTTTTTTTTTTTTTTTTGAGACAGAGTTTTGCTCTTGTTGCCCAGGCTGGAGTGCAATGGCACAATCTCGGCTCACCACAACGTCCGCTTCCCGGGTTCAAGCGATTCTCCTGCCTCAGCCTCCCGAGCAGTTGGGATTATAAGCATGTGGCACCACGCCTGGCTAATTTTGTGTATTTTTAGTAGAGACAGCATTTCACCGTGTTAGCCAGGCTGGTCTCGATCTCCTGACCTCATGATCCACCCGCCTCGGCCTACCAAAGTGTTGGGATTACAGCCATGAGCCACCATGCCCAGCAGTGCCTTCTTAAGTGTTTAAAGGAATTGCTAGTAGATTATTAGCAGCAGGATCTGGTGGAAGATGTTAGATCCAGCAATCGGTTTAATTCAAAGCAGTATCTAGGGCCTGTGAAAAACATGAGGTGATAGAAGACAACCATAGGGATTCAAAATAATAGGATGAAGATAAGTGTGGGTTATATTAGTGTTCTAGAGGGTGTCCTAGTGTAGTAATAGGTAATCATAGTAGAAGAACAAAGGACAGAAAAGAACGTTGAAGAATTAGAAAATTAATCCTGTTCCGCTGTCTTAGGTGGAACTTCTGAAGTCAGCAGCTAGTTTTGTCTGGCGCAAAAGCTGTCCACTTCTGTAGTCAGTGTCAGGATTCCTAAGAATCCTCAGTTTAAGGTCTTCAGATAAAATGGATGTCCATTAGTGTAGGAAGAGGTGATGTATATCTTTTAAGTTAAATATTTTGTATACTCTTAAAAATCTAAGTATCGATGGCCGGGTGTGGTGGCTCATGCCTGTAATCCCAGCTACTGGGGAGGCTGAGGCAGGAGAATCGCTTGAACCCAGGAGGCAGAGGTTGCGGTGAGTGGAGATCGCGCCATGGCACTCCAGCCTGGGCAACAAGAGTGAAACTCTGTCAAAAAGAAAAAACAAAACACACACACACACACACACAAAACACTAAGTATCAACACCTTGGAGTTTTACTGATACATCAACTTGTTAACAGTACTGAAAAGACTTTTTTTTTTTTTTTTTTGACGGAGTTTCGCCCTTTCACCCAGGCTGGAGTGCAGTGGCACAATCTCGGCTCACTGCAACCTCCGTCCCCCAGGTTCAAGTGATTCTCCTGCCTCAGCCACCCAAGTCGCTGGGATTACAGGCACGCCTAGCTAATTTTTATATTTTTAGTAGAGACACGGTTTCACCACATTGGCCAGGCTGGTCTCGAACTTCTGACCTCAGGTGATCCACCTGCCTTGGCCTCTGAAAGTGCTAGGATTACAGGCGTGAGCCACCGTGCCCAGCACAAGAAGACATTTTTTTTTTAACCAAGGTTCAGGGAAGTTGTATTTCTGTTGCCTATTTCAGAAGACCAGATCTCCAGGTTGCGGATCATGCAGAGGATGTTTAGGTACATACTTTGAAAATGCACTTTGTCGGTCATAATGCTGGAGGTATTATATGAGTCTCTTGGAATATTCAGCCATATTAGACTGTAAATCAGTAGTATCTGGGATTGGAAGTGAAATTCCCAAATGCATGAAGCAGGCTTTTATTAACTTAGAAGTTGATAACCTGTGGATCTTTGAGAGCTTTGATCTCATTGTCATCAGGGCTAATGACAGTTCTCTGGGCCTGGGAAGTCCAAGGATTTTTGAAAGCTTTGATAATTATAATTTGAGAATTCTATTAATTGTCTTTATTTTTTTTATGAATTTGAGCATGGCAAGGATAGAGGAGTTTTTGAGTAAAATGTAATATGTTAAGGGAGTAAAATGTAATATGTTAAGGGATTTAAAAATAATGATACCAACAAGATGTGTGTCCCTGTTACTAGGGAGATACCTCGAGATTTCCCACATCAGGAGCATAAAAGCAAGCAATTAAAAAAATCACTATATTCAGTTCTATAGCAAGATGAGGACTCAACCAACCATAAGAATAGACCATGATAACCAGAACACACTCACAACCCATTTGGAGAGGTTTAAAATGGGCCTCAAGGCTGTACTTCCTGCCCATTTCCTACCCTAATAGTCTTGCAAGATTGCACAACTGCAGGTAGGACACTTCCTTGAAAATATCTTGGACAATATCTCTCAAAATTGCCCCACCATTGTTGGTTCAGTATTGTGGCCAATCTATCTCTGCTACTGAGAGAGAAATTATGAAGCATTTTGGCTGAAATGTTTTTATTATGATTACCTTCTTGGATAATGGCAAAACATCTCCAAGTTTTCAAATTCACCATTTCAGACATGAGGGTTCTTGGAGAGGTCAGAAAATCTCTGTTTCTAAACCGTTGTGATGTTATGAACTATCTTAAAATCACAAGTTTACTATAAATATAAAAATCTTCTTTTACATTTTGTCAGTTGATAAGTCTGGGCCAAGGCAATCAATTTAGCCATCTGTTTTGCAAATTATTAGTTGTTGTTTTTCAGAGACAAGGTCTAGCTTTGTCACCCAGACTGGAGTGAAGTGGCAAAATCATGGCTCACTGCAGCCTCAAACTCCTAGGCTCATGTGATCCTCTCGCCTTAGCCTCCCAAGTAGCTGGGACCACAGATGCTTGCCACCACATCTGGCTTGTAATTCTTTTATGAGATGATCCCTCAGGTATGGTCACTGGAGGAGATGTCAGAGAGGCTCAGAAATAAAACAGTTTATTTACTCACAGGTTGTACAGACAGGAGGCCAGGTACATCATGCAGGGCCACATGGGAAAGACATCAGGGTGGTCTGAAGGCAGAAGACACGAGCAAGGGGAGGATTTAGGCCATGACCTTTACTGGGACTTCCATACAATAGGCAATGCAGGGCAGGGTGAACAGTTTATGACTGGCTAGTTTGAATAACTGCCTTGGGCTTTGGGCTACATAAGGATGGTTTCTAGTTGCTTGGTACCTGGCCCTAGTGTCAGAAGTGTCCTGGCCGGGCGCGGTGGCTCACGCCTGTAATCCCAGCACTTTGGGAGGCCGAGGCGGGTGGATCATGAGGTCAGGAGATCGAGACCATCCTGGCTAACAAGGTGAAACCCCGTCTCTACTAAAAATACAAAAAAAAAAAATTAGCCGGGCGCGGTGGCGGGCGCCTGTAGTCCCAGCTACTCGGGAGGCTGAGGCAGGAGAATGGCGTGAACCCGGGAAGCGGAGCTTGCAGTGAGCCGAGATTGCGCCACTGCAGTCCGCAGTCCCGCCTGGGCGACAGAGCGAGACTCCGTCTCAAAAAAAAAAAAAAAAAAAAAAAAAAAGAAGTGTCCTAACCCGAGTGACTGCATCTTGAATAAAGGCCAAATAAAGCCAAAACTGCTGGGTTACATTCCCAGGGGGTTGGGAACTCTTGGTCACAAGATGTTTATGGTTGAGGGGACAAGTTAAGGAGGCTAATTACATAAGATCCACAACTTAAGGAAATGTCCTGATGTCCCAATATCTTAAGAACAAAATGCACTCTTAGTTTAAGAATACATTTCACTTTTTAAAAATTTTTATTTATTCATCTATGTTTTTGACGGCGTCTTGCTATGTTGCCCAAGCTGAAGTGAAATGGCGTGATCTCGGCTCACTGCAACTTATGCCTCCCAGGTTCAAGCAGTTCTCCTGCCTCAGCTTTCCAATTAGCTGGGATTGCTGGCACCTACCACCATGCCCAGCTAATTTTTGCATTTTTAGTAGAGACGGAGTTTTACCATGTCAGCCAGGCTGGTCTCGAACTCCTGACCTCAAGTGATCCACCTGCCTCGGCCTCCCAAAGTGCTGGGATTACTGGAGTGAGCTACCACGCCAGGCCAATGTCACGTTAAAGATAATAGTATACCCATAAATTCTTGCTGAAATCAATAGTTATAAAAGAGAATAACAATGCTACTATCCTGTCACAAGCTGATCACAAGCCTTTGTAATAAAGCACGTAAGACCGTTATTCTTAGCTCTATTATCCTATCTAAGCAAGCATTGTATTTGAGGTGATTTTGTTCCTCCTTGCTTTCTGAGGACACCCTACTCTGCAATAAAGTAGTCTCTAATCAGAGTATAGTGAACTATCTTAACTTCACTATACTCTGCGACTTGCCCTGAATTTTTTCTTGCATGAGATCCAAGAACCCGCTCTTTGGGATCTGGAACAAGACCCTTTTTCCGGTAACAGTAGATGATTAGGAAGAGGAACGTGGGCCGGGCACGGTGGCTCACTCCTGTAATCCCAGCACTTTGGGAGGCGGAGGCGGGCAGATCACCTGAGGTCGGGAGTTCGAGACCAGCCTGACTAACATCGAGAAACTCCGTCTCTACTAAAAATACAAAATTAGCCAGGCGTGGTGGCGCATGCCTGTAATCCCAGCTACTCGGGAGGCTGAGGCAGGAGAATTGCTTGAACCTGGGAGGTAGAGGTTGCGATGAGCCGAGATCACGCCATTGCACTCCAGACTGGGCAACAAGAGCAAAAACTCTATCTCAAAAAAAAAAAAAAAAAAAGAAGAGGAATGTGGCCTCCTGGGGTATCTGGGCCAAACAGAGGAGGTACGGCTCTGGATTGGTTAGTTTGCATATTAAAGATGCTCCTGGCTGGGCCTTTGTTATTTTTAAATCTTGGCTAGCCCCAGGAGGGGCAGTCTCCCCCTAGTCAGAAAGGTTTTTAAAAATATCAAAACATCATAATACGCAGAAAATGTAAAATGTTTATAATACAAAATGTGAACTGATTTAGTTTCTATGAGAAGCTTATATTTTAAGGACAAACTTAAGTCTGTGATGGGTTATCTTGTTTAGCAATTTTTAGTTTTACTTTTTATGTTTGAACCATTAATGAATACAATTAAATCAGGGTTATTTAAGAAAGTCTCTGGATCAAGCTTCTCCAACCCGTGGCCTGTGGGCTGCATGAGGCCTGGAATGGCTTTGAATGTGGCCCAACACAAATTCGTAAGCTTTCTTAAAACATTATGAGATTTTGTTTTTTTTTTGCTTTTTTTTTTAAGCTCATCAGCTATCATTAGTGTTAGTGTATTTTATGTGTGGCCCATGACAATTCTTCTTCCAATGTGGCCCAGGGAATCCAAAAGATTGGACACCCCTGATCTAGAAGATCTGTCCAGGGCTCAGATACTCAGATAATCTCCTAAAAGAGGTAAGCCACCATGGAGTTTTACTTTTTCTGGTAAAGGAAGGAATATTTAATTATCATATTTTCTTTTCTTTTCTTTCTTTTTTTTTTTCTTGAGATGGGGTCTGGCTCTGTTGCCCAGGCTGGAGTGCAGTGGCGCGATCTCAGCTCACTTCAACCTCTGCCTTCCAGGCTCAAGTGATTCTCATGTCTCAGCCTCCCAAGTAGCTGGGACTACAGGTGCATGCCACCTTGCCCGGCTAATTTTTTTGCATTTTTGGTAGAGATGGGGTTTTGCCATGTTGCCCAGGCTGATCTCAAACTCCTGAGTCAAGTGATCCGCCCACCTCAGCCTCCCAAAGTGCTGGGATTACAGGCCTGAGCCACTGCGCCTGGCCATATTTTCTTTATGTATGATTAACTTAAGTTAAACTCTTTAGATTTGTAAAGTTTATTATTATCATTATTACCACCACCATTATTACTAAGTTTAGCAGAGAAAAGCTCTCATAACAGCTTTTACTTAATAGTTGGATAAATTTACTCTTATTATCTTTTATAGGATTGAGGAACAAATCTTTGTGTTACTTAGAGCTGCTATAACAAAGTATCATAGAGTGGTGGCTTATAAACAACAGAAATTTATTTCTCACAGTGCTAGAGGCTGAAAGTCCGAGATCAGGGTACCAGCTTGGTTGGAAGACAGGGTCTTTCTTTGTTGCTCAGGCTGGAGTGCAGTGTCAAGATCATGGCTCACTGCAGCCTCCACCTCCCAGGCCCAACCAAGCCTCCCACCTCAGACTCTCAAGTAGCTGGGACTACAAGTGTGTGCCGCCACGTCCGGCTAAATTTTTTTTTTTTTTTTTTTTGTAGAGACAGGGTCTCCCTATGTTGCCAGGACTGGTATCCAACTCCTGGGCTCAAGGGATCCTCCTGCCTCGACTTCCCAAAGTGCTGGGAGTACATGCATGAGCCACTGCAACGAGCAGGTATGGTTGGTTATTGTTAGGGCTCTCTTCCAGGTTGCATATTGCTGACTTCTTTTTGTTTTTTGAGACGGAGTTTCACTCTGTCGCCCAGGCTGGAGTGCAGTGGCACAATCTCGGCTCACTGCAAGCTCCGCCTTCCGGGTTCACGCCATTCTCCTGCCTCAGCCTCCCCAGTAGCTGGGACTACAGGCACCCGCCACTGCGCCCAGCTAATTTTTTTGTATTTTTAGTAGAGACGGGGTTTCACCATGGTCTCGATCTCCTGACCTTGTGATCCGCCCGCCTCGGCCTCCCAAAGTGCTGGGATTGCAGGCATGAGCCACCGCGCCCGGCCCGCCTGCATATCGCTGACTTCTTGTGTCACATGGCAGAAAGAGGGAGAGAGAGCTCTCTGGGAGTCCCTTTGATAAGCGTACTAATCCCATTCGTGAGGTCTCCACCGTCATGGCTTAACTGCCTCCCAGTGGCTCCACCTCCTAATACCATCATGTTGGCGGTTCAGAGTTCGACATATGAATTTTGGGGAGACATAAACATTCAGCCTATTATTATTACCTGATGAACATTTTAGGAACCCAAAATATGGTTTAGGTATAAAAGACATCTGGCCGGGCGCGGTGGCTCACGCTTGTAATCCCAGCACTTTGGGAGGCCGAGGCGGGTGGATCACGAGGTCAGGAGATCGAGACCACGGTGAAACCCCGTCTCTACTAAAAAAAATAAAAAAAAAATTAGCCGGGCGTGGTGGCGGGCGCCTGTAGTCCCAGCTACTCGGAGAGGCTGAGGCAGGAGAATGGCGTGAACCCGGGAGGCGGAGCTTGCAGTGAGCCGAGACTGCGCCACTGCACTCCAGCCTGGGTGACAGAGCGAGACTCCGTCTCAAAAAAAAAAAAAAAAAAAAAAAAAAGACATCTTAATAGTTTTATAATTTTGAATTTAGATCGTGAATTCAGGAAAGGCAAAATCAAGAATAACTGTTAAAGGAGAAAAGGTGTAAGTCATAAATATCTAAAAACAAGAAATATTTACAGTCAATGATATAAAACCATGCTAGATTATACTAAGGCTAAAGCTGTAATTCGCCCCCCACCTCGTAATAAAAGCAAAAAGCAGTAGCAATCACTCACATTAGCCAGGAGAGGGGGATATTTGTTAATTTCTGTGGCTTGAACGTGTTTTGTCTGTGTTCAGACATGATTATGCAGTGGTCCTCCTTTTTGTCTCACTTCATTACCATCACAGAGGGACCTTGCCGGATGTTGGTACTCTTTGAAATTGTTTATGCTCACGGGAGAACAACAAAGTCTAGCTGTGAGTGCCACGCCAACTCCTACATGTCCGGGATTATTTTTTTCTTTCCCATCACTGTGATAGAAAAAATTGGTGATGCTGTTTTATTGGTGATATGTTACATGCATTTTAAGTATAAGCTGTCAAGACTTACAAGGAGCCCCTTTTGTGAAATCTAATGAACATATCATGGTTCGTTTGTATTTTTTGGGAGGCGGGGTGGGGTGAATATGTGCTGCCAAAGTGAGCACAAACATATCATGCTGTTGAAATAGGATTTTAAGCCAGAGAGCAAACCCGGGTGAAATCCGGACAAGAACAAATCTGCAGAATTTTGTTTTAACCTCTCTGGGCCCTATTAACTTCCAGTCAAACTTGTAATAAAACTAAAGCTAAAGCATCACTTTCACATCGAGGACCTTGCTCACCATCACCTACCCATCCCACGCTCATTCCACCACTGTCAAAGTGTACCCTTTCTGACTTTGTGCTCCTACCTGCTATAAACTTCCATCAAAACACTTTATTTCATGGTGTTTGTGTCCCTCTAGAGTCCTACACTACTCTAGAACTCAAAGAAAAGAACATATCTCATTCATCTTATTCAGGCCTTAGACAAAAAGCCTGGGACAGGAAAGTACTCAATATTATTTAATTAATTAACTGTTAATAAAACATGTTTTAACAGAAGACATGACAGAAAATATGACTTTGAAAACTTCATCCACATGAAGTACCTTCTTTTGTTTTTTTTTAGACAGGGTCTTGCTCTGTCACTCAGGCTGGACTGCAGTGGCATGATCACAGGTCAGTGAAGCCTTGAACTCCTAGGCTCAAGTGATCCTCTCTCCTCAGCCTCCCAAGTAGCTGGGACTACAGTTGTGCACCACCATGTCTGACTAATTAAAAGAATTTTTTTTTAGAGATCGGGTCTCATTGTGTTGCCCAGGTTGGTCTTGAATTCCTGCACTCAAGTAATCCTCCCACCTCAGCCTGCCAAAGCCCTGGGATCACATGTGTGAGCCACCATGCCCAGTCTACATGAAGAATGTTGAATAAAAAGTGACAAGAGAGGAAGAAGACTGAAGTTTAAAGTTCTTCACTTAGGGACATTTTGCAAAACGAACGAAATCTGATAAATTCCTCATGAGTCACTGCAAGCCTCTATACCTGGTGTTTAATGGTTTATTATAAAAATTTTGTACAAATGCTATTTGTTTCCCAGTAAGGGGTTGTCATTTCCACCTCATTGGTCCTTTTTGTGTACCTTTCCATGCAGTGTTCCCAGGAAGATATATATAGGTATATAAAGAGCAGAGGACCTATTTCCATTAAATAAGCAATGATTGCTTTTATCTTATTATGAACATGATGCATATATATGCAAATATATATGTATTTGTTCTTTTTTTTTTTTTTTTTTTTTGAGACAGAGTCTTGCTCTGTCGCCCAGGCTGGAGTGCAGCGGCGCAATCTCAGCTCACTGCAAGCTCCGCCTCCCTGGTTCGCGCCATTCTCCTGCCTCAGCCTCCCGAGTAGCTGGGACCACAGGTGCCTGCTACCACACCCTGCTAATTTTTTTGTATTTTTAGTAGAGACGGGCTTTCACCGTGTTAGCCAGGATGGTCTCGATCTCCTGACCTCGTGATCTGCCCGTCTCGGCCTCCCAAAGTGCTGGGATTACAGGCATGAGCCACCGCGCCTGGCCTGTTCTTGTTTTTGAGACAGAGTCTAACTTTGTTTCCCAGGCTGGAGTGCAGTGGCACAATCACGGCTCACTGCAGCTTCAAACTCCTAGGATCAAGCAATCCTCCTGCTTCAGTCTCTTGAGTAGCTGGGACCATAGGTGTGTAGCACCACACTCAGCTAATTTTTACATTTTTTGTAGAGATGAGGTCTTGCTTTGTTGCCCAGGCTGGTCTTGAACTCTTGGGCTCAAGCGATCCCCCCACATCAGCCTCCTAAATTGCTGGGATTACATGTATGAACCACTGTGCCTGGCCCATATATTAATAATATAATAAAATATATTATGAAAAATGATCTCTAAACCTATCACCTGGAGGTAACCACTAGCAATATGTTGGTTTATCTTCTTCTTGGCCTTTTTGTACTATGTGTGTGTATCCACAGACATACACACACATTTAAACCAAAACCTCCTTCCTTATTCAGTTGGCCACGGCAATAATGACACTCTTCTATACAGAACTCTCATCCTTCACATCGAATGCCAGGGAAGTATTTCCTCAGCAGTTTCTTCTCTGATTCCATCCACTGCAGCCATAATGAAGAGGAATATAGAGACCAAATCCACCTCAGGAGCACAGGAATACTGAAAGCAATGGAGAGAAGATGGAAATTCTGGCCAGCTGCTTACTAGGACAACATCAAATCAAGGCCACCACTACACATAAAATACAAGAAAACTAGTAGTGAGAAGCCATTTTCTTTCCCTTTAAAAACTAAAACAACAAAATCATTACAACATGCAATTATGAACCTTTTTCAGGGTCTTCTCCTTTATTTTTTTATTTTTTATTTTTTTCAGACAGAATCTTGCTCTGTCACCCAGGCTGGAGTGCAGTGGCATGATCTAGGCTCACTGCAACCTCCGCCTCCCAGGTTCAAGCGATTATCCCTCCTCAGCCTCCTGAGTAGCTGGGACCACCGGCTTGCACCACCACACCTGGCTAACTTTCATATTTTTATTAGAGACAAGGTTTCATCATGTTGGCCAGGCTGGTCTTGAACTCCTGACCTCAAGTGATCCACCGCCTCAGCCTCCCAAAGTGCTGGAATTACAGGTGTAAGCCACCGTACCCAAGCTGCTTCTTTATTTTTGTTTGGAAACTATTTAGTTTATGTAAGAATTCCTAGAGGTTATAAGGCTTTCTGGACTAAATGCCCAAGAGACTCCTGAGGTATACACCAGACACTATTTGATTCCCTGTTACTGTGGCATGTAGTTCCAGGCACTACTAACAGCCACTCATGCCATGGTGGTTCTGGGAAGTCCAAATATACATTGAAGGCCAGAGAGTTGGGTATTGTCCATCCAGGGTATTGTAAGCCTTCAAACCACTTCTGTCACATAGCTGAAAATATGCCTTTAGGGTCTTCTCTTCTGCACCTCCTAGGCACTTTTCTCAAACCTATCCAAAGATTAGAATTTGGCTTTTCTTTTCTTTCTTTTTTTTCTTTTTCTTTCTTTCTTTTTTTTTTTTTTTTTTTTTGAGACAGACTCTTGCTCTATCACCCAGGCTGGAGTGCAGTGGCACGAACTCAGCTCACTGCAACCTCTGCCCCCTGGGTTCATGCGATTCAGAAGGCCTGAGCCTCCTGAGTAGCTGGGATTATAGTCGTGCCACCATGCCCGGCTAATTTTTTTTGTATTTTTAGTGGAGACGGAGTTTCGCCATGTTGGTCAGGCTGGTCTCGAACTCCTGACCTCAGGTGATCCACCTGCCTCAGCCTCCCAAAGTGCTGGGATTACAGGCGTGAGCCACCATGCCTGACCTGAATTTGGCTTTTCTATATGAGACCATGTCTTAGCTCAGGCTGCTATAATAACGTACCGTAGACTGGGTAGCTTAAATAACAGAATTTTATTTCTCACAGTTCCGGAGGCTGGAAAAATTCAAGAACAAAGTGCTAGCCAGGCTGGGCATGGTGTCTCATGCCTGTAATCCCAAAACTTTGGGAGGTGAGGCAGGAAGATCACTTGAGGCCAGGAATTTGAGACTAGCCAGGACAACATCGAGAGACCCCATATCTACAACAACAAAAAGTACTAACCAATTTGGGTCCTAGTGAGAGCCCCCTCTTGGTTTGCAGAAGGTCATCTTCTTGCTGAATTCTCACATAGTTGATGTAGAAAGAGCAGAGAGGGAGAAAGAGAGACACAGAGAGAGAGAGAGAGACCTCATGTCTTATCCTTTTAAGGGCATTAATCCCAGGATGGGGGCTCCACCCTCATGTTCTCATCTAAACCGAATTACCTGCCAAGGTCCTACCTCCTAATACCATCATATGGCAGGGAGGTGTTTCGGCTTTTAACTTATAAATTTTGAGGGGATACAAATATTTAGTCCGTAACAGACCTCTAAGTAAAATTTCACTTGAAAAATTGGTTCCATGGCTTGGCGTGGTGGCTCGCGCCTGTAATCCCAGCACTTTGGGAGGCCGAGGCGGGTAGATCACAAGTTCAGTAGATCAAGACCATCCTGGTCAACATGGTGAAACCCCATCTCTACTAATATACAAAAAAAAAAAAATTAGCCAGGTGTGGTGGCATGCACCTGTAGTCCCAGCTACTCAGGAGGCTGAGGCAGGGAGCCTCCTCCCGCTTGAACCCGGGAGTCGGAGGTTGTGGTGAGCCAAGATCACGCCACTGCACTCCAGCCTGGTGACAGAGTGAGACTACATCTCAAAAAAAAAAATTCGTTCTATGGTTATAATTTAGCCAACAGAATCCACAGTTCCAGGCAATCATAATATATCATTTTTACCCAATCAATTTACGAATGGCTTATATCATTTTGCTCTAGTACTGTTTCATTTTACATTGTTATTGGTTTCTTGCACTTTGGATGTGGTAATTCACTGAATTTCCCCTTTTCCAGGACATTATTGTTTCTGTTCATCATTAGATGCCATCTTGCATTTCATAGTCTCTATCACCTGATGTAAAAATTACCATTGTCGGCTCCTAGTCCAATAACCTCTTTTACTAAGACCAGGCTCACCTTTCTAACCTTTCCTAAGGTATATTGGGGCATTTTAACTAGAATCAATAGTTTCCAGTACCTGTGTCTCATACCTGGGAGGCAATGGATATGGTCACAGCCATCTCCCCTCTCTGTGCCAAAGAAATTTATGGGACTGATGGCTGGATCCACAGTCTAAATAATCAAAATGAAGAGTGTTTCCAACCTTTTGTTCACTGGATCCATCAGTAAGAGTGCAGTCTCCTCTGCTCTTGAAACCCATGAGAGGCCAGGTGCAGTGGCTCAGGACTATAATTTTCTGTCTCATTGATCTGTCTAATATTGACAGTGGGGTGTTAAAGTCTCCCACTATTATTGTGTTGCAGTCTAAGTCTCTTTGTAGGTCTCTAAGAACTTGCTTTATGAATCTGGGTGCTCCTGTATTGGGTGCATACATATTTAGGATAGTTAGCTCTTCTTGTTGAATTGATCCCTTTACCATTATGTAATGCCCTTCTTTGTCTTTTTTGATCTTTGTTGGTTTAAAGTCTGTTTTATCAGAGACTAGGATTGCAACCTTTGCTTTTTTTGCTTTCCATTTCCTTGGTAAATATTCCTCCATCCCTTTATTTTGAGCCTATGTGTGTCTTTGCATGTGAGATGGGTCTCCTGAATACAGCACACCGATGGGTCTTGACTCTTTATCCAATTTGTCAGTCTGTGTCTTTTAATTGGAGCATTTAGCTCATTTACATTTAAGGTTAATATTGTTATGTGTGAATTTCATCCTGTCATTATGATGCTAGCTGGTTATTTTGACTGTTAGTTGATGCAGTTTCTTCATAGTGTCAATGGTCTTTACAATTTGGTATGTTTTTGCAGTGGCTGGTACTGGTTGTTCCTTTTCATGTTTAGTGCTTCCTTCAGAAGCTCTTGTAAGGCAGGCCTGGTGGTGACAAAATCTCTCAGCGTTTGCTTGTCTGTAAAGGATTTTATTTCTCCTTCACTTATGAAGCTTAGTTTGGCTGGATATGAAATTCTAGGTTGAAAATTGTTTTCTTTAAGAATGTTGAATATTAGCCTGGCACGGTGGCTCACGCCTGTAATCCCAGCACTTTGGGAGGCTGAGGCAGGTGTATCATCTGAGGTTGGGAGTTTGAGACCAGCCTGGCCAACATGGAGAAACCCTGTCTCCAGTAAAAATACAAAATTGGCTGGGCGTGGTGGCACATGCCTGTAATCCCAGCTACTCGGGAGGCTGAGGCTGGAGAATCACTTGAACCCAGGAGGTGGAGGTTGTGGTGAGCCAAAATTGCGCCATTTCTTTCCAGCCTGGGCATCAAGAGCGAAACTCTGTCTCACACACACAAAAAAAAGAATGTTGAATATTGGCCCCCACTCTCTTCTGGCTTGTAGGTTTTCTGCCAAGAGATCTGCTGTTAGTCTGATGGGCTTCCCTTTGTGGGTAACCCGACCTTTCTCTCTGGCTGCCGTTAACATTTTTTCCTTCATTTCAACCTTGGTGAATCTGACAATTATGTGTCTTGGGGTTGCTCTTCTCAAGGAGTATCTTTGTGGTGTTCTCTGTATTTCCTGAATTTGAATTTTGGCCTGTGTTGGTAGGTTGGGGAAGTTCTCCTGGATAATATCCTAAAGAGTGTTTTCGAACTTGCTTCCATTCTCCCAGTCACTTTCAGGTACACCAGTCAAACGTAGGTTTGATCTTTTCCATGGTCCCATACTTCTTGGAGGCTTTGTTCTTTCCTTTTCATTCTTTTTTCTCTAATCTTGTCTTCATGCTTTATTTCATTAAGTTGATCTTCAATCTCTGATATCCTTTCTTCTACTTGATGATTCAGCTATCGATACTTCTGTATGCTTCACAAAGTTCTCGTGCTGTGTTTTTCAGTTCCGTCAGGTAACTTATGTTCTTCTCTAAACTAATTATTCTAGTTATCAATTCATCTAACCTTTTTTCAAGGTTCTTAGTTTCCTTGCATTGGGTTAGGACGTGCTCCTTTAGCTTGGAGGAGTTTGTTATTACCCACCTCCTGAAGCCTACCTCTGTCAATTCATCAAACTCATTCTCCGTCCAGTTTTGCCCCCTTGCTGGCATAGAGTTGTGATCCTTTGGAGGAGTAGAGGCATTCTGGGTTTTGGCATTTTCAGCCTTTTTGCACTGGTTTTTTCTCATCTTCATGGATTTATCTACCTTTGGCCTTTGATGTTGGTGACCTTCGGATGGGGTTTTTGTGTGGATGTCCTTTTTGTTGATGTTGATGGTATTCCTTTCTGTTTGTTAGTTTTCCTTCTAACAGTCAGGCCCCTCTGCTGCAGGTCTCCTGGAGTTTGCTGGAGGTCCACTCCAGACCCTGTTTTGCTGGGTATCACCAGCAGAGGTTGCAGAACGTGCTCCTCCATGCAGACAATTGCTGCCTGTTCCTTCCTCTGGAAGTTTCACCCCAGAGGGGCACCTGCCAGATGCCAGCCGGAGCTCTCCTGTATGAGATGTCTGTCAACCCCTGCTGGGAGGTGTCTCCTAGTCAGGAGGCATGGGCGTCAAGGAGCCACTTGAGGAGGCTGTCTGTCCATTAGCAGAGCTCGAGCACCATGCTGGGAGATCTGCTGCTCTCTTTTTTTCTACTTTTATAATGTCAAAAGCAAAGACTTTTTTCCACTCTTACTGAACTGAGTTATCTTCCAAAGTTGTAACATCTATACAACCTCAAATCATTATTTAAAAAGTGTTAAATATCATGCATGAATGAGTATTTTCAAGTCTGGAAAGACTGTTAGAAATTTAATTGAAGGCTTCCATAGCAGGCTGAACTTGAGCATGAGGGACCACCTGGTATCCTAAATTTTCTCCTCTGCCTCACAATTGTGTTGAATACATTGTGACTCAGTAAAGTTAGCAACATCAAAGAACTCATCATCAGAGAAGTTTAGTCTCTAGATTTTTTCTTTTCTTTTCTTTTCTTTTTTTTTTTTTTTTTTTTTTTTTTTTTTTTTTTTTGAGAGAGAGTCTCACTCTGTCACCCAGGCTGGAGTGCAGTGGTGTGATTTTTTTTTTTTTTTTTTTTGAGACGGAGTTTCTCTCTTGTTGCCCAGGCTGGAGTGCAATGGCGCGATCTCGGCTCGCCGCAACCTCCGCCTCCCAGGTGCAAGCAATCCTCCTGCCTCAGCCTCCCGAGTAGCTGGGATTACAGGCATGCACCACCACACCCAGCTAATTTTGTATTTTTAGTGGAGACAGGGTTTATCCATGTTGAGGCTGGTCTCAAACTCCTGACCTCAGGTGATCCACCCACCTCGGCCTCCCAAAGTGCTGGGATTACAGGGGTGAGCCAACACGCCCAGCCTAGTGGTGTGCTCTTGGCTCACTGGAACCTCTGCCTCCCAGGTTCAAGCGATTCTCCTGCCTCAGCCTCCTGAGTAGCTGGGATTACAGGTGCACACCACCACGCCTGGCTAATTTTTGTATTTTTACTAGAGACGGGGTTTCACCATGTTGATCAGGCTGATCTCGAACTCCTGACCTCATGATCCACCCACCTCGGCCTCCCAAAATGCTAGTATTACAGGCATGAGCCACCACCCCTGGCCGTAGTCTCTAGATTTTTATTTGAAAACTAAAACATTTTACCAAAAAAGAGAATTTTAGACCAATATCCTTGATGAACATTGATGCAAAAATCCTCAATAAAATACTGGCAAACCGAATCCAGCAGCACATCAAAAAGCTTATCCACCATGATCAAGTGGGCTTCATCCCTGGGATGCAAGGCTGGTTCAATATACTCAAGTCAATAAATGTAATCCAGCATATAAACAGAACCAAAGACAAAAACCACATGATTATCTCAATGGATGCAGAAAAGGCCTTTGACAAAATTCAACAACCCTTCATGCTAAAAACTCTCAATAAATTAGGTATTGATGGGACGTATCTCAAAATATTAAGAGCTATCTATGACAAACCCACAGCCAATATCATACTGAATGGGCAAAAACTGGAAGCATTCCTTTTGAAAACTGGCACAAGACAGGGATGCCCTCTGTCACCACTCTTATTCAACATAGTGTTGGAAGTTCTGGCCAGGGCAATTAGGCAGGAGAAGGAAATAAAGGGTATTCAATTAGGAAAAGAGGAAGTCAAATTGTCCCTGTTTGCAGATGACATGATTGTATATCTAGAAAACCCCATTGTCTCAGCCCAAAATCTCCTTAAGCTGATAAGCAACTTCAGCAAAGTCTCAGGATACAAAATCAATGTACAAAAATCACAAGCATTGTTATACACCAATAACAAACAGAGAGCCAAATCATGAGTGAACTCCCATTCACAACTGCTTCAAAGAGAATAAAATACCTAGGAATCCAACTTACAAGGGACATGAAGGACCTCTTCAAGGAGAACTACAAACCACTGCTCAAGGAAATAAAAGAGGATACAATCAAATGGAAGAACATTCCATGCTCATGGGTAAGAAGAATCAATATCATGAAAGTGGCCATACTGCCCAAGGTAATTGATAGATTCAATGCCATCCCCATCAAGCTACCAATGACTTTCTTCACAGAATTGGAAAAAACTACTTTAAAGTTCATATGGAACCAAAAAAGAGCCCTCATCACCAAGTCATTCCTAAGCCAAAAGAACAAAGCTGGAGGCATCACGCTACCTGACTTCAAACTACACTACAAGGCTACAGTAACCAAAACAGCATGGTACTGGTACCAAAACAGAGATATAGATCAATGGAACAGAATAGAGCCTTCAGAAATAACGCCGCATATCTACAACTATCTGATCTTTGACAAACCTGAGAAAAGCAAGCAATGGGGAAAGGATTCCCTATTTAATAAATGGTGCTGAGAAAACTGGCTAGCCATATGTAGAAAGCTGAAACTGGATCCCTTCCTTACACTTTATACAAAAATTAATTCAAGATGGATAAAAGACTTAAAGGTTAGACCTAAAACCATAAAAACCCTAGAAGAAAACCTAGGCATTACCATTCAGGACATAGGCATGGGCAAGGACTTCATGTCTAAAACACCAAAAGCAATGGCAACAAAAGCCAAAATTGACAAATGGGATCTAATTAAACTAAAGAGCTTCTGCACAGCAAAAGAAACTACCATCAGAGTGAAGAGGCAACCTACAAAATGGGAGAAAATTTTTGCAACCTACTCATCTGACAAAGGGCTAATATCCAGAATCTACAATGAACTCAAACAAATTTACAAGAAAAAAACAAACAACCCCATCAAAAAGTGGGCAAAGGACATGAACAGACACTTCTCAAAAGAAGACATTTATGCAGCCAAAAAACACATGAAAAAATGCTCACCATCACTGGCCATCAGAGAAATGCAAATCAAAACCACAATGAGTTACCATCTCACACCAGTTAGAATGGCAATCATTAAAAAGTCAGGAAACAACAGGTGCTGGAGAGGATGTGGAGAAATAGGAACACTTTTACACTGTTGGTGGGACTGTAAACTAGTTCAACCCTTGTGGAAGTCAGTGTGGCGATTCCTCAGGGATCTAGAGCTAGAAATACCATTTGACCCAGCCATCCCATTACTGGGTATATACCCAAAGGATTATAAATCATGCTGCTATAAAGACACATGCACACGTATGTTTATTGCGGCACTATTCACAATAGCAAAGACTTGGAACCAACCCAAATGTCCAACAATGATAGACTGGATTAAGAAAATGTGGCACATATACACCATGGAATACTATGCAGCCATAAAAAATGATGAGTTCATGTCCTTTGTAGGGACATGGATGAAATTGGAAATCATCATTCTCAGTAAACTATCGCAAGAACAAAAAACCAAACACCGCATATTCTCACTCATAGGTGGGAATTGAACAATGAGAACACATGGACATAGGAAGGGGAACATCACACTCTGGGGACTGTTGTGGGGTGGGGGGCGGAGGGATAGCTTTAGGAGATATACCTAATGCTAAATGATGAGTTAATGGGTGCAGCACACCAGCATGGCACATGTATACATATGTAACTAACCTGCACATTGTGCACATGTACCCTAAAACTTAAAGTATAATAATAATAAAATAAAATAAAATAAAAAAGAAAACTAAAACATTTTATAAGCAGTGCCATGGTTTGAATGTGTTCCCCAAAGTTCACGTGTTAGAAACTTAATCTCCAATGCAACAGTGCTGAGAGGTGGGACATTTAAGAGGGCAGAGCCCTCATGAATGGATCAATGCCATTATCATAGGATTGGGTTCCTCATGAAACAATGAGTTTGGCATCCTTCCCTTTTGCTCTCTCATGCTCTCTTCCTTTTCAGCCTTCCTCCATGAAATGAAGCAACACAAAGCCCTCACAAGATGTCAGCACCTTGATCTTGGACTTCCCATCCTCCAGAACTATGAGAAATAAATCTCTGTTTTTTTGTTTTGTTTTGTTTTTTGTTTTTCATAAATTGCCCCATTTCAGCAGCAGCAAATGGACAAAGACAAGCAGATAAAACTTTCTATTAAGGTAAAATTATAGGCTGGGTGTGGTAGCTCAGGCCTGTAATCCCATCACTTTGGGAGGCCAAGGTGGGTGGATCACTTGAGGTCAGGAGTTTGAGACCAGCCTGGCCAACATGGTGAACTCCTGTCATACTAAAAATACAAAAAAAATAAAAAAATAAAAAATAAAATAAAATTTAGCCGGGCATGGTGGTGAACGCCTGTAATCCTAGCTACTCTGGAGGCCGAGGCAGGAAAACTGCTTGAACCTAGGAGGCACAGGTTGCAGGGAGCCGAGATCCGCCACTGTACTCCAGCCTGGGTGACAGAGCGAGACTTCATCTCCAAAAAAAAAAAAAAAAAAAAGAAAGGAAAGTAAAATTATAAGTGGCTTCTCATAGAATGATTAGATACTTTGCTTAGATGACTGTGGGCCCTTTTTGTGTAAATGTAGTCTGTCTGCCAGGTGATGCCCAACACCACGCCTAACCCTATTTCATCCTCAGCACCCGACTTATTTGACATATCACCTGGTAATAAAAATATGATCTTTTTTTTAAAAAAAAATTGCCCGGCGCAGTGGCTCACACTTGTAATCCCAGCACTTTGGGAGGCCTAGGTGGGCAGATCACAAGGTCTGGAGTTCGAGACCAGCGTGGCCAACACAGTGAAACCCTGTCTCTACTAAAAATACAAAAAAAATTAGCTGGAGGTGGTGGCAGGCACCTGTAATCCCAGCTACTCGGGAGGCTGAGGCAGGAGAATCACTTGAACCTGGGAGGCGGAGGTTGCAGTGAGCCGAGATTGTGCCACTGCACTCCAGCCTGGACAACAGAGCTATGTTCCATCTTGGAAAAAAAAAAGTCTATATGGTCTGTGGAAGTGGGAATCCATAATAAGACAGGGAAACAGCAAGTGATCAAGTTAGATCATAAGGCAGACGTCAGATCACAAAAGCACATGCTTGGGCGGTTCCAGTAAGAAGCTATGTCATGGTTGAAAGGCAAGACACTCCTAGAACCTTAATAATTTTCCACGTGAACATTGTAAAAGAAGTCTATACGCCTACAGAATAGCATAAATTCATACCATGGACTTATTTATACCTAGGCCTATTAATTTATACCTAGGACTGCCAGGCGTGGTGGCTCACGCCTGTAATCCCAGCACTTTGGGAGGCCGAGATGGGCGGATCACGAGGTCAGGAGATCGAGACCATCTGGCTAACACTGTGAAACCCCGTCTCTACTAAAAATACAAAAAATTAGCCAGGCACGGTGGCGGGTGCCTGCAGTCCAAGCTACTCAGGAGGCTGAGGCAGGAGAATGGCGTGAACCCAGGAGGCGGAGCTTGCAGTGAGCTGAGACTGTGCCACTGCACTCCAGCCTGGGCGATGGAGCAAGACTCCGTCTCAAAAAAAAAAAAAAAAAAAATTTAGGGACCATTACCTTTACCTTTATCTTGATAGACTTTTACACATATTTGCTACTTATGATGTTATAAAAGTAATAAACATTCTTTTAAAATCTTCCCCATATTACAGAAATATGTGAGTTTGAAATGAAAGGTCCCTGTTATCTCCCCACCAGCTATAATCACTAACAAAAGGTTTTTGTATATTCTTCAATATACATATTTATTTTTTTCTTTCTTTTTTTTTTTTCGATACAGGGTTTTGCTCTGTCACCCAGGCATCAAGATAATACTTTACTGCAGCCTCGACCTCTTGGGTTCCATCAATCCTTTCACCCCAGCCTCCCATGTAGCTGAGACTACTAATATGGGTGCCACCATGCCTGGCTAATTTTTTATATTTTATTGTGACAAGGTCTTACTGTGTTGCCCAGGCTGGTCTCAAACTCCTAGGCTCAAGCAATCCTCCTGCCTTGGCCTCCCAAAGTTCTGGGATTACAGGCATGAGCCCCCACGCCTAGCTTGTTTATCTTTTTTTTTTTTTTTAACGAATGCATCTTTTGTCATTTTATAGCTCCCCACTGCAGCTGCCCCTCCACCCTTCCCTTTGATGACCACGTTGGCAGGCTTCAGGGGGACCAGGGAACAAAGCTGGGGAGAACAAGTCACAATTACAAATTATCACAACAATTAGCACCTGTACCTGGGGGATCTGCAAATTGAGGAAGCCCCAGCTCCTCATTGTACAGGGGTCTATTTGGCAGTGACCTTGCTCTGGAGATGATGATATTCCTTCAGCCTGAGGGAATTGATGTTGATGAAACTGGTGGCATCGATTGGCTCATAATCAACCTGCACGTTCATGCTCACCAGCTCCTCGTTGTAGATAAACAGAGGGACTCCTGGCCTAGGATGTACACCAGGCCCTTGAAGACGGACACCTGCACTTTCCCTTCCACTCACTCCTGGGACTTGGCAATGCAGTGGTGGACAAATTTACACTCAAGGCTGTGCCAGAAACCGGTATACACCAGCTCAGCAAATTTCAAGCCCAGGCCTTATTTGATTTTGCATACTTCCCGGTCCATGGTGAAGGCCCTGATGTCTAAATGAGCATGGTAAACGATGGTGTCTGCTGGGGTCTCATAGATACCTGGGGACTTCATTCCAGTGAAGTGGTTCTCCTTGATGTCAATACGGCCCAAGCTGTACTTGCCCACGTCTTCGTTCAGGTACAGGAAGAGCTCCAAGGAGGTCTGGTGGGTGGTGCCATCCTTGACGTTGGTCACTTTCATGGGGACTCCTTATTTGAACTCGATCTCGAGAATGTCAGGGGTTCTGGGGGCTTTGGCCGGGTCCTGGGTCTTCGTGGAGAGACCTGGAAATGCTTGGTTCTTAGGGTTCTCCAAGATTCCAGCCTCATTGCTGATCTGCATGAGGTTCTCGTCCATGTTCCACAGGTTCTTGGGAGTGACTGGGATGGGAATCCCGTGTTGCTTTGTGTGTTCCATAAGGTCATTTCGGACCTTGAACCTGTTGTAGAACTTGGGCATCCTCCAGGGAGCAATGACCTTTATCTGGGGGGGCCAGAGAGTAGCAGTTTAGCTCAAACTGGACCTGATCATTTCCCTTTCCTGTGGCGCTGTGGGACACTTACTTGGCCCTCTCCTGCTGGGCGATTTCCACTTGTTTTCGGGCGATGCAGGGCCTGGTGAGAGAGGTGCCCAGGAGGTAGTGGTCCTCATACAGTGCGCTGGACTGGATGGCCAGCCAGATGAACTCCTTCACAAACTCCTTGCTGACTTCCTCAATGAACACCTTTTTGCCCCCAAGCTTCAGTGCCTTCTTCCTGGCTTCCTCAAAGTCTTCCTTCTGGCCAGTGTTGGCCACGTAGGCAATGATGTCATAGCCTTGTTCCTTCAGTAACACGAGGATGCAGGAGGTGTCCAGGCCGCCACTGTAGGCCAGAACCACAGAGCCTTTGCTGGACATAGCATCTGGAATTGGAGGCACGAGTTCCCGGCATCTGGAATCTGTCTTAACAGTGCAGTGAACCACTTGGGCCTGGGCAGCAGTGGCAGGAGATGGAGCAGGGCTGTTTATCTTTTAAAAATGAGATTTTACAATCTATGGGGGCACATATAAATGTCACTAATATTGATAAAAATATAACTTTTAAGAGGCTTCATACTATTCTAGTTTATGGAAGAATCAACTGTAATTTATTTTAATTTTTATTAAATATCACATATACAAGACTTTTTCAACCAAAATGTACATGTTATTTATTTATTTATTTATTTATTTATTTATTTATTTATTTATTGAGATAGGATCTCACTCTGTCACCCAGGCTGGAGTGCAGTGGCACGATCACACTTCACTGCAGCCTCAACCTCCCTGGGCTCAGGTGATCCTCCTGCCTCAGCCTCCTAAGTAGCTGGAGCTACCAGTGTGCACCACCACACCCGGCTAATTTTTGTATTTTTTGTAGAGATGGGTTCTCACCACGTTGTACAGGCTGATCTCAAACTCCTGAGCTCAAGTGATCCACTTGCCTCAGCCTCCCAAAGTGCTGGGATTGGCCTGGTGCGTGGTAGCTTACGCCTATAATCCCAGCACTTTGGGAGGCTGAGGCAGGTGGATCATCTGAGGTCAGGAGTTCGAGGGCAACCTGGCCAACATGGCAAAACCCATCTCTACCAAAAATACAAAAAAAGAAAATTAACTGGGCATGGTGGTGGGCACCTGTAATCCCAGCTACTAGGAAGGCTGAGGCAGGAGAATCGCTGGAACCTGGGAGGCGGAGGTTGCAGTGAGCCAATATTGTGGCGTTGCACTCCAGCCTGGGTGACAGAATGAGACTCTGTCTTTAAAAAAAAAAAAAAAGTGCTGGGATTACAGGCATGAGCCACTGTGCCCAGCCCAAAGTGTATATTTTAATGAGTAATAATAAAAAAGTATAAACTGGGTGTGATGGTACATGCCTGTACTCTCAGCTACTTGGGAAGCTGAGATGGGAGGATCGCGTGAGCCCAGGAGTTTCAGGCCAGAATAAGCAACATGGTGATACCTACTCTCTAAAAAAGATTTTTTTAAAAAAAACCAACAAAACAACAAACACCCATGACCCCTGCTTAGGAAATAGAACACTACCCATACATTTATTTGAAGGCCCCTCCCCAACCAGATAATTATTATTCTTAATTTTTTTATTCCCTAGTTTTTCATTATAGTTTGACTATGGCTATATCTGTACTGATATGCGATTCTTAGTTTTGCATGGTTTTGAGCTTTATACAAAGGGAATCATATAGTATGTGGATTCTTCTGTGACTTTTTTTTTTTTTTTGAGATGGTGTCTCACTCTGTCACTCAGGCTGGAAAGCAGTGGCGTGATCTGGGCTCACTGCAACCTCTGCCTCCCAGGCTCATGCGATTCTCGTGCCTCAGCCTCCTGAGTAGCTGGGATTACAGGCGTGTGCCACCATGCCTAGCTAATTTTTTTGTAGTTTTAGTAGAGACGGGGTTTCACCATGTTGGCCAGGCTGGTCTCAAACTCCTGACCTCAAATGATTCACTGGCCTCGGCCTCCCAAAATGCTGGGATTACAGGTGTGAGCCACTGCAACCAGCCTTCTGTGACTTTTTAACATTATTGAGATTGATCTATAGTAATGCATGTGACTGCAGTTTAGTTATTTTTCATTGCTGTATGGTATTTGAGTATTTCAGTAAATCACAATTTATCCATCCTCTTGCTGATAGAAACTTGGATTGTTGCCAGTTATTTTGCTATTATGAATGCTAGCATAGCATAGCATGTTTCTTGGTATACATGTATAAGATTTCTCTAGGGTATATGCCTAGAAGTGAAACTGTGGGTCATAGGGTAGGTTCATTTTCTTTTCTTTTTTTTCTTTTTCTTTTCTTTTTTTAAATGGAGTCTCGCTCTCTCATCCAGGCTGGAATGCAGTGGTGTGATCTTATCTCGCTGCAACCTCCGCCTCCCGGGTTCAAGCGATTCTCCTGCCTCAGCCTCTCGAGTAGCTGGGATTACAGGTGCCTGCCACCACGCCCAGCTAATTTTTTTTTTTTGTATTTTTAGTAGAAACGGGGTTCCACCATGCTGGCCAGGATGGTCTCGATCTCCTGACCTTGGGATCCACCCACCTTGGCCTCCCAAAGTGCTGGGATTACAGACATGAGCCACTGTGCCCAGCCGGTATGCTCATTTTCAACTTTACTTGATAATGTCCATTTATTTCCATAGTAGTTGTACAAATTTGCACTGCCATCAGAGAATATAAGTGTTCCTATTGCACCACATCTTAGCCAATACTTTATATTATCAGAGTTTTCATTTTCTTTTCTTTCTCTCTCTTTTTTTTTTTTTTTTTTTTTTTGAGATGGAATTTCGCTCTTGTTGCCCAGGCTGGAGTGCATTGGCGTGATCTCGGCTCACCACAACCTCTGCCTCCCAGGTTCAAGTGATTCTCCTACCTCAGCCTCCCGAGTAGCTGGGATTACAAGCATGTGCCACCACACCCGGCTAATTTTGTATTTTTAGTAGAGACAGGGTTTCTCCATGTTGGTCAGGCTGGTCTCGAACTCCCTACCTCAGGTGATCTGCCCACCTCAGCCTCCCAAAGTGCTGGGATTACAGGCGTGAGCCACTGCGCCCGGCCTCAGAGTTTTCATTTTCTTCTAATACGTTATTGAGCTTTGATTTATATTTCTCTGATTCCTAAGTTAAACATTTTCTCATGAGCACAAAATGGACAAAGACAAGCAGATGAAACTTTCTTTTCTTTTCTTTTCTTTTTTTTTTTTTTTTGAGACGGAGTCTCACTCTGTTGCCCAGGCTGGAGTGCAGTGGTGCGATCTTGGCTCACTGCAACCTCCACCTTCTGGGTTCAAGCTATTCTCCTGCCTCAGCCTCCCAAGTAGCTGGGATTACAGGCACATGCCACCACGCCCGGCTGATTTTTTTTGTACGTTTAGTAGAGACAGGGTTTCACCATGTAGGCCAGGCTGGTCTTGAACTCTTGACCTCAGGTGATCCGCCTGCCTCAGCCTCCCATAGTGTTGGAATTACAGGCATAAGCCACCATGCCCGTCCTTCTCTTTCTTTTATAACGACCTTATTCAAATTTTTTCCTCATTTTTTTCTGTCTTTTCTTGTTATTTTTTGAGATGGATTCTCACTCCGTTGCTCAGGCTGGAGTGCAATGGGGCAATCACAGCTCACTGCAGCCTCAACCTCCCTGGTTCAAGCAATCCTCCCACCTCAGCCTCCCAAGTAGCTGGGGTACAGATGCGTGCCACTAAGCCCAGCTAAATATATATATATATATATATACCTATAAAAAATGGGGTCTTGCCATGTTGCCCACGTTGGGTTTTTCCCATTTTTCCTATCAGTTGGTCTTTTTTTTTTTGAGACCGAGTCTCACTGTGTTGTCCAGGCTAGAGTGCAGTGGTGTGATCTTGGCTCACTGCAACTTCTGCCTCCCGGGTTCAAGCAATTCTCGTGCCCCACCCGAGTAGCTGGGACTACAGGCATGAGCCATCATGCCTGGCTAAACTTTTTTTATATTTTTAGTAGAGACAGATGTTTCACCATGTTTGCCAGGCTGGTCTCAAACTCCTGACCTCAGGTGATCTGCCCGCCTCGGACTCCCAAAGTGCTGGGATTACAGGCGTGAGCCACCACGCCTGGCTCATTTTATATTTTGAATACTAATCCTTTGGAGTTTATTTGAAAATATATCCTTTCAGTTTTTGCCTTGTCCTGTCACTATTTCCATAATGTCTTTTGAAGAAGAGAAGATGTAGCCGGGCGCGGTGGCTCACGCCTGTAATCCCAGCACTTTGGGAGGCCGAGGTGGGCGGATCACGAGGTCAGGAGATCAAGACCATCCTGGCCAACATGGTGAAACCTCGTCTCTACTAAAAATACAAAAAAATAAGCTGGGGGTGGTGGCGGGCACCTGTAATCCCAGCTACTCGGGAGGCTGAGGCAGGAGAATGGCGTGAACCTGGGAGGCAGAGCTTGCAGTGAGCCGAGATGGTGCCACTGCACTCCAGCGTGGGCAACAGAGTGAGACTCCGTCTCAAAAAAAAAAAGAAATGTAGAAGAGAAGATGTAAATACAGACAAAAATATAAATTTTAGTATTTACAGCTTGTGAATTTTGTGTATTAAGAAATCTTTCTCTACCTCCAATGTTAGCAAGATATTCTCCTGCATATTTATTTTTTTACCAGCAAATAAACATCAATTTTAATTAATATAATAGCAACAGAAGGGCTTCCAATTTCTCAGAAGGAAAATAACATGAAACCAACACCGCCTGGTAAGTGTTACAAGATTAAATGTCCACATTTCCTGATCTGATAGCTTCCGACCACACACCAAAGTTTTTTCAAGGACAACTTCCACAAGAGCTGCTGCAAGAACACGTTTTTCACTGGGCATAGCTTCACAGTCAACTCCTCAAGCAGAAGACTGAAATATTATCTCTTTTTAGAAGATATTGTTTTAGGGTGAACATATCAATATGGAGAACAGAGCTTTGCTTCTCAAGTTCAAAAAAACCCATGAACGAATCTGTCAATTTTTCTCTGATAACAGTGTACCAGAGTGCTCTGTGGAGAATTCTTTTCCATCCCTACCACACATCTGGCTGAAGAGAGAAAAAGGAGTGGCAAGGTGCTGGTACACTAGCAGGCACTTCTCCTGATGCCCTGGGCTCCACTCCCTTTCTGCTGGTAATAGTAGCCGTCTTTTTTGCCGGCTGCAGCAGCTTGATGTGGAGGAGGAAGGGGCCAACCAACAATCACCTCTTGCCACCCACCAATCACCTCTTCTTGAAGTCACATTTTTTACGTTCATAGAAGAGGTCTTAGAGATCCCCAAATTGGCAATCTTTGGGCAGACATCTCTATCCTTCTCCTGGATGGTGAGCTCCTTACAACAATAGGCATCAGAAACCCCAGGACCTCCACAGATCACACAATGCCCCTGGTAAGATCTATACTTACATTCATCACCTATGCACACCAGGGTGCAAGGATGCACCTATAGGAGTCACAAATCACACACTTGCCATCACATTTTTCACATAGCATCCTGCTTGTGGCAAATGATCAAATCCAGATGATGTTTAGCCATAGCTCCTACGTCTCCCATATATTTAAGTACATTTATAATTTTGCCTTTTAGATATTCACTTTTTTCTTTTTTCTTTTCTTTTTTTTTTTTTTTTTTTTTTTGAGATGGAGTCTTGCTCTGTCACCCCCGCTGGAGTGCAATGGCGCAATCTCGGCTCACTGCAACCTCCGCCTCCCGGAGTCAAGTAATTCTCCTGCCTCAGCCTCCCGAGTAGCTGGGATTACAGGCATGCACCACCACGCCCGGCTAATTTTTGTATTTTTAGTAGAGACAGGGTTTCACCATGTTGGCCAGGCTGGTCTCGAACTCCTGACCTTGTGATCCGCCCACCTTGGCCTCCCAAAGTGCAGGGATTACAGGCGTGAGCCACCGCACCTGGCCTTTTTTTTTTTTTTTTTTTTTTGAGACAGGGTCTCATTCTGTCACCCAGGTTAGAGGGTAGTGGCATGATCTCAGCTCACTGTAACCTCCACCTCCTGGGCTCAGGTGATCCTCCTGCCTCAGCCTCCAGAGTAGGTAGAACTCTAGGCTGGTGCCACCATGCCCAGCTAATTTTTGTATTTTTAGTAGAGATGGGGTCTCGCCATGTTGCCCAGCCTGTTCTCAAACTCCTAGGCTCAAGCGATCCTCCCACTTCAACCTCCCAAATTGTTGGGACTGCAGGCTTGAGCCACCACTCCCAGGCTTTCCCATCATCATGTGTCAAGAAATCAAGCATTTCCTAAGCACCAGCTGATAACAGCTGCTAGGTAGGCTTATCACACTTCTACAGATTTGGCTAATAAAGAGACAATGAGCCCTAAAAGATTCAGACAATGTGTTACTTACACAGACTGCAAAAGCAATTGGCATGGTCTTAGCTCTGTGCAACCCCAGTTCCACAGGAAAATATTGAACCAGAGGGCCAAGCAACAGACAACAGGAGTGGCAGGTCACTATGTTGCTGAAGAGCTGACTCTAGAATGCAACTAAGTGGTCTTATAGACTTCCACTGTACCTTAAAAGAGATTAACGTGGAAAATCCCATGCTTCATTGGAACCAGAAAATTGAATGAAAAACTGCTCATAGCAGCCTCCCACAAGATAGGGAGTCTCTCACAAGATAAGGAGAGAGAACAGAAATATCCTTGTGACAGCTCTTTAGAAGACTATCTTTCCATGTTCTAGGCAAGTTTTGGGTCAGAATGTGGTTGCACGTTGCATATAAGGTCTATGAGGAGATATGCAAGATCTCTGGATTCCATAGCAGAGCTATTCCTCTAAACCATTAATTGCTGGATTTTGAACTTTAGCAAATACTTATTCTGACCACTCTGGTCATGATGTACTTCACATCACTTTTTATAATAAAAAGTGTTTCTGCAGTAGGTTTGCCAATATTGTTTAGAATTTTTACAAGTATAAGTCTGATTACCCTGTAATTCTTTTCTCATACTTTCCTTTTCTGGCTTTGTTAACAAGGTTACGTGGTACCCTGATGAAATGAGATGGGGACTTTCACCTGTCTTTCCAGACTTTGAAACTTTGAAAGATTTTGTTAAAGATGAGATTTATTTATTTATTTATTTATTTCTTAAGAGACGGAATTTTGCTCATTGCCCAGGCTGGATTGCAATGGTGCAATCTCAGTTCACTGCAACCTCTGCCTCCCAGGTTCAAGTGACTCTCCTGCCTCAGCCTCTTGAGTAGCTGGGATTACAGACATGCGCCACCACGCCCAGCTAATTTTGTATTTTTAGTAGAGACGGGGTTTCACTATGTTGGTTAGGCTGGTCTCGAACTCCTGACCTCAGGTGATCCACCTGCCTTGGCCTCCCAAAGTGCTGGGATTAGAGGCGTGAACCACCATGCCCGGCCTGAGAATTATTATTTTTTTTGAATGGTAAAATTCAGTAGTAAAATCATATGGTCGCCATGCTTTTCTTTGTTGGAAGATTTTTAATACAGATTAAAATTTTGAGTTATGGAACTGTTCACATTTTTTATTACTTATTGAGTCTTTTACAGTATGTTGCATTTCTAGTTATTTGTCCACTTCATTCAAATTTGCAATTTTATCATGAATTTTTTGTGTTTTTTTTGAGGCAGAGTGTCACTCTGTCATCCAGGCTGGAATGCAGTGGCGTGATCTCGGCTCACTGCAACCTCCGATTCCCAGGTTCAAGCAATTCTCCTGCCTCAGCCTCTCGAGTAGCTGGGATTACAGATGTGTGCCACCATGCCTGGCTAATTTTTGTATTTTTTGTAGAGACGGGGTTTTGCCATGTTGATCAGGCTGGACTCAAACTCCCGACCTCAAGCCATCTGCCTGCCTCCGCCTCCCAAAGTGCTCGGATTACCGGTGTGAGCCACCGCGCCCAGCCTATCATGAATTTTTCATAATATCTTATTACCAGTTCAAACAGCGACTGTATCTGCATATCTACTTTAAAAAAATTTTTAACTTCAATTAATTTTATTTTTGAGACAAAGTCTTCCTCTGTTGTCCAGGCTGAGGTGCAGTACAGTGATCTTGGCTTATAGTAGCCTCTGCCTTCTATTCTCAAATGATCCTCCCACCTCCACCTCCTGAATAGCTGAACTACAGGACTATGCCACCACACTAGGCTAATTTCTCCAAATCTTTTGTAGAGATGAGGTATATTGCCCAGGCTGGTCTCGAACTCCTGGGCTCAAGCAATCCTCCCACCTTGGCGTCCCCAAAGTAGTGGAATTACAGGCGTGAGCCACCATGCCCAGCCTTTTTTATTTTTAATGTTTTTCACGCTTTTCCTCTTCTTTCTTGATCAATCTTGCTAAGGTTTATACATTTCATTAAGGTTTTCAATGAGCCAAATTTTGGTTTATTCATCTGCTTTATCATGCGTTTCCTATTTTATTATTTTCTGCTTTATTATTTCCCTCCTTTGCAGTTATGATTTTTTAACCTAAAAAAATGGATGCTTAGCTCATTAGTATTCAGCCTTTCTTCTCTCGTATGAACTTAATGGTCACTGAGCACCCACAATTTCTGATACATGCTATATGATTGTTAACGTAGGGAAAAATACCTAATTATAGTGGATCCAAGAGAGATTGAGAGTAGAGGAAATGGAAATAGAAAGTAAAGACTAATTTCAGGCTGGGTGAGGTGGCTCACACCTGTAATCCCAGCACTTTAGGAGGCCGAGGCGAGTGAATCACTAGAGGTCAGGAGTTCGAGACCAGCCTGGCCAACATGGTGAAACCCCCGTCTCTACTAAAACAAATACAAAAATTAGCCTGGTGTGCTGGTATGCACCTGTAATCCCAGCTACTCAGGAGGCTGAGGCAGGAGAATCTCTTGAACCTGGGAGGCAGAGGTTGCAGTGAGCTGAGATCATGCCACTGCACTCCAGCCTGGGTGACAGAGCAAGACTCTGTCTCAAAAAAAAAAAAGAAAGAAAGAAAGTAAAGACTAATTTTTGAAGTTTTTATGGAAGGGAGAGTAGAGAAAAGTGGCAGTAGCTGGAGAATAATGTGTGATCCAGGGAGAATGATCAGCCAAATACATTAAATTTAATGAGATGCAAACCATTCAAGTCACACATATATTCTTACAGAATTAGCAGACATTCTGCTTAGAATAAATGAGAGACCTTTGTGCATATTTAAATTGTTGGCCATTTGGTTCCTCACACCATATCGTGATTGCATTTCATCCTCCAACTCCAGCTCAAGGTATAGGCAACAACAGTATAAATTCAGAGTTAGTGTGAGCATGTGTGTTTTGCATATCTCTTGCTAAAAAAAGTAGCTCAAATTTACTGGCATCTCATTTAGTCAAAATATATGTGTATGTGTGTGTGTGTGCATGTGTAAACAATGTGTGCTTGTATATTTGTGGGTACACAATTTGAGAATGGCATTGAGTAGTAAGAGACAGGGCTAGACAGGAATCAGATCACAAAGTCACTTACTAAGAAGGTTAAATTTTATCAAGTATGTGACATTTCTTGGTGTGAGAGGTAAAATTCTAGTCTAGACTCTTGATAAGCTCACCAAGGTCTAGTAGCAAGTAAGGCTCAACTCATGGGACCTTGTAAAAAGAGTCCCGGAAAGGGAAATAAAGGCTTTCTCAGATGAAGTAAACCTCAGAGAATTTTTTACTAGAAGACCTGTTATTAAACAATGGCTAACAGGCTAAAGGGAGTTTTCCAAAGAGAAAGGAAACTATAACCTAAGGATGCTGAGACCCCAGGAAGAAAGAAAGAAAAATAGAATGGTTATGACAGAGGTAAATATAATAAACTAAGCTTCTCTTCATGCTTTTTAAAGGTACTATTTGAGAGTTGAAGCCAAATTTATATCATCTAACACGGTGCTCAATGTATGTAGAGAAACTGCTTAAAGCATTTATATTTATTTAACAGGTAGAGAGAGTCAAGTGATCTAAATGAAAGTGAGGTACTTCACTTGAGGTGCTAAAATCTTGCTTAGTAATAGACTGTGATATGGTACATATGTATATACTAACACCTAGAGCAAGTCCTTAAAAAATAAGACATATTTGGCCGGACGAGGTAGCTCATGCCTGTAATCCCAGCACTTTGCAAGGCTAAGGCAGGAAGATTGCTTGAGCCCAGGAGTTAGAGACCAGCGTGGGCAACATGTCAAAACCTCGTTTCTACCAAAACAAACAAACAACAACAGCAACAAAACTAATTAGCTGAATGTGGTGGCATGAGCCTGTAGTCCTAGCTACTCGGGAGGCTGAGCGGGGAGGATCACTTGAGCTCGGGAGGAGGTTGAGACTGCAGTGGTGCCGTGATAGTGCCACTGCTCTCCAGCCTGGATGACAGAGCAAGACTGTCTCAAAAAATAAAAATAAAAAGAGAACTATATTCAAGAACACTATTGACATATCAAAATGGAATTTTAAAAAACGTTCAAGTGACTCATCAAAAGATAAGAGGCAGGGAACAGAAGGACAAAAAGTGGAGCAAGCAAACATAAACTAAATAATAAAATGGCACACTTATGCCTTAACATATCAATAATTACTTTCAAAGTAAATAATGTCTAACTATTAATAATTAAGGCCGGGTGCAGTGGCTAACAGCCGGGCATGGTGGCTCACACCTGTAATCTCAGCACTTTGGGAGGCTGGGGTCAGGAGTTCGAGACCAGCCTGCCCAACATGGTGAAACCCCATCTCTACTAAAAATACAAAAATTACCTGAGCGTGGTGGGCTGAGGCAGGAAAATCGCTTGAAGCTGGGAGGCGGAGGTTGCAGTCAGCCGAGATTACACCACTTCACTCCAGACTGGGCAACAGAGGAGACTCCATCTCAAAAAAAAAAAAAAAAAAAAAAAAAAGGAATGGCCGGGTGCAGTGGCTCATGCCTGTGAAATCCCAGCACTTTGGGAGGCTGAGGCGGGTGGACCACCTGAGGTCAGGAGTTCGAGACCAGCCTGGCCAACATGGTAAAACCCCATCTCCACTAAAAATACAAAATTAGCCGGGCATGGTGGCACATGCCTGTAATCTCAGCTACTCAGGAGGCTGAGGTGGGAGAATCACTTGAACCCAGGAGGCGGAGGTTGCAGTGAGCTGAGCTCGCGCCACTGCACTCCAGTCTGGGCGACAAGAGTAAAACTCCATCTCAAAACAAACAAACAAGCAAAAAATTAAAACACAGATAAAAACACATGACCCAACGATATGCAATCTACATGAAACTCACTTCAAGCATAATGAATGCAGCTCGAAAATAAAAGAATAGAAAATGACAATTATGTAAACATTAAAAAGCAGGAATGGCTAGGCTATATTAATATCACATAAAGTAGAATACAGAGCAAAGAAAATTACTGGGGACTAGGAGTGACATTATGTAATCAGAAAAAGATCAATTAGCTAAAAAGAAATGGTGACCCTAAATGTGTAAGCACCAAACAACACAGTCTCAAAATACATAAAAACTGAGCAGGGTGTGGCCGGACATGGTGGCTCATGCCTATAATCCCAGCACTTTGGGAGTCCAAGGCTGGTGGATCACCTGAGGTCAGGAGTTCGAGACCAGCCTGGCCAACATGGTGAAATTCTGTATCTACTAAAAATAGAAAAAAAAAAAATTAGCAGGGAGTGGTGGTGGGCACCTGTAATCACAGCTACTGAGAAGGCTGAGGCAGGAGAATTGCTTGAACCCGGAAAAGGCGGTTGCCGCAAGCCAACGCCATTGCACTCCAGCCTGGGCAACACAGTGAGACTCTGTCTCAACAACAACAACAAAAAACAAAATAAAACTGATATGGCTGAAAGGAGAAATAGATAATTCTGTATGGGTAGTTTATTGAGGTTAGTGGCTTTTTACGGTTGTCTTGGACAGATGCTACAACAACAACAACAAAAAAAGAGCAGAACACATTCAAAGAAAGCAGAAAGATGGAAATCATAAAGATAAAACCATACATCAATAAAATAGAAAAACAAAAACAAAGAAACAAAAAGCTAGTTCTTAAAAAAAGTAATGAAATTGATAAACTTCTAGCAAGACTGACAAAGGTTAAAAAGAGAGAAGACATAAATCACCACTGTGAGGAATCAAACTGAAGATATCATTACATATCCTGCAGCTATTAAAAAGATAATTAAGGAAATACTACGAAAACTTTATGGTCACAAATTCAGCAACATGGAAGAAGTGAACAAATTCCTCAAAATTCAAAAGCCACCCAAAACGCAATCAAGATTAAATAGATAATCTGAATAGCCCCATAACCATTAAAGAAATATCTCCAGGTTTGGACACTTTTACTGGAGACTTGCACCAAACATTTAAATAAAAATTAACGTCATTCTGAGCTTAGATGCAAAAATCCTCAATAAAATATTAGCAAATAAAATTCAACAATGAATAAGAATTATACACTGACCAAGTGGGATTTATTCAGGCATGCAAGGTTTGTTTAATCTTTGGAAACTAATCAATGTAATCCACCGTATCAATAGGGTAAAGAAGAAAATTTTATGATGATATAAATTGATGCAGAAAAAGCATTTGATAAAATCTACCCACCCATTCATGACAAAAATTTAAAAAATCAATCTCTCAGCATATTAGGATAGAGGGGGAATATCATCTTTATTTTCTTTAAGAGATGGAGTCTTGCAGCCCAGTTTAGGATGCAATGGTTCTATCACAACTCACTGCAGCCTTGATCAACTGAACTAAGTGATTCTCCTGCCTAAGCTTCCCAAGTAGCTGAGACCACAGGTATGCACCACCATGCTCAGCTAATTTTTTTTTTTTTCGAGATGGAGTTTAGCTCTTTCACCCAGGCTGGAATGCAGTGGCGCAATCTCGGCTCACATCAACTTCTGCCCGCAGTGTTCAAGTGATTCTCCTGCCTAAGCCTCCCGAGTAGCTGGTGGGACACATTATGGTGTCCACCACCATGCCTGGCTAATTTTTGTATTTTTGTAGAGATGGGGTTTCACTATGTTGCCCAGGCTGGTCTCAAACTCCTCACCTCAGGTGATCCACCCACCTTGGTCTCCCAAAGTGTTGGGATTACAAGCTTGAGCCACCGCACCCAGCCTCATGCTTAGCTAACTTTATTATACAGACGGAGTCTCCCCGTGTTGTCCAGGCTGGTCTCAAACTCCTGGCCTCAAGAAATCCTCCTACTTCAGCCTCCCAAAGTGCTGAAGTTACAGGTGTGTGGGGAAAAGATGGGGGATTCACCATGTTGGTAGAGATGGGGATTCACCGTGTTGCCCAGGCTGATCTTGAGCTCCTGAGCTCAGGCAGTCCACCTGCCTCAGCCTTCCAAATTGCTGGGATTACAGTTATGAGCTACCACGCCCAGCAGAATTCTGAATGTGTTGCTAATTTTGGTCCACATTCTTATTTGTTGAAATTAGTTTTTGGAGGAAAAAAATTGTGTGTCAGGTCCACTGCTTTATATGAACACTTAACTATCCCATGGTACACTCCTACAGGCTGTGGGCCCTGTATAGTGAACCACCCAAGAAATCAGCTCCTTTTTTGAAGAAAGGGCCACATGTAATATATCTTTCCTATCTTGTTAAAGAGGCACTTCAAGGCGTTAGGGCTTACAGAGAAGAACCTTTGTACTTCGACGAAGATGAACGTGAATGAGTATGGCAGATTCAAGGCATAAGACAGGTCTTAAGATGTAATTGTCCTTACTTCATCAGTTACCCTAGTATGTTTGCAGATTTGTCTTTTTTTCACTCATAAATCCTATTTTTATATTAAAAGAATCTATAATCTGAGACTGAACTCACTTTTTTAGTTATCTATATTTTGATCTTTTTTATTATACATATATATTTGCAAAAGTAGAGTTGTCAAATATATCCTTTTTTAATTTTATGTCTTTGGAATTCAGGTGATATTTAAAAAGGCCTTTCCATCTCTCAGATTATAAATGCAAAGTATTATATAGTATCTCTATGTAACCAAATCCTCAGTAGACTACACCTTATATTACTCATTCACACAAAGGCTTAAATGGGCACTGATTGTCCACAAGGGATGATTTTGCCACCCAGGAGACATTTGGTTATGTCTGGAGACAATTTTGGTCAACACCACCGGGCATGTGCTGACATCTAGTGGGTAGAGGCCGGTAATACTGCTAAACCTCCTACAATGCACAGGGTAGCCCCTTCTCCCCACCCCAACAGAGTTATCCAGCCAAAAATGTCATATATGGATGAGATTGAGAAGATCTACTATGAACCATTTCTCCTCTGTGACTGTTCAGATCCCCACTGTTTCAGGATATGTATATCATAGAACATTGAAAAGACTGAGGGAGGTGGAAAAGAAAGAAAAAAGCAGGAACTGGATAAAGAAATTTTGGTAAATTGGAGAAAACCTTTTTACTTCATTTGTACTGTCCTTAATTCAGTACCTCTAATTCAGCTCCCAAAACTCAAATTTAACAAACACCATTTTACAGAATACATCAGAAAAACAAAAAGAAAAAAATCCTGACAAACATTGGCATACTTCCTAAGAGACAAAAGCATGAAGAACAGACTAATTATTATGTAAATGCCTTTATTTGAACTACTACATTGCTACCAGATTACATCACTTTTCAGAGTTAGAGTAACATAATACCTTGGAAACTATAGCAAACAGCTTGACAAAGCAAGAGTACATTAATTCCTACATATATACTTTTATTTTTAGTGACCACATTTCTTTGTTTCAGGTGTAAAATTAAAAAATATATTGTACACTTAGCATACTTGGCCTACCAAATCCCGTCTAAGTTCTGAGCACACTCTCTCCTCAAAAGTATCATATTCAACAGCATTTTAAATTTAGAGAGAGAGTTTGATGATACAGGTTTTAAAACAAATAAGCATGTATTGAACCAAGTGATTTAAGACAAAATATTTCAATTGTTTACAGCTTGGGTATGAGAGGGAAGATGCAAATTTAAGGTACATTTTTCTTCTAGCTACGATGTATGTTTTACTTACTTGAAGACCCCTTAAAAAAAGTAGCAAAATCAGCAGTCTTGTTTAATATAATCAAAATATTCTTAAATGTACAAAAAAGGATCATGTAGAAAGAATACTGTAAAAAGATACTGATCTTAAGAATAAAAGAATAAGAAAAGCTTCTATTACATTCTGCACAGCCAGTTACTTCGGCAAATTTTCAGTACTACAAAGATAAGCAAAGGATACTCATATCCAAATACGCTCTGACCATAGTTCTCGAATAAGAACTAGCATACTGGATGGAAAGCAAAATTACTGTCTAATAATATTCATATCCCATCATCTAAGCAAGTCCCAAGAGAGGGACATTCTAAGAGGGCAAAAGATAACAGAGCAAGAAATAACATACAGCAATGGGAAATGTCAAGGGCAGCATTCTAGGAGGAGAGAGTAAAATGTTTTGGCTATGAGCACATTTCAGGCGTGCCTGACAAATTCAACTCTGACTATGGGAAAGAGGAGTTGTTTTTCTTAAACCCTTTCCCCTGAGGGCTCTCATGATAAGCTAGTCCTGTTAATCAAAATGAAAAGTCCTTTGAATGGCCAAGAGTTCCTTAAGCCATAAGCACTTCACCTGGAAATAGCTGACCTGCGAATCATGCACCTGGGAGCATGGCTGTTTTATTCAGATTGGTTATTTTACACTCTCTTCATTCCCCTGCCCATCAAACATGCAAACACAGTCATGACCATCTTGGGCTTTACTTCCACAAGGTCTTCAGGGAGAGCATACACTCTGGCTCCGATTCTTCTAGCCATTGACACTGCATACCTATTTTAGGGGGAAACAAAATCAGGATGAAATTCTTGTCAGTTAAGGACACCACGTAAGACATCTATTTCCTCATATATAATTATTATGCTGGGATGCAAAAATTCCATATTGATAGTTCCAATTAGAACAGTTTTGCTTTTTGTTTTCTTTTGATTTGGGTTTTGATTTCACTTTGAAGTTACAGTAGGTTTTTAAGCTCTATTATTTGGGGCTAATAATATTTATTCACTCTTTTTCTCCAATGTGAGGTGAGAATTAAGCTTGAAGCACCAACTTTATATATATAATTACCTAGGCTGTCTATACAATCCATGTTAATATTCTCATTGCACACATAATAACACACACTCAAGTCATCTTAGAGATATGAGGTGGAAAATCATGCTAGATGCAAAACCCAAGTTGTTAGGCAGATGCAATGAATACTTCCAAGTATTCATGAGAGGGGAGACAGTCTACGTGGTACGTGGACAGAGTGGCTGGACCAAAAACTAGAAAAGGTAGACGAAGGGACAGAAGAACTGAGATGTCCAGGTAGGGAAATTTTCAGGAACACATCTCAACTAATCCGTGAAGTATTTCTAGGTGTGTTGGAACCAGAATCTTTAAAGATAATTAAATCATCGAGTTTCTAGAAAAAGAGATTTCAAGAGTTCTTGATATATTGTGGATATTAGACCTTTGTCATATCTGCTAGAAATATTTTTCAAGGAAAAAAGAAATAATGTGCCTAACTCCAAAGTTTTGCAGGAATGCTTCTTAGCTGTTCGGTAATGCAGGACTGTGGATGGATTTTCAATGTCTAACTAGTAAGGTTTTCATGGGTCACCCATGAAGCCAGGTCACACTCTAGGCCTTTGGTGAAGAAGAAAATAGGCTGGTGGAAAAGACCTTCTGAATATTGTTGAAATGCAAGAAACTTTCAAGGCATAGTCTTCTGTGGAGGGCTAGCAAGCATTCTGTTAATATGGGAACTGATGAAGATAAATTCAATAAATGTAGTAAGAATGATCTATGTATAGTAAAAGAGACATAAGTGGATAATGCGTTTTTTAAAAAAAGAATGAGACAGACAGATGAACACCCTAAGCTCTTATTTTCCTTGTAAAGTTTTACCTGATTTGCATTAAAATACATGCTACATTATTTCTGTAATCCACTGAAGCAACAACCGACTAAGCACCTAGTAGGCCAAGCACAAGGCTAGGCTCTTATAATTTTTAAAAATTTAATCTTTATAAAATCTAAGGTAAGTATTATTGCCCCCAGTTTATTGATGAGGAATCTGAGGCTCCAAGAGGTTTCTCCCAAGGTGACACCACTCTTAAATGGCAGAACCTGAATTAGAATTCAGATCTGTCCAGCTACAAAGCTGCGTTCTTTTCATACTATTAGCAGTCTCCCTTACTTGGCATTATTGTGCTTGTCATCTTCTGTTAGATTGCCACTCTTCACAAGGTCATAGTTTATACAGCCTGGCTGGATGGCATCAATTAAATCCACAACTGCCAAACTGGAGCTGATCGTCTTGTCCTAGTGTGAAAGGAGAACAAATCTGAGAATTTTGATACATACAAATTAACATGTGCTTACTTATATCAAGTGCCAAAAACAAAGCCCAGTGAATTCGTAAAGAATTGTGCCATTAGCCCAACACTAATTCTCACTCACAAAGAAGCCAAAAGTTGCCTTCCCAAATGATAGATGTTATCCAGCAAACATAATATTTAATAGTCAAATATGGATTCTGACCTTAAAACTCTGAATGGAAGTTGATTTTCCAGCTTCACTCAACGTTCTGTTCACCCAGTTCACAATGATGTCGTCATTGGCTTTCTGACCATCTCCAAGATCTTCCAGGACATTGAGGGTATATCTAAGAGAGGCAGCAGAAGAAAACGTCACCATCTACTTTATGAGGAAAAATGCAAACATCAGAAAGATGCTTTATCTTCCACTTTTTATATTTCTTAAATTTTTCTTCTTTTTTTTGAGACGGAGTCTCGCTCTGTCGCCCAGGCTGGAGTGCAGTGGCGCAATCTCCTGCTCACTGCAAGCTCCGCCTCCCGGGTTCACACCATTCTCCTGCCTCAGCTTCCTGAGTAGCTGGGACTACAGGTGCCCACCACCACGCCCGGCTAATTTTTTATATTTTTAGTAGGGACAGGGTTTCACCGTGTAGCCAGGATGGTCTTGATCTCCTGACCTCGTGATCCACCCTCCTTGGCCTCCCAAAGTGCTGGTATTACAGGCGTGAGCCACCACTCCTGGCCCCTATATTCCTTAAATTTCAAGGACTAAAGATTTCATGGAAAGAGATTCACACTATGTGAAAAAAATATTTCAAGCAGTAGTGGCTTGCTACTGATCTACTCTTTGTAGTGGTGAGAGAGGAGCAGATTGACAGTGCTTTAATGAGCAGGTCCAACAGCCCACTGTAGGCACATTTTGTACTATTCCAATAGCGGTAATGGCATAAAATAAGCTGTGCTTTGGCTGGTGCCCAGTCATAATGAATGCTTTTCAGCATTATAGTGATCTTCATCAGCATTACAGAGAGAGATCTTTATTTTCAAATGAGCATGAAGATGTTCATAATTTTGTTCTGACAATTTTTTAATTCACTGACACTAAACGAGGCCGAAATCTGTGTGTCAGGCTTCCTATTTTTTAAAAAAGGGACTAACCATAGTTCTGCTGCCTAACTTGCAAGGAAGCATCTCCCACTTAACATCCAACATATATTCATTAATTAAACTCATTTCGGAGTGTAAATATAACATATTTCAAAAGTGTAGTTATCGACATATCCACTTATTAAACACAGTAAGGACTAAATCACAGACCTGTATGATAGTAAAGACTAAACAGCTAAAATTGTGTACTATACCTTCTCATCAGCTGCCAGACTAAAGCTAAAGTCAGGGTTTGGTTCCCATCATTCAGGTCTTGCCCTCCAATGCCAACCAGGGAGAATTTAGCAGGATGCTTCCCTAATTCAACAGCATAGTTGCAGTTTTCTAGCTGCAAAGGCACAAGAGTAAATGGTTAAAGACTTCCATTTGTTTAATCTGCATACGTGTGTGTGTGTCTTGTATAATGCTAGGTATCAGCACACAAAAACAAATAAGACACAGTTTTGTCCTCAAGAAGCTCAGCGTCAAGAGTTTTAGAAACAAAAGAAATTAATCGAGAATAAAAATACTCTAACAAATATATACAGCAACTTAATTATCTACCTTTTTCATGTTGGCTCCCAGTTTCGGGTATGGAGGTTTATTAACCTTACTCCAGTCAACAGGAACTTTAATTCGTTCATATAACTGTAAGATTACCAGGGCATCTTGCAGGTCACTAATGATTTAAAAATAATGTAATCAGTGTTTTCAGGAAGCTGGGACTTGACTTTCCTTAAAAACAGTAACACTACATTGTCAAACAAGATATATAAAACCATAAATAATACCCAAGACTCATATTTTCTATCAATCTGTGCTGAAAACAGAGCTAAGACCATCCCATTCATTTATAAGTATTTATTGAGAGCTTACTGTAAGCAAGGCACTGTTCTAGAGGCTGGGCCCACAGGACAAAAATCCCTGTCCTTGCATTAGAGTCAGAGAGATAGACAATAAACAAGTACATGGATAAACAAACAATACGGGGGGTATTGGTTTGTTGACAATAAACAAACAATTTTAGGGGTGTATGTAAGTGCTATTAAGAAAAAAAGGAACTAGGGTTAGGGGTTAGAGAGTAGCAGGTGGTAGTCAGGAAATCTTTGAATCAGTGACTGGAATACAGTAAGGATACGAGCCACTATATGCGAGCAAAGAACGTTCCAGGCTGAGAGAACAATGAACCAAAGTCCCTGAGTTGTTGTGGATGGTCTACTTAAAGGATTCCCTGGTCTCTGTTTCTTTCTTTTTTACCTTTCTTTTTTTTTCCCTCTTAGAGATAGGATCTCACTTTGTTGCCCAGGCTGGAGTACAGTGGCACAACCATAGCTCACTGAAGCCTCAAACTCCTGGGCTCAAGCAATGCCCCCACCTCAACCTCCCAAACAGCTGTTTCAAAATATAAAGTATTTGCTCCCTAGGGTACTATAAAGACATTTATATATTCTATCACTTACAGTTAACGATCATGTAAAGGAATACTTAAAGCTTTTGTGTATTTGGAAAATGATGATGGAAATCACCACTTGACATTTTCCAATATAAATAATAGCTACAAATTAATATCTAGAAAATCTTTAGAGCTGTCATTATTTAACATCCATTCATGACATTCGTAACTGTTTACAATAGCAGTAGGAAGGCTTACGCATAGAGATGGTTTACGTGAGGATTGACACCAAGAGAGTTCATCCAGTTACGGAAGGTTCTTTCTTCACGAGTTTCTCCTGTTAAGAATATTCACAAAATTTACTGATTCATTAAACACTTTATGTATGTGCATATAGTGCCAATACACATATTAGATTATTTTATCTCTCTATTCAGATCTAGAATTTTTCGATAATACGAGTTTCCAAGCATTCTTCTAAGTACATACATTCTCTCTAGGTACAGGCTTATTTTTAAAATTTGAATTTATTTTAAAATTAAAGAATACAACCTTATTCTAACCAGTTAAGCAATTTAGAGGTTTATGAACTTTTTATAGTCTCCTTCTCAAATCTTTCTCCAATATTTCCTCGAATCTGCATCCCTCAAAGTAACTGATGTTATCAGTTAAGTTACTGGTTTTATAGAAATATCAGTGGACACTCAATGAATTACTATTTGCATTATTTATTTATTTATTTATTTATTTATTTATTTTTGAGATGGAGGTTTGCTCTTGTTGCCTAAGCTGGAGTGCAATGGCACGATCTCAGCTCACTACAACCTCTGCCTCCCAGGTTCAAGGGATTCTCCTGCTTCAGCCTCCCGAGTATCTGGATTACAGGTGCGCACCACAATGCCTGCCTAATTTTTTGTATTTTTAGTGGAAACGGGGTTTCACCATGTTAGCCAGGCTGGTCTCGAACTCCTGACCTTAGGTGATCTGGCCACCTTGGCCTCCCAAAGTGCTGGGATTACAGTCGTGAGCCACCGCGCCTGGCTGCATTTCTTAATTTTTATAGACTACGCTTCACACATATATAATCTGGAAAAGGTAAACTCTGCCTTTCCAAAACTTAAAAAAAAATTAGTATATATTATCATTTGTTTCTTGAGGAGGTAAAGGTGAAAGGAGTTGGGGTTAGTTCCAGTTACATTGACTGTGGATGAATGAAACATAAATATATGCTAAATTTACAGGTCAAACTGAATGCATATGTGCACTTTTTCCTGGTGAGAGGATTAAAAAGTGGTCTAACCCTAAATATTAAAACTAAATACTGATTTACTAAGTGGCTTTACATTAAGCGACTCGACTACTTTTTATTTTTTTTATTTATTTTTTGAGATGGAGTCTTACTCTGTTGCCCAGGCTGGAGTGCAATAGCGCGATCTCGGCTCACTGTAACCTCCGTCTCCCAGATTCAAGTGATTCTCCTGCCTCAGCCTCCCGAGTAGCTGGGATTACAGGCATGTGCCACCACGCCCCAGCTAATTTTTTAATTTTTCGTAGAGACGGGGTTTCACCATGTTGGTCAGGCTGGTCTCAAACTACTGACCTCAGGTGATCCGCCCATGTCGGCCTCCCAAAGTGCTGGGATTACAGCTGTGAGCCACCGTGCCCGGCCTCGACTACTTTACTTTAAAAGTTCACTTGTATCGTACTTTCCTGCCAGTTTTTACTCAGCATCTGCCATCTACTTCTTGTAGATATAAAAAAACTTATTAAGTCTAGATTGTAAAATCATTGTGGCCTATGTATTTCTACTCTATAGTCCCACACATTCGAAATTGAGGTTTTTAGTTACCTTCTAATAGAGTCCAGTCAATATCCTGGTTCTCTGGCTTAGTTAGTGCTGGGTATTTATTAAACAGGTTAGCCACGAAAGCTAAGTTGAGTTTGGGGTTTCCACTGACAACATCAGCAGGGGTAACAAACTGTCTGCAACCTAATTTATCTGCTTGTTGAAGCATACTCTCAGCTCTCTTCAAATCATCTGTTTCCTGTTGAAACAAAATCGGAAGACTTTGTCAAAGGCCACACTAAAAATATAGAAAATTTCCCCACTGTCATAGTCTGGGTATACAGTTCTACTTTCTTTTAGCTAACATATGGTACTTATTATAAAATTGTTTTGAATGCAAAAAAAAAGGTTGGCCCTCTTGGAGATGCAGTACCTGTAATATACACTAGATGGCGCCAGATCACACAGCAAACTACTGAGTACATTTAACTAAATTGCATTAAGAAAGAAGTTACGTAAAAGGTTGGGGGAAACTCCCAGATTTTGTTTGAAAATCTGTAGAGAAAAATATACATTCACCATCTTCACTTTCTCTGGTTCCACTTTTCCTTTTTTCCTTCTCAATAGGAAAACAGCTTCAATTGTCCTTTTAAGCCACCTCAAGTTAAATATTCAGATATTTTCAGTAGAATTATGTTAAAATTTTTTTTCAAATGTACTTTATCTACAATGAATCTCAATTAATTATTAAATGTGAAAGGGTATTAACTGTAGTCCTACTTAAGTCTCCTTTAGAAAATGGTGTTCATTTTCTGTAAATTGTGGGTTCATTCTCTTCAACCTGGCTTATTTTATTTTATTTTGCTGATTTACTACTTTCTGCTTTGGAGTTTCTCCTTTTTTCTACTGGCTCTCAGCTGAACTTCACTGAGGCTTCTGGGTACTGTGCATTAAGTCAATGAGCTTCATGACAGAGTGGACTCCTTGGAACCCTGGAACCTCTGGGGCTGTGTTATGCAGCAGAAGGAACTAGAAAGGAGGGCACTGCTGGAGAGCGAGCTAGAGAGAGAGGAAGTTGTGCTGAGCTGTGGAAGTAGGCTTCCCTGGCTGAGGGAGAAGACAGACACCTTCATTCATGTCATGCTCAAATCCCAAGGGAAATGCTTGTGAACTGTTGCTTGAATTGAAGAGAAGCAGAGAATCTATTTCCACTGATTTCTTTTGAGCGTAGGGAGAATGGTGGAAGGCAAGACCAAGGATTAATCTCAGGGAATTGAAGGATTAAAAAAGTTAGGACGAAAGGAAGGGATTTTTTCCATTACAAAGACGAAGAGAAAAAAGTTAAATTGAAATAAAAAACAGGTAAAACTGTTCAGAGTTAAAATTAGGCCTTGGTTGGACGTGGTGGCTCACGCCTGTAATCCCAGCACTTTGGGAGGCCGAGGCAGAAGGATTGCTTGAGCCCAGGAGTTCGAAACCAGCCTGGCCAACATGGCGAAACCTCGTCTCTTAAAAAAAAAAAAAAAAAAAAAAGACCCTAAAGAAGGTGTAAAGCTGAAAAAGATGAAGGACACTGAAAACCATGAGAACAGCATGAGCAAAGGCACCTGGGTGGTGGTGGGAAGGAAGGTTGGGGTGGGGAACACAGACTTTTGGGGAAATAACACTGGCTAGATTTTAGAGCAAGATTTGTAGGGTGAGTGCCAAGCAGAACATTTCAGACTGAATTCTAGAGTCAACAGAAGAATCCTTGTCGGATTCTGAAGAGGGAAGAGACAAAAGAGTGTTTTAAGATCAATTGGAAAGGATTGACTAGAGAAGGGGTGTATCAGAATCGGTTAGCATACTGATGCCATTTACCCTGGTATCAGATCACATGGCTAGCCAACCCAGACAGCTCCCTTCTTGGACAAGATGGCCCCTCATCCCTACCAAGAGTGACCTGAGCTGAAGAGTTTTGCATTTAACATACAGACAGAAATATAAGCACACAAGTCAGTTACAAATTCAGTTCTGATAAGGGCAGCATAAAAATGGTTTAGCCACGTAAGGCACGGTGGCTCACACCTGTAATCCCAGCACTTTGGGAGGCCGAGGCGAGTGGATCACCTGAGGTCAGGAGTTCAAGACCAGCCTGGCCAACATGGTGAAACCCCATCTCTACTAAAAATATAAAACTAGCTGGGCATGGTGGTGGGCGCCTGTAATCGCAGCTACTCGGGAGGCTGAGGCAGGAGAATTGCTTGAACCCAGGAGATGGAGGTTGCAGTGAGCCGACACGGTGCCACTGCACTCCAGCCTCAGCAACAGAGTGAGACTCTGTCTCAAAAAAAAAAAAAAAAAAAAGAAAGAGAAGAAAAATGGTTTAGCCAATGTAATCCACTCCATCCTATGGCATAATAGGCTAGATATGTGGATTTTGTTAATTAGTAGCATGCATTCCATATCTAATGGGTACAAAAACCACAGATTCCTAGAAACTTGGGACTAAATAGTTCACTCTAACTCCTTACTTTATGGATGAACAAAGTGAAATCCAATTTTGAGAAGGAACTTGTCCAATGTCACTAAACAAATTAGTGACATAACCAGGGAACATGGTCTCTGAGAGTAATTCCCTAAATTAGATTTCATAGATTGGGAGTTTGTAAAACATAATCACATTACTCTCAACACAGGAATATGAATATATAGTCACTAAATCTATTACTGTGGTTATAATCCAAATACTTGGAAAAGGTTTTCATATAGTCACTAAATCTATTACTGTGGTTGTAATCCAAATACTTGGAAAAGGTTAGCTTCTAGTTACTTATTTCCCCATACTTGTTTTGAATATTTTATGCCATCCATATAAATCAATACCACAACAACGATGGAATTCACTAACAATCAAAATAAATCAAAGCTAGTTTTCTGGCCTCTGAATTACATGTACAGTAATACATTTTAAAATAATGCTTAAAATTGCCAACTCTACTTCATACGATTATAAAAATTATTGTACTTATAAGAAATTGACAATAATTTTGCAAGATTGTAGAATTCAAAAGAGCACTTATACTTACATTGAAACCTGACATGTTAATATCTATCCGTGGTTCACCTTCCTTTTGTCCTTTTGGTGCGATTTGATTGAGAAGATGGAAATAGGCTTTGGAATCCTACAAAGAATTGAAAATGTCAGTGAGATCACAGTTACAAGGAATGAATGTATCCTATTGTCCCATGTTTGGAAGGCTATTTGCATTGGATTTTTTGAGAATAAATGGCACAAATCTCTGCCTTTTAATTTAACAGGTGTTTTCCCCAGAAAAGTCCATCTATCTGCCTTATATCTGTCTTGCATATGGATGAACTGGATTTTGACATGACTTCGCAATTATTAAAGTCATCAATACAATAATGCTAATAAACATATAACCAGTTCTGTACCTTCACTGAATTACTGAAGTCAATAAGCTTGACAGACAAAACAAGCATTTAAAAAAGTAGGAGAGCAGAAATCCAGGAAGCATAGAAGAAAGAGAAAATAAACAGGTTATATCATTACAAAGCACAATGCATATACCACAACCTACGAAGAAGAGATTAGCTATGTTAAAGATGTATTTAATTGTAAATTTAAATGACAAAAGCATTAAATGGTAAACATTTTAGTTGCTAAAATAACACTGAACCCTCTATGATCTGAATGTACTTAACAAAACAAAGGTCTCTTTTCGTTTTAAACCCCTGGACTAAATCACTTGAATGTTGTTTTCTTAGAATCCCAATACATAAAACAATGGGGTTGGCTCACAGTCAACATGAATTCAGGTTGTGTGGACAACTCCACAAAACACAGCTTGAAAACTATTGTACTTGCACAAACGCTTATTAAGAACCTTTACACACGTGTCAAGTAAATTCCTGCATCTTTGGAATGCTAGAGGACCGGAATTTGAGTCAAGATTCCTTAATCCTGCCATATGTGAAGACCACCTTCCAGCTACGATATTAATAGTTTCCTGTTACTGGGCTTTGAAGGTCCAGACAGGCTATGAAGGAGTGTTTCTCATAGTCTATGTGCATACTAACCCCTGAGGAAGTTACTCAATATGTGAATTACTGAATCCAATTCCTGAGCTACCAAATATAAATGTCTGGGAGCTGCCCAGAAAGGTGCCTTTTAAACCAGTTACCCAGGTGAGTTTGAAACTTGGTGCCATAAATGATTCTAAGAATGGGGAAAATCAGGTAATTGAAAGCTATTTCAGAGCAATTCATAAAATGCCAACTCCGATTCTATCATTTGGGGGCATAGCATTTACCTCTTAAGGAATAGTGTACTACAATTGCGAAAGTGCTTTCACTTCCAATTACTTGCTAAAGCTACACAAACAATTTATAATAAACCTATGCTCTTGAGAAGAACAAGTAAAGAGCAGACCCAGCAAAATCTGTATTTACTACCCTGAAAAGGGCTTTACAGGTGAAAATTTGAACTTGAATACAGATAAACTGGAAGTTAGTTTTCACATTACCAAACAATTATTTCCTTTTTAAAAATATTGATGGCCGGGGGCGGTGACTCATGCCTGTAATCCCAGCACTTTGGGAGGCCGAGGTAGGCAGATCACGAGGTCAGGAGATCGAGACCATCCTGGCTAACACGGTGAAACCCCATGTCTACTAAAAATACAAAAAAAATTAGCCAGGCATGGTGGCGGGTGCCTGTAGTCCTAGCTACTCAGGAGGCTGAGGCAGGAGAATGGCGTGAACCTGGGAGGTGGAGCTTGCAGTGAGCCGAGATGGCGCCACTGCACTCCAGCCTGGGCGACAGAGCAAGACTCCATCTCAAAAAAAAAAATAAACAAAAAATAATTTAAAAAATAAAAAATAAAAAAATTCAAAGCAGGCTTCATTTACAAAAATAAGATTTTCTCTTTACATTTAAAATATATCCCACTACATAAAATCCATTTATGGTTGGCTTGCTGATTTTCAGGAACGCATCTAGTGCATGAAGCAAAATATACCTGGCTGGCCAGGTACCATGGCTCATGCCTGTAATCCCAGCATTTTAGGAGGCCGAGGTGGGAGGATCACTTGAGCCCAGGAGCTTGAGTCCAGCCTGGGCAACACAGTGAGACCCCATCTCTACAAATAATAAAAAAATCAGGCCGGGCACAGTGGCTCATGCCTGTAATCCCAGCACTTTGGGAAGCCGAGGTGGGCAGATCATGAGGTCAGGAGTTTGAGACCAGTCTGACCAAGATGGTGAAACCCTGTCTCTCCTAAAAATACAAAAATTAACCAGGCGTGGTGGTGGATGCCTGTAATTCCAGCTACTCAGGAGGCTGAGGCAGAAGAATCTCTTGAACCTGGGAGGCGGAGGTTGCAGTGAGCCGAGATAGTGCCACTGCACTCCAGCCTGAGTGACAGAGGGAGACTCCATCTCAGAAAAAGAAAAAAAAATCAATCGGGCTTGGTGGTGTGCACCTGTAGTCCCAGCTACTTGGGAGGCTGAAGTGGGAAGATTGCTTGAGCTTGGGAGGTAAAGGCTGCAGTGAGCCATGTTAGCAGCACTGCACTCCAGCCTGGGTGACGAAGTGAGACCCTGTCACAACAACAACAGCAACAACAACAAACCTGGCCAAACATATTGTGTAATTAAAAGAGAGGGCAGGGTCAGTTGGTCTTATAATTTTGGGGCTACTCTTAATTTTCATGGATGAAATCAGTAGTACAGGCAACTCACTGCTTCCTCTCATCACTGAACAAAATCATATCATCACATAGTATTGTTTTCACAGCCTTGCTGGTCAGTGACATCTGATGAAGATCCTTAAGTTTATTCCCTGTGTACCAACATCTGGATGTCACACAGAATTGAGGCAGTTAAGGAGAACTCCACACAATGTTTGCTATGGTAATGTTGGCCCTCTGCATGAGAAGCCAAAGGCAACATGTAATAAATGTCTTCCTCCATTGTTAGTTTTCCCCCACTGCTCATGATAAACAGTGAGTGAAAAAAAAATTCAATTCAATGCAAGAAATATGAGGGACTTGTATATGCCACATACTATGTTTTAAGTTGGCTTTAGTAGGAGGGCCCTGGAGCAGGGGCTGAGGTAGGATACACAGACATAAATAAGAGCTCATTGCTATCCTCGAGGAACTCACAACTAAAGGTAGGATAAAATGACAGGAGAGAAGCCAAATAAAAAAGGTGAAGAGGAAATCATGAGGCCCTTCCTATCTCTTCTAGGTGTGTTTACTAACAGGTACACTGAGGCTTGGGAAAGGCAGTTAAGAATAGAATAGTCATGTCCTATTCTTTAATACTCCATGTTTACCAATAGGCAGGATATAACAAATTAGCATTATAATATGATAAATTAGCATAATATTTTTACCTTTTCCCACAAAATAAAACATAGGTGCTAATGTACCTTATCTGGCTCTATTACTCTTCTAAAATCTACCTTCAGGGCCAAGAGACAACAAGGCTTGGTGATACAGTGTTAGGATTTTCTCTCTGTTAAGCTGGGATGAAATCTTCCAGCTATTATATCCCCCCAAAATGTTGTGATTCTTTCAACAGTTACCTTGATGTCAGCACTAAAGTTGTTAATTTTTTGCCAGCCCGAGTTTTCCAAATGAAAGTTTGCCCATCTAAGCAGAAGCTCTTCTGGAGACAATTTCATAAGTTCCTCCAAAGTCTCACCATCTCGGAGTAAAGCAGCCAAGGCTAGAAGAAAAAAAAAAAAATCCCACAGTTATTATATGACACAATAATGGTCATGCCAAGTTCATTCAGTCTTTTGACACTGTTAAGTAATAGAGGTGCAAAAACTACTATGACATAGTTCCTAGTTTCAAGATACTCATAATCTACTAAAAAAGATAAATATATAACAGATATAATAACATAATACTACAATTTATTCTTTTCTCTGTTATTCTTCACATTTCAAATACCAAATGAGGTTATGGCCTTTAAGCTTAATGCAAGCTTCACATTATGTCATATGTTTGTATAAGTTGTTCTTATTTAACACTTCTAAAGTCAAGGATTTGGGTCTGGGTGCAGTGGCTCACGCCTGTAATCCCAGCACTTTGGGAGGCCGAGGCGGGCGGATCACGAGGTCAGGAGATCAAGACCATCCTGGCTAACACGCTGAAACCCCATCTCTACTAAAAATTCAAAAAATTAGCCGGGCGTGGTGGCGGGCGCCTGTAGTCCCAGCTACTTGGGAGGCTGAGGCAGGAGAATGGCGTGAACCCGGGAGGTGGAGCTTGCAGTGAGCTAAGATCGCACCACTGCACTCCAGCCTGGGCAACAGAGCGAGACTCCGTCTCAAAAAAAAAAAAAAAAAAAGTCAGGGATTTGGGGGAAAGATGTTTACAATTTGGGAATCTTTTACTTAACCTTTTGATTAAAGTAGTCTAGAAACACGGTGGTATTTGTATTTAAGTAAAATTAATCAATTAACTCTTGAAGGCTCAATCCTATTTTAACAGAAATATAATTCATCCTTATATTTTCTTTTTCTTTTCTTTCTTTTGAGAGAGTCTCGCACTATTGACCAGGCTGGAGTGCAGTGGCGTGATCTCGGCTCACTGCAACCTCTGCCTCCATGATCTCGGCTCGCTGCAACCTCTGCCTCCCAGGTTCAAGCGATTCTCCTGCCTCAGCCTCCTGACTAGCTGGGACTACAGGCACATGCCACCACGCCCAGGTAACTTTTCTATTGTTTGTAGAGACGGGGTTCCGCCATGTTAGCCAGGGTGGTCTCCAACTCCTGGCCTCAAGTGATCCACCTGTCTCGGCCTCCCAAAGTGCTGGGATTACAGGCATGGTCCAACACACCCGGTTGCAATCTTACATTTTCTCTCTTTTTTTTTCTTTCTTTCTTTTTTTTTTTTTTTTTTTGAGACAGAGTCTCACTCTTTCGCCCAGGCTGGAGTGCAATGGCACAATCTCAGCTCACTGCAACCTCCGCCTTCCGGGTTCAAGCAATTCTCCTGCCTCAGCCTCCGGAGAAGCTGGGACTACAGGCACGTGCCACCTCGCCTGGCTAATTTTTTGTATTTTTAGTAGAAACGGGGTTTCACCATGTTAGCCAGGCTGATTGTGCCACTGCGCTCCAGCCTGGGTGACAGAGTGAGACCCTGTCTCCAAAAAAGAAGATGGTGCAAAATGGTGGAGCTGAGGGTGGCAACGGGGTAGAAGTTGTGTAGGCAGAACAGAAAAAAATAGATAATCAAGTTTGAGGACTTCAGGAAAGCTCCTTAATCTCTCTGTGCTTTTGTGTCATTATTGCAAAATGAATTGTAAAGTGCCAGACAAATGTGAATTACTAGTAAAGAAGAGAGTCATGTAATTAGGCTATTTTCCTGAATAACTCTATAGCATTACCTTATGTTCATTCTAGTTACCACCATTTAATCACCTCCATTAAGTGAGAGCACGAAAGTCTGCATGACTAGAAAAAAATAACCAATAAACAACTGCCAGAATGACTGTGTTCCATTACCTTCATTCCTGCTTAATTCAATGTCAGCGAACAAACCGATCTTAATGATCTGCCAAAGCAGTCCCAAAACCAGATGAGGTTTCCCAGCCCTCAAATCTTCTGCACCAATGTTCACAACATGACACCCAATGGCAGAAGCAGAGTTCAGTGCCAAGTTCAAGTTTTCCTGCAAGACAGCCAAATTACACACTTGCTTCTTGACCTTTCCATTTTTTAGCAGTCTACTTTCTCCCTTCACTGAAAATAACATTCAATGAGGAAATTAATACCCTGTATTAATTTCATCCATATATGTGTCACAAAAAACAAATTCCAGAGTTTTGTGTTAGAAAGCCTAGCTAAGACAAATTTCAGCCTTATTGCTATTGCCTTTTGCAGAATCTCATGAGAAGTTAACTTTGTATTTTTATTTGGTACCTTTTGAAGTATGCTGGCACTAAATGAAAAGGCTGAGTACCACAGTAAATATATCCATGTGAGTAAAGTGTTATAATTCCAAAAATGCCTAAATGGGTGAGAGACCAACAGTACTGCATATGCCCAAAAGAGTTTTAGAAGTTATCAATGTCCACATCCCAAGAGGTGCTCTTCTCTGAGGGAATTTTGCTAATAATCTAATATTCACTTGATAGAAAAAAAAATGCTCCATTTCTTAAGCACGCCAGTTAATTAAGAGCTTATATACTTCTGCTTATCTCTGTAGTGCTTGAACACATTATGAAATGAAAAGAACATGGGGCTTTGAAATTAGAATGGGATTTGAACCTCAGTTCCAACATTAATCTCAGGCAAGCTCAGAAACCTTTCTGAGTCCCAGTTCTGTCTGTATAATCTGGATAACAATCCCACACTCAACAGTTTTTACAAGGATTGATTGGGAGCCTACAGAGTGCAGAGGCTGAAGTCTGCAGAACAGGTCCTCAAACAGTAATTTCATGTTAAAGGGAGGGGAGAACAATGCATACCTGAATGATGAAGGGTGTAAGTTTCTTCTTGTTGATTGCTCTTTCATCAATGGTATCAGGAACTGAAAGGTTAATCATTTTACTGAAACAAAAATTTAAAAAAAGGCTGATGTAAAAAAAAAGAGCTGATTTCCTTTTATAAAGTGGCTGTAAATATTTACAAATATTTTAAAGCTTACTATAACATCTCTTTCATGTACTCTAAAAAATGCAGCTAGATGACTTTTATCATGTTGATCATAATAAACTACACATATGGAAAATAAAAACTAAAAATAAAAAAGGCCAAGGCCTGATGTGGTGGCTGATGTCTATAATCCCAGCACTTTGGGAGGCTGAGGCAGGAGGACTGCTTGAGGCCAGGAGTTCCAGACCAGCCTGGGCAATATAGTGAGACCCTGTCTCTACAAAAACGATAAAAAAATTAGCCGGGCATGGTGGCATGTGCCTGTAGTACAGGTTACCCAGGAGGCTGAGGAAAGAGGACAGCTTGAGCCCAGGAGTTCAAAGTTAGAGTGAGCTACGATCACACCATTCCACTCCAGCCTGGGCAACAGAGCAAGACCCCGTCTCAAAAGAAAAATAAATAAATAAATAAATAAATAAAACCCTGGCCAGGCATGGTGGCTCACGCCTGTAATCCCACACTTTGGGAGGCCAAGGCAGGTGGATCATCTGAGGTCAGGAGTTGGAAAACAGCCTGGCCAACATGGGAAAACCCCGTCTCTACTAAAAATACAAAAATTAGCACAGCGTGGTGGCACACACCTGTAGTCCCAGCTAGTCGGGAGACTGCGGCAGGAGAATTGCCTGAACCTGGGAGGCGGAGGTTGAAGTGAGCGGAGATCATGCCACTGCACTTCATCCTGGACAACACAGCAAGATGCCGTTAAAAAAAAAAAAACCCAAAAAGACCAAAATATGTGCATAGTAGTTGGGTATCTCTGAGCAGAGGATTGTAGCATGCTTTCTCTTTCAATTTTTTTTAATTTTTTCTCATTCTTTTATGAAAGAAAATAACTTGGATATTGAAAACAAAACTTGGGCCAGGTACAGTGTGGCTCACGCCTGTAACCCTAGCAATTTGGGAGGCCAAGGCAGGCAGATTGCTTGAGCTCAAGAGTTCAAGTCTAGCCTAAGCAAGATGGTGAAACCCCATCTCTGCAAAAAGTTAAAAAAAAAATTAGCTAGGCATAGTGGCGCATGCTTGTAGTCCTAGCTACTTTGGAGACTGAAGTGGGAGGACTGATTGAGCCCAAGAGGTCATGGCGGTAGTGAGCCATGATTGAATCACTGCACAGCAAGACCCTGTCTCAAAGAAAAAAAAAAAAGTGGGGGGTGGAACTTTATTGAATATATTTTAAAGACAGATAAAATCCTGCATTGGAAATGAGTCTTTTCCACAAAACAGTAAAATTAGTTGAGCATGAGATTCTTTCATTCACCAAATGTTTACCGAGTGCCTCAACAATGAGCCAGACACTATATTTGGTGCTGGCAGTATAGTGGCGAGAGAAAGATTAGGTAGGCTATAGTCTGTGACTCATTAGGAAAAATCTCATTTGGTAAAATCTAGATTTAGACTTTAACATTTTATTTTTTATTTTGTTATTTTTTAGAGACAGGGTCTAACTCTCGCCTGGGCTGCAGTACAGAGGCCCAAATCGTAGCTCGAATCACTGCAGCCTCGAACTCCTGGGCTCAAGGGATCCTCCAACCTCAGCCTCCAAGTACCTGGGATTACAGGTGCGAGCCACTATGCCTGGCTCTAACATATTAGATGTTCATAATACTGCCCTAATAAATTTTTTTCTACAGAAAGAAAGCCATGCTTCTTTCCATGCAAAATTCAAATCTTAGTTAGTTCAATATGATTATCTCTTATTATTTTTACAATTTATAGATTTTTTGAGTTCTGCAGGGTGAGTCCCCAGAGAGGGAAACTTGCAGTCTTCTCTCTATATTAAAATGCAAGGGAGGCCGGGCACGGTGGCTCATGCCTGTAATCCCAGCGCTTTGGTAGGCTGAGGCAGGAGGATCACTTGAGGTCAGGAGTTCGAGACCAGCCTAGCCAACATGGTGAAACCCTGTCTCTACTAAAAATACAAAAATTAGCTGGGTGCGGTGGTGAGCACCTGTAGTCCCAGCTACTCGGGAGGCTGAGGCATAAGAATTGCTTGAAACTGGGAGGTGGAGGATGCAGTGAGCAGAGGTCACGCCACTACACTCCAGCCTGGGCGACAGAGCAAGGCTCCATCTCAAAAACAAAAACAAAACACACACATGGGAAATTATTTCTTCACTGCTTGTAAACAGAACACAAAGGAAATGTATATATATATATTCTTATTTCTTAGACAGACAGGGTCACCCAGGCTGGAGTTCAGTGGTGCAAATCCTGGCTCACTGCCGCCTTGTACTCCTGGGCTCAAGTGATCCTCCTGCCTCAGCCTCTCAAGTAGCTGGGACTAAAGGGGTGCAACCCCATGTTGGGTTAATTTTTAATTTTTTTGTAGAGACAGGGTCTCGTTTTGTTGCCCAGACTGGACCTAACTCCTGGTCTTCAGCGATCTTGCTGCCTCTGCCTCCCAAAGGGCTGGGCGTGAGCCACCATGACCAGCCTATCTTACATTTTTAATATCAGCTTTTCAAACAACCAAAATGACCCTACTGCAAAAAGAAGAATTGTGTATACTATAATATATACTGTCAGCCGGGCGCGGTGGCTCACATCTGTAACCCCAGCACTTTGGGAGGCCGAGGCGGGCAGATCACCTGAGGTCTGGAGTTCGAGACCAGCCTGACCAACATGGAGAAACCCCATCTCTACTAAAAGTAAAGAAATAATAATAAAAAAATTTAGCCGGGTGTGGTGGTGCATGCCTGTAGTCCCAGCTACTCAGGAGGCTGAGGCAGGAGAATGGCTTGAACCCAGAGGCGGAGGTTGCGGTGAGCCAAAATTGCGCCATTGCACTCCAGCCTGGGCAACAAGAGCGAAACTCCATCTCACACACACAACATATATATATATATATAATGTTATATTATATATAACATATATGTATAATATATACTTTATATACGTATATATACATATATTATATAACATATATGTATAATATATATTTTATATATATTATACATATATATTTTGTATATATACATATATACATGTATAATATACATATATTATACATATATATACATATATACATGTATAATATACATATATTATACATATATATACATATATACATGTATTATATATATTATACATATATATTTTGTATATATACATATATATTTTGTATATATGTGTATAAAATATATATGTGTAAATATATATACACACATATATTTTATATATGTATATATATACATATATATGTATATATTTTATATATATATAGTTATCTGAAATATGTCAGTTGCACTACCCTAAGCACTTTGTATGTAGTAATTTACTTAATGCTCACAAAAGCCCTGTGAGATAAGTATAATAATGTGGAGATCATAACAGATGGAAACTGAAATGCAAAGGGGTTGAGTATTATGATCACAGTTGTACCGCTTCAGAGTGGCAGGACTGAATAGAAAGAAGTCAGGCAGACTGATTATGGAGCATGCTATTAACCACTGTGTGACACTGCCTCTATAAATTGGAACATCGACTGGCAGTGTTGATAATGTTGTGTTATGTCTGCCAAGATGCTGTTGGCTGTGGGGCAGCAGCAGTGACAAAAGCATTTTTTAGAAATAGGTCATTGGAGAGTGAGAACTGAAGAGTAGCCTCTTTTTTTCTTTTGGAAGCTGTGGTACTTTAGAATAAAGAGACACTGACATACTTAAGTTCAACAAAGTTGTAATGTTCTGCTGGCCTGGTGTTGAGAAGAAAATGGAGGCTGAGAGCTTCCCTATAAAGAGGTTGTCGATTTATGGCTGAATTTTAGATTCATGGACAGACCTAGAGATTAAATGAAAAAGGCAGAACCTGGATAATTTTCCATTCTAGTTATTTCTTGAGGTGAACCTGTCAAGCATGCAGAAACAAATATATCAATTATATGGAAGGCTATTTTTGGATATCTGGATATAAAACAAGCTAACATCTTACCAAAGCACAATTCCATCACCAACAGCTTTGAACAGGTCATCGGTGTTAGGGTTCATTGGTATAACATGTCTACAATCAGGATCATTTTCCAAAGCTTTGTTTATCCAGTTAACAAAAGCATATTTTTCTTCCTCTAAAATTATGTTAAATAACAAGACATTAGTTCATACTCTAACTTATTAAATATTTGACTCCAAAGCCTAAAATAGTTGTGCAGTAGTGCTGAAAGTTAATGTGTCAGAAACATGTGGTTATTCTGTGTGGAAACCCAGACACTTGGATGCAACACAGTGGTTATTAGGAATTACAAAATTAAGAAAAAGAATAGAACACGTTAACCAGTCCTCAGAAAAGTTACAAAATTCCTTAAAAATTATATTTATATTACTGTATAATGCACTGTAATAAAGCCTGTCATTACATGGATTGTATCCTGTCTCTTGCAAGCTAACAAAGCCATACAATAAACACTTATAATGCCTTTATGACAAGTATTAGTCTCAAGCCTAAATACATGTCACAAAGGACTTCTACTGTATTCTTAATTAGAAGGTAATGTTTTTCTAGAGCCCGTCCTTGACATTACAGCAACCATCCCACTTAGCACATTGTGTTAACCTATTGCATATAAAATGATTACCTGAGTAAGAATGCTGTGTTCCTTCGCTGGACAACTCTGAAGTTCCACCCAGAGCACAAATACCTTCTTTCCTGTTGATTGCTTTGCGGAAGGTCTTGGCAATATCACTACTTTTTACCTCTTGAAAAATCTATTAATTAAAGTAATTTTGTTGATTCACAATTAATTTCAAACTATGCACAATAAGCATATTTATATTCTTTTATATCTTGATCACTTACATTTTTTCCATAGCTGATGTTAAAAGATACAAAAAACTGGGCTTGAGTTTTTGAAATGCTAAACAAGTACTACAATACCCCTTCTGAAAATGAAGCACCAGAATGTCAATTGCACACACTTGTCAAAAACATTAAGCGCTACATGCATTGAACTCACTTTAAGCCAAAAACTAATGTGGTTCAAAGGCACAGGTAAATCTGTTAATTTTCTACAAACAAGGAAGGCTTTATTCTTTTCCTGGAGAGAAAACATTGAAGAATCCCCCTACTTTAATAAAAATTCTTAATGCAAAGAAAGATAAAATTTTATGATTTAACCAAAAAACTATTTTACAGTATAATGGGGTAGCTCATTAAGAATTCATTAAATCAAAAGTTACAGAATAATGCAGTTAAAAAATGTGTTAAGCTGGTAGTAATAGATGACTATCAAGAATAAACACCAAAAAGAGGCTTTTCAGTGATTGTCTTATTGGGGCATTTATGAAGTCCAGCTTCTCTTCACAGTAAGGAACATTCTAATTGTACAAAAGCAAGTTATAACACAGTAAGTTTCACATCCTAGTACTGTGTAGCTATCTGATTGGACATTCTATCTGTCTATATTTTTCTGAGGTATTGGAATGTACCTAATTCCAAATGTGTTCCTGATCCACCAATGTGCGTGGCTAAATTAGTCAAAGCCAGTAAAACAGGAGCAAGATGTAGAAACCGTATACAACTTTCTTTAAATGGCGTTTAGAATTCCATTTAAGTGGATTCATTGAAAGAAAACTTAAGACTTAATGGAAAAGTTGCTGAACAAATGCAATTCAAAGACCTTTAACATTCGTGACAGATATGTATTCACACACACATCTCAGGAAGATGCAGCCTATGTCTGCGGTTCATAGAACAGGGTTACAATATACATAACAGTTCAGGTTGTATGTGTCAGAGCAGGCACGAGCAGAAGCAGAAATCCAGCCCAAGCTATACTAACCAAGCCTTGTGTCTCGCACAGGACTGTGTCAGACCGAAAGGAGTGCCTTGTTGTATTTTGTCTTTCCAGGAGGGTACCTTTTTGTAATTAATCCATCTAGAGAAAGTGACTTTTAGTAACTGGTAGAAAAGTTGCTGTATGTGTTGTCAGTGGCCCTATTACTTAGTCATTTTTTCCTGTTACCTTTCTTAAATTAAATCCTAACTTTCTTTGGACTTACAAATAAAATTTTGTTTGAGAGAATAGTTAGTAAGCACTTAAATTTTACAAAATCAAGCTTACTCAGTATTTCCATACCTGTGATTCTGTGCTAGCTTTACCAGTAATTTTGGAGGTGGAATTTTAGAATAAATGTCTGTGTGTGTCTATGTTTGTATATGTATGCAGACACACACATACACACTACTCTAAATACTAAACACAACCAATGAAATCACCCTTCCTGCTCTATGGCCATTATACTGACTTTCACTAAGTATCAACAGTATGGAGCTTACGCACACACTTCAGGCAGTTTTCAAATGATTAAAATATTTTTATTTACAATCTGATTTTTTAGTCCAACTGTGCCTTAACTGTGATGCATTTTGATCCTATAGCTCTCCTTTTGATAACAACGCAGCTGCTCTGTGAAAAGACAATAGTCACTAGTCTACTTCTTTCTGAACTCTACTTCATTGTCTAATAAGTTAAAATCTGAAAGGTGTGCATTTCTTCATGCCTAACATACCACAAGTCCCTGCAATGACAAAAGTGTTACAGCTTCAGAATGAGATATGTAAAGTTATTTTTCTTATTACGAGTGCTTCTGCTTCAAGAATCATTTACTTCTAAAACTTAGGTTGTTTCAATGATCATGATTTCAGCTAAAAAATAAATCCAAATTTGTTTATGTCACAGAAAAAAGGATTAATTCATATTTAAAAAAGAGAACGTCTGGGAATTCGAACTAATAACTAGAACTAGAAAAGTAGGCTGGGCACGGTGGCTCACATCTGTAATCCCAGCACTTTGGGAGGCCAAAGTGGGTGGATCACTTGAGGTCAGGAGGAGTTCAAGACCAGCCTGGCCAACTTGATGAAACCCAGTCTCTACTAAAAATACAAAAATTAGGTGGGCGTGGTGGTGCATGCCTGTAACCCCAGCTACTTGGGAGGCTGAGGCATGAGAATCACTTGAACCCGGGAGATGGAGGTTGCAGTGAGCCAAGATGGGCCACTGCACTTCAGCCTGGGCAACAGAGCAAGATCCTGTCTCAGAAAAAAAAAAAGGAAAATAAATTAAACATATATATACATATATATAGAATGTCTCTGCTATATATCCTAATGCAATTATTTACATAGCTTTAGTAAAACTCCTTCTTATGCTTGGCAATGAAATGCAAAGTTGTAATTAAGTTTGTTAATTTTCAAAGGTCTTGCAAAAGTTACATGACCTTCATTTTCTAAATTGTTTCAAATAAATTATTCCAGCTAAGCTTAAACTTTTAGTTTCATAGTATTTTCCTCTATTCCCTTGGTTTTAAAAAAGTAAAAATGGGCCAGGTATGGTGGCTCACACCTGTAATCCCAGCACTTTGGGAGGCCAAGGTGGGCGGATGGTTTGAGGTCGGGAGTTCGAGACCAGCCTGACCAACATGGAGAAACTCTGTCTCTACTAAAAACACAAAATTAGCCGGTCGTGGTGGCGCATGCCTGTAATCCCAGCTACTCTGGAGACTGAGGCAGGAGAATCCCTTGAACCCAGGAGGCAGAGGTTGCAGTGAGCCGAGATCACGCCACTGCACTCTAGCCTAGGCAACAAGAGTGAAACTCCGTCTCAAAAAAAAAAAAAAAGTAAAAATGATAAGAAAGAACTGAAGATTTGTGTCTATGATATTGATTCACTACACAAGAATTTGCATTTTACTTTCTACTTTAGTAAAGAAATCGCTTAAGTGGATGATAAAACTATTTGAGTACAAGCTTTGGCTTGACAAGAAATCTCTGAAATCAGAGATAGCACAAGGCTGACTACTGTGCTGGAGTCTTCTCAATGAATCTTTTCAAAGCTGCCCGTTGTGATACTAATGAGCTCACTGTTTTGTGCTGTTTTCTCTCCACAAGGAAAGACTTGCTTTATCATCTGTGAGCTAACTCCTGCTGTACTTTTTTCAGGAAGCCATAACCACTCTTGATCTATACATCTTTTTCAGTCTCCGTTATGGAATATATATGTTTTTTATTCCTTTTATTAAGTTTCGCCTTCTTTCTCTCAAAGACTCTCAGCAACCGGCTAACTTCTTTTGACCCCAGAGTTAGCTCAACACAGGACGAGTGGCCAAACCAAAACAATCCAGAGGCATATGACTTAAGAAAGAAAGATTTCAGAAAGAATTGCAAAAAAAGAATTGACTGGCTTCCAGTGTTTGGGGCTTATTTCCAAAATGTTTCCAAAGAGGCAGGATTGAATTTTTCCATTATTTTGGAATGTCTTGTAGGCCTAAACTTAGTAATATTTGAAAAACATAACTTCTTTTTTTTTTTTTTAAAGAAAGAACTACCCCAGCAACTAACACCTATATAGTATTTACTATATGTCCAAGACTGTTCTGGGCAGCTTACTTCTCTGCTGAAAGTGCCATACTAGTTTAACAATCAAAGAAAAAAAGTCCCATTATCTTGTAAGCATAAAAATCCAGTATTTTTAGTTTTGAAGTGCTTAGAATTTTAAAAAGCAGGGTATTAAATTTAATTTTCACCTTTAAAGTTTACATACATATAATTTTGGGACTGTTTTTTGCCATACACACACACACGCGCGCACACACACACAGACATTTCTCTGAAATTAACATAAACTGTTTTTGTTTGTAGTCTGGTTTGCAATTAACACCCCTTAAGCAACAATTCAAAGAAAAAGCAGAAACCTAACAAGCAAGAACATGTTTGTATCTATTTCCTTATGCCAATATCTAACAGGAATAACATGATTTCTATTTCTTGGATAACTAAGCTCTACCCATATTTTGTTTGACAATTTGTAAGATGTTTCACTGATGACAAGGCAGATGGGTGCGGACAGACATTTGGTTAATACAGTCATAGTAGTAGTAGCATCTGAAAACTTCAGGTAGGTTACTTTACTGTCCTTGATATTTCAAATTTCTTGAATAGCAGGGAGGTACTGGAAAAAGCCACTAGTCCTCTGTGTAATGTTAGGCAAAAAGGAAAAGTCACTTCCTTTTTCAGAAATCCAAGTTTGTTTCTTTTCATTTGAAAAGTGTAGGAGTGTAAACATAATGATTCCTTCCAATTCTAAAATGTATATTCTAACCTAAAATGTCCTCACGAATGTTGTTTTCTTAAAGCCCTGGTGTTGCCAAAATTATTGTGCATGTTCTTTACTTTTAAAGAATATACTAAGGTAATCACACCTCCTCCCTTAAAAGCCACAAATAGCTGTGTAAAAACTACATTTCAAAATCTACAAAATTAACAATTTCCCCAAGATCATTTTCAAAGACACTTTTACAATTTTGTCCTTAATATAATGACACACTGCAAATCCTATTGATTTTGGTCTGTTCTTTCTAATAGATTAAAAAATTCTGAGCAATACATTTTATCAAAAACAGCCAATCATAGTTAACTGCTGCTCTGCGCTACTTTAAATTCACAATTAACCATGCAGTTAAAAGGGGAGCAAGTGATACATCAGAAAACATGCAAGTGCTCAAATTGCAAATAAACTGCAACTTACTATTGAACATAGAATTCAAAACAAAAGGCTTTGGCCATAACTGGAGACAAAAAAATGGTGGGAGGAAATCAGTATTTCAAAAGAAAACGGCAGGAACGATATCATTATAATTATGACACAAGTCTGCTTTTTTTTTTTTTTTTTTTTTTTTTTGAGACGGAGTCTCACTCTGTCACCAGGCTGGAGTGCAGTGGCACAATCTTGGCTCACTGCAACCTCCGACTCCCTGGTTCAGGCGATTCTCTTGCCCCAGCCTCCCGAGTAGCTGGGATTACAGGCACGCACCACCACGCCCAGATAGTTTTTGTATTTTTAGTAGAGACCGGGTTTCACCATGTTGGCCAGTATGGCCCTCGATCTTCTGAGCTCGTGATCCACCCGCCTTGGCCTCCCAAAGTGCTGGGATTACAGGCGTGAGCCACCGTGCCCGGCCGACAAGTGTGCATTTTAAAAACAATCACAAAATGCTGTCAGCTGAGTAGGCATCATTACTTAGTCAATTTGCTTCTTGGACTACTACAGTGTTCTAAAGGTGTTAATTCTAATTGGAAAGAACATTTCAAAATTTCACTTGCTATGGTGAGCCACAGTTACTGATGGAAGTACATGCTATCGTTTCAGTTGTCTTGGGGAAAAATAAACCATGACAAAGGAGGATAGGAGCGCTGGGACATTTGTGATAAATATTAGGCACTGATAACTAGTTTGTGATATACTGAAAGGAATCCCTAGTAAGATCTAGTCAAACTCAGCCTTAAATTAATAATAAATACACCAATAAAATCTTAAAGGTATCCTTAATTGAGGGAAGAAGCAACAACTATTCTTTTATTTTTAAAATTAATTAATTTATTAATTTAGAGACAGGGTCTTGCTCTGTCACCCAGACTGGAGGGCAGTGGTGTTATCACAGCTCACTGCAGCCTCAAACTACTGGGCTTGAGCAATCCTCCTGCCTCAGCCTCCTGAGTAGCTAGGACTATAGGCTCGAGCTACCAGGCTGGGCTAATTAAAAATTTTCTTTTGTACAGATGGGGTCTCCCTAAGCTGCCCAAGCTGACAAGTTCTCCCTAACTTGCCCAAGTTGGTCTTGAATGCCTGGCCTCAAGAGACCCTCCTGCCTCAGCCTACCAAAGTGCCGGAGTTACAGGTGTGAGCCACCACACCCAGCCAGCTATTTTTAACACGTATCTCAAATACACTGTCAATAAATACAGACTGAAAATGGCATAAGTCTAAAAAATCTAGACCTCACTTGCTAGCAGCCAATAGTGGTAGGCATTGAAGAACCATGTGCCATGTATACATTTTCCAGGCACTGAGTAGAGAACACCAAACTAAGTTCTGGGAGTGGGGTGGGGGGGTGAAAGAATTAAAAACTCAGCCCCTAACCTTGAAGAATATTTGATGAAACTAGAGAAGAAAACAAAAATGTTAAATGCCTCTTCCAATGGACTGAAAAGATATGCTTCAAACTTTTAATTATCAAAATTATCATCCTAGAGAGAATGGTTCAGTTAAATACCCCTACCACAAGAGTGGAAAACAACTTTTTAATGAGAAAGTTCAGCTCAGGAAGCTTCCGAGACTGTGAGTCAGGGTGTATTATTAAAATTTTGGAGCACACTGTTCACCACGGGAGAGAGAACACTTCAAAGATGTCACTTAGCACCTTGATAACTGCCCTTTAATGATGACATGAAAGGAGACTGTTCGCCTTATATAACTTATCACCTTAACATCTTATCATGTTATATCTTTGTTTCTGCAGTGCTCTTTTTCTCAATTCGTTTGTTAAGATATTCCAGCAGCTAAAAGAAGTACATTTAGTGGGCAGGATGACAGAAATGTTATAACAGTACTAATATGATATATTTAAGAACTTAACATAACAGTACTTAATACTATAACATCCCACTAGACGAGGGAACATCTACTACTTCTAATAATTGTGAATTTTCACATACTTACATAAACAAATTCGTCAAAACTTATTTTCCCATCTTTATTCCTGTCACCATCCAGCATGAGTTTCTGAATAATTTCTCTCACTTTATATCCTGGTAATGGCATATTAGCTTCCTTGAAGAGCTCATGAAGTTCATAGTCACAAATGAATCCGTTGCTGTTGAGATCTTTGTAAAAAAGGAGAGCAAGCAAAAAAGGAAAAAAAATTGAAAGACAGAAGTTAGAGTATTTCCCTTCATTTGAGGTTCAGTTCATAAGCTCACTTACATAAAATATTTTCTTATTGTGGGGAACATAAAGTTGTTTGAAAGGGAAATGGACATTTAAATGGAAAAAGCAAGGTTTTACATCATGTATCCTGTGATTTAAGCAATGTGTAAGTAGATTTACTTAAAAAGAGCATCCCTAAGTTCAAGGAAGCATAGTTGGCTAATACAATTATTATTAACTTGGCGCTAATAGGATTTTAAAAAAAGAACTAATAGATCGTAAACCTACAAAACACTTCCATGGTATAGAACAATTTCTACTGTAAGTATAGGAATTTTGTGTTTCTTATTCTTCCATTGCTCCAAAAAGAACTTATATGAACTTAATGCTGATTCTGTTTCAAAGTACACCTGAAATTAAGCAGTCATGTTCAGTGCCAATTATTTTAAGAGTTAATGTAAACAAACATTAATTCAAGACAAATATAGAGTTTATAAAAATAAATGCACTACTGAGGAAAGCAGATATTTAATATGACTCTATAAATAACCTTTTAATTTTTGTACTACTGAAGTTTCTCAGAGTATGTCTTGAAGTGCTGATTAAATGAATGATGTTTATTCTGAAGCTTTTAAAAATAGAAAAAAAAAACCTGATCAATGACCAAAAGTTAATTTATTGAGAAAAAGGCTAATGTCCTGAGGGTTGTAACCACTTGAGTATATATTTTCCTGTGAATAAAGTTTGATGTTCACAAGTAATTTCAAATATCTTCTGTTCCTTAGGTCTCACTGATTTTCATATGTAAACTTAATTATAATAGAAGGAAACAACCTGAACAGAGAAATGACTCAAGATGACCTTAGCGCATTTAAGAAAATGTATTGTGGCCGGGCACGGTGGCTCACGCCTGTAATCCCAGCACTTTGGGAGGCTGAGGCGGGTGGATCACCTGAGGCCAGGAGTTCGAGACCAGCCTGGCCAACATGGTGAAACCCCGTTTCTACTAAAAATACAAAAAATTAGCTGGGCGTGGTGGCGGGCACCCGTAATCTCAGCTACTCGGGAGGCTGAGGCAGCAGAATCGCTTGAACCTGGGAGGCGGAGGTTGCAGTGAGCCAAGATAGTACCAGTGCACTCCAGCCTGGGCAACAGAGTGAGACTCCGTCTCAAAAAAATATATAAAATAAAAAATAAAAAAATAAAGCAGGCTGGGCACAGTGACTCACGCCTGTAATCCCAGCACTTTGGGAGGCCGAGGCAGGCGGATCACTTGAGGTCAGGAGTTCGAGATCAGCCTGGCCCATATGGCAAAACCCCGTCTTCACTAAAAATACAAAAATTAGCTGGGTATGGTGGTGGGCGCCTATAGTCCCACCTACTCGGGAGGCTGAGGCAGGAGAATCACTTGAACCTGGGCCAAGATTGCACCAATGCACTGCAGCCTGGGTGACAGAGCAAGACTCCATCTCAAAAAAAAAAAAAAAAAAAAAAAAGAAAAGAAAAAAAAAAGAAAAAAGCATAAGGGGTTAGACTGGGGCTATCTTGCCCCCAGGGGACATTTTTGATTGCCATAACTGGAAGCACCTGGCATACAGTGCGTAGAGGCTGGGGATGCTTCTAAATATCTTACAATGGATATGACCCCTTCCTTGTATGTACAACACAAGAGTTATGCAGCTTAAAATGTCAATTGTGCTGAAGTTGAGTAACCCTGGGTTATAGAGATATTGGGGGGCAGGGATGGTGGTGGTGCTACTACTTAGACAGAATGGGTAAGGAAGGCCACTTTGATGAGGTTATATTTGAATGAAGACTTCCATGAGGTAAGGGAAGCAAATCATGTGGCTATCTGGGGCAAGAGATTTCGGGTAGAGAAAATAGCAAATGCAAAGTCAGTGATGCTGCAGTGTGTCTGGTGTGTTTCGGGAAAAGTAAAGATCCAATATGACTTGGGTAGAGTGAACAAGGGGGAAAATGAGAGATAAGGTCGGGGAGCTAGCTGATCTTATAAGCTCTGCTAGGCCAATGTATTCCATGGAATACACTGACATTTCTTTCTAAGTGTGATCTACGTGTAGTTCACATTGTCCAATTTTTGGTCAATTACTAAAATTGCAATTTGCAAGAATGCTCTGGGGGATTAAAAATTAAATTAAATTAAAATATTAAGTATACTGCATGGAACCATCTTGCAAATATTTTGAATGCTGATGAAATTCTGTTTAGTTTTAATGCAGTCTATTTTAAGTATTAAATTTTCTTAAACATTGATTACTACATTTTAAATCTATGAATTAAAACATCTGTACCTTTATTTTTACTTTTGTATTTCTTTGAGACAGGGTCTCTCTTGCCCAAGCTGGAGTGGCACGAGCATGGCTCACTGCAGCATCAACCTCCTGGGCTCAAGCAATCCTCCTGCCTCAGCTCCCCGGCATGGCTGGGGCCAAAGGTGGGCACCATCATGCCTGGCTAATTAAAATATCTGTACTTTTAAAACATCAATAACAAACCATTCAATACTTAGTGTGAAAATCACTTAGATTTCCTTTGAGGTAAAGCACTTAATTTCCCTAGGATGTATATTCACTTTCTTTGCTTTGGATTTATAAAAGGTCATACATCAAACTCTTTATTTCTACATGTAAAGTATTTCTATGTAGAAATCAATCCATCAATAATGTCTGCAGTTGCTAAAAAGAACAAAGTAATCCCCATGGCACTGAGGCAAAATTTTAGTGGCTCTTGTTTTATGAATGTCTTGGGCTTAAATACACCTGCTCCCATGCATATACCAACTTGTTTTTCCTACATCCTTTCTAAAATTACAGTGGAGTTCAGTACTAGAGAGTAAGTGTGGCATAGTGAAAGAAACACAGCATACATGCTTGAAGAGACACACAGTGGGAATAATGTGAAACAATGTCTTATCTCAACTTGGCTATTAATTTGCACAAGTTACCTCTTCAGGTCCTAGTTTTCTCATCTGTAAAAGGAGTGCTTTGGACCACATAATCTCTAAAGTTCCTTTTTGGTTCTATCACACTGATTCTAAATCAGAATACACAAGACTTCACAACCCTCCCCTCACACAAACACTTTTAAAACCTGGAGATAGAATAGTAACGCATATTAAATACAGATACAGAGTGATAACATTCTGATCACTACTGCACCTTATTACCTAAGTATAATATTCTTTCATTTTTATGATATCTTTGGAGGAAGAGATAGCTTATTCTTTTAACTATCAAAACGTTGTCCACTTCAGTGGGTTCTTTTTTTCTTTTAAGCTATTTTCTTTATTTTGAGACTAAGTCTCACTCTGTCACCCAGGCTGGAGTGCAGTGGCATGATCTTGGCTCACTACAACCTCCGCCTCCTGGGTTCAAGCGATTCTCCTGCCTCAGCCTCCTGAGTAGCTGGGATTACAGTGCCACCATGCCTGGCCAACTTCTGTATTTTTAGTAGAGATGGGGTTTCGTCATGTTGGCCAGGCTGGTCTTGAACTCCTGGCCTCAAGTGATCCTCCCACCTTGGCCTCCCAAAGTGGTAGGATTATAGGCATAAGTCACCAAGCTCAGCCAATTTTTTAATTTAAAAAAGTATCTTTAGAGACAGGGTCTCATTCTGTTGCCCAGGCTGGAGTACAGTGGCACAATCATAGCTCACTGCAGCCTTGAAATCCTGGGCTTAAGCAATCCTCCCACCTTAGCCTCCTGAGTAGCTGAGACTACAGGCTCTCACCACTATGCCCAGCTAACTTTTTGTTTCTTGTATTTTTTGTAGAGACAGGGTCTCACTATATTGACCAGGCTAATCTCAAACTCCTGGCCTCAAATGATCCTTCCACCTTGGCCTCCCAAAGTGTTGGGATTACAGGTATGAGCCACTGTGCTTTGACTCTAGTTTAGACTGGAGTATATAACAGGTATGTAACAGGATTTGTTCTTTTTGTATTCTCAGTGTTATAATGGAAGTGGAAGGTAGAGATGTTTTAAATTAGATGTGGGAGAACTACAGTGGATTCAAAGCTATATGAAACTGACTAAGGCCCAGAAAGTTTATCTGGCTGCCTATTTGTATTAGGTTAGACTACAGGTCTGGTGGCTGGGACTGGTGGCTCATGCCTGTAATCCCAGCGCTTTGGGAGGCCGAGGCAGGAGGATCAGTTGAGCCCAGGATTTCGAGGCTGCAGTGAGCTATGATGGCATCATGGCACTCTAGCCTGGGCACCAGAGTGAGACACTGTCTCAAAAGCAAAAACAAAAAACTCCAGAAGTTTGGGTCGCAGGGAGAAATTACTATTTGCCTGTATCCTCCCTGAAATAACCTCTCTTGAACATTAATTAGAAGACAGTTCACTGATGTGATTAAAAGATGCCAGGAAGTAGCCACCCTAAAACATAATTAACATAAAATAACCACATTTGGAAATTTCATTTTGAAGTAAGGGCAGTAGTAAGAAATGCTTTTAGAAAGGGACAGGAAAATTTTAAAGGAAATTGGAGGAATAAGAATTTGTCATTACATGACAAACTTCCTTATTAGGCTGCAAATCTCCCGATAAAGATTCTTTTAAATCTTTGTATCTCCCACCCCAATATGTAGCACAATCTTTTGTGTATAATAAGCAATGGAAAAAAATTATTTTTGTAGAATCACTGATTCTCAGGAATTGACCAAAGAAAGAATGCTCTAATCCTAGATGAGCATTTTAGAAACAAAACTAAACAACAATGACAGAAATACAGAAATAGCACTCAAAGACTGAATGGCAATTCATCGAGAAACCAAAACTTGACAGAAATATCCCTTAAATAACATTCAATCTCATTCCCTTTGTTCTAATCCTGTCCCTACCCAGCAGCCTTCAGATCTGTAATTTGGTTTTCTAAGTGAACACACCCATCAAGGAGGGCCCAAGTGGACCACCAGTGATAGCTCTCTGGTCAGGATCTCTTTTGTTCCAAATGTAGAAACCTGCTTTGGCTTTACTGAGAAAGGAGATGTGCACTTGTTTAGGTATGAGTCACCCTCCAGAGCAAACTGAGTACCTACCCTGTGGGAAGACACCCACTGGGCTACATACCAAAGATACAGAAATGAATCAAACGGAACCCCTGGGTCTTACTTGAAACTGTGGCTACAAAATCCTTGTAAAAATTTTGAGTCACTTCGAATACATATCCTTAGGCTTTCCTGGATGACAAGAATGTGCGTCGTCTTCTAAAAGTTTTACCTATTCTGCCATTTTCCCATAGTTTAGCCCCCAGTGTTAGTCCAAATTACACTACCTCCCATGATCAAAGGCATTTTAGTGTTAGTTAGAGTCAATTTTATCAAGCCTTTCTTAGAGCTCTTAAATCATATATTTTGAAGAAAATAATTTCAATTTAAACAAGAAGGCAGAGGGAGCCTAAAAATGCAGCTAGCAATTAATTTTACAAAACCTCCCAGCTGGTAAAGTACTTGAGAGACAAAATAGCATGCAATTATTCTTAAAGAGTTTTATGCTAATTTTATTTCGAACCCTCAGTCAAAAAACCAAAAACACATCCTTAAACAATATCAAAGATCTAACGTGGTTTGGAAGGCCAGTAAAAAGGTAGCATAATGGGATTTTAGAAAGCTTCCATCTCATCAGGTGCTCACAACTTTTAGTCTACTTCTAAGACTAACTTGTAATTTTAAAAAATAAACATAAATGCTGATGACTATTCAATCTAATTTTCTACATCGGAGAAAAGTAGTTTCGTTTTACAAACTGGCTAAATGATAGTCTTTGAGTCATGTTTTCCTTATGTGTAAAATAAAATAGCTGAGGTACCTGAATGATTTCCAAATAACCCAAAATGAATTTTGGATAATTTTTTGTTATTCAAAAGCAAAATGAGAATAAGAATAATGTGGCAAGGTTTTTCAAAAAGACAATTTAATTTTTTGAAATCATAAGACTATGTCCTTATTTGTGGTTACAGTGTCCACTTTAAAAACAGAGCATTGGAATTAGAATGTTGCTGTTCAGTATGTTTGATGGTGAATTTCTCCTATTCTGAGTTTTGACATAAACATGAGAACTTAATAATAAACTGACCCAAAATAACATACCTAGATTGGAAGTCGTTTTAACAACTGGAAACTAAAATCACAACCACCAGGAATGATGGCAGTCCTTTATTTTCTCATTCATGCTGCCAATACTCTGCAACACCTTTTTGGCTCACTTGCCATTTTCTCATTAACTATACATTGGTATGGAGTGGGAAAAGCTCTGTGTTTTGAAGACTCTTCTGTTTCAGCATCATAGTTTCCAACCAGCTGATAAAGCAGACATAAATTACCATACTGCCTATATTGTGCAGTGCAGTTTCAATGCCAGCACTTCTCAACCTTTTGGTTTAGAAAATATGGTCAGTATGGCTGGACATTAAGGAGAAGCTGGATAAAGGAAACTCTACCTTATCACTGAACACAATTCTGGCAGAAAGTAAAGGGCTAAATTTGAGTAAATTGACAAAGCGTTTTTTTTTAAAAGAAGAAAATTATGATACTTAAAAAAAAATCACTACGCAGCTCCCAGTGCTGCACCAGACAGGCCCATTTTTCATATTGGCCACTGACTGAATTCATAAGAAAAGAATCAACTGTTAAAAGGACTGTTTCCTTTCTCTCTCTCTCTCTCTCTCTCTCTCTCTCTCTCTCTCTCTCTGATGACACGTGTAGGTTCACATCTGCATTTTGTTTTAAAGGAAATCTCATTATTCTCTTTTACCAAGTATTATTTTAAATACTATTTAACTCCCCCGCCGCCCTCCCCTAAGTAAACCTTAAAGTAAATAAACTTATTACACAGCCATGTTCCTGCAGAAGTTTGAATCACACCAAGAATGCATATCCTTAAAAGGAAATGTTTTCCCTCCCCTTGCATCCTGTTATTTAAGCTATTTTAAGTACTTGTCTGGAGAAAGCTAAGCCAGAATCCAAGTGGTTTTGATTTTAGCTGCTGTTTTACACTGCCCATGTCCAGGTGGTACGTGCTGCAATCTATCACTTCAAAAGCGTCTTTTGGGGTGCTACTTTGTCTCATAAATTTGACAGTAAGAAAGACTAGGATTTTCTTTGACGCTCGGGTTGTGTGTGTATGCGTGTGTGTGTGTGTGTGTTGCTTTAAACATCCTTGAATCTGTCTAAATCTGGTGTCTTTCTTTATGAAGAGGTCACATATTGTGTGCCCTCATCTGGAATACACATGCGACCTCTCTATTAGCCCACTCAGGACAGTGCTCATTAGGACTTAAAGAAGAAAGCCTAGCAAGTGCAGATGCATATCCTTTTGGAAAAGCTGGATTTAAAAGTTCAATTTGGTTTGACCAACATATTCTACAAATTTTCTGCACTAAAGAAATGACAAAAGGAATCTATTTATCTAACAATAATGGGTTTACACACATACACAATCCTGAATGCCCATGAAAGCTCACAAAATACTGACTTAAAAGACTCGGTCAAAAGACTTGGGCAGAAGAATTTAAACTATATTCCATCCCAAGATCTAAGCAGTGAAATCAAGCTTTCATTAGGCATTAAATCCTTAGAAAAGGCAGCTGCTAAACATCTCCAGATGCTTAGCTAAACATGGGGTTTGCTTCTCACAGCTTATACCTTTTGAGGTAGCTCACTGCAGCAAATATAAGAGGCAGTTTAATGAGTTCCAGCTAAGGGTAGACTGGAGGTTGCTGCTTTAGAATTCACTGTACTAGTGGATTTCCAAAGATGGAGGTCAAGTACAGCAGAAGGCTGGACAAGTTTAGAGGGTGAGACCAGGCAATCAAAAATGTTTATCAGTCCTTTTCTGACTCAAAATTTCCAGCAGTTTGGCCATCATTTTTCCCCTGCTGCAACTCTCGTTTTAAAAATACATGTGTGTAGGCCAGGCGCGGTGGCTCACGTCTGTAATCCCAGCACTTTGGGAGGCCGAGACGGGCGGATCACGAGGTCAGGAGATCGAGACCATCCTGGCTAACACGGTGAAACTCCGTCTCCACTAAAAATACAAAAAAAAAAATTAGCCGGGCGTGGTGGCAGGCGCCTGTAGTCTGCCACCTGGCTGAGGCAGGAGAATGGCGTGAACCCGGGAGGCGGAGCTTGCAGTGGCCGAGATCGCGCCACTGCACTCCAGCCTGGGTGACAGAGCGAGACTCCGTCTCAAAAAAAATAAATAAACAAAAAATAATTAAAAATAAAAATAAAAAAATAAAAAAATTCAAAGCAGGCTTCACTTAAAAAAATAAGATTTTCTCTTTACATTTAAAATATATCCCACTACATAAAATCCATTTACAGTTGGCTTGCTGATTTTCAGGAACGCATCTAGTGCATGAAGCAAAATATACCTGGCTGGCCAGGTACCATGGCTCAAGCCTGTAATCCCAGCATTTTAGGAGGCCGAGGTGGGAGGATCACTTGAGCCCAGGAGTCTCAAAATAAAAATAAAAATAAAAATAAAAATTGCTTTTACCCATGCACCCACACATGTGTACTCCTAACTAGCTTCCACACCTTTGAAACATGGTTTTCCGACTATCCCGAGACCTCCACTTCTAATAATCCATATATAATTAACCAGATGGCACAATGAAAGAGCACTGATTAGTTTCATTTTTTTTAGACGGGCTATAGTTTTGTTTTTGTTTTAAGGCATAATTAAACAAATATGCACTGGTGTTCTTTTATTGAATACTGAAAGTAAATTAAACTAAAGCACTGTTTTTTTTTGTGGCATCATCCTGATGTGGTTTTTATATACTAGCGAATATCAAGTAATTTGAAACAACTCAACTTCCTAGGATGAGAGAAGTCTGGTATAGCTACAATCACCACAACCAATTTTTTTTTGCTTAGTTTGGTGGGAAACCTCAAAGGAATACACCCATACTATTCCTAGTCATTTAAGAAACCCATTATTCTTTTATTTCAAAAGTGCTGAATTCATGTTTAAAAAACCTCAGTAGTGAGTGCTCAGGAGGGAAAAAAGGCAAGGCAAGGTAAGTGTTTGCAGTACTAAAGCAACTCTGCAAAGGTTTACATTACATGAATTTTTCTTTATGACAAGTAATCATCCAAATGACCACTAGTTTCCATAGCAAGATTAAAGGCTTAGAATGTAAAAGACAGTTTCTAGATGGTAAAATATTAATACCTAAGTGTTTTGAAAGGTTTTATTTATTCTTCTTTAGAAATAGTTATGTATTACAGCATTTAAATTAAATTTGAAACATCATGAAGTACAAAAACTGATAACTAACGTTTCTGCTACTGGGAAGCACTGGAAACAATTGTTGAGAAAATTAAAATAATTACATGAGCTTGGAGCTTAAAACTAAGCAGGTGCAGAAAGTGAGTGAAAAGAGAACTTTAAATTCTAATACTCAATTTATTGCTAGTAAAGAGAGTTTCAAAGCACTATTAATTGATTGAACAAAACCTATGATTAGCAGTAATTACAGAGATTTTCTCCACACGCTATGATTTTGCTGAATTTCTAAGGAGATAATCAAGGCTATTATTGTTAATAGATGGGGAAAATCATCTAATGATTTCCATATTTTGTCGCAATTGAACTGAGACAAAGTAGTCTTTCCTATTCTCTGCCAACCCACCCCCACAAAAAGGAAAAACTGTCCTTCACAGGATAATAAGTTATAGAGCTTGTTTTTAAAATAAAGTGTCCCTGAATTAGAAAAAAAATTCTATAACACCTTTGACGGTTGCCTGAGGGTTCTGTAAGTAACAACAACTTAAAACTACAAAGATTTTTTAAAGAAAATCGAAAGACTCGGCTGGGTCCTTAAATGAGTTTCTAAAAGATGGAGTGTACACACAAGCTTTTATTATGCTGAAAAATATATATAAATTTTATATGCTACAATTTAATGGCAAAAACCTTTAATAATAAATTCCACTGTAATGAAAATCTTCACAACAAAGGCCCTCTGAATGTATGGTTGATAATGACAAAAATCCCAGTACATCAAAAGGCTATGTATATAGTTCCTTGGGTTTCAATCAATGAAATATTTACTGAGAACCTAACATGTGTGCAACACTATGCTAGATACTGAGTGGAGACTACAAAAGAATAATATTCACAATAGGCAGAAATTCTGGATTCCAGAATTCTTTACAGCATATATAGTAATAAGAGCCTGAGTATGTTAGGAACATATGCCTGGCAGGGGCTTTGGCAAACTGTACGCCTATCTTAAACTCTACTTAAACAATAGCTCCACAATGACCTTTTCTTGCAGTCAAACTTCTCATTGATCCCTTACTTAATACAATTTAACTCCTTCCTCTATGAAGATAATTGGTCAATCCTCTTTATGTCATTAAGCTTTTAAGGGACAATGAAGTTCTTTTACTCGTCAAATGTATTCCAAGTCTCATCAGGTAAACAATATCTGAATTAACTTTAATTTTTAAGGAATATTGCACGTAATTATTTCCAAGATGCTGCACATGAGGACAAGACCTGTATTCAGCATTTACTTGAGGAGATGAGTACTTAATAAGGCATGGTGCCTACTCTGAAATTCTATTCATAAATAACAAATTAAGCTGCTGCTAATGCTGAAAGATGAATATTAATTTTAAAAAAGGTTCAAAAATGCACTCCTAAAACAATTATAAGACTATTTTGACTGAATGAGAGTCATTTTGAAAAAAAAAAACTCTTGCAGCCAAGAATTCACTTGCTGTTATATATTAAACTATGTAGCATTTTTCTTACAGTAAGTGGTATCCATGGCAAGGTAATTAACTGCTATTTTTATACACACACACACACGCGCGTGCGCGCGATCATGTTAGATTCAGGAATATTCAGTTTTTTCTAGTTAAAATTTTGATGGGATTATGAATGGTCACTCTGGCTGGGGTCATTATTCTTCCCAAGGTACACTGCTACTACTGAATGCCTTCATAGAAAATGTTGATCATAAATATATGGGAACAGAAATGTATATTTCCTCATTTTCCACTAATGGGATTTTCGACACAGGTCTAACGGCAAATTCTGATTTACATAACAAATCATCATATGAGCTAATTCTGTACCCTTCAGTCAAGGAGATACCAAATAATAATAATCTACCTCTCTAAGCACATGTTGATTCATGTATTTACATAAGTAGGCTGTTCTCACCCTGTTTTCTCATTATTGTCTATAGACTTGACCCAAGCACTAAAATTTGGAATGTAAATACTCCATATTTACCTTCCATAGCTGCTCAATTGTAAGGCATGTTATATGATGATAAAGGATAAATCAAATAGCATGCTATGCCTTCTCATCTTATACTGAAGCTATAATTTAACGTGGCGAGGTAGAACGATCTGCAGTAACCAAAGGCACAGAAAACCCATAAAAAAGTCAATAACGCCAAACTAATTAAGGAAGGGTAAAACATCATCTAATGTTTTCGAGGGTCACATATCCCTTTGAGAATATGGTGAAAGTTTCAAACCTCTTCAGAAAGATATGAGATACAAAATATAATAATAACTAAAATTTGGCATGAAAATTTCAGGAACCATACATAACAGTCACCAGTTAAGGATTGGAACTGTGGTCTAAAAAATTTGACCATATTAAATACTACATAAAATTGGAAATAATATCAGCTACCACTCGACCAAAAAAAAAAAAAAGAAATAAAACAATTTTAAGTATAGCTTCCAAAACTTTATCCCATCTATTTTAACTATCTTGCCCTAATGTTTTTGATTAACCATTCATGTGATATTTATAGAGAAATAACTTTGAGACCAAATAAATATTGCTTCCCTATAGTTTTACTACAAAAAATACTCACCAACTTTTGCAAAGGCCTCTTTGAGTTCATCAAGCTCATCTTTGGAAATCTGAGTGGTAGCCATCTCATCCATTTAAAGATCTAAAGAAAAACCAAAAACGTTTCAGACTTTAAAAAATTGTGATAAATATAAGCACTCTTGCTAAGTTCTCATCTTAGGGATAATTTAAACAGAATTTCAAACTATCAAAACAATCTGAATAGGTTACCATGTCTCTACATACAGCTTTAATAAAGAAAACAAATGAGAAGTCATCACTTACCAAAATTTATTGAGAAAAAATATTTCTGAATTTTCCTTCTAAGGACAAAATCTTAAATTACATTCAAAAAGTTTAAGGAAGGGCCAAAGTACCCAGCAGTGACAGGAAAAAGCTACATAATAGAAATTCTTGGTTATATGAGCCAAAGCTAAAGGTCAATATTATGTGACCAATGATTCACGGAAAGTATCATTTTCCCATTAAGCCACTTTAGAATCATTCACTGTGAAGACATTGATTTTCAAATAGCATACTGACATCTATCAATCACTCTCATTAAAGGAAGAATAAAGAGGAAACAAAACAAATTATAGCTGGTTTTGATATAAAAATGCACATGTGTGCTAATATACACATTCTTATGCATGTAAATTATTATATTATCTGAGTATACACCCTTTCCAATTTGGCCTTATTGATCTATTTAACTAACAGAACAAAGGTTGGCAAACTACATATGGCCTGTGGGCCAAAACTGGATCACCAGTTGTTTTTGTATGACCTCAAGCTGGATATGGTTATTAAAGGAAAATTTTTGCAGTCCATTTTGATGATGGGGGCACATTAACTTTGAACCCAATTAAGTGAAATGTTATCCCAGAAAAAAAGAATTCTATTCTTATCAGAATTGTATTACCAAAAAATTGTACTCAATTATTATATTTTGAATTTTGTCAATAAAAACTGATAGAAATAATATATTATATCCTTGATATTAATATCATAATATTCTTGATTTTACCTCTTGGCACACAATATTTATGATCTGAACCTATATGGAAAAACTTTGCTGATCCTGGCAATAAAGAGAGGAGGTCTGTATCACAGTAGATAATTTCCAAATGCAAACCTATTATAACAATAATTTTGGACAAAGAAAAATGAAAATGATTACATGTTCCTTTCTCCTTTTTTGTTTTGGGTTTTTTCTCTCTTCTGATTTATTTTTTTGGTAGACTTTATTTTTCTTTATTTCTTTCTCTTTTTTTGTAAAGACAGAGTCTTGCCACCTTGCCCAAGCTGGTGTCTAACTCCTGGGATCAAGGGATCCTCCCGCCTCGGTCTCCCAAAATGCTGGGATTACAGGTGTGAGCCACCGTACCCGGCCAATAGACATTATTATTAGAGTAGTTTTAGGTTCACAGCAAAATCAAGCAGAAGTTACAGAGAGTTCCCAAATACAGCCAAGTGTTGCTTAAAGACAGAGATGTGTTCTGAGAAATGCATTGTCAAGTGATTTTGCCATTGTGCAAGCATCAAAGAGTGCACGTACACAAACCTAGATGGTATAGCTTACTACACACCTAGACTATACGGTATGGCCTATTCCTCTTAGGCTACAAATGGCACAGCAGGTTACTGTAGTAAACACTGTAGGCAATTGTAATGCAATGGTATCCGTATATCTAAACATAGAAAAGGTACAGTAAGAATATAGTATTATAATCTTATGCGACTACTATCATACATTCGATCAGTCATTGACCAAAATATCCTGTACCTGAGTGGTACGTTTGTTACAACTGATGAACTTACATCATTACCACCCTAAGACTCTGGTGAACATTAGGGTTCACTCTTAGTGTTGTATAATCTGTGGGTTTGGACAAATGTATAATGACATGTATCCACCATTAACATATTACATAGAGTAGTTCCACTGCCCTAAAGATGTTGCCTTTCCAAAAAAATATACTACGGGTTAAATTTCACAAACTATACAAAATACATTTTGAGATCTTACATTTATCCCTTTTAGACATTTTATTAAAAGGCAACAAATTACTCACCAACTTATGTTTTGGCCAAGAAGTGTAACACTCAGTATAGAGAGGTAGGGGCTGGAAGTGGTAGGGAGGGATTCATAAGAGAGCTGGGCTACATCTATCTTTTTCACAGAATTGTTGCTATTTCTAGAATTTATCACAGCCCCTGGCACATAGTAAGGCACTCAATAAAACAGAACTTTAATAAAATTAATCCCTTCAACAACTATGCACCAAGTATTATTAATACATTATACAAATTCATTTGCATATTAATTTCCTAAACCCTCACAATAGTCCTATGAGCTAAATATTCTAATCTCCTTTTTTTCCTATTAGAAGACCTGGGCTCTCAGGACTGGAATTCACACTCAGGTTTCTCAAATCCTGGAGAAGTTTTAAAATGACCATATGATGCTATTAGCTAAGTTTTTACCATAATGTAACAGACACATACAGTGACTGGTGTTTTAAAAATTAAATAAAACCATCAGCCAGGCGCACTGGCTCACGCCTGTAATCCCAGCACTTTGGGAGGTGGAGGCGGGTGGATTGCTTGAGGTCAGGAGTTCGAGGCCAGTCTCACCAACATGGTGAAACCCTGTCTCTACTAAAAATACAAAAAGTAACCAAGTGTGATGGCGGGTGCCTGTAATCCCGGCTACTCGGGAGGTTGAGTGAGGCAGGAGAATCGCTTGAACCTGGGAGGTAGAGGTTGCAGTGAGCGGAGATCGTACCACTGCACTCCAGCCTGGGTGATAGAGTGAGACTCTGTCTCAAAAAAAAAAAAAAAAATTAAATAACACTAGACTCTTTAAAAAAGATATAAAACAAAGCTGGCCTATTCATAAACTTTTCTTATGTATGATATCAAGATGCCACTAAAGATGGATAACTTCTCAGTAGACAGGTTGGATGAAAATACCTTTCAGAGTAATCTCAGGATCTATGAGGGAAAGAAAGTTCTTCAGTTAGTAATGAAGTTAGGCTTTGTGGGTTTTTTTTTTGTTGTTGTTGTTGTTGTTTGTTTATTGAGACAGGGTCTTACACTGTAGCCCAGACTGGAGTGCAGTGGTGAGATCACGGCTTACTGCGACCTTGACTTCCCAGGCTCCTCCCTCCCAGGTGATTCTCCCTCCTCAGCTTCCCAAGTAGCTCAGACTATAGCCGTGGGACACCATGCCTGGCTAATTTTTGTATTTTTTGTAGAGATGGGGTTTCACCATTTTGCCCTGGCTGATCTTGAATTCCTGGCTTCAAGCAATCCACTCACCTCAGCCTCCCAAAGTGCTGGTATTACAGGTATGAGCCACCACGCCCAGGCCTGAAGTTAGGCATTTTAAAGATTAAGAATAAAAAGAACTGCAATCCCAGCACTGCGGGAGGATTGCTTGAGGCCAAGAGTTCAAGACAAGCCTGGGAAACATAGTGAGACCTCGCCTCCAAAAAAATTTTTTTTTAAAATTCGTAAGTTAAATGCAAACGAATAGTAGTAATTCTAAAAATATTCTGTTTCACTAATATGTTCAACACTCCCCATTACAAAAATACGACATAGGATTTATTCCAATTTTCTTCACCCCTTTTAAGCAATCATGTTTTTAATAAAGAATTATTACACATCTCCATGAATCACACACCAAGGAGAACAATGGCACAGAAAATTTAAAAGTAAGACCATCTCAGAAATCTAAAACATGTGGCCTCTCTCCTTTATCTCTAAAGGTCCTTTCCAGTTTGGGCAGATAGTGAGTCAGTAATAATTTAAAGTATGTGGGTAAAAAACAACTAAAACAAACCTATACAACTGAGCTTACTCTCACACTACCATATCACTTCTATGCAAAAGAAAATTAGGTCTGGGTGCAGTGGCTCATGCCTGTAATCCCAGCACTTTGGGAGGCCAAAGCGGGCAGATCACTTGAGCCCAGGAGTTCGAGACCAGCCTGGCCAACGTGGTGAAACCCTGTCTCTACCAAAAATGCAAAACTTATCCAGGAGTGGTGGTGCGTGCCTGTAATCCCAGCTACTCTGGAGGTTGAAGTGGGAGAATCACTTGAGCCTGAGAGGTCGAGGCTGCAGTGAGCCATCAGTGCATCACTGCAAAAAAAAAAAAAAAAAAAAAAAAAGAAAAGAAAAGAAAAAAGAAAGAAAAAAAAAAGAAATTAGATAAGATGGTTCTGGACATAAACCATTCCTGCCCCCCGCCCCCCTTATCCCTGCTGACCAGTTGGGTTCTGATTAAATCCTGTAGAAATCTCTTTCTCCCCAACCTGCCCCTCCCCGCTACTTCTCAAACAATTTTACCAATATTTTAGACATCTGCTATACACCTAGTTCTTGCCCTCAAGGAATTTACAATCTGCGAAGCAAACATGAATAATTACAATATGACATAAAGTGAATTAGTGACTGCAATAAAAGGTACAAATATCCATTTTTTTAGAAGAAAAAAGTCTCTAGAGACTTTAAGGATTATTAATTTCTTCTCAGAGTGGCCAGAAACGCAGTTCTTTTTTTCTTCCTATAAAATTAGCAAGTGCTGGCTCATGCCTGTAATCCCAGCAATTTGGGAGGTGGAGGTGGGCAGATCGCTTGAGCTCAGGAGTTCGAGACCAGCCTGGGCAACATGGTGAAACCTCGTCTCTACCAAAAATACAAAAAATTAACTGGGCATCGTGGGTGGTGGCACATGCCTGTAGTCTCAGATACTTGGGAAACTGAGGTGGGAGGACCGATTGAGCCCGAGAGGTAGAGGATGCAGTGAGCCATGAGAACGTCACTGCACTCCAGGATGGGTGACAGAGCAAGACCCTGTCTCAATAAAAAAAGTAAAAAATAAAAATGAATTAAGAAATGCTTAGATCTCATAGAAATAATTTTAGGGCACCAGTTTAGTCCAAAAATTAATCCAGTGCATTAAACATATATTTTAAAATTTTCAAGTTTCTTATTTCTAATTGCCTTTTAAAAAGCCTAAAGTGACTTTGCATATGTAACTCAGATTTCCCATCTATCAGAGACATTAAAGAGATACACTTCAATGAGAACAAAAAGAAGGAATTGGAACATGCACATATCCTTAAAACCGTATTTCCAGACAAGGTTGTTTCAGGATAACAGAATAGTTTAATGCAGGACTTTCCAATTTAAATAAACCCATATTCATTTATTGACAGTTATTTGAAAGGAAATAAAGAAATGCTACTCTGAAGTACCTGGGCCAAGACTAAAAAATATAAAGCCAAATTTAAAAAGCTCACAATATATGCTCTAGCTGATACAATTGTACATTTTGCCATTTGAAGCTTAAAATAAAGTTGTTTAATGTAGATTTCTTTATGCCACTATGAATTAAAAAATGGTCTGTCCTTAAGACTACTCATAGGTACTTGATGGTGTCTTTAAGGAAGTCAAGCAGTAAAGTACTATCTTGAGAGAAAACATCACATTAAGTAACTTGGAAATGAGTGAAGATATTAAAAAATAAAGATCTTACAAATTAAAATAACAGAAGCTCTATTCCTCTTCATGGGGCATTCATTGTACTATAGGACTTTTTTCCCTTAAAGTTACTAAAACATCCCGGATGGGTTCACAAAGCAAAACACAAGATTTGACATCAATACTGCCCTGTAGACACTTCATTTAATCTCAAGTACCAGTACACCAAGCTGTTGTACCGCGCCCAAGGTTGTAGTATGTTTTAACAGAAAGATGTTGGACGTGAAATTAGAAGGCATCGATTATTGCTCTGGTTCTGCTATTCCCTAGTAATGTGTCCATGAGCAAGTTTAATTAATCTGTCTCAGCCTAAGTTTCCTCATTTGAAAATAGTGATAATAATACCTACTTCCCCCAGGTCCTAATGAAGATTACAGATGGTATGTATGACAGCATATTGTGAACTATGAAGTATTACATAGCAACTTCAAATCCTTCATGAAAGAAAATAGGGAATAAATGAATGCTTGGGTTAATTGTGAAGAGCTGTATAAATAAATATAAGGCATTAGTTCTACTAATAGCCTTTTACATGGGATAAATGAAAAGTTATCTCATCTCCCTATAATTACTGACTACAGAGTATAATAGGTCTCCCTCATATATAAAAATTACAAGTCTTTAGTCAAAGTAATTTAAGAAGGATGGGCCTAAAGGAAAACCTGTCAGTCACTTTTTATCCATGACTCAATTTGGTTCCTCCGTAAGGCCAGTTTCTAAACACAATTTAAAGAGCAGACAGGAGATATACAAACAAACAACAATTTTTCTTTAAATATTTTAGGATCACTTTTCAAAATAGCTAACAGCTTGTCAATATTGTCACATTCCTCCTAATTTGCAAATTTTTTCATGAGTACTAGAAAAAGGTGAAGAGAAAGTATTACTTGCTGAATAAAAGTTTAACCCCGATTTCACAATATGTGATTGACAGGCAAAAGGAAAAAAACCCTGATTTTCAAATATGTCCTCTTTCCCAGTCTGTCTTCCCACAAAAGTGGACTTTATGTGTTTATTTCTTTTTGAGACAGGGTTACACTCTGTCACCCAGGCAGTGGTGCAATCTCAGCTCAGTGCAGCCTCAATCTTCTGGGCTCAAACAATCCTCCTGCCTCAGCCTCCTGAGTAGCTGAGAATACAGATGTGTGCCACCAAGCAAAAGCGGACTTTATTTACATGATGAGAGAGAGGGAGAGAGAAAGAGAACTGACATTCAAAGAAATAGAGATATATTTTTCCTCCATTTAAACTCAGCAATTTTAATACTTATCAAAAATAAAACCTCCTGGAGTCTCTACGTTTTTCTGAATTCGCTCATCTGCAAAGCACTTTGATCTGTCCCAAATTCTGTTTCCTCCTTAGCTCCTATGCCTGCCATTTCTGTAAAGGAAAAGGGAAAGCTGTAGAAAAAAGCCAGCCCTTCTTCACTAAACATATAAGACACAGGAAAACAGATTTTCAAATAAGGGAGTAAAACAAAAGCAAACAAAACCTTGTTTGTTTGTTTTTTCATAAAAGGATATAGTGTACAATTGGGTATGAATTCAGGGCGTCACCCATAGAAGAATCTTATGCCTATGAAGTCATCTCTAATTACAGAGTTTGACTAACAATACTGCAATTATGAAACCACTCCACCGGCTCATTTAACTATACATAAACCCTAAACACAGATCTTTGCTGAGAAAGGTATACCTACAACTACCTGAAACTATTATTCAAATTCTGAAAGGTATTTGAAGGGGGACGGGGGTGCCTATTTTATCTCCTAAAGCACTCACTCACTTTAGGAATGCAGCTGACTGAATAATCTACTTATTCATCTGTGTCATTCAGTACCATGAGGTCCAGGAGAAAGAGAATGCACGTGGGAAACTCATCTGGGGGTAACCAACTTTGATCATAAACTTGATTTTTTTTTTTTTTAAATTGAAAGGCAGCCAAAAGATAAAAACAGGATATTCACCACAGGCTTCATCCCAGCCACTAGTATGGTAAATAGAATTGGAAAAGAGAAGCTCATTACTTAAATCAGAGACTGGGCAACACATACTTGAGGTCCTAAAATGAACAAGAAAGCAACAAAGAGGGGACAAAACATGGAAGAAATACATTATTTCACTATAAATGAAAATAAACAAGTTAGCCACCATTATGTGTGAACAGTTCAAGAATGATCAGAAAAGGGGTGTTGTCACCTTCCTCCATCCAAAACAGGCAGTGCTTTTGAACACCCACACTTTGCATACCTACCTTTACCAATAGAAACTGCCACCCTGCCACCTCCCTAGTTAGGTAAGTGAACAGCTCAACACTAGTCTCTAGCTTAGATGGGTGTGCAACACTGTGGGCTAAAACTCACCTATTCATACTATGATTACTAAAGCTCCAGTCTCATGTTTCCTAATGACTTTAGAAGATTCCCAGCTTGAATGTCTACCACACTCACCCACTTATTTATTTATATTAATCAAGCATTAACTTAAGGCTTAGTATGTACCAGGCACTGTGTTGGGTGCTCCAGATAAGAGACAATTAGGATCCAAATCCCCTTCTTTCTGGAAGAGCTTACTGTCTAGTGGGGGAAACAGATGGAAAAACAAAGATACAACATTAGTGCAATCATGCCATCACAGTCATATATACTAAATGGTAGGCGTCAGAAAAGTTTTTTCCGAGGTGAGGCTTGAACTCTGTCTTTGAGTGCAAGTAGGATTTTCTCAGATAGACATCCCCAGTAAGGGCATTCTCAGAGAGACATCACTGGTAAGGGTATTGTGCCTTGTGTTAGTGACAGACACACTCGCAGCAGCAGATCAGGGTCCAATTTAGAAGTGGCCAAGGGAGAAGGAAAGTCAGTGAGGACGATTCAAGTTAGGAAAGTCTAAGTGTCTCCAATCTAACTTACTGCCACATTATTTTCCCTGTTTTTTTCTAACTCTTTCTTCTGCCAAATCAGGTCTCGTTTTCAACTTTCCCACTTTCCTCTGTCTCCAGACTGCAGTTTGACCATAAAAAACAAAGGGAGGATCAGTCAACCACCCATCCCTCTGGATTCTTGCCTTGCAATATCTGAGATTCTTCCGTCATATCTGTTTATCACCTCATGTCTGGCCTACTCCACAAGTTTTTTTTTTATCTTTTTATATATTTTTTTTATTATACTTTAAGTTCTAGGGTACATGTGCACAACGTGCAGGGTTGTTACATATGTATACATGTGTCGTGTTGGTGTGCTGCACCCATTAACTCGTCATCTACATTAGGTATATCTCCTAATGCTATCCCTTCCCCCTCCCCCAACCCCACAAAAGTTTTTTTTTTTTTTTATCAGATCTGCCTGCTGTTCTGTCTTCCTCCAGTGCAATCTTTACACTGCTAATCTCCTGATAATCTCCTGAAGAGCGGATCTTATAAACATTCCATGCAAAAGGAGGTCCCACCTTTTTAGGACAGCATTCAAGGCCCTACACTTTTCTGACTTGACTTCTAGCTTTATGTCTGCCCATCTTTCCAATGCTACTTCCCATTATATGTACTACACCCTTGAACCCAACACTCTCAAGAGACCTTATTCCCCAAACAGGCCATGTATTTTCCCGCTTCTTCCACTCCCTGGAGAGACCACTGGGTCTCTCCAGTGGAATGCTCTTCACCCATCTATCTAGACACTTCAAAAGCCTATTTCAGGAAGTATCTTCAGATTGTCCGCACCCAAGATAAAATTTATCTTCCCAGTACTCTCACAGAACTGTGTTTCTATTACAGCTGGTTCTGGATTCTCCTCTATCAGTACCTTTTGTTTTATTCTGGTCTCTTCTGCTTTTCCTGTCTTCCATTAAGAACTTCCTCTCTCTCTATCTGCGTCTCATGCTTAGAATACTCTCCTCTATTTTTCCTCTCTCTCTATCCAAATTCTACTCACCCTTCAAGCAAGGTTCAGAAGCCTCATCCTCTCCCAAAGCACGTTTCCCAATGACTCCACCTCCCACTGATCTTTCTCTTCAACTCCCAGAGAATTTAGAATCTTGCCACAAAATTTTGAAATTTAATTATAGACTTCTCCCTATAGTTACATAAGTGGATATGAGGACAGTCAGTCTAACTGGGACTTCCATTGTCCTACTTGGTTCAGTTTATCTACCTTCTTTACATAGATTCTTAAACTTGGTCAAAGAGAACAATCTTCTTCAATAAAAGAAAATCCTTCTTTCACGAACAGCACACAAAAACTTGTGTAATTCTTTGCTTTGCAAGTCTCATTTCATGATTGTTTGTTTCTGGAGAACAGTCTAAACTTCACCTTTTACTCTCATTGCTGGATGTTGGTTACACAGGCATGGTTTACAAAATATACCAACTGAGGCTGAGGGTGGTGGCTCATGCCTATAATCCCAGTGCTTTGGGAGGCAGAAGTGGGAGAACTGCTTGAGGCCAGGAGTTTGGGACCAACCTGTACAACATAGCGAGACTCCTTCTCTTAAAAAAAAAAAAAAAATTAAATCAGCCAGCATGGTGGCCTGAGCCTGTAGTCCTAGCTACTAGGAAGGCTGGGGCAGAAGGATCACTGAAGCCCAGGAGTTTGAGGCTGCAGTGAGCTATGGTTGCCTGCCTCTAAAAAAATAAACATAAAAAATGAATAAAATACTCCAACCAACTGCAATGTTTAGAGGGAGTGAAAATTCCCAGTATTCCCAATATCCAGTGATCACAGCAATGAGAATTTGAAAGCTAAGAAGTCTGTAGAGTTCCATAACTTCATTCCCTAAATTGTATTAGGGAATAAACAAGTGCCTGGGATAGTCGTTGACTTTGCCCAGGACACAAAGCTGTGAAGCACAATTAAAAAGATGTATTTCTCAGCCAGGCGCAGTGGCTCATGCCTGTAATCTCAGCACTTTGCGAGGCCGAGGCGGGCAGATCACAAGGTCAGAGATCAAGACCATCCTGGCCAACATGGTGAAGCCCCGTCTCTACTAAAAATACAAAAATTAACAGGGCCTGGCTGCACGTGCCTGTAGTCCCAGCTACTCAAGGGGCTGAGGCAGGAGAATTGCTTGAACCCAGGAGGCGGAGGCTGCAGTGAGCCGAGATTGGACCACTGCACTCCAGCCTGGGCGACACAGCAAGACTCCACCTCAAAATAATAATAATAATAATAATAATGTGTTTCTCCAAGCATAGCTGGAAAAAAAAAAAAAAAGCAAAAGCATGTGTTGGAGGAAAGGTAATTAACTGTTTTTTCCCTCTTTCCTTTTTTTTTTTTTTTTGAGATAGAGTCTTGCTGAGATGTCCAGGCTGCAGTGCAGTGGCATGATCACTGCAGCCTCCAACTCCTGGCCTCAAGTGATCCTCCTGCTTCAGCACCTCCCACCCCCAGTAGCTAGGACTACAAGCATGCACCACCATACTCGGCTAATTTTTAATTTTTATTTCTTTTTTTTTTTTTTTTTTGTAGAGACAGGATCTCACTATGTTGCCAAGCTGGTCTAAAACTCCAGGGCTCAAGTGATCCTCCTGCCTCAGCCTCCCAAAGTGCTGGGATTACAGGCTTGAGCTGCAGTGCCCAGCCAATTAACTACTCTTCCCAGAAAAACAAAAACAAAGAGACTACACATTGCTTTGCAGAGAGAAGGTCCATGCCTAGTATATATAGCCTTTGGAAAATAACTTAAAAAGCTCCTAACAAATATGACCATGATATCGAGAAATAAGAACAGTTGCCAGAAAATGGAGATAGTAACCCCCTCCAGCTAATACTAACTTGTTTTCATTATTTAAAAGGATAAGGGATTCACTTAAGCCTTGAACTAAAATAACCAAAACTTTAATTGTATAAAACATACAGAATATAGACAATGAGTTCAGTAAAGACTCATACAGAGTTCTAAAAGTCATTTATTTAAAACATTGGTGTTAAATTGGCACTGATCATAAAACAGGCAATATTCTGAAAAAAAAGCACACAAACGCTTACTTTCTCCTATGACACATTCATTCCTACATATGACAGGCTTCTGCTTCTCTTTGTTAATACTGCTTAATTTCAGCCTCATGAATGCTAAGTATTGTGAACAACCACTCCCATTGTATCAGTGCTAATAACTTAGTCTTAATATAAAACAAACACTCAAGTATCTATGTGATTTACTTTTCATTTAAAAATTTTTTCTTTCAAGATTTTTCTCAAGAACAAGTGGCTTGGAATTTTGCTTGACTCATTTTAGAAAACTTTCACGGAATCTTGGTAAAGGAGTAATTGTAAAGGCTTAAGAGGCTATATGCATAATTTTTATTTAATGATTTGTTGCTCTGAAAGTCAAAATAAGGGAGTCAAAACCTAAATGCCCTCACGTGTGTCATAGGTTCCTAGTCCTAAAAGTCTAGGAAAGGTTGAAGCAGAAGAAAAAGTGGTGAAGTGTTTTACTGTGCATTAATTCTAGCACATCAGCATTATCAAAAATTGCTTCTTCTCCTTCTTCTTTTTTTTTTTTTTTTGAAATAGAATCTCGCTGTGTCGCCCAGGCTGGAGTGCAGTGTCATGGTAACTGAAGCCTCCAACTCCTGGGCTCAAGAAATCTTCCCACCTTAGCCCCCTGAGTAACTGGGATTACAGGCACGCAATATCACCCCAGCTAATTTTTGTATTTTTTGGAGAGATGGGGTTTTGCCATGTTCTCCAGGTTGGTCTTGAACTCCTGGGCTCAAGTGATTTGTCTGCTTTGGCCTCCAAAAGTGCTGAGGTTACAGGTATGAGCCATCATGCCCAGCCAAAAATTTCTTCTTATAGTCAATGTGGTGAGCAAACATCTATGAAAGAAATAATCACCACGTATAGCAGACTTTACTTCGGAAAGTTATTTTTCAGGTCTAGCTCTTCTGTTCATTCTACTTAACATTTCAGCTGCAAATTGTACAACTAAACAGAGGACATCATTAGGTACCTCAAATAAAATTGACAGTATTTTCTCATGAGGCATTATTATATACACTGATTAGATTGTATAGTATCAGGAACTAGAGAATAAAGTAACTGGCTGATGGAACATAAATCTGGATATATTTAGCAACTGTGCTTCTACAATTCACATAGAATACAATGAAAATAAAATAAGATATCATAGAACAAAACCATATCATGCCAGATAACATAATATAAAATTTCAGGAATACTTGTAAAGTAACCTGAAAAACCCTACTACTATTTCCATGACAAAATATGTTTCAAATTCCAAATCAATTGAGAAATGAACTTTAGAAGGCTCTATCTGTGACTGAAGGCTAACTCTACCCTTTATCCAACTCCAAGTAGCTGCCTACCTAATAACTATAATTCGGCCTTGGATATATCTAAAACCTTTAAGGGAGACTTAAACATCAGTCTACTCTTTAATGTGAAGAAGAGATTGCTCTGTTCTGCACGTACACTGCTCCAATAACCCCTGTGGATGCATAAGAAAGATATAAAGGTTTATTAAGAAGGGCGGGGAAGAGAGATGAGAGCAGAAGAGTTATTTGCAAAGTTATGCATGGGGTTAGACTAAGCCATTTTAGCCCTCTTCTACCACTGTAATACCCACAACCAATTAAACCATCTCCAATTTTCTGTCTGTATTATATTACATTATATTATTATTATTAGTTTTGAGGCAGAGTCTCACTCTGTCGCCCAGGCTGGAGTGCAATGGCATGATCTTGGCTCACTGCAACCTCCACCTCCTGGGTTCAAGTGATTCTCCTGCCGCAGCCTCCTGGGTAGCTGGGATTACAGGCGCCCACCACCATGCCTGGCTAGTTTTTGTATTTTTACTAGAGATGGGGTTTCACCAGGTTGATCAGGCTGGTCTCGAACTCCTGATCTCAGGTGACCCACCCGCCTCGGCCTCCCAAAGTGCTGGGATTACAGGAGTGAGCCACCGCACCCAGCCTTATTTTATATTATTATTATTTTCTTGAGACAGAGTCTTGCTCTGTCACCCAGGCTTGAGTGCAGTGGCTCTATCTCAGCTCACTGCAACCTCCGACTCCTGGGTTCAAGCGATTCTCCCGCCTCAGCTTTCACAGTTGCTAGCATTACAAGCATGCGCCACCACATCTGGCTAGTTTTTATTCTTTTAGGAGAGACGGGGTTTCACCATGTGGGCCAGACTTGTCTCGAACTACTGACCTCAAGTGATCTGCCCACCTAGGCCTCCCAAAATGTTGGGATTACAGGCATGAGCCACTGTGCCCAGCCTTGTATTATTTTAAAGGAGATGCGTCATAGGGTCATAGTTGCTAACCCGTTCCTCCCCTTCCCCATATTCCTATAGCCCTTTTCAGCTTTCAGCGTGATGACATCTATTTCTTTCTCTATCTCCTCCACGAGCCTGTGAGCTCCTTAAAAGCACGGTTGGTATCTTATTTGACTTTGTATCTTGGCTCACCACAAGCACCTACCGAATGTTTGTTCAATAAATAAACTTCGATGGAGGTGAGTAGGGAAAGTGCGCAGACCTATACATCATGCAGGCTATATAGTCCTCTCACGTGGTTTTAAAAACACATACTCTATTGGAGAAAGCTGTGAACAAAATAGTCAAGTTCAATAACGTCTTCACATTCTTCACATACAATTGGCCTGTTATCATGCTTTAACTACCCTTGTTTAATACTTCAAGATACTAAAAAACTCTTCAAGATGTTTGTGACCTGTCCTTTGAATTTAGCTGAAAATCAAACAGAAATAAACCTTTTCAGAAGCAGTTTTTACTTTCAACCATTTTGGCATTCAAGCAGCACATTTCACCTTTACAGTCATACACATCATGCATACATCATGTTTTGACAGGCCTGCAATTTATAGATAAAAGTTGACATTTAGAAGTAAATATAAGGAGTTCAAGACCAGCCTGGCCAGTATGGTGAAACCCCATCTCTACTAAAAACACAAAAATTAGCCGGGCGTGGTGGTGGGTGCCTGTAATCCCAGCTACTCGGGAGGCTGAGGCAGGAGAGCTGCTTGAACCCGGGAGGTGGAGGTTGCATGAGCCAAGATCGTGCCACTGCACTCCAGCCTGGGCAACAGAGTGAGACTCCATCTCAAAAAAAAAAAAAAAAAAAAGAAAGAAAATAAATATAAATTGCCCCAAACTAAAGGTCTACTAACATTTTTTATTGTCAATATTTTCAATATATACAAGAGAAAATAGCACAAAAAACACCCATAAACCCATCACAGATTCTACATTTATCCAGATTTCCCCACATTTGCTTGGTTCATCTATTCTCTCTTCCTGTCCTTTCTTCTCCCTCCCTCCTTCCCTGTCTCTCTTCCATGAATTATTTTAAAGCAAATCTCAGAAATCCTGTGATTTCACCCCTACATAGCTATTAAGAAATGAGTTCATTTTTCTGGAAATACTTCTATTCTGTGCTATAATTGATCATTAGCTAGATTCTAACTGATCTTTTGTTTTGTTTTGTTTTCAGTACCAATATCTATGAGTCACTTAAACCCCAAAGGGTGCCCAATCCTGTGTCATTTCCTGGAGGAATATCAAATACCTCCATTTTAGGTAAAAGTTTCCTTTCCTCTTTTTATACTTAATAAACAAAGATAAGATCTGAAAGCAATGGCTATTTAAAAATAAATTAATACGTAGCTTTTTCCAATAATAGAAATATTCAATTCAATTTGGTCAGATTAAAGACATCATTTAAACGTTTCTCAGGCAAGAATTTTGCAGCTATTTAATGCAAGTCTCAATTATAGTCTAAAAGCCCTTTTTCCTAGGATGAAGAATACTATTTCAAACCCAAAGACACAACAAAAAGACACCTCTCCTTCCCCTAGCTTCAGAAAGCTAAGGTACATTAACTAACTTCTTAGATTGAAATAGCCCACTTTGCTTTTAAAAGGTCTAATGTCTTCCATGCCTAAGTAAACTTTTACATCTACCCCCAAAATCTGAATAATTTATGGGAAAATAAATCTGCTGCTAATGAAATTAATTAATTTTCATACCTAAGAAGTATTTCCACCAGTTTCCTTTCTTATGAAAATTAACATATGTTTGAGTGAAGCCAAGGGCAACTTTCAGGGATATGTGTGTGTGGGGTGTGTGTGTGTGTGTGTGTGTGAGAGAGAGAGAGAGAGAGAGAGAGGGAGGGAGAGAGAGAGAGAGAGGCTAGGCAAGATCAGACTAGTTACCATGCTTCACTTCAATTCAAAATAAAAATGCCATAAAATATTGTGACCTACAACTCAAATCACTATATACACGAAGCAGAAAGCTATCGGCAAGTCACTGAAAATGCCTCTTGCAGTGTTATATACCTTGCTTATATGTTAGCAAATACAGCACTTGTTAATTGAAAAAACTGGTTTGTTTTGTTTCATGCTTCACTTTTTACTTCATATGCGCATATTAAGTACAACCAGTCCGAGAGGTGACTCAACTCAGAGTGAGGATTGACTGTATAACTAGCTATACTTCCCTTTGCCAGAAATATGGGGAAATTAAACTTATATGACAACCATGTGATGGAAAATCCTAATGTATGTGAGCACCAGAAATCACTATTGCTGCCAAGTACCAATAACGCCATCAAAATTTAATCACCAGTGATGTTTATTATTTTGTAAATTATAAACACTAAGACAACTGTTTGATTTAACTCACGTAGGAAGAGTATAATATCAATCTAATCGTGACATGTTCTGTCATGACAGCCACCTCAACCTCCATTTTACAGAATTTTGAAAAACCATGTAACTGGGATCAAAAGCATTTGAAATCCCACCCCCACCACAAATATAGACAATAATTTCTATTATTTAGTGTTTTAGATACTTAACTTGATAAATACGGCTGTATAATTAGGATTTCAAAACCCATTTTTAAAAAGTATAAACTCCCTAAACATTCTCTAAATAAAGAAAAATACAGAATACACACAGAACAGGTTAGAATCTAAACTTCAAAATTTTCTCTTAACAAAAATTTTATTCTACTTGAATAAATAATATTTTTAAAGTGACTCCAAATGTTTACCCAAATAAATAACAGGAATTTCAAGCTTTTTGACGTAAATTCCTGCTTAATCATTTAGTATTTAAATTTAGATTTAGTAATCTCAAAGTTAGAGCCTGTCAAAATAATATTAAAATAGTTACCCGCTGAGAGCAAACTTGTTTCTTTCCTTTCTCGCAGCACTGATAGACAGAACCTTCTCCCACGCCCAGAAGAGCAATCTGGAAACCCAACATTCTTCTTACAATTGCAACTTTAGAGAGCAAGTCACAACACTTCCTGCTAGAAAAAGAGAACACCCTGACAAAAGAATGATACAATACTTACGAATCCCCTTCCTGTCAGCCTGGCGGTATTTTGCAGAGAATTTAATAAATTCTAATTTAAATGCAGCATTTACAGAGAAAAGTTTTCTTTTTTCTTCTTCCTTTTTTTTTTTTCCCCAAAATCATATAAGGACTCAGGGGAATTTAAAGTTAGTTCAGGTCAAATAGCTACAACCCATATACCTATTTAGAGTTTGAACAGTAGCCAAGTAACCTGCTTATTTTAGAACACATGGAACAGCTTCTCCCCAGTGCCCAAGTCACTCGTCCATAGTCAAGAACATTACTTGCGAAGGCAAATTAACTCTCAAGCCACTCACTAACAGTCTCTATTATTCATGCTGATCCATACACAACATTTACACCCCATATGCTAAGGTGTTGTAGCATTTATTTCAAGTATATACATTTTGATTTATGTCAAAAATGTAAGCTCTTCTGTGTAGGAACTATATTTTCTGCTGGCATAGCACACAGGAACTAAGCCAACACTTGCTGAACCGAAATATCTCAGTTAGAAATAATTTTCTAACTGAGAGCTGTAGTAAAGAGGTCTGGAGCCAGATTGGGTTCAAATTCTGGCTCCACACTTTATTAACTGTGCAAATTGCTTAAAACTCTTCTGCCTCTATTTTCTCATCCCGGGATGAAGATAAGAGCAACTCCATCATATCGCAGTTCACTATTTTATACATGGTTGTAAGGCTTAAATGATTTAATATGTGTCATAAATTTAGATCATAGTCTGGCGCATGGTAAGTACTAGATACGTGATAACTGCTCTCATTATTGAAATTTGCCTTTAACTGGTCTAGCAATCTAATCAGTGAATTCCTAAATCAAGCAAGTGGTTAGTTGTGAGTGCCTTTTATGAGAGAGAACAATCAGTTGGAGCACTGGGCTAGGCTGAAGAGGCCGTTTCTGTGCTGACATAGGGCAAGTTCATAATTTGAAGGAAATGCAGCACAATGAAAGCATCAGGGTCTTAGGAGTCTGACAGACCTGTAAGTCTGTGTGACCCTGAACAAATTACTTAGCTTCTCTGAGCCCTGGGTTCATATCTATAACAATGGAGCTATTCCACATATTTCACAAGGTCCACGGGATGACCCAATGGGAAGATATAAATATGTAAGAGTGTCTGGGTCCAGCAAGGTACTCAGTAAGTGGCAGATATTATTTTCTTGTGTCTGGGATAAAGCATGCATAATGCCATCTGCTGCTGTAATCTACCTCATGAGAATGAAAGAAAGTGAGACAATAGATACTCTAGTCCTTCATAAATAATACACAACAAAGTATTTTATGATAGCATACCGAACTCTCAGCATAAGGAGGTGACTCACAGTGTGGGCACCTGTGAAAAGGAGCCCTCACCGGATAGTCCCCATTATGAGGCAGTGTTCTCCTGTCCTCGTCACTAACCACCATCAGCAGACACTGGGTTACATTTTGTCTCCTTCATGGAAGTGCTTTAATTTATTTCACCAATCACAAAACCTTCGTGAAATATCAAAAGGCAACACAATGCAGAAGAGAAGGAATACAATGGCAGGAGTCATAGGACATGTTTTTCCGTCTGTCTTTGTTGCTGACTCACTATGTGAATGAAATGAAGCTTCTTCAACTTTTCTGAGTACCAAATTCTCCATTTCTAAAACAAGCATAGAACTATCTGCCTGTGGCCTGTCAGGGAATAGTAGGTAACTACCAAGCATTTTGAGCTAATTTGAAGAGTATGTGTTATCATGCATTTTTCAGACAGAGAAAACCAGGGCATAGGAAACTGCCTCAGGTAAGAAGACAGTATCAGTTTAGACCAGAAATGTTGGTTTTTCCCCAGCCTTACCTTTTCTTCAGCCACACCTGTTGCCTCAAACCACTGAGACGGGTCTGTCCCAAATGCTACGTAACCACCCTTTTCAGATATGTAGCAGTATCATTGAGGAAATTAATGTTTTAAATATGTAATTCTTCATTTTAGAAGACAGCTTTCTCTCGTTTCAAGTTTTACAGGTCGTTATAACAGTACTACTTAAAAACTGTTTTTCTGACTTTTCCTTTCCTGGTCATCTGGAATATACATGCTCTCCAGCTTTCCAAACTCCAAGGCTAATCTTCGATCAGCATGATCTGTCAACACCGAGTTACTAATTCTAAAGTCACTTCACCTTAATACAATAGCATATATTTCTACTGCAAAGCATTGTAGTTAAAGTTCTAGGAATAGACATGCCCTTCAAAAGGGCACATCTTCTACTTAGTAAATGCTAGGTAGGACATAAAGACAGTTTTGGTTTGTTTTTTTTTTGAGACGGAGTCTCGCTCTGTCACCCAGGCTGGAGTGTAGTGGCGGGATCGTGGCTCACTGCAAGCTCCACCTCCCGGGTTCATGCCATTCTCCTGCCTCAGCCTCCTGAGTAGCTGGGACTACAAGCACCCGCCACCACGCCCGGCTAATTTTTTTGTATTTTTAGTAGAGACGGGATTTCACCGTGTTAACCAGGATGGTCTCGATCTCCTGACCTTGGGATCTGCCCGCCTCAGCCTCCCAAAGTGCTGGGATTACAAGGCGCGAGCCACCGCGCCCGGCCAGTTTTTTGTTTCTTTTATTTATTATTATTATTTTTGAGACGGAGTCTCGCTCTGTCGCCCAGGTTGGAGTGCAGTGGTTCGATCTCAGCTCACTGCAACCTCCGCCTCCCGGGTTCCAGCTATTCTCTGGCCTCAGCCTCCCGAGTAGCTGGGATTACAGGCACCTGCCACCATGCCCGGCTAATTTTTGTATTTTTAGTAGAGACGGGTTTTCACCATGTTGGCCAGGCTGGTCTAGAACTCCTGACCTCAGGTGATCCACCCACCTTGGCCTCCCAAAGTGCTGGGATTACAGGTGTGAGCAACTGTGCCCGGGCTAAAAGACAGTTCTACCACATCAGTAATTTAACCAGTTTTAGCATGTAAACTAAACTTCTATCTCACTCACCATCCGAGGTGTGTGTGGGTGTGTGCGTGACGGGGGCGGTGGGGAGCGTGTCTGTGTATGTGCATGTGTGTGAACAGGATCTCGGTTTTTACTATGGGTAATGAACACTGGTTTGGGAATGCAAGACGGTGGCAAGGGTTCTGCAATAAATTCTACATTTTCATCAGCAGGCCACAGAATGAAAACAGCTTTTAAATTGCATCCCAAATTCATCAAAATGAATGCTAAGGAAAGCCGACGGAAACCAAATTCTCACTGTCACTCTCTCTAGATGTTACAAACAGAAACCATACAGTTAAGAGTTCAGGCCGGGCTGGGCGCGGTGGCTCAGGCCTGTAATCCCAGCACTTTGCGAGGCTGAGGTGGGCGGATCACCTGAGGTCAGGAGTTCCAGACAAGCCTGGCCAACGTGGTGAAACCCCGTCTCTACCAAAAATTCAAAAAAGCCAGATTGGTGTTGTGCCCTTGTAGTCCCAGCTACTTGGGAGGCTGAGGCAGGAGAACAGCTTGAACCCCAGAAGTGGAGGTTGCAGTGAGCAGAGATTGCACCACTGCACTCCAGCCTGGGCCACAGAGACTCCATCTCAAAATACAAACACAAAGTTAAGAGTTCACACACATGCACTTGTGGACACACTCCCACCCCAGGGTGGAAAAAAGAGGTACAACCCGAAAAGTTATGGGAGTTTCACATAAGTATCAGTGGAATATGTAGTTGTAACACAAAAGCTAGGCATAGTATTTTTAAAGTCTCTTACAACTTTCATCCAGACGTCATGCTCTCCACCACACCCAGTACTAGGTATACTTTCCATGTGTGACACGTACATTGGAGGCCTCTCCCACTGTGCTTAATGACACACCTCAACAACACTCATCTATTTTCCTTTCATGAAACAGTTTTTTTTCCATCTTCATGACTTATAAAAACAAAGCGAACAAACAAACATAGTGAGTGAAGCATAGAAGCAAAGGGATCTAACATATAAAACAGGCAACAAGTTTACATTCAAGAAACTACTACTGTAATTTTGGGACTATATTGGAAAGTTTAGGAAATTCATACCAGGCACAGCATTAGGTATATAAACTTGTTGCATGGATGTGTCAATTTTAATAATCAAGTCATATATGTAATCATTTTTTTCATATTTGGGGAAAAATAAGTCAGAATATATCTTAATTTCAATATTCTGGCCAGGCGTGGTGGCTGGTGCTTGTAATCCCAGCACCTTGGGAGGCAGAGGTGGGTGGATCACTTTAGCCCGGGAGTTCGAGAGCAGCGTGGGCAACATGGCAAAACCCTGTCTTTACAAAAAAAATACAAAAAAATTAGCTGGGCATGGTGGCTGTCGCCTGTAGTCCCAGCTACTTGGGAGGCTGAGGTAGGAGGATAGCTTGAGCCCAGGAGGTGAGCTGTGATCTTGCCACTGCACGGACAGAGCAAGACTGTCGCAGAAGAAAATATAAAATTCAATATTCCAAGGGCTGTCTCCCTGATAGTATTTATTAGCTCTTTATTTGTGTAACTAAGTAATCAAAATTTTAAAATAAATAAAAGAAAAGGTCAAAATACATCGAACTACACATGGGGCAATGAATGAATTTAAAAGACATACATGTTCAGTTCGTAGCTAATAAAAACATACAAAGGAATAACTCACATGCTCTACAATTTTCTATCCTGAGGGTCTCTCTCTCACTCAAAAAAAGAAAAGAAAGGAGAGGGGAATAGGAGAAAAGTGGAGGGGTGGGGCAAAGGGATAAGGAGGGAAACAACAACAAAAAACCCAACTCAGCAGTTCCTAAACTTTTTGGCCTCAGGATCTGAGGATCCCAAAGAGTTTGGTGACACATGGGTTAGATCTATCAGTGTATTTGTCACATCAAAAATTGCGACTACGAAACTTTTAAGATATTTATTTGTTTAAAAATAAGAATAAGCCCATTACATGTTAACATAAGCTTTTTAATGAAAAATAACTATATTTTCAAAAAAAGTGTAGTGACAAGGGTGGCATTGTTTACATTGTTGCAAATCACTTTAATGTTTAACCTAGAACAAGAAAGCTGGGTTTTCATATCTGCTTCTGCATTCAATCTTTTGCAATACCGGTTTTGGTTCCAGTGCATGAAGAACATCTGGCCTCCTACAGATAAACTGTTGTAAAAAGAAAGAAATACTTTAAGAGGCTTTCCAGATACTTACAGATATTCTTCAATACTACACCAAAACTCGAGAGAAGTGGTAGTTTTTCAAAGGTTGGTTGCAATGTAGAGTCTGATACAATATCAATGATTTTTTCAAAATCTATTTGTCTGTCTTGCACTTAGAATGGGCCTTTTACCCATGCTTGATTTTGTAACATCATACATTAGTTATTTGGAAAAATATTGTTTCAGTAAGTTATGTGGGTCTTCCAAATGCTGATACATTTCATTATACAAAATCTAACACATTATTTTCATTAATTATACTGTCGATTTCACTAGAAAAGCCTAAGTATTGATCGGATAAAATGGTGACCAATGCAAGTTCTCAAAAATTTGAATTTTGCTTGAAAGCTCTAATTTTAGCATTGGCAACAAATACTCTTAGTTGTTTCCCTTGCAGTGAGAGGCACACTTGGTTCATTTTTTAAAAATAAAGTATCTGTTAGATACTCGGGTCTGAATAATCAGTTAATTCAATCTTTCAAAGTAAAACTGGTTGTCTTTTTTTTTTTTTTTTTGAGACGGAGTCTCGCTCTGTCGCCCAGGCTGGAGTGCAGTGGCGCGATCTCGGCTCACTGCAAGCTCCGCCTCCCTAGTTCACGCCATTCTCCTGCCTCAGCCTCCCAAGTAGCTGGGACTACAGGTGCCCGCCACCACGCCCAGCTAATTTTTTGTATTTTTAGTGGAGACGGGGTTTCACCGTGTTAGCCAGGATGGTCTCGATCTCCTGACCTCGTGATCTGCCCGCCTCGGCCTCCCAAAGTGCTGGGATTACAGGCGTGAGCCACCGCGCCCGGCCTGGTTTTCTATTTTTAAAAAGGCAGCTAGTTTAGCTCACAACTCAAACAGCTGCGCAAGTGCTTTCCCTCAAGACGATCGTCATATATCCATATGCAGCAGAAATACTTTATGGGTATGTCTTATCTCATCACACACAATATTTAAAAAGATGCATACCTAAGAATTGAGATTTAATACAATTATTTTTTCCTGCTTCATCAAGTACATTTGTAAATGAAATGCATGTTGTAAGATTTTTTTCTAAAGGTGATGGTATGGTGCTGAGGAATACAGTGGCTATCACTACAGTGTGGGGCCACTATCTTGATTCAGCAGCTTTACCCACTACTGCTTTTGCATCATCAGTGCAAATGTTAACACAGTGAAAAAACAAATAACAATTTAGTTTTATCATGAAAGTAATTTTAACCCCCATGAGCCCATGTGCCACACTTTTTGAAAACTGGTGCTTTATTCAGTAATATTTATGAAGGAGCCATCTAATTTTAGAGACAGCAAACCTATAAAGTATGCAGGTTTTAACAAGAATTTTCAAACTGAAAATAAAATTAACAAAATTACATATCTAGGTTTTAACCTGAGTTCTGTACTTTTGAACTGTGAAAAGAAAAAACATCTCTTTAATATCAATTCAGGCAAGACAAAAATCTACAGCTTATCTACTTCAAAGCACATTTTGCTGAATCAGGTTCATGTCTAAAAGGCAAGACTTTATCATGACAGTCATGACATAACATGTACAATGTTGTTTAGAAACTTTTTTTTTTTTTTTTTGAGACGGAGTCTCACTCCATCCTCCAGGCTGGAGTGCGTGGCACAATCTTGGCTCACTGCAACCTCCCCCTCCCGAGTTCAAGCGATTCTCCTGCCTCAGCCTCCCAAGTATCTGGGACTACAGGCACCTGCCACCACACATGGCTATTTTTTTTTTTTTTTTGTATTTTTAGTAGAGACCGGGTTTCACTATGTTGGCCAGGCTAGTCTCGAACTCCTGGCCTCATGACCTGTCCGCCTCAGCCTCCCAAAGTGCTGGCATTATAGGTGTGAGCCACAGCGCCCGGCCTGTTTAGAAACTTTTAATAAAATTTTTTAAAAGATTAAGAAAGGAAATATATGTTACAAAATGAGTTAACATCCTACTCATACACAGCAAATTAGATTATTCTTGGCCGGGCGCAGTGGCTCACGCCTGTAATCTCAGCACTTTGGGAGGCCGAGGCAGGTGGATCACCTGAGGTCTGGAGTTCGAGACTAGCCTGACCAACATGGAGAAACCCCGTCTCCGGTAAAAATACAAAATTAGCCGGGTGTGGTGGCACAGGCCTGTAATCCCAGCTATTCGGAGGCTGAGGCAGGAGAATGGCTTGAACCCGGGAGGCGGAGGTTGCTGTGAGCCGAGATCACACCATTGCACCTCAGCCTGGGCAACAAGAGCAAAACTCCGTCAAAAAAAAAAAAATTAGATTTTTCTTCTGATAAGCGGTTAAGAATTTCTTTCTCTTGCATAAAGTAGCACAGAAAGGGTTTAAAAGTAAAACTCCATATGAAATGCAAACACTACTATCTTAAAATATTAAAAACTAAGAAGTATACTATAGTATTTATCGGTAAAACAATATGCGGATTATTTTAAAGCAAATCTCAAAAAAGGGGAGAGCAAAGATGAAATAAGAACATGAAATACTGGTAATTGTTAAAGCTGGGGGTTTTTAATGCTATTTTACATTATGTATTTGAATAATTCCATAAAAATAAGTTTTTAGACCGGGTGCAGTGGCTCACACCTGTAATCCCAGCGCTTTGGGAGGCTGAGGAGGGCAAATCACGAGGTCAGGAGTTTGAGATCAGCCTGGCCAACATGGTGAAATCCCGTCTCTACTAAAAATACAAAAAATTAGCTGGGCGTGGTGGCGGGTGCCTGTAATCCCAGCTACTTAGGAGCCTGAGGCAGGAGAAAATCTTGAACCCAGGAGGCGGAGCTTGCAGTGAGCTGAGATTGCACCACTGCACTCCAGCCCAGGCCACAGTGCAAGACTCTGTCTCAAAAAACAAACAAACAAAAAAAAAGACTTTTTAAAATTTCTGCCTACTTATATAAAGGACTTGGGATTTTGGAGAGCAAAATTAAATTTCATGGCTCATATTTGTTCAATAGATAAATACCGATTAAGCATATATTCTGTAAAAGGCACTATACTAGTTGGCATCAGGAAATATGAGGATTTCTGCAACATGCTTTTCATATCCTCAAGGGGCTCAGAGTGGCTGTGTCTATATATATAATCAATTCCCTAAAATGGGTATAATGCTTCCACTATGACCTTTCTAAGCGGTATTTCTTTATGTCATTACCAAGTACAACTTGATCCAATTGAATTGGAAGTCACTATAATGCAATTTTAAGAAAAAAAGAAAGGGAAATGGCGTATGAAAGAAAATACAAAAAGGAAACAAAAAATAAGAAATGAGACTTTCCCTGGTTTCCCTCTATAAAAGGAAACTAACAAGAGATGTGAGCAAATATGGGCATGACCACATCATTTTTCCACCACAACCCATCATCTTATTTCACTTCAGGACAGGAACCATCATGTCATCTCCTTTGAGTCAGCTCTTGTACTACTCACATAGGCAAAAATAACTGAGCAATACATTCATTTTCCACAGGGAGCATTAAATACATTTAAGTATTCTATAATTTTTCAAATGACAGAAGATAGTTTTACAAATGCCACGACTTTACATTAAATTCCAGGGCTACTAGGTCCTTTCACCACCTCCCCCAATACAAATTAAGCCCATCCTCAGGAGGAAATCCACAAGTTAAACTAGTAACATTCCTCAAGAGGCCTAAGTATAACACTGATAAATGAAAACTGAAAATGATCATCACAGAATAAAATATTTACTTTACTTATCAGCTTCTAGCTTCTTGAACTAGATTTCAAACAAAATGTCATTTTTTCCCTATTCAAGCTGTAGATAATATGTGCAAAAGTTCTCAAAACTCATTCAGTGAAGATCTTTAAAAGCTGAGTGATAGCATTAAATAATTTTAAATTGCTCTACTGTTTTCGTATTTAATAAGCTCTAAGAGGGCAGTGATTTTTTGTCTGTTTTGTCCAGCAATCTATTTTCAGCTTATAGAACAGTGCCTGGCATACAGTAGGCACTCAACAAATATTTATTAAATGGATGTATGTGGAAGACATAGCATCCTAAAGGAATTAACTCAGTGTCATATATTATAGTGGTTTATTTCATAGTCAAGAATAAACTTTCAGCATTTGTCTTTTTAATGCAAAGCAAATAAATAAGGATAAAAGGCATCTACTCTTGTTCCATTGGCTAACTCTGTAAGATACGATCATTCCTGAAAGCTAATCTGGCCAAACACATGGTGGTTACATCTTCTAATAGCACCAAATCCATGCTCAGATTTGGTAATTGAAACGAATTTCTAAATTCTGCACCTTTAGAAAATAAATTCATTTGAGAGAAAATAAGTGGAGTGGAAAGTATAAAGAACTCTCAGTGTATCAAGTTTTTCCTCAAACTTGCCACACACACCCTCCCCCAAAAAAAAAGAAAAACATCTCACTGTCAAGAGTCAAAACATCACTGCTTTAGCTTTCCAAACTTTAAAACAACTACTTTTTGACCTCACAAGGAATAACAAAACCTTCAAAAGAAAGAGCCGCTTTAGCATTTCCTGCCAGCCTGCCCTAGTCTAAGATTAACCTCGTCAGTTTTTAGGAAGACATATAAAATCCCCTTTAAATGACTAATTCAGATGAAGTAGTAACATGAAGCCATAGCTTTTAAGACGCTGGCTTCTACTTGCTACCAGATGTTGCCATCACTTCAAAGCGTTAAATACATCCATGAAGAATTTCAGATATATTTGCATGTGAAATATTTTCTGACTTCCACTATCATTGTGGAGTCACATTCACGGAGAAAAATAGTTGACTCGCTGTTTAATAAAACATCCTTAAGATTCCATTATTCACTTTGAGAGCCACTCTATGTCAGTATAATTCTTCCATGTAATTCCTGCAAGCACATATATACACTTTCAAAACACAATACAAATTAATTCCATTTCATTGGGAGTTTGCCATGAATGGCCTGCTTTATACTTCTTTTGAATTTGGGGTGGGAGGGAACCTTTCACAAAAAGTCCAGCTGAAAAATCCAAATTTTTGCATGTGTATACTTTTGGTATTTCTTTTTCAGACAAGTAGACTGTCCTGAGCTTTACATAATATAGTTTAGAGTTCCTTTGCCAGGTGTAATTCATCTATTCCACTATGCTTTCTGTTTCTAATCACCACTCTTCTCTGATTAATTTCTTTGGCTATGTTGTCATCAAGGTTTTATTAGCTTTTTCTTTTCTTTTCTTTTTTTTAAAGACAGAGTCTCCCTCTGTCACTCAGGCTGAGTGCCGTGGTGCAATCACAGCTTACAGCAGCCTGAACCTCCCCCAGGCTCAGGTGATCCTATCACCTCGGCCTCCCGAGTACCTGGGACCAGATGCATACCACCATGCCTGGCTAATCTTTTTGTGTTTTTAGTAGAGACGGGCTTTCGCCACGTTGCCCAGGCTGATCTCAAACTCCTGTCCTCAAGTGATCCGCCCGCGTCGGCCTCCTAAAGTGTTGGGATTCAGGCGTGAGCTACCACGCTTGGCCTATTAGCTTAATTTTTTAAAAAAATGTTTAAATCTCCAGAGAGAGTTTAATTCAGCAACAATGGTTGCTATTTTCTACACATAATGGTCATTGTTAAGTCTGGCCCAACACAGAATCCTGAACACAATGTAGATTTATCCTTAAGATTGGCTGCAAAATACCATGGTCTCATAAAGTATTAATAGTTATATGCCCTTACCATTCAAATGTATAGGAGCTTCCCTACAAAATTTGTTTATTTTGTTTTATTTCTACTGAGATGCCTCAATTGTATGACTTCGAGGAGGGAATTGAATCCATAAACATAACACTATGCTGGATCAGACTACTACAGACTGGATTGTAACTGACCAATCTTGCTTGTTTGGTGTTTTATTTGGCAATCTGTTACCTGGTACAGCTAAAGTCTCATCATAATGAATTCTGCCACAAGTCAAAAAGCTTTTGTGGTCTTCACTTCCTAAAAATCACACTGTTAGCAAAAAGTCACCTATGCATGAGTAACCAACCTCTTCCCTCTCCCAGCTTATTACCTCAGAAATTGGCTAAAGCAATTAGCAGAATTCTTTTGATGAGGCAGACTGTCCTGGCTCACTAGCTGAGAATTCACTGCTCGAGAGAATGAGCTTTTAAAAGTCTTTCATTAGACAAAATAAATTTAAAAATACAGATAAATTATATGTGAAGAAAGAAATCTGGATATATGTTTACAATGAGTACCATTATATTGCATCTTCTTTAAATCACACTTTCTAAATTATAGTTTTGCATTACCTAAGCAGGGTTAGGAGTAAGTGGGAAGTAACACATCACTAATATGAGTGATGGTAAACTTCACTGTAATGATAATGCTATGAGCCAGATGCTGTAACTTAGGGAAGTTTTCTTTATAGAAGTAATTCTGCTACTGTACTTAGGGTAGTACATTTGGACCCTGATTTTCAAATTCCTGCTAAGTCTAACCACTTAATCCCACATTCATAATGTTATAGACCAACAGTTATACACTTTATTAAAGAATAAACAGCCAATTTAAATATAAACAGGATGGAAAATATAACCGGAACGTTTTGTTTTGTGCCTGCCACCCTGAATCAGTAAGCAGACAGAAGAGTGGAAAAGCTTTATCTTGAGAAAGCAAGACAGAAAGAAAGCATGATCTCATTCAATTTTCCCTCACCCAAAACCAACAAGGTGACATTATCTCTTCAGTTCTTCTTCAGTCCTAATCAGTTTGATAGCCTCCCTCTTTTTTTAAATACCTGAAAGTAAATTTCTGAGTGTTCTTTTAAATTAAGAAGTTTATCAGATGCTTTTTGTAATTTTTAAGATTTTATTTTGCAGAATCAACAATCAAAGCATGAGAATACACAAATGTTTTCATTTAAAAACTTTTGACTTACTATTCATGAATAATAAACATATCCCAAACTCCATTACCCTAAATTTCAACTATTTAGTAGCATATTCCATTTTGCTATATGGGGAGATGAATTTGTTTGGGATAACACAAAAGGTAAACCATACTTTCCTTAAGGCAAAACAATAGGTTTAGGAATCTTATTAACAGCCTTATAAATCTAATGGTTGGTCTTAAAAATTCCAGAAGTAAACCTTCAAAAATTTTTAAATTCAAAAACATATTAGTGATTTAGAACCTGACAAACTTCAATTTTGGCCATTAAAAAAGGTCATTCATGTTATGGCTGAAAGGAAACTGCTGGCCGGGCATGGTGGTTCACGCCTGTAATACCAGGACTTTGGGAGGCTGAGGCGGGAGGATTGCTTGAGACCAGGAGTTTGAGACCAGCCTGGGCAACATAGTGGGACCCCATCTCCACACAAAAAATTTAAAAAATAAAAAAGAAACTGCTAATTAATATTCATTCAATAATTTCAAAATCATAAAAATACACATTTCTTCAGAAAATAAGAACTAGCGTTAGACTTTGGAAGGAACTAAATTGTTTTCCTTAACAGAATTACCATTTTTAACTTTATTAACATTACATATGCAATTTCAAAAGTCTAATTCATTAAATCAATTCCTCTCAAAATCCTAGAACAGTTTTTGTAGTTATAGACAAGCTTCTTTTAAAAATTAACATGGAAAGGAACAAGCCTTAGAACATCTAAAACTGTTGAAAAATAAGGTGAATAGACTCCACCTGGCATTAAGTCAGACTATGTAGCTACAGTAATCAAGACAGTGTGATACTGACAGAGCAACAGATACTCAAAACAACGGAACAGAAGAGAACCCAGAAACAGATTTACACAAATATATTCAATGATTTTTCACAAGGGTGCAAAAAACCATGTCAGTAGACGAGGACAAACACAGTCCAAAACAAAAAATAAGAAACTTCAACCCAAACTTCACACCTTACACAAAAGTTAGCTCAAAACAGATCACAGACCTAAATGTAAAACATAAAACTATAAAACTTTAGGGGGGAAAGAGAAATTCTTCAGGAACCTGATTTGATGAAGAGTTCTCGGACATGACACCAAAAATCAATCCATAAAAGGAAATACTGATAAAGTGGGCCTCACCAAATAAATCCTTTTGTTCTATGAAAGATTCTGTTCAGAAGATGAAAAGATAAGCTACAGGCGAGGAGAAAATATTTGTATGCCACATATCTGATAAAGAATTAGACTCTAGAATACATAAAGACCTCTTAAAATTCCACAACAGTAAAAACACAAATAATCCAATTAGAAAACAGACAAAAGGGCCAGGCATGGTGGCTCATGTCTGTAATCCCAGCACAGTAGGAGGCCAAGGGCGGAGTACTGCTTGAGGCCAGACGTTTCACATCAGCCTGGGCAATATAACAAGACCCCAACTCTACAAAAAATAAAATGGTGGTGTGCACCTGTAGTCCCAGCTACTTGGGAGGCTTAGGCAGGAGAATCACTTGAGCCCAGGATGTTGACGCTGCAGCGAGCCGTGATTGCGCCACTGCACTCCAGCCCGGGCAACAGAGCAAGACCCTGTCTCAAAAATGAAAGAAAATAGGTAAAAGACATGAACAGACATTTCACTGAAGAGGGCAAACAGATGGGAAATAAGTGCATAAAAAATGTTAAACATCATTAGTTATTATGAAACTGAAAATGCAACTACAATGAGCTATCACTACACACCTATCAGAATGGCTAAAATGAAAAACAGTGACACCACCAAAGGCTGGCAAGGATGTGGAAAAACTGGATCACTCATACATTGCTGGTGGAAGCACACAATGGTACAGTCACTCTGGGCAAACACTTTGGCAATTTCTTATAAAATTAAACATGCAACTCTCATACAACTCAGCATTTGCACTCTTCCGGCATTAATCCCAGAGAAACGAAAACTGAAGTTCACACTAACACCTGTATACAAATACTTGTGATAACTAAAAAACTGGAAATGGCCCAGATATCCTTCAATGGGTGAATGGTTAAATAAACTTTGTTACATACACACCATGGAATACTATTCAACAATGAAAAGGAACGAGGTATTGACATACACAACAACTTAGGTTGAATCTCTAAGAGAATTACGCTCAGAGAAAAAAAGCTAATTCCCAAAGGCTACATACTATATATCATTCCATTTATATAATATTTTTAAATGACAAAATTATAGACATGGAGAACAGATTAGTGGTTTCCTGGGGTCAAAAATGGAGGTCAGGGGAGGAAGGAGGTGTGTGTTGTTATCAAAGGACAATAAAAGGGATTCTACTGGTAATGAAACTCATTTGCCTCTTGTCTGTATCAGTGTCAACATTGTGGTTTTGCTATTGTACTATGGTTTTTTAAGAGTTTACCATTGGAAGAAACTGGGTAAAGGTACACAGGATCTCTTTGTGCCATTTCTTACAAGTAGGTGTGAATCTACAATTATCTCAAAATAAAAAGTTTAATTAAAAAATCTAATTCAGAATTAAACACAGAATATAGTATAATTAAATTAATAGGGAAAATGAAGAACATTTACTTGTATTAATTCTATATCCTGCTTTAAACATTATTCCCACTTTATCTTTTTTTTTTTTTTTTTTTTTTTGTGCAGTGGCGTGATCTCGGCTCACTGCAAGCTCCGTCTCCCGGGTTCACGCCATTCTTCTGCCTCAGCCTCCCGAGTAGCTGGGACTACAGGCGCCCGCCACCACGCCAGTCTAATTTTTTGTATTTTTAGTAGGGACGAGGTTTCACCGTGTTAGCCAGGATGGTCTCGATCTCCTAACCTCGTGATCCGCCTGCCTCAGCCTCCCAAAGTGCTGGGATTACAGGCGTGAGCCACCACGCCTAGCTTTATCTTTTCAAAACTTTTTTGACATAACTTCTGACACAATATTCTTAGCATATATAGTCAGTTCATGACTCCACTAGAGTGTTTGATCTGGGTGAAAGTTATTTTTTTCTGTTCAATACCAAAATAAAAAGGAGTTGTCATAAAGGAAAATTTCAGGGCTGAAACACATCAATGTATGATGATTTAGGTATCTGTTATTAGAAATATTTTTTACTTGTTCAAGTGACACTTCTCCCCAAACATTCACATGGATACTCCTTGATTTCCTTCATATCTTGCCTGAAATATCTCCCTCTCAGTAATGCCTTCTGTGACCACATATTTTGAAATGGCAATACCCTTCTTCCCACTTCCTATACCATTAATCTTACTTTTTCTCCATAACACATTAGCATATAATATATAAAATCATTGTTTATTTTCTATCTCTCCCCTAGTAGGATGTAAGCTTCATAAAGACGGTGATTTTTGTCTGTTTCATTGACGGCTGTAATCCCCAGTGCCTAGAATAGTATCTGACATATATAAGGTGCTCGGTAAGTACTTGAATAAGTCAATGAATAGATGAATGAAATGGACATTTTTTTTTCTAGGCAAGGAGTAATACAGAGAGGAAACACTGACTCTGAGAATGATAAAATCCAGTTTAGAAGAAATCAGGAGTGGGCCAGGCATGGTGGTTTACTCCTGTAATCCCAGCACTTTTAGAGGCCGAGGCGGGAGGATCAGTTTAGGTCAGGAGTTCCAGATCAGCCTGGCCAACATGGCGAAACCCCATCTCTACAAAAAACACAAAAATTATCCAGACGTGGTGGTGCACGCCTGTAATCCCAGCTACTTGGGGAGCTGAGGCACGAGAACTGCTTGAACCTGGGAGGCAGAGGCTGCAGTGAGCCGAGATCACGGGACTACTCTCCAGCCTGGGCAACAGAGCAAGATTCCGTCTCAATTAAAAAAAAAATCAGGAGTGATAAACCCTATAATGTATATTCAATATACTGGAATTAGAGTTTTCAAAAACTTTTGGATATATTACATACAATATAGGAAACTCTTTATGATCAGTGTTTAGGATTGAAGTTTTGTCAGCATGTGACTACTCTGGGTTGAATATGACCTAGAAAAATAGCTTACCACTGTAAAGCTATTGCTAATGCATTTCCATTAGCTAGGGAAGAGCTTGTCAGACTCAAAGCAAGTTGCTTTAGTCATGGGTGATATGAGTTTCAGAGAGTTCATGGTAACTTTATTGAGATAGCATTTGTCATTTTATTAATCTCTGAAAGAAATTAAGTGTAGATACAAACTGATTCAGGGAAGAGGCACTGCTACTAAACAAAGTTGACCCTGGACATGGAGTTTAAATATATAGTGAGAAGAATGATGGATCAGTTCCATTACTACAATCTGGGTCTCCAGTGATGGCGACCTGATCCTCCACCATTGTCCTGGAGCACTCTATGCTGAGGCAAGCCAAAATCAGACTTCAGTTGCCTCCTTTGTAAAAATCAGTAGGTGGATTAGACTCAGCTCTTCAAACGATGGCACACTGTTTTATTTATGTTAGTGTGCCAGGCACATTGTTAATAATTAGCAAAGGCCTATTAAATACGCAGGAAGTTCTAAATGGGACTCCAGAAAGTTGCACCTTTTTTTTGACTTAACTCCAGCCCACCTTTCTCAGGGAAGCCTATCCTTTCCTAAAGGATCTGCAAGGTTCCGCCTGCCCATAAGAGTAAGGAGACTGGATCCCAAAAATTTCGCTGTGGGTTGAATCTGGAAAATAATGACAGAGTAAAGTTCTATGAGTCATTAGCTGTTTTGATCTGGTGAATCTGGGGTCAAGGGTGCTTAAAAGAATAATCTGAAATTGCAGGATATTATTTTATTTTATTTTTTTGAGACAGGATCTCTCTCACCCAAGCTGAAATACAGAGGCGTGATCACGGGATCAAGCAACCCTCCCACCTCAGCCTCCTGAGTAGCTGGGACTATAGGCGCACGCCACCATGCCTGGCTAATTTTGTTTTATTTTTAGTAGAGATGAGGTCTCGCTATGTTGCCCAGGCTGGTGTCAAACTCCTGAGCTCAAGTGATTCTCCTGTCTCGGCCTCCTAAAGTGCTGGGATTACAGGCATGAGCCGTCATTTCCGGCCTGGTGATTCTTTTAATCATCTTTTTATATTCCTTCATTCTCATATTCACCCCAAAAGGTCAAAAGATAAAGACTCCCTCAAACTTACTGTCAAAATACCTAAACGTAAAACACTAATGTCTTCTTAAAAATATTAAGTGTTAGAGGCTAATTTACTTATCATTATGGCCCTTTGTGAGTTTTGAATTTTGTTCTATATGGATATATTTCACACTTGAATAGTACATTTAAAAGTAAATATATTAGCTGTGCTCAATAATGCTTTTGGTTGATTGAACCCATTGCATTTCAAAGCATTTATCATGTACTTTTGTACTCCTTAATACTGCTTGCCTTTGCTCCTTAGTGTTCAAAAAATGTGATTAAACAAAACTGTGCTAAATGTTTATTATACAATAAGTTTTAGAAAAGATGATTATACAGCATTTACAGGCTTTCTATTATTCCAGTATAAATACTACTAAGGAAAACGTTATTGAGAACAAGTCGATGATAAGCCAATAAGCATCAGGAAACAAGAAAAAAAATAGCTAAACTTAGATAGAGGCCAGGCGCGGTGGCTCACGCCTGTAATCCCAGTACTTTGGGAGGCCGAGGCGGGTGGATCACGAGGTCAGGAGATTGAGACCATCCTGGCTAACACGGTGAAACCCCGTCTCTACTAAAAATACAAAAAATTAGCCAGGTGTGGTGGCGGGCGCCTGTAGTCCCAGCTACTTGGGAGGCTGAGGCAGGAGAATGGCGTGAACCCGGGAGGCGGAGCTTGCAGTGAGCCGAGATGGTGCCACTGCACTCCAGCCTGGGCAGCAGAGCCAGACTCCGTCTCAAGGAACAAAAAATAACAAAAAAACTTAGATGGAAAAATCGGTAGTGCTTAATCAAAGCAAGGATTTATATTAAGAGCAGAGTGGTAATAAGTGAAATGTTATCTTGTCAGCACCACCTCTAACTCATTAGGGGACTCATGGATAGACACTTAATGTTTGCATGTCCCATTATTTATGATAGCCATAGTGTAGAAACAACCCCAAATATCCATCGATGGACAAATGGATAAACAAAATATGGTGTACAATGAAATATTATCCAGCCATAAAAAGGAATAGAGTACTGATACTTGCTACAAGGTGTGTGAACCTTGAAAATGTTAGGCTAAGTGAAAGAAACTAGTCACAAAATACCACCTATTATATGACTCCATTTATATGTAATGTCCAGAACAGGGAACTCAATGGAGACAGGAAATAGTTCAGTGGTTGCTTAGGGTTGCAGGGGTAGAGTGCTGTGGAAGGTGATAGCTAAAGTGTATGGGGTTTCTTTCTGAGGTGATGAAAATGTTTGAAAATTGACTGGTGAAGGTTGCATGTTATCTGTGAATATACTAAAATCTATAAAAATAGATGGTATGGGGCCGGGCGCGGTGGCTCACGCCTATAATCCCAGTACTTTGGGAAGCCGAGGTGGGCGGATTACCTGAGGTCGGGAGTCTGAGACCAGCCTGACCAACATAGAGAAACCCTGTCTCTACTAAAAATACAAAATTAGCCAGGTGTGGTGGCACATGCCTGTAATCCCAGCTACTAGGGAGGCTGAGGCAGGAGAATCGCTTGAATCTGGGAGGCGGAGGTTACGGTGAGCCGAGATCGTGCCATTGCACTCCAGCCTGGGCAACAAGAGCGAAACTCTGTCTCAAAAAAAAAAAAAGTATGATATTATGTCTCAATAAAGCTGGCATAAAAGTCAAAATATTAATATGTCCCAATTTCTTCTTTGACTCTACAGTTTAGCAGTTCTCACAATGAAAACACTATCGATAACATTCACTCATAATATTCACTGAAAACAACTAAAACCTAAAGGAAAAATAAACTAAGGAAGCCATTTGTTTAGTCTTCTTACAGGCTCCCATCATTATGTATTTTATGCAATGTAATTCATAAATCACTGATTTCCTGATTAGATTTTCCCAATTCAATCGTTATCAGCAAGGAGCATTTATGGCCATCCATGTTTCACTCTTTCAAATATAAATATCAAGACCCGTTGTGTGCCAGGTGAACTGTGAAAGGAACTAGGAAAATGGGGCTTTTTCTCAGGGCTTATTTCCTTTCTCCCTAAAAGTACAGCTCTTTCCCATGGTACATGGCAGAAATTTATTGCTGCTCTTGAAGAAAACCATATACAGTGGTCACAGTACATGGCTTTGATGCTATCCCACCAAATGAAACAACTGTTAGATTTGAAATCCTACGTATTCCTGCTCAATTTGAATTCTGTGACAATGGGACAGGCAAGGTGGCTCATGCCTGTAATCCCAGCACTTTGCGAGGTCGAGGTGGGCAGATCGCTTGAGGCCAGGAGTTCGAGACCAGCCTGGTCAACACAGTGAAAACCCATCTCTACTAAAAAATACAAAAATTAGCCAGGCATGGTGGTGTGCACCATAATCCCAGGCACTTAAGAGGCTGAGGCGGGAGAATTGCTTGAACCTGGGACGCGGAGGTTGCAGTGAGCCGAAATCATGCCACTGCACTCCAGTCTGGGCAACAGAGCGATACTCCATCTCAAAAAATAAAAAAATAAAGTCTGTGGCCAGAAGTTCAAGGCAGGAAATTAAGGTGTCAGCTATACCTGTAGTTGCTTGCTATTATCCACGAGTCAAAATAAAACTTAACGGAATACTTTACTACAGAAAGTATAAGAGCTGCATGTGCAAGTAATGGTGAATAGATGTTTTTGGGGACTTCTGCATACATGAATATTTCCACAGCTGCAGAATCAACTACTGCAGAAGTACATGCTGGGCGCAACATCTACAATTTAGTAAAGCTGGAAAGAATTTTATTTTTGTAAAAACTAAATGGGGTGTGGCTCGTTTTCTTGCCAAAGGGCTATTTTATTCCAAGACACTGGTGTCTGCTGACCTTCATTTGTAGGCTGAGCAATGTTCTATTTAAGTAACATTAACTCATAGTGGGCTCTTTTTTGGTATGCAATAATTATTGCAAAGAAATAACAATGTTTAAATGAGATTTGTTCTTAGTTTAGATTTGATTATATTGGGTTATAAGTGAATTTCTTTGTTCACACAAGGTTTATATTTAGAAATTATTTTATGCTGAGAAAAAAGGCTGTATTTAAATTCATTTTCTTTTTTTTTCCTTTCTTTCTTTTTTCTTTTTTTTTTTTTTTTTGAGACGGAGTCTCACTCTTGTCACCCAGGCTGGAGTGCAATGGCGCAATCCCGGCTCACTGCAACCTCTGCCTCCCAGGTCCAAGCAATTCTCTCACCTCAGCCTCCCAAGTAGCTGGGATTACTTGCGCTTGCCACCACACTTGGCTAATTTTTGTATTTTTAGTAGAGACGGGGTTTCACCATGTTGGCCAGGCTGGTCTCGAACTCCTGACCACAGGTATCCACTTGCCTCGGCCTCCCTAATTGCTGGGATTACTGGCATGAACCACCGGGCACGGTCTAAATTCATTTTCTACATTTATGAATATTTTTAGGTTTCATGAGAACCAAGATTATTTTTGTGTCTTTCTGTTCTACTAGACTGGAGGAGTATCTTATCCGTCTTTGTAGCCCTAGCACCTAACAGTCTGCATTAAACTTATGGTAGTTGAATGAATAATGAAACCATTCCACAAATAGACTAATTAAGCAATTGTGCATGTTAGTATATTTGGTTAACTATTACTTCATCTGTAGTTTGTACCATCTTAATATATACTTAAGAACTTTGGGCACGTTTAAAAGTTTCCTTGAGTTTTACATCTATTTACCAATGGTCTATAAGCCTTCTTTTATACAACACTTACAGTTTCTAGATACTTATTAACCTTCCCTTCATTTTTACACAAATCTCTGCTTAGAGAATTTTTCCCCTTCTGCTAGCACCTACTAGATATATTCTAGTTTGCTTTTTTAAAATTTATTTTCTATTTTTATTTTTTAAAAAATAGAGACAGGGTCTTGATATCTTACCCAGGTTGGTTCTGAATTCCTGGGCTCAAGCAATCCTCCTGCCTCAGCCTCCCAAAGTGCTTAGATTACAGATGTGAGCCACCATGCCCAGCCACTAGTTTGCTTTTTATCTGAGTGTCAACTAAAGCTGGAACACCTTGTTTGAGGATAAAATACTGAATGCATGGGTTGGCTTATATTTTTAAACATGTAAATCTATCAATATTACTTTTCTGTTAGTTACACTTAATGATAATTTGGCTCTATTTGCTTTTTAATTACCACAGGACAAAATATAAAATTGTAATTATTCATACCCACTTGTAAAAATGATTCAACTGTAGCTTTACAATGGAGACCCACAAACTGCTCAGAATATTTTCTGAATGTGTCAATAGCCTTCATCATTTCCTGGTTTTTGCTTTTGAAAATTTCCACTAGATAAAATAATGGGCATCATAAGTATGTTTTAGATTCAGCCATTTTTAAAGGCTACATGTCATCATGAAAACATATTGGTTTACTTTATAACCCTCTGCCATCCTCAGCATTTTAAGTTTTCAATAATATATTTTCTCTTTGCCCCTACTTTTTTTTCCTCCTCCACAAGTCAGGTATCAACACTACCTATTACCTTTCATTCTGATTTAAGCTGTATTTGTTAGCGGCCTTGAGTTTATAACGGTGTCTGTAATTTACTGAGCCATGTTTCCAATTTTCCTTTGAAGGTGAGTTCTTGTTTCTTTCCTTTTCCTTTTCCTCTTTCCTTTTCTCTTTCTCTCTTTCTTTTTCTTTTTTTTTTTTTTCCAGAGTCTTGCTCTGTCACCCAGGCTGGAGGGAAGTGGCACGATCTTGGCTCACTGCAGCCTCCGCCTCCCAGACTCGAGGGATTCTTGTGCCTCAGCCTTCCAAGTAGCTGGGTACATAGGCATGGGCCAACACGCCTGGCTAATTTTTGTATATTTAGTAGAGACAGAGTTTTGCTATGTTGGCCAGGCTGGTTTCGAACTCCTGAGCTGAAGTGATTTGCCCGCCTTGGCCTCCCAAAGTGTTGGGATTACACGCGTAAACCACTGTGACGGGTCTTGGCTAGTTCTCCACATATCCTCACAAAAGAATAAATTAAATGGCAGGGTTCAGTGGCTCACGCCTGTAATCCCAACACTTTGGGAGGCCGAGGTGGGTGGTCATGAGGTTAGGAGATCAAGACCATCCTGGCTAACACAGTGAAACCCCGTCTCTACTAAAAATACAAAAAATTAGCAGGGCATGGTGGTGGGCACCTGTAGTCCCTGCTACTCGGGAGGCTGAGGCAGGAGAATCGCATGAACCCGGAGGCGGAGGTTGCAGTGAGCTGAGATCGCGCCACTGCACTCCAGCCTGGACGACACAGTGAGACTCCGTTTCAAAAAAAAAAAAAAAAAAAGAATAAATTAAACGATAAACAGGTTTCTGAGCTAAGCGAAGAAGCTTCTTCAACCTGAAACATGGCTAGAATCCTTCACATTCACAATGAAAAACAATAAAAGGAGTGTTTTTCCAATACCATTAAATAAAACACAAAAAACCCCACTAATTTCTAAAATCTTGCCAGCCTGGGCAACATGGGGAAATCCCATCTCTACTAAAAAACAAACTACAAAAAAAAGTTAGCCAGGCATGGTAGTACACGCCTGTAATCCCAGCTACTCGGGAGGCTGAGGCACGGAGATCGCTTGAGCCCCGGGAAGTCAAGGTTGCAGTGAGCTGAGATCGCACAGTTGCACTCCAGCCTGGGCGACAAAGCAAGACTCTGTCCAAAAAAAAAAAAAAAAAAAGGAAGGTAGGAAGGTACTCAAATTAGAGAAAAAGAGGTAGATATAGATGCCTGACAAAAATCATCTAAGGCAACATTAATCAACCTGTAAATGAAAATACTTATTGAGCACCTACCATATGCTAGTTGCTTTATAAGTGTTCTCATATAATAATTATGAGAACAAAGTGAAAAGTGAGTGTATTATCTTCATTTTATTCATGGGGTAACTGAGGTTCAGAGAGTTAAGAAACCTCCTCAATGCCACAGAGATATAAAATGGGAGAGCTGGCCCAGGCGCGGTGGCTCATGCCTGTAATCCCAGCACTTTGGGAGGCCAACGCAGGTGGATCACGAGGTCAAGAGTTCAAGACCAGCCTGGCCAAGACGGTGAAACCCCATCTCTACTAAAAATACAAAAATTAGCCGGGCACAGTGGCAGGAGCCTATAATCCCAGCTACTCACAAGGCTGAGGCAGGAGAATCGCTTGAACCTGGGGGATGGAGGTTGCAGTGAGCCGAGATTGTGCCACTGTACTCCAGCCTGGGCGACAAGGTGAGGCTCTGTCTCTAAACAAATAAATAAATAATAAAATGCGAGAGCTATTGGAACCCATACTTTATGCTAAAATCCATTCTGACTGTGCAACATAGCATGTAAATGATGCCCCTGAAAAGAAAAGAAAGGTAGTGAGAATGTGTTGTTGGGTGAAAGGAACCTTCCAAGTCACTTCTGGGTCATAATAGAATTCCCAGACCAATAAAGTCTTTGGTGAGTGAGGCTAGTGAACTGGAGGAAAGAGAAAAACACCATGGAAGGGTCTGTGAAATGGCATGGGTTAAGTTTCAGGAGGGATATGTAATGTACAATGAGCCATTTAAATACACAAAATATTTGTAAATTCAAGTGCTTGTAATTTAAGCAATCGCCATATACTGAAACCAGGCACAAATTAAGTGACAGCATCAGAATTTTTACTATTATTGGACCTATGTTTAGTTATATTATTTAAGCAACCTGAATGAAATGTAAAACTCTGAGTTTAACTGTAGTTTATTGAGTGATATCAAAGTACTTTAAGAAACTAATAGCCTTGAGATAAAAGGGCATATCAGCAAATAGTCATTTAGCCAACACCAGGATTAAATGTTTCTTTAGGATACTGAATGTTCATAGGCACAAATAAGCTTTGTATACTTGAACTGAGTTTTATAATAATATTAAACATAAAGGCTTCTTAAAAACAAACGTGTCTCCCTTCCCCCATTAACAGTTCCGTTTCAAAAAACAGAACTTCCTATGATTGTACACAGCACAGAATCCTACCTCATCCTGCTCTGCACCTGCTAACTAGATCAGAGAAAACCAAAATACTTCCAAGACATATACTTTACCTAAACAAGTTCCAGTTTAGAGTCACATATGATACAATACACTATATAAAGAATGGCCTTTTCTTTTTTCTTCTTCTTTTTTTTTTTTTTTTTTTGAAACGGAGTCGTGCTCTGTTGCCCGGGCTGGAGTGCAGTGGTGCAATCTTGGCTCACTGCAACCTTCACCTCCTGGGTTCAAGCGATTCTCCTGCCTTAGCCTCCCAAGTAGCTGGGATTACAGGCGTGCGCCACCATGCTCAGCTAGTTTTTTTGTATTTTTAGTAGAGACGGAGTTTTGCCATGTTGGCCAGGCTGGTCTTGAACTCCTGACCTCAAGTGATCTGCCTGCCTTGGCCTTCCAAAGTATTGGGATTACAGGCCTGAGCCACCATGCCCAGCCTTCTTTTTTTAAATGCCACTGAAATCAAGGCTATCTTTTTGTTTAAGCCAATGTTTAAATTTCAGGGACTATCAAAGGAATTCATCTTTAAAACATTCTTGGTGACTTCTAAAAAATGATAGAGTGCAAAATGATGTTCGATCAAGAATGCTTACTGAAGCATTATCTGTAAGATATGGAAACAAATGTTCAACAACTTGGAATTAGTGAAATAAATTATGAAACAGCCATTATATAAAATATACTGCAGTGATTTTAAACATTTTTAAAAATATTTGATCACTTGGAAACATGTTTATAATGTAATAAATGAAAAGAATGGGATATAGTGTTATTCCAATTTTTAAAAATTTCTCTTCCTACATATAAAATAAACATAAAAATATGAGCATTTAAAATTATAGTTACCTTGAATTTTTCTAATCCAAAGCAAAGTGATTGAAAACATCTTTAAAGTACACACTACACAAGACACTTTCCCAGTAGATTAATTCATACATGTTGAATAGTATAGCAATAGGATGTGCTCTAGGGACAATTTCGTATCATTTTCACCTCTGAGCAAACTCTTTGCACCCTATAATGGTGATTCTTCCTGATCTGAAACACAAGCCCCAAAATGTTAAAATGAACAACAAGAAATGGCAAAAATGGGAACATTCAAGCAAGTTAAGAAATATAGAAAAAAAGCTTGAAAATTACATTCATCTATGAATGAAAGCGTTATTTTCAGTGTCAACAGCAGAATGTCAATCTGAGTGCAACACGATGTAATTAGAGCTTATAATGTGGAACACAATAATATGAATATTCAAAACTATTATACGGCCCTAACAAATTTTATTTTACAGAAAGTAAAAACTTATATTATATATCACGTAAAACTTTATATAATATACATATGCACACATAAGTGTATATATACTCGTGTGTGTATGAATATCACAACTCAAGGGAATCAGACTTGTATTTTCAATGAACTGGACAGAGTATGAATGGGCGACAGAGTGAGAACCTGACTCAAAAAAAAAAAAAAAAAAAAGAAGAAGAAAAGAAAAGAAAATCCAAGTTAATAGCTTTGAAGGTGTTTATTTTTCAACTTAACTTCCCACATTTTCTGTTTTTTTTTGTTTGTTTGTTTGTTTTTCTGTTTTTCTTTTGAGATGGGGTCTCACTCGGTAGCCCAGGCTTGGAGTGCAATGGCGCAATCTCGGCTCACTGTAACCTCCGCCTCCCAGGCTCAAGCAATCCTCCCACCTCAGCCTCTTGGGTAGCTGGGACTACAAGCCCGTGCCACCGTGCTTGGCTAAGTTTTTGTATTTTAGTAGAGACGGGGTTTCACCATGTTGGCTAGGCTGGTCTCCTGGCCTGAAGTGATCCACCCACCTCGGCCTCCCAAAGTGTTGGGATGACAGATGTGAGCCACCGTGCCAGGCCATTTTTTGTGTTATTCATGGCATGCTACTTAAATGTATAGATTATCTCTTCCACTATGCAGTTTCCCAGACCTGCGTGTTGTCCTCCTTTAGACTGCAATTATGAGGAGGAAAAACTTGATTTTTTATGAGGTTTTTTACACGAAACCTCCCATTATGGGCAATCACAAAACTAAAAATGAGGTATGGTAAGCCAATGGACTCTGTAACAATTACCACTGAAGACCAAAATTCTACTCAGTAGTTAGTTAAAAAGGGGAAAAACACCACCCAATTAATGGCTTTAACGGGCTACCTTGCACAATATTTGAGGTAAGAAATAGAAGAAAGTATCACATGGGCTGGGCGCGGTGGCTCATGCCTGTAATCCCAGCACTCTGGGAGGCCAAGGCGGGCGGATCACAAGGTCAGGAATTCTAGACCAGCCTGACCAACATGGTGAAACCCCATTTCTACTAAAAATACAAAAATTAGCCAGGCGTGGTGGTACGCGCCTGTAATCCCAGCTACTCAGGAGGCTGAGGCACGAGAATCACTTGAACCCGGAGGCAGAGGTTGCAGTGGGCTGAGATCACGCCATTGCATTCCAGCCTGGGCGACAGAGCGAGACTCCATCTCAAAACAAAACAAAACAAAACGGGCCGGGCGCGGTGGCTCACGCCTGTAATCCCAGCACTTTGGGAGGCCGAGGCGGGCGGATCACGAGGTCAGGAGATCGAGACCACGGTGAAACCCCGTCTCTACTAAAAATACAAAAAAACTAGCTGGGCACAGTGGCGGGCGCCTGTAGTCCCAGCTACTCGGGAGGCTGAGGCAGGAGAATGGCCTGAACCCGGGAGGAGGAGCTTGCAGTGAGCCGAGATCACGGCCGCTGCACCACTCCAGCCTGGGCGACAAAGCAAGACTCCGTCTTTAAAACAAAACAAAACAGAACAAAACAAAAGAAGAAGAAGAAAGTATCACATGTAGGTTTTTATTCTATTGTTATCAACCTAGTCTCTTATTTTTCATTATAATATGTCTGGCTTTATTTTTCCTTTGCTTGTAAAAATTGGATGGGTGCAGAACTTTTACAGACAAAGAAAAATGTGGCAAGACTTACGTGATGAGAACCCTGCCATTTCTGTAAACTCTTGTTAAAGCTTTAGTGTTTCTATGATACACTGCTGCAGTACTTTGAATTTATATAGCACCTGTCTGCTTAAAAGCCAAGGCTTCACGTTTCTCACTTATCCTTTTACCATGCCTGTGAAATATGTAGATTGGAATCACATGGCTTAAAAATAAAGTGAAACCCAGATATGACCACAGAAAATTTCAATGAGTTACTTAAGATCATCTATCTGTCCAGACTGCAAAGGACTAAAAGACCCTAAATTCTATGCTCAATGCTTTTCCAATAAACAACACTACCTCCTTATTATCAAATACGTTTCTAAACTTTTAAGAAAATGTAAGGTTTCTCATATTATAAAATCAGTAGGCTTAATGCACCAAAAATCCCTGTCAAGGAATTAAATAAATGGCACCTCTTTATTTTAAAGAACTAACATTAGTCATGGAATAACCCACTGGTGATCACTTTCCTGAATAGTCATCAATTTGCCAACAAAGTATTTAGCTTGGATCAATGCAATTGCATCAAAGTTTGAAAAGTCAACTGATAAGTGAAATAAGCCAGATTATGAATATTTGAAAAAATAAAACCCAGCAAACCAAAAAGCTTGAGCAATCCTCTCTTTTTATAAACAAAAGCATGAATGGTGTCTGGCACATGTATGTACTCAATTAGTTATTAATATAATAATTTTAAATGACTTTCCGAAGGTCAAATTATGAGTCAATGGCAGAGCACTATCTAGAATCTAATTCCTCTGAGGGCAAGTTCAATGATTTACTTAAGATAATCTATCTGTCCAGACTGCAAAGGACTAAAAGACCCATGCTAAAATAATTAGTATTTTCATTTTTGTATACTAACAATACTTCTTCATCCCTAAAACAGTTTATACTCACTAATATTTATCTTCCAAGTGTCAAGACTAAGGCAAAATTTGGTATTATTAAATTTATCGTGAATCTTCTGAAATTGTCTCACCTCCGTAACTAAAATAAATTGGCCCAAGTATGATCAGATCTTCTAAGACTGACATTTCACGATTAGACTGTTTCCATAACTTTAACCAAAGCGCTCTCATAACTAAAATCAGCTAGTCATGACCACTGGTATATAAAAATCTTCCAACATTGTAATGTATCCAAAAAGCTTTGAAACCTCCAACACACTGAATATACATTATATGGTATATCACTGTCTAAAATAATACAGACTCAAAACATGACCCAGCTGACTTCTTCTAAATGAGTTGTATTATTTTCACAGATCAAAAATTTTGCCTTCTGGATCACTCTTCACCAAAAGAAAAATTGCCATATGACCAAAGACAACATGATTCTAAAAACAGATACCCCATTGTTGTCATGTATTGAGAGATATTCATTTTCAAATTTTATTTTATACCAGCTACTTTCATAATCTGTACCAAACATCAAAAAAGAAACAGTTCAGCTTATACATTCCACATAGATTATGCTAGATCAAACACAACAGCAAACTCATGAATTTATCATATGTGCTAAGAACACTGTCAGTACATTTCATGAAAATCCAAGTAGAAATAATGCCTAAAACAGAATATGGGATAATGGCAAATGGACTTTCTTCTTGTACCCTCTCAGTGTCACCAAAAAGAACCACTTTGGTGCTCAAGCACCATGGCCAAGCTGCCCTTTTATTTTCAGTAACAGAATTCTGTTCTCCTGGGAGAAAAATCTCATTGGGTTTCTGATAGTGCCCTAGATACTGACATTCTGCCAGTATAAACAGTCACAGTCAAAGTCTAATGTGCGTGTAACCACTTGTGGAAGAGGCTTAATCTCACCCAAATTATTACTCACTAGTTATAATTAATCCTTCTACCCAAAATGCCATAAGCCTAGTCATTTTTATCAATTGAATCTAAATGGTTACATCAGACTAGAGACTTTGGACTTCAATGTTGATCGTCTGTATTAAGTCAAGGCAAAGTGTTATTTATTTATTAATAGCTCCCCACCTCAGGTAAAGGGGTTGCTATCTGCTAGATCTAACAGTAAAAATCAAGAATTTGACTCCCAGCCCCCTAATTTCAATAAAAATTTGGGCTCATTAGATCATACCACCAAAAAAAGTCAGCAATATTGGGGGTGGTGTTCAATGAGTAGGCATCCCAAGACAATGAAAAGCTGTGGACTAGAGCCTAGCGATGATTCTGTTTAGACATGATTTCACAATACTTAAAAAAGAACTTATCCCCCTACCACTGTAACCTAGTTGAGTGGTAATAACTTCCTTTTTTTGAGGTTAAACATTTATTATTTCGATCTAAAATTATATTATCACCTCACTTCCACTAGAGGGGTCTATCTACCAGTGTAGTTAACTCTAGTAACTCAGGTGCACCTTAAATCCATTTCCAGCTCATCTGTGCCACAAGGCTAGCCTTGGGGTCAGAACAATGTGCTTTAAGGTTGTTCTAGTTTTCAGGCTCAGAAACGGATGAACAGCAAGAAACTGGAGTGCTCCGGTCATTCAGAGGCTGCTGCAGGAGACAAAGGGTTTTTGGCAAAAGAATACAAAGTCAGAATCTCTTAAATATCTTCTGCCCTAGTTGTTTTCAAGACTGAATATGCATCAACCAGGTCCGTTTTTTCTTTTTTTTTCAGATAAGCAAAGCTTTTAAACTCCTGACCTCAGAGGCTCCTCTGCCTCTCTTCTATACTCTGTAATATATAATCTGAATAGCCAAATTGCCACGTTTTCCCAGAAGCAACCTTAACTTGGGCCACTTGGGCGGGTATAGGTCAATATGGGAAAGTTGTTTCAGTGTCCTCTCATTATTCTACCAAACCACTGACAGGCAAAAACCCAACCAACTCGATGTATCAAATTTACTATCCACTGTTTTTGTGCATGATTTCTAATCCAGTTAATTGAAAACCACAAATAACTGGTGGTTAATTTTAGTCAAGAGGTTATTTACTACCTTTAAGTAGTTGCCTAAAATAGGGAACAGTTCAATTAGAATATAGGCCAGACCAAGGAAGATGAACAGAGCCTTACTTTTTAACACTATCTTGTGGGATTTAGCTTCAAATCTAGTATTCAGGGACAAAATGAGGCATGAGTAATAGGATGACTTCCCTAGAAAATAATTAGTAAGATGTTTTTTAAATTTAGAAAAACCATGAGATTGAAGAAGAGAGGAGATACATGTCCCAGCTCACATATATTTCAATCCCTTATTTTAAAAACAGCTCCTGTTTTTGTTTTGGATAAAAGCTGAGCACCAAATTCCCTTTCTGGTCCCCTCATCCAAAATCCTAGTAGACTTCCTTGATTAGAAGCTAGTTCACACTCCTCCCCACCTTTTTTTTTTTCAAACGTAGAGGTGGTTTTTGGAATATGGGCCTCAACCATTACATTCCAGCTTTAAAGTAAAAAGACGTCATGTGACCATCAGAGACTTGGGGCACGTGATTCCAACTGGTATGTGTGGGGCTCCAGCCACTTAGTTGGAATTCACCATGAACTGCATCTCGAGGATCAAGTTTAGGCTCCCCAGTCCATTGTGACATCCAGCAAAGTGGAGTAAGTGCTTGCCCCTCAATGGTTTTTACTTTTCCCTACATTTTCTACCTACTGTTAGCCAGGCTCCCTTCCCTCCTCCCAATCCCTCTTAACAGGCCGGGCGCCCCCAGCATCCCGTCTGTCTGACGCTAAATGGCGAGGCTCTCCAACCCACTTAGCTCCAAGCTCAACCTTCTGCAAAAGTTCAACCTTCTGCACCACTGGGGATATCGTGCAGCTCAGGTGAGAGGCAAGGAGCATCGCATAAGGCTAGAGTCAGATGCCATTAACCCCCACTCCACCTCCCGGGCTGGGATCATCTTACGTCCCGGAGCCCGGCGGTCGGAACCGCCAGCACACTGGAGCAGCGACGGCGGCAGCAACTTTGGGACTGGCGAGAAGCCAGGGCGGGGGTGGTCGGCGTCCCCGGGCCTCTCATTACAGCGCTTAAGTACTGCGGGTGGAGAAAAGTAAACACAGGCAAGTGCAGCTGTGCGGGGAAAGGGCGGGGGGGTAGACTATTACCTCCCTCCCGTCGCCCCTTTGCCTCTCCCTCTCCAAGAGTCGGGAGAGGTCCGGGACTGCCGCCGCCCCGACCGCGCGCCCGGGGCCGCAAAGTCAAAGGAGCTGAAAAAAGGACAGGGGGTGTGGGGCCAGGGGAGAACGGAAAGGTACTGTCCTACTAGCCCAGAGATGTTCTCCTACTGAAAGGAAAAAAAGTGCTTACTCATAGGGAGACTAGGTGCGTTCGCGACGCCCTCGCTAAGGACAAGGGAGGGAAGCAGGCAGAAGGCAGGCAACCCAAACCTCGTGCCTTCCCTCGGCCACGGCCCCCCCTCTCCAGAGCCCCAGGGTCGGCTTAAGCCAGCCAGGTCACCCGAGGCGGGCGTGTGGGGGCTGGAGGAGTAGCAGGCTGCTGGCTCCGGGATTTCCTGAGTCCGGGCGGGAGGGAAGAGGGGATGGCAGTAGCTGGAGAAGGACGACAGAGGGAAGTTGTGCGCTCCCTTTCCACTTCGGGGCCGCAGCCGCGGAGGGGAATCAGGGCAAGGGCTGGCGTCTAGGACTCCAGCCCAAGACTGGCAACAAGTTAAGAGCAACTAGTAAGAAAACACCACTTAATACAGTGAAGTGCAGAAAACGTGTCTGCGGCGGATGCTAGTAGGGAAACTCCCCGTCACTCACACCCATTTCGGTTGCGACCGATCGCCCGGGCGCCCGAGGGCTCCAACTGAAATTTCTCCGACCTCCCTCTCCCCCAACCCCCGCCCCACGGTGCGCCGCACGTTCCTGCTGAGCTTAACCGAGATGCTCTCCCCGGGACCCACTCCTGCCCACGCCCAGGAAACCCGCTCCCCTAGTGCCCGCCGGCGCCTACAAAGCACTTACGTAAAGTCGCAGAGTCCTGGGTCTGGCCCGACTGCCGCCGACCAACCCACTCAGACAACTTCTGCACCTCGGAATCTTTGCAGCTGTGGCTCTAAAGCCAGCGCTCCCTCCCCTCCTGCCAGCCCCCTCCGCCCCTCGGCCGCCGCCATTGGCTCGGGTGGTGCTAGCAGTCGGCCTGGGAACCAGGAAGGGGATTGGGCCACGAGCCTGTCACATCAACTGGGTGGGGATCCAGGAAAATAGGCACGGGGATGGGCACCCAGGAGGGATAGGGACTGCAACTCTGCTGCAGGGAGAGGAGAATGGTCCCCAGCGCCTGAGTCTCCCCTTCCTACTTGGGCTAAGAGGAAGTTAGAAGTCCAACGTGCCTGGCTCGGAGTACACATTCACACAATCTTGTGGGATTAATAAAAAGATGAAAAAGTTGGGAACAAGAATTTGAATGCCACCTATATAAGTCTATGGGGGAGGGGTACAGTTTCTCCCAGAATCGTGAGAAGAATAACGGCATGTTGGGGAACATTCCTAATTACATCTGCAACAATCAGTCCAGGTGCCAAAGGGTGCAGAGGGAAACATCAGCAATCATTCCTTTCCTTAAGAAGTCAAGGGAGAAGAATATGGGCAGGGCAGGGCCCTCAAGCCTTTGGCCTCATGCCAAGTAAATTGTTAGCCCACATCACCTGTCTGGTATGTTTGTCCATGCGGAGAGGGGTTGAGAGGAGGTGGTTGGAAGTACATTGGTTCCACTCTTTTGACCGGAAATGGGTATCAATTCTCATCAGTCTCCTTTCACCAGAGAAAATTTGGAGACATGTTACTACTCCCCAGACTGCCATTTCTTCTCCTTCTCTGCCCAGGAGATGGCTTCCACGTCATAGCTGACCTCTTTCATTAATACACGTGGAGGTTATCTGCATTCCAAACCTATGGTTCATCGTATATCCAAAATCAACTCAGAGAGCCAGAGTTTGAGGGATTTTGCAGGGTCAGGTCAAGAGACTGACTTGTGGGATAGCTGTAGAAGAAAAAGTCTAAGCCCTTTCCTGTTCCAGTCGTAACCATTTTGTTGAGGAAATGTGTGCTTGGAAAGTTCTGTCAACATTTAAAATTAGTTCAATTAAGTCGCATTTTACATGTACCAGGAAAAAATGCTGAGAGGCTTTAAAATGGAATGTTCTTGAAAAGGAACCCCTATTTCATCTGCCATTATGAATTTCCTTAGAGAAATTAATCCGTAGTGAGTGCCAAGGCTTCTTAAAAGGGAAGAACTTGGGGAGTTCATATATTGCCTAAAGGCTAGACTAGCAGAGGACTTGGCACGAGGAAAAAGCCTTGTTAAATATTAATTAATGATTAACCAACTGGAAGAACTTATGAAAGGCACAGGAAGGTGAAAAAGAAATGGGAGGGCAATCATGCTTTCACAAACATTGAATTTCTGTTATGGGAGATTTTCTACTGGTTCAGGTTTGGGCCAGCACAAAAATACTGATTTCAACATGTTGGCGTTGGATTGAACATGGAGCCAGTGCATTGCCACACACATTTACAGTAAGCTCCCAAATGAGATTTCTAGCATTCAGTAATTGGCCAAAGGTTTGGTGTGACTTCTGGAATTCTTTACAAAAAATTTTTAGATACAGGAAATAGGCTTTTTCAGTTTTCTACCTTTTATGGTGTCTGTCGGTCACCGCTGAAGAGCTTCCACCTGCTCTTAAACTTAAAATTACAGACTGAGCAATAGCATGAAGGGACTCTGTAAGCTAAATTTTCCAGTGCAGATATATTTGTCTCAATTACGTTGTATTCAATTTTAGTTTATTTTTCAAATTCTAGAATTTAAAGTAAAAATATTAAGAATCCTACGTATATGCTATTTACAGTTCCTGTTTTTAATTCAAAAAAGCTTACATTGGTCCGAGTAGGGTAGCTCACGCCTGTAATCCAGCACTTTGGGAGGCTGTGCAGTGGGAGGATTGCATGAGGCCAGGAGTTCAAGACCAGCCTGGACAACATAGCAAGACCTCATCTCTACAAAAAAAATTAATAAAATTTTTTAAAAGCTTAATAGAATCTATACTTTGATAAAAGTCTTCATTCACCACTATCACTGAGGATGTCAGAATTCAGTCAAGAAATGTCATTTTAATTGAAATGCAATAGTCCATAGTTTCAAAGCTGCAGTGTACCTAGCTGATGGCATTAGTTCTCATTGCCTCAGTAACTTTCCAACAGATAAAACACACCCTAAACACAGAAGCACCTATTTGGATGCTAGCTGAGATTCCTGTTTAACAAGCTCCACTATATAATCCAGGTAGAACTCCATTTTAATGAATACTATTAAGATACCCAGCCAGTTTGATGTAACTAAGCTACCTTTGTGTTGCCCAGAATCTAAAGGATCTTTTCAAATTTAGCATTTTGCTGGAAGAAAGGATCCTCAGGCTCAAAGCTCTTAAACAGCATTTCTTTATAATTTTTCATGCCATCAATTTACCTCATAGAGGATCATTCACGAAGTAACCCAAAGTTGATTGTTTTCTTATCTGTATCAAAAAGCCTGCACAGATGTTTGTCAGGGTTCCCTCCACCTGCTTATAGGCTTTAATTTATTTTGACAGTGACTTGCATAGTGCCTGACACATAGGAGTTCAGTAAATGTTTGCTGAACCAATGGTTATTTTATGTCTATTCTTGTTAAACAACAGCAACAAAAAGCTATTAATATATATAGGATTCTCACAGACCTTGTGAATCAGTAACCTAAGAGTTTTTACCTTTCCTTCCATTTCCAATTTTCGATCCTAATGCCTTTGTAATAAATCACTTAAAGTCAATATCACAAAATTTTGAAAACCATTTATTCTTCCTGTCCTCCGCTGATATCATAAGAAGGCGCCAATATCTCTCTTAGGTTTTTTGTCTGTCCAAACTACTTTTCTTTCCTCCTTTTGATACGCACATCCCCCTTTTTCTTGCTCTTTTTCCTATTGTTCTGCCCAACACTCTCCCCAGTCTAGCTCACAATGTATTATGTGTACATAGTCTAAAATTTTCCCTGAAATTTTCCTAGAGTAAGTTGTCAGTTTCCTCTTCTATCCATTTTTAATTCTTTATTCTTAACATGTCATTGCTGGTTTGAACTTTTTTTTTTTTCCTTGAGACAGAGTTTCACTGTTGTCACCTCAGCTGTAGTGCAACGGCACAGTCTCAGCTCATTGCAACCTCTGCCTCCCGGGTTCAAGCGATTCTCCTGCCTCAGCCTCCCAAGTAGCTGGTATTATAGGCACCTGCCACCACACCCGGCCGATTTTTGTTTTTTCAGTAGAGATGGGGTTTCACCATGTTGGCCAGGCTCCTCTCGAACTCCTGACCTCAGGTGATCCACCTGCCTTGGCCTCCCAAAGTGCTGGGATTACAGAGGTGAGCCACCGTGCCTGACCACTGGCTTGAACTTTTTATCCATTTTTTATTTTATTTTATTTTATTTTATTTTATTTTTTCTTCTTTTTCCTCACCCCGTCTGAGATAATTTTTATCATTTTTTTTAAAACCTCCTTTCTGTAGTCTATTAAAAAATGATTTTGCTGCATAAACTTTATATAAGCCAGGAATAACTTAAAGAATCTTGATCAGTTCAATACTAAATCATTTTTCTAACACACCTAATTGTTTTCTCAGTCTCTAAATGTAAAATTGTGTACTAATCTGTTTTAATTAATTGTATTTTATTTTATCAGATTATTTTCAAGGAATTATCCTTTTTTAAATCATCTTTTTAATTCATGGATAATTCTATTCCATGTTGTGATATTTTAGGTTCTTGGATTGATCCTAATCCCTCTTTTTATTCAGTGTGCTGTGAGATGACATTTTTATTAAAATTAAGTATGATTTTAAAGGTTTCTCTCATACTTAAAATATTTGGCATAGAGGAAATCTTGGAAGACCTGGACAATTATTAATTTTTTTTTGATCCATAGGATACAGATTTGAACAGTTATTACCACTGTTTATTAGTGGAGTGTTTTTATGTTTCCAACTCAAAATGTACACATGTATAGGACATGAATATTAATAGTGAATAGGCAATTGTCAAATATTTTTCAAACCTAAAGATTATTATGAATGTGAATGCCTGCTAATGCAGGCCAACTATCTTACACGCACATTCACATAAAGAAATTACTCTGACATGTCCAAGCTTATTTCAGATTTTCACTTGTTAAAAAAAAAATTATCAGTATCTGAGAATAAGAAAATTAAAAAATAAAAAACAAAAAATTAATTGAAGTCTCTTTAATAGGATTAGGACATATTTAATCAGTATGGACTTTATAATATGTAGATTTAACAAAGATCACTATCATCACTGGAAATGCTCAAAATTAAAGTGTCACCCTCCCCTCTCCCGACTTTCTGGGTGTTAAATATCTAATTAATCAATCAGATAACTATTATAAGCAACATAGAAAAAGTATGGTCTCAAAACACAACGAATTAATAGTCTAATATTAATTCAAGATCAAAGTCCACATAACTGTAATAATGAGAAAACAATTCAAGATAGAATATATAAGAAGCACCGTAGGTAGGCTGAAAAGAATGAGAATAATAGGGCTAAAGCAGTTGTAGAAGGCATCCTTTGTGCAATGGAACTTGAGCTAGGCTTGACAAAGATGGGTAAGACTTGATATAGGCAAGTAGAAATGAAAACCATTTTCATTCCTAGGAAGTGATAAAAGAAAAACTTCAGACAAATTAAATTTAACATAGTTTAATTGAGCAATGAACGATGGGGCAGCCACCCCAAACCAGACTAGGTGCAGAGAGACTCTGGTGCTGCCACATGTTCATAGAGAATTTATGGACAGAAAAAGAAAAGTGACATACAGAAAATGGAAGTGGGGTACAGCAATAGCTGGATTGGTTACACCTTGGCATTTGCTTTATTTGAACTCAATTTGAACAATTGGCTGCTTTTATTGGCCAAAACTCAGTAATTTTTACAAGTGAGGGTTACAGTGTGTTTACACATCTGTTTAGGTTACAGTTCACTATGTATGGAAATACTGTTTTTTTTTTTTGGCAGGGTCTCGCTCTGTCACCCAGGTTGGAGTGCAGTGGCACGATCATGGCTCACTGAAGCCTCAATTTCCCAGGCTCAGGTGATTCTCACACCGCAAGTCTCCCAAGCAGCTGGGACTACAGGCTCGTGCCACCACACCCAACTAATTTTTTTTTGTGGTAGAGACGCGGTTTTGCCATGTTGTCCAGGCTGGACTTGAACGCCTGGGCTCAAGTGATCCACCTGCCTGGGCCTCCCAAACTACTGGGATTAGAGGCCTGAGCCACCACACCCAACCAGGCTAAACTTAATTTAACATAAGAAAGCAAAATGGGAGCGCTTTAGGTAAGTTTCTGAGTTTGGGCTTTCTTTCCAGGCTTCTACTTCCTTATCTGCAAAAGAAAAACTGAGGATTTGCCTACCACAAAGGTGCAGTGATAACATCAATGGGAAGGAAGATTGCTTGGGATCTCACTAACGTAATCTTTTTAAAAGAGAAAATATATTTTTTTAACACTTACTTTAGTGATTAAAAAGACTTGTGGGCTGGGCTCATGCCTGTAATCCCAGCACTTTCGGAAGCCGAGGTGGGTAGATCACTTGAGCCCAGGAATTTGAGACCAGCCTGGGCAACATCGCAAAACCCAGTCTCTACAAAAAATACAAAAATTAGCTGGACATGGTCGTGGTACATGCCTGTAGTTCCAGCTACTTGGGAGGCTGAAGTTGGAGGATCACTTGAGGCTGGGAGGTTGAGGCTGCAGTGAGCTATGATATCACCACTGAACTCCAGCCCGGAAAGCAGAGTAAGACCCTGTTGAAAGAAGGAAAGAAAAGAAGGAAGGAAGGAAAGGAGGAAGGAAGGAAGAAAGAAAGGGAGGGAGGGAGGGAGGGAGGGAGGGAGGGAAAGAGGGAAGCAAAAGGAAGAAAGGAAAGAAAGAAAAGAAAAGAGAGAGGGGAACATCACACACCGGGGCCTGTCCTGGGGTTGGGGGAGGAGGGAGGGATAGCATTAGGAGATATACCTAACGTAAATGTAGAGTTAATGGGAGCAGCACACCAACATGGCACATGTATAGATATGTAACAAACCTGCACGTTGTGTGCATGTACACTAGAACTTAAAGCATAATAATAAAAAAAAAAGAGAGAGAAAGAGAGAGAGAGAAAGAGAAGGAGAGAGGGAGGGAGAGAGGGAAGGAGGGAAGGAAAATAAAAGAAAAGACTTGTGAATCTTTCTTGTCTTACATTAATTAAACTGCCAAGTTACAGAAGGTCTTGCTTTTAGTTACAGTAATTTTGTTTGTCTGGTTTTTTTTTTTAATTTTTTAATTTAATTTTTTTTAAGACGGAGTCTCGCTCTGTTACCCAGACTGGAGTGCAATGATGCAGTCTTGGCTCACTGCAACCTTCCGACTCCTGGGTGCAAGCGACTCTCGGGCCTCCTGAGTAGATGGGATTACAGGTGCGCCACCACACCCGGCTAATTTTTGTATTTTAGTAGAGACTGGGTTTCACCATGTTGGCCAGGCTGGTCTCAAACTCCTGATATCAAGTGATCCACCCATCTCCCAAAGTGCTGGGATTACAGGCATGAGCCACCGTGCCTGGCCAGGTTACAGTAATTTTGACAGTTGCTTTAGTTAGAGCCATAATAATCCTTCCCTCAATGAGATTTACATAATTAATTGGCACATATCACATTTTGCTTTTAAGGAAGTATTATTAATAACATGCCTGTAACTTACACAGAATTTAAGGTAGGTGAGTGCACTAGCACGTACAACTTGATGTTATCATTTTGTGTGTCTGGGCTATAAAGCATTCTTTTTGGTGAAATATTCAACCTCAACCTTTATTAGAATGTAATTTGAAATATTGGAGGCTTCCTATGAAAAAAGTCTTTTAAACATATACAAACAACCCTGCAGAATAAATTGTAGCGCACATTTTAAAATTTATAAGGGTTATCCATAATTCTCCACAGCACTAGCCAGACTTCTAAAGAAACAGTCATGTCCAGTCTATTGCGTTTAACTGATTTCTGAATATGTGAGGCCAAATTTTGGTAAATTTATGAGTGTCTACCTGCATTATGTGTGTGTGTGTGTGTGTGTGAGAGAGAGAGACAGAGAGAAAGAGAGAGAATATGATCAGATATTTAAATGCTATAACTGATTATTCTACCAAGAATGCTTATAGTTAAATATTTGGGTCTGTGTTTACTAAGTATGCAAAATAATGACTTTAAAAAGAGATTGACAGTGTGACACCGTGGATGAACCTTGAAAACATTATGCTAAGTGAAAAGAGGCCAGTAACAAAAGACCACATATTGTATGATTCCATTTATATAAAATGTACAAAAAGGGAAAAATCCATAGAGACAGAAAGTAGATTAGTGGTTGCCTAGGACTGGGGGTATGGGCAATTGGGGGGAAATGAGGAGTGACTGCTAGTAGGGTTCCTTTTTGGGGTAACGAAAATATTCTAAAATAGATTGTAGTGGCGGTTGCGTAACTATATGAATAAATTTAAAACTATCGAATTGTACAATTTTAATTGGTGATCTATATGGTATGCGAATTAGATCTGTTACTTTAGGCAAGTTAAAATTAACAGAATTTAACTGAGCAAGAAAAACAAAAACGATTCGAGAATTAGCCAGCTCCCAGAATCAGAACAGATTCAGAGATTCTGGGGCTGCCCCATGGTCAGAGGAGATTTATGGACAGAATCAGGAAAATGACATACAGAAAACAGAAGCGAGTGCAGAAACAGCTGGGCCTTTGCCTTATTTGAGCAGGGTTTGAACAGCTGGCTGCCTGTGAGTGGTTGTTTAAGTATGGCGGCTGTGATTGGCTGAGACTCAGCTATTGTTATAGAAGCCTACTCCTAAATTAGGTTTTCAGTTTGTTTACCTACTAAGTTAGGTTGCAGTTTATACTTAAGAATTCGAGTGTACAAGTACAAAGACTTTCTCAGGCCAAATTTTAGTTTGATTTAACATATCTCTATATAGCTGCTATTCAAAAAGAGAAGGAGATTGACAGAATTAGGCTATTAAGCACAAGGAAAACCATACTAATGAGGATATGATATGAAAGGATCTGTAATTGCAAGGAAGAAACTAAACTCATGCAATCAAAAGGGCCTTGGGAGATAAATTCATCCACTTCTTGGTTAGCATGTTCCCATTTTTGTCACTGTCACTGAAAGAATAACATAGTGCTTTAACTTACTACAAAAGAGATGTAAATTAAACATTACAAAAAAAAAAAATTTCAAACAAATCAAATCAGCCAGAAACGGAACCTAGGCAGTAAAAGGTGATCTAGTGCTTCTCTGATACTTTTAAAAAGGTTTGAATCACCATATGACTAAATTGGTGCCACAGTTTTTTAAATCATGCCACAGTTTTCATAAATACTTGCGGTTATAAAGATAATTGGACATTTGGTTTAAGTAACCAAGAAATTCCTTAGGAAGTGTCACAGAAGGTTTCAGGATAAGAAGTTTCATTCTGAATCAACACACATCTCTTTGGTAATTCAGAACCAATAATGTTTTCACTGGTTTGTTTCTTTATCAATGCCATAGATTCACCTGAACAAGGGTGAAAATAGAATGTAAAGTTGTTCATTCAGGGAGGCATTCCCTTTCATACACTGAGCAACATTATCATAGCTTAAATCCCATTTGGTGGTTGGAATAGGGTAGGCCTAAAACTATGTTTAATTAAGGCTTTATAAAAAGTTTTAAATATTTGGGAGTCCTCTGGAAAGGACGCCACGTGAAATGCGATCATATGCCTAAGATTATCCTAAGTCAGAAGTTAGCAAACTTTGCCTGTAAAGGGCCAGATAGTAAATATTTTTGCATACAAGCCATACAGTGTCTGTTGCAACTACTCAACTCTGATGTTGTATTATGGAAGCAACCATAAAAATTAAATAAACAGGCTGGGCGGGTGGCTCACGCCTGTAATCCCAGCACTGTGGGAGGCCGAGGCGGATGGATCACCTGAGGTCAGGATTTTGAGACCAGCCTGGCCAACATGACGATACCCCTCCTCTACTAAAAATACAAAAATTAGCAGGGCATGGTGGTGCATGCCTGTAATCCCAGCTACTCAGGAGGCTGAGACAGGAGAATCGCTTGAACCCCGTAGGCAGAGGTTGCAGTGAGCTGAAATCGTGCCATTGCACTCCACCCTGGGCAACAGAGCAAGACTCCATCTCAAAAATAAATAAATAAACAAACAGCCGGGTATGGTGGTTCATGCCTGTATTCCCAGCACTTTGGGAGGCTGAGGGAGGCGGATCACTTGAGGCTGGGAGTTCGAGGCTGGCCTGGCTAACATGGTGAAACCCCGTCTCTACTACACATACAAAAAATTAGCTGGGCCTGGTGGCTTGCACCTATAGTCCCAGCTATTCTGGAGGCTGTGGCACAAGAATCATTTAAACCCAGGAGGCGGAGGTTGCAGTGAGCCGAGATTGCAGCACTGAACTCCAGCCTGGGCGACAGGGCAAGACTCTGTCTCAAAAACAAATACATATAAAATAAAAATAAAAATAAAAAAAATTAGCCAGCCACGGTGGCACGTTCCTGTAGTCCCAGCTACTCGGAAGGCTGAGGCACGAGAATCGCTTGAACCCGGGAGGCGGAGGTTGCCGCGAGCTGAGTTCGCGCCACTGCACACCAGCCTGGGCAACAGAGCCAGACTCCATCTCAAAAATAAATAAATTAAAAAATAAATAAAGCCGGGCACGGTGGCTCATGCCTGTAATCCCAGCACTTTGGGAGGCCGAGGTGGGCGGATCACGAGGTCAGGAGATGAAGATCATCCCTACTAAAAATACAAAAAAATTAGCTGGGCATGGTGGCGCGTGCCTGTAATCCCAGCTACTCAGGAGGCTGAGGCAGGAGAATCGCTTGAACTCTGGAGGTGGAGGTTGCAGTGAGCCGAGATCACGCTACTGCACTCCAGCCTGGTGACAGAGCAAGAGTCTGTCTCAAAAATAAATAAATAAATAAATAAACAAACGGGCATGATGGTGTGCCAATAAAACTTACCAGAACGGACAACAACAGTTTGGGTTGTCAGGCTGTAGTCTGTCGACTCCTGTCTGGATTACTGTTCTTGCTCCAATATGATCTTGTCATCTGGATGGAGCTGTGTTCTCAAAGAGGTATTTAGGAGTTGGTTTATGACTGATGATATGAAACAGATTGAAATTAGCACTCTTTCATTATTACAATCTTAGGTCTTCACAATCTTTCATACCAAGCAACTGATGGGATGGCTGTCTACTCTGTCTTCTTTTTTGCCTTTCAAATTTGAATGTAATCACAATGGCCGAATTTGCGGGTGGGAGGGAGTGAAGAGGAATAAAATGGCAACTACTATAACTACTGCTTATTGAGCTTCTTCTAGGCCTTGTACTAGAAACTTTATATACATGATCTCATTTAATGCTAATAACTATCTCATTAACGAAAGCATTATTTTTCCCATTTTCAGATGAGAAAACTAAGATTTAAGGAATAAGTAACTTTTGCCCAAGATCATTTTGCTGGTAATGCAGGAGCTGACATGTCTGAGTGTGTGGGATGATTCCATCTCTTGTCTGACTCTACAGTTTGTGATTAGAACCAAAGGATTTTACAGGAAGCATTCACTGTACTTTTATCTAAAAAAATAAGGCAAAGGAACACTATTATTGATTGCACCTTTCTTCTCACTTCCTTGAAAAAATGGTTGGCTCGCTGGTGATAAATCTCTTAGATAAGCACGTATGTTTTATTACATGCTATGGTCTGAATGTTTATGTTCCCGCAAAATTCATATGCTGAAACCTAATTACCTAGATGACAATATTAGAAGATATTGTATTAGAATATATGGTATGAGAAAATAGCAGAAGATGGTATTAAAAGGCAGGCTTAATATATCCAATTTTCGCTTTTTTTTTTTTTGAGATGGAGTTTTGCTGTGTTGTCCAGGCTAGAGTGCAATGGCACAATCTCAGCTCACTGTAACCTCCGCCTCCCGGGTTCAAGCGATTCTCTTGCCTCAGCCTCCTGAGTAGCTGGGATTATAGGCACGCACCACCACGTCTGGCTAATTTTTGTATTTTTGGTAGAGATGGGGTTTCACCATGTTGCGCAGGCTGGTCTTGAAATCCTGACCTCAGGTGATCCACCCACGTCGGCCTCTCAAAGTGTTGGAATTACAGGCATGAGCCACCGTGCCTGGACTAATGATTTTTGTACTTTTAGCAGAGACAGGGTTTCACCATGTCTCCCAGGCTGATCTCAAACTCCTGGCCTCAAGTGATCTGCCTGCCTCAGCCTCCCAAAGTGCTGGGATTACAGATGTGAGCCACCATGATCGGCCAATTTATCCAGTTTTTTTTTTTTTTAGAAAATACATGATTATAGCCCAACTTATTCTACCTGATAAACTCTGAATTATGGGTCACATAAACCATTTTAGAGGGGTAGTTTTAAACCAATTAAATTTATTCTAAATTTAATGTGTTATAAAAAGAAAAACACTCAAAGCATACGGCTGGCATTTCATTCAATTTTACTTAATTTAGGGTCTTTTGAAGCATCAAATTTTAAAAGTAAAATAATTTGATAATTAAAACCATGGGATATTTGTATTAGAAGGAATATTATAGACCACTTCCCTCACAGTACAGATGAGTAAAACTGAGCCCTGCAACAGCAAAATGACTTGCCCTAATCTTTTGCTTTTTCAAGTCCTTTTATAAAGTTACTTTAACAGGTGGCCTTTTGAGGATTATAATTTTCTTTTTATATATTTCCTTTTTAAATGTGGCTTTGCAAATATACTACATAATGATGCACTTCAGAGACATTTCCATAACGGATGTCATGTAGTAGGGTGGAGTCCCTTTCAGCTGTCAGTGTTCTATAGAAGTGACGTCAACAGTAGGGTACTGGCTCAGTAGGGTATAAGTGTGTTTCAAAGTCTTGCACCTACGCAGAAGTATAGGGCCAGTACTGGACTGACCAAGGTCAGGAACCTTGTCAACCAAAGGAAATGAAAAATCCAAGCCTTAAGGATCTAATCCAAGATAAGGGGTTGATGAGGAAGCAAGGTAAGGCATAGAAAATCTGAATAGCACCTCAGTGGAGAGATGATTTGTTAGTTTTGAGACAGTACCCCAGACAGATCACAGAATGCAAAGATTCTTTATTTGAGCTGCTCCTTGAACCTGCTGTCTAATTAATAACTCTGATTGTAAGAGACATGAAAGTCACTCTATTATTCCTTGGGAGGCTGGAGTAAATTATTCACATCATTAGGAACAATTCAATGTCTGCAAAGAGGTCCCTTGTCAGGTAATTCTGCCACACAATGGAAAGGCTTCATTTGCTTTGCTTCCTTAAGTCTCCTTTCTCCCTTACCTGATCTTTGAGTATATACGATCTTTTTGTTCTGTTAAAGGAACAGATCCTTTCTTTTCTCTTCATCAAAGCTGATAAATAAATTGCAGCTTTTTAATAACCTTTCCAATTTCTTTTTTACCTTCATCAAAGCAGGTACTGCTCATTAAAATGGCATAATCGCTCAGGATTAGTGTGAATTTCAGCTTTTACAGAAGAGAAATCCCACAAAGGAGAGAAGCATAGGTAACAGATTGCAAAGGGTTGGCAATACTTCCCTTAAATCTGAATGTAAATACCAGCCTCTCCTAGCTCCCAGCAACGTATACTTATGTATTGGAGCTCCCCAGATGCACAGAATGGATGTGCAAGATGAGAACCAGTTGTCAAGGATTCTTTCTTCTTTTGAATTTCTCTTGCAATATTTAAAATAGTAATATGTATCTTTTTTTTTTTACCGGAAATGATTCAGAACATTAAGGTCTTTCCTGTGCCTTGTTTTCCATTTTGAATTAAATATATTATTTTTAAAAAATGAATCAATACCTTCATTAACATTTATATCAACCCATTTTTTTTTTTTTTTTTTTTTTTTTTTTTGTGGAGGAAGGAAAAGGCTCTGAAGATTTGGAACAGCTCAGCTTCCAAAGTGCAGGTCAGAAAATTGGGCTAATTGAATGCTTATCAGTAGTACTGTAATTTTTTCCAGATGCCTTATAGCATTTTATAAATAATTAGAAATAAGAGTTTCATTTCTAAAAGGGAAACTGATACATAATTTATAATGTGTATGAAAGCGTAAAGTATTATATAAATTCAAGAAATACACAGATTTTTAATTATTTAAAAATTATATAAAATGAAAGTGCTATGCTCATAGCTAATTTTTATATTTTCACTTATTCCTATTATAAACCATCAAATTAATTGTAATGCTTTGGTACTCCATGGAAAGTATTTGCTTAAACAGTAACATCTACAAACTTAAAACCAATATCTTAAATCTCATTGCAAGGTACAGTTCTTTTCCAGGATCCCTAAAATAGGTAATTTCAATGATTGCCCTGAAGGCTTTATAGAAATACCAGGAGGCCAGTAGGTGGCTCACGCCTGTAATCCCAACACTTTGGGAGGTGAAGGGGGAAGATTGCTTGAAGCCTGGCGTTTAAAACCAGCCTGTGCAGGAAAATGAGACCCCTGTCTCTACAAAAAATTTTAAAAATTAGCAGGGCATGGTGGTGCACACCTGTAGTCCCAGCTACTCAGGAGGCTGAGTCAGGAGGATCCCTCAAGCCTAGAAGTTGGAGGCTACAGTGAGCTGTCATAGAGCCACTGCACTCCAGCCTGGGTGACAGAGCAAGACTCTTTTCTTTCTTTCTCTTTCTTTCTTTCTTTCTTCTTCTCCTTCCTTCCCTCCCTCCCACCCTCCTTTCTTTCTTTCTTTTTTCTTCTTTTCTTGCTTTCTTTCTCTTTCTTTCTTTCTTCTCTCTCTTCCTTCATCCCTCTTTCCCTCCCTCCCTTCCTTCCGTTCGTCCTTCCTTCCTTCCTTTTTTTTTTTTTTTTTAGACAGAGTCTCGCTCTGCGTCTCAGGCTGGAGTGCAGTGGTGTGATCTTGACTCACTGCCACCTCTGCCTCCTGGCTTCAAGTGATTCTCGTGCCTCAGCTTCCCCAGTAGCCAGGATTACAGGCTTGTACCACCATACCTGGCTAATTTTTTGTATTTTTAGTAGAGACAGGGTTTCACCATGTTGGCCAGGCTGGTCTTGAACTCCTGGCCTTCAGTGATCCACCCACCTCAGCTTTCCAAAGTGTTAGGATTACAGGCGTGAGCTACCATGCCCAGCCTGAGACTCCTACTTAAAAAAAAGAAAAGAAATATCGTGAAATCACTGTTGGTTTGTACTGCTTAAAAATTCAATCTTAATTGCAAAACACTTCCTTTTATTTTGTAACACTACTCAACACATTTATAGATCATTTAACAAGATTTAATTTTATAGGTAATGAGTTTTCAAGGTATATGCAGATTTTGGCAATGTTTTCTGGAATAAGAAAACATGGAACTCTCCAAACACAATATAGTTATGATTCAACATGAAAGCTGTCGTTTTTATTTCGTACTCTTCTGCATATTTGCTTCAGACAGCTGTTCTCTTATCATTGGTTGGGTCCTGGTATATTGTCTGGAAAGCAAGGTGATAAATATTCATGACTTATGATGTTTTAAAGTAATTGCAAGTAAAAAATGATTGCATTGATAATTGATTTTAATTCCTTTTTGTTTTGTTTTGTTTTTCCCCCTCCACATTATGGGGTCATAAGTTTTTAAAAACTTAAGTTATTATTGTACCTATTCCAGGATCTTCTCAGAAAGGCAGGAAAAAGGGAATTATTTCTTTTTCTAAAATCAAATGCAAATGATCAGATATTGAAACATTAACATGCAAATTAGTGAAACATTCCACAGATTTTCTGCAGCTGCTCCTCACCCCCTCCCTCAACTCCCACATTCCCTTATATATTCTAGCCACACCAGATATTTCATTATTTCCCAAATTTGCCTGTATACCTATATAATCCAGCTTGGGAGAGTGGAATTGAAAACGTGTGTTTAGGAGAGAGTCAGAATTTGGTTTAAATCTGTGTTTATCTCTTACTATCTCTGTAGCTTTGGAAAAGTCACTTCATCTCTGTGTGCCTTGGTATCTTCATGGGAAAATTCAGACAATTGGCACCTCAACATAGTGCTAGGTATATAGCACATGCTCAATAAATTGTTATTGAGTGAAGGATAAAATATAACATATAAACCACCTAATACAGTGCCTGGCACATACTACTGGTAAACAGTAACTCATGATTTACCCTCTGTTCCTCTCTGAGGCCTGCTCTCACATTCCTTTTTAATCTAGCAGATACCTAACTATCCTTCAAGTCCCACATCAAATGGCATATCCTTGGAAATGATTTCTCTAACCCTTCCAGGCAAAGCTAATGCTTCTAGGTCTGCATTCTCATAACATCTTTTTTCCCCCCATCCAGGACCTGTTGTGCCCCTCAAGGAAAGAGAGGCCACCATAAGGCCAATCTGAGTTCCCAAAGAGTAAGGGAGGAGACCACCCCTCATATTGTCTTATGCCCAATTTCTGCCTCCAAAAAAAGAAAAAGTAAAAACTAAAAGGCAGAAATGAAATCCACAAGTAGACAGCCCGGTGCCATACCCTGGGCCTGGTAGTTAAAGATCGACCCTGACCTAATCGCTTGTGTTATCTATAGATTACAGACATTGTATAGAAAAGCACTGTGAAAATCCCTATCCTGTTTTGTTCCGATCTAATTATCGGTGCATGCAGTCCCCAGTCACGTACCCCCTGCTTGCTCAATCAATCATGAACTTCTCGCGCAGCCCCTTAGAGTTGTGAGCCCTTAAAAGGGACAGGAATTGCTCACTTGGGGTGCTCTGCTCTTGAGACAGGAGTCTTGCGGATGCCCCCGGCCGAATAAACCCCTTCCTTTTTTAACTGGGTGTCTGAGGAGTTTTGTCTGCGGCTCGTCCTGCTATATGTCTTGGTTCCCTGACCGGGAAGCGAGGTTATTGGTGGATGGCCGAGGCAGCTCCTTAGGCGGTTTAAGCCTGCCCTGTGGAACATCCCTGCTGGAGACTCCGACCAGCCCGAGCGACCCGGATCCTGAGAGCGCTCCCGGGTAGGCGGCATTTGCCCCGGTGGGATGCCTCACCAGAGCAGTGTGTGGCAGACCCCCATGGAGGATCAATGCAGTGGCTGAACACCAGGAAGGAACAGGCACTTGGAGTCTGGACATCTAAAACTTGGTAAGACTAGTCTTTGAAACTTGCCCACTCCATTTGAGTGGAAGCGTGGCCTGATCACCCACGGCGTGCCTTTATCGGCACTTTGATTTTGGTTTTGGTTTTGACTTGGTTTGAATTGCTTGACAGGATTGGTCTTGGGAACTTGCCTACTCCATTTGAGTGGAAGCATGGCCTGATCACCCACGGTGTGCCTATACCGGCATTTCGGTTTTTGTTTTTGACTTGACTTGGATTGCATGATACTTTGGTTCTGGTTTTGACCTGGCTTGGATTTCTGGATACTCTGATTTTGGTTTTGGTTTTGACTTGGTTTGAATTGCTTGACAGGATTGGTCTTGGGAACTTGCCTACTCCATTTAAGTGGAAGCATGGCCTGATCACCCACGGTGTGCCTATACCGGCATTTCGGTTTTTGTTTTTGACTTGACTTGGATTGCATGATACTTTGGTTCTGGTTTTGACCTGGCTTGGATTTCTGGATACTCTGATTTTGGTTTTGATTTTGGTTTGGTGCAAACTGCAAAAGTGTGTGTGTGCTCTTTTTTACCCGTTCTTTGTTTTGTGGTGTGCATGTGGTGTGAGCATGGTGTTTTGTCTCGAAGAAGCATAGGTCAGGCACAAATAAGCCCACCCTACTAGGAACTATGTTGAAAAATTTCAAAAAAGAATTTAAAGGAGACTATGGAGTACTATGACACTAGGAAAACTTAAAACTTTGTGTAAGATAGACTGGCCAGCATTAGAGGTAGGTTGGCCATTAGAAGGAAGCCTGGACAGGTCCCTTGTTTCAAAGGTATGGCACAAGGTAACCTGTAAGCCAGGGAACCCAGACCAGTTCCCATACATAGACACTTGGTTACAGATGGTTTTAGACCCCCTACCCCCAACACACAGTGGTTGAGAGAACAGCAGCATAAGCGGCTGGCAAAGGCAAGGAAAGACCAGCAGAGAGAGAGAGAGAAAGGAAAGACACAGAGAGGAAAAGAGGCAAAGAGAGAGAGGAAGAGACAGAGCGGAAGAGACAAAGAGGGAGTCAAGGAGAGAGAGAGAGAGAAAAAGAAAGAGAGAGGCAGAGAGAGAGAAGAAGAGACAGAGGCAAAAGGAAAGTCAAAGAGAGAGACAAAGTCAAAGAGAGAAAGAGAGATATTCAAGTAGTTAAAAAAAAAGTGTACCCTATTCCTTTAAAAGACAAGGTAAATTTAATACCTATAATTGATAATTGAAGGTATTCTCCGTAACCCTATAACACTCCAATACCACTTTCTTGTCAGTGTAAACAAGGGCGTATCCCAAAAACACTGAGGCCTTCCTATCAAAAATCTTTAACCCAGTAACCCGTGGATGGCCCAAATGCATTCAATCTGTAGCAGCAACTGCTTTGCTAACAACAAAAAAAGGTAAAAAAATAACTTTTAGAGGAAACCTCATTGTGAACACACCTCACCAGTTCAGAAGTATCCTGAAGAAAAGAAAGGGGGGAAAAAGGGGGGGTGGAATTTATATAAAAAGAGTATTATATGGTAAATTCTTGTCCTGAAATAAACTGGTTGTTTAAAGAAAGAAATATTTGTAATAAGTCACAAAGCTAAGGCATGTTGAAGAATTGTCTGCAAAAGTCATGAAAGAGAAAAATGTTATAAAAAAGAATTTTGGAAAAAATGTTGTATAATTTAAAAGTAACTAGGCATCCTGAATGTAAAACTATTGAAAAAAAAAGTTTATGTGCAAGGTGTATAAGAAAAGTAAAATATACCTTTGGTAAAAGGATTATAAGGTGGCATAAGAATGTACATTTTTACCTACATTAAAAAGTTAGAAAAAATTATTGCTTTGAAGGTTTAAGCAAGTTTTAAAACGTTAATTGTAAAGGAAATTCTGTGTGTAAACATATTAGCTAAAGTTAAAGAAGTATCATCCAGTTTTTCTGTGAACTGGACATTAAAGTAAAAGCATAACAGGTTTTTCTTAAAGCACCAACTTGCTCTTTAGCAAAAATTTTAAAAGGTTAAAAAAAGTCTATAAAATCTTACCTTATGGTCAAACATTAAAAATTAGATAAATATGTCTACAAGGTTTTATTAAAATTAAGTTTAACATTAATAACACAGTAATATGAAGATAAAATTTAGCTTATCTGGTATAAAAATCATACAAGAAGCATTGTTAAATGTAAAATGGTATTTGGCTTTCTTTAGTTTAAAAACTAAGAAAAATAGGTGCTAAAGGAAATTTCTCAGTAAAAAAGCACTAAGGACTATAAACTCCACTGCCAAGGTTCCCATATTTAAAACAAGAGGTCAATTTCTTTTTTTTTTTGAGACGGAGTCTCACTCTGTCTCCCAGGCTGGAGTGCAGTGGCGCAATCTCGGCTCACTGCAAGCCCTGCCTCCCGGGTTCACGCCATTCTCCTGCCTCAACCTCCCAAGTAGCTGGGACTGCTGGCGCCCGCCACCACGCCCGGCTAATTTTTAAAAATATTTTTAGTAGAGACAGGGTTTCACCGTGTTAGCCAGGATGGTCTCGATCTCCCGCAAAAGGTCAATTTCTTAAATATTATGTACTTGATTTATCGTCCACTTTACTTTCTCTCAAAAACTAAAAGTCTTTTAGCACATGTACCACCCCTAGAATTTCCAATAAACCAGCACCAGCCTCAAGATCACGTTCTCATCAAAGGGTGGAAAGAAGAAACACTTGAGCCAGCCTGGGAAGGACCCCACCTTGTGCTGCTAACCACCAAGAGTGCTGTTCGTACAGCAAAAAAAAAAAAAAAAAAGATAGACTCATCACACCCGAGTCAAGAAAGCGCCACCCCCTCCAGAATCGTGGGCCATAGTCCCAGGGGAAAACCCTACCAAACTAAAGCTAAGAAAAATTTAAGTCTTTTAATCTATTCTATTACTCTTTCTCCTTTCCTTATTCTATTGCTGACCATCTAGTTGTTAACATAACCAAGTCAATTTCACCTCGAACTATTGCATTTAATGCTTGCCTTGTTATACCCTGTGGGGACTTGCCAAGTCAAAGACAGCTTTCTACTTTAGAAAAGTACTTCTGTCCCTCCTGACTCTCCTCAGACTGGGCATTAGTAAACTAGGACCATTTAACCCGGGGAGATTTCGATAAAGACCCCAGTTCCAACCAGGAGTCTTGCCCCCCAATGTACAGCTTTCATGCCATAGTTGGTCCAATGTTCTGTGGACCACTAAAGAGCAAGGATAGACTGCCCCAACCAGTTTTTGTAATTTCCTAAAACCATACATTCATTTTACTAGAGGATCATAGAAGTTAAAGACAAAACAAACTTTAGCAATTAAGACAGGATACCAAGATGCAAATGCCTGGTTAAAATGGATCAAATATTCCATCCGCATGTTAAACAAAAGCAGTTGTTATGCTTGTGCACATGGCAGGCCAGAGGCCCAGCTTGTCCTCTTTCCACTAAGGTGGTCCTCCAGTCGACCAGGTATAGGCTGCATGGTAGCTCTTTTCCAGGATTCTACAGCCTGGAGTAATAAGTCGTGCCAAGCTCTCTCTGCTATATCCCAAAGTTCGGCACCCTGTGGGTCAGCCCCCTAGGGCCATGCAGCCTCCGTCTCCCAACACTAAGCTCACTTCGTGTCTCTCACGACAGGGAGGAAGCTTAGCATTCCTTGGAGACCTGAAGGGATGCAGTGAGCTTAAGAATTTTCAAGAGTGGACCTTTACTGGGCACTCTGCCAAATAACTGGAGTGGCACTTGTACTTTAGTCCAATTGGCTATCCCTTTCACCCTGGCATTTCATCAACCAGAAGGAAAAAAATAAGACATCGTAAAGCGAGAGAAGGCCCTTATAGGTCTTTCAACTCTCACGTCTATTTAGACGTAATTGGAGTCCCACGAAGAATACCAGATCAATTTAAAGCTTGAAATCAAATAGCTGCAGGATTTGAGTCAGTATTTTGGTAGGTGACAGTTAATAAAAATGTAGATTAGATAAACTACATCTATTACAACCAACAGCAACAAGCTTTCATGAGTTAAAAGAAAAACTCATGTCGGCCCTAGCCCTGAGGCTACCTGACCTGACAAAACCCTTTACACTCTGTGTGTCAGAAAGAGAAAAAATGGCAGCTGGAGTTTTAACCCAGACTGTGGGGCCCTGGCCAAGGCCAGTGGCCTATCTCTCAAAACAACTAGACGGGGTTTCCGAAGGCTGGCCCCCATGTCTAAGGGCCCTAGCAGCAATGGCCCTGTTAGCACAAGAAGCAGATAAACTAACCCTTGGGCAAAACCTGAATATAAAGGCCCCCCATGCTGTGGTAACTTTAATGACTACCAAAGGACATCATTGGTTAACAAATGCTAGATTAACCAAGTACCAAAGCTTGCTATGTGAAAATCCCCTCATAACCATTGAAGTTTGCAACACCCTAAACCCCACCATCTTGCTCCCGGTATCAGAGAGCCCAGTTGAACATCACTGTGTAGAGGTGTTAGGCTTAGTTTATTCTAGCAGGCTCAACTTCCGAGACCATCCTTAAACATCAGTAGACTGTGAGCAGTACATGGACGGGAGCAGATTCGCCAACCCCTGCAAAGTGACTCTGAAGAAGACGACAAGCCCTGCTCCAGTCACACCCGGAGGCTGACTGGTCCACGCATGGCCGAAGCATGAGAAAACTCAGCACAGGACTCATTTTCGTTAAAATTTGGACTTGTACCATGAGGACTTCAACTGACCTTCCTCAGTCTGAGGACTGTTCCCAGTGTACACATCAAGTCACTGAGGTAGGACAAAAGGTTGTTATGGTCCTATTATTTTATGGTTATTATAAGTGTACTGGAACTCTAAAAAGAACTTGTTTGTATAACGTTACTCTATATAAGGTATGTAGCTCAGGAAATGACCAACCGGATGTGTGTTATGACCCATCTGAGCCTCCCATGACCACAGTTTTTAAAACAAGATTATGGACTGAGGACTGGTGAGGGCTCATAAATGATACAAGTAAAGTGTTAGCCAAAAAAGAAGAAAAAGAGGTGCCCAAACAAGTCACCTTAAAATTTGATGCCTGTGCTGTCATTAATAATAATGAGTTAGGAAAAAGGTGTGGTTTTCTTAATTAGAAAAGAGGCTATACGGCAGAAAATAAGTGCCTCTGTCATAAATTAGGACTGTGTGGAAATAAATGTAAATACTGATCTTGTGTCATTTAGGCCACTTGGATAAAAAAAAATGAAAAGGATCCAGTCCACTTTAGAGAGGAAAAAAATGGCCCTTCCTGCACTAAGGGACAATGTAACCCCTTAGAGGTAGTAACAACCAATCCCCTTGATCCTTGCTAGAAAAAAGAGGAGTGTGTGACCTTAGGAATCGACGGGACCGGACTGGATCCTCGAGTAAATATCTTAGTTTGAGGAGAAGTTTACAAACGCTCTCCTGAGCCAGTGTTTCAAACTTTCTATGATGAACTAATGTGCCAGTACCGGAAAAACAAGAAATTTGTTTTTGCAATTAGCCGAGCATGTAGCCCAGTCTCTCAATGTCACTTCATGTTATGTATGTGGAGGAACTGTAATAGGAGATCAATGGCCATGGGAAGCCCTAGAATTAGTACCTATGGACCCAGTTCCTGATGAATTCCCGGCTCAAAAGAATCACCCCGATAATTTCTAGCTCCTAAAAGCCTCAATTATTAGACAATATTGCATAGCTAGAGAAGGAAAAGAATTCACTCACCCCGTAAGACGACTTAGTTGTCTAGGACAGAAACTGTATAATGGTACCACAAAAACAGTCACTTCGTGGAGTTCAAATCACACAGAGAGAAATCCATTTAGTAAATTCCCAAAGTTGCAAACCGTGTGGACCCACCCGGAGTCCCACCGGGACTGGACAGCCCCCACTAGATTATACTGGATATGTAGGCATAGAGCTTACGTCAAATTACCTGACCAGTAGGCAGGTAGTAGTGTTATTGGCATTATTAAACCATCTTTCGTCCTACTGCCCATAAAAACAGACGAACTCCTGGGCTTCGCTGTCTATGCTTCCCGTGAAAAGAGAAGCATAGCTATAGGAAATTTAAAAAAATGATAAATGGCCCCCTGAGAAAATCATACAATATTATAGGCCTGCTACTTAGGCACAAGACAGCTTGTAGGGATACCAGACCCCCATTTACATGATCAACCGAATCATACAGTTACAAGCTGTCTTAAAAATAATCACTAATAAAACCAGCAAAGCCTTGACTATTCTGGCCTGGCAAGAAACTCAGATGAGAAATGCTATCTATCAAAATAGATTAGCTCTCAACTACTTGCTAGCAGCTGAAGGAGCGGTCTGCAGGAAATTTAACCTTACTAATTGCTGCCTACACATAGATAATCAAGGGCAAGTAGTTGAAGACACAGTTAAAGATATGACAAAACTGGCACATGTGCCCGTGCAAGTGTGGCATGGATTTGATCCTGGGGCCATGTTTTCAAAATGGTTCCCAGCGCTAGGAGAATTTAAAACTCTTATAATAAGAGTTATAATAGTAATAGGAACCTGCTTACTGCTCCCTTGTTTGCTACCTGTACTTCTTCAAATGGTAAAAAGCTTCATCGCTACCTTAGTTCACCAAAATGCTTCAGCAAAAGTGTACTATATGAATCACTATCAATCTGTCTTGCAAGAAGACATAGGTAGTAAAAATGAAAGTGAGAACTCCCACTATTGAGTGAGAGTCTCAAAGTGGGTGAATAAGGGAGGAGACCACCCCTCATATTGTCTTATGCCCAATTTCTGCCTCCAAAAAAAGAAAAAGTAAAAACTAAAAGGTAGAAATGAAATCCACAAGCAGACAGCCCGGCGCCACACCCTGGGCCTGGTAGTTAAAGATCGACCCCTGACCTAATTGGTTATGTTATGTATAGATTACAGACATTGTATAGAAAAGCACTGCGAAAATCCCTATCCTGTTTTGTTCCGATCTAATTACCAGTGCGTGCAGCCCCCAGTCACGTACCCCCTGCTTGCTCAATCGATCACGACCCTCTCATGTGCACCCCTTTAGAGTTGTAAGCCCTTAAAAGGGACAGGAATTGCTCACTCAGGGAGCTCTGCTCTTGAGACAGGAGTCTTGCGGATGCCCCCGGCCGAATAAACCCCTTCCTTTTTTAACTCGGTGTCTGAGGAGTTTTGTCTGCAGCTCGTCCTGCTACAAGAGATCTCTCTCTCCCCATTAAGAAAGTTGCACAGGTGAGGCCAAACATAACTGTAGAGAGCTAAGAGTCTCATGACATTTTTTTTTTTAAGAGACAGTGTAGCCCAGGCTGGAGTGCAGTGGCACGATCACAGCTCACTGCAGTCTTGACCTCCTGGGATCAAGCCATCCTCTTTCCTTGGCCTCACAAAGTGGTGGCTCGAGACACTGCTCAGCTCAGTCTCATAACATCTTATACCTAGCTTTCATAGCATTTTGTTGCCATTGCCATTGTTGATATGTCTATTTCCCCAACTAGACTATAATAACCTCCTTAAGGGCAGTGACCCTATCATATTGGTCTTTGTATCTGTGGTTTCTAAGTCCCAGGTATACAATAGAGCAAATAAATGTTTGATGAAAGATGAAGAGACTGAGTTGTCTGCCAGAGTTTTTACCAGTATGTAGGACTTGACTATACTTTGTAATTCACATATCTATCTTCCCCACTAGACCATGAAGTCTTTATCCATTTTTCTTTTGTTTTTAGGCAAGGTATCGCTCTGTCACCCAGGCTGGAGTGCACTGGCTCAATCACAGCTCACTGCAGCCTTGACCTCCTGGGCTCAAGCGATCCTCCCACCTTAGCCTCCTGAGTAACTGGGACTACAGGCGTGCACCACACACCGACTAATTTTTTTTTTTTTTTTTTTTGGTAGAGACAAGGTCTCACCATATTGACCAGGCTGGTCTCCAACTCCTGGGCTCAAGTGATCCTTATACCACTGCCTCCCAAAGTGCTGGGATTATGGGTATGAGCCACTGTGCCCTGTTAGACCATGAAATCTTTAAGGAAAGGCCCTCTTTCTATGTATCTCCAGGACCGACACAATGCCTGGCTCAAAAAATGTCTACAGAATTGATAATAGAGAAAAATCTGTCTTTCGGGCTCTTTCACCCATTCTCTTCTGTTATTTGAGTAACCCTCCTCCCCACACTTCACAAGATCCTTACAATACCTGCCTTTCCATGTGTGCTGTTAGTCTCTCCTTTCTTTTGCTAACTTCCAAAGGATAGGTTTAAATAAAATAGACTCATCTTTGCTAAAGTGTTCTTAGCTAACTCTTTGCTAGTTCTTTCATTCATTGCCTTAATCCAGCTACAATATACATTGTATATAGTGGCTACCCAGTTGTCAGCTGGCATATCTAGTCCTGGGCAGAGATTTGATCAGTTAGATATAGTGCATCAACCTATGAAATCTCTCAATTTTGAACCTATCCTTTTAATATGGAGAATGAAATTCACCAAATCTAATTTCCCCCTTTCAGTTTGGGAATGCTCAAGTCATGACCTCCCATGGACCTGGGAGAAAACCTTGGCTCTGCCTTCCTCCCAGATTCCCTGAAGCGACCCCCAGTTTGTTTTTGTTTGCCTAGCAACCAAGAAGGGGCCATTTGCCATACTGATTTTAATATGAAGACATTTGGGTTCTAGTTGGGTATTCAGCTGGAACATAGTGTACTGGAATTATCTATGTCCCGTGATCTCTCTATCAAGCATTACCAATACAAAATTAATATGGAGGCCTGACTAAGATTCTTTAGTATTTTCTCATACAAAGTTGGTCTCTGGTAGGGTGGATGAAGTAATCCAGCATGTGTCATATTCCTTTTCAGTCTTTTCATTATCAAAATTAACCCCTATCCAATCATCTAACCTTTAAGGAAGAAATTACATTACTCATATGATTGCAATTTTAAATTCATGCAGGAAAGCCTTTCCTATATATTTTTAAAAAACACTCAAATATTAATGGTGTTAGTTATGTTGATCAGTTGGTATACCAGTTTGTACAAGGAGAAATGTTTTGGGCTAAGAGTTCTAAATTAGAATATAGTTAGACTAAGGATTGTTAGTAAAATTTTCCTTTTACTTTACCCTGATACTTGGTTTAACTCCCTTCAGACATCTGTTCCTAGAGACTGTTGTCTTTTCTCCATATCCCCCTCTTCCAATTAGAGAGACAGATAAGCAGTTGTCTTGAGAATATAAGGTCACTGGCATTCCATAAATGGATTCCAGTGCCTGCTACAGAAATAAGTGGTGAGTGTTCTCTGTCACTTGCAAACTATAAATTAATTAAGTTGACAACTTTTCCTTCTTTATGTTATGTTTTCAGAGGGACTTTTGAAGTACCTTTTATTGCATTTTCTGATTATTAGAGTAACATATGGTCATTGTAGAGAATTGATAGCACAGATAATCACTAAAAGAAGAATAAAAACCTTAACACCCATAGATAACAGCTGTTAGCATTTTGATTTATTTATTTACAGCTTTTTTATATGCATGTAAAAATGTTTTAAAAGAAAATTGGGATCATATTATATATAAATGCCATATCTTGCTTTTCAAAGCATCCTTGTATCTGAAACATTTTAAGCACCATTAAGTGCTTGAAAAAACCATTTTAAATTGCTATATAACATTGTCATGTGGATATACCATGGATTGTTTCTTTAATCATTCTTTTATCATCTTTAGATTGATTCCAATTTTTCCATCTTAAAAATAATTATGGGCCGGGCACGGTGGCTCATGCCTGTAATCCCAGCAGTTTGGGAGGCTGAAGTGGGTGGATCACCTGAGGTCAGGAGTTCAAGACCAGCCTGGCCAACATGATGGAACATGGTGAAACCCTGTCTCTACTAAAAATACAAAAAATTAGTTGGGCATGATGGTAGGCGCCTGTAATCCCAGCTACTCGGGAGGCTGAGGCAGCAGAATTGCTAGAACCTGGGAGGCAGAGGTTGCAGTGAGCCAAGATCGTGCCATTGCACTCCAGCCTGGGCGACAGAGTGAGACTCAAGTCTCAAATAATAATAATAATAATAATAATTTTGTTCTTAGTCCTTTTTCTAAATTTCCGATTAGACTAGAGTCTTAGGAATTTACTGAGACTAAGTGTGTGATTTTTTTTTTTTTCAAAAAACATTCATAGTAAGAATTCTTAAATTGTTTTAAAGAAAGTTTGAGGCTTGGCTTACTGGTTCATACCTGTTATCTTAGCACTAGGGGGCTGAGGCAGGGAGGATCCACTTGAGCCCAGGAGTTTGAGACCAGGCTGGGCAAAAAAGTGAGTCCTCCAACTCTACAAAAATAAATAAATAAATAAATAAATAAATAAATAAATAAATAAAAAATAAATTAGCTGGACATGGTGGCCTGTTGTAGTCCCAGCCACTCAGGAGGCTGAGATGGGAGAATCCCTTGAGCCTCGGAGGTTGAGGCTGCAGTGAGCTGTGATTGTGCCACTGCACTCCAGCCTGGGCAACAGACCCTGTTTCAAAACAAAACAAAACAAAACAAAACAAAACTTTACACCAATTTGTCCATCTATTATACTAGCAGTGTTTGTGAGTACCTATCCATTTTACTGAAATTTCTCTCAATCCCTTAAACGTTCTTAATTTGACTGACAAAAATGGTATATATCACTGGTGTTTTAAAACGCTGAATGTTAAAAAATATGTATACCATAAAGTTCTTAAACTTTCCCATATGTATTTATCTCTGTTCTTGTTCTTTATCCATGTTCCCTTTTGACTTTCGTGAGCTTTTTTATATTTCAAATCTATCAACCCTTCTTAATGTTTGTTGCAAATATTTTCCCAGTTTGTGGCTTGTGTTTTAGGTTTTCTTGTTTAGTAATGGTTTTTGAGCTTCAACTTTTTCCATTTTTGTGTATTCTAAATCTATTGATTTTCCACATGTGATTTGTTCCATTGCTTATGTGCTTAAAAATTCCATTGTTTTCAGTAGAGTTTTTGGTTGGTTTTACTTAGCCAGACTTATAATTTTGAAGGCAATGGATTTGTTCCACACAACTGTAAATATAGCTGTAATTGTACTTTGTTCATTTTAAATATTTTATAGGCAGATTTGGATGTGCTAGCTATAAAAGTAGGAGCAGCTGTAATTCCTTTTAAACAGGGCCGTGTGTGGAAAGAGCAACTCTTAAGAAGTCTTTTGAAAAAATACTTGAAATGTTGACATTTTATTGCAGTGAACAGCATTCCACATTATTCATTTCACATTGTGTAAGAGCCCTATAACTCAAGGCAACACAACACTCAAATTGAATAATACCCCAGCATTTTCACTTTCAGAATTATTTGACTGGAGCTTTGTTTCAAACTAGCTAAAATAGCATTTCTCAAAGGGTGGTCTTTGGACTCCCTGCATCAGAATCACATGGATACTTGTTAAAATGGAGATTCTTGAGTCCCTCCTCCAGACATACTAAATCAGATCCCTCAGGGTTGAGGTCCCTGAATCCACATTTTAACAAGTATCCCAGGTGATTTGGGTGCCCTCTAAAATTTGAGAATTTCTAGGTGAAAGAGAAACACCCATGGAGGCAAAGGACAAAACACAAACATGTGAGGACTTGAGTTCAAAGATAGATCTGGGCCAGGTGCGTTGGCTCACACCTGTAATCCCAGCACTTTGGGAGGCCAAGGCAGGAAGATTGCTTGAGCCTGGGAAGTCGAGGCTTTGAGCTCTGATCTCACCACTGCACTCCAGCCTGGGCGACAGAGTGAGACCCTGTCTCAGAAAAGAAACAACAAAAAACAAAAGAAAACAAAAAACAGTGTATCAGTTAATAGGAAAAGGAATAGTCAGAATACAACAGGGCTTAAGTCTAAGAGTACTGGTCTATTAATCGGAAAAAGGAGCTCTGCTAACCTCGTGTCTGAGAACGACTCACAATCCTTCAAGTTCCTTATCCTTCAAACGAGGATAAGGAACTCATTTGTAATTGTGGTGGCTTTCACCTGTAATTGTGATGTCTCTCACCGGTAATGGCAGCCCTTTGGGAGGCTGAGGTGGGTGGATCACTTGAGCCTGGGAGTTGGAGACCAGTCTGGGCAACATAGGGAGAACCCATCTCTACCAAAAATTTTAAAAATTAGCCAGGCATGGTGGTGTGCCTGGGACCTGTGGTCCCAGCTACTCAGGAGGCTGAGGTGGGAGGATCACTTGAGCTCTGGAGGTGGAGTGATGGCCACTGCACTCCAACCTGGGCAAGAGAATGAGACCCTGTTTCGAAAAAAGAAAAGAAAAAAGAAAATACATGTACCAGGAGTTTCTTTTTGTAAGGTCTAATTCTGTGCCAAGGAATCATATAGTGTTTTTCTTAATTTGGGAAAAGAATCCTCTGTAATAAGCCATTTCTGTGGACCTCAATGCTCTGTATTGCAAATTAAGACTTTCTAGAATTCAGATTTTATTTTTAGACTGTGATCATTAACTTTTTCTTTTACGTATCTGATTAGGCTTAATGAGTTAGCTACGTTCATGACGTGTAAGGTCCCAACAACAATTTAAAAAAAGATATACATGCACCCAAGTATACATGATTGTAAGGTCCAGGTAAAAGAACAAATTTAACAGTGCTTCATCAGTTTTATTATTGTTAATAATAGAATTGGAGGAAGTGCTAGTAGTGGTCAGCATCTGGAAGGAGTGGCACCAGGAACCAGTGAGTCAGTGTTGACAAGTGTAGAGTTTAAGGCCAAGTAATACAGCCCCTGAAATGAGTTGAAGTAGCGGGAGGGAGAAGGGAGGGAGAAAGCAGGAAATCAGTTGAAGAGCTGTTAAAGTCAGAAGGAGCACAAGTTATTGACAGGATCTACATCAAAAGTGGAACAAAATGTCTCAGTCTGAGTGATGTGATGTGATGTGATATGATGTGATGTGATGTGATGTGATGTGAACTGAGTGATATGAATAGCCACCAAGTTGCTTTGCCTTTCCCCTCCCCCATTTAGAGTCTGGATTGGGTTGGCGCATGAAGTGAGGGCACACCTGTAAGAGGTGACTACATAAAACTAGTTCCTAGAATTAGGGAATTGAGGGATATGGGGGTTGAGAGGTGGTGGAGGGAGTCAAGGCATGTATTTTTCTGTTGTCACACCTTCAGGAAAGGGGAAATATGCTTTCTGAGCAATGTAATTTCCCTTCTGACCTCCATTCTCTTTAGGATTTCAGTTGCCTTTATTTATTACAAAATTACTATATTCCAGTGTCATCAAATCTCAGAGAGTAACAAAGAAACTATATAGCAGTAAATATAGAGATGCATAGTTATTTGAACCCTTCTGAGGCAAGCTCCATTCATTAAGTGGAATAGATGTGGGATTCAAGTCTGTCAGGAACCCCTTAAATTATTTCTGAGTTGGAATTCTTTCTCAATTTCCCACTATGTGTGTGATCTTGAATATGATGTATATGAGCCACATTTTTGAAATCTGGAAAATGGAGATAAACATTTTTATTTAAATAGATATTTGAAGATTAAATAAGATTAAATAAGATATAATAAATAAGTTACTATTTATTATTAACTTCAAATAAATAGTTATTTGAAGATTAAATAAGATATAATAGAAAAAGAACCTGGTACAATGACTGGTACATAGTAAGGACCAGTATCGTTTTTAAATTGATTGATCAAATTTCAATAAGTCTTATCCGATTTTCCAGTATAGTGCCTAAACTCATTACTTTAGCCTTATTCTGTGGGGTCTTCAATTCTTCCTCACTAGTTTTAGCATTTTTTGCTTGTCTCATCATCTATCTCTTCATTCTCTTTGTCTTTCATGTTTTCTCCTTCCCTCCCACCTGTATTTTTAAGGAAGAGCATTGCCTTTGATCTGGAATGTACTCTGGATTCAAAATTATGTCCTTAGCCTCTTGAATACTGAATATATTCTCCTGGTCTTCTACTCAGCGGAATCTCTAAACTAGCCTCCAACTTTTCTCACTTGGCCCCTTCCTCATTTTTCTTACTATGCACTGTTCTTCCCATGGTTGTATCCAAGGTTTTTTTCACATCACTTTTCCCCATTCCAGAGTAACATTTCTAGCCCTCCAGTGTTTGTCATCCTCTCTGGCCACATTCAAGTCATCCTCCAGATATGCAAAAATACACTGACCTAAAATCCAACTAATGATGGATAAAAGACCTGCTTTAAGACTCTGGAATACACTGCACTTAGAGTTAACACTCACTTCTTACCACTATTATTTAATTTTATTTAATATAATTAAACCTCTCTATCTACCCATAGGGGACCAAGAAGTTTAGATTTTGTCTATGGGGAAAATGCTAAAACCTTTCTCCTCCTTCTCTCTGAGTCCAAGTAGTCCTGGATAACAGAAATCTAAAGTCTTTTATTTCAAGTTAATAAAAGGAAAGAAGTTCTTTTTGGAGATATTTGCTTGGAAGCCCCACACATCTGGGTATGCCTCTGATCATTGTACACACACACACACACACACACACACACAAATATATATATATAAACAGTTCACACATTCATTCATTCAACAAATCTATCTATCTATATATATACCTACCTATCTATCTATCTATCCATTTTTGAGACACGGTCATGCTCTGTCGTTCAGGCTGGAGTGCAGTGGCATCAATCATGGCTCACTGCAGCCTCGAACTCCTGAGCTCAAACCATCCTCTCACCTCAGCCACCCAAGTAGCTGGGACTACAGGTGCAGGCTACCACGCCCAGCTACTTTTTATTTATTTATTTATTTATTTATTTATTTATTTATTTTGGAGACAGAGTCTCACTGTGTTGCCCAGGCTGGTCTCAAATTCCCGACTTGGCCTCCCCAAATGCTGGTATTACAGGCATCAGCCACTGCGCCTGGCCAAATTCAACAAATATTTATCGAAAACCTATGACACTTCCCCTACAAAAAAAGACAAAACAAAACAAAAAACAAAACAAAAACAAAAGCTATGATGTGATGTGACTGGGCATGGTGTCTCACCCCTGTAATCCTAGCACTTTGGAAGGTCGAAGCGGCAGGATGGCTTCAACCCAGGAGTTCGAGACCAGACTGAGCAAGAGAGGGAGAGTGTCTGTATTAACAACAAACAAACAAACAAAAAACTAAACTAAAAGAAACTGTGGTGTATAATATAAAATTCTGGCTGAGCAGATTAAGATGAGCAAACTACATGGTTGAATAGGGGAGATGAACCATGCACACAACTATAATACACAGCAAGAAGGAATAAACGACACATGGTGGTACAAATGAAATAGAATATGTCTTTACAGAAGAGAGAGATTTCTCCAGGCTGAAACCTTATGTAATTAATTTCCTTCAGTGACTGACCAAATAATATGTCGGTTTCATGAAGCAAGCCTCAGCTACCAGATGTTAAAATATTTCAACTCTACAGCAGCAGCTAGACAACATCCAAAAAAAATTTAAACTCAACATAAGGAAGAAATGAAATTCAATTGCTTCAACAATGAGCATAGTGTAATTGGATGAGGGCCGCCTGTTGGCATCAAAAGGTCCTGACAATTGCAGCGATCCATTTGTAAAGCCTTCTTTCTTTTCCTCAGGTTGTGGAAATAAAACAGTCCTCAAGAGTAAAGTGGAGAATTTCCAATTTTGTCCTTTAATAAATGAGTTGTTGGCATTGTATAGAATGAAAATAATGATACGTCTTTTTCCACCAAAGCATAATGACCCTTGTGGCCTTTCTCTCCACTCTGTACCCTGTACTTTAGATGGTAAGCAGCAATTTGAGTGGCAACATTGAAAAAGATGTTAACCCTCTGTTGCTCAGCAAGTACTAAGCAGATACAGAGCCTACATTGTGCTCACTGCGCCAGGACTAATAGCAAAGTGGTGTTCCTGAATTTTTCCCCTTCCTCCAAGCTCACTGAAACATAAAGTCTGGCATTAATAAATAAATACAACATTCTGATTGAGAAGGTAGTGCATCCACGGATAACTGGAAAACTTACAATCCTAGAACTTTGTCTTACATTGATGTTGACATCGTATAGGAACTTAGAATCTAATTTCTGTAAATAAATTTTGCAAAACGTTTACGAAAATCATGGAACAGTTAGGTTTCAAAAATTTTTTTTACAGTCAGGGAAGAAAGAGTTTCCCCCGCCCCCACCCCTGCACACAGCGGTGTAAAAATGCTTTGTTTTTTAAAGGACGTTAAATTATAAAACCCAGCTCTGAATTTTAAATGCCACAGACGTGAGGGTATAACACCTTATTAGGTTGCCAGATTTAGCAAATAAAATTACAGTATGCCCAGTTAAATCTGAATTTGAGATAAACAACAAATAATTTTTTTTAGTATAAGTATGCCTCATGCCATATCTAGCAACCTTAACCTTAGAAAACCATGCTTGATTATGTAATATTCCAGCTGACTGGTTAATTTTTAGGAGGCAGGTTTGCTTTTTATTCCCTGGGTTTTCATCTTTTCCCATTCCTGCATGTCTCCTCAGCATATGAGATTTTTTTGAATGAATGGAAAGATCTTCTGTGAAGAAGACCATTCAGTTCATAAATGAATTATTTTAAAGCCCTGAACCCCTCTGCAAAAAAAAAAAAAGTGAACAAAAAGCCCCTTTTTGGTCCTCTTTTTGTGCTGTTACAATTGCTCTTCACTTGTTGATCTGGGTTTAATCATTCAGATAAGTGCTTCAACTTTAAGTGCCTCAATTTTCTGCTGTTCTGAATATGAAGGCTCAGTATAAATGGGTGGGGGAGGGAGGGAGTCTATGGCACTGAGTCACATCAATTTGAAAAATAAGTATGTAGACCTCATGTGGACTTTTCCTGTAATTAAAGACTCTCACTTCCCAAAATATATAAATCAGATGCTTTACCTGTTCTGATCATTTCAATGAACATTCAATTCATGCGTCCATCAGAGGGTTCACAAATGCACGAAAAGTTCATAATTCAGGCTGGGCATCATGGCTCATGCCTGTAATCCCAGCACTTTGGGAGGCTGAGGTGGGAGGATCGCTTGAGACCAGGAATTCAAGACTGGCCTGGGCAACAGAGTGAGACCTCGTTTCAACAACAAAAAAAATACATCTTCTTCACACTTTTTTTTTCCAGACATGGTCTTGCTCTGTTGCCCAGGCTGGAGTGCAGTGGCATGATCATAGCTTACTGCAGCCTCAAATTCCTGGGCTCAAGTGATCCTCCCACCTCAGCCTCCAGCATAGCTGAGACTACAGACACATGCCACCACACCCAGGTATGCAACCAAAACTTGTAGGAAATATTACTGATTTTTAGTATTTGCTTTATTGTGTCATAAGAAAACCTTTTTACAAAACTTGAGACATCTTCCTATTAAGGTTATAATTCCATTATGGCAGACATATGTGATGTTGAAATCACTTTTAAAATCATTATATTTTAAAAATTATTGCTTTTGAAACATTTCTTGTACTTTCTTCAACTTTTTTATTAAAAATATGATTTTTACACCCTCTTCTTTTGAAGTCATTTGCAGAAGGACATGCAACAATAAGTGCCTGAACTGTCTCTAGAAATGCATAAGAACTCTATTTAGGCCGGGTGCGGTGGCTCACACCTATAATCCCAGGACTTTGTGAGGCTAAAGCAGGAGGATTGCTTGAGGCCAGGAGTTCAAGACAAGCCTAGGCAATATATTAAGACTTTGTTTCTACAAAAATGAAATAAAATAAAAGGCATGATGATGCACGCCTGTGGTGTCAGCTACTTGGGAGGCAAGGTGGGAGGCTAAGGTGGGAGGATCACTTGAGCCCAGCAGGTCAAGGTTGTGGTGAGCAGTGATTGCACCATTGCCCTTCACCTTGGGCAACAGAGGAAGACCCTGTCTCATAAAAAGAACTCTATTTAGGCTCTTTCATATATAACATCTGCCCTCTCAGGAATCTTTTTAATGGAAAAACATTGATGTCCTTCTGTTTATGATGATTATTTCATCTTTTGTTTAACCTTCAAAAACCTACAAAAGTTTTAAAAGATGTCATGTCTAGTATCTCAGGATACTAGAAATTGAAAGAAACTTTCTCAATTTGGCCAAAGTTGTCCATGAAATCTTTGTAGCCTATATCACATTAATGGTTTAAAAAAGTGAATGCTTTTCGATAGAAAAGAGGACATGAAATGTTACCAACTCATAGAAATGATAAATACTCAAGGTGATGGATACCTCACGTACCCTGACTTGATCATTACACATTTTATGCATGTAAGAAGCACTCACAATTTCCCCATAAATATGTCAAATATTATGTATCAATAAAGGGGAAAAAAGTGAAAGGGTTGCTCTTAAGATCAGGAACAAGATGAGGAGGTTTGCTCTCACCAATTCTATTCGACATCATACTAGAAGTTCTACTCAGTGTAATAAGGCAAGAAATAAAAGGCATCCAGACTGGAAGGAAAGCAGTTAAGGCTCTCCTTATTCACACATAACATGATCTTCTACAGAGAAGAATCTACAAAAAAATCTACCAGATATAATAAGTCTGTCGTCCAGTCTGGAGTGCAGTGGTGCTATCTTGGCTTACTGCAACCTCTGCCTCCTGGGTTCAAGCGACTCTCTTGTCTCAGCCTCCTGAGTAACTGGGACTACAGGCGTACCCCACCACACCCAGCTAATTTTTGTATTTTTAGTAGAGACGGAGTTTCACCATGTTGTCCAGGCTGGTCTTGAACTCCTGGCTTCAAGTGATCCACCCACCTCGGCCTCTGAAAGTGCTGGGATTCCAGGCATGAGCCACCACGCCCAGCCACTTCTGTTATCATTTTAAAAGCAAGAAAGTTCCATTAAACAGAAATCTTTATATACTTTTTTTTTTTCAGCCTTGCTGAGAATGAACTCCCGTATGGTTGGTATGCATGGAGATGTACTGCCTGATTAATTTATCTTATACTTTTGGGCGCAACCAATTAAAACTTGTGGCAGTCTCTTATTTTTTCTTTCTTTCTTTCTTTTTTTTTTTTTTTTTTTTTTTTGATAAAGACAGGGTGTTGCCATGTTGCCCAGGCTGAACTCGAACTCCTGGGCTCAAGTGATTCTCCTACATCAGCCTCCCAAAGTGCTGGGATTACAGGCATGAACCATCACGCCCGGCCTGAGTCAGTCTCTTGAAGTCAGAAGTACACTAGACCGTAAAACTGGAGACCTAGTTGTGCTCCAGCTGTGCCAACATTTAGTTTCACGATATGCAGCAAGCCACTTCACCTCTCTCGGCTTGAGTTTCCTCATTTAGTAAAGTAGGTGGTTAACAGAGGATCACTCCTGTTCCGCTTCTAAGACTTATTATTTAAGATATATAGAGAGTTTAACATCAATTTTATTATCACTTGAGACACCACTTCAGTGCTGCAACTTGAGCATTGAAGAGCAGAGCAAAACACTTCATAAATGCAGGTAAGAGTGGATATTTTGGTCTGACTCAGATAATTGCCTTAGTTATAAATTGGCATTGTAGATCTATCTACAATGTATGTTAATAATATCAAAAAATAATAAAATAAAATCCCCAGAATTTTCTGCTTTCCCAAATAAGCTCATTAAGTGTAAAGAAAGAACTAGTTTTTAAGATCTTCTGATTTAGACATTCAAAGTATTGAAAGGGTAGATTCCAGATTGATAACCATAAGGGTCTTTAAAGTGGCATTTTTAGGCAGGGCGTGGTGGCTCATGCCTGTAATCCCAGCATGTTGGGAGGCCAAGGCGGGTGGATCTCCTAAACTCGGGAGTTTGAGACCAGCCTGGGCAGCATGGAGAAACCTCGTTTCTGCCAAAAATACAAAAACAACAACAGCAACAACAAAAAAAAGCCAGGCATGGTTGCATGCCTGTGGTCCCAGCTACTCAAGAGGCTGAGGTGGAAGGATCGCTTGAGCTGGGGAGGCAGAGGTTACAGTGAGTTGAGATTGCACCACTGCACTCCAGCCTGGGTGACAGAGTGAGATTCCATCTCAATAAATAAATAAATAAAGTAGCATTTTAAAAAAGTATCTGCAGTTTTATTCTTATGCTAAACATCTAGGCCCTGTTTTGAAGGCACATACACCACACTTTTATACTCAATCAAGCAGATAGCCAAGTTGTCAGTGTGCATGTCTTACCAATAATGTTATATTGATTTCTCTGTAATTGTTTCTTTAGTGCATTGAGGTGTTATAGTATAAAATCATTAATCTTGAACTTTGAGTACCTTTATATTTTTTGAAAATAACAAAAAGTGATGTAGTATGCCCTGTTCCATATAGAATATGAACCTTAGAATAGATGCTGTGCTACACAGTTATCATTCCTTTTTCCCCATTCTCTCTATCAGTGTGATCTATTCACCTACTCATATCCAGAAATAAAATTTGTTTTGTTTTGTTTTGTTTTCTTTTCTTTTCTTTTTTCTGAGACAGAGTCTCCCTCTCTCACCCAGACTGGGGTGCAGTGGCATGATCTTGGCTCACTACAACCTCCACCTCCCGGGTTCAAGTGATTCTTGTACCTCAGCCTCCTGAGTAGCTGAGACCACAGGCACCCACCACCAAGCCTGGATAATTTTTGTATTTTCAGTAGAGATGGGGTTTTACCGTGTTGGCCAGGCTGGTCTTGAACTCCTGACCTCAGGTGATCCGCCTGCCTCAGCCTCCCAAAGTGCTGGGATTACAGATGTGAGCCACCATGCCCAGCCTAAAATTTGTTGATATTTAGTTTGTTACAGAAGAAGGAGGATTGAAATAAAAATAAAATATATTTATTATGTAATGACTGGTAACTGATTTTGTATTCATGTACAGATAGAATAACTCTACATTCTGAGAATTCAAAACCTTTTGGACAATTAAAATATTAAGAAACATGATCTATCTTGCTTCAATTGCTTGTTTTTAGCGAGTTTAAATATTTCACTAAACTTCATAGCTTTGAATGCATCAAGGTCTCTTCAGAGTTTTTCAGTGGGTAACAAACTTATGTGTGTGTGTGTGTGTGTGTGTGTGTGTGTGTGTGTGTGTGTTTCAAATTTGCCACTGCGGAAACTGTAAAAAAGAATATATATATATATATTCCCTGTTGCTCAAGCGATTGTCCCACCTCAGCCTCTTGAGTAGCTGGGACCACAGGCACGTGACCATGGCAGGCTATTTTTTTTTTTTTTGTATTTTTGGTAGAAATGGGACTTCTCCATGTTGCTCATTTTGTATTTTTGGTAGAAACGGGGTTTCTCCATGTTGCCCAGGTTGGTCTCAAACTCCTGAGCTTAGGAGATCCACCCGCCTTGTCCTCCCAACATGCTGGGATTACAGGCATGAGCCACCACGCCCTGCCTAAAAATGCCACTTTAAAGACCCTTATGGTTATCAATCTGGAATCTACCCTTTCAATACTTTGAATGTCTAAATCAGAAGATCTTAAAAACCAGTTCTTTACACTTAATGAATTTATTTGAGAAAGCAGAAAATTCTGGGGATTTTATTTTATTATTTTTTGATATTATTAACATACATAATGTTATACAAAGAATATACATATATTTTTTACAGTTTCTACAGTGGCAAATTTGAAGTATGGTAAATGTTGCTTCTGCATTCCAATTTGATAATGAGCCTTAACCTTGTCCATTTCATTCCATTAAAAGAGGAAAAAAAGTAGTTACTGGCAAAGCAAATGGCTCATAAAGTAATCTGAGTGATGGAAAAAGAACAGTTCTCAGCATGGAATGAAAATATCTTTCACCAAGGATGAAGTAGAATTATAGAAGTACTCCATCTGTAGCTACTTTTTACATTTAATAGTCTTAAATAAAATTCCCCTTGAGTATCTCTGACCATTGAGGTCTGAGAGCCTGAAACATGATGAAATTTACAATCTGGGCAGTCATAAAGAAAGTCCTACATTTTTTTCAGGCTTTGAGGGGAATGGGCATTCTATTATGCCTATTCCGTTGGTCACCTTGGGTCTTATAAATTTCTTTATAAATTTGCCATACAAACTTTTATTTATTTTTATTTTATTTAATTAAAATGTTTTTCTTTTTTCATAGTGATGGGGTTTCCACCGTGTTGCCTAGGCTGGTCTTGAACTCCTAGGCTCAATGAATCCTCCCATCTCAACGTCCCAAAGTGCTGGGATTATAGACGTGAGTCACTGTGTCTGGCTGCAAACTTTTGGATATTTTTCTTAAAATAAAAACTTTTCTAACATATACTTGTTTTGTGATGTCAAGATGGTCCAGGGGATCTTAACAAATAATAAAGAAGCCTTTCATGATACAAGGATCAAGACTTAGGTTCTAATATCAGTTTTATTGCACAATTATTGTGTAGTATTGGAAAAGTCCAGTCATCTTTCTAATAATTTATTATAAGGCTTAAGTGCAAATATGCTTAAAAGGTTCTTTTTAATCATAAAGCATTATGCAAATGTGACATATTTTCTCCAAACAGCCACCTAAATGAAAGTGGTGGGTTTTCAATTATCTGAGGCATAAACCATGAATCTATGTACTTTGACTACACATATGAGATGAAGATTAGCCTTGTGGTTGCTTATTAGATTGAAATGCTTTTGCATACATATTCATATAGAATACTTACAAATCAAATGTCAACTTTGTTATTTATATAGTGTTGACAATGATGATAATAGGTAACACTAATTAAGCACTCCGTATACATCATGCCTGGTGCTAAGCAGTTTCCATATGTTACCTAACTCAACAGTTGAAACGACCCTGTATTATAGAGAGGAAAGAGATAAAGCCAGGATTATAGATTGAAGCAATCCAACTCCTCTCTTAGCCATTATATTTTTATGCCTTCCAATACTCTTAAAAATCTGCTGTCTGTCAACTTTTTATTTCTGGCAGAGCATTCTTCAGAATAAATGCAAGACAAATCCTCCAGAGAGGCTTCTGGAAACTACAGACTCCAGATAGTCTCATGATACATTGAGTAATCTGGTTAAATGGAGAGTAAACATTAGGATTATGAAAACACAGAAGCACAGAACTTAATGGAGAGAACCTGCTTGATTTCCATAACAGAAAATCATGCTATACTAGAGTTTGGGATAAGTAGAAAGTAGATACAAAAGTGGGAGCCTCAGACAAAAGAACTTTAAATTTAAAAAAAAAAAACCACCTTTGAAAGTTTTTAAACCAAAAAGTTTTGATTACAGTCCACATAGCATTGCAGGACATGTAATGTAAGAGCTTAGAGATGAGTGGGAGGAGCTGATGGGGAATTTTGCAGGCAATATGACCACTCTGTAATTGTAATTGACAACTTGTCAATTACCCAAGGTCTTCCATACCCCTTGTGCCATCTGGTAATCACAGTATTCTGGTGAGGAAAATAGAACAGATTCTATTATGCCATTTTAGAGATATTTTAACTGTTAATGGCAGAATCTTCTTAAAATTAGCCTTGAGATTGGTCTAAATTATCATTTTCACAAATTATCTTTGAAGAGAAAGTACATGAGTACATTGGTCCCAACCCACATTTATAACCCCAGCATCCATCATGACTTTATTCACATTATATTCTAGCTAGACAGAATTACTCCCCAGGCAGTTATACATCTTTACCCATTGCTTTTTTTTTTTTTTTTTTTTGAGACAGGGTCTCTTTCTGTTGCCCAGGCTGGAGTGCAATGGCACAACCATAGCTCACCATAACATCAAATTTCTTTGTCTCAAGCGATCCTCCTGCCTCAGCCTACTAAATATGTCGGACTACAGGCAAGTGCCACCATGCCCAGCTAGTTTTAGAGGGGGTTTTATTATGTTGTCCAGGCTTGTCTTGAACTCCTGGGCTCAAGAAATCCCCCTGCATCAGACTCCCAAAGTGCTGGGATTACAGGTGTGAGCCATTGCGCCTGGCCTCTACTCTTTTTTTTTTCCTACCATACAAGCCCATCCCAACAACTTATCTCTATTCATATTGGCTTTTCAAATCACATCTATATTTCCACCCCTAAAATCTCCTTACTTCTTGATTTCTTCAAGCATATGTTAAAATGACAAGTTCTGAGTTGTCATCCCTGGAAAGGGTGCCAAGGGTCCTTTATAGACTCTCTCCTGAAGACAGCTGCCCAAGTATTGTTTCGGTCAAAATAATCAGGAAAATGTTGAACATCATTAAGAAAAATTGGAGGAAAAACCAGTAAGCAGTCATTCTATTTTTTTTTTTTTTTTTTGTAAATCCTTGAGGTGTCTGCATCCGGGCTCTTTTTTGTAGTTCTGGTCTATGTACAAGACAGGAATAATAGAGTTGGAGAAGACCCTGAGACGAGCAACTGAAACGGTGAAGGGGACGGAAAGCAAGGCGGGATATAAGCTATATATAAAATGATAACTCTTCATATTAAAACTGGCTAAAGGTAAGCGTCATCAGAGAGCTGTGTGGCTGCCAGATTTTGTTACTGGTATCTTGCCAGAGCATATGTCCTAAACAGTTTTATCTCCAGTGGCCTCATCCTTGGGCTGTAGTTTGGCTATTCTATTTTCTCTAACTCAATTTCTTGAATTTCTGACAATTTCTTCAGTCCCACACATCCCCATTTACCAGGAGCTTCTCATTACAGAGTGGTGAATGTCAGGATGCCCTTACCTACAGGTAAGGGGCAGGTGAACAGTCTTATTTATGTTCATACGGGTTCTAGTTTGATTCTCCCCCCAGGCCAATTGTCATACTCTTTAGGCTACCTGGGCCTCAACTAAGTTGTGTACATCAGAATCACCTGGGGAACTATAGATCTATGAATCATTTATCACTTAATTTCTCTATTGTGGAAAATCAGGATGTCATGTATGTATTTCTTTAATACAGAACATAACTAAACAAACAACAAAAATGAATCATTAAATAGAAAACTGCTTTTGGTCTAATGTTTTATACACACACACACGCACACACACATATGTGTGTGTGTGTGCGTGTGTGTGTGTGTGTGTGTGTATATATATATATATATATATATTTGGAGATTAGGTCTCACTCTGTCGCCCAGGCTGCAGTGCAGTGGCACAATCATGACTCATTGCAGCTTCAACTTCCCGGGTTCAGGTGATTTTCCCACCACAGCCTCCGGGGTAGCTGGGATGACAGGCATGCACCACAATGACCGAGTAATTTTTTATATTCTTTTGTAGAGATGGGGTTTCGTCATGTTGCCCAGGCTGATGTAGAACTCCTGGCCTCAAGCAATCCACCTGCTTTGGCCTCCCAAAGTGCTGGGATTACAGACGTGAGCCACCATGCCCTGCTGGTTTAACGTTATATTGAAGTTTCTCCAACTGAAGGGCATGTACTGTTGAGCATGCTCAGAAGCCAAGGTTCAAGCCATTCTTCAACTATAGATGCTTCAACTCATCTCTCTTTCTTCGGAATATTCTCTCCCTTATCAATTTCACCAATTATACCAAGTAACCCCCTGCTTATTCCCCTAGAACAGACAGAGCTGATACTAGTCTGTGCCTTATGTGATTTAGAAAAAGACTCTTGGAATGCAGCCCCAGACCATGATGTACAGAGCATGAGTTGGGTATTGCCCCATTTTATTCTCTAATTCAGGTGCCCTTGTGCAGTGAATAACATGGCAGCTGTGAGACTAGTGATGCTAAACAGGTTTAATTTTTGGTGCAAATTCTAATGAATTAATAATAGCTGTTTTAAAAAAACACACAGTGCTAAGAAAGACTCTGAGGCTGTTTTCAGGCTCAGTAGATAAATTGTACTGTAAGCTGGGATGATTTGCCTTGGTTGGGAGAATGGCACCAGGTGTGACAAGAATTTGCTATCTAAGGACTAGAGGCATCTCACCCGTCCTGAAGAGGTAGGAAGCCTGGGGTAGGCAGATGTTGAGGTAGAATGTGGGCCCAGACAAGTTTTATAATTTATAGAACACAACTTTAAAATGCCCTTGTAATACAAGGCAACAATCCTACTTTTCCAGGTCTCTAACAAAAAGCATCTAGCTGAGCTAGAGTGTTTTCATGAGGCATCTGCTACACAAAACAATGTCTTGCTTAATAAATAACACCCGTTTCTACTTGGTGTCATTTTACTGTTTAATCAAAACTTATTTTCACCACTCTTAACCACAATCTAAAGAAGGATGCTTCAATCTCTTCCTGATTTAGCCTTAAACTTGGTCATGTGTACCATTCGACTAGGATTGCCAGAGTCAGCCACCCTCCCAACAAAGGATGCTCAGTTAAATATTGCACAGAACACACTTATACTAAAAATTGTTTGTTGTTTATCTGAAATTCAAATTTAATGGGGCATAATGTATTTTACTTGGCAATCCTACCTGTGATGGACATATATATTTCCCCCCAGCTTTATTAAGGTATAATTGACAAATAAAAGTGTAAATATTTATGATATAAATGGAAATATAAACAGATGCTCCTCGACTTTTGATGGGGTTACATCCTGATAAACCTGTCATAAGTTAAAAATATTGTGAGTTGAAAATTCATGTAATACACCTAACTTACTGAATATCCTAGCTTGGCCTAGCCAACCTTAAATGTGCCCAGAACACTTACATCAGCATATTTGGGCTGATGTAACACAAACCCTATTTTATCATAAACTGTTTAATATCTCATGTAATTTATTGAATACTGTATTGAAAATGAAAGATAAAATGGTTGTATGGGTACTCAAAGTACAGTTTCTATTGTCTGTGTATCTCTTTTGCACCATCGTACAGTTGAAAAATCCTGTGTCAAACAATCATAAGTCAGGGACCATCTGTATTGTTGAAATAGCATTTCAAGCTGGATTCCTTTTTAGAAAAAAAATGATCTAAAAGGGATATGCCATAAAAATCTACAAATGAAGTGTAAGAGGTGATGTACACATGAGCAATTTCACTATATTCAAGAATACTAAAAATTGGTTGTGATTCCCTTGACGTTTAAGGAAGTGGTTTTGAATTTTAAAATAGCAATGCTTTATGCAGTAATAAATATATACAATTTATTACCACTGGGAAGAGATCCAGCCAGAAAAATTTTGAAAGACACATTTAGAAAGTTTTAGATATATTCATGTACAATCATGCAAATCAAATAAAAATGATATAGCACCTACTGTATTTTAGGCACTCATGATCCAGAGATGAAGACATGGTCCCGCTGCTCAGGGAGTCTACTAGCAACACACATATAATTCAAAATAACAATATAGTCTTGGGAGAAAAATAGAAGTAAATAATAAAGTACAGTCATAGTAGGAAAAAATGCATGGTTGATTATCTCTACTGGGGGAAAACGGGAGCAAGGGAAAACTCTAATAGATCACTCTTGAACTAGAATTTTGTTGTTTCTTTTAATTCGTATGTATGTATGTATGTATGTATGTATGTACAGGGTCTCACTCTGTTGCCTAGGCTGGAGTTCAGTGACACAATCATGGCTCACTGCAGACTCAAACTCCTGGGCTTAAGTGATCCTCCTGCCTCAGCCCCCTAAGTAACTGGGATGACAGGCACCACTATGCCCAGCTAATTTTTTTTATTTTTTTAGTAGATATGGGGGTCTCACTTTGTTGCTCATTCTTGTCAACTCCTGGCTTTAAGTAATCCTCCAACAGGCCAGGCATGGTGGCTCACACCTGTAATCCCAGCACTTTGGGAAGCCTTGGCGGTTGAGTCACCTGAGGTCAGGAGTTCGAGACTAGCCTGGCCACCATGGTGAAATCCGTCTCTACCAAAAATACAAAAATTAGCCGGTGTGGTGGTGCACGCCTGTAATCCCAGCTACTCGGGAGGCTGAGGCTCAAGAATTGCTTGAACCCAGGAGGCAGAGGTTGCAGTGAGCCAAGATTCCATCACTGGACTCCAGCCTGGGTGATAGAGTGAGACTCAGTCTCAAAAAAAAAAAAAAAGTTATTCTCCCACCTAGGCCTCCCAAATTGCTGAGGTTACAAGCATGAGCCACTGTACTGGCCTGTTGTTTCTTTTTAAATCCATTTTATTTGTAGTATAGTTTACAAACAATAAGATTTACCCATTTACCCATTTAAAGTGCAATTTGATGAGTTTTACCTTTTTTAGGGTTATTGAGGTATGATTTGCATAAAGTAAACTTTAGTCTTTTAAAATGTATGGGTCAAAGAATTTTAACGAACTTATTCAGTTGTATAACCATCATCATAATAAAGATACAGAGTATTTCTACTATCAAAAAAATTCCTTCATGCCCTTTTGTGTTAGTTTTCTGTTACTGGAATAATAAGTTACCACAAACTTAGTGGTTGAAAGCAGCACCCATTTTACTGTAGCACACTCCCGTATGTCAGAAGTTAGGACAGTATGGTGGGGCTCTCTGCTAAGGATCTCGCAAAACTGAAATCAAAGTGTTGCATAGGCTGAGTTCCTTTCTGGAGGCTCTGAGTAAAATCTGCTTAGAAGCTCGTTCAGGCTGTTGGCCAGATTCTGTTCCCTGCAGCTCTAGGACTGAGGTCCCCATTTTCTGGACACTTGGCCTTCTCCACCTTCAAGTCAGCAGTGAGTTGAATCCTTCTTGTACTTCAGACCTCTCTGACTTCTGCTTTTAAAAGGTCATGTGATTCCACTGGGCCCACCTGGATAATCCAGGATGATATTGCTATTTTAAGGTCAACTGATTAGTAACTTTAATTACATGTCCAAAGTCTATTTTGCCATGTAACATAATGTATTCATGGGCATAACAACAGTAGTAAAGGTCATAGGGTCAAAAATTCTGCATTTCACACACTTTGTATCAATGCCTCTATTCCAGCCTTTGGTAACATCCGATCTGATTTCTGTCCCTGTAGTTTCGTTTTTTCCGGAATGTCATATAAATAGAATCATATAGTCTTTAGCTTTTTTTTTTTTTTTTTTTTTTTTTGAGATAAGGTCTCACTCTGTCACCCAGGCTGGAGTACAGTGCATGATCATAGCTTGGCTCACCAGTCTCGACCTCCTGGGCTTCGGTGATCCTCCCACCTCTGCCTCCTGAGTAGCTGGAACTATAGGCATGCACCACCACACCCAGCTAATTTTTATATTTTTTGTAGAAACGGGGTTTTGTTATGCTGTCCAGGCTGGCCTTGAGCTCCTGGGCTCAAGCGATGGGCCTACCTCTGCCTCCCAAAGTGCTGGGATTACAGGCGTGAGGCACTGTGCCTGGCCATTATGTAGCTTTTTGAGTGACTTTTTTTTTTTTTTTCACTCAGCCTAAGGCTCTTGAGATCTATGTACAAAGTCACATGGATAAATAGTTCCTTTTTGTCACTAGGTAGTATTTCCTTGTATGAATGTACCACAGTTTCTTCAACCATCCACCTGCTGGTGAGAAGGTCCAGGCACAAATGCAGTCTGAGAATATAAGCAGTAGTCACAAATGCCTGATAAACTGATTTAAGGGGCTAGAGAGAGAACAGAAGCTAGGAAAAACCTCTGAGAGATCTAAAATAACAAGTAGGTTCACACAATTAGGGAATGACATTCTAGGAGATGGTCTCATGTACACCATTTTACTAATGAGAAAAATGAGGTTCCAAGAGCTTAACTAACTGGCCAAAATCACACAGGTGATCAATGTCTGAGGTGGAATGTAAATCTAAGTCCATCTGACAGTAAATATATCAGTGATTCCTATTTTTTTTTTTTTTTTGAGACGGAGTCTTGTTCTGTTGCCCAGGCTGGAGTGCAGGGGCGCCATCTCGGCTCACTGCAAACTCCACCTCCCAGGTTCAAGCGATTCTCCTGCCTCAGCCTCCCAAATAGCTGGGATTACAGGCGCCCACCACCATGCCAGGCTAGTTTTTGTATTTTTTTTTTTTTTTTTTAGTAGAGATGGGGTTTCGCCATTTTGGCCAGGTTGGTCTCAAACTCCTGACCTCAGGTCATCCGCTCGCCTTGGCCTCCCAAAGTGCTGGGATTACAAGTGTGAGCCATCGCGCCCGGCCCTAATTATATTTGATATGATAAAAGCTATGGGTCTTCTCCCCAGAAAAATAAACATGCAAATGCATACCAATCCTAGCTGAAGAATCATTTACATTTACATTTAACCCTAATCATTTACCTTTAACCCTAATCCCCTAGCGCCAAATATAACTATTCCTTGTGATAAAAGCACAGAATATTACCCCAGGTAGAGACAATTGAAGTGGGAAAACCTGGTTTCAAATTTTAACTGTGTCATTTACTGTCTGTATGATGTTGATCTCATTACTTTAACCAATTGAGCACCAGTTTCTTTACCAGCAAAACAAGTATAATAATGGCAGCTTTGCAAGATTGTTGTGAAGCACACAGTGGGTGCTCAGCAAATGCCTGACAAACTGAACTGTCCAGTGAACTTCAATTTCTTGTCCCTTTTCCTGTCTTCTGACCATCCTAGCAAAACAGAGAACCCCATCATGAAATTAAGTCATTTTTACTCTAAAAATCATTCACAACTGTCTGGGCCAATCAGGATGTTTGATAAGGCATAAACACCAAGAAGCCTCCTGGGAAATAAATTGTTTAAACTTAAGAGTGTCGTATAACTTGACTCAAAGGCAGTTGAGCCTGTGTAAGGAGCTTGGCTACATTATTAACCCACCAGAGTGCATGCCACAGGTATCATCTGGCCCAGCCCCCCTTGAATCCAAGCCTGAATCTTACAGCAAAGAATCACTAATAAAACAAGTGAAGATGAAAAGAACTTCATTCTAGCTGGGCGCGATGGCTCACGCCTGTAATCCCAGCACTTTGGGGGGCTGAGGTGAGCTGATCACGAGGTCAGGAGTTGGAGACCAGCCTGGCCAACATGGTGAAACCCCCGTCTCTACTAAAAATACAAAAATTAGCCGGGAGTGGTGGCACGCACCCGTAATCCCAGCTACTTAGGAGGCTGAGGCAGGAGAATGGCTTGAACCTGGGAGGCGGAGGTTGCCGTGAGCGAAGATCACCCCACTGCACTCCAGCCTGGGCAACAGAGCGAGGCTCCGTCTTAAAAAAAAAAAAAAAAAAAAAAAAAAAGAACTTCATTCTAACATTTCAGCAACGTCAGTGCCAACACCTTTGGCAGCACCTTAGGAGATTGATTGTACCACTGCTATTGTCACTGGTGGAGGGTGTCCAGGTTCTTGGGCTCTTGAACAAAGAATTGGACAAAACGCACAAAGCAAGGAAGGAAGGAATCATGGGATTTATTGAAAATGAAAGTACACTCCACAGTGTGGGAGTGGACCCCAGCATAGGGGCTCAAGGGCACTGTTACAGAGTTTTTTTGAGTTTAAATACCCTCTACTTGTTGTACACCCTATGTAAATGAAGAGGATGAAGTAAAGTTATCATTTACTATGGAGAGGACATTTTCTGTCATAGCTGAAGTGTGAATCAACCTTATGTTCCCTGCCTCCAGACCCTGCTTTCCTGCCTCACTATCTCCAGTATTGAAAGATAACACCAACAGAAAACCAAATACCACATGTTCTCACTTATAAGTGGGAGCTAAATGATGAGAACACATGAACACACAGAGGGGAACAACACACGCTGCAGACTTTTGAAGGTTAGAGGGTGAGAGGAGGGAGAGGATCAGGAAAAATAACTAATGGGTACTAGGCTTAATACCTAGGTGATGAAATAATCTGTACAACAAACCCCCATGACACAAGTTTACCTATGTAACAAACCTGCACATGTACCCCTGAACTTAAAAGTTAAAAAGAAAGAAAGAAAAACAGCACCTTCCTTATTGGGCACTGACGACCTATGCGTGGACACTACAGGCCACCAGTTGTACCTCTGGCAGGCACCTGTAGAGGTCTTGGTTTTGATGGCTGTTGACCATGACAATATGCACCCCTAGGGAAGTTCTAGAATAAAAAGAAGAGAAATGGGAGACATGAGTGCCAGACCCCAGAGAACTTGTGAAACACCTTTTTGATTTTCCAGAAGTTTTTTTTTTTTTTTTCTGGGAGAGGGGGAACCTAGGAGATTAGGGGAATGTGTGGGTAGGGAATGGAGAGTGAAACTCCTAGAGAGTGCAAGGGGATGGACCCAGAAAAACACTGACTTGTGATTTTCTCTTTTCTGCAAGGTTAGCATGGTCATGGAATCCCAGGTGTAAGGCAGTGATATTTACTCTCCCTGAAGATCCTGTACTTTGTAGCCCTCTGACATTTGGATGTGGATTTTTCCTTCAGCAGTATCTTTCCTTGCATGGTCTTCCTCCCCGGAGGCTCTTCTTCATGTTTTTTGCTTATGCAAAGGTCCATTTTTTGTCCAATTTTCTTTTAAGTTGTAATGTCTTGGACTTAGGCACAGAGTGGGCTATATTTGGGAAGTCATTCTCAAACTTGCTCAAGTGTCAGAGTACTTGGACATCATGGTGCTCTTTGGGGGACTTTAAGAAATGGTATTTTAAAATTTGATTCAATCACTTAATTATGAGAAGAATGAAATAAGCAGCATCATAGCACCTGTTATGTAGGGGCACTTATGAACCAAGCACTCTGTTAATCGGTTGACATTGGTTACCTTATTCAGCTCTCATGATAACCCTGTGAAATATGTACTATATGGAGATAGAGGCTCGGAGAAATTCAGAAACCCCTAAGGGGGTCACACAACCAGGAAGTAGCAGATACTGTATTTGCTCCCTGGACTTTAAAGTTTAAGATTTTGCTGGGTTTGGTAATCCCAGCTGTAATCCCAGCATTTTGGGGTGCTGAGGCAGGAGGAGCGCTTGAGCTCAGGAGTTTGAGGCTGCAGTGAACTATGATTGATGATTGCATCACTGCACTCAGTCTTGGTGACAAAGCGAGACCCTGGTTTGTTTTTTTTTAAGCTCATGATTTTAACTACTACATCTACTGCTTACCCTTATGAACAATTTTAATAATATAAATAAGACTATATTACAAGTTGGAGTATTAAGTAAAACCTCTAGAATATGAATTTGAGCACACACAAAATAAGCTGATACATGCCTACGTTCAGCTGAGTATTCTATTAATATTTCTTTGCCACCATAACAACACAGACTCTGTGTCCCCTCAGGCTTGTTTACAATAATTAGCTGTACTTCCTTCTCTCCCTGAGGTTCATTAAAAGCATCAGTTGATACCAAATGGTGTACTGTTTGCAAATAGCAGCTAATACAAGCAGGGAAAGAGAATTATTTTCTTAAGGGTGCACTTTTGATTACTTCAAGAAACTGTTCTTTGAAGTGTAAATTTATTTCAATCATTCGTTTTTCATTCCCTTCACAAAACTTAAGATATTCACAGTTTTAAAGAGCAGAGTGTTGGAAATGTTAACTATAAGAATGTCTGAGACTTGTTTTTTTAAAACACTTTCTTGGGCAAAAATGCCAGGAATAATCAAGGAACAAAATATTCCTCATTTTTATCATTTTCTCATCACCGTTCCTCAAAGGATCAAGACTGTCTCCTTTTAGATGTCAGTACTCCTTTTCAGAATTGACCTTTACTCCCCACCATGGAGGATGCATGGACAGCCACACTGTGAAAAATCTCAGGTTCCAAGCCATACCCAGGATAACAAATGATATTGCCTAGATAAGTCCAGAGCCAAGTCTTACAGGGCTATTCACAAGCTGATCTTCTAAGTTTCAACTCCTTCACCCTCAAGCCAGCCAGGACAACAGTTAGGCCCCTGGTAACTATGAAAAAATACTGGGATCCAGGCATAAGCCTAGGATTTCAGATCACTAGTCACAGAAATTGCCCTGGCTACAAGTTGGAGTGCTCTTCTCCAAATCCCCTGAATAAAATTTTAACCTGGGTATTGACCTAGCTCAGTTTCCATGAGCTGCTCTTGAGTCCAGTTTCTCCATCCTACTTTTTCTCCAGTCTGTTCTTGTCACTTTGTTACAGGTTAGGCATGAGTGGGGCAGGAGACAGCTCTCCCTGACCCACTAGAAAGTTCAGGTGATGATTTGGCAATTGTTGCATTGCCTCTCTAAAGGTGATAAATTGGCAGCCGGTGCCAGGGAGAGGCCATTTTCTGATGGTCCACACCTGTCAACATTAAAGTGTTAATTAAAGGCAGGCCCCAGGGAGAAGCAACTTCCTGGGCATGCACATTAAGAAACAAAAATGGCAAAGTACTGTGTCCGGAGTTGGTTCCTTTTGGTGGGTTCTTGGTCTTCCTGACTTCAAGAATGAAGCCACGGACCTTTGTGTTGAGTGTTACAGCTCTTAAAGGTGGTGTGGACCCAAAGAGTGAGCAGCAGCAAGATTTATGGTGAAGAGCGAAAGAACAAAGCTTCCACAGCGTGGAAGGGGACCCAAGTGGATTGCCACTGCTGGCTGGAGTGGCCAGCTTTTATTCCTTTATTTGTCCCCGCCCATGTCCTGCTGATTGGTCCATTTTACAGAGTGCTGATTGGTCCATTTTACAGAGTGCTGATTGGTGTGTTTACAATCCTTGAGCTAGACACAGAGTGCTGATTGGTGTGTTTTTACAGAGTGCTGATTGGTGCATTTACAATCCTTTAGCGAGACACAGAGCGCTGACTGCTGCCTTTTTACAGAGTGCTGATTGGTGCATTTACAATCCTTGAGCTAGACACAGAGTGCTGATTGGTGCATTTTTGCAGTGCTGATTGGTGCATTTACAATCCTTTAGCTAGACACAGAGCACTGATTGGTGTGTTTACAATCCTCTAGCTAGACAGAAAAGTTCTCCAAGTCCCCACCCGACCCAGGAAGTCCAGCTGGCTTCACCTCTCAGTACAATCTTCCAGGTACCTACCACCAGAAAAAGGGAAGAAAGCCTCAGATGGGTATGTGTACAACTTCCTAAACACACTGCACTTGCTCAGTTCCCAAGGGTAAGGAGGGCACTGCACATGTGCAAAGCCCACAATAAGGGAAGAATCATGGAAAACAGGTGAGCCTATAAAGTCCCAGGATCAAGGTTACAGATGCTTTTTTCTCTCTTTGACCTTCAGGTGCCCACTTGGATCTCACCCAAGGGTTCTTTCCTTTCTTTCCTGTTCTAAGTGAGAGGTGAAGCCAGCTGGACTTCCTGGGTCAGGTGGGGACTTGGAGAACTTTTCTATCTAGCTAGAGGATTGTAAACACACCAATCAGTTCTCTGTGTCTAGCTCAAGGATTGTAAATGCACCAATCAGCACTCTGTAAAAATGCACCAATCAGCGCTCTGTGTCTAGCTCAAGGATTGTAAATGCACCAATCAGCACTCTGTAAAAAGGCACCAATCAGGGCTCTGTGTCTAGTTCAAGGACTGTAAATGCACCAATCAGCACTCTGTAAATACACACCAATCAGCGTTCTGTGTCTAGCTAAAGGATTGTAAATGCACCAATCGGCACTCTGTAAAACGGACCAATCAGCACTCTGTAAAATGGACCAATCAGCAGGACATGGGCGGGGACAAATAAAGGAATAAAAGCTGGCCACTCCAGCCAGCAGTGGCAATCCGCTTGGGTCTCCTTCCACACTGTGGAAGCTTTGTTCTTTCGCTCTTCACAATAAATCTTGCTGCTGCTCACTCTTTGGGTCCACATCATCTTTAAGAGCTGTAACACTCACCACGAAGGTCCGTGGCTTCATTCTTGAAGTCAGGAAGACCAAGAACCCACCAAAAGGAACCAACTCCAGACATCTTGGTGACCACGAAGGGACTATCGCCAAGCGGTGAGTCACTTTTGCTTGCTATTCTGTCCTTGCTATTCGGACCCCTTTTGCTTGCTATTCTGTCCTATTTTTCCTTAGAATTCAAGGGCTAAATACCGGGCACCTGTCGGCCAGTTAAAAGTGACTAGCGTGGCTGCTGGACTAAAGACACGGGTGTCAGGCTTTCTGGGAAAGGGCTCTCTAACAACCCCCAACTCTTCAGAGTTAGGAGCATTGGTTTGCCTGGAACCAGCTTCCAGTTTTCCTGTACTTCTGGGCTGAGCCAAGGGTCGACAGAGAGGAAAGCCATTCAGCTCTAGGGTCCCAACAAAAAGTTGGTTGACCCTGTAGTCATGAGCGGAACTCTCAAAGTCATGTTGCCCAAGCGAGACTCACCCATCTATCCTATCTATCCTGACCCTTGCCTCCTGGGTCCTAATGCCTGTCAGACAAACTTCCTCTTGCCTCTCTTCTCCAAGGCTAGTCCCACTTCTAAAAACCACTGCCTGTCTCTGGTGCTTTTCTAGTTTCTCCTATAAGAATGATTTCTAATATAAACTTCAGGACTCTGTTCCCTTTTTTAGGCACTAAAGCTCACTAATCAGAAAGACATAATTTTTGCCCAAGGCCCCATCGGCAGGGGTGGGGGGGACTATGTGGAATTTTAGAATCCCCTCTCAGACTAGCAGGCCTAACAAAAGCTATTCCTGAAGCTAGGATATGGGGAGCCTCAGAAATGATATCCTTCCTATTCATATGATGAGAGGTGAGGACAAAAGGCATCACTTTCCAACCCTGAAGATCCCTTCCCTCCCTCAGGGTGTGGCCCTCCTCTTCAGTTTTGGGGCCTAACATCTTTATAGGACAAGGGCAAAGTCCCAATACTAACAGGAAAAAATGCTTAGGACTCTAACAGGTTTTTGAGAATGCATTGGTAAGGGCCACTAAATCCGATTTTTCTCGGTCCTCTTTGTGGTCTAAGAGGAAAGGCAAGGGTGCAGGTTTTCAAGAATGCATCATTAAGGGCCACTAAATCTGACCTTCCTCGGTTCTGTTTGTGGTCTAAGAGGAAAACTAGGGTTTCTGCTGCTGCATCAGTGAGCGCAACCATTCCAATCAGCAGGGCCCAGGGACGATTGATTGTGGGTTCTTGGGCAAGAGGGGTTTCTGCTGCTGCGTCGGTGAGTGCAACTATTCTGATCAGCAGGGTCCAGGGACCATTGTGGGTTCTTGGGCAGCGGGTGGCAGGGAGGGGGTGGGGAACAAAGAAACCAAAACCATGGGTGGTTTTTTCTTTCAGATGGGAAACACTCAGGTATCAATAGGCTCACCCTTGAAATGCATCCTAAGCCATTGGAACCAATTTGACCCATAAACCATGAAAAAGAAGCAGCTCATTTTTATCTGCACTATGGCCTGGCCCCAATATTCTCTCTCTGATGGGGAAACATGGCCACCTGAGGGAAGTATAAATTACAATACTATCCTGCAGCTTGACCTTTTCTGTAAGAGGGAAGGCAAATGGAGTGAAATACCTTATGTCCAAGCTTTCTTTTCATTGAAGGAGAATCCACAACTATGCAAAGCTTGTAATTTACATCCCACAAGAGGACCTCTCTGCTTACCCCCATATCTTAGCCTCCCTATAGCTCCCCTTCCTATTAATGATAAGTCTCCTCTAATCTCCCCTGCCCAGAGGGAAACAAGCAAAAAAAATCTCCAAGGGACCACAAAAACCCCAGGGCTATTGGCTAAGTCCCCTTCAAGCTGTAGGGGGAGGGGAATTTGGCCCAACCCACGTACATGAACCCTTCTCCCTCTCTGATTTAAAGCAGATAAAGGTAGACCTGGGGAAGTTTTCAGATGATCCTGATAGGTATATAGATGTCCTACAGGGTGTAGGGCAAACCTTCAATCTCTCTTGGAGAGATGTCATGCTATTGTTAGATCAAACCCTGGCTTTTAATGAAAAGAATGCGGCTTTAGCTGCAGCCCAAGAGTTTGGAGATACCTGGCATCTTAGTCAAGTAAATGATAGAATGACAGCTGAAGAAAGGGACAAATTCCCTACCAGTCAGCAAGCCATCCCCAGTATGGAGCCCCACTGGGACCTCGACTCAGATCATGGGGACTGGAGTCACAAACATCTGTTGACCTGTGTTCTACAAGGACTAAGGAGAACTGGGAAAAAGCCCATGAATTATTCAGTGATGCCCACCATAACTCAGGGAAAGGAAGAAAATCCTTCCACCTTCCTCGAGCGGCCATGGGAGGCCTTAAGAAAATATACTCCCCAAATCACTTGAGGGTCAATTGATCCTAAAGATAAGTTTATTACCCAATCAGCCACAGATATCAGGAGAAAGCTCCAAAAGCAAACCCTGGGCTCTGAACAAAATCTGGAGGCATTATTAAACCTGGCAACCTCAGTGTTCTATAATAGGGACCAAGAGGAACAGGCCCAAAAGGAAAAGCAAGATCAGAGAAAGGCTGCAGCCTTAGTCATGGCCCTCGGACAAACAAACCTTGGTGGTTCAGAGAGGACAGAAAATGGAGCAGGCCAATCACCCGGTAGGGCTTGTTATCAGTGTGGTTTGCAAGGACACTTTAAAAAAAGACTGTCCAATGAGAAACAAGCTGCCCCCTCGCCCATGTCCACTATGCCAAGGCAATCACTGGAAGGCACACTGCCCCAGAGAACAAAGGTTCTCTGGGCCAGGAGCCCCCAACCAGATGATCCAACAACAGGACTGAGGGTTCCCGGGGCAAGTGCCAGCTCATGTCATCACCCTTACTGAGCCCCAGGTACATTTAACCATTGAGGGCCAGGAAATTGACTTCCTCCTGGACACTGGCATGGCCTTCTCAGTGTGAATCTCCTGCCCCAGACAGCTGTCCTCAAGGTCCATTACCATCCGAGGAGTCCTGGGACAGCCTGTAACCAGGTATTTCTCCCACCTCCTTAGTTGTAATTGGGAGACTTTTGGGAGACTTTGCTCTTTTCACATGCCTTTCTTGTTATGCCTGAAAGTCCCACACCCTTATTAGGGAGGCACATATTAGCCAAAGCTGGAACCATTATCTACATGAGTATGGGGAACAAGTTACCCATTTGTTGTCCCCTGCTTGAGGAGGGAATCAACCCTGAAGTCTAGGCACTGGAAAGACAATTCAGACGGGCAAAAAATGCCTGCTCAGTCCAAATCAGGCTAAAAGACCCCACCACTTTTCCTTATCAAAGGCAATATCCCTTAAGGCCTGAAGCTCATAAAGGATTACAGGATATTGTTAGACATTTAAAATCTCAAGGCTTAGTAAGGAAATGCAGCAGTCCTTCCAACACCCCAATTCTAGGAGTCTCCCTAAGTCCCAACATTAACATTGCCCCAGGAAATCAGACCCTATCAGTTGTCCTCAAAGCTCAAGTCCGTAAGCACAGAGCCATACAGCTAATACCCCTACTTGTAGGGTTAGGAATGGCTACAGCTACAGGAACCGGAATAGACAGTTTATCTACTTCATTATCTTATTACTACACACTCTCAAAGGATTTCTCAGACAGTTTGCAAGAAATAACGAAATCTATCCTTACTCTACAATCCCAAACAGATTTTCTTTTCCAGAAATTTCCTTTAAATAAAAATTACAAAAAGATCATTCAGAAGAAAGAGCAGCTAGACATTTTTGTTTAGTAATTTTCTTTTTTTAAAAAACAAGTTTTTGTTAAAAAAAAAAATAGAAACAAAGTCTTCCTGTGCTGCCCAGGCTGGTCTCAAACTCCTGGACTCAAGTGATCCTTTAGTGTTGGCCTCCCAAAGTGCTAGGATTATAGGCATGAGCCACCACACCCAGCCCTACTTTTATTTTTTTTAGGTTTTTAACACTGTAATCAGATGCCCAGACTTCGTGCCAAATATAAAGACTGAGCTTATATGAATGGCATCGTAATAAGAGAAAACCACTCTTCAATATACATTTTTGGCCCTGACCTTTCACCTCTTTTGGAACACCTATGTTTTTAACTATCTATAGACATCTTCATTTGAGTTTCTGAAATATTAGTTACCTCAAACCCTTTAAAAATAAACTCAGCCAGGCCTGGTGGCTCAAGTCTGTAAACTCAGCACTTTGAGAGGCTGAGGCAGGAGGATAGTTTGAGGCCAGGAGTTCGAGATCAGTCTAGGCAACATAGGGAAATCCTGTCTCTACAAAACATGCAAAAATTAGCCGGGCATGATGGCATGCACCTGTAGTCCCACTATTCGGGAGGCAAAAGTGGGAGGATCCTTTGAGCCCAGGAGTTTGAGGTTGCAGTGGGCTATCATCACACCACTGTACTCCAGCCTGGGCAACAGAGTGAGATCCTGTATCAAAAAAAGAATAATAAAGAGAATTAAAACATTGAAATTGGTGAGAAATAATCAGTATTTTATAGAATGTTGACTCCTATGGTAGAAACAATGGTGAATAATAAAGAGCAAATTATGGCAGAGGTAAAAAGTTGTGTGTATTTACAATCCTCAATAATCACGGAAAGGAGATGCAAATCTGTTGAGGAAATGGAAAACTTTCCATTGTGGGACTGGGGGCTCAGCATCAGTGTTATATGCCTATTAGTGTAATATTAATTTAGGAAGCTAGTTTAGAAGTTTGCAAAAAAACTAAAAAACTAAGCCTGATGAAAATGCTTTGAATGAGACTTCTGGTTTCCAGTTCAGCATGTAAGAAGCATGGAAGTTGCCATTCCATTCTAGTAACAAGCAAAAATCAGAAAAAACTGAAACTGAAAAACCAACAACTATTCTTTGATACAAAAGAGAAGTGAGGTCACAGGGGAAACCACTGCCCCTGAACTTGGAGAGACAGGCAAATACAGAGAATCACAATTTATCAGAACAAAAACCTCTGTAGGAACCAGTGCAGTGGTAGGAAAACCTGAACTATAGTTGAGGAACTGCTGAAAGCTCAGTGGGTACACCTCCGAGAGTTACAAACTCCAGGGCGCCCCGGTCATGGGGATAGGAGCTTGATCTGTTTTTCACAGTGAATATCAGAGAGAAATCTTGAAATTCCAGCAAGGGGAGGGGAAAGGAAATCATTTTGAAATAAGCCAGAGCATCCTGTTCTTTCTTTCTTTCTCATTTTTTTTGAGACAAGGTCTCACTCTGTTGCCCAAGCTGAGGTGCTGTGTCACTATCCTGGCTCACCGCAACCTGCACCTCCTGGGTTCAAGCGATTCTCATGCCTCAGCCTCCAGAGTAGCTGGGATTACATGAATGTGCCACCATACCTGGCTAACTTTTGTATTTTTAGTAGAGATGAGGTTTCACCATGTTGGCCAGGCTGGTCTCAAATTCCTGGACTCCAGTGATCCTCCCACTTTGGTCTCCCAAAGTACTGGAGTTACAGGCACGAGCCACCACACCCGGCCATGTTCTTTATTTTTATTTAAAAAATTTTTGTTACAATTTTTTTTTTTTTTGAGAGGGGGCCTTGCTCTGTCACCTAGGCTGGAGTACACTGGCATGATCATGGCTCACTGCAGCCTCCACCTCCCGGGCTCAAGCAATCCTCCCACCTCATCCTCTTAAGCAGCTGGGATTACAGACAAACACCACCATGCCCAGCTAATTTATTTTATTTTATTTTTTGTAAATAAAGGGTCTCACTATGTGGCTTAGGCTGGTTTCAAACTCCTGAGCTCAAGCAATCCTCCTGTGTTAGCCCCCCAAAGTGCTGGGATTATAGGTCTGAAAAAGTCTGCCCCCAGGAGAAACTATTTAACCAGAGCCTAACCTACTGGAGTTTCATGAGAGCTTAAGTGACCTGGGAGAAGGGAAATACCCAATGCCAGCCCACTGTAGCCATCGTGTTTTACCATATTTGGAGGCACGGAGGACTGAGAAGCATTTGTAAAGTACACAGTGCAGGGACACAGGCTCACTAAAAGGCTGAGATATGACTATAGGGCTATAGAATGCTTGCCCTGCCTCACACCTTACCACTACATTACTAGAGGTCTATTTACAGCAGTTCCTTTCTCTCACCTCATCATGTCCACGACCAAGAAAGAATTACAAGGCATATGAAAAACCAAAAAATACAATTTGAAAAGACAGGGCAAGCACTAGAACCAGATTCAGATATGGCAAGAATGTTGGAATTATCAGACCGAGAATTTAAAAAAAACTATGATTAATGTGCTAAAGCCTTTAATGAAAAAAGTAGACAACATCAAAGAACAGATAGATAATGTAAGTAGAGAGATGGAAATTCTAAGAAAGAATCAAAAGAAATGCAGAGAGATGGAAATTCTAAGAAAGAATAAAAAGAAATGCTAGGAGTTAAAAACATTGGAATCGAAATGAAGAATGCCTTTCATGGGCTTATTAGTAGACTGGATGTGGCTGAGGAAAGGATCTCTGAGCTTGAGGATATGACAACAAAAACTTTTCAAACTGAAAATCAAAGGCAAAAAAAGACTCAAAGTAGTGGAACAGAATATCCACGAACTGTGAGACAAATACAAAAGATGTAATCATGGGAATACTAGAAGGAGAAGAAAGAAATGAACAGAAGAAATATTAGAAGCAATGATGACTGAAAATTTCCCCAAATTAATGTCAGACATCAGACTGTAGATCCAAGAAATTCAGAGAACAGCAAGCATAGTAAATACCAAAAAAAGACACCTGGGCATATCATAGTTCAAACTTCAAAGAATCAAAGATAAAGAAAAAATCTTGAATGAAGCCAGAGGGGAAAAAACTACATTACCTATAGAAAAGCAAAAATAAGAATTACATCCAGCTTCCCCTCAGAAACCATGCAAGCAAGAAGAGAGTGGAGTGGAGTGAATTGTTTAAAGTGTTAAGAGAAAAACTCGCCAACCTAGAATTCAGTACACTGCAAAATTATCCTTCAATAACTTTCTAACAGAAGGAAAAAAAATATCCTCCAAAAGTGAAGGATAACTAAAGACATTCTTCAGACAAAATGTGAGGGTCATTGTTGCCAATAGACCTGTCATGCAAGAAATATTAAAAGAAGTGTCTCAGAAAGAAGGAAAGTGTTATAGGTTAGCAACTCAGATCTACAGAAAAAAGGAAGAGCACTGGAGAATGAATAAGTGAAGGTAATACAAATACTTTTATTTTTCTTATTCCTAGTTGGTCTAATAGTTCAAAATAATAATAGCAACAATATATTTGATTATGTGTGCTTATGTGTGTGTGTATATATATATGCTTACATATTCTTATATATAAGTGAAATGAATGACAGCAAAGACACAAGAGACAAGATGAAATAATTAAAATTGTTTGTTATTATAAGGCATTTGCACTACCTGTGAAGTGGTATAGTGATATTTGAAAATGGAATTAGATTAGTTGTAAATGTATATTGCAAACTCTAAGGCAACCAATACAAAAAGTTAAAAAAATAAAGAATTATGACCGACATGCTAAAAGGAAGAGAAAAATGGAATCACATAAAATATCAATTAAAACCACAAAAGAGAAAAAGAATGAAAAGCCAAAAACAGGAACAAATAACAAGAGCAACAAATAGAGAACAGTAATGAATATGTTAGATTTTTTTTCTCGTTGTTTTGTTTTGTTTTGTTCTGTTTTGTTTGTTTTGAGACAGAGTCTTACTTCATCACTCAGGTTGGAGAGCAGTGGAGTGATCTCGGCTCACTGCAACCTCCATCTCCCGGGTTTAAGCGATTCTCCTGCCTCAGTCTCCCAAGTAGCTATGATTACAGGCATGCACCACCATGCCTGGCTAATTTTTGTAATTTTATTAAAGATGGGGTTTCACCATGTTGACCAGGCTGATCTCAAACTCCTGACTTCAAGTGATCCACCCGCCTTGGCCTCCTAAAATGTTGGGACTGTAGGCGTGAGCCACTGCATCCCACCGAATATGGTAGATATTAACCCAATTATATCAATAATCACTTTGAATGTCAGTGGTCTAAATGTGCCAATTAAAAGACAGATTTTCAGAGTGGATCAAAAAAACAAAAGCTGGCTGGGCACGGTGGCTCATGCCTGTAATCCCAGCACTTTAGGAGGCCGAGGTGGGTGGACCACCTGAGGTCAGGAGTTTGATATAAGTGGCCAACATGATGAAAACCCATCTCTACTAAAAATATAAAAATTAATTGGGCATGGTGGTGGGCACCTGTAATCCCAGCTACTCAGGAGGCTGAGGCAGGAGAATCTCTTGAACCCGGGAGGCAGAGGTTGCAGTGAGCTGAGGTCATGCCATTGCACCCCAGCCTGGGAGACAAGAGCAAAACTCTGTCAAAAAAAAAAAAAGCCCCCCCATAAAACCAAGACCCAGTAGCATGTTGTCTACAAGAAGCCCACTTTAAATATAAACACATAAGATTAAAAGTAAATGGATGGAGAAAGATATAATGTGCTAACACTAATAAAAAGAAAGTGGCAGTAGTTACATTAATTTCAGACGAAGCTATTTTGGAGCAGGGAAAGTTATCAGGGATAAAGAGGGGCATTACATAATGATGAAGGGGTTAGTTCTTCCTGAATACATAATAATTCTTGACGTGTATGCTCCTGACAACAGAGCAAAACCCAATAGAACTGAAAAGAGAGATAGATGAATCCACTATTATAGTTGGAGTCTTCAACACTCCCCTATCAGAAATGGACAGGTGCAGCAGGCAGAAGATCAGTAAGGACATAGTTGAACTCAACAGCACCATCATTAAACTGGATATAATTGAAATTTCCAGATAACTTCATCCAATTGCAGAACACACATTCTTCTCAACCTCACATGCAACACTCACCAAGATAGACTGTATTCTGGACCCTAAAACACACCTTAACAAATACCAAAGAATAGAACTCATACAATGCCCGCTCCCAGACCACAATGGAATATGCTTGAAAGCAATAACCGGAAAATCCCCAAATACTTGGAGATTAAAAATATACTTCTAAATAACACATGGGTCAAAGAAAAAAATCTCAGCCAGGCGTCGTGGCACACCTCTGTAATCCCAGCACTTTGGGAGGCCAAGGGGGACAGATCACGTGAGGCCGGAGTTCGAGACCAGCCTAGCCAACATGGTGAAGCAACATCTCTACAAAACATAAGAACTCTGTTAGCTCTTCACAACCTGATCACAGCCTTGAAGCCACGGAACATAGAGAACAAGCCATTGCTGGTGATGCATTCATTCATCTATTCATTTATTCAAACACATGGAGCAAAAGCAGCGGGAAGTTCGTACTGGGCAGAAGGCAACAGAGTTGCTAGAGTTCTCTAAGACAGCAGGTACTATCAGATATCATAGGGACTGGCATTGGGAGGACGTATCTATGTCTACAGATTTTCAATGTATCCAGAACTGGTCTGTTTGGGGGAAAGATGTCTGATAGAACATATCAACAAGGAGGAGAAGGGTGTGCTTGATTTTAGAACTGGGAAGGACAGGCTCACACTGACTTGATCCATGGCAGATGGTTCTTGAGCATAAACCGCACAGCAATGTTGTTCCCTCTGGTGTCAAGAGACCAGCCTTTTAAAGCTCTTATCAGGTTTCTGGCTAGGGAGTGCTTCCAGACCGGGGTGTATCCTCCTTGATGGGCAGCTCCTATTAGACCAGGGCAATTCTCTGGGGAAGAGGGGCAGCTGTGAGCCCTTAGCTGTAAATGTTTCCAGAGACTGTAACTTGAAGCCTCCCTCTTTTGGCTTCTGAAAATTTCAATTTATAGCTGTTGTGAATTCATCATATTCAATTAAAGGCATATTTGTACTCAGGCAAAGGAAGAAGAGAAGCCCTGTTGAAAGTTTGAGTTAGGAAAGGGGAAGCAGGGAGAGCTAAAGGAAAGTGAAAGCACAAGTGGCCACAGAGGTTAAAAGTAGAGACACAAAAAGTTAGTGGGAAGAAAGGTCTTGTGTCTGGCATAGGAAGAGGTCCTGTTTCTGGCCTGAAAAGGGAACAAATTAGTGACACAATAGCTACAGTTTGCTTCACCCTTGGCACTTCTTGGGAACAGGAACCCCTGAAGATGGAGGTAGGTTAAAACAGCCCTTAGTGAATTCTCTATCCTAAACCGTGGTCTTCACATATTTTTACTTGCATAACCTCTAAAGGAATTTTGGAAAAACTCTATGCTCCATAGATATCTTTTTTCTTCTTTTTAAAAAATAGAGATGGGGTCTTGCTATGTTGCCCAGGCTGGTCTGGAACTCTTGGCCTCAAGCAATCCTCCCACCTTGACCCCCCAAAATTCTGGAATTACAGGAATAAGCTACCATACCATACCTGGACTCTATAACATATCTTAAAGTTGACATCTAACAACTATGGAGGGATTTATGAAAGCTTAAATATTTCAAGTGATGTAATTTCTGGCATATTGCAAATATTGATGTTTGAGAATAAAACTGTTGCATCATTTTAAAAAATATAAGTGGGACCAATTACCATAGCACCATAGCAGTTTGATATCCACCATTATCCATGTAAAAGATACATGAAGATACTCCTTTTCTTTTCTTTTTCTTTTTCTTTTCTTTTTTTTTTTTTTTTTTTTTTGAGACAGAGTCTCACTCTGTCATCCAGGCTGGAGTGCAGTGGTGCCATCACGGCTTATGGCAGCGTCAACCTCCCAGGCTCAAGTGATCCTCTCACCTCAGTCTCCTGAGTAGCTGGGACCATAGGCACACACCACTGTGCCTGGCTAAATTTTATTTTTATTTTTTGTAGAGATGGGATCTCACTATATTGCCCAACCTGGTCTCAAACTCCTGTACTCAAACAATCCTCCTTCCTTGGCTTCCCAAAGTGGTTGAGATTATAGGCATGAGCCACTGCACCTGAGAAAGATACTCCTTTTGCACAGCCAGATTTTTTTTTTTTTTTTTTTTGAGACAGAGTTTCACTCTGTCACCCAGGCTGGAGTGCAGTGGCATGATCTCGGCTCACTGCAACCGCCGCTTTCCAGGTTCAAGCAATTCTCCTGCCTCAGCCTCCTGAGTAGCTGGGATTACAGGTGTGTACCACCCCACCCAGCTAATTTTTGCATTTTTAGTAGAGACGGGGTTTTCCATGTTGGCCAGGTTGGTTTTGAACTCCTGACCTCAGATGATCTGCCCGCCTTGGCCTCCCAAAGTGCTGGGATTACAGGCGTGAGCCACTGCGCCCAGCACAGCCAGAAATTTTATATCATACTTTTATCTCTTGAACTTATATTTTGATTCTATTCACACCACAGAATTGTATCCTAATGTAATATATTTTTGTTTAGAATATCTTTTGTTATCACATCCCAATTCCTACCATAAAACATGTAAATTTACATTGTAAAAAAATTTTATTCCTGTGACTGTAAGGCTTAGAGTCTTTGGGACTTTTTTGTTTTTTATAATCATTAGCACATGACTGGTTAGAGTAACATAAATATATTATAAAACCTTATAGTTAATAAACATAAAATAGAATATTATTGGGAATGTATCTCTTAATGTGATGGAAGGGGATTTTTTAAAGTAGTTCATATATCTGTGGATCAATGTTACTTATTGTTAGAATGAGAACAAGTTCAATATTTTTAGTATACTTAAGATGTTGAGAAATCTTGTTCATGTAAATGAGATAAGAATGAAAGTTTAGTTAAAATAATATCATTCAATTAAGCACTTTCCTAAATATATGCCAAAGATTACATTATATCTATCATAATTTTTATGATAGATCATAATATAATCTATCTGTGTAATGATCTAGCAAATGACAACTTGGTTAGATTCTCCTCTGATTTTGTTGAAAGCAAGGCATTGGAAACGACTTGCCTTTATAAAAGTATTTGTTATCCCATCATTAAAGTGATGCACTCAGTACTTGTGCTCACACATTTCTCAATATCAGCATCAATATTTCCAATGATCCCTTTCGGTGCTCAAGAAGTTTTCGTTTTGGGGCCAGGCACCAAGGTAAGCCTTGAGATGAGTTAGAGATGTGCCTTTATTTTGTAAAGTGGGAGAAAGGAAGTGGGAAAGTAGAACCATCAGGTATGTTCTCACACAAAGCAAATTTAGGAAAGAGTACACATGGAAGTTAAAAATCTGGAAAATTGTTAAAAACAAAAAGACACTCAAACAATACCTACCTATGTATCTCTTTAAGTCTGAGGGTGCCTTGGGAGTATGTGCACCCAGGTTGAAGAACATGAACCCAAAGAACAGAATAATGTAAAAAGCAGGAAACTGGAGTATGGAGGAAGGCATTATCCCTCCTGACCCCCACCAAGATACATTAACGTGGTTTTGAGAGTCATTGTTGAGACAGCGTGAGATGGGGACCTCGGAACTCATGTATTAAACCTAGAACTCAATATGCATACATTGCATATGTCCTTGGGATAAGATACTCATTTACTTATGTTAATACTAAAGTGTAAAAGACTGATGAAGGGGTATGGGGGATTGCTAAAATGCAACTGGCCCTATGGACAAAGGAATTGGTTTCTCAGTTTCCCCTTAATTGCAGAGGTTGAATAAAGCTCTTTGCAGTGCTTTAGCTAGTACATGGCACACAGCTTAGATTGAGGGAGCAATGGATCAAGAAAACTTGTAAGAGGCAGCTAATTTAATTTCTCCTTAAGTAGTCTAATAATCCACTTTTAGCCTAGCTTAGTGATTTGGGCTTAAGCAAATAAGGTTCTACCCCAGCAGGTTATCAACTAAGCTCCACAGAAACTCACAGGGCAGGATGCTCCAGAGTTCTGCCAGTGAAACATTTTGCCAAAAGTGGTCCACCACTTCTGTCTATTTTAAATATCGAGGTTTGGAGAAAGATTTAGTTGGGAAAAGTGCTCTGTTGCTAAACATACACACACATACATACACTCACAACACACACCACTCGTGCCATTCACTGGACACACAATTACTTTCACTCACCTGTGCTCTCACATATGTTGTTTCTTCTGCCTAGGATAACCAAAACTCATCTCCCCAACTCTTTCAGACAAAAAAAAAGTTTGCTTTCTCTTCTAGACAGTATTTTGTATTTACCATTATTATAGCACTTCCCACATTGTATCATAACTGTATTATTACATGTACTGGCAATTCAACCTTCTAATTGTCTCTAATATGCCAGCCCCTCTCCAGTCCCTCTACCAATGCCTTAGTTTACCCTTATCTTGCATCTGGATCATTTTGACGGAAGTCTTGACCCTTTCCTATCTATTTTCCATACTGCCACCAAGGTGAGCCATCTAAGGCTGTATTCTGATTGTATCATGCCCCTACTTAAAACTTTTTTGTGGATCCCCATTGCCCTAAATGATAAAGTGCGTGCTTCTTAGCCTAGTTGACTTGCCCCTGCACTCCTCCACAGGCTTCTTTTACTGTGCCCCTCACTCTATCCTTGAATCATACATTCTAGCCATGAGGGAGTACTGATCGTTTACTCAGTAAGCCATGTTACTTCAAGGTTTTGTGCCTTTGTAAACACTGCACTTCTTAATTGAGATATCTATTTTCTAGTGTTCAGTGAAGTTAATTCCTGCATATCTTTTAGATTTCCACTTAGATATCTCTTCCTCTGGGAAGGTTTCTGACCCTAAAGTGCCTTATTTTGATCCACAGTTCTCTTTCATGCTTTTTTTTTTTTTTTTGAGAGATGTAGTCTTGCTCTGTCACCCAGGCTGGGGTACAGTGGCACGATCTCGGCTCACTGCAATCCCTGCCTCCCAGGTTCAAGCAATTTTTACGCCTCAGCCTCTGGAGTAGAAGGGACTACAGGCGTGCGCAACCATACCGGGCTAATTTTTGTATTTTTAGCGGAGACAGGTTTTCGCCATGTTTGCCAGGCTGGTCTCAAATTCCTGGCCTCAAGTGATCTGCCAGCCTCGGCTTCCCAAAGTGCTGGGATGAAAGGCCTGAGCCACTGTGGCTGGCCTCTGTCAGCCTTATTTACCATATTTTATGGTAATTGTTTTTGAGTCTGTCTCTATTTTAAGACTCTTAAGTCTTTTTTTTTTTTTTTTTTTTTTCTGAGACAGGGTCTCACTCTGTCACCCAGCTGGAGTGCCGTGGCATGATCATGGCTCTCACTGCAACCTCCACCTCCCAGGCTCAAGTGATCCTCACACCTCAACCTCCCAAGTAGCTGGGACCACAGGTATGTGCCACCATGCCAGGCTAATTTTTTAACTTTTTGTAGAGATGGAATCCCAGTATATTGCTCATGCTGGTCTTGAACTCCTGGGCTCAAGCAATCCTCCTGCCTTGGCCTCCCAAAGTGCTAGCATCACAGGCATGAGCCACTGTGCTCAGCAGATTTCTAAGTCTTAAGGACAAGGACTGTATCTTAATAATCTTGGTATCTCTATTTCCATGTATAAAGCCTTGCACGAAGTAATTGTTCAATAAATAGTTTTTTTTTAAATAGCGAGGGATGAATGTTTGGGTGGAGAATGTATGTTTGGCCTAGGGTAGGCTTAAGACATCTGCTTTACTTTGGTGTCCTGGTTCATTCCCAACTAAAGCTTCAGAGTTTTACAGAATGACATGGAGAGCCAGGTTGTTTTGGCCATGCCCAGAAAGTGTTGGCTTCAGTATAATCTACCAAATTTAGGAGTTATTTGTAACAAAACTAGATTAAATAGAATTTCAGAGTCTAACAGCTACTGCAACATATACTGTAGCACAGTCAATAGCAGTAACACGAATATATTAGGAAAATGAGATTGCTGAAAGACTAAAGGAAAAAGGAATCTGAGTGCTATAGAGACCAAACAGTAGTCACAGCTGTTGACTCTAGGGGACAACAGAACAAGAGGAGGATAAGAAGAGCAATAAAGGGCCATTGAAAGCACATCTGTTATAGTAGGAGACAGGCCTTGGACAGTATCCGGTTACATGCCTAGGACAATTTGCCTCTTATTTATTTTAAACTCTGAGTAATCTAGGGATAAAATCGGTCTGAGATGGGGCATTGTTTTAACATTTCCCATTGGCAATATCCTTTTTGTGTTACTGGGAAAAGACATATAGTCAAACATAAAGCAAAGGCAATTTATCTTTTTAAATACATGTATAAAATGTAAATAATATAGGAAAAAGAAAATTACTGAGCAACAACCATCCAATTCAAATGTAATCTTACTGTTAACCTTTTCTGATGCCCTGTCTTGCCAATAAATATAATTTTGTTTGAGAAATCTTATCATCCAGATGTTATTATTAAAATAATTATTTCATCTTTAACCTCAACAGATGGCTTAGATACACAGGAATCTAGTTCTACTTATAAGTATCATATTTTAACGATTCCTGAAACTAAGTGAGCAGCTTAATAAAACAGATAATGTGTGCAGATAGCTAAAAATATTTGGATAAAAATGGAAACATAAAGTCAAAAATCTGGATTTACGTCTACATGATGACAGAATAAAATTTTCATTTTTAGCATAATATGCAGACACTGCAAAACATCTCTTTTAAGTTATGCATTTCCCCATATAGAAGAGAGTACTGCTGCATGAACAAGAACAACAGACAAACTTTGATTATATTAATTGATTCTAAGGTAGGCATGCCGAACAGGAAGAAGAACCTTCTATAGGACATGTATGTGTTTTCTGTTTGATGTGTTTCCTGTTTGATGAACCAAAGAATTTCCTAAATGCTACCATCCATAGTTCATGTAGTATCAGTTCTAGAGATATTTATTTATTTATTTGAATATTAAGCCTTTGGTGGGGGAACAGGGTCTTGAAGGCTATTCCAAGTAGAGCAGCATGTGCAGAGGAACCAAGATGGTAAGGAACTGGGCATGTTGGAGGATGTAAAGGAAGGCCAGAGTAGTACAAGAAGAGTGAGTAAGGGCAGGAGTTTGGGCTTTACACTAGGAGCAACAGGAAATCACTGAATGGTTTTCATGTTCAGGAGTGACACAATCTGGTTTACGTGGCTAAATGGTCCTGATGTTTACAGTGTGCAAATTGGAATGGAAGGCTGGGCAAGGTGCAAGCTAGAGGCAGAGGTGATATCTGTTGGCTTGCCCTAGAATCCTGGCAACAGAGAAGGAGAGATGTGGACAGATATGTCAGTGGTAGAATCAATAGGGCTTAGTGAGTAATTAATCAGAAGAGAGAGTGTAATGTTGGAGATGACTCTTGATTTTCTGACTTGATTAACTGGGTGTATAGCAGTGCTTTTCACTGAAATGCAAAGCACTAAAGGGGAAACAGGAATTTGGGGGAAGTAATGTAAATCTTGGATACACTGTTTGCCCTGTTGAATTTTTGGTGCCTATGAAATACCTATGGTAGGCAGGTTTTGGGCTCAGTATAAAAATCTAGGATGGTTTCACTGGCGCATAGCTGAAACCTTGGAAATGAATGAAATCATCTAGGGAGAAAAAAACCATATCCTGAGGAACTCCAGCATTTAAAGTTTGATCAATGATGGAGGAAGCAACAACGGAGCCAGAAAACTGCAAATGGTTATATCAAAGAAATCAAGGGAGCATTGTTTCAAGGAGGTGGATGTAATCTTGTAAGGTGAAGACTGAAAGACAGTCACATACATAAGATTCTCTTCAGTCATGTTCCTGTCATGGCATCTCCTTCTACCTGAATTAAATGGTATAATTCACTGGCAAGGTGACTCTTCTACATAGGCAAGATTGGAGTATATGGAGAAAAATGATTCTCCTCTTGAATCTAATAAAGTTTATGGAATAATGCCCTGGGTATTTTTCCACAGTCATTTGACAAACTATTTTCTGTTCTTAGGAGAACCAGGCTTCCTATTTATGATTTATTAGCACCAACAATTGCCAAACTCACTGGAACTCAACAAAAAGAATTCGATTTTTTTCTAAGAGAGAAAGAAATACAATTTCAGGGGAAAATGTCCACAGGGACTTAAGATATTATGTCTATGTTTGTCGAGCAGGCATAGAAGAAAGATCAAAGGGTAAAACACACTGAAAAATGGTTCTTGAGCTAAAACTCCCAAAAGTTTGTGGATTTCTGGGAATCTGAAGCCTTTTGAATGAAGAGTATAATCTGTACACAAAGTTTGAGTTCAATTAGGATCAGATATCAAAGATGATCTTGCTTACTTCAAATGATTTAACTGGATACTGGCTGAAAAGAGCTTAAGCTAGAAAGGAACTAGAAATGTTGTGACTAATATTCAGACAGATGAAAATAACAGGAAGAAGAACTCTGTGGCAATCCAGATGGAAAAAAAATGAAAAAGAGGTCAAATGGATGCAAATGGCTGATTTCTTTCACTGAGTTTCATCCTAGTGATGAGTTCAAATAGTAAAGATCTCATTTCAGACAAACAAATATTCATTAATGAAGAAATATTACACACTGTGGAATTTCTAAGCCCATGCTATTAATAAGACCTTTTTAAGAGAGGGAGGGAAAGGAGAGAGGGAGAGACGGGGGAAGGGAGGGAAAGGAGAGAGAGAGAGAGAGAGAGAGAGAGAGATAGATAGCTATAGAGCAAGAGATTGTGATAGAGAAAAATCGATTCTGAGAAATTGACTTTGTGTCTGCCTGACAGTCATTGGACGAAATCACAAAGAAAGCACTGGCAAGAGATCAGAACTCCCGGAATCCATTAAATACAAAAAAAGGAGAAAAATAACTAAATGTTGGTTGCAGACCAGCATGCTATATCCAAAGATTTGAGTAGAACTGTTTAAGGGTGAGCAGATCCAATAATAAAATTTCATAATCGGCCCTCATAAAAATAACATGAACAGAAGTTTGCTGGGTTAGAGAGCAACTGCTGCTACTACATATATTGCATTCCATAAGTCAGTCTTAACCAGAAACAAAGATGTTGGGCATTTAGCTCTCATCTTTGTTCTTGACTCTTGGCATATGCAAGTTTCCACAATGCCTCCATTAGTTACTAGTCACAATTACACAGTTTTTTGAAAGTGTGCTTAGAAAAAAAGACTAATCTTCTGATCAACTTAACTGCAGAGTTAGAATAGAAATTAGGGCTCGTCTAGGCTGGGGAGTTGTCACTGCATCAGTCATGTCCCTGCTCCTATACCTCCTTTGGTGGATCAATTCAATGAACAAGAGCTATGTGGTAGAATGACTTGACATAAAAGTGTAGCCTGCTATACTGAGAAGTATTAAAGAGAAATTAGAGAGTAGATAGGCAAGATGCCAAGCACAGGGCAGTCAGCTAACACAGGATAGAACAGGTTGGAATGAGGCTTAAACAGACTAGAACAATGGTTTCTGATCCCTAAAAAAATGAAGATCACACATTACTAGTAAGACAGTAACTTTTTGAAAAATTACAAAAACAGTGTTCATTTTATAAAAAATTTTTAAAACACATATAAACAAAAAGAAGACAATAAAAAGCACACACACCACCACCACCATATATAGCCAAAATTAATAACTCCTTGCTGTACATCCCACAAGATTTTCTCTATGCCTATACAGTTATATATATGCACATACTATATTTTAATCAGTTTAAGCTTATATCTTTTCATGTACTTGTTGGCCATTTGTATATTTTATTTGGAGAAATGTCCATTCGGGGACTCTGGGGACTCAGGGGGAGGGGTTGGAGTGGGGAGAAGGGATACAAGACTATACATTGGATGCAGTGTACACTGCTCAGGTGATGGGTGCACCAAAATCTCAGAAACCACCACTAAAGAACTAATCCATGTAACCAAACATACCTGTTCTCCAAAAACTATTGAAATAATTTTTTTAAAAAGGAATTACACTGAAAAAAAAAAGAAGAAAAAAGTCCATTCAAGTTTTTTGCCTATTTTTAATTGGGTTATTTTTCTTTTCGTTGTTGAATTGTAGGAGGTCTTTATGTATTCTAGATACAGGATCTTAATCAGATATACGATTTCCAAATATTTCCCCCCATTCTACGGATTGTCTTTTTACTCTCTTGATAGTGTCCTTTGATGTATAAAAGTTTTTAATTTTATGAAATCAAGTTTGTTTATTTTTTCTTCTTTTGCTTGAACTCCTAGTGTCATATCTAAGAAACCATTGCCAAATCCAAAGTTATCTAGTTTTACCTCTGTTTTCTTTTAAAAGCTATATGTTCTAGTTCTTTTTTTAAAATCCACTTAGAGCTAATTATTGTATCTGGTGTGAGTTGAAGATCCAACATCAGTCTTTTGTGTGTGTATTCCCAGTCGTCTCATTTTTTACATATTTGATATTATAAAGAGATCCTTTAAAAATAATGTGTTCAGTTATATTCACTACAGTATTTTTCATAGTAGCAAAAAAAACCAGAAACACCATACATGTTCAACAATAGAAGATTCGTAAAATAAATTGTGATATACCTTTATAATGTAATATTATATAGAAATAAAACTAGTATTATTCATAAAAATATCATTAAGCAAACATTTACAAAACCATCAGATCTCATGAGAACTCATTCACTATCCTGAGAACAGCAAGAGGGAAATCTGCCTTCATTATCCAATCACCTCCCACCATGCCCCTCCCCTGACACATGAGGATTACAATTCAACATGAGATTTGGATGGGGACACAGAGCTAAACCATATCGATGGATAAACAAAATGTGATATATTTATAAAATGAAATTTTATTCAGCCATGAAAAGGAATGAAGTACTGATACATGCTATAGCATGGATGAACCCTGAAAACATTATGCTAAATGAAAGAAGCCAGATACCAAGAACACATGTTGAATAATCAAATTTATATGAAATTTCCAGAATAGGCAAATCCAGAGAGAGAAAAAGCGGATATGTAATTACTAGTGACTGGAGGAGGGGTTATTGGGGAGTGACTGATTAATAGGTATGGAGTTTCCTTTGGGAGTGATGAAAACATTCTGGACCTACACAGTATTGATGGTTGCACTACACTGTGAATTTACTTGATGCCATTGAATTGTACTTTAAAAATAGTTTAAATAGTAAATGTTATGTTTATCACAATAAAAATTATAAAAATATAAAATTGTGCTTATAAGCTTACATAATAATACTACTCTCAATATCTATTATTGGAGAAGTTGGTTAATGACAAAAAGCTAGTATGAGTTTACTAATACTTTATGAATTAATATCCTATTAAACATAATATATAGACATGCTTGAAAAAATATAATAGTAGATCTATATGCAAGATAAATGTATACGATCTAACATCAGGCTTGTTTCATATAAGGATCCAAAGACTCTTTGCAATAATTCTACTAGTTATTGGAGATTTAGGATCCATAGGCTATGACTCATTGAGCAAGAGAATTAGTTCACAGAAATCATAAAGGCAGTTCCCTATGGCTGCTATAACAAATTGTAACAAACTTGATGGTTTAAAACAACAGGAACTTGTTTTCTTACAGTTCCAGATGCCAGAGGTCCAAAATCAAGGTGTTGACAGGGGTTCTCTCTCCAAAGGTACTAGGGGAAGATCCTTTCTCTGTCTCTTCCAGCTTATGGTGGCTCCAGAAGTTCTTTGGCTTGTGACCACATCACTCCAATCTGTTTCCTCCTTTTCTGTCTCAAAATTCTTTTCACTTCTATATTATAAAGGTACGTGTGATTGCATTTAGGGTCCACCAGATAATTCAGGATAAGATCTTCCTCTTAAGACATTTAATTTAGTTACTTTTTTTGATCATATAATTTTCACTTTTTTGCCATATGAGGTAATATTCACAAGTTCTGAGGATTAGGACGAGGACATGTCTTTTGGGGGGACCATCATTCAGCCCAGTACAGTCTTCCCTCTGGCCTTCCCAAATCCACGTTCATCCCAGAGTGTAACGACAGAACTCTGGGGGGAGTATCTACAGTCAGGAGTGAGAGGAGAAAGAAAGAGCCATAGAAGAGGGGAGAAGAGGAGCAGTCAGAGAGTGAGAAGGTGTTTCAAGGCAGAATGGTGCTATTTAACTGTCTGTCAAAATGATCAAACTTTGGATGACTTATTGTTGCTTTATGTGAACACAGCTAAAGTCAGACAGTTTGAGAGTGCTTTCAGCTTTCGATCAAGTAAAATGCCATTTAGTGCATTGTTATTATATCAGTCATTTAATAAATAATCCTGTGATCACTTAAAATTGCTACCATATGTCCCAAAGTTTCCAATTAAGATTTAGGATATATATAACTTATCAAAATTGCATACTGTTTGATATTTAGTTATTAATATATGCTTTTTACTTATTTTTCATAAAAACATATATATACAGGACCTCAAGAAGGGGAAACTTGAGGAAATGGAATAATCACATTGCAGATTTCAACAGAGCATGAAGCTATACAGACCTTTCATATGGTTTCATTGTTAAAATTGCAAGACAGAGTGATTATCACCAGCATATTATCTAATTATTGTGTAATGAAGTACTGAGAAACAGCTTGAACTTATAACAAAGGCAGCTAGCACTGCATATTTTATATAATCTTTGAAATATAATTTATATACAATAAAATTTACCCTTTTGAAGTGTATAAATCAATGGTTTTTACTATATTTATAGAGTTGTGCAACCATCTCCATTATCTAATTGATACAGTTTTGCTGTGTCCCCACCCAAAAATCTCATATGGAATTTTAATCCCCATAATCCTCATAATCCTCACGTGTCAAGGGAGAGACCAGGTGGAGGTAACTGAATCATGGGGGCAGTTTCTCCCATGCTGTTCTCATGATAGTGAGTTCTCATGAGATCTGATGGTTTTATGTGTTTGGTAGTTCCTCCTGCGTTCATTCTCCTTCCGGCTGTCTTGTGAAGGTGTCTTGCTTCCTCTTTACCTTCCGCCATGATTGCAAGGTTCCTGAGGCCTCTCCAGCCATGTTGAACTGTGAGTAAATTAAAACTGTTTCCTTTATAAATTACCCAGTCTTGGGTGTTTCCTTTAGCAATGTGAGAACAGACTCATGCACTAATTTTAGAACATTTTCAACACCCTGAAAACAAACCCATTTTCTATCTATTAGCAGTCACTCCTCATTCTCCCCATTCCCTCAGCCCTTTGCAACCACTAACATACAATATGTGTTTTTTCTTTTTCTTTTCTTTTTTTTTTTTTGGCAGGGGGCGCGGTCGGGGGGTGATGGAGTCTCGCTCTGTTGCCCAGGCTGGAGTGCAATGGTGTGATCTCGGCTCACTGCAACCTTTGCCTCCCAGGTTCAAGCCATTCTCCTGCCTCAGCCTCCCAAGTAGCTGGGACTACAGGCATGCACCACCATGCCTGGCTAATTTTTGTATTTTTAGTAGAGACGGGGTTTCACCATGTTGGCCAGGCTGGACTTGAACTCCTGACCTCAAGTGATCCACCTGCCTCGGCCTCCCAAAGTGTTGGGATTATAGGCATAAGCCACCACGCCCAGCCAATATGTGTTTTTTTTTTTTCTGACTGGCTTCTTTCACTTAGCATATTTTCATGGTCAATCCATGTTGTGGCATGGATCAGTACCACATTCCTCTTCATGGCTGAATAATATTCCATTGCATGGCCATACCACATTTTGTTTATCCACTCCTCAGTAATTAATGGACATTTGCATTGTCTTCGTCTTTTGGCTATTATGAAAAATGCTGCTTTGAGCATTTATGTACCAGGTTTTGAGGGGTTATACTTTCAGTTCTCCTGTATACATCCATAAGAGTTGAATTGCTGGGTCATATTGTATCTATGTATAACATTATGAGGAACTGTAAAACTATTTTTCAAAGCTGTGGCAACATTTTACATTTCTACCAGCAATATTTGAATGATCCAGTTTCTTCACATCCTCACCAACACCTGTTATTATCCTGTCTTTTTCATTACAGCCATCCTAGTAGGTGTTGAAACAGAAACATTGAACATAGTACAGAGTTCCCATATACATCCTCAAATACACAATACCCCATTATTAAAACTTGCATTAATGTGGTGTATTTGTTATAATTAATGAGCTAATATTAATACATTATTATTAATTCAAGTCCATAGTTTACATGAAGGTTCACTCTTGGTGGTGTACATTTTATAGGTTTGAACAAATGTATAATAACATGTATCCACCATAACAATAGTTACACTGCCCTAAAAATCCTCTAATGATTCAACTCTTCATCTTTCACTTCCCCATAACCCCTAAAAAGCACTATCTTCATAGTTTTCCTTTTCCAGAATGTCAAATAATTGTAATCATAAAATATGCAGCCTTTTCAGACTGGTTTATTTCACTTAGTATTATTCATTTAATGTTTCTTTATTTTTTTTTAAATAAACTTTTATTTTAGGTTCAGAGGTTCATGTGAAGGTTTGTCACATAGGTAAACTCGTGTCACTGGGGTTTGTTGTACAGGTTATTTCATCACCGAGTTAATAAGCTCAGTACCCAATAGTTATCTTTTCTGCTCCTCTCCCTCCTCCCACCCTCCTCTCTCAAGTAGAACCCAGTGTCTGTTGTTTCCTTCTTTGTGTTTATGAGTTCTCATCATTTAGCTGCCACTTGTAAGTGAGAACATGCGGGATTCAGTTTTTTGTACTTATGTTAATTTGCTAATGATAATGGCCTCCAGCACCATCCATGTTCCGGCAAAAGACATGACCTCATTCTTTTATATGGCTGCATAGTATTCCATGGTGTATATGTATCACATTTTCTTTATCTAATCTGTCATTGATGGGCCTTCATGTCTTTTCATGGCTTGATAACTCATTTCTTTCCACAAATTCGTTTTTATATTTCCCTTCAACAAATATTTACTGAGCTATATTAGTGTCACTGTGGTTTTGATTTGTATTTCACTAATGATGTTGAGCATCTTGTAACATGCTTATTGGCCATTTACATATCTTCTTTAAATAAACTTCAATCAGATTCTTTGTTCCTTTTTTATTGGGCCACTAATCTTTTTAACTGTTGAGTTGTAAGAGTCCTTTATATATGCAAATACACATTTCTTATCAGATATATGGTTTGCAAGTATTTTCTCCCACTCTACGGGTTGTCTTTGCACTTCCTTGATGGTGTTAACATTGCATTTTTGTGGTGCCTTTCCCTGGAGCACTGAACTACTTTGATACATAAGATTCAAGAATAAGGTTGAGATTGCTCTTCTTTTAAAATAAACATACCAGCATTTATAGATCTAAAATATGTTTTCTACACTCAATTCATTGTCTCAGTAGGCTACATATTTATTCCAAATATAGCTAAGCATGGTGGCTCGTGCCTGTAATCTCAGCACTTTGAGAGGCTAAGGTGGGAGGATCACTTGAGCCCAAGACTTAGAGACTAGCCTGGGCAACATAGTGAGACCCCCTATCTCTATGAAAAAATAAAATAAAATAATTAGCCAGGTGTGGTGCCATGCACCTGTGGTCCCAGCTACTCAGGAGGCTTAGGTGAGAGGATCACTTGAGCCCGGGAGGTTATGGCTGTAGTGAGCTGTGATTGGGCCACTGCCCTCCAGCCCGGGTGACAGAGTGAGACTCTGTCTCAAAAAACAAAGAAGGAGGAGGAGAAGGAGGAGGAGGAGGTTGAGGAGGAGGAGGAGGTTGAGACTGCTTTTCTTTTAAAATAAATATGCCAGTCTTTACATTTCTAAAAAAGATGTTTTCCACACCCAATTTATTGTGTTGTTAGGCTACATATTTGTTCTAAATATATTACCATTGTTATATAGTCAGTTTACTAGAAACACAAGAGGTCAGACATATTGTTCTAAAATGGTGTTTCTCAAACTTTAGGGTGCTTCAGAATCACGTGGAGCACTTGTTGATATATAGACTTGTGGGTCCCACCCTGAATTTCTGATTTAGTAGGTTAAAAATGGAGCCTGATAATTTGCATTTCTAACACATCTCCAGGTAAGGACAATGCTGGTGGTGCTGGGTCATGTTTTGAGAATCACTGTCATAGAGCAGCATTTCCCAAAGTGTCTATTGGGTATATACTTTTAATTTTAATTAGTTTTCTTTCTCTAATCCCATGACAGATTTGTCTATGGGATGTTAATAGCTATTACATGGTGGAAGTATTTTATTGTCATATAACTGTGAAAATTTGGGTCAAGCAGATAGCAGATTTCTTTTTTTCCCTTCCCCCTCTCCTTTTTCTTTAAAGATGAGGTCTCACTCTGTCACCTAGGCTAGAGTGCTGTGGCTGGAGTGATCACAGCTTATCGAAGCCTCAAACTCTTGGGGCTCAAGAGATCCTCCCACCTCAGCCTCCTTCATAGCTCAGACTACAGGCACGTGTCACCATGTCCAACTAATAGATTTCTTTACTGTAAGTTTTCTCTGAGATTTTAATCTGTGCATGAGCATTTACAAGCTCCAAAGTTGAACACGGTATGTTTTTTCCACATTTTTTGACCATGGGCTGCTTTTTCAAAACCATTTTATTGAAATATAATTGGTATATGCATATATGTATTTTTTAACTTCAGATGTTTAAAGTGTGCTGCTTCATACATTTTGATATATATAGATATCCATGAGACCATGTCCACAACCAAGGTAATTATCATATCCATAATCCCCCCAAATTTACTCCTATCCCTTCTTAATCCTGCCCTCTGGTCATCACCATCTCCTGCTTTCATTACCAGGCAACCACCCATCTGATTTCTGCCACTAGTTTATAATTTCTAGTGTTTTACATAAATAAAATTATACAGTATGTCATCTTTTTTGGCCTGGCTTCTTTCACTTAGCATACTTATTTTTAGACTTTTTTCTATGTTGTTACATTTATCAGTAGTTCATCCCTTTTTATGGCTGAATATATAGAAGTCCATTGTATGAATATACCACAGTATGTTTATCCATTCTTTCATTGATGGACATTTCCATGTTTTGGCTATTGTAAATAAAACTGCTTTGTGCATTAATGTACAAGTCTTTACAGAGACATAGGCTTTCAGTTCTCTTGGATAAATAACTATTACTAGAATGGCTGAATCATATGGGAAGTGTATGTTTAGCCTTTTAGTGTGTTTAACTTTTTAGAAAACTGCCAAAGTGTTGTGCAAATCAGTTGTTCCATTTTCCATTCTCACCAGCAGTATAAGACAGTTCCAGTCCTTCAGATTCTCACCACACCGAGTATGGTCATTGTTTTCATTTTAGCCATTCTAATAGATGTGTATTGTCATGTGCTTCTGTAATGATTCTAATAGATTATATTGTCATGTGCTTCTGTAATGATTAATGATGTTGAATATATTTTCATGGGCTTATTTGCCATCTGTATATCTTCTCTGGTGTAATGACTCTTCAAATATTTTGCCCACATTTTATTGGGCTTTTCTTGTTTTATTGTTGCATTTTGAGAGATTTTTAAAAAATACATTTTAAAGTCCTCTATTAAATGTATGACACTTTTTCAAAGGGACATCTAATAGGACTAGTGTTGCTTAGTGTAACTTTAAATGCACACAATCATCTCTTTAAACTGTATTACTTTAAAAAGGTGGCTTCTAATTCAGTAGTTGTCTTAATCTGTTTGTGCTGTTATAACAAAATATCTGAGATTAGGTCATTTATAATAATAGATATTTGTTTCTCACAATTCTGGAAAGGCCAAGATCAAGTTGCCGGCAGGTTCAGTGTCTGGTGAAGCCTGTCTCTACTTACAAGATAGCATCTTGAGGCTGGGTGCAGTGGTTCATGCCTGTAATCACAGCACTGTGGGAGGCCAAGGCAGGAGGATCACTTGAGCTCAGGAGTTTTGAGACAAGCCTGGGCAACAAAGTAAGACCTTATCTCTACAAAATAAAAAATAAAAAAATTAGCTGGGTGTGGTGGTGTGTTCCTGTAGTCCCAGCTACTCAGAAGGCTGAGGCAGAAAGATTGCTTGAACCCGGGAGGTCGATCCTGCAATGAGCCTTGATTGCACCACTGCACTCCATCCTGGGTCAGAGAGAGAGACTCTGTCTTAAAAAAAAAAAAAAAAAAAAAAGAAAAGAAAAAAAATAAGGAAAGAAAAGAAAAGATGGCACCTTGAACACTGTATGCTCCAGAGGAGACAAATGCTGTGTCTTCACATGGCGGGAAGGACAGAAGGGCAAAAGGATCTAGTTAGTTCCCTCCAGCCCTTTTGTAAAGCATGAATCCCATTCATAGGGGTAGAGCTCTCATGGCCTAATCACCTCCTAAAGGCCCCATCCTTTTTTTTTTTTTTTTTTTTTTTTGAGACAGGGTCTTGCTCTGTGGCGCAGGCTGGAGTGTAGTGTAGTGGTGCAATCACAGCTCGTTGCAGCCTCAAACTCCTGGACTCAAGTGATCCTCCTACCTCAACCTCCCAAGTAGCTGGGACTACAGACGCACACCACTATGCCCAGCTAATTTATTTTATTTTATTTTTTGTAGAGACGGGGTCTCACCATATTGCCCAGGTTGGTCTCAGACCCTGGGCTTAAGATATCCTCCCACCTTGGCCTCCCAAATTGCTGGGATGACGGGCATGAGCCGCTGTGCCTGGCAAGCCCAAGCTCTTAATAATTTTGCATTGGAGATTAAATTTCAACATAAATTTTGGAAGGGACACAAACATTTAAGCCACAGTGGTAGTTCTGTGGTTGAGTCTCATAGTCTTCTTTCCTAGTAAGCCCTCCTAGTAGCCCAGGTTATGCTAATCCATGGACCACACTTTAAGTAGCAAGCCTTTAGCATACAGTGAAACTGATCTAGGAGAGAAAGGTTGTGCTTAGATTGATCATCCATCTTCCTTATTCGTGAGTGTTGGCTTCAGAATTACTTGTCCATTAAAAAAATGAAATCTGCTGTCAAATAACAGTTTTTTTTTCTTTTTTCTGCTGAAGAGTGTGGTGGACACTGTTGGATACCTATTCAGTACCTACCACCCCTTCTTCCTTGTCAACAGAACCCCAATTTTTCTCCATTATTTGTCCTTTAGTGAGAATGACCACATCACTTGCTGAGGTAGTAAATACTGATTAGTCTAAGCCAATGATACAAATCTCTTTCCCCTTGTTAGTGTTTGCAGTATGGACATGTAACTCAATTTTCATTAATTATATGAGAGAGGATGTTTTGGTGGGGAGCTTTTTGAAATAGTTTACTCAATCTTTAATAGATATTCACAGGATAATATGGTCTCTTCTTCCACTGGTGGTAGTTATGTTAGATGTTGTGGCTGGAACTGCAGCAATCATCTTCTGAACATAAGAAAGAAGAATAAGGCAGAGGACAAAATTGCCACTTTACGCAGAGGACAAAATTGCCACCATACGCATGGCAGAACAGAAAGATGGAATGAACCTTGTCCTATAATTCTTTGAGGCACAGAAAAAATGAAACAAAAGAAAACAAACAGTAAAGCCACCTAAACTTGAGTCTTCTTCTTATATGTGTTAAACATTTTCTTTATGGTTTATACCATGGGATTTTCTATTACATACAGCTGAAAGCATATTTATACACTATTCCAAAACACATATCTCTGCTCATTCAGTTACTGGTTCTTTAAGGTCAGCCAGCTTAGCTTGGTGCTATATGAGTTGCAGAGTATAATTTTATGTACCTCTCTTCATTTATGTGCCATCTACTGTGTTTACATCTCTGGTCTCTGATTCCTAGAAATCTACTCATCTTCAAATAGTTGGTTTTGGCCATTCCTTGCCTTTTGCAATTTAGCTTCACATTCAACTTTCAGCTTCCAGTGACTTCCTGAATTCAATAGCTCCCACAATCATCTAATGGAAGTCCTTTCTGTTACTGATCTCAGTCCAGTAATACTAAGCACCTTCTCTGATAACAGGTACCTCTTTATTTTCTGTTTCAAAAAGTATGGTACCCCCTTCCACACAGATGCCCAAGCAAGAAAAATGGAAGTTATCCTAGCTTCTTCTATTCTTCTCATCCTAATATCCAGTAAGTCATTGTGTTAGTCCATTTTGTGTTGCTATAAAGAAATACCTGAGACTGGGTAATTTATAAGGAAAAGAGATTTATTTGGCTCACAGTTCTGCAGGCTGTATAGGAAGCATGGCATCAGCATCTGCTTCTGGTGAAGGCCTCGGGAAGCTTTCATTCATGGGAAAAGTGGAAGGAGAGCTGGCATGTCACATAGAAAGAGAGGGAGCAAGAGAGTGATGGGAGGTGTGTCAAGTTTTTAAACAACCAGCTTGTCCATGAACTAATAGAACAAGAACTCACTCGTTACTGCAGAAAGGGCACCAAGCCATTCATGTGGGATCTGCCCCAGTGAGCCAAACACCTCCCACTAGACCCCACCTCCAACACTGGGGGTCATATTTGGAGAATGCTAATATCAAACTATGTCAGTCATCAAAGACTTACTTATTTTAACCTTGAAATGTTTCTTAAATTCTCCTTCTCCCCTTCTTTACTGTCATTATCCTAGCTCAATCAACCATCATCTCTTCTAAGTTATAACAGTGATTTGCCTGCCTGTTTTTCCAGTCTCCAGTCTTATTATTTCAGTGGAGCCCACATTTTGCAGTGAGAGGAAATTTTCTGAAATGCTGACTCCCATGCTCAAAACCTTCCCACCACCCCCTTATCTACAGAAGAAGGTCTTTAAGTAAGAACACAGGGCCCCATAACTAGCTCCCACTTGCTTCTCCAGTGTTATGCCTGATCACCCCCCAATTCAAACTTCATTATCCAGCAATAATGAATGCGTTGTAGTTCTTTGGAACACCCATGCCATTATTTACCTACATTCATTTGCTCATAGTCTTCTCTGCATAAAATGCCCCATCTCCTTCCATACTACTTTCCTACTTATTCTTCGGGCCTACATTTTGGCATCACTTCTTGAAAGATTTATTTGATCCCACTCAATCTAGAGTGTATTTGGTTCCCCTTCTTGACTTTTTTTTTAATGACAACCTGTATTTTATCATTGCCCTTAAAATATTATATTTTTATGGTCTATTTATTGGGCCATATTTCCTCATCCCAATCCCCACCGGAGTTTGAGCTCCTTGAGTGCGGGGGTGGCATCTTATTTTTTTGCTGTATCCCCAGCACTTAGCTTAAATGAGTCTCATCAGCTGAGAACAGGGCCTTTGGCCCCAGTCTCTCTACCCTCCATTGCAATGGATACTGAATCTTTTGCCTGGAATCCAAGATTCTTGAGGATTGCTGCCACTCACTCAGAGACAATAGATAAGATGTCAGTCACCCAGGCTCTCAGTTCATAGGTAAATCCAAGATGGGGTTTTTTTTCCCCCTCTACTCACTGTGAAATGGAATCTGAAGAGAACCTCTTTATCCACTGTAATTAATTTATTTTCTTTCTTTCTTCCTTTCTTCCTTCTTTCCTTCCTTCCTTCTTTCTTTCTTTCTTTTTCTTTCTTTCTTTCTTTCTTTCCTTCTTCTTTTTCTTTTTTTTCTCTCTCTCTTTCTCTTTTCCTTCCTTCCTTCCTCTTTCTTTCTTTCCTTCTTTCTTCCTTCCTTTGACAGTTCCTCCCTCCATCACCCAGGCTGGAGTGCAGTGGCACAATCACAATTCACTGCAGCTTCAACTTCCCAGGCTCAAGCAATCTTCCCACCTCATCTTCTCAAGTAGCTAAGACTACAGATGCTTGCTATCACGCCTGGCTATTTTTTTTTTTTTTTTTGACAGAGTCTCACTCTGTCACCCAGGCTGGAGTGCAGTGGTGTGACCTTGGTTCACTGCAACCTCTGCCTCCCGGGTTCAAACGATCCTCCTGCCTCAGCCTCTCGAGTAGCTGGGACTACAAGTGCCCGCCTGGCTAATTTTTTTTTTTCCCGCGACGGAGTTTCGCTCTTCGCCCAGGCTGGAGTGCAGTGGCATGATCTCGGCTCACCGCAATCTCGCCTCCCGGGTTCAAGCAATTCTCCTGCTTCAGCCCACCAAGTAGCTGGGATTATAGGCATGCACCACTACACCCAGCTAATTTTGTATTTTTAGTAGAGACAGGGTTTCTCCATATTGGTCAGGCTGGTCTTGAACTCCCAACCTCAGGTGATCCACCCGCCTCGGCCCCCCAAAGTGCTGGGATTACAGGCATGAGCCACTGTGCCCAGCCTAATTTTTGTATTTTTAGTAGAGGCGGGGTTTCACCATGTTGGCCAGGCTGGTCTCAAACTCCTGGCCTCAAATGATCCGCCTGCCTTGTCCTCCCAAAGTGCTGGGATTACAGGTGTGAGCCACTGCTCCTGGCCCTGGCTGATTTTTTCTTTTTAGTAGAGAAGAGATCTCACTATGTTGCCCAAGCTGGTCTGGAACTGCTGGGCTCAAACGATCCTCCCACCTCGGGAGGTGTTGGGATTACAGGTATGAACCACCGTGCCTGGCTCACTGCAACTTTTTCAACAGCTCCACAAGCCAATAACTCATAACTGCTAAGTTGCATGGTAGGAGAATCCCCTTCTACATTCCTATGCATCTAAGTGTAGGAAATCCTTACAGCAGTGTGTGCAATGATATTATTCCAAACAGCTGCCAACTTAATCTGTGCATTCCTGGTCCCACCTATCTGTCTAACTGAACCACACTCACTTCAGTGCAGGTGGGCTACTAACAGCATGTACCATGGATATAGGGGTCTGATGACTGAGAGCATCCCCATGAAGGGGTTCATGCTGTTTACCTCTATGCCTATTATTTCCCTTGCTCTTTGATTTCTCATCTTTGCATTCTCATTCTCCTTGGAATCTCATCCTGTGTCCTACATCTTACTTCCAAGTTTTTGGTTTGTTTGATTGTTGTTTCAAAATCAGAATTCCTGTTTCATTCTAGGATTCTACTCAAATAATTATGCCACAATTCAGAACATGAAGGTTTGTCTGCTGGAAGTTTTTAAGCTAGAAATAATTTATCCAACAAAGTGTCTTGAGCGCCTACTTTATGTTTCTGGGCTCTGTTCTATATCCTACAGATACAATAATAAACAGATCAGGCAAAATCTCTGCCTTGTGAACTTATGTTCTAGGTGGGGGCAGGGACAGATATTAAACAACATTAACAAGTAAAATGTAAAGGGTGATAAAGAAAAAGCGATTCAGAAAAGGTTTGATTAAATTAGTGGTGGTTGTGTGATTGTAGCTTAACTTTAGATAGGATAGTCAGAGAAAGTCTCGATGAAGGCTTGGAAGAAGTGAGAGCTAATTATGTGGATGTCTGTGGGAAGAATGTTACAAGTAGAGAGAACAGCAAGTGGAGAGACTCAGGTAGAAAACTGACTATAGGGTGTCAGAAATAAGAGGCCAATGTGCTGGACTGAAGCAAGCAAGAGGGTGAGTAGCTGGAGATAAATTCAGAAAGGGAACAGAGAATCCGTTCTGGTAGGGTCTTATGGGTCACTGTAACAACTTTGGATTTGGAATAGGGTTTTTGAGTAAATGAGTTATGTGATTTGACTTATGTTTTAACAGGATCACTCTGGCTGCTGTGGTGAGAGCAGACTATATAGGTAGGTGAGTGTATTAGTCTGTTCTCGCACTGCTATAAATAAGTACTTGAGACTCGGTAATTTATAAAGAAAAGAGGTTTAATTGGCTCACAGTTCCACATGGCTGTAAGGGAAGCATAGCAGCTTCTGCTTCTGAGGATGTCTCAGGAAACTTACAATCATGGCGAGAGGCAAAGGGGAAGCAGGCACTTTTTATGTGGCTGGAGCAGGAGGAAGAGAGAAAGGTTGGGAGTGCTACACACTTTGAACAACCAGATCTCATTGAGAATTCACTCACTATACAGTACCAAGGGGGGTGGTGCCAAAACATTCATAACAAACTCCACCCCATGATCCAATTACCGCCCACCAGGCCCCACCTCCAGCATTGAAGATTACAATTCAGCATTTAATTTGGATAGGGACACACATCCAAGCTATATTGGTGAGCAAAAATGGAAGCAGGGAGACCATCTAGGGGAGTATTGAAGTAATCCAGGCAAAAAGTGCTAGTAATTTCAATCATTAACTTGGCAGAGGAGGTGGTGAGAAGTGGTTGCATTCTGAATATGTTTTGAAAGTATTATTGACAGGACTTTTAGATGTGGCTAATGAGGAATAGAGAATAATAAGGACAACTCTCTGATTTTTAGGTTGGACAACTTGAAGGATGGAGTTGCTCTTTAGTGAGATAAAAAATGTGAGAAGAATAGGCTTGAGAGTTATCAGGAAATTGATTTTGGGTCTGTGAAGCCTATTAGACATCCAAATAGAGGTGTTGGATATATGATCCTGGAGTTCATGGGAGAAGGCTGATCATATATGTTTGGAAGTCATCAGCATACAGACAATATTTAAAGAATGGACGAGATTACCAAAGAGTACTGCAAGGTTCAATAGATAAAGAAGAGAAAAAGACCAAGGATTGAGCCCTGGGACACTCCAGAAATTGGGCTAAAAAGAGGATTCAGCAAAGGAGACTGATAATGAGAGGCCAGTGAGACAGAAGAAGGTGGGGCCCTGGAAGCCAAGCAGGAGTGAGTGGTAAATGATAATTCCTGCTAATAAGACAAATAAGGTTTGAACTGAGAATTGAACATTGGGTTTAGCAATGTGGAGGCCGCTGATGAGCTTGAAAAGAGTAGTTGGATTGGAATGATGGTGGTGAAAGCCTGATTGCAGTGGGCTCAACAGAAAATGGGTGTATGGGCAGGTTTTTCTGAGTTTTGCTATAAAGTAGAGACTAAAAATGTGTGTGTTGGGGGAGAAGTGGGATAAAGTACTTTTTCAGATGAGAGAAACAATAGTATTTTTAAAAATGCTGATGGCAATGATTTAGTAGAAAGCGGGAAATGGATGATGCAGGAGATTGAGGGATGAATTGCTGGGATGATGTTCTTGAGTAGGTGAGTAGGGATAGAATCTAGTGGATAAAGGGAAGGGTTGGCATAAAATAGGAGCATGGGCATATAGGCACAATTCCACACACAGGCACCGAAGCTGGTTGCTTGGTAGATGTGGTGGTGAAACGTTGTGAGAGTTCTTTTCCAGTTTCTGTTTGCTCTTAGGTGAGTGTGATAATGGGAGGAGAAGATGTTGGAAGTTTGAGGACAGGAGAAGTGTGAAATAGTAATTTATGAGATTGGGAGAGTGAATGGACTAGGAAAATGTAATATGATTCTTGAGCTGCATTAAGAATCTATTTGAAGTTGGTGGTTGTGTGGGATTTTTTTCTCCATCTATGTTCAGCAGCAAGAGTACAGGTATGGAATAGGCAGAAAGTTAGATATAACTACTGTTGGAGCTTTTTCAAGTGAGTAAGATGAAGCAAGGGGTAAGCTAGTTGAGGGGGTGATTACACTGTTTGACCACTGTAATGAATAATTTGGAAATCATGAAGTGGTTGAGGGAGAGTGAAGGTTGAAAGCTATGCTTGAATTGGGATACACACAAACTTCCTCAAGCATAATACACTTGCGTCCTGAGACCCATGTTAGTATCAATAATCACATAATTACAGACAAATGGATGAACTCCCACAGTGACTGCTTTGTTTTATTTTTATTTTTATTTATTTTTTTTTTTTTTTTTTTTTGAGACGGAGTCTCGCTCTGTCGCCCAGGCCGGACTGCGGACTGCAGTGGCGCAATCTCGGCTCACTGCAAGCTCCGCTTCCCGGGTTCACGCCATTCTCCTGCCTCAGCCTCCCGAGTAGCTGGGACTACAGGCGCCCGCCACCGCGCCCGGCTAATTTTTTGTATTTTTAGTAGAGACGGGGTTTCACCTTGTTAGCCAGGATGGTCTCGATCTCCCGACCTCATGATCCACCCGCCTCGGCCTCCCAAAGTGCTGGGATTACAGGCGTGAGCCACCGCGCCCGGCCTACAGTGACTGCTTTGACTGTGACAACACTGATGTGAAAATATAAATTCTGCCATGTGTGTTAAAAAGAAATCCAGTCACATCACTAATGTGCGAGCCTCACTTCATTTGTAAATTACCTTTCCTATGAAAGGTAAAGCCGTGAAACAATCTATCAAATGCTACACATGCTTCAGAGGCTATAACTCAGAAAAATCAAGGTTTGAGTAAAAGCAGATGAAAGACTAGAGATACTAGAAAGGGGATGAAGAAAAAGTAGAGTAGAAAGGAAGCATCAGCCCTTGAGAATAAAAATAACATTGGTAAATCAAACTAGTAAATAAATAATATCTTAAAAAGAACTGATAGGATAAACAAGAGTAATAAAAGGGTTGTACAAGCAGAAGCATAAAAATGTATGGTAAAATAATACAATAATATTACTTATATAATAATTTATATAATAATATCTTTAGTGATGTTTCTGAAATAATAAAGTTGAATTTACTTATTATTGAGGCATTTGAAAAGAAATTTATATTTTTTCAGTGCTTAGTATGCACAGAGCATTTTCATTTGTTTATTTATATTGCACTCTCAACAGCTCTAAAAAGTAGATGCCATTATATGAATGGAGAAATGGAGGTTTAGAGAAGTTAAATCACTTATCTATGCCCTACAACTTTTCTCCCCGAGTCCAAAGCCAGTGCCCCTTCCATTACTCAAACCTTCTCACAGTTTAATGAGATACTGTACGTAAAAGTATCTTTTTTTTTTTTTTTGAGACAGGGTCTCACTCTGTTGCCTAGGCTGAACTGCAGTTGTGCGATCACAGCTCACTGCAGCTTCAACCTCCCAGGTTCAAGTGATCTTCCCACTTCAGCTTCTCAAGTAGCTGGGACTCTGGGTGTGTGCCACCATGCCTGACTAATTTTTGTATGTTTTGTAGAGATGGGATCTCACTATGTTGCCCAGGCTGGTCTCTAACTCCTGGGCCCAAGCGATCCTCGTGCCTTGGCCTCCCAAAATGTTGGGATTACAGGCATGAACCACACCCCTGGCCTAAAAGTATCCTTTTAAAATGTTAGTTATTAAAATCCATGCTTAATTTATTATTTTTATAATAATTTATACTTAGAAAATGGAAAAGAATGTTTGCAATTGTCTATGAAGATAAGAATGCTAACTTAAAAGCCACACAACAATTTGACAGGTTGAAGGGTAATGCAAATGAAAGTTAAAATGTTTCTCTGAATTAATGCATTTAACGGAGGCTCATAACCCACATATTTTTTGGTTCTATTTTTGTACAATATACTGTATTCACATTCATTTCATTTGATTGGATCCTTCAATTTTATTTCATTTTTCTATGTGGCCTCCTCCACAGATAATAACGTATCATCGGCTGCTGCTTTGGGCTGGATTTCTACTTCGCAGCATGGAGAACCCCACTCTATTTTCCTAAATCCACACCCTGCTTGTTGCTGAGTTATTCCAACTTGATTTTTCCAGATTGTAAAAGTTTATAGAAATTGCCAAAAAACATACTAGCCAGGCATTTGACTGTATTTGTTACTACATTGTGCCATGTGAATAATATTTTAAAATGCAGAATGAATGACATCTAAAACATTACTAGAAAAGTAGTCATGTTAAGGCACGTTAGAAATCAGTCCATTTCACAGATTTTCAAAAACCTATACAAAAACAACATTGTTTTAAATATAGCAAGTCTACCTTCCATAGATTTTGGCTAAAATACTGCTTTCTTTCTTATATAAGGAGAATTGGATTTTAAAAATGTAAGAGACAAAACAAGTACAAAGTCTTTCATTCTTTTCTTTTTCATGGTAACTTATTTCGAGCTATGCAGATTAAGTGGAATTAGTATCTCCCTGGTCAGACTGCTACAAATCAATTTATCTTGATACAAGTCTTAACCATAGGAGTCATATCATAAATGTATTTCTCTGAGACAAACAAGGACGGAAGAAAAGATGAAGAGAAGGAATCCAGATATATCACTTCAGCCCTATGTGGTACGTTCTTCTGTTCCAATCCCAGACAAAGGTCTGTGGACATCTCTGGTATTTGTTGACTGAATTTCACAACAGAATGTGGGGCATGACATACAGCCTAATGATTTTCCCTATCACAAACTACGCAGGAAAAATACTAGGCCATGTACACATTCAAGCAGAGCAGTGAACTATTCACTAATAAGTTAGAAAAGTTCAAACAAGCTTCTTCACATCACTTTACTGAATAAATTGAAACCTCAATGTTCCTAAACAACTTTACTAATAAAAAAACCCAACCCTTATATTATTTACAACTTTTCAGTAACAAATATGTACATATTCACTTAGAATTGCAAAAACATGGAACGAGATCACTTTATTTTATTCATCATTCTTTGGATGAATGGTAAACTATCTGTTGTCCTTTTACCACATTAAGGTACTTTGTGTTCAAAATAACCAAGAAAGTAATGTAGAAAAAGGGGCCATACAGAGAATGCCTTCAGGATGGGGGTAGGATTCCTTCTTTGACTACTTCAAAAACGAGGAATATAAAGACCCATATAGGGGAGAAAAATTTTTAAATTGAAGTCTTTATGTCTTAATCTGCTCAGGCTGCCATAACAAAATACCACAGACTGGGTGGCTTAAACAACAGAAATTTATTTTTCACAGTTCTGGAGACTGGAAGTCTAGGATCAAGGTGCAGGGCAAGGTAGGTTTCATTCTGAGGCCTCTTTTCTTGGCTTGTAGGTGGCCCACCATATTGCTGTGTGCTCATGACCTCTTCTCTGTGTTCACATAGGGAGAATAAGTGAGCTCTCTGGTAAGAGCTTATAAGGGCACTAATCTCATCATGAGGACACCCTCCCCCGGACCCTATCTAACCCTAATTATTTCGTAAAGGCTCCATTTCCAAATACCATCACATTGGGAAAACTTCAACATAGAAACTTTGGGGGGATATAAATATTGAATCCAGATATATCACTTCAGCTGTATGTGGCATGTCCGTACGTTCCGATTCCAGACAAAGTTCTGCAGATGTCATTCCCTGGCATTAGTTGACTGCCTTTCACAACAGAATGTAGAGCATGACATACAGCCTAATGATTTTCCCTGTTACAGACTATGCAGGGAAAAATACTAGGCCATGTAAACATTCAAGCCAAACAATGAACTATTCACTAATAACACATCACAAACATATGTGACATAGCTTTTAATACCAGTGTCTGTGTACCTATTTATTTCCTCCTGGATGCTAGGTTTATAGATCAGACTCATTGTCATAGGGAAGACTGTGGTGCCTTGGTTATGGCTTCATTGTTTGCTCAGCTAAACTTCCTATTAAATTGATTATCAGAGATAATGTAAGTAGAACATTTGCCCATCAGTTGTTGACATCTGGTAATGTATCTGATTTGTCAGTGTCCATGCTGCACAAGTCATTAAATATTTTGAATATCACCACTGGTCAGTTATATATATTCTCTATTATAGAAAATACATTATTCATCAAAACATATAATACATCAAGGCATATGGAAATAGAAATATCTCCATCTTGACCAACATTGTGAAACCCCGTCTCTACTAAAATACAAAAAATTAGCCAGGTGTGGTGGTGCACACCTGTAATCCCAGGTACTTGGGAGGCTGAGGCAGGAGAATTGCTTGAACCTGGGAGGCAGAGGTTCCAGTGAGCCGAGATTGCACCATTGCACTCCAGCCTGGGAGACAGAGCGAGACTCCATCTAAATAAAAAAGGAAATAGAAATATTTAAAAATAATTAGCAACTATTCTCATTAATTTTTAAATATTATTTTCTGATTTTAATGTAACTCAAGCTTAAAAATAAGTGACCTTGAATATTAAAAGTTAGATAGAGCCTCCTGTGATTCGAGTAAGACTTTTTTCTTTTCTTTTTTTTTTTTTAGATGGAGTTTTGCTCTTGTTGCACAGGCTGGAGTGCAATGGCATGATCTCGGGTCACTGAAACCTCCACCTCACGGGATCAAGTGATTCTCCTGCCTCAGCCTCCCGAGTAGCTGGGATTACAGGCATGTGCCACCATGCCTGGCTAATTTTGTATTTTTAGTAGAGATGGGATTTCTCCATGTTGGTCAGGCTGGTCTCGAACTCCTGACCTCAGGTGATCCGTCTGCCTTGGCCTTCCAAAGTGCTGGGATTTACAGGTGTGAGCCACTGTGCCTGGCCAAATTTTTTTTCATTTAGTTGAAATTCACATAAAATTAACCATTTTAAAAGGAAAAATTCAGTGGTTTGCAATATTGTACACCCACTGCCACTAACTAGTTCCAAATGGTTTTCATCACCTGGAAAGGAAACCCCATACCTATTAAGTAGTTGCTTGCCAATTCCATTGCCCCAGCTCCTGGCAACCACTGATAGAGTTTTTGTACAAATTTGCCTATTCTGGACATTTCATATAAATAGAATCATACAATATGTGGTCTTTTGCAACTAACTTTTTTCACATAGCATAATATTTTCCAGATTCATCCATGTTGTAGCATGTAGCAGTACTTCATTCTTTTTGTACAGTTGGATCATATTCAATTGCATGTATATACAATAGTTTGTTCATTCATTTGTCTGTTGATGGGTATTTGGGCTGTTTCTATTTTTTGGCTATTGAGTTAGACTTCTAACAATCCAATCAAGGCTCAAAACTCCTGAAACTCCTCCTCTGCCCCCAGTTTACATTATGAACTTAACTGTCCTTGAAAAAGAATCTTACTGCTTCATGTATCTTGCGGCACTTGGCTGTGCTGCCCCTGAATTGCTCAGTCTCTTCCTATTTGAAAGCTTATGGAAGAATCTGTCTCATGCATTCAGCTTCCACAACAGAAAAATTAATCAGGCCACACAGCTTGAACTGCTCCTTCGCTTCCTCCTCCACCCTGTTGACCAGTTCTTTCCTAAATAGATTGCCTTTCAATCTTTGCTGCTGCTTCCCTGCTTTTATTCCACCTGGTATTTGCCAGCCATGCACCTGGTCCTCTGAGCGATTTGACACATGCAAGAGTATTTTTGTTCATTACCTAGACTATCCTCTAAAAATAGCTTGGTATTATAAAACTTTGCTACACCTAAACACAACTTTAAAAAACACATTTAAATAAAATTTGATATGAATCATATCCCAGCTTTCCCCTCCTCTCATTCCCATCCCTGCTCTAGTTGGCCATTCTTATGTCCAGCTTTTGGCTTGGTGGCAAAGGAATATCTTTTAGTTATATAAACCAATTCCTCATCCATACAGATGTTATCCCTCTGACAAAACAGAATGCCTCAACCCAGTTTAGCTCTTCATTTCTTCTGAACAAAAGCCATTAGGATTGACTACATGGTAAGAAATACAAGTCAGGAGGACCAAATTGCCCCCAGTGTGCTCCTGAAATCATACTATGCTAGCACCTGGCTTCTCTGGGTTTACAGAAGGCCTATACTGGTAGCCATTATAAGAGCTATATCCTTTGCATTTCTACTCAAGGAAACTTATTCTTGGATGTTATTCAGCTCTGAATTGCTCTAAAGATTCTAAAGCCAGCCAAGCATGGTGATGGGTCTGCAGTCCCAGCTATTCGGAGTCTGAGATGGGAGGATTGCTTGAGCCCAGAGTTTGAGGCCGCAGTGAGCTATGATCGTGCCATTGTACTCCAGCCAGGGCTGCAAGACCTCATCTCTTAAAAAAAAATTGTAAAGCTAAGAGAAGGCTGTGGGTAACTCCTCTCATACAGTGCTGGTTTTACCCAATAGACAGAGCACGTGATCACAAACCTGGGGCATGAACTCTTTTGGGGGGCGGGAGAATTTGGAGTTTATTATTTTATGCAAAGCATTGAGACAGTCATTATGGGAAAAACCTAAATATAGCTTAGATTTCTATTTACTTAGTATATAGTATATCATTATTTTATTTTTAAAATTATCATACAGTAAAATGAACTTTTTCGTGCACTGTCCTATGAATTATAGCATATCTTTTAAATTCTAAATCACATATAAAGTGGAGGCACTGCAATCTTTTCATGGCTTAGTGCCTTTATAGGGCTTAATCCAGCCCTGTAACTCAGGCATTTACAGGTCAAAAATGAATATATAATTTTGAGGAGACTCATGATATAGCTCTATCATCCCTCATCTCACATTGAAAATTAAATAAAGAGTTACAAATAGAGCATTTCACTGCCAACATCCTTTTTCCTTCCTGTGTCACATGGTAACTTATGGCAATCAGCCCATTCTATGATCAACTGAAAAAGAAACAATTTCCATAATTTTCAAGGATAACTGGCTCTGAAATGTGAAATATTTCTTACTTGCCTTTAACCTTGGAAAACTTTTTAAAGGTTTTTGAAAATGTTGGAGTTGAAAAAGCATAGTTTTGGTGATATAATATCTTAACATAGGGTATATCAAAGCATAGTTTTGGTGATATAATATCTTAACATAGGGTATATCTTATTTGAAACTTTATATCTTAAGTACAAATTAATTAATTAATTAATTAACCGAATCAAGGTCGCACTCTGTTGCCCAGGCTGGAATGCAGTAGTACCGTCACAGCTCACTGCAGCCTCAACCTCCCAGTCCCAAGTGATCCTCCCACCTCAGCCTCCAGAGTAGCTAGGACTACAGGTGCATGCCACTGCACCCAGCTAATTTTATTTTTTGTAGAGACAAGGTCTTACTATGTTGCCCAGGCTTGTCTTGAACTCCTAGGCCCAAGTGATCTTCCCACCTCAGCCTCCCAGAGTGCTGGGATTATAGATGTGAGACACTGCACCCAGCCTACTCTATTTTTCAGTTTCTGTTTTGGTGCTGCAATTTGCATGTTGAACCATAGGGCAACTAATTTTACTTTTCAACATAATTTTAACCTGGCACTTGAAATTAATGTTTTCTACCTTCCCATGTTCCACATAGCTTATAGCAAGTCTGTATTGAACAGAGAATATTTATACCAAGGTAGGATCTGAATCTGTGCCTTCTAGTTTGGAAAATTGAATTCCATTCAATTTTATAAATATATATTGATTACTGGCCAGGTGTTGTGGTTCATGCCTGTAATCCCAGAACTTTGGGAGGTCAAGGTGGGTGGATTGCTTAAACCCAGGAGTTCAAGACCAGCCTGGACAGTATAGGAAAACTCTGTCTCTACAAAAAAATTAAAAAATTAGCCAGGCATAGTGGTGTGTACCTGTAGTCTCAGGTACTTGAGAGGCTGAGGTGGGAAGATCGCTTGAGCTTGGGAGGTTGAGGCTGCAAGAACTGTGATTGTGCCACTGCACTCCAGTCTGGGTGACAGAGTGAAACACTGTCTCATTTTTTAAAAATGCAAAATGGAAAAACTAGAAAAAATAAATTATTGTGTATAAGACATTGTTAGGCAGTCAGGGGGAGGTAAAGAGGAATAAGATGATATGTTCCTAACCATGTGCATATTTTATCATGTATTCCAATTATTATATTTGTTGGTCCATGTTTTTTCACCCCTTCAGGCAGGGAACATGCCTTATTTGACTTTGTGTATAAGTTTTAAAACTATTTAAAAAAAAAACCTGTTTTTTTGTTTTTGTTTTTGTTTTTGTTTTGAGACAGGGTCTCACTCTGTTGCCCAGGCTGGAGTGCAGTGGTGCATCCACGGCTCACTGCAGCCTAGATCTTCAGGGCTCAAGCCATCCTCCCACCTCAGCCTCTTGAGTCGCTGGGACTACAGGTACATGCCCCCATGTCCAGCTAATTACAAATTTTCTTTTTTTTAATGACAGGGTCTTACCATCTTGCTTGGACTTGTCTCAAACTCCTGGCCTCAAGGGATCCTCCTGCCTTGGTCTCCCAAAGTTCGTTAGAGTCGTGAGCCACTGTGCCTGGCCAAAACTATTTGTTGAACTATGTTTTTGGCTAGCCCAGGTTGCAATAAAACTAAGTCACCTTGATTTCTAATACTCGAGATAGACCCTTGTGGACCATGAACATGAGTCCATGACTCTCAGCAGCTTCATCTGGCATCAAGCATCCCTAATACCATATTTCTGCTATATGTTTTAACAATGAGGTCTCCTGATTAGATCTTTAGTTTAGCTTACTTATTTTTTTCTTTTCCCCTTTGTTATAAGATTATACTTAAATGAATGAATGAATAGGCTCACAGTTAAATAAAAGAGATGTGTTAGATACACGGGAAAAAAAACTATAGCACAAATTAGGGAACAGCAGCAGCAAAAGTATTAAGGTAGAAAAATACAGGATATCATCAGTAAAAGGGCATAGCCCAGTTTGAGCAGAGTGGAATATGAGATGCTGGGGGATTAACATAACATAATGCAGGAAACATTTGTTCACTTGGGTACACAGTGGAGCTTAATAATGGTGTCACTGTCAATACTTGGCTGAGCTGTTGAGTTTCATTGGTATAGATAAAATCTTTGCTCTGTGGCCCCAGATAGCTTCCAGAACCTGCTAACTTTCTCTACAAGGTGCTTCAGAGCAAGTGCAAAAATGAGTTCCGTCTGTCACACCTACTCTATAAACAATATAAAGGTGTCTTAACTCACTGAGTGGCAAAAGCCTCTTCAGGTGCAAGGGTGTACAATTATATAGTACTATGTGAGGCTAAAATGCTGATGCTCAAGTCTGTTTAAATAAACCAACAATCTCTGTGGGTCTAATTTTCCAAAGTGGTGATTAGGGTTTTTTTGTTTGTTTGTTTTTTTGACAGGGTCTCACTCTGTCACCCAAGTTGGAATGCAGCAGCATGATCACAGCTCATTGCAGCCTTGACTTCCCAGTCTCAAGCAATCCTCCCATCTCAGCCTCTTGAGTAGCTGGGACCACAGGCACACACCACCATTTAGCCAGGCGTGGTGGTGTGTGCCTGTGGTCCCAGCTACAGTGTCTCTCTATATTGTCCAGCCTTGTCTCGAACTCCTGGGCTCAAGTAATCTTCTGTCTCAACATCCCAAAGTAATTTCCCAAAAAAGTGAGTATGTCTTTATTTCTAAGGTTGTTCTGAACAAAAGATATTTCATCTCTCTCCGGCCTTGCCAAAATAAGAGGGTTTGGATATTCTTAGACCAACAATAAGCATTATACCAACCCTATGTCTTGCTACTAAAGAGGGACCATGTTTAAATGGCATCATGTAGGATGAAGTTGAAATGTGAGTTAAAATGTGGAATGGCCAAGGTCATTCAGGCAAGTAACTTTTCCAGAAATCATTTTAAAAATTGATTTTTATATGTTTAACTGTTTGAGATATTTTATGTCTAGTACAGTCTGGGAGCGAAATTTCTACAAAAGCTGATTTCACTCCAGCATCTATTTCAAATCATTTATTTATTCAACAATTATTGGTTGAGTACTCACTACATGTCAGACCCTATTCTAAACCTCAGGGATAAGAAGTGAACAAAACCAAGTCCCTGCCCTCATGGAGCTTGCAATCTTGTGAGGGATACATAATAAATTTTTTGTTTGTTTGTTTTTGAGACAGAGTCTCGCTCTGTCGCCCAGGCTGGAGTGCAGTGGCGCGATCTCGGTTCGCTGCAAGCTCAGCCTCCTGGGTTCACGCCATTCTCCTGCCTCAGCCTCCCGAGTAGCTGGGACTACCGGCGCCCGCCACCACGCCCGGCTAATTTTTTTATATTTTTAGTAGAGATGGGGTTTCACCATGTTAGCCAGGATGGTCTCGATCTCTTGACCTCATGATCCGCCCACCTCGGCCTCCCAAAGTGCTGGGATTACAGGCGTGAGCCACCGTGCCCGGCCGGGTTACATAATAAATTAATCAATACATATATACTGTATCATCACATGCTGATCATTACTCATTGGAAAATTAAAGCAGGATAAAGAGATAGAGAGTGAATGGGAGGGGTTATTTTATACAAGGTAGTCAGGTACAGCCACTCTTAGGTGGTGATGTTTGAGTAGATACATTAATGTAGTGAGGGAATAAACCATATACAGTTTCCGGGGAAGATCTTTCCAGGACAAGGCGGCAGCGTATCTGAAGGTTCTGAGGTATGAATGAGTTTACCATATTCTAGAAACGGCAAGGAGAAGAGTAAGGCTAGAACAGGGTATACAAAGCAGTGGAACATGAGGTCAGAGAGGTGGAGGTGGATTGAATAAAAAACATGTAGGGCCATACTGGCTCACGATTAGGATTTTAGACTTAATTAGAAAAGTGATTAGACAAGAGAGTAATGTGGTCTGGTTTACAATTTAAAAGTCCTCTGCTTGCCCTTGCCACTGTGTATAGGTTAAAATTGGCCAATTCCTGATGACTATTTGACAGAGCCCCCTAAAAAGACCTCTTTCTTTTTACTTTGGGCAAAAAGAAATTTACCATAATTGCAGACCCTGGGGGAGCTCAGTAGTACTCCAGTTCTCTGCCTTTAGTGTTTCAGTTTTCATTTTCCCCTTTCCGGTGGACATGGTCCAAGGCCCCTCATCGGTGTCTGGCTGAAAGTAATCTACTCAGCTTTACAGACACATGCACATTCTGTAACTATTCAGCCATTTCTCCCTGTCCCTAAGCCTGTGGGTGGAATAGATATGTCACTACATTTCTGTTAACCTGGTAGTATTTCATTACTTGGGTTCTCTGAAATAATTATTGGCCCGATAGTGGGGCTCCTGTTGTCATGAGACTTGCTTTAGTGCCTTGCTCTGGCACTCCTGTTTCAAAGCATATTTGCAAATAGCTCCAGGAACTCCAGTAAAAGTCTCCTTTCCTTTTCCTCCAAAAGGATCAGTATATACCTCTAAACAACTTAGAACTTACAGTCCTCAAGTCACCACATTATTCTAGGAATAGCTTTCATTCTGTTTTTTTTTTTTTTTCTCTCCCAGGCAAAAACTGAGAAGTAAAGTTCTTTAGCAACCAAATGGCAGAACCAGATTTAGAATCCAGTAAAAACTATCTGTGAACTGTAGGAAACTATGTCATTATATGTTGTTTTGTTGCTAAAGATATACTAATTTGCCATTTAAAATTTCACCTTCTGCCAGGCGCGGTGGCTCACGCCTGTGATCCCAGCACTTTGGGAGGCTGAGGCGGGCGGATCATCTGAGGTCGGGAGTTCGAGACCAGCCTGACCAACATGGAGAAACCCCGTCTCTACTAAAAATACAAAAATTAGCCAGGCGTGGTGGTGCATTCCTGTAATACTAGCTACTTGGGAGGCTGAGGCAGGAGACTCACTTGAACCTGGGAGGTGGAGGTTGCAGTGAGCCGAGATTGCGCCATTGCTGGGCAACAAGAGCAAAACTCAGTCTCAAAAAAAAAAAAAAAAATCACCTTCCTCAGTACCCAGACTATAAACTTTACTGGCCTTTATTTAGATTCAGTTTTCAAAAAGAAGCTCCCCCCACCCCCATCAGTTTTATTTTAAAATATATTTTAAAACCTGCAACTTATTGGGAAAAATATGGAGATTGCTTTATTTTTGTTGTATGCATAATAAAACTAAATAACCAAGACTAACATTAGTTTGAACTTTACCTTGGAACATGTCCACGAAGAACAAAGGAAGGCAGACTAATCTTCTTTTTGACTTTCTCCACTCCAGCTTCTTATATCAAAGACCCTTGGACACAAGTAAGTTATAGCTTTTGAATTACTTATGGTAGCTTGGATCCATCCTGAAGGCTTTGCATACTTAGAATGGAGATTTTGCCCTGATTCCAGTCTTCTATCTGTTTTTCAAGTTATTTCAGCCATTATTTTACTTCATTCAGACTCCTTATCTTTCAAACCACATTATTTGGGAGGATGAGTTATGGGCTGAATCAGACTGATTGTCAATTTTGATTTGGGAGGAAGGTTTCTGAAACGCAACAGTGCTGTGGCTCATTGCTCAGTATTCCAAGAGATATCATTGCTATGATTCTCAAAGTTTTCAAATCTTTAGAAAGAATGTTGGACAGTTAATATGTTTCAGGCATATTACTTCAGAGCAAATCTCCTAAGAGATTGGTAGACCTCCTCCAAAGCTGACTTTGGCTATACTTGGGTTTGTTTAACTAAGATAATGAAATAAAGGCAGCTAACTGCAGATTAGCTTCCACATGCTTTTTTTTTTTTTAATGCAAAGTTTACAGTGACTCCAAATCAAAATTTGGCAAATTTTCTAATGCAGGGTGCCACACTGCTGACTTCTATTATTCTGGAAAAGGAATAAGCATGGGCAAGGTGCACAAAGAGGACTCTCACTCTGCTGAAGGAGGCAACCTACAGATAGTGTTAACATGGTTATGTTTTAAAATGAAAATATTTCATAGATAGGTTAAATATATTGTCTTTGATTTTAGGTAGCAAGTGGATTTTTAGGGGTTAGAGCAGGCGTTGGCACATTTTTTTTTTTAAAGGTCCAAACATTAAATATTTTAGTCTTTGTGGATTACACAGTCTGTCACAGCTTCTCAACTCTGCTGTTGTGGTGCAAAAGCATGCATAACACTACATAGCTGAATGGGCATGACTGTATTCAAATAAAACTTTATTTACAAAAGCACAGCAGGCTGAGTTTGGCTCATGCACCATAGTTTACTGACTTCTTGATTATAATACTTAGAGTAGAGGTTTCTTAACCGAATAATTTCAACACAGCCAAAGGACATAATGAAATTATTACTATTATTTTTGAGACAGGGTCTCACTCTGTCACCCAGGCTGGAGTGCAATGGTGCCATCTGGACTTACTGTAACCTTGAGCTCCTGGACTCAAGCTGGAACTACCAGCTACTCTGGAGGCTGAGGTGCCTCTGGAGTGTGAGGTATACCACCACACCCAGCTAATTTTTCTTTTGTAGAGATGGGGTCTCACTATGTTATCCAGGCTGGTCTGGAACTCCTGGCCTCAAGTGATCCTCCTGTCTCGGCCTCCCAAAGTGCTGGGCTTATAGGTGTGCCCAGCCCATCATGAAATTATTGGACAACTGAGAGAATGACTTGAGATGGGGTAGCTACTTTATAATCTTGCCATCAACCCTAGAGTCTTCACTTTACTGAAAGTCACCTCATCTGCTGCCTTTGGACTTGAGCTAATATTTTACTCCGGCTAAAAGAGGAGACACTGCTGATATTCATTTTTCATTGATCTTCTTCTCATAATTCCCTTAGAAATAGCAAGATCTGGCATTAGAATTCTAGAACATTAGAATTTCTAGAAGTCTTGCTTATAGCAAATTTCATAAGGCAGCTAGTGACTTTAAAAAGGATCTTTATAGGAGCCATTTGAAGTACAATAAGTAGGAGTTATTTCAATGTATCTCACTCCAGTTTCTAATTTTGCATATGGCCAAGTAACACTTTACGTCATTTTGCTGCTTAATTCCTTTTAGAACTTGTCTAAATAGTTTTGGGCATTTACTAAGACATGCACTTGTTTTTTTACCATATATCAGAGTAACCATGTATAACTATTATGCTTTTCCTTAAGGCTTACAGAGAGAATATCTTTCAATAAGCACTTTCACATATGTTTTCTCATTTAATATAATTTAATTATTTTTACAGATGAATCATAGAGAAGATAAAGTTACTTGCCCAAGGTCACCCAACTAGTTGAGTGCAGTCAGGCTTCAAAAACAGGTCTGTCTGACTGCAGAGACTTTGCTTTTTCCACTACATCACAATGCCTACAGGAAGCTACTTGCAGTTCTTGGCAAGCATTGTCCTTTTTTTTTTTCTTTTTACCTTAGTTGTTTTCAAGTAAATCGTAGAAGAAAGTGAATAGCATAGTATTTGATTCTTTTCCTATATTTCGGAAAGATGTGTTTTCAAAAGGGGATATGGTGAATGCTTTTGTTTAAAAAAACCATAGTTCTATAACTAGAATATTTCCAAATAAGGGTGGCTTCCAAAAATGATTTGCTTTCTTGGCAGTCTCCACACATTCTTTGTGAATGCAACTACATTTCCCATCTTCCTTGTTCAGCAAAGAGTCAGATGCTAATAAAATTTTTTGAAAGGTGTGGCTTGGTAATATTCTTTTCAAATTTGAAATAATCAGACTTCCTGGCATCATAATTTTAAACTGTGGTAGAGCTGGCTGATAAGTTAAACATCTGGAAATTGACTTTTGTTGGGGTGTAGTTCTGTGTAACCCTAAATGTGGATATGAATTAGGGTAGAAGCTAATGCCAAAATCTTAAGATAAAGCTATTCAAGTGTGTGCTTTTTATAAGTGTGAGATAAATTTCCTGTTATCAGAATGGCTTTTTTTTTCTTGGCCAGAGCAGAAAACATCATAGTGAATCATTGCATGATAAAAACTGGGGTTAGAAGAGCTCATCGAGCTCATCCTTAACATTGTTGCAGCATGTATGATTCTGAGGCTTCAATCATTGTTATGCAAAAATATAACTATTTCTCTAACATCTATATTTCAGAGTTTGAGCCCCAATGGTGGGCTCCTTAACATAGCAATGTCATGCATTTGAGTTCTTGTGTGATACCAAGGTGCTGGGGGATATGGGGTGAATCACAGTAATGAAGAGACAGGCATATAGTTGTTAATCAGAGGTGTAAATAGATAACTGCTGAGATGTCCAGTCTCCTGGTCCTTGGGTCCCTTCAAGTCAGAGGTCCTTGGCTGCTTTCCTAGTGCTCTTGGGGCTGAGGAATCTTTGCCAACTCTTCATACAGACTTGCCTGTCAAGAAGCACCTAACAGCCGTTGCTTTCTAGGATCTTGATGCTTCCCTGCTAGAACAGCCGATAAATGAAAGTTACTTGATTCTCTGCACTCCTCTCGCCCAGCTTGGAATAATCCATTTCTAGTTTGAGGAAAAGCCTTCTCCCTTTCTATATTTTAAACGTCCTCAGTGCTTGTGGAATTTCTTCCTTTGTGGGATTAGACCTCTTGAATCCCTGAACTTGCAAGACACTTACGGTTTTTGCTGTGTCACCTTTTATCTCTTTTCCCCAAGACAGTGAGAACAGAGCCAGCTACCTACTCAGATGGAAGGAAAGAAAAGGGCAGAATATATGAAGAAAAAAATAGTTAAAACCTTAAAATATTAGCTTATCACCTTATTCAGCAGAACCAGCTAACTGCTCATCTGTGGAGTTTTCTCAGTGCTTGATGAACTTTGATTTAGAGTACAGAAATCATAGTGCTATGGTGACTATCACAAAAATCAGTATAAGCCTATAAAACCCAGTCCTTAAAAACTCTAGAATGAGAAGTGGGTCCACGGTGCTGAAGAAAGGGCTGCTCTTGTGAAAGTTTCGACTTTTCTATCTTTTTAAAAGAATACTAATTTTGCCAGGCATGGTGGCTCATGCCTGTAATCCCAGCAATTTAGGATGCCGAGGCAGGTGGATCACCTGAGGTCAGGAGTTCGAGACCAGCCTGGCCAACATGGCAAAACCCTGTCTCTACTAAAAATACAAAAAATTAGCCGGGTGTGGTGGCAGGTACTTGAACCCGGGAGGCGGAGGTTGCAGCAAGCCGCAATTGCGCACTCCAGCCTGGGCAACAAGAGCAAAAAAACTCCATCTAAAAAAAAAAAAACTAATTTTATCATTATTTTGTAGAGACAAGGTCTTGCTGTGTTGCCCAGGCTGAACTTAACCTCCTATTTCCTTCCTTCCTTCCTTCCTTCCTTCCTTCCTTCCTTCCTTCCTTCCTTCCTTCCTTTTTCTTTCTTTCTTTCTTTCTTTCTTTCTTTCTTTCTTTCTTTCTTTCTTTCTTGCTTGCTTGCTTGCTTGCTTGCCTGATGGTCTGGCTCTGTTGCCCAGGCTTGAGTGCAGTGGCGTGATCTCGGCTCACTGAAACCTTCACCTCCTGGGTTCAAGTGATTCTCCTGCCTCAGCCTCCTGAGTAGCTGGGATTTCAGGCATCCGCCACCATACTGACTAATTTTTGTATTTTTCATAGAGATGGGGTTTTGCCATGTTGGTCAGGCTAGTCTCAAACTCCTGACCTCAGGGCATCTACCAGCCTTGGCCTCCCAAAGTGCTAGGATTATAGGCGTGAGCTACCGCACCTGGCCAACCTCCTATTTTCTAATTATCATTAATACTAACTACAGAGCAGTTGTTTGGATCACAACAGAATACATATTATGCAGCAATTAAAAGTTATCCTTTTAAGAAATATTTAATGTCATCAGGAAGTGCTCACAATGTAATGTCAAACGAACAAAGTAGGATTTTAAAAGTTTGCATCTAGAGAATATCAGAGATCATGTTTATTTTCATATACTAGAACTTTGACTATAATAGGTTTTTCAAATAGGATTTTATTTTCCTCATATTACCAAAAATATGAAGGTAGAACATCCTGAGCTTCTCCAATGTTTTCCCGTCATCATCCATGTCCCAGGCTCCTTCTATCTTTCCATTCTACCACTCTTAGCCCGTGATTTTGTCCTCATGCTTGTCATCTCATGGTTACAAGGTGGCTGTTCCACATCCAGCCTCACATGCATGCTCCCAGGAAATAATAAGGAAAGCAAGATGTTGCCTGAAATCTCCAATAAACTTTCCCTTCCATCTCATTCATCCAGAATCTTTAACTAACTGGAAACATTGGTTTTTGCTGGAACTATTGCTATACTGCAGAGAATTGAATTCCTTTAGTAAAGAAGAAGGGTAAAATGCACATTAGACTGGTGTATCTCAATGTAGTAACAAAAAGAAGCATAACACAAGCAGCCATACCTCTATTCTCTTGCCCAGATAAAAGACTAAGTGACTATATGCCAAAACATTACCAGTGTTTATATTTTAGTGGTATTGTTTTTAATCTTCTTATTTATAATTGTCTGTATTCCTCGAATTTTCTAGAGTGAATATATACTATTTTTATAATCTGAGAAACAGCAATTTTAAACAAAAATGTACACACATAAGTTTAAAAATGAAATACTTTATGTACTAATGTAGTAAGCATTCTACTTATATGATGCTAAAAAAAGCAAATTTCAAACAACTCTGATCCCATTTATTCTCTTAAAATGTAGAGAGATTTGGACAAGGCATAGATATCCTTATAAGAATTGAAAGGAATTTGTAAGACTACGCATCAATCTGTTAAGTTTTCTTGGAGGAGCAGTGTTGAGGGAAGCATACCTGATTTTTTTTTAATGATACGTTCGTTATTATTTAAATTCTTTTTATGACAAGAATATATTGCTATTTTTGTTTTCATTTTTGTTTTTTGTTTTGTTTTGTTTTTTTGAGACAAAGTCTTACTCTGTTGCCCAGGCTGAAGTGTAGTGGCGCAATCACGGCTCACTGCAGTCACAACCTCCTGGGCTCAAGCGGTCCTCCCACCTCAGGCTCCCAAGTAGCTGAGACTATGGGTGCGCGCCACCATGTCCAGCTAATTTTTCATTTTTTTTGTAGAGATGGGGGACTCTTTATGTTGCCCTGGCTGATCTCAAACTCCTGGGCTCAAGCGATCCTCCTGCCTCAGCCTCCCAAAGTGCTTGGATTACAGGTGTGAGCCACCGCTCTCAGCCGGTGGCTTCTAAAAATTTAAATCTAAATATACCAAAGTAAACAAAAATTCAGGTTAGTCCAATAAAGGGTCACGGTCTTTAAGGCTCCGGACTTCTGTTTTTGAGACAGTGATTTTTTGCTCATTTTGGGTAGAGTGGAACCTTTGCAAGATATAGTGAAGTATGAGATGTTGCCTTCCTCAACTTCAGAAATGTGCTGTTGAATAATTGCTTTCATATGGGACATAAATATCAGTGAGAAAAGGGATCACAGACCCTAGCAGAGTAGGAAAGGTCGGTAGCAGATCAAAAGATGGATTGCATTGAAAAAGACAACTCCAGCTTGAACACCAAAGACAAGTTTGTAGGAAGCAATAATCAGGTCCTTTTACTTGGTGGTCTTGGAGGTCACATGAGTATTTTTCTTGATTGCCAAAAAAGCTCCTATTGCAGTTCTGCAAGCTGTTTACAGCCTTTCACAGGCTTGCCTTCTTTCCTGAGAGATATTAACAGTGATAGATGACATTTTGGAGCACAGTGCACATGTCCCTGTTCTCTTTCTGCAACCAGAAGGCCAATGATTACCCCCTTAGAAACAACAGCAGTCTGAACGTGCATGGCATGGACTAGACTTATCACCAGTGGGAACGGGACCATTGTCCCAAAATGAACGATTTTCTACTCCTGTGATTTAAGTATGCCTGAACTGCTGAAGAATACAAGACAGCATTTTATGAATGAAAGCTACTGCTGGGATGGCTCTGGAAAAAAAACATATTTCCACTATAGACACTGAACTTTTAGAATCTCTGTTGGCTGGGCACGGTGGCTCACGCCTGTAATCCCAGCTCTTTGGGAGGCCGAGGCAGGTGGATCACGAGGTCAGGAGTTTGAGACGAGCCTGGCCAACATAGTGAAACCTTGTCTCTACTAAAAATACAAAAAATTAGCAGGGCGTGGTGGTGCACACCTGTAATCTCTGCTACTCGGGAGGCTGAGGCAGGAGAATCGCTTTAACCCGGGAGGCAGAGGTTGCAGTGAGCTAAGATCACACCATTGCACTCCAGCCCAGGCGACAGCGTGAGACACCATCTCAAAACAAAACAAAATAAAACAAAAAAAGAATTTCTGTCAAATCAGCTTTTTTTTTTTTTTTTTTTTTTTTTTTTTTTTTTTTTTGCATTTTGGTAAGGCAACAACGTAAAAACGAGCAGCCTCTACTCCCAAGACTGCACATTCTCTTTTTGGCAGCTGCATTTGCTCTTCTGATTTTTATCGTTTGTTTAAAGTATGAAGATTTGTCCTTCTCAAATTCTTTCCCACATTCTACTTCCCAATGTCTATGCCTCAAGGATTTCTCCATCTGCTTCTAACCTCCCAGAGAAATCTAAAAGAGGCTCTCCACTTTCCCTCTTATGCTAGCCAACAATGTGTGAGTGGAAGTCTATTACCCATTTCAGTTTCTGTTTTCTTCTCTGGCCACCTCGGAATCAGGCATGAAAATTAAGAAATATATTTGCAAAGTGCTGGGGGAGTCATTAAAGATATGGGCAAGGAAGTACATATTACATATGTACCTATTCTCTTGGAAATCATCTGAGGGGCCTGGGGTTCTAGTTAACACTGAAATTGTTTGCCTTTAGATTCAATCACAGGAATGAAAAATGAACAACTTAGAGCAAAACCACCAGCAACGGTGGATGCTTCTCTTTCCCTCTTGCAGGGCTGCCAGAAGACCTGCTGTTTTTCTTTGACCACTTCGGAAAAGTCGGTGGGGTTGTCGACGTGGAGCAGAGCCTCCTCCTCTACTGCTACCACCAGCACACGACCACACACTCTGTCTTGGAGGCCACCATCTGGCCTTGCTGCTCCCACTTTCTCGTCCTCACGCACTGGGTGATCTTCACCATCGGGAACTGGGGGCAAGCAGGGGTGCAGGCTGGATTGCAGCGTAAGGTTGGTCTGTTTTGTGACATTGATGAGAACAAGCTCACGGGCCTCTACTGCTAGGGGAATCTCAGGAAAAGCCCAGGGTTCCAATCTACCCACTGCCCTTCATCATCTGTGTGAAGCTGGGCTTCACATATGCAGGGGGCCAGAAGGTCGACCAGAAGGGTGAGTTTGAGGATAACCCGAGGCCTCCTGAACCTGCAGGAGGACTGGGACTTCCTTCCCTTCCTCTGAGAAACCTGCAGCAGCCACTGTCAGGCAACAGTCGTGACAACTTGCAGCTGTTGTCTGCTGCTGCATCTCCGGGCTTTTGAGACCTTCCAGGCATGATTTGTCCCTTTACAACATTCACCTTTTGTGTTAAGTGCTCAGTTCAGCCCCTTGGACCTGGAGGATATGACAGTAGCTATCTTGTATGTGTAGTCCCGCAGGAGAGGAGCCTGTCCCACCAGTGTGGCAATAGCCATCAGGGTCTCACTGTGGACCAAAACTGTCCCTGGACACAGGCTGCCTGGTCCTTTTGGACCCCAGGCCTTGGCTATGGGCTCAGGACCTCCTTGTATGTGACTTTGGCCAGTCAAGGGGACTCTGTGCTAGTCTTTTTCATCTAAAATGGGAAGCAAGAAGGAGGGTTTTTGCTTGTTTGTTTGTTTTGTTGTTTTGAGATGGAATTTTGCTCTTGTTGCCCAGGCTGGAGTGCAATGGCACAATCTCGGCTCACCGCAACCTCCACCTCCTGGGTTCAAGCGATTCTCCCGCTTCAACCTCCCGAGTAGCTGAGATTACAGGCATGCGCCACCACGCCTGGCTAATTTTGTATTTTTAGTAGAGATGGGGTTTCACTATATTGGCCAGGCTGGTCTGGTCTCGAACTCCTGACCTCATGATCTGCCAGCCTCGGCCTCCCAAAGTGCTGGGATTACAGGTGTGAGCCACCACACCTGGCTGAGGGAGGCATGTTTTAAGGCTTGAATGAAATAGAAGTTAATCTGCAAAGTTAAAAAACTAAAAATCCATAATGTATTTTGATAAAAATTTACTTCCTAGCTTTTTTTTTTTTTTTCTTGAGACTAGGTCTCACCGTATCACCCAGGCTGGAGTGATGGGATCATGGCTCACTGCAGACCTCAAACTCCTGGGCTCAAGGAATCCTTCTACCTTAGCCTCCTGAGTAGCAGTGTCAACAGGCATGTACCACCACCTCCGGCTAAGTTGTTTTATTCTTTTTTAGATACAAACTCTCCCTTTGTTGCTCAGTCTGGTCTCGAACTCCTGGCTTCAAGCAATCCTTCTGCCTCAGTCTCCCCAATTGCTAGGATTACAGGCTTGAGCCATCTCACCGGCCCTAACCTTTTTAAAAAATGTGTTTTTGGGAAACTTTTCACCCATTGAAAATCAGCAATCTTCATTTTTTGTTTTCTGAAAGAACACCTTTATGAATATTTTTATGGGTTGTCAAACAAATATACTTAGTAGACTAATTTATGGCAGAATTCGAGAAACAGGGCAGCCCAAGCTATGAAATTGCACCCTGTGTTATTTGGGAGGCTTGTGTGCTTGAGTTGCCAAACTAAGCTGCACAACTGTTCTAAGCTCTTGACTGCATTGGCTTTTGCGTGACCATTTTCCTTCTTGCTCCACGTTGATTTTAGACATCTTTGAAAAATTATCATTTTCAGATGTTTGGACAAAGAGGAAAATTGTTGCCTTGGCTCCAATATCAATTCCTTTCATAACACTAAATATGCCATTGCTACTAGAGTTTTGGTTCTCCGTTTCTCCCTGAGGACATTGGTATTAAGAAGAGATTTGGCTCAAGCTACCTGATCATACCTATCTTGTATATAGTTGCTAATACAATATGATTAGCAAGACTTGGGTATAATGTTACAGTGGTGTGGTAACAGAATTCTGATTTATTCTACAGGCCCTTTGGCCATTTTGTTATTTTCCCCATTCACGTCTATTTTTTGTATTTCTAAGAAAAAGAATGTTACGGTTAGGTTATAACTATGTGGCACCACCACAATTATCATTTTCTATTCAATTTAAAATTTTGACTGTCATAAAATGCAAGCTTTACTGAATTAGAATCATTCTGGATTGTCTTGTTCCTTAGGACAACGTAATAGCCAGACCTACAAGTTCTGAGTCTGGTTATTAATGTAATTCAACCAGTCAGGCAGTGATCCAGTCCATTGTTCAGCCACTGAACCCCAACAAAAAGCTAATTTCATCAGTTATATCAATCTTGTCTAAAGATTTATAACTTGAGTAGCATTATTTCAGCAGACTCATTTTCCATAGGGCATCTGGAAAATGAAGATACTATAGAAAACGAAAATAAAAGTAGGGAAAAGAAGGATGATCATTAGATGTGTTCACCATGTTTCCTTCCAGTTCTGTTTTTATCATATGACTACACAATTTGTTCAAGTCCAGATAAATTATTGCTTCCCACAGGTCATCATTCCTTCCACTCATGTCAAAACTATTCATCATCATCTCCAAAGTGTGTTTTGACTTATGCTGTGCTTTGTAAAGGATACACCCAAGGTTGGAGGTGAAATATGTGTCAGAGACTAGGAGTACAAAAATTAGATGTTTGGCTTTGTTCATGGATACTCCCCAAGTTTGATCATGTACTTTCATGCTTCTGACCATATGCAGTCTGTTCCTTTTGTATAAAACACCCAATGATTCCCTTGCACAGCTGGTTAATTTTTCAAAGTCCTTTGAGAAGCAAACCAGTGTCACTTCTTCCAGAATGTCTTTCTTGACTTTAACCCACTGGTAATAATTTATTCAATAACAACTCTCATTTTTTTAGCAATTTCCATGGGCCAGAAAATGTACTGTTTTGAAGTTATTATCCTTCCTGACTATCCCTAAATCAGTATTTAATTATCACAACTACATTAGGAAGCAGATACTACCCCAACTTCCCAAAGAGGAAACTGCTGTTTAAAGAGATTAAGTAACTTTCTTAAGGCCACACAGCCAGTACATGGTAGAGGCAAGATTTGAACCTGACTTCTGTAGTCTATGTTCTAAGCCACTAGAGCATATGGTTTGGCTCTGTATCCCCACCCAAATCTCATCTCAAATTGTAATCCCCACTTGTCAAGAAAGGGAGGTGATTGGATTGTGGGGGTGGTTTCTCGCATGTTGTTCTCATGATAGTGAGTGAATTCTCAAGAGATCTGGTTGTTTGATAAGTGTGAGGCTCTTCTTCCTTCGTGCACTGGCTCTCTCTCTCTCTCTATCTCACCTGCCGACAAATAAAACATGCCTGCTTCCCCTTCCACCTTGATTGTAAGTTTCCTGAGGCCTCCCCAGCCATGCAGAACTGAGTCAATTAAACCTCTTTTCTTTATAAATTACCCAGTCTCAGGGAAGTTCTTTATATCCGTGTGAAAACAGACTAATACAAGTATTGTTTCCCAAAGAGCAGCACGTGAACCACTGCAGCTATGAGATAATTTTCAATGGACATGTTTACATGAATAATTTTCTATTATTTCTTCTTTTTTTTGCAAAACATTCAGAAAATAAGAAAACAAATAAATTCTCAGCATTTTGCCGAATTTTCTTTGTATTTTTATTTTGAAGAAAATAAACATTACATATAGAGTTAGAGACCTCTTTGTGGCTCTCCGAGATCTCATTCCTTTCCAATCCTCCTCAGAGGTAATCATTATCCTAAATTTAGTGTTTATCATTCCACTTCAAGTTTTTAAATGACTACTAAGTACGTATTTATCAATATACAATATGTAGTATTGTTTTACTTGTCTTCAAACTTTATGTAAATATCATACCACATGTGTTATTCTGCAGCTTGTTTCATTCACTCAACATTTAGTTATCGATATTTATTTATTTGATACACTTGGCCTCTGTTCATGCATTTCAAATGCTGAACATCATTTCATTGCATCAAAATGTCACTAGTTTATTTATACATTCTCCTTTTGACTGACATATATATTACTTCCAATGTTTGATATTATAAATAATGCTGCACTTAGCATTCTGTTGCATGTCTTCTTGTGCACATGTGCTAGATTTCTTCCAGGTACAAAGAAGCAGAATTGTAGATATACATTATATGTATCTTCAACCTTACAAAATATTACCAAATTGCTCTCTGAATGTGTCAATTTCCATTCCCACCAGCAGTTTATGAGAATTCCCTTTTCTCAAAATCTTTAACCAACTTCTTAAGTTTTCCAGTCTTCTGAGTGGGAAATGTTATTTTGTAGTTTTAAATTTGCATTTCCTGATATTAGTGATGTTAAAGGGGTTTATTAGAATAACGCCATGAAAGGGGTTTATTGGCCATTTGGATTTCTTCTTTTGTGAATTGCTCATTATCCCTATGAAAATTATTTATTTTTAAAATTTATATAGAGTAAAATTCACTATTTTTGGTACATGCTATGAGTATTTGACCAATGCATAGAGTTGTGTAATTATCACCACAGACAAGATATATGAAATAATATCCCTTTGTAGTCAACTCCTTTCTTTATGCACAATCCCTGGAAACTGCTGATTTCTTCTCCATCCCAATGGTTTTGTCTTATCCAAAATGTCATATAAATGGATTACACAGCATGTAGATTTTGGGTATCTGGTTTCTTTCACTTAGCATAATGTGTTTACGATTCCTCCATGTTGTTATGTATTTCAATAGATTGTTCTTTGTTGCTGAGTGGAATTCCATTGTATGGATGTACTACCATGTATTTGTTAATTTACCAGTTGAAGGGGTATTTTAGATTATGAATAAAGTTGCTATGAAATTTTGCATATAAGTTTTTGTGAGGCATATGTTTTCATTTCTCATGGGACTGCTGGGTCTGAGACTAGGTAATTTATAAAGAAAAGAATTTTATTTAGCTTGTTGTTCTGCATGCCAGGAAATTCGAGGACACGACCTTGGCTTCTGGCCAAGGCTACATGTTGCATCATAACATAGCAGAGAAGGTCAAGGGGAAGTGGACACATGCAAAGAGACAAAACCAACAGGCATCCTGGCTTTATAACAACCCACTCTCCTTGGAATTAATCCATTCCTGGATAATTAATCTAGTCTTGTGAGAGCAATAACTCATCCATTACCTCTAGAAGGGCACCAAGCCATTCATAATGGCTCTGCCCCCACGAACCAAATGCCTCCCACTAAGCCCCATCTACCAACACTGCCACATTCGGGATAAAATTTCAGTATGAATTTTGGTGAGGACAAACAAACCATATCCGATCCATAGAAGCTTGTGTAAATAATGATACGTAGTTTTCCTTTAATCTGTTAATATCGTAATTTATATAATTAGATTTCCCAATTTTGACCCATTCTTTCATTCTTGTGGAAAATGCTACCATGTTGAATTATATCAGGTTTTTATACACTGTTCAACTTCATATTCTTGTATTCTTTTTTTTTTTTTTTTTTTGAGACAGAAACTCACTCTGTCTCCCAGGCTGGAGTGCAGTGGCTCAAACAAGGCTCACTGCAGCCTCGACTTCCAGGGCTCAGGTGATTCTCCCACCTCAGCCTCCTGAGTAGCTCGGACTACAGGTGTGTGTCACCATGCCTGGCTAATTTTCATATTTTTTTGTGGGGATAGGGTTTCACTGTGTTGCTCAGGCTTGTCTTGAACTCCTAGGCTCAAGTAATCCGCCCACCTCAGTCTCCCACATTGCTAGGATTACAGGTGTGAGCCACCACACCTGGCTGATATTCTTGTGTTCTGTTTAGGATACTTTGCACTCATGTGCATATGAGAATTTGGTCTTATACTGTATATATTTCTTATACCAAAATCATCTGGATTCGGTATCCAAGTCGTATATAGGCCTCAGGGCATGAGCTGGGTACCCCCTCTCTTTCTAGTTTCTAAATTAGGTTCTATGAATAGTAACTATCTCTGCCTGATGGTTTTAGTAAAACTTGCATGTATATCTGCAAGGCCCTGGTATCTGTTTTGAGTATGGTAAGGGAGAAGACTTGTTCACATACTCAGTTTAATGATTACCAGTTTATTTAGGTTTTTTGTTTCTTCTTAATCAGCTTGGTTTAATAATTAATTAATTAATTTTAATCTTCACAACCTACTCCCATTTTTGTCTTCAACCTATAAATAATTATTTAAATGACATTTTATTTAACATTGAATATGTGTTTGATATGTATTCTTGTTTGTGTTACTGCCAAATATGTGGAGATTTTTATACACATGGGTTTTAATTTAGGAAAATGGTATTCTGTTACACATTGTATCTCATTCTGTGCCCTACTTTTCTACTCAGCAGTATGTTTTAAAGATCTATTTAAGGTGTGGTAAGTGATTCTAATGCATTGCTTCTAACTGCTGCATTAGAACTTCATGAAACATTTGTGTGTACCATATTTTACCTGTCCACTTTTCTAATGAGGAACTTTCTGGTTACCTTCATCTTCCTGATGCCATAAACAATTCTGACGTGAATGTTTTGTCTGTGTCTTCTTATTGGCCTTTGTGAGAATCTTTGGTTTCTATCCTTAGTGAAACTGTTGGCCATATTGGTAATTTGACTGTGTACAGATCAGTTGCTGTCTGTAATGGCTGCAACAGTCTACACTCCTGCCAACAGAACAGAACCTTTGTTCTATTACCACATGCCTACATTTGTCGTTTTATAGCTTTTAGAATTTTGCCAGTCTAATAAGTGTAAAATGATATGCACACTGTTTTAATTTTCATATATCTGATTTTCAGTGATTTTGAACACCTTATCATATTTCTGCTACCTTTTTGAGTTTATTCTCTAAATCGCTTGTTCATATTCTCTATCCATTTTTCTATTGGGTGTGCTAGTTTTATCTTTCTGATTTGCAAAATACCCTTGTATATTCTAGATATTAACTCCTTGTTTGTTTTTTGTTTTTTGAAATTTCAAAATTCTTATCAGCTTCCATAATTCTATCATGTAATAATTTTGTCAGAGATGTCCTTAGTTTAACAGAACTTTGATATTTTGAAGTTACCAACATAATCAATGTTTTCTTTTGCATTTGTGCAGTTAGTTAAGGTCCTGATTACATTTTTCTCCATACAGTGAGCTGGTTTATCAATCTTTTTCTTCCTTTGATTTGTTTTGCTATTATGTTCCATTTGTTCTATTTATTATTATTATTTAGAGACAAGGTCTCTCTATTTTGCCCAAACTGGATTTGAACTCCTGGGTCAAACAGTCCTCCCACCTCAGCCTCTCAAGTATCTGGGACTACAGACACATGCCACTATGCAGGGCTAGTCTATTATTCTTGAGGTAACTCCATCATTGCCTTTATAGGGTTAACTTAGCTATTCATAGACCTTTATTCATCGATATAAATTTTAGGCCAGCCACGGTGGCTCATACCTGTAACCCTAGCACTTTGGGAGGCTGAGACAGGTGGATCACCTGGGGTCAGGAATCCGAGACCAGCCTGACCAACATGGTGAAACCCCATCTCTGCTAAATACAAAAAGTTAGCTGGGCGTGGTGGCACATGCCTGTAATCCCAGCTACTTGGGAGGCTAAGGCAGGAGAATAGCTTGAACCTGGGAGGTGGAGGTTGCAGTGAGCCGAGGTCGTGCCACTGCACTCCAGCCTGGGCAACAAGATTGAAACTCCATCTCAAAAAAATATATATATACATATTATACATATATATAATATGTGTATATATATATATATTTTAAATAAAATTTATCAAGTTCCTCAAACAATTCAACTGGAATTTAGATTGGTATTGCATTAAATAGGTTAAATTGGTGAGAATATTTACAATAAGTTGTCCTATCCAAGAGTATGGACCATTTCTCCATTTATTTAAATAATATTTTATTCTTTTATTGGAATTTTTTCTCCATAAAGGCATTTGTTACTTTTGTCTTTATATTATTTGTAATTTCTTTTTGCTATTGTGACAGTTTCACATTTGCATGTCTCTTCTAGCATGTTATTACTGGTGTGAAGAAATGGAAGTTATTTTTGGAGATTGATATTTTATCTGGCAACCACTTTGAACTCTCATATTAATTATAATTCTGCAGTTTGTCTGCTGAATCTGTTGCTGATGGTTTTTAGGTAGATTATCATATTTTTATTGCAAGTAATTGCAGGGGTTTTTTTTGTTCGTTTTTTGTTTTTGCTTGTTTTTTTTTTTTTTTGAGATAGTTTCTCACTCTGTCGTCCAGGCTGGAGTGCAGTGGCGCAATCACAGCTCACTGTATTTTCAAACTCCTGGGCTCCAGGGATCCTTCCACCTCAGCCTTCTGAGTAGCTGGGACTATAGGCATGTGCCACCACACACAGCTAGTTAAAATTCTTTGTGTGTGTAGAGACAGGGTCTTGCTATGTTGCCCAGAGTTGCTAGTGTGGAACTCCTGGCCTCAACCAATCCTCCACCTCAGCCTCTCAAAGTGCTGGTTTTACAGGTGTAAGCCACTGCACCAGGCCCTTTCATTTTTTATTAATTATTTTTTTCTTTATATCATTGGCCATGGCTGACAGCAATAGGTTAAAAGTTAGCAGTGATAGATGGGAACTATGGTCTTGTTTCTGATCTCAAAGAGAATAAATCTAAAGTTTCTTCATTGTTTTAATACTTATTATAGTTTTTTAAAAATGTAACCTTTAACAAGTTAAAGAATTATCTTTCTGTTTCTCGTTTGCTAAAAAGTTTCCTCCTTCCTTCCTTCCTTTTTAGGGAATACAGAAAAATTAATATCTGTCCTTTATTGTCCACTTATGCTCTAGGAACTATGTTGTACATTTTACAGCATTATTCCTTTTTATTCTCAGAGCCACCCCAAACAAGTGAATACTACTACTAATCCTATTTTACTCATGAGGGAACAGAGCCTCAAAGGGGTTAAATTTTAAACATTACCCAAAGAATGATGGGAAGCTGGTACTCAGACCTTGGTCAGGCTGACTTCAAAGGCAGAATCTTAATGAAATGCAAGCATCGAAGTGTTATTAAGTACCTTTTGTATAAAGCCTTAAATATTTGCAGTTACCTCTTTAGGTCTTCATTGGCTTCTTTCTACTGATGCTGAGTATCCTTAAATTTGCTGCAGCATCCTGTCAGGGGTCACCATGGACTTCTGGTTCATTTAACCAGCTTTGTTTCACCTGCACACTGAGCTCCCCTTTCAACCTCTGGTCTTCTCATCATTGAAAAAACTCTACCTACCTGCACATTGACTGGAGAGATGGCATTAAATCACATCCCCTTTTAAATTTTCTCACACTGGGCAGGATCAAATAATGTTTCATGGTTAAAACCAAAGGAAATTAAGAAGTCAGGATTTTTTATTTCTTTGCTTAAAATCTCTTTATATTTTAATATATTTAAAACTTTTTATTTTGGAATAATTTTATATTGATAGAAAGTTGGAAAAAATGTACCGGGAGGTCCTGCATACTCTTCACCCAGTTTCCCTCATGGTAACATCCCGTATAATGATACTATCAAACTAGGAAACTGATTTTGGTGCAATCTACAGAGATTATTTTAATTTAACCAGTTTTCTGTGTTCTCATGGACACACACACGTATGCATGTGTGTGTAGGCCTATGCAGTTTTATCACATGTGTAGATTCAGACTACCAGTTTAGATACAAAACTGTTTCTAGGGTCCCCCTCATGGGACTCCTTCATAGTCACATCCACTCCTCTACTCCATCTCTAAACCCTAGCAACCACTAATCTGTTCTCCATTTCTAATTTTGTTGTCTCAGTGTTATTTAAATGGAATCGTACTGTATGTGATCTTCTGGATTGACTTTTTTCATTTAGAATAATTCCGTGAAGATTCATCCAGGCTGCTCTACAAGTTAATTATTCATTCCTTTTTATTGTTGAGTGTCTCCCATGATATGGATGTACCAGATTTTAATCATTCACCTGATAAAGGCCATCTGGATTGTTTCTAGTTTTGAGCTGTTATGAACAAAACTGCTATAAAAATTAGTGCACAAGTTTTTGTGTGAAGATAAGCTTTCATTTCTTTGGGAAATTAACTGAGGTGAATTGGGTTTCTTCCTTTCTCTTTCTCTTTCTTTTCTTTTCTTTTCTTTTTCTTGTATTTGGGTCTTGCACTGTCACGCAGGCTGGAGTGCAGCGGTGCGACCACAGCTCATTGCAGCCTCCAACTCCTGGGCTCAAGCAGTCCTGCTGCCTCAGCCTCTTGAGTCATTGGGATTACATGTGTGAGCCACCATGCTTGGCACTGAGTTTCTTTTTGATTATACATAATATTGAAAATCAGCAAATTTTTTGATAGTCTTGAAAGAAACATATAATTTCCTCCTTTATTAATGTGAATAAATTATATTGATACATTTTTTGTTTTTAAACTGGACTAGAAAGGTAGGTTGCATCCATACTGAGTCATTGAATAGGGAATTCGTGCTTACTTTACAATCAATGTGGAGAGATAAAAGATTTATGAGGAAAGTAATATTTTATATAGATGGATCTGGCCATAGGTTTTAGAATGAACTGAAGTAGGAAAAGAGAGGAGATAGATGATGGGGCCAGGTGAGCAAAGACACAATCACTTTATAGTGGAAGAATGAGGGTCAGGAGGATTAGGAGATTCTTATTCTGATCTCATTTCTATCACTAAACTTGTTATATATGCCACCTTCATCAGGTCATTTAACTTTTTTTGTTTGTTTGTTTTTGAGACAGAGTCTCACTTTATTGCCCAGGCTGGAGTGCAGTGGTGCCATCTCAGGGCACAGCAACCTCCGCCTCCCAGGTTCAAGAGATTCTCCTGTCTCAGCCTCCTGAGTAGCTGGGATTACAGGCACCCACCACCATGCCCAGTTAATTTTTGTATTTTTAGTAGAGATGGGGTTTCACCATGTTGCCCAGGCTGGTCTCGAACTCCTAACCTCAAGTGATCTGCCTGCCTCAGCCTCCCAAAGTGCAGGGATTACCGGTCTCAGCCACTGCACCTGGCCCATTTAACTTTTCTTGACTTCGGTTACCTCATTTGTAAAATGAGTGGTTTGGCCTGAGTCCGTAAAATCCATGATTGCTTTCAAATCTACAATTCTATAACTCCAAACTAAGAGGGAACAGTCAGGAGTTTTTCCACTGGGAAAGGAAAACAGAAGATGGATCTGGTAAGCATCTTGAAGGTAAGAATCTACTTGGCTCAGTCAGTGATTGAAGGTAGAGCCCAAGATGAACTTTCAAAAACACTTCTAAACTTCAATGCTGGGTGACAGAGAAAGGGCAACACTATCAGTTCAACAAAAATGAACTCAGCAAGATAAGGTCATTTTGGTTGAAGGACTTTTTAAAGTTTAATTTTGGATGTGTTTTGTCCGCACACAAGGTAGTTGTGTTATACAACTCCTGGAGGCAGTATTTATATGGTGTTCTATGTAAATGGCTCCCCTTCCTCTGGGAGGTATATAGTACACCGCCTGCACAGCTGTAAACAACAGTCTTCACTGTGGACATCCAGGTGGAAATGTCCAAAAGATAGTTGGATATGAGTCTGGTATTTGGAAAGGAGTATACGTGGGAAATGTTGGCTTGGAGTTAGGGAGTTAGTGGTGGACAATATATGGAGACTGTACATTGAGAAAAAGTACATGCTGTGACTAGAACCAAGCCTTTAGCTGTAATCAAATGTATGATTTAGTTGGATTATTTCAATAAACCTATAAGTGTTGATTTTATCATAGTTTATTTTGTCTCATTCTGTACATAATGTTGTATAAAAATCATGTATTGCCTAATTACAGATTCTTCATGCCTGTAAAAATGAGATGATTTTAAAATTAGCAAGAAGTTATACATCTATGGGCCAAGCATTTGGTTGAAAAGTGATAAAATAAATTTATTGCTCAACAGATGCATCCAAAAGTTTTACTTTATAAAAAGAGATTAGGTTATAAAAATGGGCAAAGATTCAGAGTTTCTTTTCTTCAGATAAGATGAAGAACTCCTCCTAAATTGTATTTATTCTTGAGTATTCACTCTGCACATTGCTGTCATGAATCTTTCTGGTTGATGGTTAGTCTGTGTTTGCAAGTTTTATCTCTAGGGAGGATGCCAGTCTGAGGCTGAGTTATAAGATATAAAAATGAAACCTACTAAAGAGAGGACCACCTGTGTTACTTTTGAGTCAATCCAACTGATGTTCTTGCTAGGAGATACATGGTGTCACTAAATAACTAAAAAAAATTGAACAAAGCAGATATATCTGAACCCATATTTTCTAATGAGTATCCACCTTCAAAGTCAAACTGTAATCCTTTTGGGAGATTTGTTTACCATTGCTAGAGACTGAATGTTGGTGATCCCCAAAATTCATATGTTGAGATCCTAACCCCCAATGGGATGATATTAGGAAGTGTGGTCTTTGGTAGGTGATTGGGTCATGAGGGCAGAGCTTTCATGAATGGGATTAATGCCCTTATAAAAGAGACTCCAGAGAGCTCATTTGCCTCTCCCACCATGTGAAGACACAATAAGGCACCCTCTCTGAACTAGGAAGCAGGACTTCATCAGACACTGAATCTGCTGGTCCCTTGATCTTGATCTTGGACTTATCATCTAGAACTGTAAGAAATAAATTTTGGTTGTTTTAAGCCGCCCTGTCTATGGTATTCACCTATAAAAGCCCAAACAGAGCAAGATACCCATCTACTCATTAATTCATGAACTCTTTAGCTGCTGAGCTGATATAAGAACTATGCAAGAAAATAAATATGTTACATTATAAACACAACTTATTTCTGCCCAAACTTTATTATCCAGTTTAATCACATTTAAATCAATAGAATGACTCTTTGCTGGTTTCCAAAAAGCATTCCTCCCTCAAAGAATTAAAATTTACCACCATCACACAAAGACATAAGAATAATACAATGGACTTTGGGGATTCGTGGGAAAAGGTGGGAGGGGTGTGAGGGATAAAGGACTACACATTGCGTACAGTGTACACTGCTCTGGTGATGGGTGCACCAAAATCTCAGAAATCACCACCAAAGAAATTATTCATGTAACCAAAACCACTTGTTCCCCAAAAACCTATTGAAATAAAAACAATCATGTTTAATGGTAATGTAGTGATCGTAGGAAAAGACCAACCCGTTTTTATCACTCTTTATCATTGGCCCATCACAGATGACAGTTTTATATCTTATGGAATCATTTGCACAAAGTATATATAAGGATGTATATTTGCAGCATTTCTTATAACAGTAAAAAAATAAAATGATACAGTCATCTAGTTAATGCCACTGAATCGTACACCTTAATGGTTAAATGACAAATTTTGTTATACATGTTTTGCCATATTTTAAAAAAAATAATAGTAAAGAAACTGGTGAATTGTATACTTTAAATAAATTCGTTGTATGGTATGTGAATTATGTCTCAATAAAGATATTTTTAATCTCCCCCAAAAATAAAATTTATCGCCATTGAGAAGATTCAAAACAATTATTCTTAGACCACGAAGACATTCTTGAAGTTCTAAAAATTTTTGAAGCAATATGAGTACAATAGAGTCAGACAAGATGACTCCTTTGAAAGATTGTTATGTTTATACATAAATTTAGTCACATTATTTTGTCATAATGATTGTATGGATTGGGAGGAAGAACATGTAATTTGTATCAGGCAGACCTGACTTCAATTATTAATTTTACCTCTTAAACAAATGTATGACCATCTGTATGTATGTGTCATCACTGGGACTGTTTCATTATCTAGTAAATTAGAGACGGTAATAATACTTACATCATAGATGCTTTGTGACAATCAAATCAATGAAAAGTAATTAGCATAGTGTTAAATATGCATCATTTGGATACCAGATTATTGTGAGGCGATTCTGTCAGTGAGTCAGTCTGTTCCTGGAGACTTCTCACTGATGCCAAGGACAGCTTCTTTTATGAAAGATAGAAGTCCTGGAAAAGTGAAAATTATCATATGGTAGCTCTTGCTTCATGAATTGTTCTTGGGAATGATGAAGACTAAGGGCCATCCACACAACTAGGTAAGAATCAATCTCTACTTATTCAGCCAGTGAAGAAACTTGATCTTATTCTTTATTTAATTCCAAAATGTAATAAAGAAATATTTATATTGCTAATGAAGACAGGTGCTGTCTAAACCTTGTTAACTGAATTCTCATTTAAGGAGGCCCTTGATGAGGATTCTGGTTAACCTTCTAAGTCAGTAAGTTCCTCCTGCCTTCTTTACAATGATAAATAGCCCATTAAGTGTTCCTTCTGGTGGCAATGGCTTTCCTCATTTATAGTGTCTTACACATTCAAAAAGCTGACACCTCATCTTGTATATTAATTTGATACTAATTATGTAGTCAGTCTAAGCTTTCCTTTCCATGGCTTCTTCCCCAAGCTGTCTTCTTCCTGAGGGCCAGTTAAGGACTCAATTGCTTGCTGAGCCGACCTGCTAGACCTCACTTCAAAAGGTTTGTTAATCTCCTTGGAATCACCCCTTTGAGCTCACTCCTCTCATCTTTCATATTCAGATTGGACTGCATTAGTCTTCTGCATTGCTTTGTAAGGAAAAGAGAGAAAGTTGGGGGTGGGTGGAGAAAGAAAGAAACAGGGTGGGGAGGAAAGGAAGAGGAGGTGAAAGAAGGAGATTACATAAAGATAGAAAAATAAGAGTTGTGTATAGGAAGAAACCTTCACTGCCAGAAGTTAAACTGAATGGTTTATAACCTCTTAGAGGTCAAGGACCTTCTTTAAGATTCTGTGAAATCTATAGCTCATCTACCCAGAAATATGCTCATATGCACATACATAGGAAATTTCACATCCCATTTCAGAGAGTATACATGTCTCATAAAGTGCATCCATAAGCTCCAGGTCAGTAGTCTACAACAATGACCTCCCATCACGAAATTCAATCAAACCATTTGCAATTTATGCGACACTGATTTGAGAATCATTTTGTGAAAATACCTGACTTATCTTACAGTTGGTTGATTTCCTAGTGTTCTGCATGAGACCTTCCTCTGTCCCCACATTCTTTGGGCTTACCCATTTCCCAGGCTTCCACTGCCCTCTCTATGAGTAGTTAACCATTTTTTTTTCCCTCTTTGGGAAACTCATGAAAGTTACAAAAGCTCTATCCACAAACACACACATACGCATTTATAGTCTCAGTTTGGCACTCAACCTTCTAAGCACTCATGTGCCACCCAAAGTTCATCCATGGATGCAAGATTTGGAACTACTGGATTAGAGGTAACTAAATGTTTATTTATTAAGTGGATTCAAGCATGTGGCATTTTTACTTGGGTACTAAATCTGTTCCAGTGATTAGTAGAAAAAAGGTGTTTGTTTGTTTGTTTGTTTGTTTGTTTTTAAGAACTATGTAATCCAGTCTCAGATCTTCCTGGCTTTCAACTTCACTATGGAAATCTTGATTAAATCCCCAATGTTATAAACGTCTGTGGCTCACATGGAGCTCTGAAGAGCCCAGTATAGTCCCCTAGACTCTTCAGGGCACTGTGAGTGAGCAGTTAAGTACAGGCCTTGGTCCATTGTGCTCAATTGAGAACTAAGTCAACGTGTCTTATTACTATGCTAAATCATAATGGAAAACCAGTCTCTTTCCATTAAAAAGTCTTTTCTGGGTTAACTGAGTTCCTTTGGATACTTCTCAGTGTTTTAGAATTTCAACTCGCCACACCTACCTCCTTCCTCTCTAAGACAGAGAAGAGGCAATGAGTTGACATGGACATCTTTGTGTGGGTCCTTATTGGCCTCTGCAGTAATTTCCTCAGCAATGTCCCCCTCAATCATTGGGAACTATTCGGGCATTCGACGATGAAGTCCAGGACTTGTGAAATACAAGGTCTATTCTCTCAGCTCATCTAGGCCCAGAGTTATCCACCATTCTGCTGACTTAGACTCACCTCTTCCCTTGTCTGCCTTTCAGGCCCTCTGAATCTCAACCACATCCTCCATCCAGCCCCAGAGTTAGATTGTCCACCTGCGGCCCTTGCAGTAGCGTCAACTTGCTCCTCATGGCAGTGGCCCCATGGGAGACCTGCCGGCTGTAAACATCCAGCTATTTTCTATATCCTCCACTGGGAGCATGTGAAAATATCTGGATACATTTATGCCAGGTAAAAGCTGAGGGAGACTTGGCCCTCTCTCTGCCTAGATCTGCCTTGCATCCATTTTTCTTCTGTTATGATTATCCCTTGTTAGTGAGGGGGCACTCAGAAAGGTGCTTGTTTTAGTCTATTTTCTGTTACTCAGAGTGATTTATAAAGAAAAGACATCTATTTCTCACAATTCTGGAGGCTGAGAAGTCCAAGAGCATGGCACCAACATCTGATGAGGGTCATCCCATGGCAGAAGGACAGAAGGCTGAAGCAAACATGAGACAGAGAGAAGAAATCAGGCAAAATTCACTTTCATTACAAATTCAGTCTTGTGATAACTAACCCACTTCTGCAATAAGGGCATGAATCCATTCATGATGGTTCTGTCATCACCTAATCATCTCTTAAAGGCACCACATCAATTAAAAGTCAACATGAGTTTGGGAGCAGACAAACATTTAAACCACAACAGTGGTGTCCCAGAGTTCCAAAGACCAAATTTGGAATAATTCCACTTTGTTTTTTATTTTTCCCCTAAACCTGTTGGAAAATGTCCCCAGATTCCACGCTTATGATAATGGGGTGTGTGGTGGGGCAGGGTAGAGTGGCACATTTATCTATGGGTTCTTCTGCTTCCTTTGTGGCCTCTTACCCTTTCTTTTTTCTCTCTGTCTCTCACTTCTCAGAATGCTACAGTTTTGTTTCTGGATAGTGTACCCTTCACTTACATCATCTCTTGATCTCCCGAACTAGTAAAGCTCTAGAATGCCAATTGGCCAGGCTCCAGGCTTGCCTTCAATTTCTCTCTTTCTCTTTCTCTGTCTTTCTCTCTCTCTCCTACAGCTTCACTGCAGTGAAACTTACATACCATAAAATTCATCCGTTTTAAATGTACAATTCAATGGCTTTTTAGTAAATTTAGAGTTGTATAACTATCACCGTACTTTTCGGTTTTTAAACATTTTCATTATCCCAATAAGATCATTCATGCCCATGTACAGTGAATCCACTTTCCTACCTCCAGACCCAGGCAACCACTCATCTACTTTCTGTCTCTATGTATTTGCCTATTGTGGACGTTTCATACAATATATGGAGTCATACAATATATGTTGCTTTGTATCTGGCTGATTTTACTTAGCATACTGTTTTTGAGGTTCATCTACATTATAGCAGTGTATCAGTATTTCATTCCTTTTTAACACTGAATAATATTTCATCATATGACTCTACCACATTTTGTTTATCCATTCATTTGCTGATGAATGTTTCGTTGCTTCCATCTTTTGGCTATTGTGAGCAGTGTTGCTTTGAACACTCATGTAAAAGTTTTTGTTTGGATACCTGTTTTTAATCCTTTTGGGTGTATACCTAGGAATGGAATTGCAGGGTCATATGGTAATTCTATGTTTAACTTTTTGAGGAACTGCCGAACTGCTTTTCATAGTGGCTACATCATTTTACATTTCTACCAACAGAGTATGAGGATTCCAATTTCTGCTCATTCTTATTAACACTGTTTCTTTTTGATTATAGCCATCCTGGTGGGTGTGACAGGCTTGGCTCTTGCTACACAAAAGGAATTTAGAAGTCTCTGACTCCAAGACTGCTGTTTTCCTGAGAAGTCCTCAGGGAATTAAACATCTAATTTGATAATAAAATCCCAGTTAGGACTACTTGTTTTCTATATCGTGTTAACCATTCCTTGAAGCACTGAAACTCACTAATTTACTGGCAGTGGTAATGGAGGGTGTCCTAAGGCAAAATGATTTAAGAAGAATGAAAATGGTTGAATGTTCACGCCTGTAATCCCAGCACTTTGGGAGGCCGAGGCGGGCGGATCACGAGGTTAGGAGATCGAGACCATCCTGGCTAACATGGTGAAACCCCGTCTCTACTAAAAACACAAAAAATTAGCCGGGCGTGGTGGCGGGCGCCTGTAGTCCCAGCTACTCTGGAGGCTGAGGCCGGAGAATGGCGTGAACCTGGGAGGCGGAGCTTGCAGTGAGACGAGATTGCGCCACTGCACTCCAGCCTGGGGGACAGAGCGAGACTCCGTCTCAAAAAAAAAAAAAAGAAAGAAAAAATTATTCGTGATATATTTGCTCTTGGATATGGATTGGAGAGAGGAAAGCTCAAAATTGAATATGACTCATAAAGCAATATGGGAACACGAATGGGAAAAGATATTAAAGGTTATTTGGCCAAATAGTGATTGTGGGAGTTGATGCCAACTGCATTAAGGAAAAAAGATGACCATCTGAAGGCAGCAAAAATATGCCAAATTAGAATTGGCCTAGAAGAACACTAAAATGAAGGTCATTTAACAAAGACCTCTGGAAAAAAAAGTGACAAAAAAGTTAAGTCAGCAGGATTGCTAGGAAGTAAGCACTAGAGCAAAGGGTGCTGTGTAATCAAATGAGAAGAGACAGACTTTTCTGATCCTGGTCAGATAGTAGCTAAGATCAATTTCTCAAAAGATAGAACATTTGTCCTAGATATAGGAAGGGTAAGTAAAGTCTTATTAGAACAGAGGGAAATTTAAATTAAGACCACAGAAAAGATCAGGGAAAATGAAGCCTTGCTGCTGTCTAAGATAGTGATTGGACCTACTATGGAGGCCAAAACTCCCAAGTTTTCAAGAGACACACCTTCAAAAGATGGTCCCAAGGCTTAGGTCTAAGCCACCACATTTTTGAGGAAGCAACCTATCTAGGGAGACCAGCAGCACAGTATATAGTAAGCTTCTGGCTCAGGCACAGTTTTAAATCCTGGCTCTACCATTTACTAGCTATATTACCTTAGGCATTGCATTCATTCTTCCTGAGCCTCAGCAACCTCATTTGCAAAATGTATATAATAATATTTACCCCACAGAGTTGTTGAGGGATTAAGTTATGTAGCATCTATAAAGCTTGCAGCACATGGCAGGCACTCAGTATATGATACCTCTTATTATTATTACTATTATTGGGTGTAACAACAATGCTTTTAAAAGGGAGGTGAGAGATGTTAGTAACTGGATACCACTGGCATTACTGAATTTGGATTTTATATAGTTAACAGCTAATTTATACTCAATACAGACAAGACTAGCGGTGGGCCTCATCTAGAAGATAACTAGCAGGACTTGGGCTTGAGATATCACAGAAAACGTTCATGGAAGGCAGGAGAAAGAATATTCATTATGGGTGAATTTTAAAAAGCTGTTTGATCTTCAGCAAATCATGACTTTCTCTTCCAGCCATGGTTGTGTTACTGGAAAAAAGAGGCCTCAATTCAGACCCCAAGGGAGGGTTCTTGGATCTCACGCAGGAAGGAATTCAAGGCAAGTCACAGAGTACAGTGAGAAGAGATAGCTTATTGAAAGTGACTCCATTACAGAGTAGGGTGTCCTCAGAAAGCAAGCAGAATACGCCATCTTTAAGTTTTTCTTATATAGGGTCCTTGTCTATGCAAAGGCTAAATTAAGCTGTGCCTATGTGCGAGTGAGCAGACAGGATGACAAAATTTATTATTCTGTTGATTTAAAGAAAACTATCCTTGACATTTTACTGTGTATGTATATCAAAGCATCTTGAAAACATATTGTTGTGGGTATTGGGACTCCTGAACTATCTGTTGTTGTAGGAGTTTGTCCTTGCAGGCCTTGCCAAGCTTTTTTATTTAGCTGTAAACATCTTAGGACCATGGGTGGTGACTAGCAAGGAACGTGCCTTGTTAGTCTCAAGATGGAGTCTTTTGGTTATTTATTTATTTATTTATTTATTTATTTATTTATTTATTTTGAGACAGAGTCTCACTGTGTCACCCAGGTTGGAGTACAGTAGCGCGATCTTGGCTCTCTGCAACCTCTGCCTCCTGGGTTCAAGCGATTCTCCTGCCTCAGCCTCCCGAGTGACTGGGATTACAGGCACCCGCCAACACGCTTGGCTAATTTTTGTATTTTTAGTAGAGATGGGGTTTTACCATGTTGGCCAGGCTGGTCTTGAACTCCTGACCTCAAGTGATGCACCTGCCTCGGCCTCCCAAAGTGCTGGGATTTACAGGCGTGAGCCACCGTGCCCAGCCAGAGTTGGTTTTAAAATGATGTCACTCTGGCTTTCCTAGGCTCCTGTTTCCCTAACAGTGGATATATAAAAGTTATCCTGCAATTGCTTGTGGATACTGCAAAGTGCCCACAAGCAAAGGTGTGGAGCAAGGCGCCCTATAGGACACTCCTTGCTGTCTCTAACACATCCTAAGCCTGTTTCTACCTCAGGACTTGTTCACCTCTTATTCTCTCCACCTGGAACTCTCTTCCTTAAGATAACACATGAATCGCTCCCTCACTTCCTTCAGGCCTTTCCTCAAATGTCGCCATCTCAGTGATGTTTTCCCTGACCACCCTATTTAAGGGAACACCTAGTACACCATACTTCCCTTTCTTGCTTATTTCCTCCATATCACTTTTCTTCGTCTAACATACTAATGTCAGCTCCACAAGGGCAGGATTTTTCTCTTTATGTCCACTGCTGCATCCTCACTGCTCAAAACAGTGCCTGGCACAGTGTGGTGCTCAAAAAATATTTCTTGAAAGAATAAATGATTTTATTCCATTTCAATGCTGTCACATGCCCAGGATCAATGGTTTTAAAATTAGAACAAAGGGGATGGGGAAAATAAATGAATGTGAAAAAAGGGGTGAGGCAAAGCCTACCACAGAGCTCCTTCCTTGATATGTTGCCTGCAGACCCCCTGATAAGGTTTATAGATCAGTGGAAATATAAAAAGGGAACAGCTGATTTCCAGTCACAAGAGGCTGATTGAGGAAGTCTGGTCCACCTTTTGAGGTGATGTCTCCTTTGGTTTACTCTCAAAGTAAAAGTAGCAGATCAGCAGCCGAAAGGATACAAATGCACTAGAGATGCATTTGTAAAGACACTAGGGATGACTGAACCACTGATCCTGAATGAAAGCAGTGTCAAAGTTGGGAGGTAAATAATTTGTAAAGACACTAGGGATGGCCAGGTGTGGTGGCTCATGCCTGTAATCCCAGAACTTTGGGAGGCCGAGGAGGGTGGATCACCTGAGGTCAGGAGTTTGAGACCAGTCTGGCCAACATGGTGAAACCCCGTCTCTACTAAAAACACAAAAATTAGCTGGGGTGGTGGCAGGTGCCTGTAATCCCAGCTACTCGGGAGGCTGAGGCAGGAGAGTCGCTTGAACCCAGGAGGCAGAGGTTGCAGTGAGCTGAGATCGCACCATTGCCCTCCAGCCTGGGGGACAAGAGCGAGACTTCGTCTCAAAAAAAAAAAAAAAAAAAAGACACTAGGGATGACTTGACTGCTGACGGCCTCCCGTGTATCTCTCAGAGTCATGCCCTAAGTTCTGTAGACTTGGCATCCCACACAGAGGGAAACCGCTACCAGGTTTGAGAGTTAAGAACTTTGGGTTCCTGCATTTTACACCCACCTCCCTGGCCACTTACTCAGCATCCAGAGACAACTCATTTTACTACAGAAGGCAATAATTTCCCTATTCAGGATGTCATGTCACCAAGGCTCATGTTCTGTGCTGGGGCCTTGAAATTCTTGCTGTGTCAGCCCAAGAGTAATCTCTGTTTTTCTGTGCCTGAACTACAGGACCTAGTTTCCATTTTGGTCCTCACTGAAGCCTATTCTGGTCAGGTCTGGCCATGGCCAACCACACCGGTCACAGGTGTTGTGTAATATCACATTGGCAGAGCATCAGAAGAAAGGCAGCATGGTCTCACAATATATGAAGAGTAGGCTTAAGAAGCAGGAGCCAAAATTGATGTAACAGAAGATAAGACTATCAACATGATGACCCAATTGAGAAGTGTCACTATGTGAGATGAAAAGGTAAAAGAAGAGCCAGCAGAGTTATTGGCTCTTGTTTGCAGGAGATGATACTAAACAAAATTGATTCGTAGAAATATAGACATCATAAAATGAAAGGACCACCTGGATGTTTGAGGAGTGTGTCAATAAGAAATTATAGGACTGATCTCGAACTTACTAGTGCCAGTTCCCAGTTCATTGTGTGTCTTCATTTACAGCATTAGGCCTTCTAGTGGGGACCTTTGACATGGCCCTCAGGAATTAGTCAGAATGCAGGATGCCACAAGAGAAGGGAAGGCTGGATATGACCAATACAGAATTATTGTATACTTTTGACTTTTAGTGCTTTAAGTTTAAGAAAGTGGGATATAGTTAATGGGTTTAGCTTCCAGCCCACCCACCAGTCCCTGTAGCAACAAAAGCTCATTAAGTGTCACACAAGAGCCTTCTCAGCCAATGTTATGAAAGAGAAAAAACAAAAAACAGCAAGCCAATGCACATAAAGAGAGTTTACAAGGGTCTTATTAAAATAGAGTGAAAGTATGAGCGTAAAGAACCAAAAAAAAAAAAATCACAATTTAAGTGATGAAAAATGGTGGGCACCTGAATAGGTGACTCACATCTTAGAGATGTGGTAGATTAAGTAGTGAAAGGATAATGGAAGAGTACTGGAGGGTACTGCCTTAGCAAGGAATTTATACACACTGCCTATGGGCTTATTATTGAGTTTGTTTCTGGGGAATCTACAAATATAAGTCTGTATAATAAAGGAAAAGACGGCCTTTTCTATAGTCGCAGTTTTAAGCAGTGAACCAGGAACCAGTGACATGGTTTTAAACCATTGATCCTGATGAAAGCAATGTCAAAATTGGGAGGTAAATCTGGTTAGGTTAAGATTATTTTTGGTTTTCTCTATATTTTCTGATGAGTTTGTGGTGCTGAAAGGGACATGGCAGGCAATGGGAGCAGGAGGGCTGGCTTTCTTAGACACCCTGGCCCTGGAATTAATTTCATATGCAAAAAAAATTTCCAAATCAAATAGTTACGTGGAATGTACTGAAAAGCAGAGAAAATTGTTAATCAGCAATAAAAAATAATGAAAGTAATTTTTAGAAACAACACTGTTTTCAACAACAGTATGGTGTGAGGAAAGAACATTGCCTGGGAATCCAAGCCAGTTCTATTCTGAGGTCTGTCACTGCCACGCACAGCAGAGGACCGACATACAATGCTCCTCCTGAGAACAAAAGGCCATGACAAGATCAAAATAAAGGGAAACCTGTATTCCCACAGAATCCAGAGATGGGAGCCATCCAAATGACAAAGACTTTGCATGATTCCAGCACATATATCCTAATTGTTGCCTAGAGATATTATGAGTGAAGTATCCCTATTCCCACTTTATTAGGAACCTTACACTATTGATTATCCCCTCTTCCCTGAATCTTCCATTTTCCCTGGTTTTCTGGCTCATTTCCATTGCCATTTAAAGAGACTCTAGTTTCTCTCATCTTAACAAATGCTGACAGGATCCCAAATGCCTCTTCCATATCACTGCAACGTCCAGCATGAAAGAAAGATGGTGTAGAAATAAGATAAATCTAAGATAAATGAGGTTAAGCAAAAACCTTGTAGTACTAAATCTGAATGTGCAAATAAAGTTCCTGTTATCCAAACTGAAGAACTGAAGAAAGGAAAGACTTCCTATTCCTTCATTATAGTTCCAAGCTCCAAGCAGTGACAAAAGAACCACTGGTATGGTTATACATATATATATAACCCTGTGTCTGTATATATATATATATATATAGTCATGCTCTGTCACCCAGGCTGGAGTCCAGTGGTGCAATTGTGGCCCACTGAAGCCTTTACTTCCTAGACTCAAGCAATCCTCCTACCTCAGCCTCCTGAGTAGCTGGGACTACAGGCATGTGCCACCATGCTTGGCTAATTTTTCTTTTTCTTTCTTTCTTTTCTTTTCCTTTCTTTTTTTGTAGAGATGGAGTTTCACAATGTAGCCTGGGCTAATCTTGAACTCCTGGGCTCAAGAGATCCACCTACCTCAGCCTCCAGAGCTGGGACTACAGGTGTGAGCCACCGTACCTGGCCAGTATGGTTTTAAGCCAGTGAAAGTAGCATCTATGTTGGAAGGTGGAGCTGGTTAGATTTGCACTATTCTTAGTTTCCTCTGTATTTTCCTATGTTTCTTTTGTGGTTCAAGGTACATTTTCTTTGCCTGTGATTAAGGATTGTGTGGTTCATGGGAATATAAAGTAATGAGACCTATTTTCCCATAAGACAGATACATTCACTGAGGAGTTTATATGCTTTGCTCTGAGATAATATTTGTACAACAAAAAACCTGAAGTGGTTCCCAAAGTGTCAATATTTTAGTCTGTGCCAAATAAGATAGCTGAATAAACATAACTGAAGTAACCAAATACTGCCAATTTGATAGCAGCATATAGGCATGTCCTGATTGTGGAGAATAACAGGTATATTCTGTTATTTACTGTTATTAAATGTTAATAACTGCAAACCTAGTCTTTTACTTGGAACAAAAGTGTGTGTCTATGTCTAGATATTTGAGTTTAGAATTATATCCCAGTTAGGTCTTTAATAATGATCACTCTAAATCCTTATGTCATGCTATCTTCATCCTTAAGCATAACTAAATCACAGGCATATTTTTCATAACTAACCACATTTGAAAATCTTGATGCAGAGCAGATAAAATATATTCCTCTTGACAAAATATCAGGTACAATATAGATCAGAAATATACATTCCTAGATTTTATCCCAGAAAATACGTGAACTCAAGATGGGGAGCTACCACTTCAGTTTTTTTTTTCTAATTGTCTTTGCAAGATTGTATGATGTATTGATGAAAAGTTGAAATATAGTGTTATCTACATTATAGTGTATAGTTTCCTCTTTAAGAAGTAGTTTATACATTGGTAACTGGGGACAGCTACCTATTATAAGCTAGAGTTCAGTATGTATGAAAGAGAATTAGAAAAAAATACTAAACTTATGTGACTGAATCACTTCCACAAAAATTTGGAACAGCCTTGATTAGACAAGAATGAACCAAAACTATAAAAAATGAACTCAGAGACTCAAAAGTTGAGATTTGTAAAGGTCAAAACTAAATAATTACTATTGTGTCTTGATGCAGTCACTAAGAATTTTATTGTGTATAATTTTTACTTCAGTGTTGAACAGCCATTGTGATAGGAAGAATTTCAGTTCTGAACACTTTTGCTTCATCAAGGATGGAATAAAACAAAGAGTTTGTGCTATCTTGGTTTTTGGTTATAATAAAAGCTATTCAAACAGTTTTTATATGTTTATTATTTTCCATCTACTTTTCTGCATGCTCCTTTGTTCATATGATACTGCCTCAGTCAGACTCGGTGAAATCGGTGAGACTGGCCAGGTCAACAAGGCCTAGAACTGGATCAAACACAGGAGGATGATTCAGGAAGGTAGAAAGGAACATCAGGAAGATGAGGTAGTAAATTACAGGGACTCAGCCACAGGCATTAAGGTTAACATACAACACTCCCATCTCTAGGACTCTGATTTTGGACGAGTCATGGCGAGACTCTAGTTCTGTAGAAACTGAATGTCAAGCAGAAATTCGTACATAAAAGAAAGAATATCTGTGGGAACTGGAGTGCAATTCAAGTGGATTCATTAATAGCAACCAGATCAGAGAGCTATTACAGAACAAAGTGCAGAAATAGTGCAGGGCCATCAAACAGGTTGACTTTTATAAAGAATGGATGATAGGTAGAGTTTCTTATGTTCTCACTGTCTGTGACCTGATTTTTACCAGAACTTGGAGCAAGGCTAATCCTACCAATAGGATTACGTGGCCCTGATTATAGTGTTGGAGGCCTGCTAGGCAGAATTAGGCAGATCATTGTTCACTAAATAAATTATCGTTTGTTTAAGTTTAGTACAGGAGTTGCAAACTATGACCTACTGCTTGTTTTTGTATGACCCATGAGCTAAGAATGATTTGTACACATTTAAGTTGCTAAAAAAATAAAAATGAATACTATTTCGTGACGTGAAAATTTTATGAAATTCAAATTTCAAGGTCCGTAAATAAAGACTTATTGGAACACAGCCATGCTTATCTGTTTTCATATTGAATATGGCTACTTTCATGCTACAATGGCAGAGGTGAGTACTTGTGACCAACACCCTGTGGTCTGGAGAGCCTTAAATATTTACTGTCCAGACCTGTACAGAAAAAGTTTGCCGAACTTGGTTTAGTGTATAAAGTCCGTGGATGTACAGAAATTTCATAGCACAATATTTAGGGCCTGATCATGTTTAATTCTTTAAGAAGTTGCATACAACTCAGGGTAGAAATAAAAACCATAGCAATTGATGAGTATGATGTTTTGTGACTATTTAAGAATTGACAAAGAGAAGAATTAAGTGAAACAAAGTATATGAGGTAGCCTTTCCTAGCCCTGCTCTGGCAGAGGCTGGGACTATTCTGCCTCCTACATTGAGTGAACCAAATCCTGCCTACAACCAGCAGGACACTAGGCATTCCCTCCTGACGGTGGGCATGATAAAATAGACATGATCCCCCAGGCACCTTTATGTCTGTTGTGTGTTCACTGAACTGCAACCTCTTCTCTGACCACCCATCCCCCTCTAGTGTTGGATTACCCTCTGTGATTGACTTTTTGCCTTAGTTTTCTGATTAGGGTTATAATTCCCACTTTGAGGCTAGAACTAATCCTCAGTTCCAGCCTAATTGCCTAAGACTCTGATTCTCTAAGAAATCCTTCCTACTCCCGTTGCCCCTGGGAGCTGGATCCTGTTTTGCATAGCTTCCTCTTTTAGCTGGCATCTTGCTGTAATCCAAATAGACCATCTGGGATCAGTTCTTGCCAGCAAATGTTTGGTTCTACTGCTTTCCCTTACCCAACTCCAGGACTTGATCATCCTTTGAATAAAACCCATTTGTCTCATCCTTTGAACTTTGATTTGACATGCCAAACACAATCATTTTTTTAAAAAAAATGTTGTGACAGAGTCTTGATCTGTCACCCAGGCTGGAGTGCAGTGGCGTCATTTCAGCTCACTGCAGCCTCAACTTCCCGGGCTCAGGCAATCCTCCCACCTCAGCCTCCCAAGTATCTGGGAGTACAGTCATGTGGCACAACGCCCTGCCAATTTTTAAATTTTTTATAGAGGTGGGATCTCGCTATACTGTACTGGCTTGTCTTGAACTCCTGGCCTTAAACAATCCTCCTGCCTTAGCCTCCCAAAGTGCTGGGATTACAGGTGTAAGCCACTGCACCTGGCCCCAAACACAATCTTGAAGGTACATTCCTGCAACCAAGTTAGTCCATGAAATTTCAATCTAGTCTTTTCCAAGATTCTTTCCTACTCCTTTCCTCTTCTTCCTTCTGCTGAGGTCCCAGCATGCATCATGGTCTAGTATACATTTATTATAGTAGCCAACAGATCATAGACAATTAGAGCTGGAAGGAATCTTACAAGTTATAGATGAGAAGACCAATTTAGAGGTCCACAAAGGGGAACATACATATCAGTTGACTTTAACAAACAAGGAATAAGTAGACCCACATCCTCCAAGAAGTGCCTTGGAAATAGAAGTTAAATGTAGTTAACTGCCTTCAATGAGTCAATTTTGAATTTATTTATTTTTGACTCATCATTAAAAAGAATCAAAAGCAGGGAGAAATCAAAATGACTGTAATAAGTCTGTCCAAAAAAGGAAAAGGAGAAAGAGAAGGAGGAAACCCATAATTTGAGGCCATATGCAAATAGAATTAGTTTTGCCAAGATGTCTCATTGTCTACCACTCCAATTCCCCTTTCCATTTCTGACAGTTGTCTCTTGGATTCTGTGTGACTACTTTAATGCCTAAATCTTTACAAGGAGAATCTCGAAATAAAATCTCAAATTATAACTTGCTTGGTTACATTTGATTTAGTGATCTGAACAACACAAGTACTGGCCAACCAGAAAGCAAACCAGCTTATCATCAGTCCTGCCTCTATCTACAGAGGCAAAATGAAAGGAGCACTGAGGCACTTATGGCAATTTCACAAGGGAATCAGGTAAATATCCCTTGCTATCATGGGAAAACAGTGGTGGAGTTAGGGTGGGAGTGGGGATTTGTATAGAGTCTTCCCTGGCTAATTACTCAGAATTATTTCCCTGTAGAGGCAGTGTCCATCTCTTGCATGTGGCTGCTGAAGCAGATCACTGCATAGCAGGTCCAATCAGTTAAGCAATCTTAATGATCAATGCATTTTCCCTCTGCGTTCATTCTGCTGTGAACTAGATCGTGAAGATCGCTATATCAATTTAATCAATCATGCCTCAAGATTCAATGTAGCTACTGCATGTAGATTTTTAAAATGTTTGTTGCAACAACTCATGCCTCTCCCTGTCACTTATTAATATATTAAGAATTTAATAGCTCTTGACTGGCTAGTGTGGAATAAATTTATAGTATCCAGCACATAGTAAGCCTAATAAATATTTGTTGATAGCATTTAATGACTAACTGTACAAGTCATAATAGAATAATATAGACATTCATTTGGAAGTAGAGTATGCCTTAGATTAGGCCAGTGGTTCTTAACAGGAATGATTTTGCTACCTGCTCCTAGGGGACATTTAGCAATGTCTGGAGACATTTTTGATTCTCACAACTAAGAATGGCAGGGTTTCTGGCATTGATTGGGTAGAGGCCAGGATGCTGCTATATATCCTAGAATGTACTGGACATCTGCTTCAAAAGAATTTTCCTGTTCAAAATGTCAAGAGTCTGAGATTGAGAAATCCCAGGTTAGGCAGATAATAGATATTGAGCAGTTTGGCTTTTTTAAAAGTAGGTGAGGAGGAGTGAATAGGCAGAGCTCAGAGGAATTTAGGACAGTAAAACTACTTATGACAGTACAATGGTAGGTACATGTCACTGTACATTTGCCAAAATCCATAGAATGCACAGTACCAAGAGTGAACGCAAATGTACACTACGGGATTCTGGGTGGCCATGATGCCTCGATGTAGGTTCATTGATTGTAATGAATGTACCACTCTGGTGCCAGATGTTGATAGTGGGGGAGGCTGTGCATGTTGTGGTGGGCAGGAGGTATATGGGAACTTTGTACTTTCTGCTCACTTTCCCTGTGGATCTCAAACTGCTCTACAAATAAGCCCCTGTTAAAAAAAAAAAAAAGGAGATGAAGGTTCCCTTACATCAACTGTTTAAGAGTCGGTCTGTAAGAAGCAACAACCTCTCCTCTTCATCTCTGTCATCTGCCAGGCAGCTGTGAAACAGAAACCAAGCCCTTGCCCAAGCAGTGTTTGTAGACCTGGAACCCATGGTCATTGACGAAGTTTGCTCTGGCACATACCGTGAGCTCTTCCAACCTGAGCATATCATCACGGGCAAGGAAGATGCTGCCAATAATTATGCCCGAGGGCACTACACCATTGGCAAGGAGATAATTGACTTCATGTTGGGCCAAATTCATAAACTGGCCAACTTGTGCACAGGTCTTCGGGGCTTCTTGGTTTTCACAGCTTTGGCAGGGGAACTGGTTCTGGGTTCACCTCCCTGCTCATGGAATGTCTCTCTGTTGACTATGGTAAGAAATCCGAGCTGGAGTTCTCCATTTACCCAGCTCCTCAGGTTTCCATACCTGTACTAGAGCCCTACAATTCCACTCTCACCACCCACATCACCCTGGAGCACTCCGATTGTGCTTTCATGATAGACAGTGAGGCCATTTAGGGCATCTGTTATAGAAACCTTGATATTAAGCCCCCAACCTACACTAACCTAAATAGGTTCATAGGTCAAATTGTGTCCTCTGTCACTGCTTCCCTGAGATTTGATGGAACCCTAAATATTGATCTGACAGAACTCCAGACCAACCTGGAGTCCTATCCCTGCATCCACTTCTCTCTGGGCAACTATGCCCTCTGATATGATTTGGCTCTGTGTCCCCACCCAAATCTCATTTTGTAGCTACCATAATCCCCATGTGTTGTGGGAGAGACTTGGTGGAAGATGATTAAATCATGGGGGTGGGTCTTTCCAGTGCTGTTTTCATGATAGTGAATAACTCTCACAAGACCTGTTGGCTATTAGAAACTGGAGTTTCTCTGCACAAGCTCTCTCTTTGCCTGCTGCCATCCATGTAAGATGTGACTTGCTCCTCCTTGTCTTCCACCATGATTGTGAGGCCTCCCCAGCCATGTGGAGCTGTAAGTCCAATAAACCTCTTGCTTTTGTAAATTGCCCAGCCTTGTGTATGTCTTTATCAGCAGTATGAAAACAAACTAATACACCCTCATCATCTCTACTGGGAAAGCCTACCATAGACAGCTTTCTGTAGCAGAGATTACCAATGCTTTCTTTGAGCAAGCCAGCCAGGTGGTGAAACATGACCCTTACTATGGTAAATACATGGCTTGCTGCTTGTTGTACCATAAAGATGTGGTTCCCAAAGATGTCAGTGCTGCCATTGCCACCATCAAGACCGAGCGTACCATCCAGTCTGTGGATTGGTGCCCCACTGGCTTCAAGATGGCATTAATTACTAGCCTCCCACTGTGGTGCCTGGCAGAGACCTGACTGAGATACAGAGAGCTGTGTGCATGTTGGGCAACAACACAGCCATTGCTGAGACCTGGGCTCACCTGGACCACAAGTTTGACCTGATGTATTCCAAGCACGTCTTTGTTCATTGGTAAGTGGGTAAGGAAATGGAGGAAGGAGAGTTTTCTGAGGTCCGTGAGGACATGGCTGCCCTTGAGAAGGATTATGAGGATGTTGGTGTGGAGTCTGTTGAAAAAGAGGGTGAAGAAGAAGAATACTAAAGTTAAAACAGCAGAGGCAGGAGAATTGCTTGAACCTGGGAGGCAGAGGTTGCAGTGATTCAAGACTGCACCCTTGTACTCCAGCCTGGGCAACAAGAGCGAAATTCCGTCTCAAAAAAAACAAAAAACAAAAAAGAAACCAGCTCAGATGCTGCTTTCACAGGGAAGCTTATTCTGTTTTAAACATTGAAAAATTGTGGTCTGATGAGTTAATTTGTATGCAGCAGTGTATGTATATGCTCTCATATACAATTACTGACTTAGGCTTTAAAACATGTATGCTGTATTACAGACTCAAGCTGTTCATTTCTGTGACGGGTTTTAAATGAAGTATTGCCTGTCTTTTAAAAAAAAAAGGATATGAAGCAGTTGGAAATAGAATTTTGGTTTTCAAAAATTAGTTTGTCTTCATTCTAAAATATTTTGGAGAAAACTGAAGACATATTGAAATATTTACCTTATGCTTCAAAATGACATATGTCATGTGACACATTTTCTTTGATTAACTTTTCTTTCCATGTAGTTTTTTTTTTTAAAGTCATTTTCATTAACCACCTTAATTACAACCAATTTCAAATTGCACTTTTGGTACTCTCAACATGTATGATTGCCCCACTTCTAAGCAGGTTTAAGGAGACCCTGCTTGCAATTTTCCTCCTTTACTAGTAGCAAGGGAGAGCTGAAAAGGAGCTTTCAATAGGCTGTGTTTTACAATGTATGCAGAGCGATGACAAATTCACTTAAATCCAGTATCAGGTTCTAAAAATATCTGTGATGCAGGGAGGGAAAGAAATAGTGCTGGTAAAAGATACTTCAGTCTGCTGCCTGCTAGACATACTGGGAACGATGCTGTGTACTATCTGCCATAGCCAAAATTCCATTCACAAAGTGAAGAGTAGCATGATCTACAAAAGTCGTTTCCAATAGACCAATAATAGCCTCAAGGATATGAAAAATCTCAAACAATCCTATTTTCAGCATACACTTTTTGAATTAGTGAATGATGTTTAATAATAAACATTTTTAACATTCGCTAGTGTTTTCCCTATTTTTTCTTTTTTCAGCCTTCTGTAATTAAACATAAGGTATTGTAACAACAAAGTGCCAAGATTATAAACCCATGAAAATGCATAAAATTTGCCAAACTCTTTAAGAGTAATAGTACATATCTCAAGCTTTATGTCTAACCTACTAAAATGATGAGGAAATAGTTTATCCAAGAATCAACATTATTTACCACATAGCATTTAGAACTGTAAGCTATTATCATAGCCCATATATCATTGTGACTTTTATGAAAAGATAAGATTTTTAGCTTTTCATTTTGCCAAGTTCAAATCCCTAACCTAATATTTCATTTCCAGGTATTTTTTTCAGTACCTAGAACTATAGTCTATTATCACAGATATACTTTATGAATAAGTAAAGCTTTACTTCCTCCACTGAACTCCTCAAGGCCAGGAGCCACGTTTTATTCATCCAATATCACGATGTTTGCCTAGTGTACTTCCTGGCACCACAGGAGGTGACCAATAAATATTTATTGAATTTTATTGACTACATGAACATTAGCTACTTTTAATTGTTGACGTGTGAAAAATGAGATTTCAGGTAGTTACACTTAATAAACCTTATTCTTTGTTTCACTTAAATTTCATGTTTGGTTTAGATTTTCAGGAAACAAGAAAATAAGCAATTTTCTCATATATGAGTAAAAGTTACTAAACTATGCTCTGCAGATGCTTTTTTATTTGAAAAAAAATTGATGAAGGGGCGAGATAACCTAAGATTTTTACCATATTAATCATTAGATAGCTAGCAGCACCGTAACTTCATCAATGTGAAGCCTACACAGGATCTGTAAACTATATTACCCAATACTTCTCTAACTTAGTACCATATTATTATCAAGATTATCCCATTCACCTATCAAATGTCAATCCACTTTCTTCAGTTATTTCTGATAGTAAGACCACCAAGGTCAGCTGGAATTACCATTCTCGTGTCTCAGCCTCCAAGTAGCCGGGATTACAGGTTCCTGCCACCACGCCTGGCCAATTTTTTGTATTTTTAGTAGAGATGGGGTTTCACCATTTTGCCCAGGCTAGTCTTGAACTTCTGGCTTCAAGTGATCCGCCCACCTCGGCCTCCCAAAGAGCTGGGATTACAGGCGTGAGCCACCACACCCAGCCAAGAGCTTTAATTTCTAAAGTGATGCAGGGAAAATACATTTTCCTTTGCTGAGCTAGAATGAGGTAGATGGTTACAATTCCATGCCTGTTAGGGAATTAATACCACAGCCTGATGTACAATTTAAAACCTCAATGACAGCTGAGCAAAAGCCACTCAGGACAAGAGAATCATAAGTTCTAACTTCACTCACATTTCCAACTTACTGTATAATACAGAATCTTATTTTTCTTTCCTTAGCTGTGGAAGGAGGAAAACCCTGAACTAGTTTTCCACAAATGCTTTCAGAAGTGAGACTGATAGCAATTTTCTAATTTTAATTCACAGTGAACAGAGTATTAGTGGATTCTGTGTTTTCATCCTTTCTCTCAGAGGTATAAAAGAAACTTGATCTGAAAATTGAAAGTAGATACACAAAGATCAATCAACCAAAACTTAAATACCTGACCTACAACAACAACAAAGAAGTGAGTATTATTCACTTGAGAATAATTGCAACTTCTCCCTGAATGGAGACATTTGCAGTTATATCTCATGGAGACAGTGCAAGGTTTGTTTCTTTTAATTCTGTGATCCTTAAATTTTAGTTGTGCATAATAATCAGTCAAGAATTTATTATAATGCAGAGATTCCAGGTCGCTACCTCTGAAGATTCTGATGCAGAACCAGTATTTAAAATTGGGAGCTAGCTGTGTCCTCAAAAGGAGACTTTTAAGTGTTTTTTTTTTTTTTTTTTTTTTCAAAAATCGAGATACAATTCACATACCATACAAATTCACCCATTTAAAATGTACAATTCAAATTTTTTAGTATATTCACAGTGTTATGCAACCATCATCACAATCTAATTTGGAATATTTTCATCATCTCAAAAAGAATACCGATACCCATTATCTATCACTTTTCATCCCCATGCCACACCCCCCATTCAGGCCCTGGCAAACGTTAATCTGCTTTCTGTCTCTTTAGATTTGCCTATTGTGGATATTTCTTATAAATGAGATCACACAATATGTAGCCTTTTGTGTCTGGCTTCTTTCACTTACCATAGTGCTTTCAGGTATCGTCCATGTTGTATAGATGTATCAGTACTTAATTCCTTTTCAGTAACAAATAATACTCCATTGTATGGATATGGCACATTTTATTTATCCTTTCATCCGCTGATGGGCATTTGGGTTGTTTTCACTTTTTTGACTATTATGAGAAAGCTCTTATGCACATTTGTGTTCAAGTTTCTGTGTGGACATTGTTCCTAAGTGTGTGTGTGTGTGTGTGTGTGTGTGTGTGTAACTAGAGGGCTTATTAAATTGAGGGAGCATTTCTAGTCAAATGCTCTTGTAAGTAGCTGTTGGTGAGCTGTAAGAAAATGATGACTAGAGTGACCCACTAAAGTACTGGCTAGTGACCTGTGAGGGTTAAAGGCTTTCAGGGGAGCTTTGATCATAGAATAGCTAGCATTCTGTGGCAGTTGGAAAAGACAAAACAGAGACCAAAGAGAAAGAATGCAACATTTTACCCTCATTAATATAAAAATATAGAAATGAGTGACTGTAAGAAGCAAAACAGACCTCCATCTAAGGTCTGATCTCATCTGCCTTCTGACGTGGTCAATAGCATAGCTTATTATAGTGAGTTTAAAGCAATGGTTGCAAAATCAAAATGCTGTTAACCAGTTCATTGTGTGAAAAAAAAATCAAAACACTTAAGAGGAAACTGATTCCTTAGAACAAGAAATGAACCTAAATATAAAGAAATAAGCAGAGAAATGCTGTTATGTTTTTTTTCTCCCTGCATATCCTGAAAATCCAGTGTGCATTATAAAATCTAAGCCACACTGTGCCGTTTGTTCACCGCTGCCTTTCAGCTCTTCCTTGTGTCATATGTGAAGCTTATGCACACCTCTCTGGGTCAAACCATGCTTGGTTATTCAACTTTGTAAACAACCCTTTAAGTGTTCGAATGGATTAAATCTGTGATGAAAGTCCAAATATCATCCACAAAGATTTCACTACCAAAATGATCTAATCACCAGAACATAGACCTTATTATTTTTCCTATAATTAAAAAAAAGATAGTGAATTTGATTTATCAGGATCTTGTTCAACCATGTTTCACAAATAGCCACAAAATCCATCGTCTTTAATTAACTCTTTCTCCTAACTGCCTTAACCTATTGCAAGACAACAAGCTGGATTAACTGCAAAGAAACTGATTTAATTGCAAAAAAAATTTTTTTTAAATCTCTCATTTTAAATAATATTGGCTAATCCTTAGATTATCTCTCAGACCTGATATATAGTTCTTTAATAGACAAAAGTAGGCTATGGGGGATCTTTTCTCAATTTATGAGAAATTAGTAATACGGAAGAAAATAGCTCTATTGATTTATCAATCTAATGATCAGCAGCACTGATTACCAAAGGAGACTAAGACATGATCTTTGCCCCCAAAGAGTCAATTCTCTTGCTGAGAAAAGCAAGACATACGCAGGAAAGAATTTGAGAACACCATAATATATTACATTATCTCTGCCAAAGGAATTCAGACATAGGAGAGATAAACGCGGGCTCAAATAGTTAAAGATGACATCATGGATAAAGTAAGACTTAATCTGGGTCTGAAGTTTGGGGAGGATTTATCAGAATAAGGGAAGAGTATTTCTGGCATGGACAACTGCGTGAACAAAGGCTGAGTTGAAAGATTTAAAATAATGTAAAGTGGAGGACACAGGCTTAGGAACAAATAAGAAGCAAGGCTGTATACATTGGACAGGCGGATTATGGTGAGTCTTGTAAGTTAGGCAGATACCCAGAAGCTGCTCCTGCCAAAGCTGACAGTGTCTTACCAGAGTTGGGTATGCCCAGCTGAATTTTATTCAAAGAGAGCTGCCTCCTGACTCTTCACTTGGTGGAGACCAATAGTGGGGACATCAATAAATGCTTGACAATGTGGCCAAGTCGAGGACTGATTGCCAAGTGCCTACTGTGTGCATTACAGGAACTGGTTTGGATGCATCATGAATTATAAGAATGAACAAGTGAGAATTCCAGACATCATGAAATTTATCGTGTAGACGTGCACATTACTATGATACTAGGAAGAAAGTAATGAATGTATTAAGTACGAAGTACAGAACAGGCACAGAATGAGCATCGACTCTACCTGAGTAACAGAAGAAGTGACATTTTAACTCAATATTAAAAATATTAGGCTTTTCATACTGATAGGGGAGTGGATTTGCTCAAGGTAGAGGAACCAACGGGGCAATGGAATGAAGTAGAATGTGTTTTGGAAAAGGCAAGAAGTTCAGCAAGTCAGGAAAGTAGGATGTATGGAAGAATAGTATGGGGTTGTGATAAAGCTGAAAAGCTGGTTAGGGCCAGAAGGAAGGAAAAAGGTCGGAAAGGGGAGTTTGGACTTAGCAGATGATTTGTAGCCACTGTAAGTTCTTGAGGGGATAGTGAGTTGGTTTTCTGTCATATTTATTGAGTGTACGGTGTGAAAAGCCCTTGGCCATGAAAGGAGTGTGTATGGGTGATGAGTCTGGTGGCAGTATACAAAATAGATCTGAAAGTGGATGATACTGAGATCAGGAAAGTCAACTAGGAAGAAATCCATTACAGTAATATAAGAGTAAAAAGAAGAGGGTAGAAAAAATAAAGGGGGAAAGTAGAGAAAAAAATCAATAGATGGGATCATTTCTAGGGAAAAGGTAACACTTGCTGGGTAATTGCACCCAGAGTATAAAGTAGTTAGTGGAGCTAGAGATGCCTGATGTATGGATCCTCAGTGATTAAGAGACTCTTGGTTACAGTTTTGGCAAATACAGAAGTTGTGTTGTAGGAATAAACTGAATGGGTATGGTTGAGTGCCATGGTTTTTAATTATAGTTTATTTGAGGTATCAGGTGACTGGTACTCCATTGCATTGCTCAGACTGAAACATGAATCTGGGAGACATTTGGAGTCATGAGATTAAATGAACTTCTGGAGAATGGGAGAAGGAAGGAAACAATAATTTTTGAATATTTATTATATTCTAGACACTGAGTGTGGAGATAAAGTACAGTGAAGAACAGAGTCTTTGAGGAAAGTCCAAAGTTAAGGGACAGGAAAGGAATCAGCAAACAAGGACTAGAAATTCTCAAAAAAGTAGAAAGACAAGTTGCATACTGTGCTGTCTCTTAAAACAAAGGAGAATAATTTTAGAAGACAGGGAAGGATCAAACAATTTGAGTATCCAGAAAGATTAAAAATCAGAATAAGGCTGAGCGCAGTGGCTCACACCTGTAACTCCAGCATTTTGGGAGGCTGAGGAGGGCGGATCACTTGAGGTCAGGAGTTCAAGACTAGCCTGGCCAACATGATGAAACCCCATCTCTACTAAAAATAAAAAATTAGCCGGGCGTGGTGGCATGTGCCTGTAATCCGACCTACTCGGGAGGCTGAGGCACAAGAATGGCTTGAACCCGGCAGGTGGAGGTTGCACCACTGCACTCCAGCCTGGGCGACAGAGCAAGACCCTGTCTCAAAAAAATTAAAAAAAAAAGTAAAAATAACGAGAATAAAAGCCTTGCATTTGATGAAGAATCTTGGAGACATTTAATTCAGTTCTGTTCCACAATTATTTCTGTGCACCTACTACGTTCTTAGCACTAGAGTGCTGGAAACACTGTCATGTAGATTATAGTCTAGTAGAGAAGAAAAACAAGAAAACTGTCAACTGCAAGACAATCTGATAAGTACCAACGTGTGGGAGACACAGGGTATTAACATAGCACATGAGGAGGGCCATCTATCCCAGACTCGAGAGGTCTGGAAGGCTTTTCAGAGAAAGTGATGTTTAAACGGAGACCTACACGATGAGCTGGGATTAGCTAGATGAGAGGAAAAGGGAGTGATCCAAGCAGGAAACACCCTGTGTGGGGATCTAGAGAGAAAAGAAAACAAGAACACTAAGCAACTGAAAAAAATGGTGGCCTGAGTGATTTTGTAGAGATACCATTGAAGAGGTAAGCAGGAGTCAACTAATAAAGAAACTTACAGGGCTGTGTCAAGGACTTTGAATTCAATCCAAACTGGCATTGGGAAGCTGCTGAAAGGCTTAAGCAGGAGAGTGCTTTAATCAGGTTTGTACTTTAGAAAGATCCCTCTAACTGTGCATGGGCAGGGGGAAGGCAAGGCCAGTTATGAGTTATGAGCCTGTTATAGTAGTTTAGGAGAGACATGAAGTTGTCAGTAGAGAGAGAGAGAGAGGAGTGGGTGGACTCGATAAATATGTGGGAGGTGGAATTGACAGTTATTGCTAATTAATTGGCAGTGGGAAGTTTTAGGAGAAAGAACATCCAAGAATGACATCAAAATGTTTGGCTTGGATAAGCGAGTGTATGCTGATGTAGGAAACATCAGTTGAGGAGTCGTTTTGAGAATAGAATTGATGAATTCAGTTTAGCATATGTTGATTTTGAGGTACCTGCTGGATATCCTAGTGGAGGTATATAGTAGACATTTGGCTATGTGTATCTCAAGTTCAGAGAGACTTAATCCAGAAAATAGAGATTTGGGAGGCAACAGCAAATAGTTGGTAATTGAATCTATGAGAGAAAATGTGGATTTCTCTGGGTTGAAGTAGGGTCGTGTAGTGTTGAGTGAGAAGCAGAGCTGTCAGAGGACAGAACACTGAGCAATACCAATACTTTAAGGGCTGGGCAACAAAGAGGATCCAACAAAAGAAACTGAGAAGGAGTTGTGTGTGTGGTTCAGTAAAGAAAACTGCAATTTCAGACTTCTGTAGCAAAAAGCATTTCTAAGTAGGGGAAACTGATCTTATTTGATGATAGAGAGAAAAGGAGCTGATGGAAAGAAATATAGTGAAGACATGGATATGGAATGCATAAATGCTAGAGCAAGGTCTTTCAGGAAACAGAGCAGCATAGGAGTGAAGACTCATAGAGGAGAGACCCTTCTTTCTTTAATAAAAACAAGGATGAGAGGAGAAGGAGAGTTCAGAAAGGGGACCAGCTGTTGATAACAGAAAACTCATACTGGATTGCCATAGTAAAGTAGGAGTTGAGGTTTCCTGCAGGGCATGAATGTCAGGAGAGGGGAAATGAGTTAGATGGGAGAAAAGATTGTGTCTCAAATGCCTTAAACTTTTCTGCCTCGCATCTCCTGCACCTACTGGTAATACAAATCTAAGATCTTTTAGGTATAGTGATGTTATTCAACCATTTTAAACATTCATAAACTACTTAAAAATAGCTAAATTATATTCACTGTTCATATATTCATGTTGAAAATGGTTGAGTAACATCACTATACCTAAAAGATCTTAGATTTGCAGGACTAGTAGGTGCAGGAGACGCGAGGCAGAAAAGTGATGTTTTCTGATATTGCTCTCAGCAGAATAAGACTGGCTTTCACAGCCTAAAAGAATAAGTCTGAGAGTTTATTCTTAGTTATAGTTAAAATACTTACATATGTTTAAGGTACCACATCAGGAATAAGAGCTCTAATTTTGATATAGTATTAATAATTATAATTGCTACCACTTATTGGGTACCTGCTATTTTCTAGGTATCACACTAATCACTTTATGTCCAATGGTTCTCAACCAGTGGCAATTCTCCCATGACCCCAGGGGTCTTTTGGCATTGTCTGGAGACATTTTTGGTTGTCACTTCTTGGAGAGTAGTTGCGGGTAAAGGCCAGAAATGCTGCTACATATCCTACAACTCACAGGACAGGCCCCTGAAACAAAGCATTATGTGGTCACACATGTCAGTAGTGCTGAGGTTGAGAAACTCTGCTTTATATCTATTTTTTCATATAATTCTCACAAGTCCACAAGGGAAGTATAATTATCTTTAATACACAGATGATGAAACAGAATTGGGAAGGTTAAGTAATTTTTCCAAGGTCACGTCACAAGGTTCCAAGAAGTGGAACCAGCTTTTGAACCCATCTGTCTGATTCTAAAGCCATTTTTTATTTTCAGATGGAGTCTGGCTCTGTCACCTAATCTGAAGTGCAGTGGCATGATCTTGGCTCACTGCAACTACCGCCTCCTGAGTTCAAGTGATTCTTATGCCTCAGCCTTCTGAGTAGCTGGGACTGTAGGCGCGTGCCACCACGCCTGGCGAATTTTTGTATTTTTAGTAGAGGCGGGTTTTCGCCATGTTGCCCAGGCTGGTCTCAAACTCCTGGCCTCAAGTGATCCACCCACCTCAGTCTCCCAAAGTGCTAGGATTACAGATGTGAGCCACCCCGCCTGGCCCTAAAGCCAATTTTTTAACCACTATATACATTGCCAGTTTGTATTAAAGATACACAGACTACCACAAAATGTTTATATTTTTGTGACTAATTTTACATAAAATGTATGTGTTAATATACTAAAATCTGCATTCCTCCTATCTAAAGTTACCAAGGGCCCATTGCTCAACTCTAACCTTCTCCACCTGAGGATAATAAAATAGCATTGTCCTATTGAAAACAGACTTGAGGCCATGTGCAGTGGCTCAGACCTGTAATCCCAGCACTTTGGGATGCCAAGGCAGGTGGATCGCTCGAGTCCAGGAGTTTGAGACCAGTCTGGGGAATAGGGCGAAACCCTTTCTCTGAAAAAAAATTAACTGGGTGTAGTGGATCCCGCCCAGCTACTCTGGAGGCTGAGAGGTGGGAGGATCGCTTGAGCCTGGGAGGTTCAGGCTGCAGTGAGCTGAGATGGTGCCACTGCACTCCAGCCTAGGCAACAGAGCAAGACCCTGTCTAAAAAAACAAAAACAAAAAAAAAAAAAACGCTGGGCATAGTGACTTTGAGAGGCTGAGACAGGCGGACCACTTGTGAAGCGTTTGAGACCAGCCTGTCCAAAATGGCAAAACCCCGTCTCTATTTAAAAAAAAAAAATAGAAAAATTAGCCCGGTGGTGTGGTACGAGCCAGTAATCCCAGCTACTCGGGAGGCTGAGGCAGGAGAATCACTTGAACCTGGGAGGTGGAGGTTGCAGTGAGCCGACATTGCACCACTGCGTTCCAGCCTGGGCGACTCTGTCTCAGAAAAAAAGTAAGAAAGGAAAAGGAAAAGAAAACACACTTGAGTCAGGCACATCCGATGTGTACATTCCAACATGATGTGTTTTCCACTTGTGGGCATTTTCCAATTTAGAAAAAAAAAATGTTTCCATATGATGTTGAGTTGCAGATCCATTTTCAAATCCTATTCAACATACACATAATAAGATGAATACTTTTTGGGCTTTTGGTCACAATTGGACTTCTGTGCTGATACCATTCATCATGTAAACTACCCAATTGCCTCTCGATAATCACTAGGCAGGAGCTCAAACTCTAACCAAGCTACACAAGTCCAGGTCAAGAAGTGAATGTGGAACGTTGGTGGTTCTGTTTTGTTTGTTTTTGCTATTTATGAGCCATTGTAACTGCGAACTTTTCCTTTGTAGAACTGTGCCAAGTAAATCAAACTGAATGATTTCACTTGTCCATAGAAAGTGGTAGATTTCTGCAAAAAGCATTGCCTCCATGTTGCACATTCTCCCAATTTGTAATCCTTAGAATGTGACTGCACAAATAACTGTATGGTTTATGTCCTCTTCTCATATGTATCTAGGGTAGCCTATTCATCCCAGTTTTTCTGGCACAGTCTAGTTTAAAAACCAAAATTCTACATCCTAGGAAACTCCTCAGTCCCAGGCAGCAAGGATGTTGTCTCCCAAAATATACCCAATTCTAATAATTAATTGCTAGAGAATAAAAGCGAATATTACCAATACTGCTAGTTAAGATTCAACAAGAAGAAGGGTTAGTATCAGGATTCAGGTTGGTAAATATTGAGCACCATTTTTGGCCCTCACCTGTTTTTTCAAAGAAGATGATTGTTGACAGAGGAAAATTCAATCAAACTCTGATATGACATAGGATGCCATTTGTCAGCAAGAACTTCACACTGTAACAAAGTAGCTCTCAGGCCTGGCTATATATTATACTCACCTGGGGAGCTTCAAACAATCTGGGTGCTCAAGCTTCACGCAAGACCCATCAGTGTTTTTAAAGTATCTCCAATGGTTATAACATACAGGCAAGGTGAGAACCAGTGCTATAGCACTGCTACGGTCTGACTATACGTATCCCCACCACAGTCATATGTTGAAGCCCAATCACCAATGTGATGGTGTTAGGAGATGGAGCCTTTGGGAGATTATTAGGTCATGAGAAGAGAGCCCTCATGAATGGGATTAGTGCACTTATAAAAGACAACCCCAGAGAACTGCCTTTCGTCCTTCAGCACGTGAGGACACAGCGAGAAGGTGCCATCTACAAACCAGAGGGCAGGCCCTCTCCAGACACCACATCTATCAATTCTTTGATCTTGGACTCCCCAGACTCCAGAAATATGAGAAATACATTTCTTTTGTGTGTAAGCCATCCAGTTTATGGCATTTTGTTATAGTAGTGTGAACTAAGGCAAGCATGATGCTTTCCTTTTCTTAATTGTGGATGTGGCTGGGCTTCCGAAGAGATGGAACAATTATTCACTGCCTAGATAATGTCTAGGTTGCTTGACTGAAGGATTTTAAGGGAGGCTCTGCTCCCCCTCCCCATCACATATTACATTCACCAAAATACACCATTGAAGATCAACAATATTCCTGTGGAGACATAATAGAAACAGCAGGCAGGAGCAGAAAATAAACACTTACATTTTTGAAAGATTTTCTGTCTTCAAGAGGTCCTGATTAAGCTGTTTGGAAAGGCCCACCTTGCCGTATATTTGTGTCTGTCCTGCAAAATGAAAAACTACATGAGGATGAACATTATAATAACAAAGCCTTATCATGGGCAGGCCTGATACCTGAAGTAAAGGTGCTTTTATAGTAGACTGAATGAAACCAAGGCCCTGAGGGAATGAAGTAAGCAGCTGGGGTTGGGAAATCCCAGAGGAAGACAACAGGGGAGCAACCAAAAGACTCACCTACCTCACAAGGGTTCCTCCAGGGGAGACTTGGAAATGAGGTCAGGCCTCATACAAGCACAATATAAAAGATCTGGCTGCTTTTCTGGAGGAGCTTGTATGGCCAATTATTCCTAGTGTAAACTAAAATTCTAAGTACCCAAACTGACTGAATTGGCCATCTCTCAGCCAATAGGATTCCAGAGTAACCTTGAAAAGTGAGTTCTAATGCTGGATAAGCACAGTGGCTCTCATCTGTAATCCTAGCACTTTGGGAGGCTGAGGGAGGAGGATTGTTTGAGCCCAGGAGGTTGAGGCTGCAGCAAGCCATTATTGCACCACTGCACTCCAGTCTGGGAGCAAGATACTGACTCAACAAAAAAGAAGAAAGGAAGAAAAAGAAAGAAAGAAAGGAAGAAAAAGAAAGAAAGAGAGAGAGAAAGAAAGAAGAAAAAAGAAAACAGAAAGAAGAAAGAGAGATAAAATAAAGAGAAAAGGGAGAGAGAGAGAGCGAGAGAGAGAAAGAAAGTGAATTCTTAGCCATGACGGAATGGGGAGTCAGATATGCCTCATTATTCTCCCTCCCTCCCTCCCTCCCTAACCACAATTAGACTTTCTTCCCTAAGGGTTTAACGGTAACCAGCCTTTTCAAAAGACTGTACCACTGATATGAACCAACCTCCTGATGCTGACCCTCCTTTTTTTGCGTAAGAGAGCACTGACCACGGAGTGGTCTGACCAGTCTATGAAGGATGTGCAGCAAGGGTTTTCATGTCTCCCACTTCACCTTTTGATGTCAGAAAGCCAAAAACTCTACCCTCAGATCATGCTAACACCACCATTTTTTTGTACACAGGACCCATGAAGGGGCATGAAGCTCAGTTATATATGTGCAGTTCTCCTTTCATAAATATTCATGACTCCTCCTATAGCTTATTGAATATGTATATTCAGCCACCCTGCTCAGCATAAATTCCTGTTCCTTTTGCTCCTCCCTTAAAGCATCTGTTTCTAGCTTCTGGCAGGAGGCTCTGCTTCCCAGCCTGTCAGAATGGCCACCCTGCAGGCTACAACCCTTTATGAGAAATAAAGCTCTCTTTTCCAAATTTGTGAACTTCATCATTCTTCAATTGACACTAGGTAGCTTACTTGTGGGTGTCAAACTAGATTTGTATGTGCCTCACCTTCTACCTCTTCAATAGCATTAGAGTTAGTGGAACTGAAATAGGAAAAGGAGGGCTCCAAAAACTTCAACCCCTGAAGCAAAATAAACTCATATTGCCTTGTCTGGGCCATAAAGTATGACAAGAAACAGTTTCCCACTCTTCGCCTCGCAGATTCAATAAGGTCTGAGTAGTGACCGGAGTCAGGGATTCTGCTTTGCACCACACAGATTACACCACTGAGAAGATCACTCTGAATTATAAGGCCATCTCCAAACTATCTTCCCCCGGAATTGCCAAGGTGCCTAAAGTTCTGCCATGAAAACTTTCAAGTAATAAAACTGGTTGGGTATTAAAGAAGATTTTCATTAACTCAGATTGGTAACGCCTTAGGCTAGGAATTCCTAGCCAGAAAACAATACCCTGGCTTCACTTTCTAGGTCTTCATGCTGGTTGCTTCTGTCATGCCTCACTATTTTCTACTTTCTGGGTTCTCCCTTCCTTTCTTCTGACTCTTGACTCTCCTCTCCTTATTTTCCTCTCTCTCTCTCTCTCTCACACACACACACACAGACACACACACAATGCATGCACACACAACTCTTAGAAACTCATGGCTTAAGCCTTATCAGCCAAGACCTTGTCAGTGATTAATTGACAGCTAACTGAGGGCGAGATCAATATTGAGGAAGAGAGAGCAGATACTATCAAAGAAAAACTATTTAGGAGATAGAACTGAATGACATTTACTATATATATCCTGGGCCACTGATTTTTCCAATGGAAGGGACAGGTTAGGAATCAAGAGTTACATGTACAAATAAAGATCAGCCAGGCAGCCATGTATATAATCTTTGGTTTCAAAAACAAAGCCTTTTAATTGAATTTCTTGTCAGGGAGAGTGTGGTGTGGAGGGTCACCTGGAGTATATCATGTAATAGAGCTGTTCCATACTCTTTACCCAAGGGGAAACAATCAGATTTCAGAAATACCATTGAGTTGTGTGTGCTGTGAGGCTAAAGGAAAATTCCATTTTTATCATCTCTGAATGATAAAGCTCCACATTCCTAAAATAGTTAGCTTAAAGCAGCAAAAGTCTAAACTGTTCTCAAATTCATAAGTAAACTTGGAAACATATATAGAATCGTTTGAGCATTTTGATGGATTTGCAGCTATGCAAGATATAATTCAGGAAGAGTTAAAAAAACAAAATTTGGACTTGAAAACCTTTCACCTTTATGAGAATCTTACTGATAACATTAGAACAGGTATGTCATAAAATGTGGTGTTTTTGTTTTTCTAGAACAGAAAAAACTATGGAATCTGAGGAAGATAACTTTGGAATATTGGTAGTTTCAAGGAATGTAAAGTGTAGCATAAACAGTTGTGGTACTGGAGCAAGACATGGGGGGAAGACCAACTTCATATCTCACCCGAAATAATTCATTTGGTTTCATTGGTTTTTATCAGGAATGTTGGCTAGTAAGCATGCTGAGAGTGAGGATTTAGAGAAAAAATGTGCTGTGTCTATAGAGAGCAAAATGCTGAGTGGGTTTGATTCAAAATTCACCACAGGCCAGGAAAAAGATTTTGCAAAACTCTGGCCCCTGTTGCTCATACATGGCCTTGGCTGTGTGTAAGCCTCACATTCAGTAGCTGCATTTGATTTTCAAAGAGCAGGGTCATTTTCTCAGCCTACACTTCTCATTAAGTTCCAAACACTTCCTTAGGATATGAAACCTCCCCCTTCTCTTTCACCACTCCTAGTAAGGCCAGCTTGTTCAGACAATACTGAAAGGGGCTGCTCTTTGGTGCTCAGACAGGATGTTCCATTGATATATCTTGCAGGGACATCCCATAAGCATTCGTTTGTTGGTGTCTCATACAAACATGAACTGTTCCTACTCAGACTGAATTAAATGTTTTATATAAAAACTGTCTGATGTTTTCAGCATTTGCTCCAGAAGAATTTAGCAATTACTTAGTCTGTGCAAGGTTCTGGGCTAAGCCCTGGAAGGAGAAGAGGGGTGCAGGAAGAGATGAAGCTCGAGGAACTGCTGAAGACAGAAAGATGAACAAGCTGTACCACTTATCTTTAATAATAATAGTGAATACGTATTGAACAGTTACTCTGTGCCAAGCACTGCGCTAAAGTCTTTACATGAATTAGGTAATTTAAACTTTACAACGCTACTATACTGCCTTTTGTAAATCAGGAAACTGAAATTCAGAGAGGTTAAGCCCAAAGTCACACAGCTAGTGATGGGATCAAGGTTTGAGCCTGATCTTTTTGATCCCAGAGCCACCATATGCAACTGCCATCCTCTCATGCCTTCAAAGATTCAGAATCTGGTAGGAAAAAGAAATATCTAAATGATCTCTAATAAAAGGAACAATATGGTACGTGCCACAAAAGATATAGGCAAACTGCTATGGGAGTGCAGATGAAGGTGTATTTAATATCTGGGAAGGCCTCATGGAGGGAGTAAAAATTGAACTGAGCCTTAAATGACAAGTGGGATTTTGGTAGATGGAGATGAGGGAAAGGGTATTTCAGGTAAAGGAGCTAAATCACAGAGTGACAAGTATAGTATAACTGGAGCATTGCATGTATCACAGAATAAGGAGTCGCAATGAAAAGGCTGTAAAGATCGCTACCCCATTGCTGTGTACCTTGAACACTAAGCAAAGACATCAGGATTTTATTCCTTCTTTAATAGGCAATGGAAAGTCAATCATGGTTTTTGTGCAGGCAAGTGATATGATCAGATCCGTGATTTCGAAGGAGAATTTCAGTGGCAGCTTCAATCATGAAAAGGTCAGAGGTCAACTATCAGTTGTGTGACTAGGGATATTGTCTAGATGAGGGATGGGCAAGAGCCTGAATGAAGGTGTTTCCACAGGGAATGAAAAAGAAGGGATAACCTGAGACAATTTCACAGTAGGTAATTACAGGAACTGGTAACTGAGTATGAGAGACAGAAATGATCTGAAGTGGATGTTAACATTTCTAGCCTGATTGATAAGGCAGATTATTGTGCCCCTTACTGAGAAATTAGGCATAGGACAAAGAGTAAACTTGGGACAGGGAGAGTTAGTCATGTCTGAACCTCAAGAAAAAGGCCAGAATGTAGATTTGAGACTCATCCAGAGAGAAAATATAGTCGAAAGAGGATGAAACTAGCCAGGGAAAATAGTATTAAATAAGAGAACATTTTCTGCTTCAGGCAATAGGATAGGTGTGTAGGGAAACCCTTCCAAAAAAAGAGTGCCTGAAAAGCTGGATAGAATATTTAAAATGTTTTTAAAGTGGAGCTGAGCTGAAGATAAGTAAGGAAAACAATCAGAGGCCAGACAATAAAGCCTGGTTTTCTAAAGGTAATCCAGCCAAGGTTTGTCTTGGAAGTATCTGCTTATCCCTGGTGGCCTAGAGTCAGTATTAAAGGACTGTGTGGCAGGACCAAAACAGGCTGTAAAGCCTGGCACCCACGCAAGGCAGTCAAGCCGATTGGAGAGTCTATCATAAAGCTAAAATCCTCTAACAGTGACTACCTCAGTGAGTGGCCTAGAAAATACCCTATCTCTACATAAAAGATACTTATCTGTCCAGGGATGAGGCAGAAGAGTGTGGGGAAAAATTATTTCCTCTGAGAATTCCCAACCACATACTCACACTCAAGCAGTTTTAGGAGCAGAATTCTATTCCTGTGTCTTCGAAACCATCATTCAGAAAAGTTAGTTTATGGTGGTCCTTGGTTAATAGCACCCCTAGGCACACCGTAGTAGCAAATTAAAATTTCTGCTAGAAGAATGGTTAAGTGGCCTCAAAGAATTCCCACAGATAAAATTCCAAAGAACATGAGCTCACAATGAAACAAAATCATGAAATCTACAAAGAAACAAACCGTTTTGAATGACAGTCTGCAGAAACAGAGCCACAAAGGCTCAGAAAGATAAGAATGATCCAATATTGAATAGAAAATAAGGATGTTCAATATGCTAAAATAAATAAAAGGGAATTTAAAGATGATTACAAAATAAGAAACTGTGAAAACTGAGCAGGAAGATTTTTTTAAAAAAGAGACCAAAATGGATGTGAGAAGTGGAAAATATAATTTAAGTACAAAATAAAATCTCCTTGGATGGGTTAAACAGAGAGCTGAAGACAATTCGTGAGTTGGAAAATAGGTCAAATGGTATTTCCCAGTAAGAAGCACAAAGCTATGAAATAAAATTCTGAAAGAGGCTAAAAGACATTGAGGATTGCATTAAGAAAAGTCTCAAATATATCTAAGTGAAGTTTCAGAAGGCAAGAGTAGAAAGAATGTAAAAGGAGTAATATATTTATGGAGATAAAGTTTTAACAATTTTTTTGGTATTTAATATAAATGAAAAGAAGAGGGGGAAGGACAGTACCTTGAAGAATACCAATACTTGTAAAGGTAGTTGCGGGAAAGAAGACTTAGCAAAGAAAACTGAAAATGACTTACTAGGGAGAAGATAGAAGAGCCAAGAGAATCCAGTGTCATGAAAGCAAAGAGTAAGCATGTTTCAAGAAGGCCAATGTCAATAATTATAAATGTTGCAGACAAGTCAAGAAGGATGACAATCAGCAATCACTTACTGAGTAGTGTCTACTATGTGTCAGGCATAGTGCTAGGTGGACACAAAGATGGATAATATGTGATTCCTGTACTCAAAGTTATGGGAGAAATGTAAATAACATATTACAATCTAATCTAATTAAGGCTATAATAGGCATGAACAGAGTGCTCTATGAGCAGAGAGAAAGAGGCTTTCTTCCTGTGTAAGGATCGTTCTTTCTAATGAGCTCTTCTCAGCTGTTTATCTCATGGGATTTTTTTTTTTAGAATTCTGAATATGCATTTATCTTTCATCGAAACATCATCTTTAAACACACTGTCAGCTCTATCTCCCTCTTTATCTGCATCATTTTGGGGCATGTAATATTCAATAAGATTCTGGTGTCTAGTATGAGCTTGAATGGCAGATCTTTAAGTAATATTTATGTGCCTGTTCTCAGAGTCTGGGCCAAATAGTACAGACTTGCTTCCCCTTTCCATTTGCCCTGCCCTCAGCTTAGTTCAGGATCTCACCACATTCACCTAGGTCTTCGATAGCCTCCATATTTTAGCTCTGATCATAACATTCCCAGCTCAAACTTTCATTCATCTTAATATAGCCCCGTTCATAGCACTATGACTTCATAGTGGAGACATTAAATAAATATAAATATTGAAATGAAAGAATGCTCAATCTAAAAATAAGCAGAAGGAAATATCCCATTGTCATGTGAATAATTTGATTTTCCAAATCAATTAAAGAAGATGTCATTTGAAGGCATATGTTATCAATTTGTTTGCTTGCATTCTGCCCAACTTCATTCCAAAAAATACAGTAGTCAGTGGTTAAATGTGTGTGTGTGTGTGTGTGTGTGTGTGTGTAAAGTTATGTTCATATTGCAAGTTTATATTTAATTCAACAAAGATTTGCTGAATGTCTACTATGTGTGTCTCTGCAACTTATTGGAGAAGTACAAAGATGTATTCAATACCAATAAGAGCCATTATACATATATATGTACGTATTATATATACATATATGTATACGTGTATACATATACACGTATATGTATACATACATATGTATAATATATACATATATATTATATAAACGTATATATGTATATATGTGTGTATATATGTATATATTTATATATGTATATACGTATATACGTATACGTATATACGTATATACGTATATATGTATACGTATATACGTATATACGTATATATGTATATATGTGTATACATATACATATGTATGTATATGTATACACACATATATATACACATATGTATATATGTATATGTATACACATATATGTATACATGTATATGCATATATACACATATGTGTATATGCATACGTATGTACACACATGTATATATGTATACGTCTGTACACACATATGTATATATGCGTACGTATGTACACACATATGTATATATATGTACGTATGTATACACATATATGTATATATGCGTACGTATGTATACACATATATGTATATATGCGTACGTATGTATACACATATATGTATATATGCGTACGTATGTATACACATATATGTATATATGCGTACGTATGTATACACATATATGTATATATGCGTACGTATGTATACACATATATGTATATATGCGTACGTATGTATACACATATATGTATATATGCGTACGTATGTATACACATATATGTATATATGCGTACGTATGTATACACATATATGTATGTATGCGTATGTATACACATATATGTATATATGCGTACGTATGTATACACATATATGTATGTATGCGTATGTATACACATATATGTATGTATGTATGCGTATGTATACACATATATGTATGTGTGTATATACACATACATGTATGTGTGTATATACACATATATGTATGTGTGTATATACACATATATGTATGTGTGTATATACACATGTATGTGTGTATATATGCACATGTATGTGTGTATATATGCACATGTATGTATATGTACATATGCACGTATATGTACATATGCACATATATTTGTGTATGTGTATGTGTATATGCACACGTATGTATATGTATATATGCACATATATGTATGTATGCACATATATGTATGTATATGTATATATACATATATGTATGTATATGTATATGTATATATACATATATGTATGTATATGTATATATACATATATGTATGTATATGTATATATACATATATGTATGTATATGTATATATACATATATGTATGTATATGTATATATACATATATGTATGTATATGTATATATACATATATGTAGGTTTATGTATATATACATATATGTAGGTTTATGTATATATACATATATGTAGGTTTATGTATGTATATGTACATATACATATACGTAAGTATGTGTACATATACATATACGTATGTATATGTATGTATGTGTACGTATACGTATATGTATGTATATGCACATATATGTATATGCATGTATACGCACATGTACATATATGTATGTATACGCATATAGGTATGTATGTGTATGTGTATATACATACATGTATATGTGTGTATATACATGTATGTGTATATACATATATGTATATGTGTGTATGTGTATATACATATATGTGTGTATGTGTATATACATATATGTGTGTGTATACATATATGTGTATATACATGTATGTGTATATACATGTATGTGTATATGTGTATGTGTATATACATGTATGTATACCTGTGTATATACATGTATGTATACGCGTGTATATACATGTATGTATACCTGTGTATATACATGTATGTACACGTGTGTATATACATGTATGTATACGTGTGTATATGTGTATGTGTATATACATATATGTGTATATGTGTATGTGCATATACATATATGTGTATGTGTATATGTGTATGTGCATATACATATATGTGTATGTGTATATGTGTATGTGTATATACATATATGTGTATGTGTATATACATATATGTGTATATGTGTATGTGTATATACATATATGTGTATATGTGTATGTGTATATACGTATATGTGTATGTGTATATACATATATGTGTATACATATATATTCCACATAATATATGTGTATATACATATATGTATATACACATATATTCCACATAATATATGTGTATATACATATATGTATATACATATATATTCCACATAATATATATGTATATATACACACATGTATAATATATATTCCACAAATATATGTATAATATGTATTTTATATATAAACATATATATGTGTATAATATATATATTCCACAACAGAAGTCCAGATAAAGTGCAATACGATGAGTCATAAGAGTCAGAAGAAATAGCACATCAAGTGTGGGATGGGATAAAATAAGATCCCATTAACTGAATGTCATTTAAACTGGATCTTCCATGATGGATAGGATTTGGAGATTTAGGGGAAAGGATGGTGGGGAGGGAGGTGTTCCAGGCATGAGTATAGCTAAGGAGAAGGGAGCAGAACTTGTTAAAGTGGACCAGTTCTGAAATGCATTAATCTGTCAGCGAAAGAAATTTGATTACAGTGGCTGAAACACATGAGGGTTTATTTGTCCCATGTAATGAGAAGTCCAAAGGTAGGCGGTTGCTGGTGTTGGTTTAGCAGCTCAAGAATGTCAGGGCTGTTTGTAATTCTCTTGACCTTTCCCTCATAGTCCCAAGATGCCTGGTGGTACTTTAAGCATCACATTCAAATACCAGGCAGTGGGTAGAAGGGAGAGTCAAAAGGCAAAAAGGGCTTCCCAGAAGCCCCACCCTATGACTTCTGCTTGTATCTCATTGTCTCTATCTGCAAGAAAGACTAAGAAGCATAGATATTTTTTAGTTGGCCACATTATTATAGTAAGGAAGCAGGGGAGAAAAGATATTGGGTAGGCAGTCTCTGCAACAAAACAAAAGTCAAGTTTGGCTTGAGCATAAAGGGTGGAGATAGTATTTCTTAAATATGAGCCAACTGATTTGGAAAGAAGGAATATAGATTTCTCATACCTGGCATGACATTTGCTTTTCTATTGTTTTCCATTTACCTGCCTTTAATGAAATCTATGATCAGGGTAGAGGTTGCTATGGGAGCACCTTCAGTTGCTCAAGGAAAACTTCCCAGAGAGGGGATGCCTGAATTAAGCCCGGCAGATGGATATGGTTAAGGCTAGTAGGTGAAGGGTAGCTTTGGCAACGGCTCAGAATAAGAAGGAAGGTGGAAGTTTCTGGAAATTGCAAACATTTCTGGCTAGCTTATGCGGAATGTAATAAGGATATGGCCAAAAAAAAAAAAAAGGAGATAAAAAGGTATGGGCTAGATCATGAAGACTTGTAAGATATGTAAGGGATTTGAACTATATTACTAGCTTCTAAATTTTAAAAAACTAATGGAAATATTTTCTTAATTACTTGCTTACTCTGCCGTCTTTCCTGGCAAAATCTGTAAGGGTATCTTGCTCATCTTGTTCATTACTGTATTCCTAGAGAGTGGCATTGTGGCTGGCCCCTAAGGCCTCCCCAGTGAATCTACATTCTTCATGGAATGAAATGTGAAACCGTTGCACTAAATGTCCTATGAAATCTTTGTTATTTCAACTCACTAACCTTTAAGCTGGGGTCCCTTAAACCACACCTGTAAGTGACCCTCTGTGTTAGTCCAGGCTCTCCAAGAAGCAGACAAAGTGATAGGGTTAAAAACACAAGAAATTTATTAGAGGCAATCCATATGATGGAAAATGGGGAGGGAGCTAGGAAAATCTAGGAGAGCCACCAGCATTCATTGCAATGCAATGCAAGTCTCACCCTGAGTGAAGGAGAGAGAGAGAGAAAGAAGGAAGGAAGGAAGGAGTGGGGGATGGAGGGTATTAGCCTACCATGTAGTTCTAAGGAAAGTTTAACAAGGCTGCCAGGGAGTCCTTGAGACAGTCACCAGTCAAAGGAATCCAGTGTCTCATGGACAGGCCTGTCTAGGTTCCCTGCTGTGCTCACACAATGACGGGGAGCAGCCGTAGGAAGCATGGCCTCAGTGCCAAGGCGATGATTTCAGAGCACAGCAGCAGCTTGGTCACTGTCCCTGCAGAAATCTGAGTGGCACATTCTCAGGACTGCCATGCCTGCCAACCCCAGCATTGTCAGCAGGGCTCCTGTACTGTTTAGTGTGGCCCCTGTATTCTGGTTACCGGGTTCTGTTGTTTCCAAGTCCTAATTTATACTCTCATTCTATAAAGCCAGCCGTATATTTCCTCTGGGAGTGAAGTCTGCCTTGCCCCCTAAATCCTTCTATAAATTATGGATCTGACTCTGAACTAGAGCCCCTGTGGACATCTCGTCCCAATGAACAAACATCCCTTGTCCCAGCCGTCTACCTGCCTGTTGCCTGCCCTTGCCATAGGATATATATATATATGCGCCCACATACACACACACACACACACACACACACACACACACACACACACACACACACTGAGAGATAGAGAGAGAGAGAGAGAAAGACATGAGGTCTTGCCCTCTTGCCTAGGCTGGAGTGCAGTGACATGATCACAGCTCACTGCAGCTTCCAACTCCTTGGTTCAAGAGATCCTCCTGCCTCAGCCTCCTGAGTGGCTGGGATTACAAGTGCACGCCACCGTGCCAAAGATAAGATGTTTTTAAGGATAAAATTCTCCCATGTTAGCTCCTGGTTTTATGGATCCCCATTAGTCAGAAAGAGATGTTCTGCTGCCTATCTGTGCTGCTCTAGTACCAGGTACCTCCCCACTATGGATTAACTGAGGAGGTTTCATAGCTCATCCACCACCACACAACAAATAAGTATGAAGGCTGAAGTTTAAACCAGGACTGTGTGATTTTTAAATTGTACTTTCTAAACCACTATCTGACACCGCCTCTCCTTCATAGAACTAGTCACACTGGATGGTGACCCTCTGTTTACTGGTCCATTCACCCCCTTCCTCAAGATAACAGCCGCCTGAGTTGGGCGGGGAGAGCAAGGCACAAGTAGGCAGTTAAGAAGTGTTTCTGGAATAAAAGAACGAAGGGAGGGATGAACGAACAAACAAATGAACTGTTAGCAGCCAAGTTGCAGTCATCCCAGATTGGGCCCAATTCTACAGTTTCTGAGAGCTTGGCAGCTCTAAGAGGCTCTGGTCCTGTGAATCCATATGTCTCCCAATGCAACCGCTTAATAATGAAACCAGAGCTGCTAGGACAGCACTTTCCATTTACTCCCGACCCTGAGCTGCTTGCGGATCCAATAAAGAATTTGAATAGCCAAAGTTCTAGAAATGTGAGAGATAAGATGCTTTCTGCTCAAAAAAGAAGAAAAAAGTCAAACAAAGGGAATCCTAAGATATGTTTCTTGGTGAGGTGGGGGTTGCAGAAGGGGCCAGCATGGTCATACTGCCTGAAGGCAGCTTTCAGTGTCGCCAGACAGAAAAGGAAATGACAACAACTTTAGACAAGAATAGAAGGGCAAATAAAGATCTTATTGAAAAGCAGGTAAATTGGCTGGGCTCAGGAAGTCTTTAATGGCTCAGGGCTGGCAAAGGTCCCATCTGGTAGTCCACTTCTACCTTACAATGGAGCTCAGTGGACTCCATGTTGTTCACTTGCTCTGAACCTTTGTGTGCAGCATGGGCTTGGTATTGAACCTAAACATGAAGGGCCTCTTTGTTCTGTAATTTTCTCCCCTTCACAGACCACAGAGCCTCCACAGGCATTGATGGCCCATGATTACATTAGCAGTGTGTGTAATTCTGGGTGAGCCGCTTAATCTCTCCAAACCTCAGTCTACTCATATGTAAAACGGGTCTGGACCAGATCACTGAGATAACGTGTGAGTGTCTAGCAGACTATTGGCATGTAGTGAACATTTGGTAAATGTTTGTTAAAAGAGTTAAAGTATGACTACAGAGTTCTCCATTCCTATGTCAGGTATAAGGACTATGTAAGGAAGGGATCTGTATTCCTGCTTCAGTGGCAACCAGACTTTTCCCGCTCAGTATTCTGAGGAAATCTGAGGAGAATTAATTGGTTATTAACATTCACTATGGGGCAATGTGGGGTGGGAGGTGGTAGAGAGAGGACAAAAAACAGATACAGAAGAAATACGCTACTTTTGTTCCTAAGGATGCTTTTAAAGGCTTAGTGCTGCGAAGCAAGGCTTTTCCGTTTTTAAAAATTTAATTTAATTTAAGTTCCAGGATACATGTGCAGGACGTGCAGATTTGTTACACAGGTAAACGTGTGCCATGGTGGTTGGCTGCACCTATCAACCCATCGCCTAGGTATTAAGCTCCACGTGCATTGGCTATTTATCCCTATGGTCTCCCTTCCCCACCACCCCTGACAGGCCCCAGTGTGTGTTGCTCCCCTCCCTGTGTCCATGTGTTCTCCTTGTTCAGCTCCCAATTATAAGTGAGAACATGCTGTGTTTGGTATTCTGTTCCTGCATTACTTTGCTGAGGATAATGGCTTCCAGCTCCATCCATGTCCCTGCAAAGGACATGATCTCATTTCTTTTTATGGCTGCATAGTATTCCATGGTGTATATGTACCACATTTTCTTTACCCAGTCTATCACTGATGGGCCTTTGGGTTGGTCCCATGTCTTTGCTATTATGAATAGTGCTGCAATGAACATATGTGTGCATATATCTTTATAATAGAATGAAGTATATTCCTTTGGGTATATACCCAGTAATGGGATTGCTGGGTCAAATAGTAATTCTGGTTCTAGGTCTTTGAGGAATTGCCATACTGTCTTCCACAATGGCTGAAATAATTTACATTCCCACCAACAGTATAAAAGCATTCCTATTTCTCCACAGCTTTGCCAGCATCTGTTGCTTCTTGACTTTTTAACAATTGCTATTCTGACTGGCATGGCAGGGTGTCTCACTGTGGTTTTGATTTGCATTTCTCTAATGCTCAGTGATGTTGAGCTTTTTTTCATATGTTTGCTGGCTGCATAAATGTCTTCTTTTCAGAAGTGTCTGTTCATGTCGTTTGCCCACTTTTCAATGGAATTGTTTGCTTTTTTCTTGTACGTTTGTTTAAGTTCCTTGTAGAATCTGGATATTAGCCCTTTGTCAGATGGATAGATTGCAAAATTTTTCTCTCATTCTGCAGGTTCTCTGTTTACTCTGATGGTAGTTTGTTTTGCTGTGCAGAAGCTCTTTAGTTTAATTAGATTCCATTTGTCCATTTTTGCTTTTGTTACAATTGCTTTTAATGTTTTAATCATGAAATCTTTGCCCGTGAAGCAAGGCTTTTCTTATTCCTCAGGATTAACTGTCTGATTCTTCACTACTGTTTCCACCTGTGCTGCCACTGCAAACTCTTTCCTAGACAAGCTCTTCAGTTGCAAAACAACAGTAGACATCTTGTATATTGCAAAGCTATTTATAGGACACACACACTGGTTGCATATACCACACACACACACACACACACACACACATACTCAAGATTTCATGTCATTTCATTGTAAATATTTCAATATATATTTTCAAAAGAAATGGACTCTTTAAAAAATAGCTATAATACCTTTAAAATGCATTATTTCTTAACATCATTAATTGTCCAATCCATGGTCATATTTCCCCAATTATCTCATTTTTTTTTCACATTGGGTTATTTGAATCATGATCCAGAAAAGGTTTGCATCATATAATGGCGTTTCGTTGATAAGTCATCTCTTAAGTTTCTTTTAATCTATAAGTTTCTCCCTCTTTTCTTGCCCTTTCTTCCTTCCTCCCTCCCTCCCCCTTTCCTTCCTTCTTTCTTTCTTTCTTTCTTTCTTTCTTTCTTTCTTTCTTTCTTTCTTTCTTTCTTTCTTTCTTTCTTTCTTTCTTTCAACAGTGTCTTCCTCTGTAACCCAGGCACCCAGGCTGCAGTGCAGTGGTGCAATCATGGCACACTGCAGCTTTGACCTCCTGGGCTCAAGCAATCCTTTCCACTTTAGCCTCCTGAGTAGAGTAGCTTGGACTGCAGGTGCACACCACCACGCCTATTTTTTTTCTTCAGTTTTTGTAGAGACAGGGTCTTGCTATGTTGAACAGGCTGATTTCAAACTCCTGGCCTCAAGCTATCCTCCCATCTCAGCATCCCAAAATGCTGGGATTATTTTCTTGCCATTTGTAAAAAAGAGTTGAAAGCCTGTGCTCTTAACCACGAAATATGGCATTTATGTTTATTTTCAGAGTTATGCCTTTGAAAGAAATACCCTCCTCCTAAACACATTTCTTGTATTAAATATAGCTCCTTATTTTCCTGTAGAATAGAAGGCGATCATACATTAAAAATGTATTTTAGAGCAGGAGACAGTGGCTCATATCTGTCATCCCAGAACTTTGGGAGGGCGAAGCAGTAGGATCACTTGAAACCAGGAGTTTGAGACCATCCTGGATAGCATAGCAAAACCCCATCTCCACAAAACATTTAAAAATTAGCCAGGTGTGGTGGCATATGCCCATAGTCCCAGCTATTCAGGAGGCTGAAATAGGAGGATTACTTGAGTCCAGGAGGTTGAGGCTGCAGTAAGCCATGACCTAGTTTTGTAGATATTTATGACAAGATAGGGCTTGAGAACAGAAAAGCCAGCTCTCAAAAAATATATCCTGTCCCATCCCCCATGGGGCCTAAAGTTTCATAGGTAAAGATGTCGCTAAGACTTTATATCTTTAAGCATCACAACTATCTGTCACTAGTCACTAAAACTTTCAAAAGTCAGGCTCTGACAGCTTAGATAGGTGGGTATGGTAAAAGGAAGGGAGGAAAAGCCTGAATAGACCTAGCCCAGATATCACTCTGAAGTGAAGGCCTCTAACAGACTAGGGCAGGGGGTAACCTGAGGAACCAGGCACCCATTCAGGGGCAGGGCACCCACTGTGGAGAAAAGACAAATGATAGGGATCTATTTCACAGTTTTGCTGTTGCTTCGACTTAGTTGTACATGTTTGGATAATATTAAAAGTATTTAAGAAGCAGTAGGATATATTGGAGAGGCAGAAGTTCTCATCAGTGGCTAGCTGAAGGTCCTTGAGGGGCATGCTGGTCAGCTGTGGGCTCAGTACACAGTTTGCACACTAAGGTGCTGGTCCTGTTGCCAGGGGTGCTGTTTCCACTCTAGCTGGTGCTATCTCAGCTCTGGTCATCTGGACACATGGATGGGAGCCTGTTGGCAGACAGGCAGCAGGGCAGCCCCCAGAAAGACTCCTCCATGCTGATGCAACTGGCATCCATTCAAAGGGCTCAAAGCAGCAGCTCTTCACCAATCAGTGCCTCAGTATTTCATGATTTTTTTGTTTGTTTGTTTTTTGTTTTTTGTTTGTTTTTTTCCGACGGAGTCTCACACTGTCACCCAGGCTGGAGTGCAGCGGTGCTATCTTGGCTCACTGCAAGCTCCGCCTCCCGGGTTCACACCATTCTCCTGCCTCAGCCTCCAAAGTAGCTGGGACTACAGGCGCCCGCCACCACGCCTGGCTAATTTTTTGTATTTTTAGTAGAGACGGGGTTTCACTGTGGTAGCCAGGATGGTCTTGATCTCCTGACCTCGTGATCCGCCTGCCTCGGCCTCCCAAAATGTTTCATGATTTTAACCACTCCTCCTGCCTCCAGGCTGAGTCTAAACCTTGTAAAATTGCAACCTCTCTGCTTTTCTGAAAGAGGGTAGGCAGTGTGATGTTCTGTAAAAAGCTATTATCTTCAGGTAGGTTTTAGTTCCAAATTAACCACTAACTTAGGCAAGTCACTTCAGCTTTCTGAGCCTCAGTTTTATCATCAGTAAAATGAGGATAAAACTCTTACTCTGTTTACCTCCCAGGGTTTGTTATGTTAAACAAGAACATGATGTGCAAGTGTTGTATAACTAATCACAACTTACACCTGCAAGACATTTTATTATTATTATTATAGCTCCAACTGTAACATGGCAATGAATGCACAAAGGTAGCCAATAGATATTTAATTTCCTTTTTATTGGACCAAATGTTATGGTAAATCACCCCAGGAAAATGGCTGAGCAAATGTGAGGCTAACACCACAACCAGCCCCAGAAGTAAACAAAAGCACAACACTGGCAAAGGCATTCACTTTGAAAATTCTAACCCCGATACAGCAGTCTTGAGGTTCATGTTTCGCCATTGCGATGTGTTTAACTTGAACAATGTGGCTGAGCTTTCCCATTCTAACTAGAGCTTTCTTGAACCAGAAACAAAGGCAAGTCAGTTCTGAGGCTGAGATTCAAATAATCAGATCACGGGACAGCTGCAAACTGGAAAGCAAATGAGACAGCTACTGGAGTGATCCCATTAATAAAGGCCCTCCTCCCAACACGTGGCCCTTTCCCCAACACACTAGAGGCCAACAGAAAGGACACTTCTTCCTCTTTGGAAGGAAGGAAGTTAACAACTGGAATGAATCCGATTAACCTGGTTAACAACTGGAAGGAGGAAGGTCTGTTATGAGTCCCTTTAAATTCCTGCTTTTTCCTTGGTAGTCCTAATGAAGGAGGAGAGGATTTAAAAAAAAAAAAGCTAAAAGAACTTTGCTGTTGCTTTTGATAACGCTGTCACACACAATGATGATTTTTTAAAATGAACACTGGGATTTGGCCAGGCGCGGTGGCTCACGCCTATAATCCCAGCACTTTGGGAGGCCAAGGCGGAAGGATCACTTGAGGCCAGGAGTTCAAGATCAGCCTAGCCAACAGGTGAAACCCCATCTCTACTAAAAATACAAAAACTAGCTGGGTGTGGTGGCACACGCCTGTAATCCCAGCTACTTGGGAGGCTGAGACAGGAGAATCACTCGAACCCGGGGGCAGAGGCTGCAGTGAGCTGAGATCGAGCCACTGCACTCCAGCCTGGGCAACAGAGTGAGACTCCATCTCAAAACAAAACAAAACAAACAAACAAACAAAAGCACTGGGATTTACATTCTTTTCATAAAGAAGACTCTTTCCCCAACCATTCCTATTAAAGAACTGGAAGAGACTTCAGAGATTTTTAACAGGAGGGGGTAGCTGCTGTGGGGCTAAGAAACTGGAATTAAAGGCTGGGCCTGGTGGCTCATGCCTGTAATCCCAGCACTTTGGGAGGCCGAGGCAGGGGGATCACCTGAGGTCAGGAGTTCGAGACCAGCCTAGCCAACATGGTGAAACCCCGTCTCTATTTAAAAAATACAAAAATTAGCCAGGCATGGTGGTGGGAGCCTGTAATCTCATCTACTCAGGAAGCTGAGGCAGGAGAATCACTTGAACCTGGGAGGTGGAGGTTGCAGTGAGCCAAGATCGAGCCACTGCACTCTAGCCTGGGCGACAGAGCGAGAAAAATAAAAAAGAAGAAAAGAAACTGGAGTTAACAATGGTTCCTAATTCCCTTCCCTGTTTGCACTATTTCCTCAGGTTCCCAGGGGAAGGGAGGCTTGAGGTATTGAGTAAAAGACCCAGCTGTGGATAGAGTTAGTCAGGACTCCATAGACTGTAATTAGTTTTTTACCTACACTGGCTAGAGTAAATGAATAAAATCTACCCAATAGGAGACACAGAAAGTCTCCTGCCTTAAAAGCTGTACAAATGAGAGGATAAAATCATTGGCACTTTGTCAGCTTGGTGATAGAGTCTTGTGGTTTTTAGAGCTGAGAGGGCAGTAGGAATGTTCCCACCCTCCTTTTCACAGATAAGGTAAGAGGAATGGACTTGTCCAAGTTTACACAGTGACTGAATGAATTAACTCTTGCTCACCAAAATGACACCATCCTCTGGGTAAAAAGTGAGCAGTGGATTGTCAATGTCCATATTCCTCTTCTTCCTCAAACAGGCTATCAAATTCCTCACCATTCACGCTTTCTTCTCTGCTATGATTGCCCACACATTCTCACATCCATTATCCAGTCCCTTAATATCTCCCATTCTAACTCTGCTGGTTTTTCCACCACTGCATCCACTGCCAATTTTTCTAAGAGGAAAGAGAAACTTCTACCCACTGGTATTGCAGGTGTTTTATTGAATCCTCCAAAAGTGGATGTGGTTCTTATAGTTTAGAGTACTCTCAGGCATGGAACCTAAGAGAAGTTTCCTGAGGCTGGGCCAAAGAGGAAGAGTTGGCAACTACAACCTGCACGCCAAGTTCAGTGCCCTGTCTGTTTTTGTATGGCATGCAATCTAAGAAGGTTTTCTTTGTTTATTTTTAATTGTGGTTAAAAAAATGACATAAAATTTACCACCTTAACCATGTTTAGGAGTACAGTTCAGTAGTGTTAAGTATATTCACATTGGTGTGCAACAGATCTCTGCAACTTTTTCATCTTGTGAAACTGAAACACCACACCCATTAAACAATTCCCTTTTCTCTCTTCTTCCAGCCCTTGGTAACCAATATTCTTTCTGTTTCTATGAATTTTAATACTTGTGAGGCATTGACTCAAGTCATTTTTTACTAAATATACTTACATCTCAAAATTTGGGAATGATTTGCTTAAAAACTAATTTACAGTAGATTCAAGACTGTTCTTTTAATAATATCCCTTCCCTAACTTGTATTTATTTTGTGGTTAAAAAAAATAAAATTTACCATCTTAACAATTATCTTGTTTTTGAGACAGGGTCTCACTCTGTCGCCCAGGCTGGAATGCAGTGGCATGATCATAGCTCACTGCAGCCTCGAACTCCCAAAGCCCAGATGACCCTCCCACCTCAATCTCCTGAGTAGCTGGGACCACAGGCATGCACTACAACACCCTGCTTTTTTTTTTTTTTTGTAGAGACAGGGTTTCTCCATGTTGCCCTGGCTGGTCACCAACACCTGGGCTCAAGCCATTCGCCCACCTCAGCCTCCCAAAGGGCTGGGATTATAGGCATGAGCCACTGTGCCCAGCCCATCTTAACCATTTTTAAAGTTTAGTAGTGTTAACTATACAAACATTGTTGCACAACAGATCTCTGGAAACTCTTTCACCTTGCAAAACTGAAACTTTGCACCTATTGAATAGCAATTCTTCGTTTGCCCCTTCCTCTAGCTCTGGGCAAATGCCATTCCACTTTTTGTCTCTAAGAGGACTGAATACTTTAGATAACTTAATAATGCAGTATTTGCAGTGGAATAATGCAGTACTTGCAATTTTTTGATTGACTTATTTCACTAAGCATAATGTCATTGAGGTTCATCCCTGTTGTAGCATATGATAGAATCTTCTTTTTTAAGGCTGAACAATATTCCATTGTATGTATATACTACATTTTGTTTATCCATTCATTGGTCCATAGACATCTGAGTAGTTTCTATCACATGGCTGTTGTGTATAATGCTGCTATGAACATGGGTATAGAAATATCTCTCTGAGGCCCTGCTTTCAATTCTTTTGTGAATATATTCAGAAGTAAGCCTGCTGGATCATATGGTGGTTCTATTTTTGATTTTTTGAGGTACCACCATATTGTTTTCCATAGAAGTTGCGCCATTTTACAATTCTACCAATAGTGCACAAAAGTCCCAACTTCTCCACATTCTTGTCAACATGTTTTATTTTATTGATTTTTTGTGGTAGCAGCCATCCTAATAGGTGTGAGGTGATATTTCATTTGATTTGCAATTATTTACTGATTAGCAATATACATATTTTCATATGCTTACTGGCCATTTGTATATCATCCTTGGAGAAATGTATATTCATGTCCTTTGCTCATTTTTTAAATTAGCTTATTTGGGTTTTTCTGTTGTTGAGTTGTAGGAGTTCTTTAAAAATTCTGAATATTAACCCCATTTCAGATACATGATTTGCAAATATTTTCTCTCATTCTGTAGGTTGATATTTCATTCTGTTGATTGTGTCCTTTGATACACAAAAGCTTTCTTAAATTTATTGTAGTTTCATTTGTCTATTTTCTGCTTTTGTTGCCTGTGCTTTTCATCTCTTATCCAATAAAACCTACCAACTCCAATATCATGAAGCTTTTTCTCTAGGTTTTCTTCTGGTAGGAATGGTTTTTAATATTTTTTAATGGATGAGAAAAATCAAAAGAAGAAATATATTTCGGAGGCCGAGGTGGGCAGATCACGAGGTCAAGAGATTGAGACCATCCTGGCCAACATGGTGAAACCCCATCTCTACTAAAAATACAAAAATTAGCTGGGCATGCTGGCACGTGCCTGTAGTCCCAGCTACTCGGGAGGCTGCCGCAGAATTGCTTGAACCCAGGAGGCAGAGGTTGCAGTGAGCCGAGATCGCGCTACTGCACTCCAGCCTGGGGATAGAGTGAGACTCTGTCTCAAAAAAAAAAAAAGAAAAGAAAAATATTTCATGACTCGTGAAAATTATATAAAATTCAAATTTCAGGGCCTGTAAGTAAAGTTTTATTGGAACATAGCCACAGTCATTCATTTACGCATTATTTCTGGTTGTTTTTGTGCTATGATAGCAGAGTTAAGTACAGTTGACCTTTGAACAACATGGGTTTGGACTGCATGGGTCCACAGTTACATGGATTTCTTTCAATAAATATATTGGAACAATTTTTTGACATTTGTGATGATTTGAAAAACTCACAGATAAACCACCTAGTTTAGAAATATCAAAAAAATTAAGAAAAATGTATGTCATGAATGCATGAAATATATGTAAATAATAGTCTATGTTACCATTTACAACCATAAAATATACACAAATTACTATAAAAAGATAAAATTTATCAAAATGAATGCACACAAACACAGACCATACCTGGCACCATTTGAAAGAAATGTAAACAAACTTATTACATGAATCATAACTGCATAAAATTAACTGTAATACATTCTGTGCTACATAATGATTTTGTAGCCACCTCCTGTTGCTATTGTGGTGAGGTTAAATATTTTGAATATCTGCTTAAAACGTCATGTGACACAAATCATCTCTGTGTGAGCTGTTGTCTCTCTGGTATATCCCGGAGTGCAGTAAAAAGTGACCTGTCCTGGAGCTCTTTATTTTTCTTCATGTTTAGTGCAATACGGTAAACCTTGAATAACACCATGGGATCCATACAAAAAGCCCCTAGTGGTGCTGGAAGTGCTCCTATAAGAAGCAGAGGAAAGCCATGACATTACAAGAAAAAGTTGAATTGCTTGATATGCACCATACATTGAGGTCTGCACAGGGAGGTGGCCCACTATTTTGACAATTTATTTTGTAAACAGATGATGTAAACTTAAGGTATCGATAAGTAAAGTACTATATTTTCTCTTCCTTATAATTTTCTTAATAACATTTTCTCATTTCTAGCTTACTTTATTGTAAGAATACAGTATATAGTACATATAACTTTCAAAATATGTGTTATTTGACTGTTTATGTTATCAGTAAGGCTTCTGCTCAACAGCTGGCTATTAGTAGTTAAGATTTTGGGGAGTCAAAAGTTATACTTGGGGCCGGGCATGATGGCTCAGGCCTGTAATACCAGCACTTTGGGAGGCCAAGGCAGGCAGATCACTTGAGGTCAGGAGTTTGAGACCAGCCTGGCCAACATTACAAAACCCAGTCTCTACTAAAATTACAAAAATTAGCTGGGCATGGTGGCACGCTCCTGTAAGCCCAGCTACTCAAGAGGCTGAGGCACGAGAATCGCTTGAACCCGGGAGATGGAAGTTGCAGTGAGCCGAGATTGTGCCACTGCACTCCAGCCTACGTGAGGGAGTGAGTCTCTGTCTCAAAAAAAAAAAAAGTTATACACTATAGTTGCAACAGAGACCAAATATGGCTCTCTCATCTCTTCACACTGTTACTCAGTGCATTATAAATTGCAGTGACACATCTATAATTCTACAGCCTTTCAAAGAAAAATGACGTGGACTTTGATTGTTGTACGTATTTTTAAAGAGACGGAGGTCTTGCTATGTTGCCCAGGCTGGGCTCAAACTTCCGGCCTCAAGTGAGCTGCCTCAGCCTTCTGAGTAGCTGGGACAGCAGGCACACACCACAACACCCAGTTCTGATTGTTGTATTGTTAAGACATACTGGAGTTTGGATATTTGGTTGTCTAATTATATGGCAGAGCATTGTGTTTATTGTGCAATGACACTACAGCTGCAGGATATCCAAAGAATACGGTATATGTCAACAATTCCAGACTAAGCACTCTTAATATCCCCAACTCACAGGAAAGCAATGGTCAGAAAAATTAGAACATTTAAAATGGAATACCTTATCGCAGAAGAATTTCTTCACAGGAAGTGAGGCTGCCACAAAAGTAAATTTCCAAGTGGCTCATTTATTAGGCAAGCAAAGAAAGTCATTTACTGATGGTGCGTTAATTAAAGCCTATGGTTATTCATTGCTTCAGCAGGCACTTTGCAGAAAATATTTGCATCTACTGTGTTATTATACCAGTAGCGTCAGTGATGAAGTTCACATTCTCTCCTGGACTTAGCCATCGACAGTTCTGTGAATTTTTGTCAGAAATAGAAACTGAATATCTGACTTGCCCTATGACACTGAAGTTCAATGGCTTAGCAGTGGTAAATTTTTACTGAGTTTTTTTTTTTTAAGCTCAGGGCTGAGATTGAAATTTTTCTGAATAAATAAAATCTGGCCTCAAATCACTATTACTGAACATTGAATATGTGGAAATTTGTTCTCTCTCTTGTTATATGAACACCGACATAATATCCTCAATTTTATCTCTTGAGACACAAAGCCCAACATATTTACTATACGACCATTTACAGAAAAAGTTTGCCAACCGCTACCATAGACATCTGAACAAAAGCCACTTGGGTCTTATTGGAAAACATTTCTCCCTGCCAACAAAAAATCCAATGTCTGTGATAGTGCCTAGCTTCCTCAAACCTATTCTACTCTGGGCTCACTACTCATTCTTGGCATTACCTCTCATGCTTCCTAAGATAAAGGTGACTATTGTCCCATTGCTTTGTTTAAGGATCTTGATCTCTTTGTCACAGGAACCTTACTGTCAGTCAAAAAGTAATCTGTTTTTTATTCTCAAGAGGCTTGATGGTATTAATGTAAATAGGATTTCTGATTGTCAACACTGATGATCCAGCTTTTCTGAAGCTAGATATGCCATTCAGGGGTTCTCACTAGAGGGACAGAGTCCAGGCTTCCTATTACACAAACAAAAGACCTTGCCACTACCTTCTGCTACTGTCACCTCTTTCCTCCTATATCCAGTTACATGATGTAAAGAATCCTCATTAAGATATCACCCATGAACTGGAATAGGCAACTGTCTAGAGAGCTATTAAGTTGTGGCCTCCAGTTGTCTCTGTCTTTGTTTATAAGAGCAGTAATTTAAAAATTACAGATATGCTGACTTACTAAATACTGTTTGGGGGAGTAGAAACTTACTAATTCAGCAGGATCTAATTCAGTAACTATGCTCCTCTAAAACCACTTTGGTGAAGGTTATTGTTAGCGGACCCAGAAAGGGCAAATAATTTGCTTTTATAAGCTTTAATGGCTTGAAATGACTTAAATGTTGGCTGCATATGTAGCAAATTGCTTTACATCCTCAGTTACACATCCTTACTCCAATATGTGTATTCATGGTTAAAAAACAGAAGTAAACACCACAAAATGGATACTAATACAACAATGAAGCTGAAAGTAATTTGTGACCAGGAAATGAAAGGCTGATAATTAGTCTCTAGGGTGCATACTACTGTTAAAAACCAAACCAAAATTAAAATAACAAATTCTGAAACAAAAATTCACCCATTTCTTTTTGCTTCTTTTGAAAAATATAGACCCACCGATACAGAATTTATGGTTTTGTACTTTTAGGGATAGTTGTTTGTTTTTATTACTTTTCTATTGTGGCCCTTAAACGAAGCCTTTATAGAGTCAGTCACTTTCAGATTGATCGAGCTTTTTGAAACATAAAATTTCACTCCCCAGCCCAACCCCTACAACCCTTCCCAAGGGAACACCTGTTTCATTAAATGGTGTTTTATTTTTGTTTCCTTCATAGGAATTCCCCCTTTTTAAATTACAAATGACCCATCAACATCCATGTTGACTTCTAGGTAAAGTGAGTTTACCTTCTAAAAAATTTAGGTGAAGCCAAATCTTCAAAGAGTATGCCATCCTGTCATCACCAGAATGTGAGTGTACTCTCATGCTCTCCATGTAGTATCTTTAGTGGAAAAACCCGAATTCTTTTTTCTTTTTTTTTTTTTTTGACAGAGTCTCACTGTGTTGCCCAGGCTGGAGTGCAGTGGCGTAATCTTGGCTCACTGCAACCTCTGACTCTCAGGTTTAAGTGATTCTCCTGCCTCAGCTTCCTGAGTAGCTGGGATTACAGGTGCGCACCACCATGCCCAGCTAATTTTTGTATTTTTAGTTGAGACAGAGTTTCACCATGTTGGTCAGGCTGGACTCGAACTCCTGACCTCGTGATCCACCCACCTCGGCCTCCTAAAGTACTGGGATTACAGGCGTGAGCCACCGAGCCCGACCAAAAACACCAAATTCTTAACGGGGTGTTTACTGATGACATCCTAAGTCATTAAAGTATTGAAAACCTATCTGCTCCTTAAAGTTATTTGTAAGTAAATAACTGATAATCCATGCATTTATTACATTTTAATTTTTTTATAAAGAATTTCAAGTCAAAATTCAACTATCACGTAAAGACTTTCAGTCATCTTTCACCAAAACGTTCTTTAAAAAAGTACACTTCTGGGCTGGGCATGGTGGCTCATGCCTGTAATCCCAACACTTTGGGAGGCTGAGGCAGGAGGATCACTTGAAGCCAGGAGTTTGAACTAGCCTGGGTAACATAGTGATACCCCATCTCCACACACACACACACACACACACACACACACACACACACACACACACACAATAAAAAGGGGAAAAAAGTACGCTTTCTGATGTAAACCACACAGATGGGGTTGGTTTGGCACATCTTAGGCTGGGGGGACACTATCCAAAAAAAGAGCCAAATTTCTTCAAAGACTGTTCAACTAAAGTGGTTTCTACATTAACAATAAGCCCAGTTTTCTATTGCACACCTCATCAATTTAAAAACAAAGGAATAGGTTCAGGCAATATTTCCTTCGTTTTAATATGTCCTTCTATGTTTGTTAAGTGTCGTGATGGCCTACACGTGAAATCTTGGTCTTCATCTTTTCCTGACAGTATCTATGTGGGGAAAGACTTTTTATTAGTTACCTATGACTGCTGTAACAAATTACCACAAACTTTGTGGCTTAAAACAATGCACATTTATTTTCTTGCAGTTTTGGAGGCCAGAAGTCCAAAATCAGCTTCACTGGCCTGAAATTCAGGCATTGGCAGAACTGTGCTCCCTGGAAGCTCTAGGGGAGAATCTGTTTTCTTGCCTTCCGGCTTAAAGATCTGCATTCTTTGTTTTGTGGGCGGGCCCTTCTTCCATTTACAGTACCTATACCTTGGCATCTTCAAATCTCTCTCTCTCTGCTAAGGTTGTCATATTGCCTTCTTTCTTCTGTGTCAAATCTCCCTCTGCTTCACTCTTAAAGGATGCACGTGATTGCATCTGAGGTTCACCTAAAAAATCCAGGATATTTTCCCTATTTTAAGGGCTTTAATGTAATTATATCTGTACAGTCTCTTCTGCCATATAACATGCACAAATTCCAGAGATTAAGACCTGGATATCTTTAGGGGCCATTAATCAGCATACCACAGACTCCAAATTTGGAGTTCAACATTTAGTTTACAACCTGTAAGTCTCAGTTTGCTAGCCAACTGTGGAATTATTTCTAGGGCTCCAAAACTTTTATGGAAATAAATAGCTTACATGTATGACTTCTACCAATTGCATATTCATGTACATGCCATTGTTATTAATAAAATACAAGTTTCTTTTATAAAGAGATTCAAAAGACCTGCTTCAGACAAGTAATTTCCAAATAAAATGCTATTTGTATTGCATCCATTCCTTTTTAACAAAAGCTGTCATTACAAAATGGTAATTTATATATAATACATAAACATATAAAGCATATAAATATGAATAATGTATATAAAGAAGATCATCTGCTATATAATAAGGGTTTAATAAATGTCAGCAGTTATTATTGTGTTTGGTGTTCTGCAAGCTGAATGGAGGTATTTCAACACTAAAATCTAGTAGCAATAGGCTTTTCTTACTTTGCAAGTAAAAGAATACAAAAAGATGGAATTTAGCCACTTTTGGATTTTTTTGGCTTACAATTTTTATTTAAAACTTTGATACCTCTTATTATGAGACTGTTAGTGAATGCTTACAGATCACAGAAAAATAAGCCAAAGAATATTAAGGAGAAACTGGGAATCAGCCAGTCATGTATAGCTCAAAAGTGTGTCTAGGTTATATGTACACAGGGCTATGCTCTTATATTTTATATTCAAACCATAGTTCTTTATTTGCCACTAAAATTGTTCTTCATTTACAGGAATCAGTCAAATACATCAATATTTTATAGTGTTCTTTAAAGAGCACTGTAACTTCGAGGTATACCAGCATCTGAGCAAGTCTGAGGGCTGCTAATGCTAATGCTAATACAAAATTTATTAATATAAAAGAGCTTACATTCACGATGAACTGAAATGGTGGTTCTCAATCCTGGCTACACACTAAGATCACCTGGGGAGCTTTTAAAAATCCCAATCTCTGGGTTGCATCTAAGACTAATTAAACAAGAATTTGTGAGGTGGGACCCAGGCATCAACATTTTTAAAGCCCCTCAGTTAATTTCAGTGGGCAGCTGTGGCTAAGAACACTGGACTAAAATAACACATGACATGAAGACCAACACAAGTAATGAAATCTAAAGTTCCATGGTCAAGGTAAGGAATGCAATGTGAATTCAAAGAGAGAGTATCTTGATTAATCAGAGGAGGGAGGAGATGGAAAACGAACTGAGCCTTGAAAACTGGGCAATAAAGAGGGAAAGGTTAAAAGGGACAGTGACAGATATATGAGGGGCAAAAAAATAGTTCTGGAGTAGGGGAAAATGGAAATATCTAAAAATTTTTATTATGGGATTAAAAAAAACGGGTGGTGCCTCATGTTCTTACTTATAAGTGGGAGCTGAACAATGAGGACACATGGCCACAGGGAGGGGAACAATATACACTGAAGCCTGTCGGGGTTGGCAGGGGACAGGAAGAGCATCAGGAAAAATAGTTGAAGCATGCTGGGCTTAATATCTAGGTTATGGGTTGATAGATGCAGCAAACCACCATGACACGCATTTACCTATGTAACAAACCTGCACATCCTGCACATGTACCCCAGAACTTTAAAAAATAATAATAAAATGTTTAAAAACTGGTGGTAAAAAGAAGATATTCGCCAGCCCTTTTTTTTTCTGGTTTCTGCCCGTCTCCCATCATATCCAGGCCTTAACATCTCCATATAGTGGGTTTTAAACACTAGAATGAATTATTGAGGGAGGCACATCCTATTTGGAAATAAAGAGATCAAACTACAATACAGAAATACCTAGTAGGAAAGTGCCCAGACTCAGCATCTTTGAACCAAAAGGCAACTTTATAGCCTGAATATATATGTGCCTAAATCACATATATTTTTTATGAAGACCAACTCTTTTCTGCAGACACTACCCACCCACCTTCCTAGCACTAGAGAACAAAACAGCCTACATTTAAGCAACTCAGAAAACTCTTTGGAAAAATTATCAACTTACTTTTTTATAATCATTGCAAAACAACCTAGTTCTGGCAGTTGAAATAACCTAAAACTTGTTTATCAAACATGGGATTTTTGGTCATTGATAACACACTAGTTCTGTCAATTACAGGCATATCATAATGTCTTGATAGCACCTTGTCATGCAATGATTATGACCCAATATTAAGCGATGTGGGGTCCTGAAAGTAATGGAAAAGGAAAGATTTGTACATAGCTAGTGCTTATATAGCACTTAGTATGTGTCAGGCACACTTTTAAGTGCTTTGTATGCACTACTTTGTTTACTCCTCACAAGAACCGAATACTATTTTTATACCCATTTTACAGATTTTTATACCCATTTTACAGACAAGGTCATTGCAGGGTACAGAGAGGATAAGCTACCAGCTGAAGTATACAGTTAAGTAAGTGATGGAGCTGGAATTCAAACACAGATCATGTGGCTCCAGAGCCCACACTTTTAAAACCATTTTGCTATGATTCTTAATTATAACAACATTGATGAATTTTCTTCTTTAAAGTATTTTCTGGAGAGAATGCCACTGAGCCTATATATTTCTTTTATCAATTTTCCTATGCATTGAAGTGAAAATATTTTTTTCATTTTTACTTTTAATTTGCTTAAATTATTTGTTATCAAAATAAGTTAGTTTCTTCATAAAGGTTACATTGAAATTTATTTTGTACATATATAGTTTTACTTTTAAAAATGTTTTCACTTTAACTGTTGTGAGTACATAGTAGGTGTATATATTTATGGGGTACATGAGATGCTTTGATTTAGCCATGCAATGTAAAATAAGCACATCATGGAAAATGGGGTATCCACCCCTCAAGCATTTATCCCTTGTGTTACAAATAATCCAATTATGCTCTTTTAGTCATTTTGAAATGAACAATTATTATTGTCTATGGTCACCCTGTTGTGCTATCAAATACTAAGCCTTGTTCATTCATTTTATTTTTTTGTACCCATTTACCATCCCCACCTCCCCACCAACCTCCCACTACCCTTCCTGGCCTCTGGTAGCCATCCTTCTACTCTCTATCTCTATGGGTTCCATTATTTTGATATTTAGATTCCTCAAATAAGTGAGAACATGTGATGTTTGTCTTTCTGTGCCTGGCTTATTTCACTTAACATAATGGCCTTCAGTTCCATCTATGTTGTTGCAAATGTCTGAAGCTCATTCTTTTTTATGGCTGAATAGTTCTCCATTGTGGATATGTATCACATATTCTTTTTCCATTCATCTGTTGAGGGACACTTAGATTGCTTCCAAATCTGGGCTATTGGAAACAGTGCTGCAACAAACATAGGAGTGCAGATGTCTCTTCAACATATTGACTTCCTTTCTTTTGGATACATACCCAGTAGTGGGATTGCTGGATCACCTGGTAGCTCTATTTTTAGTTTTTTGAGGAACCTCCAAACTTTTCTCCATAGTGGTTGTACTAATTTACATTCTCTCCAACAATGTACGAGGGTTCCCTTTTCTTCACGTCCTCGCCAGCATTTGTTATTGCAGTCTTTGTTATTTCTGTCTTTTGGATACAAGCCATTTTAACTGGCATGAGATGATATCTCATTGTAGATTTGATTTGTATTTCTCTGATGATCAATGACGTTGAGCACATTTTCATATGCCTGTTTGCGACATGTATGTTTTCTTTTGAGCAATGTCTACTCAAATATTTTGCCCATTTTTTTAAATCAGATTATTGGATTTTTTTTCCTATAGAGTTGTTTGAGCTCCTTATATATTCTGGTTATCAATTCCTTGTCAGATGGGTTGTTTACAAATATTTTCTCCCTAGTTTCATGTTTATGGAAATTATTTCTACACAGTTCAATTTGCCTTAGTCCTATTTGATAAATATATATTTTGCAAAATTTTGTTTCCTATTCAATTTGCAATTAATGACATATTTTGCTTAGTGTGTTTTTATTCATTTTCCATTCTATTTCTTTGATAAGTTCTACCAAGTCTAACTTATCAGGTCAATTTTTGCAGTTTTTTGACTGAAAAGGTGTGATTCTTAGTTTTTCATCTACAACAATTTTTTATTATCAAATATAGTTGGTTTTGCTTCAGCTTTTTCAGTTTTATTCTGTGCTGATTGTTTTTTTTACCAGTAATATTTATATTGAATTGGATAAAAATGCAAAAGGTTTATATTAATTTCTTATTGGATTCATAACAGATTGTGAAATTAGATATTACAGGATCTTTCTAATGACCAGTCTTTATTTGGGGTTTCATCATTCTCAGGGTCAAAATGATGAATTCACAATGCGTTGTTTTGTTGAGGGTGGGAATTATTATTTCAATTTCATAGGCTGTCTTAGTTTGTTTGGGCTGCTATAACAAAATACCATAAACTGGGAAGCTTATAAACAACATAAATGTATTTCTCACAGTCTGGAGCTGGGAAGTCCAATATCAAGGCATTGGCAGATTTGGTCTTTGTTGAGGGAGGACCTGTTTCTTTTTCCACAGATAGTGCCTATTTGCCGTGTCCTCACATGGTGGAAGGGGTGAGCTAGCACTCCAGGGTTTCTTATAAAGGAACTAATCTCAATCCTGAGCTCTTCCTTCATGGCCTAATCACCTCCTATAGGCCCCACCTCCTAATACCATCACCTTGTGGGTTAGGATTTCAACAGTTGAATTTTTAGGAATACACAAACATTCAGACCATAGCATAGGTGTACTTTAAAAACATTAAATGACTTGCCTGAGGTAAGTGGTAAAGCCAAGACTGGAGATAATAGGATGGTAGTAGAATGGTTTTTGGGAATCACTGACATGGACTGACTCCATACTCAGCCACTTAAAGCTGAGTGAACTTGGGCAAGCAACCTAACCTTCAAGCTCCAATGCCTCCATCTGTAAGATGGGGATAATAACCTACTTCATCCGGTTATTAAGAGAAGTGAATGAGATAATGCATGTAATAGCAGTTAGCATATTGGTTGGCTTATAGTAAGGAATCAATAAATGTTAATAGTTCAGCAGCAGCATCCGTAGCATTTGTTCTTCCATTACACCCTACAATGTGCTAGGCAATGAGGTAGACACTAAATCCTCAAGGAGCTTAGGATATTCTTGATGAGACAAAACAAATGCATATGAAAATAATTAGAGAACTACTTTTCTTAACACAGTGTAAAGCACAAAGTAAATGCTGAACAAATGTTAGCTATTATTATTTGTATTATTTCCCAGCAAGCTTTCTCTGGATGAAGATAGAAGGTATCTTGTGACAATGTGTTGGGAGTAGCCTATGTCAATGAACCACCCATCTACACAGAAATTATGATAGAAGCAGCTCCCTAATTACTGCATCCTCCCTAAATGGGTTTAGGATAGCTACCTAATTACTTCATACTCCCTAAGTGGACAACCAGAAGCTCTAGTGTTTGGAGCTCCTGGGGTGCAATTTCCAAAGACCTTGATAGGTCCTGGGTCCCCCCACATTCTTTTGCCACTTTCCTTCCTGGCTGGGGTCTGAGATGTCTCCACCAGACACTTATGCCTTTGGGTTAAGTCTAAGGTATTTTTAAAATATAAACATAGCCTGGTAGTAACAAAATTTATGTCTTATTGAACACCTTCCATTTGCCAGATATTTTATATGTAATATCATTTAATTTCACAAGGAAATATTTCAGAAGTAGATATTATTAAGTCCATTTTCAAATGAGAAAAATGGAAGGTAGGAGTTTGGTATCTTGTCCAAATTCAGGTCTTCTGACACTAAAGCCCTTTCCCTCTCTGCTATATTACTTTCCTCCCAGTTTCTTGTTTTTTGCACATTTATTTCTAATGAAAGTAAATGTGATATTCAGGCCACGCAACAGCTAAGGAATGGTAACAAGAATGCTTACTGTGCCAAGTCAGCAAAGCTCAATGGGCAGGCTGATTGAAAGTTCCTCGTGGATTCAGGGTCAGATCCTCAGCTTTGCAGATCCAGAAACTTGGTTTATTTAGCCCCAAAGTGGTCAATTTTGGGGGACTGCTTCATACTATCTACACTTGTAAAAGGCTGACATATAAACCACAGAGTCATTTATTAATTTACAGATGGATCTGGTAGAATAATTCACATCTGTCATTTTCTCATGACATTCCTTTTGGATGGGCACTCAGGGAACCAAATTATAGATGGGAAGATTGCTTGGTGAGCAAAGAATTTGGATGAAGGGAAGGAGGGTTCTTGAGTTCTGTACTTTTATTTTTATCAAATAAGCATGGCTAAATGAATGTCTTTCTCTACGTTGAGGCTATTGTTTCTCAGTAACCCACAGAAAGGGAGAGAGTTTACTCTTCTTTGAAAACTGATAAATTATTCCCATTTTTAAAATCCTATTTTCTCCGTTTTAAAATTTCCATTCTCCTTTTATATTTTTCATCATGACTATGTCATGCCAGAGAAGTTCCAATGCAGTTGAGTAGATTATAATTTTCCATTGTCATCTTATGCCAGTCACTTCGGTTTCTTGATTGACCTTGAGGAAGATGCCAGTCTTTTTGACAAGATTCCAGGCACGCCTTTTCTTCCTATAACACATTTACAAACCTTCTCCCAAAGAAAGCCCCTTACAGTCAATCATTTCTACAGACTTTGTATTTTTATGCCATATCTTTTTTTCTACTGACCCATCCATCCGACCAAAGCACAGAGTGGAGTGCTTTAATGTTGTTCCTTATGCATTTAAGTAGGGGGCAGCATTAGAATAACACTGGATAGTCAGAGGAAGTAAAACAAACCACCTATTTCTTAATCTGACCTAAGCTTCAACATTTTTTTTTCCACTCCAGAACCCTGATTAGCAGATATATTCATTTCTGGGAATGAATCCAGATTCTTTCCAAACCCCTCAGATGCCAAATGAAGATATTTTCTAACAATCTGTCTTTTGGGCTGGCAAAATTAACTAATAGCAGTTTGAATCAAATGATAATTGAGCAACTACTTTTGAGACACCATGATAGACACTAGAACACTGTGCTAGGCACCTGATAAACCTGATAAACAGTTGTTGAATTGTCTTGCACTATAAATTTTGAGACAAGAAAGGGAATTGTAATTCTGAATCACTTGTCTTAGAGAATTAATAGCTTTAAAAAATTGTGCTGTATTGTTATCTCCATCCACCCTACAGAGACAGAATATGTAAATGAACTGTTTTCCATATTTATATCATTTTTATTCCTATTTTAGGTCAGAGCAGGTCTTAGGAAACTAAACCCAAGAAGACACACACAGGTCCTCGAAAATATAGATGAAGGTCTGGATTTAATAAGGGCCAGGTATTTGGCTTTTTAACTGATGGAATTTCTTAGGGAAATAAGGGATCTATAGATTTGAGCAAATGGCCATATTGAAATCAGCAGGGTTATGGCCACGCACAGGCTTTGACCTTAAAACGCAAACCCTGTGGACATTTAGTCAATTTAACTGGAAGGGGGACTGGTCTGGGTTCCATTGCCTATTGGACTGCTTTTAGGGCTTGTTGGAGGGTCACTCAAAGGGTCTTCAACAAATTTCTAGTTCTGAATTCTTCCTTCTCCTTACTGTCAATGGGCTTAGTTCTGTCTTCATTCGTGCACATGTGAGTGTATGTGTGCATGTGTACATGTGAATGTATTGGGTGGGGACGGGAAGGGTGGTGGTGTAGAGGAGACAAAGGGAGAGATTGAATTTATTAGAGGAGTTTTATTTTTAATTTTGTTCAATTCCAAAGTAAGAGAAAAATTCACAAATTTCTCTGAGTCTATACTAATTTCCCTCTACCAGTATTTTACTCTTTTTTCCAGTGGTATCTGCTTGTGCTTTGTTTACTATTTATAGGCTTGAGTTAGATTCCAATATATCCCAAATCAGAGGCCAAAAGGCTAACCCAAAGCATATCCCACAAGTACTGAGGCACTGGATGAAATCTTAATCTGATCAAAGGTGACAAGCTTTTTCCCAAAGCCAGATGGAAGCAGAGAGGGCCCCTCATTACCCATAGCCTGAAGGCAGATGGAAATGTAGAACTGACAACTTGCTTGTCTAGGGTGCTCACAGCATCAAGTTTCTCACTATTTATTAATGGTATAATGTTAGCTATAGATTTTTTGTAGATATTCTCTATCAAGTTGAAAAATTTCTCCTCTATTACTAATTTATGGAGAGTTTTTATCACAAATGGGTGTTGGATTTTGTCAGATGCGTTTTCTGCACCTATTGATATGATCATGTGGTTTTTCTTCTTTAGCATGTTGATGCGATGGATTACATTAATTGATTTTCTTTCTTCTTTTTAACTGATAAACAATAAAACTGGAATTAATTGATTTTCAAATGTTGAACCAGGCTTTCATACCTGGTACAGTAGTGACATATAATTATTTTTATATATCGTTGGCTTTCATTTGCTAATACTTTGTTGAGAAGTTTTACATCTATGTGCAAGACAGATATGGTCTGTAGTTTTATTTCCCTATAATGTCTTTGTTTATGGTATTAGGGTAATGCTGCAGCATAGAATAAATTAGGAAATATTCCGCCTGCTTCTATCTTCTGGAAGACATTGTAGAGAACTGCTTTAATGGCTTTTTTAAATGTTTAGTAAAATTTACCAGTGAAGCTATCTGGGTTTGGTGCTTTCTGTTTATTGTTTCGATTTCTTTAATAGATATAGGCCTATTCAGATTGTCTATTTGTTTTTGTGTGAGTTTTAGCAGATTTTGTCTTTTAAGGAATTGATCTATTTCATCTGGGTTATTACATTTGTGGGCATAGTGTTGTTAATTATATTCCTTTCGTAATAAAGTATAACCTTTTAATGTCCACAGGATCTACAGTGATATCCCTCTTTCATTTCTCATATTAACAATTTATGTCTTTTATAATTTTTTCCCAGCCTGGCTAGAGGCTTATCAATATCTTTTGAAAAAACCAGCTTTTGGTTTCACTTACTTTCTCTATTAATTTTCTGTTTAATTTCATTGATTTCTGCTGTTTTATTTCTTCTCTTTACTTTGGATTTAATGTGATCTCTTTTTTTCTAGTTTCCTAAAATATAAGCTTAGATGACTGATATTAAACCTTTCTTTTTTTCTAATACATGGATTCAGTGCTACAAATTTCCCTCTAATTACTGCTTTTGCTGAATCCCACAAATTTCAAGAAGTTGCATTTTCATTTTCATTTAGTTCAAAATATTTTTCAAATTTCTCTTGAGTTTTTTTGACCCACATGTTATTTAGAAGTTTAACATTTAATCTCCAAGTATTTGGAAGTTTTCCAGCTATCTTTTTGTTACTGATTTCTAGGTGAATACAATTGTAGTCTGAGAACAGACATTATATGATTTCTACTCCTTTCAGTTTGTTAAGGTGTGTTTTATGATCCAGAATGTCAATCTTGGTGAATGTTCCACATGAGCTTCAGAATAATGTGTAATCTGCTGTTGTGGAATGAGGTAGTCTATAGATGTCAATTATAACTAGTTGATTAATGGTGCTAAGTTTAACTATGTCCTTACTGATTTTCTGCCTTTGGAATCTGTCCATTTCTGATATATAGGTGTTATGAAGTTTCCATCTATAATAGTAGATTCATCTACTTCTCTTTGAAGTTCTTGAAGTTCTCTCAGTGTTTGCCTCATGTATTTTGAAGTTCTAAAGTTAGGCATGTACGTATTAAAAGTTGTTATGTCTTCGTGGATAATTGACACCTTTATCGTTATGTAATGCCACTCTTTATCCCTGATAACTGTCCTTAGCTGATGTCGACTCTTTCTGAGATTAACATAACTACTGCCACTTTTTTTTTATTAGTGTTCACATAGTATATCTTTCTCCATCCCTTTATGTTTTTTTCACTTAATTCATGTCTTCTTTTTTTCTTATTTATTTTTGAGACATGGTTTCACTTTGTCACCCAGGCTGGAGTGCAGTGGTGAATCCATACCTCACTGTAACTTCAAACTCCTGGCCTCAAATGATCCTCCTGCCTCAGCCTCCCAAGTAGCTAGGACTACAGACATGAACCACCAAGATCAGCTAATTAAAACATTTTTTTTGTAGAGACAGGGGCATCCCCTATGTTGTCTGTGCTGGTCTCAAACTTCCGGCCTCAAGCAATCCTCCTGCCTTGGCCTCTCAAAATACTGTGATTACAGGCATGAGCCACTGCACCTGATCTAGTTACAGTTTTGATAAATGCTTTGAATGAAACCTCAGGGTGCTGGGAACACGTAAAGAACAACCCAACCCATTTTTGAATGGACAAGGGATCATGGAAGACCGCCTTAAAGCATATACAGGCTATATTGAAGGGAAGATATTTCAGTTCATACACCCCCTTGAAACTTGGAGCAGAGAGCAGAGCTTGCAAGGGTAGGATGGTAATCACTGAGGAGTATGATAACTGAGGGGGCAGAAGAAACATTACAAATGTAATTATCACACTGTATATTAAACAGTGATTGGGGTTTATTTATTTATTCATTTATTTATTTATTTTGAGACAGAATCTTGCTCTGTCACCCAGGCTGGAGTGAAGTAGTGTGCTCATCATGGCTCACTGCAGCCTCAACCTCCTGGGCTCAAGCCATCCTCCCACCTCAGCCTCTTGAGTAGCTGGGACTACAGGCGCACATGATACCACACCAGGCATTTTTTTTTGTTATAGAGATGGGGGTCTCACTATCCCTGAGACTCCTGTGGACTAACTAGCTCTTGCTCCTCACCACTAATTAACCATAGTGTACTAAGCTTGGACCCTGGGTATTTCACATTTTCCTCTTCTACTATCAGCATTCCTTTTTTATGCCTGGATGCATCCCTTCTAATCTGCTTTTTTACCTTTCACGCAATCATCTAACTATAGAGGGCTTAAGGTAACACATTTTTTACTACCAAGATAAATTATAAGCCTTTCTGTATATGACTGTGTGCTAGGTGATAGGGTGAGATATCACTATATTTTGTTTTGCCCTATATTGCATTGGTGTGTTTTTCTACTCTTTAATCCCTAGAAACAACCTTGAACTGTATTGAAGATTATGGATTCTGTGTTGTTGTTTGGCTCAATCCCAGTTCTCACTCTTAATCTGGGAAAAATCCTGACATTAGGGAAGTTGGCATCAAAGGAAATGTACTATAACTGAAGCACAACTAGACATCCATAGTGTACAGTACAATTCAATCTTGAGGTGATTGCAAAGAGATAAAGATGTAGGCACAAACAGTGTTTATCCATTTTCAAGTCTGCAGCATCTATTCTGTGATTTTTGTTTGCTGAGAAATAATATTTCAAAGGCATTTCAGCTCCTTTCACTCTCATTCTGGAGAATTTCAGTCTGTTCAGCTTCTCCTAACATCTTTTTTTTCTGATTTTTTCTGTCTCTTTCCCAGGTTAATGTGCATGGGAGGTAGAGGTGATCCTAAGAAATAGAGGAGGAACAAATTCAGAAATAAGTATTTTCAATTCACCTCTAAATGCCTAACAGGACTTAGAATGAATGATATATTTTCATAAATGATCACTAAAATCATTGGCCAGATTACAGCTAAAGCACAAATACTTTTGTAGAGGCTAACCTAACTTTACATAATATATTTTTTTTCCGAAAAAAGCAAGGAAATTTAATTTGCCAATTAAATTATTTAAATGGCCTTAATATTGCAAGAGCTGACTGACTGGCCGACCTATGTGTATATAAGGTAACTTTCAGCTTTAACATTCTCTGATTTTAATCTAGAATGTTAAATATAGGCTTGGGCAGGATAAATTTGAAATGCCTAAGAGTGTCAAACAGGGGCCTATAAAATGGAGATGGTGTGTGGTCCCTTAGGTTTGGAGACAAAAGGCGCAGGCAAGGAAAGAGTGGGCGCGATGTGTCTGTGTGTGTGTGTGTGTGTGTGTGTGTGTGTATGTGTGTGTGTGTGTGTGTGTGTGTGTGTGTGTACTTCCCATGCTGAGAATTGCCCCTATTTCCCACAAAGGAAAGGAATTCTGTGGGTCAGACTCTCGCTAAAGTCCAGTGTAAGTACTTCGCCTTTATTCAATGTGTAGAGATCTTTCCCTCAGAGAACAAAGCATGCATCCAGCCTCATGGTAGGAGAGAAAGCTTATTTCTACCCACTTTCTTGCCTGAACAATTACTAAGCATAATATTCACCTGAACAGTTCTTGCCAAAAAAAAAAGCATTCATGATTAGCCATTTCCTTTCTCTAAAATCCAATGTATTGTGATTTCATTTTCATTTAATTTGCATTTGGCACTTCACAAAACCTGAAAGGTCAGGATTAGTAGAATTTTCGAGTAAAGTGCAATTGCATGAAAAGATTTTCATTTTCTCTTTACGTAAGATTTCCATGATTACCTAGGACAGGTTTTTGTATTCTTTAATTTCTTTGTGTGTGCTGCTTTCGGAATTTGCACACAAAAATTTTTATTATTAAAGCCAAGTTAAAATTGGAGTTTCCCAGGGAATTAAATGTGGCTCTTTGTTTAGACTTTATAGAATTCTAATTCCAGACTAAAGGTCATTCAACAGTAAAATGGAGATTAATTTTCTTTTTCTGTAAACTAATTTTAAGCAATTTTTCTCCCTCCCCGCATTCTCTGATTTTAAGTAACTTTCCTTCCTCTCAGCTTTTTCCTGCTTAGGTTTACTGATTATTATAGCTTTGTGCAGCTCATCTCTTTATTGGCTTCTTGGCCCTGTCTGTCTCCATCTCTGTTTTCCTTTCTTTTAGCCCCAAAAAGCAACCTGGCTAAGAAATTGAGTTCCAAGGAGAAGGGGAGTAATGCATGGAAGTGAATTGCTGAACATTTGCCTTGTTCATTCTTGATTTATATGTTAAAAAAAATCTCTGGATTTTTAGAAAAGTGAGTCTGTAAATGCTGTTGAGGATAGTCTTTGGCACTAACTCACTCTTCTAAGGCAGTGTTCGTGATGACTTCACTCCTTTAGAATGTGGCTCGTAGGATAGCACTCACACATGCCTTAGGTCACTTGAAGGAAGTGTCCTCTGATACTCAGTAAACAATACAAGCTTTCTCCGTCTTCCCATCTTCAGACACTTCTTGATCAGCAAAGTGTTTACGAAAATGGACTTCAAGAAGGACTGAGTAGCTGGATTGTTGAAAGGAAAAAGACAGTATGTGTGTCAGTGTTTTTTTTTTTTTATTTCAGGAACATGCATTAGCAAACTAGACAGCTGCATGGAGGCAGATACAGTTGCTTCTTAAATTCTGCAGTATTATCAGAGTGTGTGAAGGTTAATTTGCCAGTTGTTATACAGTATGCCAAGCAATTCTGGGTGTCTGCTTGGATAACTTACTTTCCCATGTAAGTATGGTTTTCTAAGTGCCATTAAGACAATCCTGCCAGGTAGCATGAAAAGAAAAACAGAATAAACAAATTAAAATGCAGCAGTAACTTTGTGCAAATCTTATTAAATCAGCCACAAAATAATCCATTTTGTGTGGGTGAGTTTCTGCACATACTATTAAGAAGCACAAGATCTGGGGTAACCACAACTATGTAACAAAGTAGATATGGTGAAATAATATGAAACTACTAATTGCAATTATTACATATAAAATATTTATGTTATAGATCATAAAATATCCTTGCTGTATGGAGATTAATTTTCAATAGGGATTTTCAAGGGAAGGCAAATGGCACTGATATATATTGAGTTACTGCTGTGTGCTAAGTGCATGACTAGCTGCTTTGCATATTTAAACTCATTAGAGGCCCACCACAACCCTGTGAGGTTAAGCACAACCCTGTGAGGTGACTGGTGGCTCATGCCTATAATCCCAGCCCTTTGGGAGGTGAAGTGGGCAGATCACTTGAGGCCAGGAGTTTGAGACCAGCCTGGCCAACATGGCAAAACCCCATCTCTACTAACAATACAAAAATTAGTCAGGCCAGCTACTTGGGAGGCTGAGGTGGGAGGATTGCTTGAACCTGGGAGGCAGAGGCTGCAATGAGCCGAGATAACGCCACTGCATTCCAACCTGGGCGGTAGAGTAAGACTCCATTTTTTTTAAAAAAATTGCCTAGTAAATAAGTCTCAGAAAGGTCACTATCTTGACTAGGATCACACAGCTGGGAAGCAGCAGAGTTAGGATCCAAACCGATACCTGTCTGTATGTATATACTTTATCTTTTAAATGTTTTGACAGCATAGCTCATGTGTCATTACATAGCAATTCATCACATCATTATTTTAATTTTTTCTTCTGTAAAATTTCCAAAACAAATACAAGGTAAAAGATTATACCTGTCAGGGTTCAAGTTCATGAACTGGCCGATGTCATCATAGCAGCAAATTAAACTGTGCTCCAATTGACAGTTTTGTTCTTAACCTTACACTGATTTATTTAATGGCTTCTGTCTTCAATAGAGTTTCTTAGCATATCAAAATGTCCTCATTCCCTCATAAGCAGTCTGTAACCTCGAGAGCAAAAGGGTAATGTTTCTCATGGGCCTTGAGTTTTTGATATGTGAGTATGTGCATATGCGTGCCAACTCAAAATATTGCTGCAAAGTGATTCTCTACTCCTTTTTTTATACTCATAGGCTGTACTGCCTAAATGGCACACAGAATACAGAGATGCATAGTAATTATTCTGGTTCCTTTCTTTTCCAGCTGTGTGGCTTAAATTATTTACCATTATCAGTCTCGGTTTCCTCACCTACAAAATGGAAATAATATTAACACTTACTTGGTAGGTTTTGACATTAATGGGATGAAGGAGGCAAAGTAATAAGCACAATGGTTGGTAGATAATAAACCCCCAAGGTGAGCTACTACTCGTATTTATTTAGCTTCAGCTACTACAAAGCAGTATGCACGTTTGTTTAAAACCTGGACTTCAGAGTCAGACCACACTAGTTTGAGTCCTAGCTTTACCACTTAATATCGATGAGACCTTGGTCATATTGTTTAATATCTCTAACAGTCAGTTTTTAACATCTCTAAGAATCAATTTTTAATTCTCTAAGAGTCAATTTTAGAGATGTTTATCAACATCTCTAAGAGTCCATTTAAAAAGTCCTGGGCTGGGCACAGTGGCTCACGCCTGTAATTCCAGCGCTTTGGGAGGCCGAGGCGGGCAGATCACCTGAGGTCAGGAGTTCGAGACCAGTCAGGCCAAAGTGACGAAACCCTGTCTCTACTAAAAATACAAAAAATTAGCCGGGCGTGGTGGTGGGTGCCTGTAATCCCACCTACTCGGGAGGCTGAGGCAGGAGAATCGCTTAAACCCAGGCGGCGGAGGTTGTAGTGAGCCGAGGTCACCCATTGCACTCCAGTCTTGGTGACAAGAGTGAAACTCCTTCTTAAAAATAAAATAAAATAAAATAAAATAAAAATAAAAGCCCCAATATCAGTCAATTTATAGTGCCACTATACTATAGTGGTATCTTCCTTTTTTGATATTGAAGAACATTAAATGAAATAACACACATAAAGTATCCAGCATGTAGTGCCTATTTAGTGTGATATTTTCACCTTTCTAAACATACAACCAACCACATTTCCAAGTTCATTAAATATTATTGCTGTGTTATCATTTAATGAAGACAATGACCATATATTGCATTTTCAAAAATTATATTCAGGAAATTCCAGCACAGACTTAATCTACTTATGCTTTGACATATACTATTAATTTCCCATGAAGATCAAAGAACAAGTACATTGTTAACACTAAGACATTTAAGACCAAAGAAGGATGATAAAATCATTAGAGATATTTTATAATGTTTAAAAATGATAAACATGCCATCTGTCAGTCTAGAACTATCCAATGTAGATAGAGCAAGATAAAAATATTTGTAAGTCCTAGTCTTGCCTTTTTCATCATTTCCCCACAAAACTTTGAGTGATTCTTTTAAACTCTGTGTCTCAGTTTTCTTTCTCACTGAATTGGGAAAATAAAATATGTTTTGCCTATCTCAAAGGGTTGTTGTGACGATCAAATCAAGTAAAGTATGGGAAGGCATTTGGTAAAGTATGAATATGAAAAAAAAGCATGGCTCCTTCGTTAAATTACAAGTGCTTACAAGTGATTCTAGTTATTTATTTTTGTGATATTCTTACACTTTTAAAATATTTAGCCACAGCATAGCAACCCAGCTTTTTAAAATGCAGTATTCAAAGAACGACACACTTAATAGGAAAGCTTATCTTTGAGACATTTTAAGACAAAAAAACTTCACTCTATTTGACAGATTTATGGATTTTGACTAGCTGGGCAGAGAGCTTGTGTGAAAGGTTCTTATTCTTTGGATCAGAGTAGGGCTTTAATTTCTCTCAAACCAGCTGTCCAGGACTATAGGCTATTATTTTCACTTTAAATGTATCACCTGCTCCAATGCACCAGCGGGATGACTAAAACATTTCAAAGCTGGGGAACTATTTCTCTTGCTTTTGTCTGAAACCAAAACATCCTTTGTGTGAAGGGACAGAAGCAAGAAATGTTTCTGCTTCAGTTTAAATGAGGACTTATATTGAGAAGATCTCAAGGGATCTAGGAAAAGATTATAAAACATATCCTCCTCACTAGCCTGGCAGCTGGTGATAAATCCAGGAGGCAACTATTTTCTATAGCAACTGTCTTTATTTGAGGATAATAGGGTAATATAGCCTGGTGGTAAAGACTTAGACATTCCTGGATTCCAATATTAGTTCTGACACTTACTAGGTATATGACCTTGGGCAAAACACTCCAAAACTCCCCAGTTTCCTCATCTGTAATATGGAAGATACCAGCCCCAAAGTGGTGACTTGATGATTATATAATTCACATGAATAAATTAGATTCATGTCAGACACATAGCGAGTGTTCAGAAAATCTTAACTTATTTTAACTGTTCTGACTTATTATTACTATGATTATTATCACTATTATTATAGAATTAGGAGGTTCTCAGCTTCAAATTTGGATTTGCACCTAATTCATTCTCACAGAAACAGAGATGTTATTAAGTATGCCTTTTTCCTTCATCGCACCTTTGAGCACACACATCCCTTTAGAGACCCTTTGGAGGTGTTCCATCTCTGACTCTCACAAATCGCCCTTCTTATTTCACTAAATTTTACTTATTTGGGGCATGAAGTAATTTACCATGTCTAGGCACTGCCTGGAGTCAACTAGTAAAGGGTTGGATTAGACGACCTCTCGGCTTCCTTCCATCCCTGAGAATCTATGATTCTATGAGTCAGTGTTTGGGGAAAAAAATGAAGGGCTGTTTAGTGATGAGTGACAGTTCTGTCCTAAAAGAACAAAGAACTTACTCACTGTGCCAGAAGCCATGTTGAAGATCACAGGATAATGAATTATAACTCTACTACCCTCTGGCAGGACAGGAAAGGAATCTCATAGACAAATTGCACTGGGAGACAGATTATGGATTAAAGTCTCCAATATTCATGACTTCCAACCAGTCAGCACATAAGACCATAACAAGTGCCAAAGGCCACTCCTGTATATTAAAAAAAATAATGGAAATATCCCCAAAGAGAAGCAAGGGAATGAAATTCTGGCCAAGACAGTATTTCTGAATCCTTCTCCTTTTCTGGAAATAGCTATGATAAACAGCTCATGAGACAATATAAGCCATCATCTGTAAACTTGTGGCTTTTGAGAAAAAAAACATAATGGTGGAATTTAAATTCTACCCTGTCTTTTTCCACTTACCAGCAACTGGGGGTTGCCCAGCAGGAGAAATGAGATCATTTCCCTCTGAGTGGCTAGCCGAGCTTGCCCACATTCATTCTTCTTCCCACGTTGTGTTTTAGCAGGCATCAACACGTCAGCAACTTCTGAAATGTGCCAGATCTGGGGAAGCAGGGCATTGTCACTACTGCACGAAAGAACTCCCCACCTCTGCAGTGGACCCACACCAGCCACATTTTCTCTTGTTTTCTCGTCAAATGGTGGTAGGAGGTCAAAGCGGACCCTCTGGTTTACTGCCTGACACACTGCTTGGCTAACCTTTGGAGCCTATAGTCCACCAGCCAGCCTTCCTGATGTCATTTGATACACTCCATTTCTTCTCTGCATTCTTTTCAAACACCCCTTTCCTTGATTCTGCTTCTCAGGTGGCTATGAGGCTAGAAAGGCTGGTGATCTATGGAAGGGAGAAGAGGGTGCTGTCCACCAAGCACCCTAAGACATGAAGTCATTATCATTGTGATACCAGAAATGCTACTCTAAACTTTTCAGCTTCTCAGACTTAATAAACAGTTGTCTCTTTTTAAAAATGAAAAGCATTTTCATTGTTTCATATATTACTTGTGTAACATAGGAATACATTCTCATCGTGAAAATTAACATGCCAAACTGTCTAGAGTTAATGGGAGTCTCCTTTCATTCTCACCCCTGCATCCCGATCTAAGTCTCTTTCCCAGAAGGAACTGCTGTCAACTCTTCCATATATAACCTTTCAGATCTTTTTATTCTTAGTTATATACATATTTGCACATAAACTGTATGCAACAAATACATAACTCTTGGAATCCTCATTAGAAGTCTACTTGATGTAACTGCTTTCCTCTACCACTTTATCTCACCCAGCTCCAGCAGTAAGCCATACAGCTGAGTTCAGGAGAAGGTGAATGAATGGTTGTACTAGTAGGCATGTGTCTGGATATCTATGTCAGGCTACAGTCCAAGACCAAAGACTATTGTTTCTGGATTATCCATTAAACATATTATCTGCTTCTTTCTTTCCAACAGTATATGCTAAGCTCTTCTGTGTCTTTTGCACTTAAGAACGAATGGAGAATCTGGAAATAGGTTTGCAGCACTGAGCCAATTAACTGGGGCAGTGTTCAGTACAGGCAGGTTGGACACACATTGATTTATTTTTAGTTGTAAGGGCCATTTGGGCCCTTCTGAGATTCAAAAGGAGGAGTGGTAGAGTTGAGTCTAGAATCCAGGTTTCTTTTTCTGAGAGAGAGGCTTGCTCTGTTTCCCAGGCTGGAGTGCAGTGGTGCAGTCATGGCTCACTGAAGCCTTGACCTCCTGGGCTTAAGCGATCCTCCCACCTCAGCCTCCCAAGTAGCTGGGACTACAGATGTGCACCAGCACGGCCGGCTAATTTTTGTATTTTTTCTAGAGACCGGGTCTCACCATGTTGCCCAGGCTGGTCTCAAACTCCTGGCCTCAAGCAATCCTCCCGCCTCAGCCTCCCAAAGTGCTCAGATTACAGGCGTGAGCCACCATGACCGGCTTAGAATCCAGGTTTCTTGAATCCCAGTTTATGTTGTTGCCATGTAACCACCTTGACCCACTTAAATTAGTTTTGTCTTCATCACAATATTAAGAGGAGCTTTCTATAATCTGAATGTGTCCCTGAAAATTCATGTGTTCAAGACTTCACCCTCAATGCAACAGTATTGCTAATTGGGTGGGGCCTTTTGGGAGCTGTTTATGTCTTGAGGGCTCTGCCCTCACGAATGGATTATAAAACATTATAAAATGACTCGACAGAGGGAGTTTGGTCCCCTTTTTGGCTCTTCTGTTTTTTCCACCATGTGAAGACACAGCGTTGCTCCCCGCTGGAGGATGCAGCAACAAGGCAACCTCTTGGAAGTGAAGATAAGGCCCTCACCAGACATGGAACCTGTCAGTGCCTTGATCTTAGACTCCCAGCCTCCAGTACTGTGAGAAATAAATTTCTGTTCTTTATAAATTATCCAGTCTGTGGTATTTTATTTTAGCAGTGTAAACGGACTAAGAGAGAGGGCAAGTAGAGGGAGATAAGGGTATTTAAGACCTAAATGGAAGGGAAAGACACCACCAAAAAAAGACAGAGTGGGAGGGCAGCCAGAGGCTTCTAATACTAGCTCCTTCAGAGTTCCACATGGGGCCAGCCTCACCCTCTGGACCACGTTCAGATTCTCACCTTAACATCTGAAGCCCTGCATCAACAGTTTGTCTAACCTATTCAACCCTTCTGGCTGATGACTTTAAATGTGTATCTCTTATCCCAGATAACTCTTGCCAGTCACCTGTCTCTAGTTACCGGATTTTTTTTTTTTTTTTTTGGTTGTCAACTCAAATCCAAAATCATCATCTTACCACCCTCCAAATGCACCCCCACCACAAAAAAAAAATTGAATTCTCTTAATAGCTATGTTTGAAAACTCTGGACCATAAATGAGATTTTTAAAATTTACCCCCCCCCAGTATCTGGCCAGACCCCAAGTTCTGTCCATTTTCCCACATGAAAAGTTTCTGTTATCTGCACTTCTTCTTCATCCTCGTTGCCATTGCTCTCATCCTGGTCCATATGACCTGGATTACTGCCACATCCTTCTCACTGGCTTCCCTGTCTCCATTCTCACTGCTCTCAAATCCAGCTCTGCTTATTCTCATCAGACACAGCTTCATTAGCCTCCCTTTTCTTTGTTGTTGTTCTCCAGCTAAAAAAATGTAAATGATTCTCTAGTTCTTGCCATATTTAATCTGTCAAGTCAAGTGGAAGAGGGTATCAGCTTACTCTGTGTTATTCTCAATGGCAGAACTAAAGCCAATAGGCAAAAGTTACAGAAGAGCTGAAGTTTACTTCAGCTGATCAAAGAAAATTCCTCTGAACAACAAGAGCTGTTGCACAAGGAAGCAGCCTGCTCAAATACTGAGCTTCCTGCCCTTGGGGAGATATATTATCAGGAGCTGGGAACTACCTGTCAAGATTGTTGTAAAAAGGATTCATATTTTTAGGAGGTAGGAAAACACTGATGACATTAAAGATGATGATAGCCAACCATTTTTGAACATTGGCTCCATGCCAGGCACTCTCCTTGCTGTTGTTAGTGTTACCTCATTTATTCTCATATCAACTCTGTAGTAGACACCCTTTTTATCCCCACTTTACAGTTGGGTCTACTATAGTGATTAAGTGCATAGACTCTGGAGTAAGACCACAGTTCAAGTTAGCTCTGCCACTTACTGGATGAATGAATTTAAACAAGATTCATAACCTATTTGACCTTAGTCTCCTCGTATTTACAATAGAGGGAATAACAGTACTTGCTTCACTGGCATGTTGTGAGGATTATGTTGTAAGATAACCTACGTAAAGCACTACTTGGCTCACAGTAAATATTCAATGATCATTATTAATCTTGTCTTCATTAGATTATATGTTACTTGGGGAAAGTGGCTCCATTTCTTCTATTTTCCTCATCTCAGCTGGCTCAAACTGGCCATGCAGTAAATCTTCCTTCAATATGTACTTATGATCAATGATGGTAGTGAATACTCCCCAAAGCTTCTCCATGAGACTTAATGCCTTGTTTCACCACCAATGATGTATTCCCATTGACCTTCTTTCTCAGTCAACCCAAGGTCAGGCCCTCCCTGCCTGCTTTGTGTGTGTGCATGAACTCCACTTACCATTTCATCAGTAAGTAGCCGATCATGATGATTTTTAAGGTTCAGAGTCCTTGTATTTTCTAATCACTAACCCCAGTTACTAAACAAATGAAAATACCTTTGCCGACAACCTTCCCAAACTGTGAACCAGACTTCCATTATACTAATATCCTGCCATACTGCATACCTTCCTTTCATATTGAACCTCATAAGTTCTGTTCACAGCTTATAGATCTCAAAACATTTCCTTAGTACAGCTCATCTTTTGCTTTGTTTGAGGAAGTTGCATGAAATAACCTGACAAAGAGATAACTGTCTATTGGGAAGCTCTTTTTTTTAGAGCCCTTTGATATCATTCTCATTTTGGTTTATAAGCTTTACATGAAAGGAGTGGGGAGGGGAGACTTTCCTTTTCAGCACGAATAAATTAGTAGCTGTCCTAGAGATTATGCTTCTGAAGCCAGGTGCCGCCACTTAGCTTAATGTTTCATGATGTGTCACCCAGCAAATTATGAGTTGTTTGAATTGATTTTCTCCAAACAGCTGAGCTACAGCAGCTTTTGTTCTATTGATGTTTGCTTCAATTTCTGAATGTGTATTGCTTCCAGACAGAAAAAAAAAAAAACATTGCATGTCTTATAAAGAAATGTCATTAACTCACAGAGCCTAGTCTATGATTAGAAGGTTTGAGGGGGGTATGCTTTTTTCATACAACGGAGCTACTCTTGATGGTTTAAACTCTTTTGCCAGTTCCTAACTCCTTTCTACGTCCTTTGAATATGCCATATCATTATCCTCACATCTGTAAAACCAGGTTGTATTGAGTTTCAAAATTAAGGATTTATTTTTTCATTCAATCATACCCATAATGACTGACCATTTACTCTGTGCCTCAGTTAAGCCTTTTGAGACATAGAAGCAGCATGGATACTGGATCTGGCTCTCAATGAGTTTCTAATCTTTCTGGGGATTCAGGATAAATATTTATGAAACAATTCAAGAGCACCATAGGCCATCACCATAGTACATTCTAATATATGTGCTATACTTAAACAAAAGCCCTCAAAATAACGATGGTCTTTAGGGGTTGCTCACCCTGCTGGGGAAAGGAGGAACTGAAGTGAAGTGAAGGGGGCTCTTTTCCTTCCCTAAGAGCACTGGGGCTGCTCTGGGCCAGCTAAGCCATCTGTCTCTCTGCCAGTGCTTGTTCATTTATGTGGTTAAGAGAAGCCACAGGCATTCTCATCTAGAAATTGCACATTAACCTTCACCCCCTCCTCCACCCTGTGTCCGGAATTGGTTCCTTTGGGTGGGTTCTTGGTCTCGCTGACTTCAAGAATGAAGCCGCGGACCCTCGTGGTGAGTGTTACAGTTCTTAAAGATAGTGTGTCCGGAGTTTGTTCCTTCAGATGTGTCCACAGTTTCTTCCTTCCAGTGGGTTCGTGGTCTCGCTGGACTTCAGGAGTGAAGCCGCAGACCTTCGCAGTGAGTGTTACAGCTCTTAAAGGTGACACGTCCGGAGTTGTTCATTCCTCCCAGTGGGTTCGTGGTCTCGCTGACTTCAGGGGTGAAGCCACAGACCTTCACAGTGAGTGTTACAGCTCCTAAAGGTAGTGCAGACCCAAACAGTGAGCAGCAGCAAGATTTACTGTGAAGAGAGAAAGAACGAAGCTTCCACAGCGTGGAAGGCGACCCAAGAGGGTTGCCAGCTGCTGGCTCGGGTTGCCAGCTTTTATTCCCTTATTTGGCCCCGCCCACATCCTGCTGATTGGCCCATTTTACAGAGTGCTGATTGGTCCGTTTTTACAGAGTGCTGATTGGTGCATTTACAAACCTTTAGCTAGACACAGAGTGCTGATTGCTGCGTTTTTACAGAGTGCTGATTGGTGCGTTTACAATCATTTAGCTAGACAGAAAAGTTCTCCAAGTTCTCCCACCCGACTCAGAAAGTCCAGCTGGCTTCACCTCTCAACCCCACATACAAACACACACATACACACACCTATATGGGCATTGGAGCTTATGAGTGTGCATTTTTCTTCTATTATTTCTTGACTTGTTTGGCCGATTCTCGATTGGAGTGTTAAGATTTGGGATTGGGTTTTGGGATAGAAAGAGAAGTAAGATGGCCTTTTGCCCTCCTTTTTATTGTATCGTTGCCTTTTTTTTTTTTTTTTTCAGGAAAAGGTAAGCTTTATGTCACAGCAATCTCAAAACGGAGCAGTCATTAGCACCATATCTACAAACTGGTAGAAAATAATAAACACTTCTACATACATATTTGATAATATATCAGAGGAAGTCACATCAATTCCTGTTATTCCTGCCACTCCTTGCTCAACATCCTTTCCTGTTTGAAGCTGAAAAGATAGACTTGAAGATGCTTATGCTTTTTACTCAAACATGCACCAATTTCAGGAAAGGGGGCATCTGGTGGCAATTATTTTAGGGGATCGGCTAAATTATTAAATGTCTTCATTAGTAAGACAGTTAATTTTGTAGCTTTCCTGATTTTTTTTCTCACATTTTTATTATTTTTATTTTTTATTTTTTTGTTTTTGAGAGAGAGTCTCACTCTGTCACCCAGGCTGGAGTGCAGTGGCACGGTCTCCACTCACTGCAACCTCTGCCTCCAAGGTTCAAACGATTGTCCTGCCTCAGCCTCCTGAGTAGCTGGGATTACAGGTGCCCGCCACCAAGCCCGGCTAATTTTTTGTATTTTTAGTAGAGATGGGGTTTCACCATGTTGGCTAGGCTTGTCTCGAACTCCTGACCTTGTGATCTGCCAGCCTCAGCCTCCCAAAGTGCTGGGATTACAGGCGTGAGCCACTGCACCCAGCGTTTTCTCACATTTTTAAACAGGCTGCAGAAGTTTCTCATGTCGAAAGTAATGTAGTTGATATATATAAAAAAATAAAGCGCTGCCTCCATTACTTAAGAGGCAGATACTTTCAATCACCATTCACAATAGCCAGTTGGAAGGATCAATCCACTGTTTTTGGAAACACTGGCTGGGTGGCTATCTATACACCAAGAAAGTGGGATGTCTGGGCAGCACATGCCAGTACGAGGTGCATTGGGCAGCCGAGCACTTGTTTTATTACTTGTTGGTCTATCTTAGTTCACAATATAGAGCTGCTAGAGTCTTCAGGTTGTCTTCCCCCTTGCCCTGAAACCACTCTGGCAGGAATGCCATGTCATCTCCAGGGCAGTCTGGTGATTTAAGCATTACTGGGTCCTCTGGTGAAATATCATTCAATGCCATATTAATAAATGCCAAATCCTCAACAGATAATGAATCTTAAGGGATGTAGGGAAGAAATATCAGTGAGGATTGGAATGAGTCAGCAAAGGCTGCTTGGAAGAGAAGATGAGGTTTTAAAGTGTCAATAGGATTTGGCTGGACAGAGAAGTTGGGCAGGGCAGTCTGCAGATCTACAAGAATGGGTCAATGTGTTTGGTAATGTCAAAATCCATACTTATTGCTAGGATACTAGAGACTTGGGACTCCTATCTTTGTTGGTATTGAAGGCAAGCCAAAGAAACTGAAGACATGTGTTTTCCACAGCCGAATTTTAACTTATTACTAATGAAGTCTATGCAGACAGAAGTGACAGCATTTGTGATAAAGAGAATAATGCTCAGGGTCTCAGCTTAAGGTTATGCAGGCTGCATCCTGCACAGAGGCTCTGAGTGCATGGGTAGAGGTGGGGAAATACTACTGGCACAGGCATTTCCAGAAGCTGTGTCTCTCTGTAATTGATCCGATTACAGGGGACCTTTTTTTCCCCCCAATTCATCTGCCTGCAGGAAATGCCATTTTATAATTTGCCAGAAGGCACTGTATGTGCCAGTAGTGGCCCTGGCACTGATATATTCTTGTAGAATATGGCTTTGGAAGAGATTCATCTTGCCTGCTATCTTTAGGCGGAAAAATCATCAGCAATTTTCTTCCCTATTAAAACTTTTTTGTAGACGATCATGTGGCTTTGTTGGACAATACATTTTAGCTTCTTATTTTTCTCCTCTTTTCATTCTGTTGGGGATAATAATGAAAACAATAATAACTAAACGTATGTCTTACTGGTTGTATTAGTCTATTCTCATGCTGCTAATAAAGACATATCCAAGACGGGGTAATTAATAAAGGAAAGAGGTTTAATTGACTCACAGTTCAGCATGGCTGGGGAGGCCTCAGGAAACTTACAATTACGGTGGAAGGGGAAGCAAATACATCCTTCTTACACAGCGGCAGCAAGGAGAAGTGCCAAGCAGAAGGTGAAAAAGCCCCTTATAAAATCATGAGATCTCGTGAGAACGCACTCACTATCACAAGAATAGCAGCATGGGGGTAACCACCCCCATGATTCAATTACCTCCCACCAGGTCCCTCCCACGACGTGGGGATTATGGGAACTACAATTCAAGATGAGATTTGGGTTGGGACACAGCCAAACCATATAACTGGTGGAGAAACGAAAGCCAAAATAAAAATGAAGGAATATGCAACTAAAGTCAATTATGGTCTCAGTAACTGGTTTCATATTTAATAGTTGGACATCTTATAGAAAGAAGGAAAATTCAAGTGTTACTATTTATAGGAACTTGTCAGGTCATATGATGTCAAATTTAAGTAATGGAATATTTATTATTATAATAAGATTCAGAAGATTCAATTTCTAGCCTTCATATTTACCAGTGTTGATCTTGGGCAACTCATATCTGTGCCTCAGCTGATTTGCCTGCAAAATGACTCTGTTATTTCTAATGCTCCTTCCAGCTCTATAATTCTCTGATTCTATTTTATTATTATACTAAATTCACTAAAGACCATAAAATGGAATAGAAATAATAATCGCCTGGCCTAACTATCCTTCAATATATAAAATAACTGCATCCCTAGATTTTTTGTTTGTTTCTTTATTAGAGCATCCTTGAATAAAAGGAATTCTGCGTTACAACTCCCTTACATCCTATAACTAAAGAGGTATTTCTGAGACATGACGTTTTTTAAGAGTTACATTCCAGACTTGGAAATCACAGACATTCTGAAGATCATACCATTTTCCATTTCTGAAGCTTTGATAACACTCAAGGGTACAGACAATGAACCATTTTCTTTCCTCTTACCTATAAAACCCTCAATTATTGTTCTCTTGCTTTGTTCAGGTAGAACTTTCCTCTGGTCAATAGTGTTATTACCATGAGTGTCTGCAGTGCAAAAGACATTCAGCAGTTCTCATAAAATCAGGAAAGGAAGAAATAGGAAAAAGGAAGGGAAGTGGGGAGAGTAACTAAATCTTTGTCCTGGGTCTTTCTTTTCTTTTCCCCCCATAACTGTACCTCAGATCTCACCTGAGGACATAAAGAGCCATGTATCCCACTGCTGTTCTGAAGTTTGTTTTTAGCTGTACTTTTGATAGTACCATTAGACAGTGGGGCTTGAGACATTTCCAATAAGCAATTCTTCAATTAATCCATTTCACATTTATTCCTTACCTTATAAATTACGCTATGGAAAAATGTGGTATTGGTGTTTTCTTATAATGAGGTCTTATTGTACCATCTGGGATACAGTGATAGTAAATGACTTGCTCAAGGTCAAGGAAGGTACGGTTTGTCCAAAGAGAAGCCAGAAATAGAACTGAGGCCTGCTGACTTTCACTTTAGTTTAGCATTCAATAAACCACATTCTCTTTCCTCTGTACATTTTAACTCCAGTGGTTTGCCCTGGGCACAGATATTAGACAGCTTCCAAACCTAAGCAACCGTCAAATGGTCAGAGGTAGTAAAATGGGTTCCATGGAGAACAAAATGTATTATGTCATTGTCAGTAACCAAACAGGACTATCAAGTTCACATTAGCAGTCGAGGTAGTCTACCTTTACCCCTCCTTGGACACTTTTTTCTAAGGAAGAATATGATTTTTTGTTTGTTTCAGTCAAAAACATATTTTGAATGAAAAGGTCAGATTATTTTTATATTTTTGTCTGCAATTGAGGTAATGAAGTATGGAGTTCATTTGTGAATGTTTTGAATGGCAACGTCTCCTTGAAATTATTTTTGCTGGGAACTCAAATGAACATTCTTTCAAAAGAGTCACTGTTGTAATTGGCAAACCTCTGAGACAGTATCTTGGGAGAGAAACAACATGCAGTTGGAAAGGAATATAAAATTCACAGGCTTGCAACATGAATTATCCATTTCATATACCATATTTTCATGTTAAAACCATCTCCAGATAGAAAGACAAAATCTTAGTATCTTTAATTGTGAAAAACCTCTATTAACATTAGAAACCAGAAGGACATAACAATTTTATTACATCTTTTGCGTGCCTGTATCTTATTACCTGTTGATTCAAAATGTGTCTTATTATTTTTATCGTAAGATGTATTTGACTATTTTTAGTTTCCTTAAAAGTCTTTTGGAGGAAATAATGGATTTGTCTTCCACAGGATCATGACATACCTCTTGGCTATGGCTCAGGCTTCAAGTCTATTTAAGGATGCTTGCATTACTAAACCCTAAAATTGCTGCATGACTCCTGATCAACTGTGAAGGTTTTAAATAATGGATTTAAATAGCTAGACTTATACTTCATCTTCTAATAACAAACACACCCCTCTGAGGCTAATCCCTACTACTAATAGAGAGGTCTTTCAGTTTCAGGGTTGGAGGGGTGGTGAGGTGAGATTCACTTCTTAGAAGCACTGGCTATGTACAGAAAGATGAACTCTGAGAAGAACTCAGTTCTAAAGTGTTCAGTCTTTGCAAATGCTTTATGAGTTTTCGTTTCCTCCTTTACAAAATGCCATCAATTCCTCAAGGAAAAAAAAAAAGCTTTCTTCTAAGCTCTGGAAATATGCCTTACTGAGATCCCAGGGGTGATTGCCTGGGTCAAGCTAAGACAACCTGGAAGCTGTGAGTTTTTCTAATCCTGTGGAGCCTTAGGAAGAGAGTTTGGTTACCTCCATTCAAAGTCAAGTAATGGGGACACACAAAGAGAGTGTAGTTTCATTGGAAAGTTAAATAGAGAGTGCTTTGGTTTTTTCCAAATTCATTTTCCTAGCCCAGAGTACATGAATCAAAGTGGGATGTGATGTTTCCACAACAACTCTAGTGTGTTAAAGACCACAAGAGTGTTGTTTACTCCCGCTTCAGAGAAAATAGCATGCCTATAGTTCACATCAACACAGTAGACAACTTAGTCTCAATAAGATGTTTGGTTTTCTTCCTTGAAAACTGAATTCAGTGGATAAGCTTCTTTCTTTCCAGTTTTATTTTTGATGATTTGTATCTTCTGTGTCTAGTACATTTCACCCCAAAGCACCAAAATATTTTTGGTCTGCCAGTCATCATCATAATAACTATGTAAAAAGAAAAAGGTATAAGGCTGGTTAAATACTTTATCCAGTTTCAACAGCTTCAGAAAGGTTGACGTAAGAAAGAGGTATTATGCCACTTGTAAATATTTCTCAACCTTTTACTCATTCTGGGCTGCTAGAGGATCAAGAGCAAATTCATTGAGTTTAGCAAATAATGAATTGTGCTTGTGTTTTACTCTTAAGATCCATGGAGCAAATTTTAATAGCTTTATGATATTTACAGATTCCCTGACGAATGAGTTTAATGACTACGTTGAGAAGAGACATGCTAACCAGACGAGTACTAGATTGTGAATTATCACTAGCTATTAGCTGGTGGTTACTAATATTAGTTTATTGCCAGATACATTGTGGAAGTGCATGAGATAACGCTTATTCCTCTCTTAATTTTTTTCTTACAAGTCAAATTTACAAGTAGATTTCATTTATATATTTTTCTACTCTCTCCTCTCTGCCATCTGTAAATGCCCACCTTGGGTCTGAACTTCTTCCTTGGGTTTTCCAACTCACTCTAATTATCAAAATCAACAAATGACCATTAAACACCTCTATGGGCCAGGCAATGCTTGTCACTTTACATGCACTTGCCCATTTAATCTTCATAACAATCCTGCATAGCAAGTTACACAGTTATCCTCATTTTACAGTTGAGAAAATTGAATTACAGTGAATTTATGCAATAAACCCAAGGTCACATAGCCAAGAAGTGGCAGAGAAAGTTTTAAATCCAGATCTGACTGATTCTAAAGACATCGTTCCTCCATTGCAATGTTTCTCTTCTCTTATCTCTTATGATACCATAATTTGCACTATGCAATTTTATACCAAACTGGTTTAAAATCATCCTCTCTATATTTAGTCTGATCTTCCTACCTACATGCTAATCAGAAAGAGGAGAGGCACCATATGTTAAGCTTTGTTTCCAACTCCTGCAGTCTCTTGAAGAGGGCTAGAAGTATAGAGATTCAGTAACGTGTGATTGGTTTTTGTCTTCAAAATTCTTTTACAAAACAGGTACTTTTAAAAAAAGTAATTTAAAAAGTTCCTGTTGTTGTCTTTTGCTGACTTGTTAATGGGTATTACATCTTTCTGCAAAATGCCCTTTTTTCCATCTCCTTGTGATTATGGTCGAAATCATTCAATTTGATCTCCCTAACTTTCTCATTGATGCGGGAAGTGATGCTAGTAAAGAAAGCACTTTAATAAATTATTACAGCACTTCTATTTTGGGAAGGAAAGAGTTTTTTCATGAAAAATTAATGACAAACCATAGAATATTTAAGCTGAAGGAATCGGAGAGATCATTACATACTTTTTCTGGACCTCTTTCATGGTTCTCATGTCTGTCTGCTTTGTATTTCAGTCCTTTGGGTATGTATTGTCTACCTTCTAGACTTATAAGCTCCTCAAGGACAGAAGCTCATGCCTGGGTTCTACTCAAGCCACCTTTCTATTCCATAAAGTGTCCTGCACCATGCCTATCATGTATTCAGCAACCACTGAAGATTTGTGAAATGAATGAATCAAATCCACCACCATTGTCCTATGTTCAACAGATGTGGAAATAGATTGACAACAAGTATTTACATGACTCTAAGATCGTACTGCTAATTCCTGGTAAAACCAAGTCTAGAACCCCGTTATTCTGATTGTTAAGTCAATGATTTTTCCAGAACATCTTGTTTCCCAGCCCATTAAAAATAAGTATGGAATTTCTCTTAGTGTGTGTAATCCATCATTTGCCTTCAGCTAAAACTCCTGTTGACTGCCTATGGACCCATTGGGAATATACCCATTGTGGGAACCAGTACAAAGAACAAACACAAAGCACAAAGAGAAGGAAGAGTTATTTTTTCTCTATTAGTACACTTGGCTAGAATGGGTTGTATATTTAGTAGCGATAAGACAGATTTAAGCTTAAGCACTTAGAGGCAAGTCAAATCATAACAGTGTAGGTGTTTGGGATACATATTAAGGAATTAGGTCAGTCTCTGCCAAAGCTTGACTTAACTCCATGTGAAAGTGTGCATATGTGTAACAATATAGATAATACGAAATATTTTTTCTGAAGATTAGTGGTTACAAAGATTAAATCAAATAGCTAACAAGCCTTTAGCAAATACAGGAATGTCTTCTGTGAATTTGATAATGGAATATTAAATGAAAATATTTTGATATTATATTATAGGAAGCAATCATCAGTAAGAAACATTTACCAAGTGTCTAATTGGTGCTAGTGTATGGAAACTGAAAGACAAGAAGCTAGAGTTCCTGTCCCTACAAATGTACAATCCAGTGTCAGAAATAAGATATGTTCATAAACAGATGACTACAAAGGATGACAAAGGAGATGACCATGAAGTCAGCATAAGAATTTGGCCTTTATCCTTGGTCAATGGGGAACATTAAATGCATTAAATATTAAATAAACATTAAATTAATTTTGAACAGAGTTATGATGGAGGAATGCAAAGCGGTGCTTTAGGAATATTAATCTGACATAGGTGTGCATTGATTGAAGGATGATAAAAAATCAATATAGGAATACCACTTTAGAGATGGCTGCAACAATCCCTATGAGAGGTGGTAAGGATGCAGTCTAAGGTAAGAATGAAGGTGATGTGAGTACAGGGCCAGGCCTGGGAGAGATTATGAAGTTAGAATCTACATGACTTGATGCCTAAATGAATCAAGAAAGGGGATATTAAAGTTGATTCTAAAGAGAGAAATTAGTTCTTTATGATTGACTTTATTATGTTTGTTACGCCTATTGATTTGAATCTGCTATAAAGCAGAGACTTTCACTTGCTATCTTTAAATTCCAATATCCCAGCATAAATTAGGCAGTATTGCTCATATATTTTGGCCTTCACAACAGGAAATCTTTATTACAAGGAAGGAAAATGGAGGACTTCATGATGGCAAAATATCATAAATGGAACTTTCACTCCCAGTAGTATGTAGCACAGTGCTGAACATGTAGCTATTTAACAAGCACGGAAATGGAATTTAATTTTGTGGTAAAAGGATCAAAGTTCTGTTGGTTTTATTTCTAGCTCTACCAAGAAATACCGTATGACCTTGGAAATGTCACTTAACCTTTCCATACTTCCATATTCTCTTGGCATTAAGGACCTGTAATAATCCTTCTAACTCTCCTAGTCCACAACTTGATCACTCTCAATTTGACTTTGACCTTCACCAAATCCTTTTCTGTACCCATGCTTCACTTCCACCCACTACCCAACCCAGGACCTGAATCTGCAGTCAGCTACCCAGACTGAATTTCTCAGGTATTTTCCCATTCTCCAAAATACTCCTCTTCTCTTACTTTGGCATCATCTTTCATCCTCCCACCTCTTTAGTCAAAAAAAAATTTTTTTTTTTTTTTTTGAGACAGAGTTTCGCTCTTGTTGTCCATGCTGGAGTGTAATAGTGCAGTCTCGGCTCACTGCAACCTCTGTCTCCCGGGTTCAAGCAATTCTTCTGCCTCAGCCTCCCAAGTAGCTGGGATTACAGGCACCCACCACCAGGCCTAGCTAATTTTTGTAATTTCAGTAGAGATGGAGTTTCACCATGTTGGTCAGGCTAGTCTCGAACTCCTGACCTCAGGTGATTCATCTGCCTTGGCCTCCCAAAGCGCCGGGATTCCAGATGTGAGCCACTGTGCCTGGCCAAAACTCTTTTTTTTTTTTTTGGTTTTTGTTTGTTGTTGTTTTTGTTTTTGTTTTGTGCCAATATCAGCTAGGTGTTAAAAGTAGAACAACCTGATCCAACAATTGCATACTATGATATGAAAGACAAATCACATGAAAGATCCTCAAGGATTCTCAGACTTTACAAAAGGGATCTCATTATCGTGAGATTTCAGGCAAAACGACAGAATAAACTCACGAAGTTCAGGAGAAAGATACTTAGTAAAACAGGCTTTTTACTCATATTATATAATCCTGGTCCTGTCATAGAGATGGGCTCAGATTCAGGAATGCAGATTTTCATCCACATCATGGAAAAAAGACTAAAAAGTGGACCATATTTTGAATGTTCACTTTAGATCACCCCTGCTCAATTTTCATTTGTCCCACTGCCTGTCTTCTACCAACAGTTAAACAAATATTTATTTAGTACTTAATCTGTATTATACAGCAAGTTAGTAGTGGTATTTTAAATATAAGTAGAATATGGTATCTGCCTTCAAAGACCTTACAGTGTATTGTGATGGACAGAAATCTAAATAGATAATTACTTAGAAATATATCACTGGACGTTTCACCCACATTCTTTCCTGAATGTGGGGAATTCAGGAAAGACTTTCCTGAGATCAAACCTCAACAAAAAAAAAAAAATTTTTTTTTGAGACAGAGTCTCACTCTGTCTCCAAAGCTGGAGTGCAGTGGCAGGATCTCGGCTCACTGCAACCTCTGGCTCTGGGGTTCAAGCGATTCTCCTGCCTCACCCTCCTGAGTAGCTGGGACTACAACTGTATGCCACCACGCCCTGCTAATTTTTGTATTTTTAATAGAGACAAGGTTTCACCACGTTGGCCAGGCTGGTCTCGAACTCCTGACCTCAGGTGATCCACCCGCCTCAGTCTCCCAAAGTGCTGGAATTAGGAGTGTGAGCCACCGCACCCGGCCAACAACTTTTTTTAAAAGTCTATAGACAAGGGCTGGTGCATATGATCATAACTGGCCTAATGTATGCAATCATTATATCTGAAATGTAAGTCCTGGACATTAGGCATAGATTATTCACTTTTTCAAACCATACTGGTACATGCAACTTGCTGAGGATTTTGCTAACAGTGGTGTATATCACCAAAGCCAGTTACCTCAATTGTTCTTACAAAGAAGTCTGAAAGGATATGCCTTTATCCTTTGGTTCTTTGGATATTCTGAATAACCTGGCTCTAGATAAATAGTTCTGTCCTATTCTGTTTGTCTCCAAAAGGCAAAAGCATTTATTTCCACTAATTCTAGCCTTCTATTCTGACCTTCTATAAACTCTGACTTTAGTTCATTCAAACTCTACATTCGTCTAAGAATTAAACAGTTTTCATAGTCTTGTAAAAAAAAAAAAGTCCTGACAGACTTTTTATTTGGTGGTTGTCTCCTAGTTAGGTGCAAAATCGTCAGAATGAAAACATGTTTCATGATGTTCTTCTGTTTAAGTGATTAAACTGGACTATGTCTATATAAAAGCTAGTCAAAGTTCAACTGAACTGGGATTATAAGAAAAGCCTTGGATGTTTTGGAGGCTGCAAAGTACATGGAAAAATCTCTCCAAGTTCAACGTACTCTGCAAGAGACTTTCCAATTCCAATGGTAAAATGTGGGAGCTGCATATGCATAAAAAGCACAGTAGCCAAAGCTTCTGCAGCCGCCATCACCTTCCAACCTAGCAGGACTTGGGTCCTGGCCAAACAGACACTCGTCAGGGGATAAATGGTCTGATCTGTGAACAGTTTGCACTATGTAACTGAACCTACTGGAAGAGAAAACCAGGAATGGACTTATCCTTCTTACATCATTTTCATGAAGATTGCCAGTTACTGAAAGACTTCTATGTGCAAGTGTGTTCTTTAGATGCACATATGCACATAATCAAAGACACAAGCTTTTGGATTCCAATGGTGATACCACTGCTTCCAGCCTCTTGAATTTTTTAAGGGCTAACTGGCTGTAATTGGCACCAGACATTTATAAGTATTTTATATTTGTCAGTGTTTCCTTTGCGCTTCAACCTAGGCTGCTTGCTGGTGCTCTGACGCCTTGCTGGCTGGCTGGCGGTCACATGAGCCGGGAATATTCAGATGAATATACCGTGAATTGGCCTGGGGCACTGAAGCAGATGTGCCTGTGAGCATGAGTGACAGTAAGACAGCAGGGAACAAGGCCGCTGGTAGGCAGGCTGACTCAGGCTGGAATGAAACTCCGCTTTCCTTGTGAGACATGATGTGCTCCAGAAGCTTCAAGGAGATTCTAGACTCAAGTCTAGACCCCTCCCTGCTTCTCACCATCACCTCTCAAAACTTCTCTTCTCTTGCTTTCCATCCCCAATCCCGACTTCTGCCCAATATACGTTTACATCATGGCCCTCTGTCTCTGTTACTTTCTCTTTCTTTCTCTCACTCTGTCTTCCCTCCCTCCTTCCTCCTCTCTCTTTCTCATACATTCCCTGACCGTATACACTAGGGTCTCCAGACAGTTGATCTGAATCCCATAAATCTATCAACTTTGAAACCCTGTCAAAATCCCAAAATATTACCTATCAGCAAATTCTAGGAAGACAGTTCCTGGGCATAACTTCTATACCCAGCTACCATGCCATACCGTGCAGTTGACTGAGGCCTGTGTCCCCATGGGCCTTTCTAATACACTTGGAGGAGACTCGGTGCCTTGGTGTCCCCCTTATCATCGTCTTTTGTCATTTATGGAACAGTCTTGAGATGGAAAGGTTGAAAGAGGAACAACAGCTTTGCACCACCGTGCTTTGAATGTATACTTTGCTTTCTACCAATACTGACCAGATTTTTAGTAAATTCTACTGAATAATTTTTAAGAGGACACGAAGAGTATTGTCTTTGGGGGTCAAATGTCTCTGTTCTGTGATGTTGCCACAGAAAACATTTGAAGTCCCGTAGCTCGTCAGGATTTATCTATTAGTCTGGGAAATGGACTTAGTGTACTGTCACAATAGTGCCACCTGTGGCTCTTCAGAGCACCTGTTTCACAGGTTACTGAGGCACAGACATGAAAACCATTGAAATGACCAATTCTAGGCCCAAGCCATCCTTTATTGATTGCAGCAGAGCAATGATTCAGGAAAATTGTAGTTAACAATAACACTAACACTACTCAGTAGATGCCAGCCACTGTTCTAGGTGCTGTGCCTAGAACATGTAATGCTGTACATGCATTATTTTATTTAATGTTTACAACAAGCCTATGAAATATGTAGTAATATTATCCCCATTGCACAGTTAAAGAAACTAAGGCATGGAAAAGTTAAATAACTTGCCCAAGGTTACACACATAATAATTGGCAGTGAGAGGATTCAAACCCAGGCAGTTGGGCTCCACAGTAAAAAGTCCCGACCAGCTGTCTGTTAAAAAAAGACCTGAAGTTCAAGTATATATATTCTGTTGACCTAGAGCCATTCCCATGGCATCTTTGCAAAGCCCCTTTCTTTGGCTATTGGCCAGCTGTCTTAGGGGCCAGTTTTCACCATATCATTATCTTTAAGGTTTCCTTTTATGTTCATTTGAATCAAATTTCATGTGGAAAAGGGATTTTGGAGAGAGAGTTGAGGTAGCAAGTGTCCTTTCCCAAAGAACATCCACTCTCCTGTACCCCCTCATCTCACAGTCCTCTTAAGGATAACCCTGTTGTTTTCTTCCATTCCTATGTGAACCTTAAAATAAACAGATTATCTATAGAGATTTAAAAGAGATTCCTGAACAGTTCAAGGCTATAGATTCACTTCCAATCGAGGTATGGCCCAGAGACCACGTTTATTAGAAGCACTTGGGAACGTTGTTAAAAATGCAGACTCTAGATACCTATTCTAGACCCGTGGTATCTCTGAGGGTAGAGTCCATAAGTATGCATTTGTGAAATGCTTCCCAGGTGATTATGATGCAACTGAATATTTGAGAACCAGCACTCCACAGTTTGGTGTGTAAAAGAAGTAACGACCCTGGAAACTGATGACCTAATAGATCTGGCTCCACAACTAATTTCCTGTGTGACTTTGGGCAAATCAATTAATTTCTCTGGACCTCAGTTTTCTCATCTGCAAAAAGGGACAAGTCTCTTCTTTTCATCCTCCCAAAGTTGTATAGATCAAATATAAATGTATGCGAAACTTCTTTAGAGATTATAAAAACACACGTTATTATTAGTAGTAGTAGTATGGGTGGGGTCAGGGAAAACAAACTGAAAAAGGAATGCTGTTGGCAAAGACTGATGGGAAGGGAATCCAGTTTTTTTCTTTTTCCCATCAGAGTCCAGACAATGGATTATAGTACTGTGGAACTTCAAGGTTCTTTCCAAGACACAGCCTCCCTCCCCCTACCTCCATGCTTTTGCAGTTTACTATTAACAGTGAAGAAGGAGGCTTCTCTCTTCCACAATATTTATTTAGGTGAAAAACCTATCTGAGCAGGTTGAGGTCAGCTCCAAGTTGAGATCAATGGCCAACATGGCACTGTCAGTCAGGAAGACATTGGATCTTTCCCCTTCCTTATTAGGGGCAAATGTAATTAAACAATAGTCATCTACATATCAGCAGAGATGGAAAACAATAGATATTTTTGTGCTCATTTAAAGTTAGGCGGCGCCGGCGAGCGCCGCCCGGGAGGCAGCGGCTGGAGGAGCGGACGGGCCCCGCGGGGCCCGAGGGCAAGGAGCAGCCGCATGCCTTGGCCTCCCAAAGTGCCGAGATTGCAGCCTCTGCCCGGCCGCCACCCCGTCTGGGAAGTGAGGAGTGTCTCTGCCTGGCCGCCCATCGTCTGGGATGTGAGGAGCCCCTCTGCCTGGCTGCCCAGTCTGGAAAGTGAGGAGCGTCTCCGCCCGGCCGCCATCCCATCTAGGAAGTGAGGAGCGCCTCTTCCCAGCCACCATCACATCTAGGAAGTGAGGAGCGTCTCTGCCCGGCCGCCCATCGTCTGAGATGTGGGGAGCGCCTCTGCCCCGCCGCCCCATCTGGGATGTAAGGAGCGCCTCTGCCCGGCCGAGACCCCGTCTGGGAGGTGAGGAGCGTCTCTGCCCGGCCGCCCCGTCTGAGAAGTGAGGAGACCCTCTGCCTGGCAACCGCCCCGTCTGAGAAGTGAGGAGCCCCTCCGCCCGGCAGCTGCCCCGTCTGAGAAGTGAGGAGCCTCTCCGCCCAGCAGCCACCCCATCTGGGAAGTGAGGAGCGTCTCCGCCCGGCAGCCACCCCGTCCGGGAGGGAGGTGGGGGGGGGTCAGCCCCCGCCAGGCCAGCCGCCCCATCCGGGAGGGAGGTGGGGGGGTCAGCCCCCTGCCTGGCCAGCCGTGCCGTCCGGGAGGGAGGTGGGGGGGTCAGCCCCCCGCCCGGCCAGCCGCCCCGTCCGGGAGGGAGGTGGGGGGGTCAGCCCCCCGCCTGGCCAGCCGTGCCGTCTGGGAGGGAGGTGGGGGGGTCAGCCCCCCGCCTGGCCAGCCGTGCCGTCCGGGAGGGAGGTGGGGGGGTCAGCCCCCCGCCCGGCCAGCCGCCCCGTCTGGGAGGTGAGGGGCGCCTCTGCCCGGCCGCCCCTACTGGGAAGTGAGGAGCCCCTCTGCCCGGCCAGCCGCCCCGTCCGGGAGGGAGGTGGGGGGGTCGGCCCCCCGCCCGGCCAGCCGCCCCGTCCGGGAGGGAGGTGGGGGGGGGGGGGGTCAGCCCCCCTGCCTGGCCAGCCGCCCCGTCCGGGAGGTGAGGGGCGCCTCTGCCCGGCTGCCCCTACTGGGAAGTGAGGAGCCCCTCTGCCCGGCCAGCCGCTCCGTCCGGGAGGGAGGTGGGGGGGGGTCAGCCCCCCTGCCCGGCCAGCCGCCCAGTCCGGGAGGTGAGGGGCGCCTCTGCCCGGCCGCCCCTACTGGGAAGTGAGGAGCCCCTCTGCCCGGCCACCACCCCGTCTGGGAGGTGTACCCAACAGCTCATTGAGAACGGGCCAGGATGACAATGGCGGCTTTGTGGATTAGAAAGGCGGGAAAGGTGGGGAAAAGATTGAGCAATCGGATGGTTGCCGTGTCTGTGTAGAAAGTAGAAGACATGGGAGACTTTTCATTTTGTTCTGCACTAAGAAAAATTCCTCTGCCTTGGGATCCTGTTGATCTGTGACCTTACCCCCAACCCTGTGCTCTCTGAAACATGTGCTGTGTCCACTCAGGGTTAAATGGATTAAGGGCGGTGCAAGATGTGCTTTGTTAAACAGATGCTTGAAGGCAGCATGCTCGTTAAGAGTCATCACCAATCCCTAATCTCAAGTAATCAGGGACACAAACACTGCGGAAGGCCGCAGGGTCCTCTGCCTAGGAAAACCAGAGACCTTTGTTCACTTGTTTATCTGCTGACCTTCCCTCCACTATTGTCCCATGACCCTGCCAAATCCCCCTCTGTGAGAAACACCCAAGAATTATCAATAAAAAAATAAATTAAAAAAAAAAAAAAAAAAAAAGGCATGCGGATGGTACATGCCACAGGTAGTCATCATAAAAGGCACAGAAAATATTGTTTATTCTTCATGTTTAATAGACTGCTATAACAAAATACATTACCCTGGGTAATTTATAAACAAGAGAAGATTATTGCTTACAGTTCTGAAGGCTGGGAAGTCCCAGATCAAGGCATCAGCAGACTCAGTGTCTGATGGGGTCTCACTCTCTGCTTCATGGATGGCACTTTCTTGCTGCGTCTTCACATGGCTGAAGGGCCAAACAAGCTCCCTCTGCCCTCTTTTATAAGGGCACTAATCCCATTCATGAGGGCTCTGCCCTCATGACCTAATTACCACCTAAAGGCTCTGCCTTCAATTACCACCACGTTGGGGATTAGGTTTCAATATATGAATTTTGGGGGAGACACAAACATTCAGACCATGGCACTTAAAGAGTCCAAACATTTGTTTCTGATATAAATAGAGGGATCTGGTTATTTTCAAGGTGGGTTACCCTACTTAGGCCCCATTAATTCCCCTCTACTCTAGAAAGTTTTAGTCATAGGATTTCATCAAGGTTGTCAACACTCCTACGATTCAAATTGAGTCTAGAGTTTTATCCCAACATCTGGCTTTCAATTTCGGAATGTCTAGGTCATTCCTGCCTCTCAGAAAAGAATGTCTGTCCACTTGTCCATTCCCCGAGTGCTCTAGCTTAGTGCCTTTCCCCTCTGCCATTCTGACTTTCCAACAGGTAAACACAGTTCATGAACTTTAGCTTGCAGAGCAGAGGCTGTACCTGAGGTGACCCCAAAATTCATCCAAATATTCTATCCAAGGGCAGGCAAATGCTACATGGGAAATCACAAAGAGGAGGAAAAAAAGAGAGAGAAGAGACAAAATGAAGCTTTGACAAGCAGCTCAGCTGGGCCAGCCCCTTGGAAGGGAGCCAGCATTGGGAAAGCAGCAGCAGCTCTGGGTTTCACAGTCAGTCTGGAATGCACTTCAATACAGCCCAGCCTCCATCTCGTTAGAGGCCTAGTGTTTGATGATTCAGCTGCTTCCCGGCTGCCAGGAGAGATTTGGCCAACTGTTTGAAAAACACTGTCTGCCCTAGACCACACTTGTTTTTATTCTCTGCCTGTTGTCAGGGGCCTCTTCTGAAATGGAACACCTCAGGAAATCAGACCCAAACTCTGAAGAGTTGATGCTCCCTCTTGTGCCCCTTTTCAAAGGCAATTAAACCAACATAGGGATTGTTTGCAGCAAAGTGCTTTCCTAGTGATGTTGAAAGCAGACAATGTGTTACTAGGAAATGATCTCTCATTAGATCTCCTTTAGATCCAATGAAAAACATGGTGTGCTAGCAGACATATCAAACATTAAAGGCACAGCTGAGATCTGCCATTGCTGAACTCCCCATATATCAATTTGTTCAAAGATGCAGGTTAAAGGGTAATGGAGACAAGCATTCTGGGAAAGGATTGAGCAAGAGCCTCTGCTGTCAGCTGGACTCTTGAACCCTTCTGTTTGCTTCTGAGAAGTCTATTAGAGCTGCAGGCACAACTTTCTAACAAAGAAAGCTGACTCTCGAAGTGGACTGGGCTTCCTCACACAGAAACGAACATTTTACCTTAACATAGCTTAGCAGCTAAGAGGATGATCTTTGGAGTCAGAGTGCCTGAATTTGTAGCCCTGCTCCACCATTCATTAGTTCCGTGAACTTAAGACCTCTCTGTGCCTCACTTTCCTTACTGTAAAATGCGCCCAATAATAGCACCTTCTTTATAGAGTGTGAGATGCAGAGCCTAAAGTTGACATAGGTGAGTGTTTAGAATAGGGTCTACCATATAATAAGCCTTCCACAACAGCATTAACTATAATTATTATTATGCCCCTGAAGGCATTCTAGCTAACACCTCTCTTGTACCGTGTGGCAGAGTGATTGAGAACACAGCTCTTTTAGTAACACAGTCTTAGATTTGAATCACTTCCACCACTTACTAGCTGTTTAGGCTTGGTTAAAGTTACCTAACCTCTGTAAGCCTCAGTTTCTTCATCTGTAAAATGGGGATAATAATTGTACCTATGTCATAGGGCTGTTGTCAAGACTAATAAACTATGTAATAAACTTTAGCCAGGTGTGGTGGCACACACCTATATTCCCAGCTGCTTGGGAGACTGAGGCAGGGGGATTACCTGAGCCCAGGAGTTTGAGGTTGCAGTGAGCTATTATTTCATGCCACTGCACTCCAGCCTGGGTGAGAGTGGGACTCTAATAAGTAAATAAATAAAAATTTAAAATTAAACTATGTAATAGACTATGTAAAATGCTTAATGCAGTGGCTGGTCCATAGTAAGTACTCAATAAATGATAACTGATAATATAATATGCCTAAAATTCCATAGTTCTGGAAACCTCATATCTGTTTTTTCTCCTAGTTTTGCCTCTATGTTCATACTGAATAATAAACATTCAGTGTCTGCCTTTCCTTATTTGCAAAAAAAAAAAAAAAAAAAGCAACAATGTCTTCATTAACTCTTTGCTCAGGAGGAAGCAGAGTTACCCAAGAGGGCAGGAAGTGGAAAATGGGACTCCTGTCTCTTCAACCCTGAGATGCTTCCATGCTCTCAATAGTCACTTGCGCTAATCAGCTGAAAAGGGAACCAACTGGAAGCAAAACCAGAGTAAATTGACAATTACCAAACTCTTTCTTTTTATGAAAATGCTTGGTTATTTGTCAGACTTTTGGTCTATTCAGTATTTCTCAGTGTATTCTTTATTCCTCTTGTATGGTGTGACAACCTGGGTGGGAAGGGTAACAAGGAAGAGAAACAAATCCCTGGCCTTCAAAACCTCTCCTGTTGCTTGGCATGGAAAGTGGGCTTTCCGGAGAAGATAGTGTGACCCTGTTGAAACGAGAAGCCCATCTAAACGGTTGTAATGGCTCTGTACTCCTCTCATGCTCCAGCCTGTTCCTCAGCTGGGAAACATGATTTAGAAAAAATCCACGTTGCCCCCTTTCTCTTGTACTTGCTGTGTGAACATGCAAAAGGTCTCATATTCTCCCTTGTTTTTCAAGCAATACATATATTGAGATTGAAGAGGACAGCATTGCTCTAGCTTTATTCTGGAATACGAAAAGAAACTAGATCCGAATCAACAGATTCTCAGAGAGTGATTTAATGTGTCACTGGAGCACTTATCTCCATAGCATCGTCACTTGACTTTTTGCCCAAATTTACAGAATTGCACATGTAAATCCCTGCGTGGAATACCCTTCATGTGGCTGTGCTTCTGCAAAGTCCACACTAACTCTCTCTTTTCTCTTTGATGCAGTGGCTGGCCCATAGCAAATATCATTGATTTCTAGCATGGTTTCAAAGGAGCTTCCAGAGATTTCCTGATATCTAATTAATTTCACCCTTCTCAGGCTCTTCTCAACTCTCTTGTCCTCATCCCGTCATCTCAGAATTCTTCACCAGAACTGAGAAGGTAGATACACAGATGGTTAGCCCCTTTTGGAAGCCTTGTCTTGCTCTGTACAGACACAGTCATTAGCGAACCACTCTTTTATTAATTTTCAAGAAGGAAAAACATACGCAGATGCCATTTTATATTACTGTTTAAGCATGTTAAAATATTATAAAGTGGGTTCTAGGCATTTTAACAGCAAAAGGCAGTGAAGGATATTTTAATAGTCACTATAAATAGCAGCCCATTGTACTACAATTATTAAGAGTTAATTATTGGGTGCAACAGAATATGGAACAGACTATTGTGCCAGGAAGTGTTCTCCAAGAGTCTATTTTATTTTATTTTTTAAATTTATTTTTAAATTTCAGTAGAGATGGAGTTTCGCCATGTTGCCCAGGCTGGTCTTGAACTCCTGAGCTCAAGCGATCCTCCCACTTCGACCTCCCAAAGTGCTGGGATTACAGGCATGAGCCACTGCAAAAGGCCAAGAGTCAATTTTAAAAACCAATCTGGGGTGCAAAGTAAAAAAGCAAAGCTTGCTGGGCTGTGGTGGAAACCTGTTGGCAATGGTGTAAAATAGAGCAAGGCATATCTGGACAGAGTCTTCATGGATGGTCACACTTTGTCCACGTAGGGCGAGAGAAGACAAAGAAATTGGTTCTCGAAGGTAAAGTGTTCTCTCTCTCAGCTCTGTAGGCCCAAAACCTTGAGAGTCCACTTACCCATGGATGATTGAGCCTCAGAATGGCTTATACTATTCCTAATCTGAACTGCACCAAAATCTAAGCCTGAACACCCTGTTTTCTGCACAGGCCCCATCTCCTTGGTCAGGAAGTCCATTTAGAGAAACAACATACTGTCTAGATTTTATATTGTGGTATAATTAAATGACATGAAGTCAGAATAGACCAGGTGCAGTGGCTCACACCTGTAATCCCAGCACTTTGCGAGACTGAAGCTGGTGGATCGCTTGAGCCCAGGAGTTCGAGATCAGCCTGGGCAACATAGTGAAACCTTGTCTCTACAAAAAAAATACAAAAATTAACTGGTCGTGGTGGCACACACCTGTAGTCCTAGCTACTTGCGAGGCTGAAGTGGGAGGATCGATTGAGCTCGGGAGGTGGAGGTTGCAGTGAGCTGAGGTCCCCCTACTGCACCCTAGCCCAAGTGACAGAGTGAGAACCTGTCTCAAAAAAAAAAAAAAAAAAAAATCAGAATAATGGAACTAAGAGGTCTTTTCATCTTCCTAATGGAACAACCTCTACCACCTAAATATTTTTTGTCAGACTTCTGCCCAGTTATCAGAAGTCAGAACATCCTCTCTCTGGGAATGCAGAAGATAATGTAAACAGACATATAGTAACCATATTTGCTACTTTCTCTGACGACAATGTTGATTTTAGGAAAAAAGTCAACAAAACACTGAACAAAGCCCTGAAATTTTCCACAATGATGCATCAAAAATCTTTTGACTCTGCAAATTCTCTTTTAAAAGTTAAAGTTTCCCTTGTTTTCTTCAGGTGCCCTAGTCAGGATGGGGCTGACCCTAGTCCCTTTGGGAAGAGCTCCCAAGTGCCACTAATGTCTCTATAATGCCTACAAAGTCCTATTCCCTCTAAGCAAAAAGGGATCCTTTTTTATTTTTTAACTCGATTCCTGCCTCAACTTGAGAAGTACACAAAGATCAAAGGACTAGTTGGGTCTTGTGAGAAAGCGACAGCTTTATAAGGGGGAGTTGGAAGTGTCTCGGTGCTGGATATGCAATAGTTCTTTGACTTTTGCTGGACTGGGCCACATTACTAATTCCTTTTCTAAGCCATTTCTACCCTAATCACACATTATTCACCACTCCCTTCTTCTCACCCTCCCATCCTTCTTAAGGTATTTGTTGACAATAGTATTAGGCACTATTTTAGTTACTAATCTGTGACTCCAGAGATCTGTAGCATCTTTTTTTCTTACTGTTTCCAGCCCTGTTTATAGCTTTTTAAACCAGTGCACACTCTAGATCTGAAGTGGGCTCTTTCGTTTTTTTGTTTTGTTTTGTTTTTCCAAGACACATCTACCTTTTCACATCACAAAGAGACCTTTTCCTCAAAAATGATTCCAGTGAGCTCACTCTATTGCAGCTTCCTAAGATGTGTAACTTACTCTCCCCAAGTTCCTTAGAATAGATATTATGGATACCTTGATATTATCATGAAAATGTGAAGTTTTTACATTGGAATGCCAAGACTTTAAAACAGGATAGAATAGGGAACCCAAATATAATTATGAAATCAGAAAGGCAAACATAATTCACCTTAAATCACATAGGGGAGGAGCTAGATTCCTCTAGTTAAGTAGTTTGATATGATGGAAAGCTAAAAGAGCAGGAAGGGAAAGAGACATAAATATAATTCATTATGTAACTATTATGTTTCATGTCATTTAATTTAATTTCCACACGAAGGCTGATATTTGGCTGTGCAGCAATTAGGCACTAGAATGGTCAAACCAATTGTTTTCAGCAGGTGCCACTCTGATTGGTCAGTGCCCAGGCTCTATCAGTAGTTAAATACTTGAAATATCATTTAAAACCACACCGAGCCTACATAATAGGTATTAATCCTACAAAGTAGTTATTTTTGTCTACATTTCAAAGAAAGGCTTAGTGAAGTTAAGTGAATCTACAGCTAGCAATGGAGTTTTATGAGAATTATCTTATTTACCCCTTTTTGAATACCCCTTAGGAGATATTGTCCTAATTTTACAGATTAGGAAACTGAGGCTCAGAGAGATTAAATAAATTGCCCCATGATGCACAAGTAGAAAAGCAAGAGTTCAAATTCAAGCCCAGTTCTATCTGACTCAGAGGTCCATTCATTTCATTATACCACTTTGCCTGCAAATGTCTTTGTGCTATATTTGCCACTAAGCCAACTCTATGTCGTAAGTAGAATTTTCTGGGATCCTAGCTTTGTATTGTTGGTTTCAGTGATCTCTAGGCCTTTTCCAGCCATAACCATCACGTCAAGGTGTAAGTTAAGGTCTTTGTTCAAGGAGTCAACAAGGCATTTGTGTATACTCTAGTCATTCCCATATGGGGAGTGCTTTCATTAGACAATCAGTTGCATCATTTTCCTTCATACGTTCTCTCTGGGATAAAGAGAGGAAGAACAACTTAACACTCTGGCTGGGTACTTTCCAAGTGTGGCCTGTGGGAACTGAACATTTTGAAGGTAGAGTTAGTTGATTCTGCTTCTGTAACTGAAATTCTCAGGATGCCAAAGAACTTTCCAACTTTCGTGTCTATGTTGCCCAACATCACTTCTGAGGAAAATTTCTGCTTATTGTTTCCCACCACAATCAAATTTTGAGAAGTGTTGTAATATAGTGCAGTGGAGGCTAGATAAGCAATCAGCAAAAATAGACCTAGGTTCCAGTCATGTTCTTCCATACCTGGCTACAGAAGTTCAGGCAAGGAGTTCCCCATCTCTTAATGTCTCATTCTTTTTTAAAACAATTTTTTTTTTGAGACAAGATCTTGCTCTGTCACCCAGGCTGGAATGTAGTGGCATGATCACAACTTACTGCAGCCTTGACCTCCTGAGCTTGAGCAATCCTCCCATTTCAGCCTCGTGAGTAGTTGGGCCTACAGGTGCACACCACCACGCCTAGCTAATTTTTAAAAACTTTTTGTACAGGTGGAGTCTCACTATGTTGCCCAGGCTGATCTTGAACTCCTGAGCTCAAGCAATTCTCCCGCCTCAGCCTCCCAAAGTGTTAGGATTACAGGCCTGAGCCACCATGCCTGGCCTGATCTCTCATTCTTTAACTCTCATGGGATTGTTCTGGGTATCAAATGAGATAATGGTGTCAATGTGCTTTTTAAGCTATACTTTCTTTTGGAAATACATTGCTGCATTCAACATTTAACTAGTTACAGAATTCCTTTACAGCCATGGAATTTTGGCATGGAAAAGGTGTTAGGATCTACTTCAGTGGTTAAACAAATTTATAAATAAAACCCTTATTTCAATAGAAACCTTATTAGAAAGAGCAATAAATAAAAAGGTAGAAGCAGAATTTAGCTGCTCTGGTTGAAGCAAAAGTGGGTGTACTGAGTTCCCTGCCAATTCTGCTTTTTACCATTATAGAGTTCCCTGAGTCTCCTGTTCGAAACCTTAAGTTTCCAAAGAAACACAGTTTGAAAATCACTTACATAATCCAAACCCTCATGTACAGATGGGCCTGATATCCAGAGAAGGAAATGGACTTGCCTAGTGCCATCCACCTCATAGAGGGAGAGCTGGAATTAGAAAGCACATAGCTCACCCATAATATGGCAATATACTTTTCTTGCATAATGGTAATTTTGATCAAGAGATAGGCAAGGATACTTTTTTCGACATGAAGTATCTGAATTAGGGTAAATACACATTAAGTAGCAGGTATTCTGGTGTGAGGGGTACAATTCTAGACAGTTTCACTCCAGAACCTGTGCTCTTTATGTTGGTTTTTGTATTTTGTTTTGTTTTTTTTTGTTTTTGTTTATTTTTGTTTGTTTGTTTGAGACAAGGTCTCACTCTGTCACCCAGGCTGGCGGGCAGTGGTGCAATCGTGGCTCACTGCAACCTCTGCTTCCCGAGCTCAAGCGATCCTAAAGCCTCAGCAACCCTCGTAGTTGGGACTACATGCATGAGCCATCACACCTTTATGTTTTAAAAGAACATGCCATAGTGCCTTTCACATAGTAGATGCTAAATATACGTTAATTCTCTTCTGGTCTTACTGAAAACAGGCGATATTTGGACAACCGTAAGTTGGGGAGGTAAAGAAAAGGGAGAGGAGGAACTTAAGCACTTGATAGAATCAGATCATATGGATGGGCAAACATGGAGTTAATATTACTATTCTTAATCACTTTCCCTACTTCCCACTTTCCTTAGCATCCTCCCCTCCACCCTTGAAAATCATCCAGTTTGATCTTCAAGTCATTGCACTAGAGCTGGCTGCTTTCCCGCTATAGGACTTCATCCAAACCTACACCCACACAAGCCATGTGTCTCCTCCCTCCTGTATCTCATTAAAGGCCATGTTGATGATTCAAAAAAAAAAAAAAATGAGAAAACTATGTTTGGAGAGAAGATTGTAAGCCTGGATACACTTGGCCAGGGCAGAACTTGCCTGTCTGCAGAAGTTCACTCTGATGAAAGAGGGAATTCTGCTTCCTATCCTCTCAGGATATCGTCTGTAATAAAGTTGCATTTGTGTTGCACTTTATACTCTCCAAAGAACTTTTGCAGATGTTATCACATGTGATGCTCACAAGAAACTTCTGAGCGAGGCAGAGCAAGTTCATTCAATAAGTATTTAATGCATCCTACTACCTGCCAAGCCTTGAGCTAGGCCTTGGCTTAAACATATGAATAAGGCTAACTCCTACTCATCCTCTCAGCTCAACACAAATGTCATCCTTTTCTGAGAGGATTTCCCTTTCCGGCCCCCTGCTTTCTCCTAATTTCCTGCTTATATCCTTCATCGGACTTATCAAAATTTAATTATAGATTTATTTGTTTATTGTCTGGCTTCTCTACTTGCACTGTGAGCTTCAAGAGGGTTAAGACGTGGTTCCCCACACATAGCACTGTGGGGAAGGTTTCATAGTCTGGTAGAGAAACAGACAAGCACACACAGAAGCATAAGAAACTACTCTTGATGCCTTGGAAGAAGTCTGTTTAGAGTAGGGTCCTAGTAACAAGAGGAACAAATTCTATTTCTATGTGTTAGAAAAAGCTTCCCTGATGGAGTTACATATGAGCTGAATCTTGAAACATTATATAGAAACAAAGGTGGGAAAATACTTCCCAAAAGAGAAAGCAACATAGGCAATAGCATGGAAGCATAAGCACAGAGCCATATTCTAGGAACTGTAAGTATTTTGGTAATTTCTGGAGCACGTAAGAGCGAAGTGAAGGGTGTGAGTTGGTGAAAGATGAACTTGAAGAAGCAAGAACCAAATTAGCAAGAGGACTGTGAATGCTGTGCTGCTCAGATTGAACTTCATTCCAATGGCAATAATAATGGCTACTATTTATTGACTACTTCCATTCACAATAACAATAGCTGCTATTTATTGACTATTAACTTTAAGCTGAGATATTTCTTTTTTAAAAAACTCTTTCTTATAGAAAATTCCACACATATGTATAAGTAGAAAGAACAATAGAATGAACCCCCGTGTACCCAATTACCCAGCTTCAACAATTATCAACTCATGCCAATTGTTCTGGTAATCTGTTGCTGCATTGAAAAACCACCCTCCAAACTTCATGGGATAAAACAAGAATTTTATTAGATTCTGTGACTTGGGGCACCAGGAATGTGGGCAGGGCTTACCTGGGCAATTCTGTTGGTTTTAGCACCAATTGAGGCCACTCAGGAGTGGCCTACTGATGGATGGCTGATAGTAGTGGCTAATAGATGAGCTGGTCTGGAGGGTCCAAACAAAGCTTCACACCTATGTCTGGTGGCTTGATGGAAATGGCTGGAAGGCTGAGATGAGCTGGAACTGTTGACTGGAATATCGAAATGTAGCGTCTCTGGCATGACGGTCTCAGGGTAAGTGTCCAGAGACAACTAGGCGGAAGCTTCATGAAGTTTTCTGACTTTGTCTCAGATGTCACACAGCATCACTTCTGCTATATTGGTTCTAAGTGATTTACAAGGTTTGCTAGGATGCAAAGAGAGCAGAATTAGATTCAACCTCTTAAATGGGGTGAGTGTCAATGTCACCTTGTAGAAGAGCACATAGAATGGGAGATATTGTTGCTGCCATATTTGAAAACACAATCTTCCACACCATTCCTGTTTTATCTATACCCCTACACATCCTCCACTTCCATGGACTATGTGAAACCAAATCTCAGACATCCCATTTTCATCTGCAAACATTTCTGCATATATAGACTTGTTAGTGGGCTTTTTTTTTTTTTTGCCATTTACAAATGAAGAAACTACAACCAAGAGAAGCTTGTATCACTTGTCAAAAGTCACAAACTAGCCTTTACAAAATTAAAAAAATTAGCCAGGTGTGGTGGCATATACCTATGGTCCCAGCTACTCTGGAGGCAGAGGCTGAGGCTTGAGCCCAGGAGGTCGAGGCTGCAGTTAACCTTGATTGCACCACTGCACTCCAGGCTGGGCAACAGAGCGAGAACCGGTTAAAAAAAAAAAAAAAGAAAGAAAAAAGCCGCAAAACTTACTGGTTCAAACATATGATTCCCTAATATGTTTGATTCTACTGCCTTTGCTCTTTTCATATTGCTATTTTATAATGGTGAGCCACTGAGGGATTTTATTTCGTGTATTTATCTTAAGAGCCAGGTTATCACTGTGTTGCCCAGACTTGAGTGCAGTGGCTATTCACAGGCAAGATCATAGGACACTGCGGCCTTGAACTCCTGGCCTCAAGCAATCCTCCTGCCTTGGCCTCTTGAGTAGCTGGGACTATAGACACATGCCACCGTGCCTGGCTTCCTGAGTGATTTTAAATAGAGAAGTGATATAATCTTGGCTTAGAAAAGTTCTTCTTAGTTACAACGTGAAGGTAGATTGGAAGGGCCCAGGGTGGGGACAGAGAAACCAGCTAAAAGGCTGTAATTAGTCTAGGCCAGTACTTCTCAGATTTTAATGTGCATATGAATCACCTAAAGATCTCAAAATGTGGATTCTGATTTGTTAGGGTCTGGAGTGAAGCCCAAGATTCTGTGTTCCCAACAAGCTGCTACTTGGCCGAAGACCACATTTTGGGTAGCAAGAGCCTAGGCTAAGAATGATGAAAGTCTGAACCAGGGAACGAATATTGGGAGTAATAAAGGGTTTACAAAGAAAAGAAGATAGAATCTGTAGGAATTGTTTATCAATAGGTAGTACCATTCCCATTTTCCTATTGATTCATAGAGAGGGTTAAAGGAGCTGAAAGAGTATATACCTAGTTAACAACTAAGCTAGGACCAGAACCCAAACCTATCAATTCCTCATCCCACCTATTTACCACCCAAGAGAAGGTAAACAATACAGCTACAAAGCATTAGTATTCCAAGTAAAACCAAACAATGAAAGTCTTTAACCAACGCATTCCACACAAAATTTAGTTCACATTTACTTCATTTTAAACTTATCTCCCTTAACCATTTCTTTCTTTTCTTTTCCTTTCTTTCTTTCTTTTTTTTTTTTTGACAGGTACTCACTTTGTCACCCAGGCTGGAGTGCAGTGGAGCGATCTCAGCTCACTGCAGCCTCAACCTCCTGGGCTCAAGCGATCCTCCTGTCTCAGCCTCCCAAGTAGTTGGGACTACAGGCGCATGCCACCACGCATGGCTAATTTTTGTATTTTTTGTAGAGACGGGTTTCACCTTGTTGCCCAGGCTTGTCTTGAGCTCATGAGGTTAAGCCATCCACCTGCCTCGGCCCCACAAAGTGCTAGGATTACATGCGTGAGCCATCCCGCCCGGCCCCTTAACTATTTCTTAAACTCTTTGTGCCTGCCACCATGTCTTTAGCATAAAGTGGAACATAAATCCAAAAAAAATCATGTGCTTCACTATATTAAGTTTTTAAAAGCAGCATTTTACGGTGTTTAGTTACGAGTACTAGGATATCCGGGAGCTATGCTACCCAGTCACTGGGCACTTTTATCCTGGATTTAACTGAGGAAAAATTTTACAGAGGGCACGAGATTTGACCTGGATCTCACAGGATGGGAAGGAGCTAGACAGGATGAAAGGAATGAAGTGGGCATTTCCAGGAGTGGAATGGTGGCAATCAGATCCAGTGGCAGGACAATACGTAATGTGAACTGCATATGTAAGTTACATGGTAAGTCTCTGCTCGCACTTCCAAAAACCCCCCAGAAAATCAGTTATAACAAAGAGGGGAAACCATGGATTACCTTTTCTGCATTAGTTGTTTTGGAGAGAATTTGCATTGCAGTAGGATATCTACCACTCAGGAAGGTGAGAATTGGGGATGGGGGTGGGAATAAGATGTGAGGTGACACCAAAGAGGTGAATATCAGATCCACATATCCATCTGTCTATCTGAATGGGCATGTGTTTAATGATTATCTCATCCCAGGGGGAGGAGGGAAGAAGCTTCTCTAGCTATTCTGTTCAGGGCCTGACCACCCCCTCCCATGCCCAGGAGGCATTCACAAATGAAGGCTCGAAGTTTAACCGTTTGAGGAACTACCAGACTGTTTTCCAAAGCAGCGGCACCATTTTACAATCTCACTAGCAATGTATGAGGGTTTCAGTTTCTCTGCATCCTCCCTGACACTTGTTATTATCTGCCTAGTGGATGTGACGTGTTATCTCATTGTGGTTTGGTTTACATTTCCCCCTTCCCAGGGCTAATGATGTTGAATATCTTTCCACGTACTGATTTCCAAATAGCTCTTGATGGCTGATTGTAGGCATTTATTCACAACTCTGGTAACACAGTCACCATATGACCCAGAAATTCGACTCCCATATATATACCCAAGAAAATTTAAAACATATGTTTACACAAAAAAAATTATACAGGAATGTTCACAGTAGTATTATTCATAACAACTAAAAAGAGGAAACAGTCCAAATGTCCATCAATTAATGAATGGACAAACAAAAGTGGTATATTCATACAATGGAACATTATTCAGCCGTAAAAAGGAATGAAGTACTGATACATGCTACAAAGTGGATGAACTTTAGAAACGTCACACTAGGTGAAAGAAGTCAGGAACAAAAGGGCACACGATTCCACTTATATGAAATATCCAGAATAGGAAGATCCAGAGAAATGAAAAGTAGAATGGTTGTTACCAGAGCCTGAAAGGAGGATGAATGGGGAGTAACTTCTTAATTGGTGTGGGGTTTTATTTTGTAGTGATTGATGGAAATGTTTTGGAACAAGATGTGCGCCACTGAGTTGTTTACTTTAAAATGGTTAATTTTAGCTCAAGGAGCCAGTTGGAACCGGCTCCAGCACACCACTGCCTGAAGATTTTGCCCTCTTAAGTCAGAAAGATCTTACTGTTTATGCCTTATGATAGTCACATGCCACCACTGAGAAAATGAGTACCGAAATGACTAGCACTTTGAATGGGAAGGGGGCGAACTCCTGGAGGGCAAAAATTCAATATCTCAAATATATTATCCTATCACCTCTCTGTCTACCTCTCTATCTACCTTCTTACTCACCTTTATTGAATACTGAATTTTCCCAACAGTTTTATTTATGGGGAGATTGAGAACTAGAAATAACTAAGATCATACACGTCTAGGAAGTGGCAGAGGTGGGATTTAAACTTTGGTCCACCTCAGTCTGTGTTCTTACATTTAAATGGAAGCCTCGGGGAGCCATGGGAGTGGTACATAGCCATGTTCCTTGGGTACCCTTAAGCTATGGGGAAACTGCAACACTAAGTATGGCTGCTTCCTAAAGACTTCAGTCCCAGTTCAGAACTGGTGGCTTTGGAGCATTCTGAGGAACTGTGGGGCCGTGGAACTGCCTAGCTGTCAGAAATGATTTAGTCAGAACCATGGGGCTCTACCTGATCTGAGGCTTCTTTTGCCATCCCTTTCAGAAAATCCAAAGAGGAATTTAAATATTTGGGGGTTTTCGTAGGGAGCTGAGATGCATATTGCTTCCAGGTACCTTTAGGGCCATCGTTCCTAAAGACCTCACTTACCAGATGAAGAAACAAGCTTATAGAGGGGAAATGACTTCCCTAAGATCACACAGCTGATTCAGTCAAGCATCACCAGTAGATGAAGAAGTAACTGGAAGAAATTTGTCCTCATCCTCAACCTCTCCATTTTCCATTCCATCTTTTTTAATGTTCCTTCCTTGGTATCTCAATAAGATATACTCTTAAAAAAACTTTATTATATTTATTATATAATTTCATATACTGTATATTATTTATTTATAAATTTCTTGTTTTTTTCTTTTTCTTTTTTTTTTTTTTTTTTGAGGCAGGGTGTCACTCCATAACTCAGGCTGTAGTGCAGTGGCATGATCTCGGCTCACTGCAGCCTCTGCCTCCCTGGCTCAAGCAATCCTCCCATCTCAGCCTCCCGAGTACCTGGGACTGCGGCTGCCTCATCATGCCCAGCTAATATTTATTTATAAATTATACATAATTTATATATTTTGCTGAATGGGTGATTGATTTCTAAAATATTTTAAAGCGAGCCCCAGACAGCGTACTATTGCAAGGTATATATTCATAAAAAAAAGCAGTATGATATATATAATAGCAGAACCTAAATAAACATAAAGCCTACAGTGGGCTGAAGGTAGGAGACCTAGGCCTTGTTTCATTTAGCTCTGCCACTAAGTAGCTATCTAATCATGGGAAAGTTGTTTAAGCCCTTAGTCCCAGATTTATTTCCTTAAAATCAAAATAAAACTATATTTTATTACGATTTACGACACTAAAATTCTATGACAACTCATGGCCAGACACGGTGGCTTACGCCTGTAATCCCAGCACTTTGGGAGGCCAAGGTGGGCAGATCCACTGAGGTCAGGAGTTCAAGACCAGCCTGGCCAGCATGGTGAAACCTCGTCTCTACTAAAAATGCAAAAATTAGCCTCGTGCTGTGGCACGAGCCTGTAGTCCCAGCTACTTGGGAGGCTGAGGCACAAGAATCGCTTGAACCCGGGAGGTGGAGGTTGCAGTGAGCCGAGATCATGCCACTGCACTCCAGCCTGGGGGACAGAGCAAGACCTTGTCTCAAAAACAAAACAAAACACAAAAACCTATAACAATTCAAATTCCCTGAGGGATATTTGAATTTAAAAAGCGAACAGGCGTTTAAAGTTCCCTGGTTACTTATCTGGTAAAGGAAAGTGATTTGGGGGAGCATTAGTTATAGCTGTGGCGATGGGAGAAGAATTGTTCAGAGGTCTTAAAGTTACGCTTTTCGCGCAGATGCCAAAACGTTTCCAAAGAAGGCTGGTCTTGACTACCACAGCTGCCAGGTGTGGTTCTGAGAAATGCAAAATTATGCCATAACTCCTCTTTACTAGTAGACTTTCAGGATTAGTTGTTTGAATACCCTGAAGATCAACTGTCCGAATTAAATTGAGAAACTGGTTTAAGGATAAAATATTTTCCACCTTCAAACGAATATCTATTTTCTGAAGTAGCCCAAAACTCCACAATTTGTTTAACCATAAGAGTTTTCTTTTTTCCTTTATTTTACTGCGGTTTGTGAGAAGTTAACGAAAGGCCAGTTTTTGGAAGTTGAATGCTGCCATCTGGTGGTTGACAGGCAGCAGTGAGCTGGAGTAGGGAAATCTTTCCGCCAGACCCGTGGCAGAAAACAAACTAACAAAAAAACCCGCAGGACTAAAGGCGTAAGATGTAGGGCCGGACACGGTGGCCACGCCTGTAATCCCAACACTTTGGGAGGCCTATGTGGGAGGATTACCTGAGGCAAGAGTTCCGGACCAGCTGGGCAACACAGTGAGACCCCCCCGCCCACCTCCCCCTCCCCCCGCCATCTCTTAAAGAAAAAAAAAAGCATGAGATGTACAAATCAAAAAGCAACTTAAATGCTTTTTATTTTACCCACAAATGTGTTTATTTTTTCTAATATAAGTAAAATATGATTATTTCAGGAATTTATAAAATATGTTAAAGTACATGTGGGGAAATACAAATTTCCTACAGTTCTTAAATTCTAATGCATTTTGGTGCATTTTTTCCAATCTTTGCTTATTGCATTCTTTGCAATATCCCGAGTGTCATTAAAAATTCAATTTTTTGCCGGGCGCAGTGGCTCACGCCTGTAACCCCAGCACTTTGGGAGGCCGAGGTGGGCGGATCACGAGGTCAGGAGTTCGAGACCAGCCTGGCCAATATGGTGAAACCCCGTCTCTACTAAAAATACAAAAATTAGCCGGGCGTGGTGGTGGGCGCCTGTAATCTCAGCTACTCGGGAAGCTGGGGCAGGAGAATCGTCTGAACCAGGGAGGCAGAGGTTGCAGTGAACCGAGATTGCGCCATTGCACTCCAGCCTGGGTGACGGGCAAGCCTCTGTCTCAGAGAAAAAAAAAAATCAATTTTTTTCATAACTCTGACTTTCATCCAAAAATATTTCTTGAGCACCTTATATATACCAAGTACTTCGTTAGGCACTAGAGATAAAATAACAAAGGAAAAAATCTAGAAAGTCCCTGTCCTCACAGAGCTTGCATTCGGGGTCAAGAGCAACAATAAACAAATAAAGACATAATTAAAGGTTAAATCATGAGAAATGCTATGAAGAAAAATAAGGCATAACAAAAGGAAATAAAATGATTACAGAGCTACTTCAGATAGGGTGGTCATGAAAGGCCCCTCTGAGGTAGTGTAATAAGTAACATTTGAGCAGCATTCTGAATGACCAGAAGGAGAAAGCCATGTAAATGTGTAGGGGAAGAGTCCCATAGGGCAGGGGTCCCCAACCCCCAGGCCACAGACCGGTATCTGTCCAGGTCGCACAGCAGGAGGTGAGAGGAGGCTGAGCTTCATCTGTATTTACAGCTGCTCCCCATCACTGGCATTACCGCCTGAGCTCCACCTCCTGTCAGATCAGTGGCAGCATTAGATTCTCATAGGAGCGTGAACCCTATTGTGAACTGTGCATGCAAGGGATCTAGGTTGCAAAATCCTTGTGAGAATCTAATGCTTGATGATCTGTCATTGTCTCCCATCACCTCCATCCAGATGGGACCGTCTCGTTGCAGGAAAACAAGTTCAGGGCTCCCACTGATTCTACATTAAATTGTATATTTCATTATATATTACATTCATTATATTCATTCAGTATATTCATTATATATTACAATGTAATAATAATATAAATAACGTGCACAATAAATGTAATGCACTTGAATCATCCCGAAACCATCCCCCCTGCCCACACCCAATCCATGATAAAATTGTCTTCCACAAAACCTATCTTTAGTGCCAAAAAGGTTGGGGACCTCTGCCCTAGGTGTGAAAAGTGTTCTAAGAGGAAAGGGAAGTGCAAATGCTCTGAGGCAGGAGCATGCTTACTGTATTAGTGGCATAGTAAGGAAGCTGGTGTGGCTGGGAAGGTGTGTGGGAGATAAAAACAGGAAGGAAATAAAATAGGAGAGCACAGCCAGAGATCAAACCACAACAGGGCCAAACCATGTACAAACTTTATTTTCCCCCACTTAAATCCATTTAACATAACAGAGCTCCATCTTGAAGGATGGGCAGGATCCACAGTCAGCAAAGGCGGGAAAGAACATCCCAGAAAGAGACCAATGATGAAGCAAAGGCGTGAGTGCTTTTAAGGTTAAGAGTATGAGCTCTGGGACTTGAGAGAGATCTCCCAACTCTGCCACTTCTGGTTGTACCATGATTCCCTTTTCCCGAACCAATAAATACAGTGTAATCTGTTAGTACATCATAGGCCCTATCTCTAGGAACCCTAAGATCAGACGAAGATGGCTACACTGATAGAGTGGTAATGATCCAGCCAAGCAGAGGGTCACCCAACATCCACTATTATTATTGGATAGAGTATTAGAGTGGGGATATAGTAGACAGGAGAGAGGGAGGGAGTTTGGCACATTAAAAAGTAAGAAGCAGAAAGACTGATGGATGGAGAGATGGAGACAAGGGGTAAGCACTATAATTTCACCTGATCTTGGGCAGGAGTTTTAACTACCACTAAGAAGTAAGATCCCGCATAATCTCAAATTTTAGTATACATCAAAATTTTCTGGAGGGTTTGTTAAAACACAGATTTCTGGGACCCACACCCAGAGGTTTTGATTCAATAGGTCTGAGGTGAAGCCTGAGAATTTGCAGGTTCCCAGGTGAGGCTGAGAATGCTGGTTTGAAGACCACACACAGAAAATTCATGCTATGATTGGTGCCAAATGAGGCAAAAATGGAAAGTTCAGTCAGCCTGTTTCTTTGTTCTGTTCACATACTGCCAAACAGCTAGACTGCACATCTCTCGGCATTGTCCAACTGATTGTTATGACAATGTTGTACTTCTGATGTTATTCAAGGCAGAGAGGGAGAGGTTTGTGACTTATATAGCTGCTGTTTCATATGGGGGAAAAACCATTTGAAGCTTGGGAAATATTGCTGGGCTCATTGCCTTATGCTGTTGCTTTTTCTTCTTGCTTTTTTTTTTTTTTTTTTGAGACAGTTTCTCGCTCTGTCGCCCAGACTGGAGTGCAGTGGCGCCACTCACTGCAGCCTCCACCTTCCAGGCTCAGATGATTCTCTCACTTCAGCCTCCCGAGTAGCTGGGATTGCAGGTGCACACCGCCCCACTTGGCTATTATTTCTGTAGAGACAGGGTTTCTCCATGTTGCCCGGGCTGGTCTGGAACTCCTGGGCTCCAGCAATCTACATGCCTTGGCCTCCCAAAGTGCTGGGATTATAGGTATGAGTCACTGCGCCTGGCCATACTGTTGCTCCTTACCCTAATTACCCATTAGCAAGCAAGACATTGAAAGCAATGTATCCATCCCATATTCTTTGTAAATGAGATTATGAGAAAACAAGCCTTTTAGTATTCTGGTAGTGGGGATGTCAAATGGTACAACCTTTCTGTACAGCAACTTCTTTGTAGCATTCCAAATATGTACTATTTGATCCAGCAATTTTACTTCTGGAAAATTATCATATGTAATGAATTGAAGAGGTACTGCAAATATATAAGTACACGAAAACTCACCACAAGCATAATTTACAAAAACTTAAACTGAAAACGGCCTAACTATCCAGCAATGGGGAACTGGATAAATAGTGTAGAAAGCTTTACTGTGGAAGAAGGCTTAGTGGCAGTAAAATAAATACGGACGTAGCTATTACAAGTTTGCATGTGTGTGTGTGTGTGTGTGTGTGTGTGCGTGTGTGTGTGTGTGTGATAATTTTTGGTATTTTGTATTTTGAAAAATTTCTGCAATTAACCTGTATTATTTTTGTGATATGAAGAAACATTCTCTCTCCAAATCATTTGCCACAAATTACATTAGGAAGCTTCATGCACATTGGGCAACAGAGTGAGACCACGTCTCAAAAAAAAAAAAGTATACAAGAAGATGTGTATAGCTTATATGCAATTACTATGTTATTTCATATCAGGGACCTGAGGACCCATGGTTTTGGTATCCACTGGGGTCCTGGAGTTAATCCCCCACAGATACCGAGGGACAAATATAGTATATTGGACTAAATCCACGTTCAACTTGAAGTTCGTTTTAAAAATAAATAATTGAAGTTGGCTTATTTCTTTGACCTTTGTATCCTTCATGAAGGTGCAGTACAGGAAGAGACTCTTTGTGAATTAAGGGCTCCAGGTAGAATCTAGTTAACTGCATTTTTTTCTGATACATAAAAGATACCTTTTTATACATCAAGTAGTCCTAAAACAGACATGAATTCTTTAATATCACGTGAACAAGCTTATTGTGCAATTCTATTACACTCACGTGATTATCCATTGCTTGAAAGTTGAATTTCAAGTATATTCCTCTGGGCTGGTGCAGAAAACTCTTGGTTGTAGTATATTTTGTCCTTAGGAGTAAAGTTTTAACCCTATATCTCACATTTGTGTCACTTAAGCATAATAATTAGTAAAGATATATTTGTCAGCCACTAATTAGATGAGCAACTTTGGGCCATTCAACTTCATGTAAGTCTCATTAACACCAGCTGTAAAATGAAGAAGGTATATCCAAGAATCTTCAAGCTCCCTTTTTAGTAGTTAGGTTCCAAGTTCTGAATCAGGGAGTATTAGTGCAGCATTCAGAAGGATTGTAAACATGCATTAATCTAGTCTTTTTTTAATCATTACATCAAAATATCTAGGTGAGTTTTTCTACCGTTTATCTTTTTTAAAAATTGCATGCATGCATTAATCTAGTCTTTTTTATATTGTTACTTCAAAATCCCTAGATGAGTTTTTCTACTGTTTATTTTAAAAAATTTCTTCTTCTTCCTGGGCTCAGGTGATCCTCCCACCTCAGCCTCCCAAGTAGCTGGTACTACAGTACCTGCCACCACACCCAGCTAATTTTTTGTATCTTTGTTTGTAGAGACGGGGGTCTCACTCTGTTGCCCAGGCTGGACTCGAACTCCTGGGCTCAAGTGATCAGCCTATCTTGGCCTCCCACAGTGCTGGGATAATAGGTGTGAGCCACCCTGCCCAGATTCTACTGTTTAAATGCCAAATCAATCTCACTATTTTTAAAGTATAGTTATCCCTATATGCATTTTGGAACAAAAGTAGCTACAGCCTTCATATAGAGAAAAAAAATGGATTCATGGTTGCCTTGGGCTGTGAGAAGGGGGGGAAAGGAGGGAAAGGGGGAGTGACTATTAATGGGTACAGAGTTTCTTTGGGGGACATTAAAAATGTTCTAAAATTAGACTATAGTATTGGTTGCACACTCTGTTAATATACTAACTGAACCGTATACTTTAACGTGGCGAACCTTATAGTATAAGAATTATATCTCAATAAACTTGTTACCAAAAAAGTAGCTGGAGCACATGGCTACATAGCAGTTAATATGAAAAGCAGCTCAGTTATCCAAAATTTCCTTCTGCCACATTGTAGAGGCATGTTCTACACGAGGACTCCTGAAAGGCTGCTAGTGGGGCCTGGTTCTTACTTTGTCTTACTAAAACAGCTCTTCACATAAATAAACAGTACAGAAGAGTTTTATTTTCTTTTCATTCTTTTTTTTTTTTTTGAGACATTAAGACAAGGTCTCATTCCAGTATCATAGCTCATTGCATTCTCACCTTCCCTGGCTCAGTTGATTCTCCCACCTCAGCCTCCCAAGTAGCTGGGACTACAGGCACACGTCACCACAGCCCGCTAATGTTTTGTATTTTTAGTAGAGACGGGATTTGACCATGTTACTCAGCTGGTCTCAAACTCCTGGGCACGAGCAATCAGCCCACCTTGGGATCCCAAAGTGTTGGGATTACAGGCATGAGCCATAGGACCTGGCTGAAGACTTTTTTTTAATGGGTAGTTAGATATTTCAAGGGAATATGTTTATCACATGTAGTCACATTCTGTTAGAGGTAAAATACAACAAAAGCCCAAATGCTGTGTGGTGATTCTGACATTGTCAGTTGAGTTGCTGTACTTAGTAGTCCAAATAAATCAGGTATTTTTTTCTCAGTTTTTTTTTTTTAGTCTGGTTATAAATGTTTTTCCTACCATGACCCAACTGGACCAAAAACTGTTTATTTTGGGGAAAAGGGAGAGAATGCTCTGAGTAATTAGTTTCCTAATTGTTTTTCAGTTGTAATTTCGCTTTTTCTTTATTTTCTTTAACAACATACATCTGGGTTGGCCTAATCTAATCATATGATAAAAGCAAAAGGGAGCAAAAGAATAAGTCAGAATGATTCAAAGAGTGAGAAGGACATAACCTTCTTTTGCTGGTTTAAAGATGGAGGGAATTCAAGCTGCCTCTAGAAGCAGAGTGCCGCTGGCTGACAGCCAGCAAGGAAACGGGAACCTCATTCTCACAATCCCAAGCAACTGAAATCTGCCAACAACTAGAAGGAGCTTGGAAGCAGATTTTTCCCCAGAACTTCCAAGTTAGAGGGCAGCCTGGCTAGCATCTTGATTTTGTCAGAGGCGTTTGAATCATCTTGAATAGGGGCTGGGTAAAATAAGGCTGAGACCTACCTGGCTGCATTCCCAGATGGTTAGGCATTCTAAGTCACAGGGTGAGATAGGAGGTTGGCACAAGATACAGATCAAAAAGACCTTGCTGATAAAACAGTTTACAGTAAAGCAGCTGGCCAAAACCCACCAAAACCAAGATGGTGACAAGAGTGACCTGTAGTCATCCTTACTTCTACACTCCCACCAGATCCATGACAGTTTACAAATGCCATGGCAACATCAAGAAATACCCTATATGGTCTTAAAAGGGGAGGGATGAATAATCCACCCATTCTTTGGCATATAATCAAAAAATAACCATAATAATGGGCAACCAGCAGCCCTCAGGTCTGCCCTGCCTATGGAGTAGCCATTCTTTATTCCTTTACTTTCTTAATAAACTTGCTTTCACTTTATGAATTTGCCTTGAATTCTTTCTTGCATGAGATCCAAGAACCCTGTCTTGGGATCTGGATCGGGACCCCTTTCAGGTGACAATTTCAGCTCTATGGAACCCTAGGGAGAGAACTAGCCAAGCATGCCTGGACATCTGACCTATAGAACTGCGAGATAATGAATGGGTGCTATTTTAAGCTGCTTTTTGTGGTAATTTTTGTTTTGCTTTGTTTTGTTTTTGAGACAGGGTCTCTGTTGCCCAGGCTGGAGTGCAGTGGCATGATCTCAGCTCACTGCAACCTCCGCCTCTAAGGTTCAAGTGATTCTCCCACCTCAGACTCCTGAGTAGCTGGGTCTATGGGTGCACACCACCACACCTAGCTAATTTGTGTATTTTTTGGTAGACACGGGGTTTCACCATGTTGGCCAGGCTGGTCTTGAATTCCTGACCTCAAGTGATCCACCCACCTCATCCTCCCAAAGTGCTGGGATTACAGGCGTGAGCCACCCCACCTGGCCTGTGGTAATCTGGCAGCAATAGAAAACTAATACACTAGGCTTTTAAATAATCTAACTTCTTTACTTTTACTTGTGGGGTTTGGTGTATAAATTATTTCATCACCCAGATAGTGAGCATATTACCTGATAGGTAATTATTCAACCCTCACCCTCCTCCCACCCTGCACACTAAAGTAGGCCCCAGTGTCTGTTGTTCCCTTCTTTGTGTCCATTTGTACTCAATTTAGCTTCCACTTAAATAAATGAGATCATGTGGTAATTGGTTTTCTGTTCCTGTGTTAATTTGCTTAGGATAATGACCTCCAGCTGCATCCATATTGCTGCAAAGGACATGATTCCATTCTCTCACAATAAAGTATTTTTAAGATAAGATATACACATTGTCTTTGTACATATAATGCTATTGCACATTTAATAGACTATAGTATAGTATACATAAAACTTGTGTTACAATCTTGCCAATGCACCACAATGTAGCAGTCTCTTATTGTGAGGTATTACCCAAAGTTCTTTGTCTCACAACCAAGAGAATTAAGGAGCATGGACGCAAAGGGTGAGGTTGGAGTGAAAGTTTAATAAGCAAAAAAAGAAAGCTCTCTGCTGCAGAGAGGGGGCCCGGAAGTGGGTTGCCATTTTTACAGTTGAACACAAAGGTTTTTATAGGAAACCAATGAGGGCTGGGCATCTCATTTGCATAAACCATGAATTTCTTGTAGCTCTGCCCTGTCCTCCTAATGTACATGCTGGCCCTTAGCTTGAGTTACTTCATATTGTTTTCTTTCCCTTACTGCACACATGACAGGGAACAGAATTTTCTATTGCAGCTGTGTCTGGGCAAGTCACCTGTGTAGCCTTTCTTATCTGTGCAGCTGTGGGCCTATCTTAGGAAAGCCCCCTTGTGCAAGTTCCCTTATCAGTGTGTGCCAGCTGTTCTTTTGGTCAAAAGGATTAAACTCAGGACCCACCCTAACTGCCTGCCTGACCTGGTTTTTTCTTTTCTCCTCTTTCACTTGTACATGCACTGGAAAACCAAAAAATTTGTGTGACAGCTTTATTGCTATATTCACTTTATTGGGATATTCACTTTATTGTGGTAGTCTGGAACTAAGCCTGCAACATCCCTGTGGTATGCCTGTATATGCAAATAAACTTCTAATTATTTTTCTCTTGTTAATCTGTCTTTTGTTACAGGGGTCTGTCTCAACTAACTCAGAAAAGGTAGAGGAAAAAGTATTCTTTCTTCCCTTACATCATCACTAGGCAAAGTCCTCCACTATTGGAGCCAACAGCATTTGGAATACTGAAATTTATTTAGCATGTCTAGTATGATTGTATTTCTAAAGAGCAGAAGAGTTTTAAATTTTAAGATTGAAAATGAGGAAAAATCTTCACAGCATTGAAGTCTTCAACATGACATTGCCTGCATGCTTTAAGCAGAAAGGGTACAACATCAAGACATTTATAATCACCAGAGAAAATTGATGCATGGAAATCTCAAATAAAAATAAAACCAAGCCAGATGGCTGGGCACGGTGGCTCACTCCTGTAATCCCAGCACTTTGGGAGGCCAAGATGGGCGGATCATGAGGTCAGGACATCGAGACTATCCTAGATAACTGGGTGAAATTCCGTCTCTACAAAAAATACGCCAGGCGTGGTGGCATGCACCTGTAGTCCCAGCTACTTGGGAGGCTGAGGCAGGAGAATTCCTTGAACCCGGGAGGCAGAGGTTGCAGTGAGCCGAGATCACGCCACTGCACTGCAGCCTGGGCGACAGAGCAAGACTCCGTCTTAAAAACAAAAACAAAAACAAAAACAAAATAAAACAGAAAAACAAGCCAGGTAATTTTACTTAAGAATTTTCTGGTTCTGCATTAGGATTATTTACAGACGTTGTTATGGATTGTTCAGTCAGATTCTAGAGGCTCCCTGCTGAAAAATACATTTTTTTGTTTCATATTGTCCATTTAGAATAATTAAATATAGTTATACAGATGTCTGCCTGCAATTACCTTTCTATGATTTTTGTAGGAATTACACTCATTTCCTGGTGTTATCCAAATGGGAAAAGTTGAAACAAATCATCCAAAAGCCATCCTTACTCAGCACAAGGTGTTTATTGTCTATATTTAAAATTGACTCAACATTTTCAGTGACAATATTCTCTTTGCTTGATCCTCAGTCTGACATTCAATTTCAGATTTTTTGCCACTATTACCAGATGCAAGAATGTCAAAGCCAGTGAACCCCTAGAGATCAAGCTGGCCAACCTCTTCACTTAAGAGATAAGGAAACTGGGATTCAGAAGAGTCAAAAGACTTCCTGAAGGACTGATAGCTAGTGGTGACCCAGAGGCAAACTCTCTTAAGATCTCGATGGGGCCTGGATCAAAACACTGCTTATCAGAATCTAGAAAAGATATCATAGTTGGAGATAAAATCTACGAATAGTGCCCTGAAAATCTTTATATATACTAGGCCTGTGACTTTGACTGTATTCATAATAGCTAAGTGAGATAGAAAACTGTATTATCCCAATAACTTAATATACTCTTTACTGTTATTTTAAACAATTTCTTTTCAAATTTGGGGGGTAAATAGTATCTGTACATATTTATGGGGTACACGAGATGTTTTGATACAGGCATTCAGTGTGAAATAAGCACATCATGGAGAATGGGGTATTGATTCCCTCATGCATTCATCCTTTGAGTTGCAAACAATCCAATTACACTTTTTAAGTTATTTTAAAGTGTACAATTAAGTTATTCTTGACTATAGTCATCCTATTGTGCTATGAAATAGTAGGTCTTATTTATTCCATTTTTTTTGTACCCATTAGCCATCCCCACTTCTCCCCAAGCACCCCACTACCCTTCACAGCCTCTGGTAACCATCCTTCTACTCTCTTTGTCCATGAGTTCAATAGTTTTGATTTTTAGATCCCACAAATAAGTGAGAACACGCAATGCTTGTCTTTCTATGCCTGGCTTATTTCACCTAACATAATGTCCTCCAGTTCCATCCATATTGTTGCAAATGACTGGATCTTATTCTTTTTTATGGCTGAACAGTGGTCCATTGTGTACAAGTACCATATTTTAATCCATTTATCTGTTGATGGACACTTAGGTTGCTTCCAAATCTTGCCAATTGTAAACACAGCTGCAACAAACATGGGAAAGCAGGTATCTCTCCGACATACTGATTTAATTTCCTTTGGATACATAACCAGTAGTAGGATTGCTGAATCATACGGCAGTTCTATTTTGACTTTTTTGAGGAACCTCCAAGCTGTTCTCCACAGTGGTTGTACTTATTTACATTCCCACTGTTAAAGCAAAGTAAATATGGCCTGAGACGGACTCCATACTTCTGTATTTAGGTTCTTGCGGATGAACCTAAATAAGTAGACAAGATTGAAACCTTAACTTAGGAATATGTGCCTGTAACAATAGCTGAGTCAATGCATGAACATGGAATATTTTTCCATTTTCTGGTGTCCTCTTCAATTTCCTTTATCAGTGTTTTATAGTTTGCATTGTAGATATCTTTTACTTCATTGGTTAAGTTAATTCCTAGGCATTTCATTTTATGTGTCTATTATAAATGGGATTACTTTTTTAAATTACTTTCTCCACATTGTTCACTATTGACTTATAGAAATGCTACTAATTTTTGTATGTTGATTTTGTATCCTGTGACCATACTAAATTTTTAAAGTCAGTTCTAATAGTTTTCTTGTGGAGTCTTTGAGTTTTTTCCAAATGTAAGATCATATAATCTGCAAGCAAGGATAATTTTACTTCTTCTTTTCCAATTTGGATGTCCTTTATATTTTTCTCTTGACTGATTGCTCTAGACAAGACATGAATGCCTGCTTTTACTACTTCTATTCAACATAGTGTTGGACATGCTAGCCAGAGCAATTAGGTAAGAGCAAGAAATAAAATGCATCCAAATTGGAAAGGAAGAAGTAAAATTATCTGTTTGCAGATCACATGACCTTATATGTAGAGAACCTTAAAGATTCCACTAAAAAACTATTAGAACTAATAAACAAAGTCAGCAAAGTTGCAGAACACAAAATCAACACACAAAAAGCGTTTGATTTCTACAAACTAACAATTAACAATCCAAAAAGGAAATTAAGAAAAAAATTCCTTTTACAATAGTATCAGAAAGAACAAAATATTTGGGAATAAACCTAACCAAGGAGGCTAAAGACTTTTACACTGAAAACATCACTGAAAGAAATTAAAGAAGGCACAAATAAATGGATATGAGGCAGGAGAATAAGGTCTGGAGGCAGGGAATATAAGGCTAATTCACCCTTACTTCCGAGAACTAAATCAAATGGAAATATCAAATGGAACTAAATCAAATGACAGGAAATATCCTCTCCATTTACATAGGGTGTACACTAAGTAAATTATTTTCTAACTTTACTTCATCCTCTTCATTCATATAGGGCTTATACCAAGCAATCAATGGAAACCTCTAGAGGGTAATTAAACCCAGAAAATTCTGAAACAGGGTTCTTCAGTCCCTATGCTCGGGACCACTCCCATACTGTGGAGTGCATTTTCATTTTCAATAAATTGCTGCTTTTTTTGTTTCATTCTTCCCTTGCTTTGTTTGTGCATTTTGTCCAGTTCTTTGTTCAAGACGCCAAGAACCTGGACACCCTCCACCGGTAACATACTGGTAAGCCAGCCAGGAGGTAAGCCCGAAGTTTGGAATTTAATTTTCTCCGTTTCCTTTCTGCTTCATACAGGGGAATCTCTCTCTTTCTCTTTTTCTTTCCAATGTGGGAGCCTTGGTGAGCAGCAGCTAAACATGGAGGCAACTGGAGGTTTCCGGCCATGGCAGGTGAAACTAAGGGGCGTCCATGTGGAGGCGCCTAACCACCACCACCACCCAGTTTGGGTAAAGGATCTGGGTCTTTTTCCTTTTTTTCCCCCTCTCTTTCTTTACTCTTTTCTATCTTTTCTGGTTGTGGTCCCTGATCTCTACATGTGGCGCAGCTTGGAGCAAACTCACACGCTTTTCAGGTGACTGAAACCTTCTTTTCTTATGCTAAATTCTTCCCTTCTACTTGACTGGCTAAGGACAAAAGAAATCCACCTAGCCTTTAGTTTCCTATCATTAAAGTTCATAGCTATCACTCTAACGAAGAACAGGAAGCATGGGAAAAGGTGGCCTTATAAATTAAAAGGCTGCTAGAAGTTGAGGCCTTCATCCAGGGACAAAAGGAAAGCTCATAGTAGGCCATCACCTCTGGAAAGAAAACATGCAAGTGGCACTGGTGCCCACCTAAGGTCAGAGACGTCTGACAATCTAAGATTGGACCTCAAAGGGGGATACCCTGGGGGATCCTCCAGACCTCAACAACTCCAAATGGGATACCCTTAGCAGAGGTTCTGAGGTCTAGTATTAAACCATCCTTAGAATTTTCTCTTGCAGTTGCAATACTGTTTGGCCCCAATATTGTTTGGAACCTGGATTTTACTGTTGAATGGGAAAGTGGGATGGTATTGCATGTATCCAGGCTTTTGTGCTGCTGTTCTAAGCAGGGGGCCTGGTTAATGTGTGATGCTCTCCTTTGGTGCTGTTTGGCCCTAGTGTTCTTTGGAGTCGGGAGGTTTGGCCTTTAAAAATCACACTGCCATGGAAACTGCTTTATCTGAAACTGGTTCACAGCCTTCATCGGATTATCTATTGGGGCAAACAAAGTAAAATTGGCAAGCTTGTATTGCTATCTCATGGCTAAGGTTCCAAACTATTGGATATATCAAGTGTTTGGCATAGAAGGTTATAAAACTATAAACCTAGCCAAAACAAAATGATCTTGGTTTGCGTGCCTTTTTTTTTTTAATGAGAGTAATTTGTGAAAGGAAAATATCTTGGGCCACAAAAATCACTAAGCTGAAGGGAAAATTCAAGCTGATACCTGCTTAGGGCAAACCTATCTTCCATTCTATTCAAAGTTATCCTTCTGCTCACTGAGATAAATGCATATCTGTTTGCCTTCTTCCGAAAGGCTCATCAGAATCTGAAAAAGAATGCAACCGTTTGTTTCTCACCTACCTGTGACCTGGAAGACCCCTGCTCACTTTGTCCCGCCTTTCCAGACTGAACCAATGTTCATTTTACATATGTTGATTGATGTCTCATGTCTGCTTTGTTAAAAGTGAAAGAACTGAGTACAGTTAATGGAGTAAATGTTTTAGGTAACTTTTTGTGTAAATTATTTTTGATGCTCAATTACTATCTGGGTCATTTCCAATTAAGAAAGGGTTGTGATATGGGGAAATATGTTTCCAAAATTGTGGAATTGTTCTTATCTATAAATGCCCATATCTTATGGTTCAGGATTTCTTGCTTTTTAGGGTTTCACTAAAGTTTTAGGTTACTAAGGATAAGAATTCTAATTAACACATAATTCTGTACACAAAATGTGCCAGAAAGGGTTATGTTATTAGTGAGAAAAAGAATAATTTTGTCTAATTATCCGAAAGTTGGTTAAACAATGTGTTAAGGAACCAGTAAGTAGGAGAGAAGATTGTGGACAAAGTTTAGATAATAAAATATTCTTTAAAACCTGATAGAGAACTGGAGACATTTGGCTAATTAACATTTTCATAGTTAAAGCTCTTAGGCCTGATTAAAGTAAAATAAGAAGTATTGTAAAGAAATGCATCAGCAGTTAGGCAATTCTTTTTTTTTTTTTTTTAATATAGTTAAGCCTGAATGTAGCATGGAGCCAAATTTCACATACATGGTTGCATTGCTTCACACTATGTTTACTGTTTTGTGCTTATAGTACTGGCACTGGAGTAATTATTGGTCATGTGCCTAGAGTGAATTTCTTTATTGCATAGGATGTATGGTGACAGTGGTGAATTTAAGGATATTAAAATGTGTATCAGGGATAAAATATTCATTATGTGGTTTTTAGGGGGCCCTGGGTAACACTGTAGACTCCAGGGAAGACTGAATAGAAAAGGTTTAGGGTTGATTTCCTGTTTGTTTTTGCTTCTAGTTTTCATTCATTTGCTGTTTATTCTTCTCTGGCTTTGCTTGTGTATGCATACGTAAAACCACTTTTTTTTTTTTTTTTTTTTTTTAGTTTCTAGTGGAAGGCTTTTATTTGGTTCTGTGAACAGTTACTTTGTTTCCTATGTGTTTCTAGCAAGTCATCATTTGTTACATTTCCCGGGAATTCCTAGGCTACCTTTGTTTGGCTACAGGAATTAATGGAGCACATCAGCTTTTTCACCTTAAACTAACTTTTTGGAGTTTACGCTTCCTGATACTTTAAGTGTGTTGAGTATACTTTTGTAAATAGAATTTGAGTCATATTTCTTGCTTTCTGCCTAATTTGTCCAAAATTTGTAAACTATTTGTGAATATTCTTAATTCATGGCAATGTGTTTGTTTGCATAAAGTCAAGCAGAGTTGCTAGGATTGCTCAGGGAGAGAGAACACAGAAATCTGACATGCCAGCAAAAGGGTAAGAATTTCTTAGCAGTCAGACTCTGGCCTCTCTGCAAACCGGTTAAATGAAAGGTAAAAGTCACTGTTTATTTCCTCTGTAAAGTTTTAATTAATATAAAAAAGAACTCTGATGTTGGTCTTATGCTGTTGTGAATCTGGTGTGCTTTGTGTGTCTTTCTGTATTGTTCTGTCATAAAGAGGGGTACCTTAAGATAAAATGTGTGCCTAGGACCCCCCATAGGGCTGTTGTTCAACATGGCCCAGCAAGCTGGTCAGTCATGTTCTTGGGAGCTTGACTTTGTAACCATGTGGCCATGCTTTCTCTTTTCAAAATGGCTGCCTGGGTTTAGGGTCCGATTCCTGGATTAGAGAATGAGTCCTTTATCTTCTGTGTATTTATATGCGTTGTGTGTATAATATAAAAGAACTTTAACTGGTTTAATAATAATAAGAGCTTAAATCCAATATTTTGTCAGAAAAGTAAAAAGTGCAATGCCTTTTAATTTATGTGACTTAAGTAATCTTTGGGAAATAAAGACAGTTTTAAAGATTATTGGTAAAATAAAAATATCTTCAAAAATGTAAACATTTGGTCTAAATTATGCAGGTCGAATATTAGGTATGCTAAATGCTTTAAGGTCATAAACTGCTTCTTTGACGTTTAAAAATTGTTCAATTTATTTTGGAGCATTAGATTCTAGATAAGGCCTAGGGACATGTGAAATTAGCCACGCCCCATAGCTATGCAAAGAAGGTTATAAAGAAAAGAGATTATATATAAGAAAGGAACTTGTATGGTAAATTCTTGTCCTAAAGTAAAATAACTGGTTGTTTAAAAGAGGGATGTTTAGGACAAGTCAGAAGTCCAATCATGTCATAGATGGACTGTGTTAAGTTGTGAAAGAATTTATGAAGGAGAATTTATGCAAGAAGTGTTATACAATTTAAAGGTGATTAGGCCTCCTAAATGCTTCATAAAATGCCACTATGACTCTTAACTGTATAACTTGCCTGCTTTACAGCTAGGTAATGCCTGAGACACTTGAAGTTAGATGCTGCAGAGTCAGACCTTATCTGCACCCTATCTGGGTCCTAGGCTCCACATCTAATACACAATTAAAATCCTGAACTTACCAAGGTTTTCACCAAAAGTAAAAGCCACTAAGAGTTAACATTATAACATGTAATTGAAACTACTGAAGAAACAGTTTTACATGCAAGGTGTGTAGAAAAGTGAAATGTGTTTTTGGTAGAAAATTATAAGAAGACATGGGAGTGTAAATTTTTTAAACCTTTACAATATTTAATAGGCTTCCCAAAATCAAATTTAAGCTTTACAATTGTCTTTTATTCTTTGACATGTTTAGTTACATGGGAAGCATTGTCAAAATTAAAAAAATAATGTTTAATCATCTTCAGGTTATATTTTAGTGAATAATATTAACATATGTTCCAAAATTATATGGGATTTATAAAATTCTAATATGTCTGAGTATATGCTATCAATCATAATTATGTTTATTATGTTCCCAATGTAGGTAAGAAGTTTTTTTATTTTATTTTTTTTTGAGACAGAGTCTCGCTCTGTCCCCCAGGCTGGAGTGTAGTGGCGCAATCTCAGCTCACTGCAAGCTCTGCCTCCTGGGTTCATGCCATTCTCCTGCCTCAGCTTCCCGAGTAGCTGGGACTACAGATGCCTGCCACCAAGCCCAGCTAATTTTTTGTATTTTTAGTAGAGACAGGGTTTCACCGTATTAGCCAGGATGGTCTCGATCTCCTGACCTCAGGTGATCCACCTGCCTCGGCCTCCCAAAGTGCTGGGATTACATGCGTGAGCCACCGTGCCCTGCCAAGAAGTTTTAATGGTACAAACACTGCCTCATAATCAGTCAGAAACAGAACATTGGTTCACTCCTGTTAACCCACATCACAGGTTAAAAAGAACATTGCTAGGAGGTCTTCACCCTTCTAGAAGGGCATCATTCGTTAGGTACTTTTTCCATGGTTTGGAGTAAAAGAAGCAATGATTAAAAATGTATCCCTTATGATAGGCTTATAGCAAATTCTACTGTACAGGCTACAGTTACACAATAAACTTTAAATTCTCTTGTGAAAGTTATGATAGAATTGGTTGAACAAAGAAGTAGCTGTGCAGCTGCTGATACTCATGGCCTATGGAGAAAACATTGGGTATTATAGAGATTCAGTTGCAGCGGATTAATGAAGAGACTGCTTAGTTAAGTGAGGAGACTCTTTAGCTCATTCTTTGATCTATTTGATTTTAGGAGGTTTGGTTTATGGGGACCCCGGGTAAGAAGCATACTCCAAACTCTTGGTATGATTCTCCCAATAGTCATAATAATAGTCTCCCTGGTGCACTGTATTCTCTCAAAGGTTTTAAATGCTTGCATGGAGACATCTCTGCAATGTCAAATGGTCTCTCTTCAACTGGAATGACAAGAGCTGAAAAAAATGTGCTACTATGAGGACACCATAACCTATGCGTAATGTGCTGAGAGTGGAAACGCAAAATGATGGTAACTGAGGGTGGCACTAAGGCCCTAAGTTTTGGTCACACTCTCACCTAAGTGAGAACCTAAGCAAAAAGGGGAAATATTTTTAAACAAAATTAAGGAAGGCCATTGTTTTGGACTGAGCTCATGCACTAGGCCCCAACAGAACAAACCAAACCAAAATGGAGTTGCTTGTGTAAGACTTTAAGCAAACACATAGATCCTAGAACAGACCAGGTTTTGTTTTTTCTCCTGCAAATCTCTATAATAAACATTCCTGACAGCAGAGGTATCCACTTCCTGAAGTTCCCATTAAATCTTTTAACCAAATTCATTTCCTGTTGCCTAGAGACCATCAAGCTTCAGATGATCATGCAACGAGGGTTCCAGCCAGTTCCAGGTGAAGACACTACCCCTGGCCATCAAGGAACTACCCTGCCTCCACTAGACAGAGCAGTGCGAGAGTTCTATTATCCCCAATAGGTAGGGACTATGCCCCAAGCCAGTATGAAGCAGTTACAGAACAAGGACCATTGGTCCCTCCGCCACCCATAAAGATTTATGGGATCACATCTCTCAGGTGGGAAATGAAGCAGGAGAATAGGGTCTGGAGGCAGGGAACATAAGGCTAATTCACGCTGACTTCCTAGAGCTAAATCAAATGGAAACACTTCAGCTACGACAGGAAATATCCTCCCCATTTATACAGGGAGTATACCAAGTAAATTACTTTGTAACTTTACTTCATCCTCTTCATTTACATAGGGCACATGCCAAGCAACCAATGGAAACCTCTGGAGGGTATTTCCCCAAAAATCTGTTATGGGGCTCTTGAGCCCCTATGCTTCAGCTGCTCCCACGCTGTAGAGTGTACTTTCATTTTCAATAAATCTCTGCTTTTGTTATTTCATTCTTTCCTTGCTTTGTGCATTTTGTCCAATTCTTTGTTCAAGACACCAAGAACCTGGACACCCTCCACCGGTAACAAACAGATATCTCATGTTCATGGATTATACGACTTAATATGGTTAAGACATCCATAATACCCTAAGAAATATATAGATTCAATGAAATCCCTATCAAAATCCAATGACGTTTTTTGCGGAAATAAGAAAATTCATTCTAAATTTCATATGCAATCTCAAAGGACCCCAAATAGACAAAATAATTTTGAGGAAAAAAAAGAACCAAGTTGGAGGACTCACACTTTTTGACTTCAAAACATAGTACAAACTATAGTAATCAAAATAGTGAGTGCCATCAGCACAACAAACACACAACAAAAGAAGAAACTTGGTGTCCAGGGGAGGCCCCCGGCGGCAAGCCGCAGTGGGCGCAGAGGCCAGAGAGGAGGCGAGGGGCTGCCGGAGCACAGGGAGGGAGCGAGGCCAGCTGTCATGCTCCCGTGCCCCCTGCACCGCGGCCACAGCTCCCTGGCCTTGTATGCCTGCCTCGCGGGTCGCCTGGGGCTGCGCTCGGCCACAGCGCAGCTCACCACAGCCCCGAAAGGAGCTGCACCAGTGCATCACGTGGCAGCCCCACGCCCAGAGAGCACCGTACCTACTGGCCTTGGCTGTACGCGGCCCCACAGCTGGTGGCGCTGGCGGCCTGGTTGCTTGGCAGCCAGAGCTTGCAGGAATATGGGACTTCTTTGTGGGGCCTACGCAGACAGCAGGCCAGAGTGATAAACAGGTTGGTAAAAACCCTGTGTCCTTGGAGAATGCTGGTTCCCTTTTTCCAGAGGGGAAACCCAGGGCTTGAAAGGCTGCGGTTGGCACTTTGAGAAGGAAGTAGAGAGTAAAGACAGGGCCTGGAGCACAGGACTGGGGAAACCCTTTGGAAATCCAGCTGCAGAAACAGACACCCCAATGCTGTTTACATACAGCTCTATATATATAGAAAAAGAAAGTATGACCTACTTATCAAGTACATGCCTTGTCGAGGACATGGTCACCTTCCTTTTCTGCACCTTCCAATGTGAAGTTTGATATTCTGTAATGTCTGGGGCACCAGAAGAGAGATGCCTGCTGTGTGCTTAGAAAATCTGCATACCAATGGGAATTAGCTCCAGCATCAACCAACTGCCTGGGGACAGATGCTGGTGGAATAAGAGATAACATTGCAAAAGGCATGAGAGAAAGAAAAAAAAAAGTGAGGACTTGGTGCCAATTGTGTAGGGGCAGTCTAGGATACCTCCATTTCTTGGCACATCCTAGCTTCTCTCTGTACACCTACCTAAGTAGATTGCTAGATCCCACTGTCATGTCAAGAGGACTGGGAATTTTGTTTTTCCTACCAAAAAAAAAAAAATGGCATCATACTGGCATAAAGACAGACTACAGGAATAGAATAAAAAGCCTAGAAATAAACCTTTGGTTATATGATTAAATGATCTTCAACCAGGGTGCCAAGACCACTCACCGGGGAAAAGACAATCTTTTCAACAAATGGTATTAGGAAAACTGAATATCCACATGCGAAAGAATGGAGTTTGACCCTTATCATATACCATATACAAAAATTAATTGAAAATGGATTAAAGATCTAAAACAATAAAACTCCTAAAGAAAACATAGGGGAAAGCTTCATGATACTGGAATTAGTAATAATTTCTTGGAACGGACATCAAAAGTACAAACAATAAGAACAAAAAATATGCAAATGAGACTATATTAAAGTTAAGAACTTTTGTGCATCAAAAGACACAATCAACAGGGTGAAATGACAACCTATGCAATGGGAGAAAATATTTGCAAATCATATATCAATAAAAGGTTAATATCCAGAATATATAAGGAACTCCTACAACATCAAAAACTCAAATAACCCAATTAAAAAGCAGGTAAAGGACTTGAACAGCCATTTCTCCAAAGATGATATACAAATGCACAACAAGCATGTGAAAAGATGCTCAACATCACTAATCATTAGAGAAACGAAAATGAAAGCCACAGTGAGATATCATTTCATATCCATTAGGTTGTCTATTACCAGAAAAATGGAAAATAACAAGTATTGCTGCGCATGTGGAGAAATTGGAACAGTTGTGCGCTGTTGAGACTGTAAAATGGTTCCACTGGTATAGAAACAGTATGAGGGTTCTTCAGAAAATTCAAAGTAGAACTACCATATGATGCAGTATTCCCACTTCTGGGTATATTCCCAAAAGAAATGAAAAGGTAGTCTCAAAGAGATTTACAAATCCATGTTCTTAGCAGTACTGTTTATAACAGTCAAGTTGTGGAAGCAAGCCAAATGTTTATCAATAGATGAGTAGATAAAGAAAATGTGGTATATACATTCCAACAAATATCATCCAGCCTAATAGATGAAGGAAATCTTGTCACATGCTACAGTATAGATGAATGTTGATGACAAGATGCTAAGTGAAATAAAAGTCACAAGAAGACAAATCTTGTATGACTCTACTTATATGAGGTATATGAAGTAGTCAAAATTGTAGGAAAAAAATAAATGGTAGGGAATGCTGAGGGAAGTGGGAAAAGGGGAGTTGTTGTTTAATGGGTATAGAATTAAGATCTACAAGATGAAAAAGTTCTAGAGATGTATTGCATAATAATTTGAATGTATTTACTACTGAACTGTACATTTAAAAATGGATAAGATGGTAAATTTTGTATCTTTTTAACCACAATTTTTTTAATGAAAAAATGAATAAATCATTCATTTTTCATGACTCATATGATGTTTTTAGTTGGTAGAGGTTTTTAAAGTCATGTAGTCCAAACTCCTCCTTTCACATATTAGGAAATTGAGATGCATAGTTATTAACTAATTTGTCCAATGTCATATACTTTGACAGATTTGGGACATGGAGACATGTCTTCTTATTCTTATGTCACTTCCACTTACTCATGCTACTTATGCCGCATTAGAGGCCAATTCCTTAGAAAAATGCAAACCAGATTCTCACTGGCATCTTCTTTCAAGAAATAAGAAAAATACGAACAACTAGGCAACAAATGGGGCTAGGGAAAAGTGAAGAATTTGGGAATAAAAATAGGAAAATCAAATAATAAAATCAAGTATCAGAAAAAACGTCTGTCTTCAGAATGACATACAATATATTAGGGATTTGAGACCCAAAGATCTGATTGTCAATTATAATCAAGCCTGAATCTATTTTAAGAATTACTTGGAATGCTGTCTAGTATTAAAATCCAGAGAGATGCTAAATGATGAGATATTAGTTGTCACTCTATAATTGGAGTTCAAATAGCAAGCACTACTAAATTAAATACGTAATTTCCTCCGAAGCTATTATCTATGTTTAGAAAAGCTTTAATCAGGTGGACAGCCCAACTAATGTAAAGATATGCATATTTTGCCACACATTTCATTTTGCCACACCTAGTGGGGGTACAAAAGACAGTTTTTGTTCTGCTATCCCTCTCTACCTATCAGTCCAGCCAAGGAAGGCATTTGACTATGAGTATTATTACCATATCAGGAAAGAAGACAAAAAGCTGCAATTATCAGGTATTTTAAGGGAGTTAAAAATTCAAATTTACACCTTGTTTGCATACATCCTGTTTAGAGTTTTTATTGGGAGGCATATTAGTTTTTCAAAAATGAAAATAAGTTATTCCAAACTTCATAAATAAATAATATTCTGAATATGCTATCATATTTTATTTGAAGTGTTGGCCCAGCTATTTATTAAGGCCACAATGGCCTTCTGGATTTAACTTGTTTGTTTAAAGCAGAAATGTAGCCTCTCTGGCATATCTTTACCTTCTGGTGAACCTGGCCTGAGGGGAAGATTTTGAGTGGGATCATGAAATCACTGAAATCTTTATTTTATACTTGGTATAGAAGCAAATTTTAGTTCTGAAGGGTGCTATTAAACCCATCTGGTCAATTTATTGTTATTCTAATACATATTAGAGTAGAAAGTTATGGAGTAGAATAATTAATCTCCAAAATATCAATTAATACATGTTAATTTTCTGTAATTTATGTATTCTTTAGTAATAGCTCTACATTGATTAATTTAACCTTAACCATTCAGGTGGTATCTATTTGTGCTGAGAATATGAAAAAATTATAATGGAACATAAAGGAAAAAAACTGAGTGGACTTATTCATTATATTTTAAAATGTATTTGCAAAATGATAGGAATATGCCAATGGACAATAATTTAAATAGAATTTTTAGTGCCTTAATGGAAGTATTATGCCACATGACAAACAAAAATTGATATGTAAAATTAAGTAAAATGTGTACAAATCCCTAATAAATGCAGAAATATGGATTGCTTGTCATCAGTATTAAACATTTTCATTTTTATAGCAGATTATGTGTATACTGCTAATATAAGTAGGGTGGGACCTTTTGCATTAAAATGATGCCTGCATCAGACATCATCTACATACACAATAACTCATACACACATCTTGGAAATACTTTTTTTTTTTTTCTGAGACAGAGTCTTGCTCTGTCACCCAGGCTAGAGTGCAGTGGCAAGATCTCAGCTCACTGCAACCTCCGCCTCCCGGGTTCAAGCAATTCTCCTGCCTCAGCCTCCCCAGTAGCTGGGATTACAGGCGCTCGCCACCTCGTCCGGCTAATTTTTGTATTTTTAGTAGAGACGGAGTTTGACCATGTTGGCCAGGCTGGTCTCAAACTCCTGACCTCAAGTGATCCGCCTGCCTCGGCCTCCCAAAGTGCTGGGATTATAGGCATGAGCCACCACGCCCAGCCGGAAATAATTTTTTTTAGCTGAAGTAAGTAATTCTGTGCAGCAGTTAATATGAACCTAAAATATTTGACTAGACATTTACAGTCAATACAAACAAGGCAATCACTGAGAAATTAAAACTAAAACTTTTATTGAATAACCAAACAAACTGCAGTTAACATATCTTGTGTTTTTAACAACATAACTCCCAGTACATTTAAATTTCTGTGTTTCTTTTGCTAGGGTAGACAGACCTACCCTAACAGTTTTATAAGGCAACAGTGAATATATAAATGTATTCAAAATATATTCAGAAGGTTAGCATTACATCTATGCATAGAATATATCCTCTCATATGGTCTGATTTGAGGAAAGCAGAAAAGTTCAGCTGCCCAAAGATACATCTACCATTTGTCTGCTAAGGACTCTCTGAGGATGGCTTAGGAAGGAGACACAAAAGAGATATTCATTATCATAGATTATATATTATCAATTTGGCAGTTAGTTGTTAGATTAGCTTACCTACCAGGTTGGAATGTCCAAGGGGCACTGGACACTAAGTCAAGTTGGAACGTCCAAGGGGGACAGGACACTAAGTCAAAATATTCTAATTGTGGGGAAGGCCCAATAGGAAAGGCTGAGTACATACGGCTCTTCCAGGGAAAGCAGACCTACCGGGAACAACTTAATGGGACATCCTGGGTAACTGGATGATAGCTTAGAGGACATCAAGTTGAAACAATATTGATACTATGTATGTATTACCTCCATTCTAATATTTATGTCTTTGTCCCAATATACATGTTTCAACAAATACATATTTAGCCATTAGAATATAGATATATGCTTTTCTATTTCCACAGAATTCAACACATTGTTCTGATGATTAAGTAGTTATTGTATTTTTACCTGTTGAGTATCTCTGATGTCTTTCTGATTGGCCATGAGATCTCCCTGACTGATTTATGAGATCTCTCTCAGTGGCCACGAGATCTCTCTGAGTGACTATGAGATCTCTCTGAGTGGCTATGAGATCTCTCTGAGTGGCTATGAGATCTTTCTGAGTGGCTATGAGATCTCTCTGAGTGGCTATGAGATCACTCTGAGTGTCCACAAGATCTCCCTGGCTACGAGATCTCTTTGAGTGACCATGAGATCTCTCTGAGTGACCATGAGATCTCTCTGAGTGACCATGAGATCTCTCTGAGTGGCCATGAGATCTCTCAGATTGACCATGAGATCTCTTGTATTGGCCATGAGATCTCTCATATTGGGGATGATGTCTCTTTAGCTGCCCTTGAGATCTGTCTGACTGAGAAAGAGATCTCTCTAAGTGGTTTCGGGATCGCTCAGAATGATGATTTTCTTCTGGTTGGCCCTGGGATTCTTCTGATTTGTCCGGATTTCCTTCTGATTGATGCTGGTTCCCCTCTGACTGGCCTTGATTCTTCTCTGCTTGGGCCTCATAATTGTCACTGCACTTCTCCTGAAAAGGATCCCAATTATTCAAAACAAATGAAACATATACTTCATGATTTAAGTCATAATGATATATTCTCAAGACCATTTTTATGGGCAACTATTTCTTTTAGAATTCCACTGTGCTTACTTTTATTTATCAACCAGTTTTTAGAACTAACTTACAGAATAGCTCCATTGTATCGTGTCACTGGCACAAAAATGCTATGCAACTAAAACTTTAATAAAATAAAAATATGGAAAATTAGTTGTTTTATGAGTTTGACTGTACTCTAAGGTCATGTTCTACCTACCAATTTCTTGATCTATGTTTTACTAAAGAAACAACAGATTCTGTGACTTTGATAGAATATTTTGTAGTGTAAGTCCTTAGGATCAAAAGGAAAGTGTTCAAAATCATATTGTTTACTCTTTGCCTACTCAATGATTAAAAAGAAACTATCTTTTCATTATAAAGTGATACTTAATTCTAGAGAGAAAGACGAAGTAAGGAAGGGGAAAGGAAGTTGTAAAAAAAGCAGAAGGTTGGCTTAATACTATTCAAGTAAATTAGCCTGGCAACAACACAGCCTTTCTACCTTTTCAATTTTTAAGCCAAAAAGACAGTGGAGTGAATCAGCCAAATGGAAATAACGAAACCTTTGACAAATCTCTATGATGCTACATAAATGTAAGTGGATAAAGTCATATAGACCATGCTGAGAAATCAAGCTTTCTACTAGTATATGCTGCCTGACAAACACAACATCCCCTCAATTTGGCATTATGACTTTCTAGTTTAACACTACCAGAAGCTGGAAGCAACTGCTAAACAGCAGGGAAGGTACCAGCACAAAATGTATTATGCACAGAAAACTTATTTTAAAATAAAAATGTAAAAAATTAGTTGTTTTGCTAAAACATAAAGCTATAGCCACTCTCCAGCTTTTGTACTGAAAAACCTAAATAAGGAGATTGGGTGAAATGCACATGTACCTTTTCTCTTTTCTAAGTGATTGGTGTTGGGAGCACAGTGGGTCAGTAGGAAAGATAGGACTGAGTTCCATCTTCTAAAGACCCGTATGTATCCAAGTACCTTTCCAAAGGAGCTTGCAGTCCCTTTTATGAATGTTTATATAAGAAATAAGTATATAAGAAATGTACTATGTATTTCCTACCTTTGGAAAACAAAATGCACATTAGTTTTCTTTCCTTACAAACAAGTGAAGCCTTCTATCAAAAGGTTGTGTTGAATAAATACATGGGGTGAACAAATACAACTGTGTTCCACTGATAATAAGACAAAATCTTGTTAAGTACGAAACTAGCTTAATAGAATTGTAAAGTATTATTGAAAACTGTAATTATTCAATTTATTGGTGAAATAATTATGCTTAAATTTTAATACATTTCTTTATTGCAGGGTATTTTTTTTTTCTAGTGAGTTCAGCTATGATAGTCTCAAAAGTTTCAAAAGTATGAATAATAGAAGGATACTTTCCCACCCTGGGCAACATAGCGAGACCTCATCTCTACAGAAAAGAAAAAAAAAAATTCGCAGAGCATGGTGGCACGTGCCTATAGTCCCAGCTACTTGGGAGGCTGAAGTGGGAGGATTGCTTGAGCCTGGGAGGTAGAAGAGGCAGTGAGCCATGATCACACCACCACATTCCAGCCTGCGCAACAGAATGAGACCCTGTCTCAAAAAATAAATAAATAAAAGGACAAGGATGCTTTCAATTTGAAAATATTGTTTAATATTTATTCTCAGTTTATTTATGCATCTTGGACTGCATCAGAAGGAAGCTCATGTTCTTCTTCCCAAACTGTATAAAAAAATCCCCTCATCCTATAAGGCACAGATCATATGCCATCTCTTCCATCAAAGTTTCTCAAGAATCCCAATCAGAATGAATTTCTACATCCCCACAATGTATAACTTATGTCCTATTAAGCACATACTGCATACTGCCTGGCATTACATTTCTTTCTTAGCTTTCTCTTCCACCACCACACAGACTATTTGAAGCAGGCTGTTCTGGTATCATAGTGCCTGCATAGAGTAGGCATTGAATCATAATTTGAACAATTTAAAGTAATCCTTTAAATATTTGAAAATGCAACATGTTTTTCTCCAAAACAAATAAATGAACAAGCAAATAAATAAACATTTGCATTTACATGATTTGGCAAAAATGATTTAAGCTCCCAGAACTGCCATTTTTGATAAATGACCACTTAACACCTTAAGAAGAATCAGTTTATAAGCTAGGATGAAACATTAACACCAATGTTAGCTAATGATTCTGGATCTGAGCACCTCTCAAATTTCTGTCTATTGACTGGCTCACCTATACGTGTTTAGAGGAAATGGATTTGTACAGGGATAGTCTGTGCCACCTGTTGCTTCCAGAGTATATTTCATATCTGATATCATCTGACTTCTGGCTTTTACAGTTCATTCACAAAGATACTAAAACTCTTATATTATAACTTAAGCTCAAAGCCTCTGTATGAGGACAAATAAAAATTCTTATATAGGATTAATGACAATAATTAATAATCTATTTTGGCGTTTTATAAATTCAAAAGTTTTAGTAATGACTGAAAATAGCAAAAATCAAATGTTTATTAAAATAGTTACAGGGGAAAAATTAACTAATAAACATTGAATTTAAAATATGTTCAAGGCACCATGGAGGAATACCAAGAAACAATCCCTGCTTTCAATAGAATTTAAAGTAAATCATTAATATTAGGAAATATAGTAAATGTAGGATTTTTAATATTGGTTAATTCTTGGTACTTATCTACCTGCTCAATTAAAGGCTGCCCATTTAAAGGGTGTTGTCCAGACTTGAATCCAGAAGGTTTTTGGGATGGTTTTTTATCATGATTTCCTTCCTCAGAGTTGCTTCTGCATCTTGAGTAGCCTTTGAAAAATAAATATTTTCTGTATTTTCAAGTAGTAAATTCAATGTATCTTTCAGAAGTATTATCTCTGATCTCATTTTTTTAAGGCTATGCACTGGGTTTTGCAAAACTTTTGATATTTCATTACTCTGGTATCATCTGGGAGTCTCACTGAATTCTAGAACAGTCTTTGCCATACTATTTCAATTTGCATACCTTAATAGGGTAGTCTTCTCAGTATATAATACGTCAATTTTGGTTTCATATGCCACCAAAGTTGGGACATACTATCTGAAATTAAATGAAAGAATACTCCAGTAGAAAAAGGAGAGATGGAGAGAAATTGTCTGCTTTGTATTAATCATGTGAATATTTGTCTCAATTGTCTGCTTTGTTTGGGTATAAAGACAGTTTAAAAACCCATCAAAGAATATCTCCAAAAGGCTCACAAAGATCAATTTTGTGATGACTGGTTAGGCACATAAGAATGGGCCACGTTACCCTTTTTGGCTGCTCTGCCCCTGTAATAACTATCATCGCTTCTCTTCTCAGAACATGCTGAGCCACTGAAGATTCACACAAGAACTTAAATGAAGCTGCATAGGCAACTGTCGGGGCTTATAGTAATCACAATGTCAAAATGGTTCCAATCTGTTGACTAGATTATGAAGACCTTTAATTGTTGAAAAGACTTCTGTATCGTGGCAATCTGTAGCACATTCATATTAAAAAATGCATACTGCAATTACCAATGAGGTTAAGTATATAGAGGACATTTGTCATGTTCTACCCTTCTCTTTTTGTCTTACAACATCTGTATTTTCAAAATGTGGATGCCATAGTGTTCAGATTATTGACTATGCTCTTAACCCTCCTGTATTGCCTCCTAAAAGTGGAACTGGACCAACCAACCCAGGCTTGTAAACAAGTACAAAATAACTCTCAGCTCATATGGTTACTTTTTTTATCCCACTCTCCATTAGGGAAGTAATTCTTATAAATTAAAATAAATTTTTATTCATATGACATGGCATAAATTCTTACCAACCCTGTATGAGCCCATGCCCAGAAAAAATAAAACAAGCAACATAATGCAACTTTAGAACAATATTGTGAATTCTTGATTTACTTATCTAGTTATTCACAAATATTTCAGACTCTTTTTACCACGTGTGACTATTTTCAGCATACTTTACCTCTCCGATGGCGATGTCTATGAGCTTTTGATTGCTGTCTTGAAGGCGATTCCTTTTTACTATGGTTCTGTCTTTTATTCTTTTCTTCTTCAGCATTTGTCCCTTCTAACTCTTTATAGATTATAATGTCGTCTGTATTAGAAAATACATAAAAAATGAATAAAATGGCAAAAGCCAAATAATGTCTCGAGTGAATAATCTATATCTTATCTCATCATATTTCAGAATACCTAAAAACTGGTAGCCCTAAAAATGATAATAATAATAATAAATTTGTTAAACTCTAACAAAGGTCAAACAGTACCGACATCTTAGGTTTGCTGGAACAAGAAAGAACAATTCCTGTTAGATATATGGTAACTTTATTTATGCAAAAGCAAAATACTTTCACACTGCAATAGCTCAGGGGGGATATCATCTAAATAAATGATTTTACTAAATGTTATTTCAGTGTCATAGAAATATAGAGCAAGAGAGTCATTAAGTTGCTGACTAAATAAATGTAAATCAGCAATTAAATGTAAAGTGATAGACCATTAAATGTCTATCTGATTAAATGTGATAGACAATTAGTTACATGTATATTATCAAAAACTAACAGAGAAAAAAGAAGTGACAAAAGTAAGAAAGTGGTGATGGAAGTTCATAGAAGACACCACAGAAGTGAGGAACCTAGATTATTGTAGTAGCAGGAAGCAATCAGACTTGACTCTGTAGTCAGGCACATATTTACGTACTCAGGCAGAAAGCACTTACATGGCATAATTTAAAGAATGGCAGACAGGTACAACTTGCTCTAAAATATCTCTCCTAACATTTAGAATGGAAGAGTCTACAGGTGGGATGCTCTATCAGTGGATAAAACTTTACTCATGTTAAGGCATCTTTAGAAATAAGCAAAAGCCCCCCACACCTTCTGGAAGCTACACTCAGGAAGAAGAGAAAAAGAAAAAAAGAAGGACAAGCTAGGTATTTGGAAAAAACTGGAGATTCTAAAAGAAAAGAAGAGCTGAAAAGGGTACAAAAGAGGCAGTTGGGTGACACAGATTAACCACTCCTTTATTATTTTGCTTAGTACTAGTGCTGCCTCAGGTCTCTAAATATCTGATTCTGGGATAGGAAGCAAGATGGCAGAATAGAAGCCTCCACCGATCGTCCCCCCAGCAAGGACGCGAATTTAACAACTATCTACACAGAAAAAAACACCTTCATAAAAACCAAAAATCATGTGAGCACTCATAGTAACTGGTTTTAACTTCTTATCACTGAAAGAGGCACTGAAGGGATAGAAAAAACAGTCCTGAATCGCCAATGTCACCCTTCCCCCAACTCCCGGCAGCAATGACATGGTGGTGCCAAGAGCATCTCTGGGCACTGGGGAAGGAAGAACACAGCAATCATGAGGCATTGAATTTAGTGCTGTCCTGTTAGAGCAGAAAGGAAAAGTGGACCAAACTCACCTGACACCTGCCCATGGAGGGAAGATTTAAACCAGCCCCAGTCAGAGAGGAATCACCCATCCCGGCAGCCCGAACATGAGTTCCCACAAACCTCTCCATCAAGAGCTACAGTGCTCTGGATCTCCAAGTAAACCTGAAAGGTAGTCTAGGCCAAGCTTTTCTAACCTGTGGCCTGCAGGCCATACACAGCCCAGGACGGTTTTGAATGCAGCCCAACACAAATTCGTAAACTTTCTTAAAACATTATGAGATTTTTTCTGCAATTTTTTTTAGCTCATCAGCTATTGTTAATGTTAGTGTATTTTATGTGTGGCTCAAGACAATTATTCTTTCAGTGTGGTCCAGGGAAGCCAAAAGATTGGAAACACCTGGTCTAGGCCATAAGGACTGCAACTCTTAGGCAAGACTTAGTGCTGAACTGGGCCAACAGAGTGTGGACTGGGGGGGCCACATGACATACTGAGACACCAGCTGGGGCAGCCAAGGGAGTGGTGGCATCGCCCCTCCCCTAACCCCAGGCTGGACAGCTCACAGCTCCAAAAGAGACCCACCCTTCCACTTGAGAAGAGAGGGAAGAGTGGGGAGGACTTTGTCTTACATCTTAGATACCAGCTCAGCCACAGCAGGATAGGGCACCAGTTAGAGTTATGAGGTTCCTGTTTCAGGCTCTAGCTCCTGGTCCACATTTCTAGACACACCGTAGGCCAGAAGGGAACCGACTGCCTTGAAGGAAAGGACCCAGCCCTGGCAGAATTCATCAACTGTTAACTGAAAAGCTCTTGGGCTCTGAATAACTAGCAGCAATACCCAGGTACTATGTTGAGAGCCTTGGATGAGACTCCGAGACTTGCTGGCTTCAGGTACCAGCACAGCTACAGAAGGGTAGAACACCAAGTGGGCTCTTGGAATCCGTGATTCCAGGACTTGACTCTTGGATAACACTTCTGGAACTGCCCTAGGCCAGAGGGGAGCTCACTGCTCTGAAGGGTGAGTCTCAGACCAGGCAGCATTCATCCCAAGCTGACTTAAGAGCCCCTGAGCCTCAAGGGAACATCTATGGTAGTCCAACAGTACTCTACCTGGCCTAGGATGACTGGCTATGGGGTGAGGCTCCTCTGCCTTTGGAAAGGGAAGGGAAGAGTGGGAAGGACTGCATCTTGTGGTATGAGTGCCAGCTCAGCCATAATACAATAGAACACCAGGTAGACTTCTAAGGTTTTTGACTCTAGGTCCTGAGTCCCAGATGTCACTTCTGGACACACCTCTGGCTTGGGGGACCTTGCCACCGTGAAGGAAAGGACACAGGCCTGGCTGGTTTTGCTACTGGCTGATTGTAGAGATTCAGGGCCTTGAGCAAGCTGGGCAGTAGCCGGGAGTATTTGCAGCAGGCCTTGAGTGAAACCCAGAGCTGTGCTGGCTTCGGGTCTGACCCAGCACAGTCATAGTGGTGGCGGCCACAGGGGTGCTTGTGTCACTCCACCCCAGCTCTGGGTGGCTCAGAACAGAGACACTCTGTTTGTTTAGGAGAAAATAAGGGAAAAGAACAAGAGTCTCTGCCTGGTGATCCAGAGAATTCTCCCAGATCCTGTCCAAAACCATCAAGGCGGTACCTCTATGAGTTTGCAAGAACCATAGCGTTACTGGGCTTGCGATGTCCCCTAAAGTAGAAACTGCTTAGATCACAACACTGCAGTCCTTTCAAATATCTGGAAAGCCTTCCCCAAAAGGATGAGTACAAAGAAGCCCAGACAGTGAAGACTACAATAAATACCTAACCCTTCAATGCCCAGACACTGAAGAACATCTACTAGTATCAACAGCATCCAGGAAAACATGACCTCACCAAATGAACTAAATAAGGCACTAAGGACGAGTCCTGGAAAAACAGAGATATGTGACCTTTCAGACAGAGAATTCCAAATAGCTGTGTTGAGGAAACTCAAATAAATTCAAGCAAAGACAGAAGGAATTCAGAATTCTATCAGATAAATGTAACAAAGACATAGAAATGATTTAAAAGTGTCAAGCAGAAATTCTGGAACTGGAAAAATGCCATTGGCATACTGAAGAATGCAGAGTCCTTTAATAGCAGAATAAATCTAGCAAAATAAAGAATTAGTGAGCTTGAAGAAAGGCTATTTGAAAATATACAATCAGAGGAGACAAAAGAAAAAACAAACAAACAATGAAACACACCTACAGGATCTAGAAAATAGCCTCAAAAGGGCAAATCTAAGAGTTATTGGCTGTAAAGAGGATGTAGAGAAAGAGATAGGGGTAGAAAGTTTATTCAAAGGGGTTGGGAGTGGTGGCTTACGCCTGTATTCCCAGCATTTTGGGAGGCCGAGGCAGGTGGATCACTTGATGTCAGGAGTTTGAGAACAGCCTGGCCAACATGGTTAAACCCCACCTCTACTAAAAACACAAAAATTAGCTGTGTGTGGTGGTGCTCACCTGTAATCCCAGCTACTTGGGAGGCTGAGGCAGGAGAATCGTTTGAACCTGGGAGGCTGAGGTTGCAGTGAGCCAAGAGTGCCACTGCACTCCAGCCTGGGTGACAGAGCAAGTTTATTCAAAGAGATAATAAAAGAGAAGTTCCTGAGGTGAGCGGATCACAAGGTCAGGAGTTCAAAACCAGCCTGGCCAACATGGTGAAACCCCGTCTCTACTAAAAATACAAAAATTAGCTGAGCATGGTGGCATGTACCTGTAATCCCAGTTACTCAGGAGGCTGAGGCAGGAGAATTGCTTAACGGGGACCTGGGAGGCAGAGGTTGCAGTGAGCCGAGATTACGCCACTGCTCTCCAGCCTGGGCTACAGAGCAACACTCTGTCAAAGAAAAAAAAAATAGTTCCCAAACCTAGAGAAAGATATCAATATCCAAGTACAAGAAGGTTATAGAACACCAAGCAGATTTAACCCAAAGAAGACTACCTCAAGGCATTTAATAATCAAACTCCTAAAGGTCAAGGATAAAGAAAGGATCCTAAAAGCAGCAAGAGAAAAGAGACAAATAACAAACAAGAGCTCTAATATGTCTGGCAGCAGCCCCTTCAGTGGAAACCTTACAGGCCAGGAGAGAGTGGGCTGATATAAAGTGCTGAAGGGAAAAACTTTACCTTAGAATAGCATATCCAGTGAGAATATGCTTCAAACATGAAGAAGAAATAAAAAGTTTCACAGACAAACAAAAGCTGAGGGATTTCATCAACACCAGACCTGTCCTACAAAAAATGCTAAAGGGAGTGCTTCAACCAGAAAGAAAAGACATTAATGAGTAATGAGTCATCATCTGAAGGTATAAAACTCACTGGTAATAGTAAGTACACAGAAAAACACAGAATATTATAATACTGTAACTGTGGTATATAAACTACTCTCATCCTAAGTAGAAAGACTAAACGATGAACCAATAAAAAATAACTACAACAACTTTTCAATACATAGGTAGTACAATAAAATATAAATAGAAAGAATGAATAAGACCTACTATTTGATAGCACAACAGGGTGACTATAGTCAATAATAACTATATGTTTTAAAATAAAGAGCGTAATTGGATTGTCTGTAACTCAGAGGATGAATGCTTAAGAGGATGGATAATCTCCATGATGTGCTTATTCCACATTGCAATTGCACGCATGCCTGTATCAAAACATCTCATGTACCCCATAAATATATACACCTACTATATACCCACAAAAATTACAAATAAATAATAAACAATTACAATAATAAGAAAAAAATCTGATTCTGATTTTCTTTGAAATGGCTGACATCTCCTGGGATTATAGGTGTGAACTACCACGCCCAGCATAAAACTTATTTTTAAAAATGTTTTTGAATTATCCACACCTTGGAATGTGTTGCAAGGTTTTTCTTTAAGTGAAATCATACGTAATTTTAATCCTTAGACTTTGTAGTTCCAGAGACCACCATTTGATTTGTTGGATTGTAATGGAATTGGGTAGATCTCACCAGCTACGACTTAGAGATGAAATCAAATTGCTGCTCAGCCTCTTCATATTGAAGAGAAAGCAAATGCCTATGAACCTGGGTAAGCTGTCTAAACGCCCTTCCAACATAGGCTATGAGGTTATGAAGAAAGCGTCCTTAATGCTACAGTATTTTTGCAGATTCTCATGTCCTTTTCCTTAGTTCTCAGAATATATCATTACAGAGACACGGGGCTTTGTTCATTCTGCTCTCTGTAATGATATTCTCCACTGAATCCACCTAGAGAACACTTAGCCAATCTCTCAAGGAGAGACATTTGATCCAGGCCTCACCAAAGAGCCTTAAATTTGAATTCTTGATATACTTACTCTCAGAAATAAACTGTCAGGACTGAAGAAAGACAGTATTCCTCACACAGTTTAAAACTGATCACACTGCTTGAGGTGCCATATGAATAATTACATTTTTATTTAAATTGCATAATTAATTTTCTTGTGAAAAGTATACTTATATTGCATTTTATTTTACAGTGGGTTGAAACCACTATTTTATATTTATAAACATGTAAAATACACCACAATTTTTGTTTTGCCATTTTTTAAATATTTAAAACACTGGAAACCTCAAAAAATGTAAGTGACTTAGGTTCCTCTCAACTTCTGAAAAATTCTGACTATACATACTTCCAGAATACTTAAAACAATGTATAATTGCACATATTTACTTAGCTGTCTCTCCAGCTAGATTAGGAGGTACTTGAGAAGAGACCACTGTTTATTTACTAGTGTACTAAGTGCCTAGCACAGAATACAGAGTGGATAATCCATATTTGTGGATTCGTGGTCCAACATATCTAGCAGGCAGAAAGAGTTCTTTTCTTTCTAACTACAACACTTTTGCATCAGTCTCTTTTAGGTAAAAGTAATTAACAGGGGAGTGGAGTTCCTATTAAGTTCTTGCTGTTACCAGTTCGAATTTTGGTCTTATTTTTGCCTTTTATTTGTTTTAAAAAAAAAAAGGACTCTAATACTTTTTGGGTATGTTTACTGAGGGCAAAAACAAAAATAAATCTGTAGAGCCTTTTCCTACTTTAGCGTGTATTACAATGGAAGTAATAACCTTGCATCCAACATACTACTGCTTTTCTAAAGCATGTGTTTAGTTATCTAAAAACAAAGATATGCATTGTTAAAAAGTATTATTTTCACTGAGAAAAACATGGGGAAATTTATCAGGAAAAAGTATGGCGTTCTCATTACATCATAGAAAGCAACATGTATTTGCTATTTATTGTGTATTTTTCTTGCCTTCAAACTGCAAGGGCCTCAGCCTGGCACGGTGGCTCACGGCTGTAATCCCAGCACTTTGGGAGGCCAAGGCGAGAAGATCGCTCGAGCCCACGAGTTCGAGACCAGCCTGGGCAACATGGCGAAACTCCGTCTCTACCAAAGAAAATACAAAAATGAGCCAGGTGTGGTGGTGCACACCTAGGGTCCCAGCTACTCTGGGGGCAAAGGTGGGAGGATCGCTTGAGCCTGGGAGGTCCAGGCTGCAGTGAGCTGTGATTGTGCCACTGCACTCCAGCCTCAGCGACAGAGACCCTGTCTCAAAAAATTAAATAAAAGTAAAAATAAAATAAACCGCAAGGGCCTGTGATAACTAGTCGAAAGTTTTGCTGTTCCTCCTGACATGATCAAAACTGGGATTCTCATCTGTCTAAAAAGGTATAAATATGGATATAGAGAACCAATGTTTAAAATATGGATATAGAGAACCAACGTTTAAAAGGATAAAACAGTGACCTCAAGATTTTTTACAACTCGGTGACTATGAGATCTTACAGTCATACTTAATCTCCAACTAACCTACCAAATTCAACTCAACATCTTTCCTCAGCCTTTCAAATAACTGAAGCAATCTTTCCCAAAGCAGACTCTCCAGTATCCTTCCAGCTGTAATCATCTACTAAAATATAAGTGCCTCCTAAGTCCGTTTACTTCACTATTATTCAAGTTACACGACACCACCATCTCTCTCAGTCTCCCAGAGACTGACGTGAGCTGTTTAAACCCCATCTTTCACCTAGATGGTTTTTAATCTCTTTCATGTCTACTGTATCTATGAAGTTTGATAACAAAATCCTAAGAGGAGAGGTAACTTCTCCAGCTTGCCAAATTGCTGGCTACCCAAACGTGAGCGTTTAGGCCCACTTTCCGGGGCACATATAGCAAATATTTACTCAGCTTTTTCCACGTCAGGCAGCATACTTTGTGAACATTACCTGTATTCTCTCATTTAATCTTCAACAACTCTATGATGTAGATTTTATTCAGATCAGGAAACTCAGGCCCCAAGAGATGGAGCAACTTGCACAAGGTCACACAACTACTACATTTTTGGGACCAAGCCACTCTGCAACTATGGCCCTTATTTCTCTGAATTTTGAGATAAACCCATTGCTTTAGCTATTTATCAGTTTTGTTTTGTCTTTTCTGTTAGCAGTTGCAAAAACATCAGTGAAATCAACACAAAGAAAAGTGCAGGAAGCATGAAGTTTTACCTCAGTGCTATAAATTCCCTTCAGTTCTAGGTTTTTCTCCCTTCAAGGTCCCAGTGACAAGGCAGGGCCTAGAGTGAGGTAAGTGAGGAATTCAGGCACAAAATTCAAGGAGGTCCCCCAAAACTCAGTAATCAAGATTAAAATATCTCAACACAATATTTTCTTTTTTTCAATCTTTTTTTATTTTTTTTTTTTGAGACGGAGTCTAGTTCCATCACCCAGGCTGGAGTGCAGTGGCACAATCTCGGCTCACTGCAACCTCGGCCTCCCGGGTTCAAGCAAATCTCCTGTCCCAGCCTCCCAAGTAGCTGGGACTACAGGCGCCTGCCTCCACGCCCGGCTAATTTTTGTATTTTTAGGAGAGACAGGATTTCACCATGTTGGCCAGGCTGGTCTCGAACTCCTGACCTCAGGTCATCTACCTGCCTCAGCCTCCCAAAGAGCTGGGATTATAGGTGTGAGCCACCACGCCCGCCTCACAGTATTTTCAAAAATAAAAATCAATGCAAAACCAATCCGTGATGAACAAAATATCAAGCTTTTTTTTTAAAAAAAGGATAGTATCAAAGGCCGGATGTGGTGGCTCACACCTGTAATCCTAGCACTTTGGGAGGTCAAGGTGGATGGATCGCTTGAGCCCAGAAGTCGAGACCAGTCTAGGCAATATAGTGAGAACCCGTCTCTACAAAAATACAAAAAAATTAGCTGGGCGTGGTGGCACACGCCTGTATCCCAGCTACTTGGGAGGCTGAGGTGGGAGGATTGCCTGAGCCCAGGAAGTCGAGGCTGCAGTGAGCTGTGATAATGCCACTGCACTCCAGCCTGGGTGACAGAGTGAGATCCCATTTCAAAAAAGAAAAAAAAAAATAGGATCAGATCAGACCCTGTACTTGCACAGCCCTCCTTCACTTGTTTCACTCTAGTTCTTAGGTCAAGAAAACTTTATTTACAAAAACAGGTGGCCAGACAGATGGCTGTAGTGTGTCCATTTGATTTTTTAAATATTTCATTAAAATATTAATTATCCCTATTAACAAATTTTTTTTTTGTGACTCCTTGAACTTTATACTGGAAGCAAGTGCCTCATTTACCTCACCCTAGTCCCAGCCCTGGCCAGTGACCAAATATTATTTTTAAAGTCATTTTAATGCCACAAAATATTTCAGAACTTGTGATGAAGTTGGGGTAGGGGGAAGTAGCAGTATGGGATCAACAGGGACCATGTCTTAGAAGAGGAAATTGATACCGATCTTAAAATAGATTGCTAAAAACATCTTAAAGACAACAACAACAAAAAATACTTAGTTACTTTTCAGGGCCATTCCCCCTCAGAAGTAAAGTGGGAGGCAGGTAAATTCCTCAACCTCATAAGGGCATCTACAAAAACCCAACCAAAGGTAAAATGATGATTAATGGTGAAAAACTGAAAGCTTTTCTCCCTAAGATCAGAAACAAGTCAAGGATGTCCAATCTCACCGCATCTAATTAACATTTTGCTAGAAATTCCATCCAGAGCAATTAGTCAAGAAAAAGAATGAAAGGCAAGCAGATTAGAAAAAAGTAAATCTCTGTTCTCAGATATCATGATCTTGTATGCAGAAATTCCTAAAGATACACACACACACACGGAGATTAGCACTAATGAACACACTCAGCAAGGCTGCAGGATACAAGATCTATATGCAAAAATTAATTCTATGTACATATACCAGCAATGAACTATCCAAAAACGAAATTAAGAAAGCAATTCCACCAAGAAGAGCTTTCAATGGAGGAAAATTAGTCTTTTTAACAAGTAGTGTTGGAACAATTAGACATCAAAATGCAACAGAATGAAGTTGGCTCTTAACTCACCCCATATACAAGAATTAACTCAAAATGGATCACAGATGTAAATTTAAGAGTTAAAACTAGAAAACTCTCAGAAGGAAACAAGGGTATGATCTTCATGATCTTCTAGATTTGACACCAAAGCATGAACAACAACAAAAAACAGATAAATTGTATTTTATCAAATTCTGAAACTTCGGGACTTCAAAGGACACTATAAAGAAAGTTTAGGCCGGGTGAGGTGGCCCACGCCTGTAATCGCAGCACTGTGTGAGGCCGAGGTGGGTGTATCACTTGAGGTCAGGAGTTCCAAGACCAGCCTGACCTCTGCCTCCTGGGATTACAGGCATGAGCCATGGCGCCCCTCTTCATTTCATTACTTTTTTTTTTTTCTGAGATGAAGTCTCACTCTGGCACCCAGGCTGGAGTGCAGTGGGGCGATCTCAACTCACTGCAGCCTCCATCTCCCAGGTTCAAGCAATTCTCCTGCCTCAGCCTCCTGCATAGCTGGGACTACAGGCACGCAACACCATGCCCAGCTAATCTTTGTATTTTTAGTAGAGATGGGGTTTCACCATGTTGGCCAGGCTGGTCTCGAACTCCTGGCCTCAAGTGAGCCACCCACCTCAACCTCCCAAAGTGCTGGGATTACATGAATGAGCCACCAAGCCCAGCTGACCCTCTTCATTTCTATGGTACACTCTCCCTCCACTTATCCTGCCCCTTTTAAAGTTCAGCCCTCCCTGCTCTGCTCCCCTACCCTCATCTCTAAGGTGAACCCTCTTTCCACTGCTCCATCAATTTCTGAGGTCCACCCTCCTTGTTCCTGCTTCTCCTTGCTCCACTCCTGCGCTTCCACATTGAAGCTCAGCTCCCACTGCTCTGCCTCTCCCCCTCTCATTTCTAAAGTGGCCCTTGGCCAGGCGCAGTGGCTCAGGCCCACAATCCCATCATTTTGGGAGGCCGAGCCGGGAGGATTGCTTGAGGCCAGGAGTTCGAGACCAGCCTGGGCAACATAAGGAGACCCAATCTCTACAAAAATTTAAAAATTAGGTGGGCATGGTAGTGAGCACCTGTGGTTCCAGCTACTCGAGAGGCTGAGGTGGTAGGATCACTTGATTGAGCCTGAGAGCTTGAGGCCACAGTGAGCCGTGATCGTGCCACTACACTCCAACCCAGACAACAGTCCCTGACCTTATCTCAAAAATAACTAACTAGGCCGGGGGCGGTGGCTTATGCCTGTAATCCCAGGACTTTGGGAGGCCGAGAAGGGCGGATCACTTGAGACCAGGAGACCAGTCTGGGCAACATGGTGAAACCTCGCTCTACTAAAAAACAAAACAAAACAAAACAAAAAAACAAAAACCTAGACAGGTGTGGTGGCGCGTGCCTGTAGTCCCAGCTACTCTGTCGACTGAGGTGGGAGGATCGCTTGACCCCAGGGGGCGGAGGCTGCACTGAGCCAAGATGATGCCACTGCACACCTGCCTGAGAAACAGAGCAAGCACGTTTCACACACACACACACACCCCTAACTAAAGTAGCCCTTTTCTGTTTTGTCCTCCTTCCCCCATTTCTACAGTTTCCTTCTTCCGTGCTCTGATGCCCTTCTCCATTTCTAAAGTCAGCTTCCATCCTCTCTACTCAGCTCTGCTCACTCCCTATCTGGCTTGGAAAGTCTATTCCCTCCCCTCCTCCCCCATTTCTAAGATGGATAATAGCAGAGGAACTGGTCCAAGTAAAATCCACTTTTTCTGGGTTTGGTGCGAATGGAGGAGGTTAGGGGCCTTGATAAAGGAGTTCTTTTTTCTAAGGTTCCACTCTCCGTGTAGAGGTCTCAGGTTAGAGACTAGAGAGCGCCAGCAAAGAAAGGCTATCCAGAGCGAATAACCACCAGCCAACAAGCAAATAAATGGACCAACCACCCCTTCGAATAACCACCAGCCAACAAAGCAGATACACCAACCCACCAACAACTCCTAGCACTACCACGCCGGGATCCCTAGTAAAATAGCCTAAGGCTTGCTCCTCCGGGCCCTGGAATCTAGTGATTTATGACATCCGCTTGGACTGAGAAGAGCACTTGGCTCCATGTGTTTGAAGGAGGCCAGTAGTTAGGTATCAATTCTTAGGAGAGTAAAATACACGTTAATAGCGGTCTATTTTCTCCGCCTGCCCCTTTCAGCAATCCTTAATCCCCACGCGCTTCTGGTCAGCCTCCCTCAGTTCCCCACCTGAAAGGAGAGGGCTGGAGGTGAGGAGAAAAAGAGGAGAGGAGGGATAGGGGCCAAGTGGTCCCAGGGTTCGTCAGGGTGGGGCAGGTGCGGAGATGCCCTGAAGGGGAAGCCTCTCCTCGAACTGGTGTGTTCCTCCCGACGCCACTTCTAGTAAGCGCTATGCCGAGGTCTTGCGCTCAAGACCAGTGAGCCCAAACTAGTGGAGACTGGGATCCGAGATCTACATACCTAGAGACATATCTAGGAAGTTAACCTTTTTCCGACTGGGATGATTTGGCGGCACTTTTTCAGAAAGCGTTAGCTTCCGAAACGAAGCCATCTTCCCTGCATCATGGCGCCACACACTCCGAGGTAGGGCGCGTGTACCACCCCCTCACCGCGCAGGAGGAGCAGAGTGGTGGACTAACCTGATCCTCCAATCATAGCCTCTCCCTTCGGTGTTGCTAAGCCCCAAGGGGTGGAGCTTGGCGTTACCCCTCACCAAGTCTCCTATCAGGAGCTTGGCTCGCTAGAAGAAAAAAAAAGGAAAGACCCGCCCATCTCCCACCCGATACCCCTTTCTAAAAATATTCTCTCCACCTAGAGCACTATGTAGTTGGCTACAAGTTTCTAGTGTATGTGGTGTTCCGGCCCTTGCCTTTCACAGTTCCTAGGACCCATTTCTCCTCTTTGCTGTTGACATTCATGGCGAATAAAACCTTATAATCTTGACTTAATGGGCTGATGCTCTGCTTCTCTCAAATTCCAAGAGGGAGCACAAATTTAACATCTAGGGAGGATTCACAGGTTTGCAATGCCACACGCTTTCTTTTCTGTCTTTCTTTTCGTTTTTGTTTTTTGTTTTTTGTTTTTTTGAGACACAGTATCTCTTTGTCACCCAGGCTGGCGTGAAGTGGCGCCAACTCCGTTCACTGCAACCTCCGCCTCTGGGGTTCAAGCGATTCTCCCACGTCAGCCTCCCAAGTAGCTGAGATTACAGGAGCGCGCCACCACGCCTGGCTAATTTTTGTGTTTTTAGTAGAGATAGGGTTTCACCATGTTGGCCAGGCTGGTCTCCTGGGCTCAAGTGATCTACCCGTCTGTGCTACCCTCATACCACAGCGCCCACACTTTCCCTCCCTCCCTCTGTCCCTCCCTTCCTTCTTTCCTTCCTTCCTTCCTCCCTCCCTCCCTTCCTCCCTCCCACCCTCTCTTTCTTCTTCCTAACTTCTTTCTTTCCATCTGCCTTGGCATCCCTCCCTCACCGCACCTGGTTATTTCTTTTCCTTCCTTCCTTTCTTCCTTTCTTTCTTTTCTTTCTCTTTCTTTTCTTTCTTTCTTTCTTTTTCTCTTTCTTTCTTTTCCCTTTCTTTCTTTTTTTCTTTCTTTCTCTCTCTCTTTCTTCCTTCCTTCCTCTCTTTCTTTTCCTTCCTTCCTTCCTCCCTCCCTCCCTCCCTTCCTTCCTTCTTCCTAACTTCTCTCTTTCCACCCGCCTCGGCCTTCCTCCCTCACCACACCCGGCTATTCCCTTCCCTTCCCTCCCCTCCCCTCCCCTCCCCTTCCCTTCCCTTCTCTCCCTTGCTTCCTTGCTTCCTTCCTTCCTTTTTTCCTTCCTTCCTTCCTTTCTTTTTCTTTCTTTTCTTTCTTTTCTTTTTTCTTTCTTTCCTCGATCTGTTGCCAAGGTTGGCATGCCTTAACCTCCCAGGCTCCTCTTGGGCTGTAGAGATGGGGATCTCACCATGTTGGCCAAGCTGATCTCAAACTCCTGGCCTCAAGCAATCCTCCCACCTTGGCCTCCCAAAGTGCTGGGATTACAGGCATGAGCCACCATACCCGGCCTGCCACATGCTGTTCAATGACCTTGAAGATGTGTCCATGACATTTCTTAAGAAAAATGTAATTGTTCTTGTTATCACCTAATACTGCTCAATCAAATGCTACTTTAAAATATTAGAGAAATCTTGTCACTGGCTCTTCAGTAGAAATAAAAATCAAATTAATACATTTTCAAAGGTAAAAATATGTTCAAGCTATTACAGAATCCACAACATAAATAAATGCCGGAAGAGATTTTGAAAAATGTAAATTATTTAACTATTTATTGTATTTAAGTAAATGCTTCGCACCTGGGACCTAAAGATTAATAAATAAATCTGTTTCTCCATGCATATACAATTGCCTGAAGACAATAAATGCATGCAAAATATTAATTTAGGTGCTGTAATTTAGTCTGTCAACAAATACTGAGCTCCTGCTGTGTTAGGTTCTGAGGATACAGGTATGTACAAAATGTATTTGGGATTCAAAGGAGAAAATTCACCCAAGGAATCAAGAAAAAATTATTTAAATCCTGAGAAATTAGGGAATAATTGTAGGGGTGGGAATGGTATTTCTTGGCAGAGGAAGCAGCACCACTAACACACTGTGGAAAGTTCTATTCATTCCATGTGGTGGGTACTGAGAGATGAGTCTAAAGAGATCAACAGATATTAGATCATGGAGTGACTTTTATAATATATTATGCTAATGGTTTGGGCCTTTTTTTCTGTCAGATTTATTTTTCTGTCAGGTATGAAGTGAGAATGAAAGAGGATCAAAGATAGAACCCCAAGAAAATTAAAAAGAACATTGAGTAGAAAATATCAGAGAGATATGGGTAGAACCAGGAAAGAGGTATTCATTTATTAAGGGAGAACTCCAGGAGGAACCGACGGGTCCATCTTGTCAAGGGTTGATAGAAAGTCAAATAAGCTAAGAACTGATTAATTCATTAAATTTAGTAATTATGAGATCCGGTTTTTACCTTCAGCAGAGTTCTAGCAGGCTATAAACTGATAAACAACTAATTTTTATTTAACAAACACATAAAGCATTTACTATCTGCCCGGCATTGTTCTGAGAGCTTTACAAATATTCAATAATTTAATCTTCACAATAACCCCATGAGAAATAATATTATCTCCTTTTACCAGCAAGGAAAAGAAGGCACAAAGACATTTAAAAAATTGCCCAAGGACACAGAGCTGGTAAATGTTGCAATTACTTCAAACCCATGCAGTTCAGCTCTAAAAATCACGCTTGTAACTACTACCTTTACACAAGGTAGTATAGGGTGGTTTTTTTTTAATTATACTTTAAGTTTTAGGGTACATGTGCACAACGTGCAACTTTGTTACATATGTATACATGTGCCATGTTGGTGTGCTACACCCATTAACTCGTCATTTACATTAGGTATATCTCCTAATGCTATCCCTCCCCCCTCCCCCCACCCCACAACAGGCCCCATAGTGTGATGTGCCCCTTCCTGTGTCCATGTGTTTTCATTGTTCAATTCCCACCTATGAGTGAGAACATGCAGTGTTTGGTTTTCTGTCCTTGCAATAGTTTGCTGAGAATGATGGTTTCCAGCTTCATCCATGTCCCTACAAAGGACATGAGGGTAGTTTTTTTTTAATGGAAGAGATTAAATTAAACATGCTTATAGGTCATGAGAAAGGAGCTAGCAAAGAGAGACACATTAGAAATAAAGAAAAGGGAGGCCGGCCCAGTGGCTAACACCTGTAATCCCAGCACTTTGGGAGGCCAAGACAGGCAGATCACTTGAGGTCAGGAATTCCAGACCAGCCTGGCCAACATGGTGAAACCCCAACTGTACCAAAAATACACAAATTAGCCGTGCATGGTGGTGTGCGCCTGTAATCCCAGCTGCTTGGGAAGCTGAGGCAGGAGAATTGCTTGAACACAGGAGGCAGAGATTGCAGTGAGCTGAGATTGCACCACCACACTCCAGCCTGGGCGACAGAGCCAGACTCTGTTTCAAATAAATAAATTAAATTAATAAATAAAAATAAACAAAAGGAAGTAAGGAAATAATCAATGAATTTCCTTTCTCCCTAGGTTTCAGAATTGAGCCATAGTAGAGATGGGACCAGGAGATAACTTTGAAAGACATCGTGCTTTGCTTGAAATTGCTTGTTATTTGATTAATTTGATCTTGCATAACTTTCACTTCTCTTAGTTGAACTTCTCTGCCTTCATTCAAATAGGTTCTCTCAAATTCGAAGAATGAGCACAAATCTAGCATCCAGGGACAGACTTGCAAAACCACGCAGAAACCAAAGTGAGCCTTTTAAAACATCAGTCTTGGCGTGGTGCTCATGCCTGTAATCTCAGCACTTTGAGAGGTTGAGGCGGGAGGATCCCTTGAGCCCTGGAGTTCGAGGTCAGCCAACAAAGTGACAACAATGTGAGACCCCGTCTCTACAAAAAATTAAAAAATTAGCCAGGCGTAGTGGTGCATACCTGTGGTCCCAGCTACTCAGGAGGCTGAGATGGGGGGATCGCTTGAGCCAGGGAGGCAGAGGCTGCAGTGAGCCATTATCTCACCACTGCAACTCCAATCTGAGAGACAGAGCAAGATCCTGTCTCAAACAAAACAAAACAAAACAGCAGGGACAGTGTGGAATTCTGGCAACAGCAGTGGCAACAGCAAAAGCCAGTTTCTTGAGGCAGCAATGGCAGTGTTGCAAATCACAGTATCTAGTGTGTGGCAGTGGTGGCCTCTTCAGATTCGTTTTGATGTGTGATTTTAGCTAATACTATAAATTTCTCACCTCTCTTGGTTCCTGCACTTTTTCCTGAGCTTGATTCTTTAGACGTCATGGCTATTCCTTGAGCTATGTAACATAACAGGCTTTCAATAAATTTCTTCTATGCTTAAAGCAGCTAGGATTTGTCACATTCAACTAAGAACTCTTTCTATTGGCATCAAGAGAAATATAAAGGAGACAATTCATTGCTTTTTGCTTCAGTTTTGGGCACCAGTTGTTACCGGACAAACTGCAGTGAAACCAAAGAAAATCAACCAGGTTTGTGAGGAGATTTAAATCATGTCATCTGAAGCATGGTTGAAGAAATTTTGCCCGTAGAACAGAAATCTCAGGGGACCATAATAACTGTCTTCAAATAATTTTATGGAAGAGGGAGTGAATTTATTATTCGGTCTGGCAGGAGAGGGCAGCATTATCCCAAGTTGACCCAAATTACAGGAAAACAGATTTCTGCACTATATAGAGACAAACTTTCTAATAATGAAAACTAAAACAATGGGACGAAACTACAACAGGAGAAGCTGCATTGAACTGACATACTTGACACTGTGAATATTAAAGCAGAAGCTAGATTACTGCCTACTTCAATGAGTTAGGTTCAGTGGTTACTGAGCTTCCTTTTAATCTGATATTGCAGAAAAAACAGACACACAGAGACTTCTCTTGCTAGTTATTTAAATCACATGACTTAAGACCATTCTCAGTTTCTCAGGTTTTTAAAATACAAATGAACATAGTAATAAAGGAACACATAGTTAATCATTGCACTAGACAGGCAGTAGCAACATAAACGATTTTAAGTACCTAGAATGGAAATTAAGCACTATGATATTTCAGTAAAAAACTGAACCTGCTAATTTTTTTATTTTTTTGTAGAGATAGGGGTCTCCCTGTGTTGCCCAGGCTGATCTCGAAATCCTGGGCTCAAGTGTCCTGCCTTCCTCGGCCTCCCAAAGTGCTGGGATTTACAGGCATGAGCTGCTGTGTCTGGCCTTAGCTATCAATTCTTAGGCAGATTTCCTTTGCAAAACCAGGCCCACAGGTGTGTGCCACCACATTTTGCTAATTTTTTTATTATTTGTAGAGATGGGTTTTCACCATGTTGTCCAGGCTGCTCTCAAACTCTTGACGTCAAGCAATCCAATCACGTAAGCGTCCCAAAGTGTTGGGATTACAGGCGTGGGCCACCACACCTGGCCAAGGTTAAGTTCTTTAGAGAAAGAGCTCGGTTATATTGTTTTCGGCCAACACATTTTAGGAATAAAATAATTTCTATTGCTAGGTTGTGTGCTTTTTAAGATAAGCTTAATTTATTCTTCCGTGGGTAATCAGTTGATCCCTAAATAGATCAACTGATATATGTTCCAACAATATCTAGGGCAAACCTCTATTTCTTCCTTTTCCAAAAATAAAACAAACCCAATATTTAAATTATACTTTTAAATGATCAGTTTCACTCATATTTTTGTAGGCAGTCTGGAAAACATAAAAAAGTAAATAAATAGGCTGGGCACAGTGGCTCACGCCTGTAATCCCAGCATTTTGGGAGGCCGAGGCGGGCAGATCACCTGAGGTCAGGAGTTCGAGGCCAGCCTGGCCAACATGGTGAAACACCCTTTCTACTAAAAATACAAAAATTAGCTGGGCATGGTGGTGCACGCCTGTAATCCCAGCTACCTGTGGGGCTGAGGCAGGAGAATCACTGGAACCCGGGGGGCAGAGGTTGCAGTGAGCCGAGATTGCACCACTGCACTCCAGCCTAGGTGACAGAATGAGATTCCAGTTCAAAAAAAAAAAAAGTAAGTAAATAAAACCAAATATTCAAAGATCATTTTAAACATTTCATTTATTTCCTTCTAGCCACACTTTCTACGTTAAATAATTTGAATATAGCATTTAACAGTACAGTAGGAAATTATAGTTAACAATAATTTATTGTATATGTCAAAATAACTGGAAGAGAAGATTTGTAATGTTCCCAACATAAAGGTAAGATAAATGTTTGAGGTGATGGATATCCCAGTTACCTTGATTTTATCATTACACATTGTATACAGGTATCGAAATATCACATGTAACTCCAAAATAATTACAACTATTATATATCAATAAAAAATAAAGGTTAAAAAACCGTACATAGTAAAAAAAAAGTATAGATATATGTATGTATATATATTAAATTTTGTTTCTTGCTTTTCTGCCTCAGATTTGTAAGCTTCTGGTTGTGTAACTAAAAAAATAAATCTTTAATGCATGGCTTTAAATACCTACCTAATGTTGTTGTTACTTAAATATAAGGGATACATTCCTAATTTCATGATTATAAGTACAGCCCTAGCAGTTGACATTGATTTGGGGGTAATTTTATCCAGATTTTAAAAAACAATTTTATGAAAGGTTATTGTTTACAGATAATGAATACTATAGCCAACCTCAATGCCACAACAAAATGTGATAGGCTTAATTCACAGCCAAATAACTCCAGTTTTAACATGGACCCTTTATTGTTAGGTAAAATTTCAAAATACAATACTGTACAATGTGAATTTTTGGATCCTTTGCAAAATGGCTAATTTAAAGTGATGCTCATGAAGGGTGTGAAATAATGAAAATGCTTATATTCTAATTTTAAGTGAAGAGCTGAATACAAAATAGTCTAGTCTACTTACAATTATATTTGAACCTTTATAGAAAAAACAGATTTACAAATACATCAAATGGTAACTAATGTTTTGGGTTCATGGACTGAAGCGTTATTACTTTTGTTTCTATTTTCTGGTATTTTCAGATTTTTTTATTTTAATTGCTTATACAGTAGGAACAAATAAAATAAAACTTTATTAAAGAAGTAAATAAATCTGTCATGATTATGTCAGATATTTAAATTGGGGAGGTAGTATGACATGCTAGAATGAATAAGGGACTTAAGACAAATGAGTTTAATTCCAAGCTCTGCTCACTTATAATTTGCAGGGCCTAGGGCACCTCTGAGTCTTAATTTCTTCACCTGTAAAACAGGATTATTATCTATCCTGAAGGGTTATTAGGATTAAAGTTAATGCATATAAAGCACCTAGCACATAGTAGGTCCTCAGTAAATATTAATGGTCACTTTTATTATTATTATTACTAGCAGCATCTTCATCATACTCTTCCTGAGTAATCTTATTTTCATAATGTCAATGGCTATTATAAATATTTGTGTACAATAAGTCCTTTGGGGGAATATACGCATTAATTTCTCTCCTTAGTGGATGGATAGATAGATTGATGAACTGATAGATAGCAGGGTCATCATTTATATGTATGTTTAGCATCAGTAGATACTATTAGTTTTCCAGAATGATTATACCAACTTACACTCTCACATCCAGTGTATGAAACTGCAAATTTCTCGTCAATCTTTTTCTCCCTCTTTTGAGTTTATTCTGGTGGGTATGTAATAATATCATTTCATGAATTAAATTTATATTTCTCTGATAAGTAATTATGTTAAGCATCTTTTCATGTTCTTACTGGACATTTGAATATCCTCTTCTGTGAAGTATTTGCTCAATTCTCTGCACATACTGTATTGGGTTTGGTCTTCTTATTGGCTTGTAGGGATTCTTGATATCTTTTGCATGAGTGCTCTACACGTGGCAAATATCTTCTCCCAGGCTGTAGCCTGCCTTTTTACTCTTTTAATGCTATCATTTGATGAACAGAAGTTCTTAATTTTAATGAAGTTCAATTTATCAATTTTGCATTTGTAGCTAGGTCTTTTTCTATCTGATAAGAAATTTTTGCCTGTCCCTTAGTTCATGGTGGTATTATCCTATGTTTTGTTCTAAAAGATTTATTGTTTTCCCTTTGACATGTAGAAAAACAATCTGCCTGGAATTGATTCTTTATATGAGCTAAGTAGGAGTGAGAGTTCATTTTTGTCTATGTATATATCCAGTTGAGTCAGCATTTGTTAAAAAAAAATAAAAGACTATGATTTACCCACTGCATTTCTATGATTCTGGTACTTTAGGTCACTTAGCCATCCTAATACTTCAGGATTATGTTTTAAATGTACAGATCTGATAAGGTCATTCCACTTTTTCAAAGCATTTGATAGTTTCCTATTGCATAACAAAAGTAAAAAACATTTATCCAAACATACAAGAGTCCCCTCACAATGTGATCTCAATAGAGCTTTCTACTTCCATGATGTACTAGGTTAAATTGGGTCCCTCCAAGATTCATGTCCACTCAGAATCTCAAAATGTGATCTTATTTGAAAATAAGGCCTTCATAACTGTAATTAGTTAGGATGAGGTCATAGTAGATTAGGGTGGGTCCTAAATTCAATTACTACTGTCCTGATCAGAAAGCCATAACAGAGATACAGCCACACAGGAAAGAAGGCCATGTGATGACGGAGGAAGGGATTGAAGAGATGCAACTACAAGCCAAGGAACACCAATGATTGCTGACAACCACAAGAAGCTAGGAAGAGTCAAGGAAGGATTCTTTCCTAGTGCCTTCGCAGGGGTGTGCAAGGGAGAGAATATAGTCATGGGTTCTTAGTTTCTGTTTCTGGTTGAGCCAGTAAAACCCCTTCCTCATCCCTCTTTTCTGCTTATTACTGGAGACAGAAACTAAAAACTATGTCTTGAGGCTGCTAAAAGCCTAAAAGCCAGTAGGGGAGAGAGATTAAGCTCAACTCTGAATACTGCAAAGGCAAGTGGGAACTAATACCCAAGCAACAGGGTGGGGGGCAGTTAACTCTATTTTTAAAATGAAAAAACCAAGAATGAGAAAGTTTAAGTAATTTGTGCAAGGTTTTATCCCTCGTAAGTAGCAATACCAGCATAACAACCTAAGACTCTTTGACACCATAACCCATAATATTTTCACTGTCTCTCAGAGCTTCTCCTGCTACTCCCTACCACCCCTACCATGTAAGAGCATGATGTTATCATGATCATGCTTCATCCACATGAAAAGAAATACTGTTTTCTGAACACATTTGCAAACTATGTGCTTTTGTATATACTGTCCCCTTAGATTAGAATGATCTTAAAGATTCTCCCTCCAACTTAAGCCCCTACTTATTTATTCTTCTGAACCAATCTCAAATGTCACCACCTCTGTAAAGCCTTGCCAAATCTCTTCTGACAAAGAGAATTTTTACCTCCTCTCTACTCCTGTTGCACTTTATGTATCCCTCTTATACCATAGCATATATCATGTTGCATATGAATTATTTGCATATCTACCTCAATTGTATGTGTCACAATTTGTATTTCATATTAATTTGTTTGTTTATTTGTCAGTTATGCATCTCCTCCACTAGACTGCAACTACAAAAAGTCAAGGATTATGTTTCTCTTCTTAACCTAGTAGTTTAATGATAATAATAATAACCAGCACCTAGTACTCTGATGACAATGATACTAAGTAGTATTTATTAAGAACATACTTTCTGTAAACAGTCTTATGAAATGGATTTATTTATTTATTTATTTATTTTTGAGGCAGGGTCTCACTCTGTCACCCAGGCTGGAGTGTGGTGGCACGAACACAGCTCACTGCAGCCTTGTCCTCCTGGGCTAAAGCAATCCTCAGCCCCGCGTGTAGCTGGGACCACAGGCATGCACCACCATGCCTGGCTAATATTTTTATTATTATATTTTTTTGTAGAGACGGGGCTTCACCCTGTTGCCTAGACTATTCTCAAACTCCTGGGCTCAAGCAATCCACCTACCTCAGCTTCCCAAAGTACTAGGATTACAGGCACGAGCCACTGAACTCAGTTGTACATGCTGTTAAGAAGCATCTGGCCTTGGATATTATTTTTACTCCCATTTTATATATGAGGAAATTGAAACATAGAAAGGTTAAGTATCTTCTTTGAGGTCACAAAGCTAGTAAGTGACAATGCCAGGATTTAAACTGAGAATGCACGCATGAGTAAGTGAATGATAAATAAATGAATCTATCCCCTGAACCCCTACTAAGTTGTGAATTCTTAAATGGTGGTGAATTCATCTTTATGAGTCTTTTTCATCTTTATGCCACCAATATTTCCAGCATAGTATCTGGCACATAGTCGGTATTCTGATGTTTGATGGACAAAAGAACAAAGAATGTTTGGAACATGTGGTTATACATGTGGTCAGTTAGTTTTGTTATATAATCACATGCTTCACCTCTATCTTTGGATAATTGAAATGTGTTATAGGATCACAAAAGAAATGACGTTTTAATCCCAGCACTTTAGGAGGCTGAGTCAGGAGGATGACTTGAGCCCAGGAATTCAAGGCTCCAGTGGCTGTGATGACATCCCTGTACTCTAGCCTGGGCTACAGAGCAAGATCCCATCTCTAAAAAAAAAAAATAAATAAATAAATAAAAAGAAAGAAGAAAAGAAACGATGTTATACAGGGGATTGAACCAGGCAAATTTGCCTTCTCCCTCTTTCCCCACCCACTTTAATTGTTGTAGGTTTTTTGTAGCTATTCTTCATCAAGTTGAGGCAGTTCCTCTCTATCACTAGTTTCTTATGAGTTTTTGTTATGAATCAGTGTTGGATTTTGTTGTATGCTTTTTCTGCATCTACTCATATGATCATGTGATTTTTCTTTTTAAGCCCGTTGATGTGGTGGATTACCTTAACTAATTTTTTAATCTCCTGATTTAATAGAATGCAATCCAAACATCTTGCTTTCTTGGAAATATTTCATTAGAACTTAGTTACTGAATTTTCTGCAAGAAAAAATATGGATTATGATCTTGTAGAAATATTTCTATATGTTTCAAACATAAGGTTTCTAAAGAGACTTTCTTTTAAAGGCTAATATTTTAAACAAGATTGTTAGTTATACTATTAGATTTTTTAAAACTCTTTTCAAGATGCTGTACTTCCTTTTGTTTTTAAAAAGACACGCACACACACACATATATGTGTGTGTGTATATATAGTTTTATCACCCTGGCTGGAGTGCAGTGGTGTGATCATGATTCACCACAGCCTTGACTTCCTGGACTCAAGCAATCCTCTTGCCTCAGTCTCCCAGGTAACTGGGACTACAAGTGTACACTGCCATGACTGGTTAACTTTTTATTTTTTGTAGAGACAGGTTCTCACTATGTTGCCCAGGCTGGTCTCGAGCTCCTGGGCTCAAACGATCATCCCAAAGGACTGGGGTTACAGGCCTGAGCCACTGCACCCAGCCTGCATTATTTATTTAAGGTGACTTTTAAAAAGCATATTCTAAGTATTAATTTCTGCTGCTTATTAGGTAGCCAAACAAGTTTCCAAATATTTAGCAGTATAAATACAAAATCATATAAAGAGAGGATTATATAACTTTTAAAGAGAGTAAACTCTTTGAACTTTTATCAAAGCTCATGTTCATATTTCTTAAAATTGCCTAAGTACTTTCCTAGAGAGTAAATAATCTATTATTTCTCTTATCCTGCAATTCTAGATTACAAGCCTGGCTAATGGTAGACAGCAAATAAAATAGATATAAGTGGAGCAAATATTTAATGCTACTAGTTTTTTTTTCCTGTTCCACTTTCTTACTCCTGGCCTTTCACTGAACACATTAGTGGTGTCGAAATTTAAAATCAGGTGGATAATATATCAAAACATCATGTCAAATATAAGGTTCAATAGAAGACATAGACCTAGTGTTTGATACATCAGTAGGGTGACTATAGTTTACAATAATATCTTGTGCATTTCAAAATAGCTAGAGGAGAATCATTAAAATGTTTCTAGCATAAAGAAAAGACAAATATTTAAGTTGATGGATACCCCAAGTAACACTGATTTGATCTCTACAAATTATATGAATGTATTAAATTATCACATGCACCCTAAAACTATGTCCATCTATTATGCATAAATAAAAAATATTGTTTTAAAAAACAAAAAATACAAAGAAACCAAACATAACTGGAAGCAAATGATTCCGAGCCAAAAAAAAACCAAAACATCATGTTGCATGCCATGAATATGTACAATTTTTACTTATCAATGAATAAAATAAATGAAATGCTTTAAAAACACCAAGAGAAATGAAATCATTTATGTAAAAGTGTTGTAAATATATACAAGAAGAAGTTAGAAAGGAGCAGAACTCTCCCTTTGTAACTATGCTAATTTTCTCACATAAATGAATTACATATGGGATATGCTGAAATGTATGAAGGAAATTTTGGGGGAAGTTTTATCCAAATTTTACTTGACATTTCCTTTTTTGTTGTTGTTGTTGCACAGGCTGGAGTGCAGTGGCATGATCTCGGCTCACTGCAACCTCCACCTCCTGGGTTCAAGTGATTCTCCTGTCTCCTCCTCCCAAGTAGCTGAGATTACAGGTGCGTGCTACCATGCCTGGCTAATTTTTTTATTTTTTGTTTGTTTGTTTTTGAGACAGAGTCTTGGTCTGTCGTCAGGCTGGAAGGCAGGGGCGTGATCTCGGCTAACTGCAACCTCCTCCTCCCGGGTTCAAGCGATTCTCCTGCCTCAGCCTCCCGAGTAGCTGGGACTATTGGTGCGTACCACCATGCCCAGCCAATTTTTGTATTTTTAGTAGAGACGGGGTTTCACAGTGTTGTCCAGGATCATCTCGTTCCCTTGACTTCATGATCTGCCTGCCTCGGCCTCCCAATGTGCTGGGATTACAGGCGTGAGCTACCGCACTTGGCCAATTTTTGTATTTTTAGTAGAGACGGGGTTTTGTCATGTTGGCCAGGCTGGTCTCGAACTCCTGAGCTCAAGTGATCTGCCCACCTTGGCCTCCCAAAGTGCTGAGATTACAGGTGTGAGCCACCTTGCCGGTTCTCTACTTGACATTTTCAAGTGTTGGTTGCATTTTTAAAGTTGCCTTTGAGAAAGTTGGTGCTGCAATTTGGCTATGGTTTGTTTGTCCTCACCAAAGCTTATGTCAAAATTTGATTACCAATGTGGCAGTGTTGGGAGGTAGGTCCTAGTGGGAGGTGTTAAGGCAATGGGGTGGATCCCTCATGAGTGGCTTGGATGCTATTCTTGAGTTCTCACTCTCTCCAGACTGAATTTGTTCTCATGGAATGGATTAGTTCCTGCAGAGTTGGTAGTTATAAAGCTAGTATGCCCCTCAGGTTTCCCTCTTTTCCCATGTGCCTGACTCCCCTTTGACCTTCGCCACCATGTTTTCATGCAGCACGAAAGCCCTCACAAGAAGCTGAGCAGATGTCAGAGCCATGCTTCTTGTACAGTCTGCAGAACGAGGAGCCAAATAAATTTCTCTTTTTTATAAATTACCCAGCCTCAGGTATTCTATTACAGCAACAAAAAATAGACTAAGACAGTAGGATATCAGAATATTGAACTCAAATGCTAAGCATGGCAAGAATATCTTTGAGGCTAATACGAAACAATGGCATTCATTCAGTCATTTCACAACATGGGTTGACTACCTATTTTCTCCTTCGTAATTTACTAGTGTCTTCCAAAAGACTGCCAAGATGGCTAAATAGTAGAAAGGAGAGCTTCATTGGCAATACTGGTTTGCAAGCTGGAAAAAGAACATCCCCAGCATGGACTGAAGGTGCTCACTCTGAAGAGGGGAAGGGCAGGTTGGATTTTATGCCTTACAGAGCCTCATACATATTCAGGATATTATACATTTTTAGTAGGTTTGGAGGAAAAGCTTTACATATTTATGAGGGGAGCTAAGTACATATGGATTGAGTAAACACACATCCCACGTTCACTTTGGGGCAGGGCTTTCTTTACATGAAAAGGTGAACTCCAGGACACAAAAGCGGTTTGTGTGTAGCCTCTATAAGATGGATGAAACTGGCCTAAGGTTTCTGTTAGCTTATCAGAAAAAAAAATGTTTGTGTGGTTGGTTGGTCTTCTGTCCAATCAGAGTTATAGCTGATAGCTCCCATTGTTGGAGAGTTTAGCTGTAGGAATTTAGAAATTTGCCATTTCAACCAGACCCTGAATCTTCGACCCATAACTTTGTTTCCTTAACCTTTGGGTTCATCTTAGTTGACAGAGGGGTGTCTATTTTGGTCTCTCAGATCACACTAGGTTCTGTAGTGCAGAGAAAACTGAGACGCAGTAGGGAGAGCAACAAATACAAAATCATAAAATAACAGAGAATTGTGAAAAAGTCATATAATAGACTAATCATCAATGTGCTGTAGAATTGGAGAGTAGAATAAAAATTCTCTCTTATGGTATAAAGGTGTAGAGAAACAATCACAAGCATATTTGCACATAACAACAGAGCCCCACATACATGAAACAAAAACTGACTAAATTGAAGGGAGAAAGAGAAAATTCAACAACAATAGTTGGAGACTTTCAGTAATGGGTATAGTGTATACTTCATGTAGGTGATTTGTATGGTATGTAAATTATATATCAACATACCTGTTTAATTTCTATTTTTTATTTTTATTTTTTAGAGATGGGGTCTTGTTCTGTTGCCCAGGCTGGAGTGCAGTGGCAGGATCATAGCTTACTGCCGTTTTGAACTCCTGGGCTCAAGTTATCCTCCCACCTAAGCCTCTTGAATAGCTGGGACTACAGACACACACCACGACACCTGACTACATTACTGTTTTTTCATTTTTTTAGAGCAGGGTGTCACATGGTGAGAGCAGGAGCAAGAGGGTGGGTAGGTGCCACACGCTTTCAAACAACCAGATCTCATGAGAACTTGTTTACTTTTGCGAAGACAGCATCAAGCTATGAGGGATCCTCCCTCATGACCCAAACACCTCCCAGCAGGCTCCACTTCCATCATTGGGCATTACATTTCCACATGGAATTTAAAGGCAACAATAACACCCAAACTGTATCAACCGCCATGCTTGGCTAATTTTAAAAATCTTTTCTAGCGATGAGGTCTCATTATGTTTCCCAGGCTGATCTCGAACTCCTGGACTCAAGTAATCCTCCTGCCTCAGCCTCTCAAAGTGCCAACACTACAGGCGTGAGCCACCCTGCCCAGTGGAGGCTGATTTTTTATTTCATGTCTACTGGCTATTTCCTGTTTCTCCTTTTGCAAAATATATTTTACATGCTACACCTGTTTTTCAACTGGGATATTTATATTTCCTTGACTTTAGGAGGTCTCTGAATCTTATGGATATTAGCCTTTGGCCTGTCATATGATTGGAAGTCCTCTCATACACATTTGCCTATAACATGATGGAAACTACATTATATTTCCTATTCCTTATCTATGTCTTTCAGGATCCCCTTCTCACATAAATATGTATAAAGTGGCAAGAAGATTTTGATGGAAAGTCTGTGATTTTTGTGATGCACATCAGAAACTGTTTGAATTTAAACTAACCTTCACCTTTATTACATAGACTTTATACAATATCCAAATTCAAAATCAAAGCTGTCTCCCTACCAGATTACCAGATCTTTCTCAATTTTGGCTAGTTTACCTCCTAAAAGGGCAGCATTACCTTCTTTGTTTCCATGTTTTCAAGGGGTTATTCATACACAAAGTTAAATGTGCAATGCTTTTTTTCCCCCAGCTAGGATAATTGTTTAAAGATTGACATAATGCCATATCCTTTGTACAGAAAAAAATATTTGAGATATTATCCCATACTTCATTTAATAGCAAGAGAACATTGCAAAAGCATTGATTGATTTAGAAATGTAAACCCCTTTATTTTTTTTATTTTAAAAATTGTGGTAAAACATATAACATAAAACTTACCATCTTAATGTACCACCTTAACTATTTTTAAGTGTACAGTTCAGCAGTGTTGGGCATATTCACATTGTTGTACAACAAATCTATACTCTTACAGTAACATATTAAAAAATACAACAAATGTTACTTCCCTACAGATCACTACTTAATAATTTTATTTATTCTTAGGGGTTTTATAAAAATATGCCTAATTTCCACATGGATATTTTCCATTATTGAAAATTTGAAACAAAGTTAGAAAAATAAAGATTCTTCTTGCAAATAAATATACAAGGCATTAAGATGTTATTGAGGAAAATAAAGTTATAAATATTAATTTACTAATGCAAGTTTATAAAATTGCACCTTTACACAGAGGATAAATGCTTGAGGGAATGGAGACCCCATTCTCTATGATATGATTATTTAACATTGCATGCCTGTATCAAAACATCTCATGTACCTACAAAAATTAAAAATAAAAAATTAAAAACAAAAGAAAACAAAAACCCAAATGGCATCTTCGTATATTAGTTATAACATTGAGGTTTAACACACTTGAGACGGGTACTATTTCTGAAATGTAATTTTCTTGGTCAATATGCATAATGCCATTTTTTGGCTTGCTAAGATAATTTTCATAAATCAACATAATGACATATCCTGTGTGCAGAATAGCAAACATAAGGCTTGAGAGGTGATGCTATATTTTATTTTATGTAATATCATTTGTATTGAAAACAACAGATTTTAATATTTAATTGTTAGATAATAACACCCTCTAGTGAGATACTTATGTTATTTTTTTCTATTTTTAAAAAGACATAATGCATTAAGTCTTGAAAACAATTTATTATTATTTTCAATAAGATGTGTTACTTTTATTACCTTAAATTTGATGTCAGAAAAAACTGTTTATTAAATTTATTCCTTTTGGCATTATCCATTTTCATGATGACAAAGGAACATTTAGTTTCAAACCTGGAATTCAAGTCACAAAAGATGTCATAATAACTGAGGCACTGAAAAAATACATCCTGTTATAATAACTAAATATCACAACTGAAGAGTATGCAACATCCTAGGTTTGTGTGACTTTGAAAATGCTCTCTTGCTAGGATCCTGGAAAAGCAATTCTGCCTTGAATGGTGCTACCAATTAACATATTTGCTTTCTGAGTATTTTTAAAGGTGTTTTGTACTTTTATATCTGTAGGTAAAAGATTTTAAATTAATCTTCCTCTAAATGGTGACATTCTGAATATTATTAACTGCATTACAAAATAGTACAATTGTACACTACAAAATGAAGGGAAATTTCAGAAATTATATCTCTTAGTTTGTGTACATTTGGATAATTCAAGCCTACATGTTTTTCCTCTGGCCTAAATTGGCTTTGGTTTTCTAACTCATATTCTTCCAGTGCCCTCTTTTGTTCTGTATCAAGTAGGCCCAACTTAAAAATAGGAATAATAATTCTAAAATGGTACAGAATTTTGCAATGGAAAAAGAGCCTTGAGGGTGGTCCAGTCCAACCCTGTCATTTTAGGGACAAAGAAAACTTAACTCCTGAGAAGTCTGTTATTTTCCCCATGACACCCAACTAGGAATTGGTGAAACAGGATGAATAAACAGATTTTCTGAGTCACATTGCATTGTCCATCAAGGAAATTTTAGGAGAGAAAGGTGGTAATTGGGTATTTTAATTTTTTAATTGTCAAAACATACCTAGATCGTCTTAAAATTTAGAAAACTTAGCTAAGAAGTTTGACTTTGGGGTGAAAATTTTGCTACCATTTTGAACTACCTACCTTCAAATAAATGGGAGGTAAAAATAAATGCATCAAAAAACATGAAGTTGGGCAAGTAATGACCTAAGCTTGCTCCTTTTTTATTCCTTGTATTTTTTCAATCACATTAAAATATGCATTTCTGTATTTTTTAAATCAATTCATGAATCATCACGGAGTCATGGTAAGGTTTTTCAGGAGAAACATGCTTCACATATTCTCCTCTGTCTACAGCTATTGTCTTTGCTTTTTTTCTCTTTCCACTACATTGGATAAGGTGCCTTCACTCCTTCCCTCTACCCCCCAGCCTTTTTTTTTTTCTCATTAAGAGTTGCCAGCTTCATGGGTTCCATTACTTAAGCTCAGATAGAGAGGAGAGATGTAATTGAGGTCCTTCCTAAAGAGTAGAGTCCAGAAAAAAAAATCAATTTCCTTCTTTCCTTTCTCTCTCTCTCTCTCTCTTTTTTTCTTTTTGGTTCCTTATCTTTCCCATGCAATGAATAGGAACAGTTTGTGGCAGATCCTCCTGTGCTCATACACTCTATATACAGCTGGTGAATTTTTTAGCCCTCAGCATGTAGCCTGACTTGGACCAACATCCAGAGCTGCAGAGCTGCAGAGCTGGGGCCGGGCACATAGCTTCTGTTTTAGCTGTATGGAGAAAATTCACAAACCTGAATTTGGAAATTGAGGAAAAAAAAGATTAAAATGCCTAACTGTGAAATATTTGAATTCCTTTCATTGGAAATTGAGGAAAAAAAAGATTAAAATGCCTAACTGTGAAATATTTGAATTCCTTTCATTCAATTCATTTTCTTTATATATGGGAAATCTTACAGTCCTATTATCCACTTAAATATAACTTCCAATTACTTAATCCAGGTATTTTGCTATCTTCCACTTGGAAAAGAAAGTGAAACATCACAATAAACCTGTTGTCAGAGATTATTTTTTTCTGTTTGTTGACACCTCAAGCAATCACAAATTCTTTCACCTTCTATATTTAGACTACTGAAAAATGATTGCTGTCCAACAGGATGATTCTAAAGTATATCACACGTTCAAACATAAAAAACGTTTAAGTTTTGGTGCACAAATTAATTCAACAAAGAACAATATCCTTTAGAATATTTTTATTTAACAAAAATTGGAAGAAAACTGAATTTAGCTCAGCCTACATTTAATCAGAAAATATATTTGGTTAAGACATCCTCTTATCTGAACATTTTGTTCAAAATTCAAAATTTAGTATCTATCCCTAAAGTCGTGTTACAGACATGGTATTCAAACAATCCTATTTCTATTAAATTCAAATAAATATACATTTAAAAATAGGGGAAACATATTGTTCAGTTCCACCATATTTTTCCATATTTGTTATATCAAATATCCTATGTGTATTGGGTAAAAAGATACGTTTGGTAGGAGAGCTACACCCTTTATTAATGTGACTGCTTCATTTTTTGGGCTGAAGCCTGTCTGTTGTACTTCTACATTCAGATATTCAGATAAATTATCTACTTTCACAAGCGTGGTGAAGCATTACCAGCTGTATATTTAGGCATACTCTGCAAATCTGAGATTTTCTTAGGAATATATGAGCTCTTTGTTAATAACCTTCTGCAAAGGATAGGAGGGAACATTTTGTGGTTTCTCCACTAGTATACAAAGTACCATATAATAATAATAACAATTTTTTTTTCTTTCCTTAAGTATCCCACTGAAAGTATTCATTCATGCTCAGGTGGTTTTGTTAAGTTTCATTCACCATTTGTTCTGATTTTTTAATACAAAAAGAGTTTGCCATAATTGCAGCTTTATATACTAAACTGATGCTTTAAAATAGATGTAGCATCTGCTGCTTTTCATATTTCAGAACACAGAAACAAGTAAAAGTACATGAACTGAAACACCTTTTAAAGATAACAAATAAATGCCTTCACCTTTAGCTTTTGGATTTAAACTCCCTTGGATCTATTCTTTGGTTTTGATAGGAACCAATACTTGTTTTTTAGATGTTGTTACTGCTTTAGTTTTGTGACTAATAATTCTGCTATAGCATGTACAATGCCATCTATGCACATACTTTAAATTATACTATCTATACTAGCTAATAAACATGTATATTGTTACTTGAACACAGCAAACTGGTTACTAACTCCACTCACCTGGAAAGGTTTCCTATAGGCTTCCCCTTTTCCTCTAAAAACTGGTGGATTGTTTATAGCTACTTTCGTTAACTTTGGGTAGGAGAATGAGGAGTATATTTAACTCTATGTGAGTTTGACTCCTCTTTCTGAACCATATGGTCAATTTGAAATATACATTACTTAAATGTTCATTTAAACATTTTGTGTTCAAATGAAAAATATCTATCCTTTATACACAGACACAGTCATTATGTGTAGACCAAGTTTTTCAGTGAAAAATGAAAATAAAATTCAGTGGTAGAACTGCTCTCCATGAACATGAATTTGGCTCTCAGCCCTTACCACTGCTCTGCAATGCAAAAGCAAGGGAGAGCAGGCTCTCTGAGTGTGTACACTTAGGAATGAGAAAGAAATCACTAGCAGAATATGCTTTAGAATAATGTCTAGTGGTAGAGGTTTGAAAGAAGAACCTAGAGAATGTTATCTCCATATTAACACATAGTGAATTATTTAGCATATTAATATATATAGCATATGTAGAAGGAATGCTCTCAGCTGGAAGCATCATCTCATGTGCTTCACTCATTCACTCAACAAATGCTTATTGAGCCAGATAGTGTTCTAGGTTGTGTGGATACAACGGTGACCAAAGAACACAAAAATCCCTGCCCTTATGGAGCTTACATTCCAGTGATGGGAGGTGGACTATAAACTTGTAAGTAACATAAATAGGATATTAGATAATGATAAGTGCTGTGGAGAAAAAAAAAACAATAAAGGAGGATAAGAAGTTGTGTGTGTGGGAAAGTTGTAATATTAAATAGCAGGGTCAGGAAAGACCTTGATGCTAAGTGTCATTTGCGCAAAGGCCTGAAGGAGATGAGGGCGTCAGCTATCAGGAGAAATCTGGTGGAAGAGTTTCACAGGGAAAAGGGATAGCTACATGCAAAGACCATGAGGTTGGATGAGTGGCTGGTGTGTTAGGGGGACAGGTTAAAGTAGCGTGAGTAGAGTGAGAGAGACGAGAAAGTAGAGGGACATCAGGTCAGAGTAGTAAGAAGGAAAGGAGAACATTTCTTACAGCTATGAAGGAGCCATCATACAGTTTTTGGCTTTTTATGTGACCGTGATGAAAAACTATTGTAGGGTTTTGAACAGAGGAATGAAATAATTTGACTTCTGTTGTAAACAAGTCATTCTGCCTGCTGTATTGAGAACAGACTGTAGGGGGCAAGAGTGGAAGCAGGAAATAGATCAATCGTGTGCTATTACAAGAGTCCAGGTGAGAGACGATGGTAGTTTGGAACAGGGTAATGGGAAATGGTTAGATTTGGAATAAATTTTGAAGGAGTACAAATAGATGTAGAATGTGAGAAAAATAGAGATATTAAGATTGTCAAATGTTCTACATATTTTCAAGTTATTTCTCACTTTACGTACAGTATGTATAAGGAGCATGTCTAAAAAGTTGTAACTGATTCATATTTGAAACCTATCAGAGTAATTTCTTATTTAAGAGAAACACATAGTGAAACCATAAGAAAAGGACTTTTAAAATAAATAATTTACTCATTCTCTAATTTCTGTTTTTGGTGTCATAGTTTATATATGTTATTGAGTTTTCTAAAAGCAGGATACACCTGATTTTACATAAAACATAAGATCCTTTTGTAGATCAGGAACATTTTCGTTGAATGGAGCTATAGACATCTATTCTCTATGGCAGAGGAGCAGCTCAAGTATATCCATATTTTACATAGGATAGCACAGAAAGAGCCTCACTAGCTGCTTAGGTTGTGTCTTACAGAGTGTTTATATGTATGGGGGAGGGAGTTACAATGCATACAGTCTACCCATCAGAGACTTGGGAGGCAATGTTCACAATGAAAAGCATTACCGTCAGATAAAAGTCTCCTTTAGAGATAGCACGAAGAACTGAATTATCTCAATGGGCTGCTGTAATCCAACTATGATAATCAATTGCATCCATTGCCTCTATAGGGACGATGTTGCCAAGAATGGAATCTCCTTTCTTGTGTGGTACTGGAGAAATAGACAAATTGTTTTACTCTGAATCCCTTATTTTAATGTATTGCTCTGTCAATCATCAAAACTTTTTTCCCACTTCAATCCTTCCTCATGATAGACTGATTATAGGCCATTATTATGTTTAAAATCAACATTTCCTTTTAAAGGAGGTGGTTCTGACTCAAAGAACCCCTAGTCAAACTGGCAACATGCTCAGAGATCATCTCTTACATGGGCTATTTTCCTGAAAATATTTGTCCAGGTGGTTAATTTTATCCATTTGGTGTTGCTTCTTTTAAATTTCCAGTTCAGACTGTAACATTTTTTGACCTCATCTAACAATTCTGGGGGTGTATTGTATTTCGAGCCTACAGTTCTGTTGACTGATAAAATTCAAATGGAGGCATCTATTCTTTTAAAATGTATATAATGCATTCAAACTACTAAAGGATTAAGACTTTCATATTCTTAATTTTAGCTAAATGGATCCTGAGTTTCTGCCAGCTCTTACCCACACTAAGGTATATTCAAAAGCTGTTCCTCTGGGATTAGTCACATCTCACTGAATTCACTCACTGATTAAAGGCCAAGTAAAGGTCAGTTGCTTTTAAGTGACCAATGAACCCATGAGGTATTTTCATGCATTTAACCAATTTCTCAAATTATCATACCCAACCTGCCAAGGAAGGATTATAAGCAGGAACCATGACACATTTCTTTAGTTTCAACCCACTAAATTAAATCTTGTCTTACTTCAATTTAGTTATCTTCTTACTGCTTAAAGGATAACCAAAAAACGTTAGCAGTTTTGAAGTTTAAAAATACAACCATGTTACAGTCCTTTAAAATAAAGAACAAAAAACCAAAATGGCCATTTGAGGACATGAATAGAAATTCCCATTTTTAAAATTTACATTTTTATGATAACATTATATATACTGATATTTTGTGAGGCCACTGTAGATTTTAAAATGCTTTCATGTTTTTACTTTTTCTACCCCTTAACCACTAGGTATACTTTGTAATAATAGAGAACTTATATTGCTGTGGATTAAAATAAAATTTGGGCATATATATATATAAATATATATATATATATAAAATATATCAACAAGGCATCATGATAATAAAGACAGCCACTATTTGTGGACCCTCACTAGTTCCATATGTTCCTCTGACAATATGTTTCTAAAGATGTAGAATGGTTTAAGCTTGCTTTGAAGTTCAGAAACTGAACATTACCTAAGTACTGTGGCTGACCCACCATTATATTTCAATGAGCAAGCCTTTTAATGGTGAATCTCTAAACCACTCTGTGGGCGTTACCATGGACACTAAGAGGCACTGCATTGCCAAATCAGATGGCTAGAAGAACGTAGTTCTTTTAATATATTTGAGGTATCTGCAGACTTCCAGAACTGGTTCTGTTACAGGTAAACAGGATTTAGCCTTAATTTGTCAGAGATTTTCTGGCAGCATTTAAGCTACACATTTTTGTTTCATTCTCTTCTACACTCTGCCTCAGTCGGTATGTCATCTTTGTTAAAGACCTTATAGTGCAGACACATAGTTTCCTAGATGTTAGTTAGTCTTGACAATAAGGCCTATATTCAAGATTGAACTGGCAGATAAGGAAAAGAGAGATTTGCTTAGTTTTTCTCCTTCTCAGGAAGACATATTAAATCTTGGGGAGAAAGACTTATTTCTGCCTACACCCTTTAATTTGGTAAGTGTGATCCTTCATGCATTCTTCTTGTACTTTGTGGCCGTTGCTATACATACTCTAAAACAATGAATTTAAAATCTATTTATGTTCTTGGGAGGATCTTCTTTGATAGGGATTCATTATGTAATCCAGTTAATAGACTGATGAAACCTATTCTTCTATGAAGAGGTTTGATTTATTAGGCTAATATAATTATGCTATTATTTTTACCGTAACATGTATTTTATCTTTTAAAATCTGTTTTAATTAAAGGTTATGGAATGAATTCAGTTCTAAGCAGAGGACAAAAATAGGATTAGTTCTTTACTTATTATATAATAGTCATAATTATATAATTAGATATTCTTATGTATTATCAAATATTTCTCAAATATTTACATAAATATATATACATGTATTATAATTTTGCATCTGCAATAGTATTCTAAAGCTGATCTATGACATCGAGCTAACCAATGTACTGTCAAACATTTATGTCTTTTTCTGATTCTAGTTATTTGAAGTATTTTTACCTTTGGCTAAATTAACAATTTTATTAGTATTAGGCCTGCACAAATTTAAGTCCTCTTTCCATGAACTGCTCTATGTCTCTTTTTAGAGACTAAATCATTAAATATACATAATTCAGCAGTGTTATATAACATTATGCATTGTCTTCCCATATCAATTACTTTTATTTAGGCCACTTATTTAGAATTTCACCTGTATTGGCAAGACTATTATTTGTTTTCATCTCTACAGCAAATACCCAACAGATGCATTAGGAAAATAGGCAAACAGCTGGTAAACAGACTTATTCACTGCCTCAGGGATAACAAAGCAATTCACCAATTCCATCTTTCCCTCATTCATTTCACATTATCATAATTTCCAAATCTTCTGCTTTTGCTCTCTAAGGATTTGAGCATATCTAATGTATAACAGAAACTGAACCCAAAGTTGTACCCCATCAGTTTTAATATTAGTTAACAGGATTTCTTTTCTTTTACTAAATTTTGTAGTATGCATTCTTGTTTTTTCTAGTTGTTGAATTTTTTAAGAAGTTTGTATAATTGATAAATAAAAATGTATATATTTATGGTATATAACATGATGTTGTGATATATGTATACACTGTAGAATAGCTAAATCAAGCTCATTAACGTATCTATTACCTCATGTACTTAATATTTTCTGGTGATGAGAGCACTTAAAATGCATCAAAATGTGTTCTGGTTTTTGATAGTTTCACCTTCCTTTTCTTTTTAATTACAACTTAAATTTCAAAGACTTTTATTATGAAGGTTGTAAACAATGTATTTCTTTCTTAATATCCTGAATTATACATTTTCAGCATTTAATATCAATACAATTTTAGAATTTTTATTTTTAAAGACAGGATCTCACTCTGTCACCCAGGCCAAAGTGCAGTGGCATGATCATAGTTAGCTGCAGGCTTGAACTCCTGGGCTCAAGTGATCCTCCCACCTCAGCCTCCTGAGTAGCTAGGACTACAGATGTGCAACACTATGCCCAGCTAATTTTTTTAATTTTTATTTTTGTAGAGCTAGGGTCTCATGTTTCCCAGGCTGGTCTAGAGCTCCTGGGTTAAAGTAATCCTCCCACCTCGGCCTCCCAAAGTGCTGGGATAATAGGCATGAGCCACCATGCCTGGCCTAACTTTAGAATTTTTAAAATAACGTTGTATTAATCTTCTGGGTCTGGATGAAACCAGAATCACTGAGTTAGAAATACAAGAAAAGTTGAAACTATTACCAAGCGTTGAGGCAAATGGCAATTTCATTATGCAAAGGAGGAGAAAACCCAGAGTCAGTGGTGTCCATCCAGGACTGAAAACTACATTACAGTTGGGAGATAAAGTGGTACGTCAGAACCAAGAGCAACAAGGCATCATGATAAGAAAAACAGCCACCATTTGTGAACCATCACTAGTTCCAGGCATTACACTCAGGCACTAGATAAGCAGGTAGGATTCCAGAACACTGCTGTTGAAAGTCAGAGCAAGAGATTGTTATGTGCATGAAGGAAATTATCAGAAAAGCAACTAGTCAAATGGGACAAAGAGTTCATTCTAATATATACCATATCATTAGAGTTCAGTGACTCACAGAAAGAGATATAACAATACAAATGAATTAGTAAAAAAAAATCTGAACATTCTCAGCATTCTCTTCTTCCTTATCTGGTAGCTTAATTAATCGTTTTCAAAGAGATTTGTCCTAGACTCCCCTCTCAGTTAATACATTTTCCCTGGGTGAGCCTATCCACTCACATAGTTCCAAAAGCTGATGACTCTAAAACCTACATCTCTGGTTCAGATCCCTCTCTTGCTTTACATACCCAGCTTTCTATTGCCTAGGAAGAAGTCTTATCTGGAAATCTTATAGGATGCTCAAATTCTCCATGTTCAAAATCTAACTCATCACAACCATTTTCCCTGCACAAAGCCTCCTACTCCTGGCTCACTCTCTCGGTGGTGCCACTATCCAGACAACTGCTCAAGCCATAAACCTGAGAGTCATTCTTGACTCCTGTCTCCCTTAAGCCCTTATATTCAATCTATTACCAAGTCCCATCAATAATAGCTTCTAAATATTTCTCAAATAATTTACTTCTCACCATCTCCAATACCCTTTCACTCATCTTAGCAATACTGTCTTTCTTCTGGACTACTGAAAAAAGCCTTTTGTATCTGTCTTTGGCCCTCTAGTCTTGCCTCCTCTCCAAAACTTTCTCCTCACTGAAGAATGGTTTTTGGTCAATTTATTTCCTTTCTTTCTCTTTTTCTTTTGGAGACGGAGTCTTGCTCTCTCGCCCAGGCTGGAGTGCAATGGCGCGATCTTCACTCACTGCAACCTCCGCCTCCTGGGTTCAAGGGATTCTACTGCCTCAGCCTCCCAAGTAGCTGGGATTACAGGTGCCCGCCACCATGCCTGCCTAATTTTTGTATTTTTAGTAGAGACGGGGTTTCACCACATTGGCCAGGCTGGTCTCGAATCCCTGACCTCAGGTCATCCGCCTGCCTTGGCCTCCCAAACTGCTGGGATTACAGGCATGAGCCACTGTGCCTGGCCTATTTCCTTTCTTAAAACCCTTCAGTAACTCCACATTGCCCTTGGGATAAAATCCAAGGCTCAGAGAGATTTTGACCATATATACCATTTTGGTCTCATTTTATGTCTCCTGGCACTTCTGTTCTAAGCCATTCAAACCACTTTCATTTGTTTGAATGGGCGTCCTATACCTTTCCTCCTAGCCTTTGCATGGGCTCCTCCCTCTCTTTACCTCAACAGCTCCTCGTAATCCCTTAGTTCTCAGTTTAGAGATTACCTCCTCCAGAAAGCTTTTCCTGACTCCCAAGTCTGATAAGGTATCCCTTCTCTATTTTCCCTTCACATCTTTTATTTCCTTCACCACAGCAAGTAGCACTCTAACCTTGTACTTTACCTATTTCCCTCACTATGCTATAAATTTCATGAAGGCAGCAACACTGTTGCCTGCTGACCATTGTATTCCTGCAACTTAGCACAGTGTCCAGTACAAAGTAGTTGCTTACAGATGCATGCTAATTAAGGGAAAGAGCAAAGAGACAAGGGTTATCAACTTCAGAAGCCATGGCATAATCTGACTAATGTGAAACTTTTGGTATAAATCAATCAATGAAATCCATTAGCTTGAAGGGACTAGAGAAGTCCCTTTGTTCAATCTCCCACTCAATGTTAAAATCCCTACTACCTCATCTCTTAAACAGAGCTCTCTATCTTTATGTGAATACTTTAAAGGATGCATTATTTTGCAAGACAGTTAATCCCATTGATGGCTATATCTATTTTTTGTCTTTCTCATACTTGAACACTTTCCTGTTATAACTTTAATCCATTCCTCTGCCTTCTTTCTTTTATCTATATTCTGTTTTTTTGAGCAACACAAAATGAATCTTTTCCTTTTTACATATAAGAACACTGCCAAGTATTTGAAGGGTGTTGTCATGTGCTTCCTAAACCATTAATTCTCAAGCTTTCATTTGCAATGGAATTGCCTAGGGAGCAGGTTAAATACGAAGATTTCCTGGTCCCACCTTCCAAGACTCGCATTCAATAGGTCTGGTATGAATCCTAGGAAAATACTTTTTTTTTTTTTTTTTTTTTTGAGATAGGTTCTTGCTTTGTCACCCAGGCTGGAGTGCAGTGGTGTAAACACAGCTTAATGCAGCCTCAAACTCCCGGGCTCCAGCAATCCTTGTGATAGGGACAGGAGGCAGTGAAATTCTGGGCAGAAGAGAGCAGGTCCCCAGCGAGGGCCCCACCCTCAAGCTGAAAGGCCTGATACCACAACCCAGAGTGAGAATATACATCCCTGTTTTCCCTCTCGAATGTTGTCTTTTCCAAAACCATCCATGGCCCATCCTGCCTCCAATCCTGTGCCCCTAAAAACCTCAGGTTCAGCTGGCAGAGAGAGGATAAGCTGCTGGACGTCAGAGACTATGGTTGGATGTCGGACAGAAGCAGCTTGACTTCAGAGGGACAGCTTGACAGCATAGCTTTGAAGAGGAGTATGACAGGGGATGGCTGGACTTCAGGGGAGGATTGCTTTCCTGCCCCATCCCCTTTTTAACTCCCCATCCCACTGAGAGCCACTTGTATCGGCAATAAAATCTCCCCATTTACCATATTCAGTTTGTTCATGTGACCTCATTTTTCCTGGATGCTGGACAAGAGCTCAGAGCCATGAGTGTGGATACAAGGGGGCCCACTGAGCTATTAACACTTAAGCTGTCCACGGATGGCAGAGCTAAAAGAATACTGACTGTAACACTCCCTCTGGGGCCTCAGGGGTCATGGTCACCCTACTAGATGCTGCCATGGGGCCCCACAAGGAGTTTGCTCTTGTTGGTGCCCAAAAGCAATCACCCTGGCTCCTGCACCCACTCACCTGCATTCTCCCTCCTGCAAGTGGAGTGCTGTGGGCTGAGTAAGCAAGGCACCTCGTCACGAGGCCCATGAAGGGGTCAGGGAAATATCCTGCTTCACTCCCACCTCAGCCTCCTGAGGAGCTGGGACTACAGGCATGCACCATGCATGGCTAATTTTTACATTATTTTCGTAGAGATGGGGATTCGCCATGTTGCCCAGGCTGGTCTTAGATGCCTGAGCTTAAGCAATCTGCCCACCTCAGCCTCCCAAAGTGCTAGGATTACAGGTGTGAGCCACTGTGCCCAGCAAATATAAAATTTTAACAAGCACACTAGAACATTTTGATGCAGGTAGTCCACAGACTACTTGTCACGAAACACTGCCTAGGCAAAAATATTTTTTAAATGTTTCAATAAATAGTACTTATAAAATTTAATCCTCAAAGTCACTGGATATTTGTATCTATTCTCTTTAGGTGTAGTCCCCACAATGAAACCAAATATTCAGGTGTATTTTGACTAATTAGAAGTGGACTTAGGATATTATCACATTTAACCTGATTTATGTTCTACTGAAACTGTCCACAATTATCTCAACAATTTTTAGTAGACTTGGTCACATTATCTACTCTGTGATTGTATTGTTAACTGAAACCTCTTAGGGCAGGAATGAGTTTCAGGAATGGATGACTCAAAGCTCACAAATATGTAAGCAAAACAGAAGCAAGACACTCTTCTGTGATAATTTGCATCCACTCCTCTACCTTCTTTCTTTCATCCAAGTTCTGTCTTCTTGAGCAACACAAAACTGATCTTTTTATTTTTTCCATATAAGAACACTTCCAGGCCGGGCGCGGTGGTTCACGCCTGTAATCCCAGCACTTTGGGAGGCCGAGGCGAGTGGATCACGAGGTTAGGAGATCAAGACCATCCTGGCTAACACGGTGAAACCCCGTCTCTACTAAAAATACAAAAAAATTAGCTGGGCGTGGTGGTGGGCGCCTGTAGTCCCAGCTGAGGCTGAGGCTGGAGAATGGCGTGAACCTGGGAGGCGGAGCTTGCAGTGAGTCGAGATCGCGCCACTGCACTCCAGCCTGGGGGACAGAGCGAGACTCCGTTTCAAACAAAACAAAACAAAACGAAACAAAACAAAACAAAACAAAAACACTTCCAAATATTTGAAGGATGTTGTCGTGTACTTCCTAAGTCATTATTTCTCAAGCTTTAATGTGCAACATAATTGAATGGGATGTGTGAATGGGATGAGATGACAGTAGATGAAAGTTTATCCTGAGAGGGGTAGCAATATGTAGTATTCCCACCAAAGGTGGCACACAGACTTCTCAGTAACTCCAGTTCCCCTTTCCCACAGCCCATCAGGTTTTTCACAGCCAGCCATTTGCAAGAACTACTGCTCACTGTCACCTACTTATCTTCTGTCTGCAATCAGCAGATTAAAGTCTGCTTTGCCTCTTATGAGAAATCTAGTAGACCTGCTGTCCACCCTTTTAACCCACAAAAAGAATCAGAATTCTGTAATCAGTCTTCCTTATTCCAAACCCTGCCACATGAGGAGGAGTTGGAACCTTGGCATGCTTCTTTAAAAATGTGTTTGATCTCTAACAGATTACTGAGGGTACCTTCACATATTTGTGGAGGATTATCTAAAACTCTAAAAATAGCTATAAGCACAATTCTTTCACATGCATACAATTTGAATAGGTCTGGAAAGATGCTTTTAAGCTCATAAAAGTGTCATAGAATGTTATGAATTGGCTTTACATGCCTCAATACACCCGGTGTACAGATTAGCACTTTCTGTTACGACACCCAGGCTCTGTGCCTTCTACTCTAAACAGCAGGAAAAATTTATGAGCTAGAAAACCTCTCTTGGATTTGGCCTTAGGGAAGTAAGGAGTGGAATTTTGTTGCTCACGAGGCTAGAGTGTGAGGCTCCCAGGAATCAGGGAGTGGGGGGCATAGTCACATTAACTGAAAACACAGGATTGCAAATAACAAAACTTTGAAACACAGCAGCCTTATGTTGAATGCAAGGATAGAGAGATGATCGCAACTGTGATGTGGGGAGAGGAGAATTTAGAATGTGGTTTTGAGGAAAAAAAGGATCACACTATTGCAGACATTAGGATTAAATGATTTCAATGATCACACACATACATGTGTGCCTCAAAAAGAGTTGGCATCAGACTCTTTCAAGTGGTACCTAGAAGCCAAATATGAGGTGGAGGTAGTCACCTTTGCATTTCTCTATTCATGGAACAAACATTTTTGAATACCAAATGTGTGCCAGAACACAAATATGAATTTGATACAGCCTTTTAGGAGTTTTTGTCCAGGTGAGAAGAAACAAGACAATTAAAAGGATGGTCATATACTGTAATAATTTATCTGATAGAGCTAAGCACAGGATGTTTTGAGAACACAGTGAACTGGAGGGAAGCCAACTGATGAGAAGTTGAAGAAAGGCTTTTTGGAGAAGCAATGCCTGAACTGAATCCTAAAAGATAAGTAGGACTTACCTAGAAGGAAGAGTTTGAGGAGGTCATTTTAGTCAGGAGGAACTGCATGATATGTAAGTATTTCAGCATGGTTAGACTAGATAATAAAGTGCAAAGCAAGTGAATGATGAGAGATGAGAACAGAGAAATAGGCAAGAGCCAAATTTGGAAGACCCCATAGGCCTTACCAAAGCAGCTGAACTTTCTCCTACAGGCTACAGAGAAGCTGGTAAGTGACCATTTTTGATATTCATTCTGGTAACAGCATGGAGAATGGAAAGAACCAGAGGCAAGTCCAGTGCAGAGGGACTAGTTAAGAGTGGTAATAGTCGAGGAGAGAGGTAAGTGGGGTCACAACAAAGGCAGTAGCATAGGGGATGGCAGCAAGGAGATGGGTTTGAGACTATTGAGAAAAACTTTTGTTGTTGTCCTTGTTTTGTATTGTTTTGATTCAAGGCTTACTTTGACTTGGAAGTCAAAGTAGTTGATGTGGTAGCAGCAGAAAGAGGGCAATGGGATAGTGTGATGCAATATCACAAAAGCTTATTTGAGATAAGATATTTGTGAAAAAGAATTAATTCTGAAAGTGCTCTTTTTAAAAATTCCTTGTTTTTTTACTCAACTTGCAAGAGTAATTATTTGCTGAAGATTGGTTGCTTAGCCTATTGAGGGTTAATAACTCATGTGGTTTAGCATGTTCTAGGAATTTGTGCAGTGGGAATAAGGCAAGTTAGGGTCACAGTGAGGGAGAAAGGATCAGCCAGCTGTCTCTTTTTCTTCTTTACAGAAGCACAAATACCCTCTAAGCAATCCCACAAAAAAGAAGCTTTCCATGCCAGAAATCTGTTTATTTTGCAAAGGAAGAGTCCAGAAGACCATATGGAATGCAATTGATGATGATATTTAATTCACAATGTGCAAGAACAGTAAGAAGAAATAACCAGAATAAATAATAAATTATTAAGACATGATGCAGAATCACTGAGAATTAAGTTTAAAATACTTTAAAAAGTTTTGTAAATTACAGATTGATATAATCATTTAAAAATGAATCTTGTATAAAACGAAAATCAGAATAAATAGTGTACTGGATTATGAAACGAAGTTATAATGGAACACAATTATACACAGGACATTGATGAAACTAAATTCTTTATACTAAATAAATTAATCAGGAAGAATTCCATGAAATATTATGTCTGAATGAGAATAGAAAATATCCCAGGCTTAGATTATGTAAATGAAATTACGTGATTATTTTTTAATATGGATGTGAAAGGTGACATAAACATTAAATTAACACTAGATTGCAATGTTAAGGAAATAAGGGAGAGAACTAACAATGTGAGAGAAATAAGTGTCTAATCTGTCTCCACGTCCTGTTGAATCCTCCCATAAAATACCTCTTAAATTTGTCTCTTAAACATTTCTAAAACCACTACCTTAGTCTGCCACAATAATCTCTCCCACTCCACTTCTCTATTGAGCATAATGATGCCAGATCCTCTCTGAGAAACTTGACTGATGAATCTAATCTAATTTCCTCTTTCTGACTTGAAGGTCTTCCATAACTCAGTTCCATTCTACCTGCGTAAGATATTTCCTATTCTCCCCAACATTCTCCCTTTGCTCTGATGAGGCCATGCTGCATATTGTCCCTAAAATACTACATGCTCATTTCCGTCTTTGTCCCTTCCTGAGGTGTCATATCCTTTCTGCTTTGCCTGCCCTATCTTCCTTCGAGGCTCAGGTCAAGTTCCAATCCCTTCATAAAGATTTCCTTCACTCTCTTACTTCTCTGATTTCCCAATACAATTTTAGATGGAATCATATACTCTCTAGACAATTTAAGTATTTAATATAGGCAAGTTTTACTTCTTCAACTACATTGTAAATTCACTAAGGGGATAATAATGCAATATTACCTCAATCATCCCAACTGAGTTTAGGCCATTTTTATTCTAACATTTTGATACAGTAGATAATGTAGACTATGACATTTGGACCCTAAAGACATTTTGACTTCTCACTTATACATACAAGCATTTGGTTCTGAATTACATATCACTGACCCTTTTTGTTGAAGAAGTATGTTAAGAATAAACACAGTTCACTCATTTTTTTTTTTTTGAGACAAGAGTCTTGCTCTGTTACCCAGGCTGGAGTGCGGTGGCATGATCTCGGCTCACTGCAACCTCTATCTCCTGGGTTCAAGCTATTCTCATGCCTCAGCCTCCCAAGTAGCTGGGATTACAGGCGCACATCACGACACCTGGCTAATTTTTTTATTTTTAGTAGAGATGGGGTTTCACCATGTTGGCCAGGCTAGTCTTGAACTCCTGGCCTCAAGTGATGCACCCACCTTGGCCTCCCAAAGTGCTGGGATTACAGGTGTGAGTCACTGTGCCCAGCCAGTTCGCTCAGTTTAACTCTTCAACCAATTTTCTATTAAATTGTATCAGAACATTTTAATATTTCTATATTAAATTTATTTTATGGGAATTTTAATCTTAAACAATCTCTTTCATATTAATTTTACAATGAATATTTATCAACCTTAACATTTTTTCTGGAGGTGTAATTGACAAAATAAACTGCACATAATGAAAGTGTACAATTTCGTAAGTTTTGGCATATGTTTATACTCATGCAGCCATCGCTAGGATTAAGGTGGTGAATATACACATCACCCCCAAAAGTTTCCTCATAACTCTTTGCAATTTCTCTTCCCATATTTCCACACCCACATTCCTTCCAGGAAACTACTAATTTGGTTTCTGTCAGTACAGATTAGTTTGCATTTTTTAGAGTTTTATGTAAATGGAATCATACATTTGGGTAGATCATATGGTAAGTGTATGTTTCACATTTTAGGAAACTGCCACACTATTTTCCAAAGTGGTCTTACTATTTTACCTTCCCAACAGCAGTGTATGAGGATTCCAGTTTCTCCACATCCTTGTCAATATTTGGTAAGGCTAAGGCTAATCCTTTGAATTTTAGCCATTCTAGTAGGTGTGTAGTATTATCTCATGTAGTTTTATTTTTGATTTATTTTTTATTTTATTTTATTTTTTGAGACAAGGTCTTGCTCTGTCATCCAGGCTGGCCCGTCTGAAGTGCCGTGATGTGATCATAGCTCATTGTTATAGTCTTGACCTCCTGAACTCAAGATATCCTTCTGCCTCAGCCTCCTGAGTAGCGCGAACTACAGGTGTGTGCCATCATGCCAGGTTAATTTTTAAATTTTTTGTAGAGATAAGGCCTTGCTATGTTGCCCAGACTGGTCTTGAACTCCTGAACTCAAGCAGTCCTCCTGCCTTAGCCTCCTAAAGCACTGGGGTTACAGGCATTAACCACTGCTCCCAACCTATTTTTCATTTCTTAATGACTAATGATGTTGACGTCTTTTTATGTGCTTATTTGTCATTCATGTATTTTCTTTGTTAAAGTGTTAAAATCATTTGCTCCTTTTTTATTGGGTTGTTTGTTTTCTTATTATTGTTTGTGACTCATTCCTCTGGAGAGTTGTATGCACAGCGTAGATATAATTCTTTAACCTACACATGATTTGCAAATATTTTTGCTCATTCTGTCATTTGTCTTTTCATTCTCTGAACAGTGTTTTTCAAAGAACAGAGGTTTATTTTTAAAAAGAGCAGGACAGCCTGGGGAACATAGCAAAACCTCATCTCTACAAAAAAAAAAAAAATTAGACGGGCCTGGTGGTATGGGGGCCTGTAGTTCCAGCTACTCAGGAGGCTCAGGTGAGAGAATTGCTTGAGCCCAGGAAGTTGAGGCTGCAGTGAGCTGTGATCATGCCTCTGCACTCTAGCCTGGGTGACAGAGGGAGACCTTGCCTCAAAAAAAAAAAAAAAAAAAAAAAAGGCAGAGGTTTATAATTTTGATGAAGTCCAATTTCATTTTTTTTTAATGACTTACTTAAGAGATCTTTGCTTAAATCAAGGCCACAAATAGTTCTTCCTATATTTTAGGTTTCAGATTTAAGTCTATGATGCATTAGAGATTAGTTTTTACATAGGATGTGAGATATGGATTCAAGTTAATCTTTTTTTGCATATGGATATCCAATTCTGCTTAGCGGCATTTGTTGAAACTAGCCTTTTTCCCACTGACTTGTCTTTATACCTCTGTCAAAAGCCATTTGTCCATATGTGTGAGATTATCTTTGGATTTTCTATTCTGTGCCATTGATGGATTTCTCTATCTTTACACCAGTACTACACTGTCTAGATTAGTGTAACTTTTTAGGAAGTCTTAAAATCTGGTAGTCTTAGTCTTCCAACTGTGTTCTTTTTTTTCAGATTGTTTTCACTATTCTATATCCTTTGCGTTTTCATATGAGTTTGAAAATTAGTTTGTCAGTTTCTACAAAAATTCCTGCCAAATTTTGGGGGCGAGCTGACATCATAAAAATATTGATTCTTCTAATCCATGAAACTGATATAGCTCTTCATTCACTTATGTCTTATTTAATTTCTTTTAGCAATGGTTTGTGGTCTTTAGCATGCAAGTTTTTACATTTTTGTGAGATTTATACCCAAGTATTTTATATTTTTTGATACTATGGTGAAATGTATTTATTTTCATTTGAATTTTTAATTATCTACTTTGAGTGTATAATATACCATTGATTTTTGTATATTGACTTTCTATGCCAAAACTTTGCTAAACTTGTTTATTTTTTTGTGTAGCTTTTTTGTAGATTCCACTGGATTTTCTGCACAAATGATCATAGAATCTGCAAATAAAAATAGTATAATGGTTTTACTTCTTTCCAATCTGGATGTCATTTTTTCCTTCCCCCTTTCTTTCCTTCCCTTCTTTCTTTCTTTCCTTTCACCCTCCCTGCCTTCCTTCTATGTCTTCTTCCTTCCTTCCCCGTTTCTTTTCCCCCTCCCTCCCCTCCCCCTCTCTTCAACGCCTTTTTTTTTTCTCCTCTTTGCCTTCTTTCTCTGGAAACTTCAGTACAATGTTCAATGAGTAGTGAGAGCAGACATCCTTGTCTTAATCCTGATCTTAGAGATAAAATATTCAATCTTTCATCACTAAGTGTCTTGTTATCTGTATGTGTTTCACAGATCTTCCTCTTTTTTTCTGGTTGAAGAAGGACGTTTCTTTCTATTCCTAGTTTACACAGAGTTTTTATTAAAAATAATATCGGACTTTTTTTAAAAAAAGCTTTTTCTGCATTAATTGAGATGCTCATATGGCTTTTCTTTTTAGTTTGTTTATATGGTGAATTACACTGTATGATTTTTTAAATGTTAAACCCTACTGGGTCTCGATGTATTATTCTTTTAATATATTGATACAGTTTGATAAATTTTTGGTTAGATTTTATTTTTAGATATTTTGCATCTATATTCACAAAAGTTATCAGTCTGTTGTTTTCTTGTAATGTCTTTGTCTTTTTTTATGACAAGATTGGCCTGGTATAATAAGGTGGTATAATCTCCCTTCTCTTAAATATCCTGGAAGGACTTGTATAGAATTGGTATTATTTTGTCCTTAAATGTAGATTTCTCCAGTGAAGCCATCTGAGTCTGGAGTTTTCTTTATGAGAAGTTTTAAAACTATGAATTCAATTTTTAAAATAGATATAGGGCTCCTCAGTCTACCTCTATCTTCTTGAGTGACCCGTCTGTCTTCCAAGGAATTTGTTCATTTAACCTGTTATCAAGTTTATTGCCAAAAAGCCATTCATAATATTCTTTTATTATCACTTTAATGTCTGTAGATTCTGTGGTGATGTTCCCTCTTCATTCTTGATATTGGTAATTTGTGTTTTCTCACTTTTTATCTTAATTAGTCTGTTTAGAGGTTTTTCAGTTTTACTGATCTTCTAAAAAACCAGTATTCCCTTTCATTGATTTTTCTGTATCAACTCACTGTTTGTTCTCTCTCTCTCTTTCTTTCTTTTCTTTTCTTTTCTTTTTTTTTTAGACAGAGTTTCACTCTGTCGCCCAGGCTGAGGGCAGTGGCATGATTATAACTCACTGCAGTCTTCAATTCCCAGGCTCAAATGATCCTTCCACCTCAGTCTCCTGAGTAACTTAGACTACAGGCCCCTGCCATTATACTCGGCTAATTTTTTATTTTTTGTAGAGATGAGGGGGTCTCACTATGTTTCCCAGGATGATCTCGAACTCCTGGACACAAGTCATTCTCTAGCCTGGGCCTCAGGATGTATTCCTGACAACTTGGATGAACCTAAAGGACATTATGTGAAATAAGTAAACAAGTTGTCAATGGAAACAATTCAGCTATTAAAAAGAATGAAATCCTGTCACTTATTCTTTTTTTTAATCTCTTGGATGACAGAATTTGATTATTTTTTAATAGCTGAATTGTATTCCATTGTGTATACATATCACATTTTCTTCATTCATTTGTTGTTGGACACTTAGGTTGATTCCACATCTTGGTTGTTGTGAATAGTTCTGTAATAAACATAAGAGTGCAAATATCTCTTTGACATACTGATTTCATTTCCTTTAGGTACAACATACCCAGTAGTGGGATTACTGCATCATATGGTATTTCTATTTTTAACTTTTTGAGCAACCTCTATACTGTTTCCCAAATTAGCTGTGCTAATTTACACTCCCACCTACAGTGGTTAAGAGATCTCTTTTTTACACATCCTCGCCAGCATTTGTTATCTTTTTTCTTTTTGATAATAGCCTTTCTAACTGCAGTGAGATGGTATCTCATTCTGGTTTCAATTTGCATTTCTCTGATGGTTAGTGATGTTGAACATTTTTTTCATATACCTGTTGGCCATTTGTATGTCTTCTTTTGAGAAATATCTATTAAGATCTTTTAGCTATTTTTTCTTTGGATTATTTGTTTTCATATTTTCTTGCTATTGAGTTGTTTGTTCCTTACATATTCTGGATATTAACTCCTCGTTAGATGTAGTGTATGCAAATATTTTCTATTCTGTGGGTTGCCTGTTTGCTCTGTTGAGTCTTTCCTTTGCTGCACAGAAGCTTTTTGGTATGATGTAATCTCATTTGTCTATTTTTGCTTTTGTTTCTTGTACTTTTGAGGTCTTATCCAAAAATATCCTTGCCCCATCCAATGTCTTGAAGTGTTTCTGCTATGTTTTCTTCTAGTAGCTTCATAATTTCACATCTTAATATTTAAGTTTTTAATCCATTTTTAGTTTTTTTTGTATATGGTGATAGATACAGGTTTGGTTTCATTCTTCTGCATATGGATATGCAATTTTCCCAGCACCATTTATTGAAGAGACAATCTTTTCCCCAGTGTGTGTTTTTGGCAACTTTGTTGAAAATCAGTTGGCTGTAAATGCATGGATTTATTTCTGGGCTGTCTATTTTGTTCCATTGTTCTATGTGTCTATTCTTATGCCAATATCATGCTATTTCGGTTACTATAGTTTGGTAATATATTTTGAAGCCAGGCACGATTTATTCTTTGACCTATGACTATGTAAAGTATACTATTTAGTTTCCACATATTTGTGAATCCAAAATTTCTTTCTGTTATTGTGGTCAGAGAGTATACTTTGTATATTTTCAGTTCTTTTGAATTTATTGAGACATGTTTTATGTCCCAGCATATGGCCTACCTTGTTAAATGTTCTGTGTGCCTTTGAAAAGACTGTGCACTCTGCTGTTGTATAGAATATTCTGTAAATGTCAATTCGGTCAAGTTGGTTTAGTATTGTTCAGGTATTTTATATGCTTACTGATTTTCTGTCTTCCTGTTCCATTAATTATTGTGAGAGAGTTATTGAAATCACTGACTATAATTGTGGATTTATCTATTGCTCCTTATAGTCCATTGTTGCTTTCTGGATTTTGAAGTTCTGTTATTCATAAAAATATTGTTATGTCCTCCTAATGGATTGATCATTTTACCATTGTGAAATGACTTTCTTTATTGCTAGTAATGTTCTTTGCTCTGAAATATACTTTGTCTGATACTAATGTAGCTTTCTTTTGATTAGCGTTAACATGGCATATCTTTTTCTATTTTTCACTTTTTATCTATTTATGTCTTTATATTAAAATGCACTCTTTGTAAGTAGAAAGTAATTAGGTCTTGCTTTCTTATTCAGTTTGACCATTTCTGCCTTTTAAATGGGGTTTTATTTACATTTATTAACATTCACATTTAATAATTATTAGTGTGGTTTTGCTTACTTCTATCATCTTGCTATTTATTTTCTGTTTCTTCCGCCAGTCTTTTACTTGCTTTTTCCTCTTTTAATGCCTTCTTTTGAATTAAATGTGTATATTTTTACGATTCTATTTTATCTTCTTTGTTGGCTTATTAGCTATAACTCATTGTTTTGTTTTTTAGTACTTGCTTTAGGGTTTATAGTATAATTTATCACAGTCTACTTTCAAGTAATATTTTTCCTGTTCACATATATTATAAAAACTTTACATTAGTGCATTTCCAGTTTTCCTCTCACAACCTTTTTGTTGGGGTCAATAAACTTTATCTGTAAGGGGCCAAATAAGTTTTCTCAGCTTTGTGAGCCATACAGTTTCTGTCACTAGTCAACTCTGCAATTGCAAAACAGAAGCAATCATAGACAATACAAAGATGAATTAACATGACTGTGTGCCAATAGACCTTTATTTACAAAAATGGACGGTGAGCTGGATTTAGCCCACAGACCCCATAGTTTGCTAACCTTTTCTTTTTGCTTTTGTTTCCATACATTTTACTATCACATCTGTCAGAAGCCCATGTTACATTATCATTATTGTTTTTGAAACAGCCATTTATCTTTTAAAGAAATTTAAATAATAAACATTAAAAATATATATTTACCCATGAAGTTACCATTTCCAGTGTTTTTCATTCTTTTGTGTAGATCCATGTTTATGTTTGGTATTATCTCCTGCTGTCTGAAGCACTTTCTTTAACATTTCTTTTTTTTTTTTTTTTTTTTTTGAGACAGAGTCTCGCTCTGTTGCCCAGGCTGCAGTGCAGCGGCACGGTCTCGGCTCACTGTAAGCTCTGCCTCCAGGGTTCACGCCATTCTCCTGCCTCAGCCTCCCAAGTAGCTGGGACTACAGGTGCCCGCCACCACGCCCGGCTAATTTTTTGTATTTTTAGTAGAGAGAGGGTTTCACTGTGTTAGCCAGGATGGTTTCGATCTCCTGACCTTGTGATCCGCCTGCCTCGGCCTCCCAAAGTGCTGGGATTACAGGCGTGAGCCAAACATTTCTTACAGTATAAGTCTGTTGGTGATGAATATTTTCAGCTTTTCTATGTTTGAAAAACATCTCTTTTTTTATCCTTCATTTTTGAAGGGCTTTTTTAGTGGATATGGAACTCTACCTAGGTTGACAGTTTATTCCCCCATATTTTAAAGATGTTGCTCCTATATCTTCTTACTTGCATTGCTTCTATCTACTGTAATCTTTAGCTTTTTTCTCTGTACACAATGTATCTTTTACTCTGGCTGCTTTTAAGATTTCTCCTTTGTCATTGGCTTAGGGCAATTCAATTATGATATGCCTTGGTGTAGTTGTCTTTGTATTTCTTTTGCTTGGGGTTAATTGAGCTTCTTGGATGAGTTAGTTTATCAGTTTCATCAAATGGGAAAAAAATTTTTCATTATTTCTTCAAAAACTTTTTTGTCACTTACCTCTCTTGCCTTTTTTTGGCAAGAGGCTCCAATTACATACATATTAGGCCAGTTGAATGTGTCTGTTTGCCCTATTCATTTATTTATTTTTGGTCTTTTTTAAATCTCTGTGTTTCATTTTAAACAGCTTCTATAGCTATGTCTTTATTATCACTAATCTTTTGTTCCACAATATCTAATCTGCAGTTAATCTCACCTTGTTATTTTTCATCTTGGTCATTGTAATTTTTATGTCTAGACTAATCTTTTCTTCCAAAATACCTAACCTGTAGTTAATCACATCTTGTTATTTTTCACATCTTGGTTATTGCAATTTTCATGTCTAGATGTTCAGTTGGGTCTTTTTAAAAATTGTGCATGTCTCTGCTATAGGTTTTAACATATAGAACACAGTTATAATGACTGTTTATATATCTATGTGTGGTAATTTTAACATCTGTATCCATTTTAGGTTGTTTTCAATTGATGGATTTTCTCCTTGCCATGGGTCATATTTTTCTGTTCCCTTGCATGTATGGTAATTTTTTCACTGGATGCCAGAAATTGTTAATTTTATCTTTCTGCTTGCTGGATATTTTTGTATTGCTATAAAATTCTTGAACTGTTTTCACAGTTAAGTTACTTGGAAACTGATCCTTTTAACTCTTACTTTTAAGATTTGTTAGGCCAAACCACAGCAGTGTTTAGTTTAGGGTTAATTATTCCCCACTACGAAGACAAGATCCTTCTTGGCTCTGTACTCAATACCCACAAATTATAAGGTTTTCCAGTCTTGTTTATAGGAATGTGTGCTAATCCCTGCCATGTGTGAGTTCCAAACACTGTTACCTTTACTCATTTTGGAGGGCTGTTTCCTGAGCCTTGGGTAGTTTTCTCACATTCTGATGAATATTTAAGGTAGACTCTCTGCATATCTCCTGAGTTCTCTGTGTAGCTCTCTCCTATCCAGTGAACTATTCTGCAAATTGTAGCTGTCTTGGTGTCCATGAAATTTCAGTTTTCTCTCCTAAAATTAGGTTGCCCTCCAGGTTCTGCCTGGATTTCCCCTCCTTGCTTCATGGCCTGGAAACTCTCTTAAAGCAGTAAGATTGGGCATTTGCAGGTCTCACCTCCTTTGTGTCCCATAACTCAGGTGTTACTGTTTTTGTTGCTTGATGTTCGGTGTCTTGAAAACCACTGTCTCATATACTTTGTCTAAGTTTTTGGTTATTTCAGGTGGGAGGGTAAATCCAGTCCCTGTTTTTCCATGTTGGCTTACAGCAGAAGAACCAACACTGTTTTTTGGGTCGTATATAATATAGTAAAAGTATTAGAAAACTTAACATACCCAGCACTGACAATGTTCTTGCATATATTATTGTTGACAATATAAATTGGTACAGACCTTTTGGAAAGAAACTTGGCAATACTTACCAAAATTTTTTTTTTTTTTTTTGACAGAGTCTCACTCTCTTGCCCAGGCTGGAGAGCAGTGGTGCGATCTCAGCTCACTTTCTGCCTCCCGGGTTCACGCCATTCTCCTGCCTCAGCCTCCCTAGTAGCTGGGACTACAGGCATCCGCCACCACGCCCGGCTAATTTTTTTGTATATTTTTAGTAGAGACGGGGTTTCACAGCGTTAGCCAGGATGATCTTGATCTCCTGACCTTGTGATCCACCTGCCTCGGCCTCCCAAAGTGCTGGGATTACAAGAGTGAGCCACCGCGCCTGGCCAATACTTACTAAAATATTTTAAAATATTTCATCCCAGCATTTTGGGAGGCCAAGGTGGGAGAGTCATTTGAGCCCACGTGTTTGAGACCAGCCTGGGCAACATGATGAGAACTGTCTCTACAAAAAATAAAAATTAGCCTGGCATGGTAGCATGTGCCTATGGTCCCCGCTACTTGGGAAGTTGAGGAAGGAGGATAGTTTGAGCCCGGGAGGTCAAGGCTACAGTGAGCTGTGTTCACGTCACTGCACTCTAGCCTGAGGAACAGACCAAGACCCTGTCTAAATAAATAAATAAATAAATGTGTGTGTGTGTGTGTGTGTGTGCATATATATATATATTTCTACTGTATGATTAACTGATCTTGAAATCTAGCATACAGAAATATAAATAAAATTTTTTTCATAATATCTTAATAACAAGGTTATACATAATAAAGGAATATTGGTAAGAACTCAAATAGCAAATAATAAATGCACAGGTCAAGTAGTGTATGATTATGTAATATAAGGTAATATATATCATATAGCAGAGGTCCCAAAGCCCTGGGTAACGAACTGGTACTGGGCCACATAACAGGAAGTGAGTGGCTAGTGAGCGAGCAAAGCTTCATCTGTATTTACAGCCGCACCCCATCACTTGCATTACCACCGGAGCTCCACCTCCTATCAGATCAGCAGTGGCATTAGATTCTCATAGGAGTATGAACCCTATTGAGAACTTCATACGCAAGGGATCTAGGTCATACACTCCTTATGAGAATCTAACATCCGATGTTCTGTCCCTGCCTCCCATCACCCCAGATGGGACCATCTAGTTGCAGGAAAACAAGCTCAGGACTCCCACTGATTCTACATTATGGTAAATTGTGTATTTCATTATATATTACAATAATAGAAATTAATAATAATAATAGATAATATATATATAATATATAGATAATAATAAATAATAATAATTAATAATAATAGAAATAAAGTTTACAATAAATACAATACGCTTCAATCATCCTGAAACCACCCCACCACCCAACACCAACTGGTCTGTGGAAAAATTGTCTTCCATGAAACCTGTCCCTGGTGCCAAAAAGGTTGAGGACTGCTGTTATATGGTATATAGAATATGATTATAACATCTCTAAAGAGTATATCACTATAAAAATAAATGCTAATAATATTTATAAATAAAATAGATAATGAATGACATAAGAATTTGTGCTAATAGGAAAACATAGAACCAAATATATAAAAATATCATCACCAAATACAACGAAATGGTTGTATTTGGGAACTGCGTTTATGAGTAAGTTTTCATAATGAAGAAAAAACCTTGAAAAAGGTTGTGATACTCTTACGTTTATGATACTTTAAAAAAGAAGCCAGTCTATTTAAGTCCATGTAAGAAAGTAGGTTGATTTGAAGTTTAATGGAAGTTGTTAACGAGCAAACTTTGTAATTTTTCTTAAGTTAACCAGGCAGCACTTAGCAATTGGCAATCACTACTACTTGGGGATAGCTTGGAAGGAGTAAAGTAACTAAAAATTTTGGGGGCGAGAAAGGACACTAATGCAGATGGATAACTGCCAGGAGTCACAATGGTTTAGAAACTGGGTTTAGGAGTCAGGCATGCTTCTATTAAAATTTTTGCTTTGCCACTTCTCAGCTGAAACCTTAGACAAATAACTTAATTTCTCTGAACAATCATTTCCTCACTTACAAAATGAAGATAATAATGATGCCTGTGGCAGGGTGTGGTGCTTCACGTCTGTAATCCCAACACTTTGGGAGACCAAGGTGGGAGGATTGCTTTGAATTCGAGATCAGCACGGGTAACGTGGTGAATCCCCGTCTGTACAAAAAATACAAAAATTAGCCATGTGGTGGTGCAAACCTGTAGTCTCAGCTGCTCAGGAGGCTGAGGTGGGAGGATAATTTGAGCCTGGGAGGTCGAGGCTGCAGTGAGCCGTGATTGTGCCACTGGACCCCAGCCTGAGCAACAGAGCAAGAACTTGTCCAAAAAAAAAAAAAGCCTGCTTCACAAGACTCTTGTGAAATTAAGAGAGTTAATTTACCTTTAATACTAGCTGTCATTCTTTGAGTACTTACTATGTGCTACAAGCTCTTTCAGGTGTTGTATTTATATTAACTAATTTTAATCCTCTCAATATTCCTATCAGGTAGGTAGCATTATCATCCCTATTTTTCAAATGAGGAAACAGAGGCAAAGAGAAGATAAGTACTTGCCCAAAACCACATAGTTATTAAGTGGCAGAAGAGTAGAAGCAGAAAGGCCTAAATCAGGAAGTTACTGTAGTAGTCCAGAGAAAATAGTGACTTGAATTAAGGTTACAGCAGTGGAGATGCTAGTAATGTGAACAGAAGTTCTCTGGAAAGGAATTTGGTGCAAAGAGACTTTATTCCAGTGAACAGTTTGCAAACAGGGGAGATACAGATTTTGGTGTAAAATGAAGTTGTGTTCCAGAGAACAAAGAGAGAGTGTGTGTGTGTGTTTTTTGAGTCAGGGCCTCACTCTGTTGCCCAGGCTGGAGCGCAATGGCATGATCACAGCTCACTGGAGCCTCAAACTCCTGAGCTCAAGGAATCATCCCACCTCAGCCTTCCCAGTAGCTGGGACTACAGGCACATGCCACCAGGGCTGGTTAAATTTTTAATTTTTTTGTAGAGATGAAGAGGACTTTGCCCAGGGTGGTTTTGAACTCTTGGGCTCAAGCAATCCTCCTGCTTTGGCCTCCCAAAGTTTTGGGATTGCAGGCATGAGACACTGCACCTGGCAAGTGTGTGTTTCTTTCTTTATTATTGTTATTATTTTTAAGTTCTGGGGTACATGTGCAGGATGTGCAGGTTTGATACATAGGTAAACATGTGCCATGGCGGTTTGCTGCACCTATAAACCCATCACCTAGGTATTAAGCCCACATGCATTAGCTGTTTTCCCTAATGCTCTCTCCACCCACCCTCCCTCGACAGGCCCCAGTGAGTGTAGCTCCCCTCCCTGTGTCCATGTGTTCTCATTGTTCAACTCCCACTTATAAGTGAGAACACACAGTGTTTGGTTTTCTGTTCCTGCATTAGTTTGCTGAGAATAATGGCTTCCCTTCCAGCTTCTTCCTTGTCCCTGCAAGTTTGTGTTAATTTTAAAAAATTATTTATTATTTCCTTCTGAAACTATTCTAATCAATAGAAAAAGAGGGAATCCTCCCTAACTCATTTTATGAGGCCAGTATCATCCTGATACCAAAGCCGGGCAGAGACACAACCAAAAAAGAGAATTTTAGAGCAATATCCTTGATGAACATTGATGCAAAAATCCTCAATAAAATACTGGCAAACCGAATCCAGCAGCACACCAAAAAGCTTATCCACCATGACCAAGTGGGCTTCATCCCTGGGATGAAAGGCTGGTTCAATATACACAAATCAATAAACGTAATCCAGCATATAAACAGAACCAAAGACAAAAACCACAGGATTATCGCAATAGATGCAGAAAAGGCCTTTGACAAAATTCAACAACACTTCATGCTAAAAACTCTCAATAAATTAGGTATTGATGGGACCTATCTCAAAATAATAAGAGCTATCTATGACAAACCCACAGCCAATATCATAATGAATGGGCAAAAACTGGAAGCATTCCCTTTGAAAACTGGCACAAGACAGGGATGCCCTCTCTCACCACTCCTATTCAACATAGTGTTGGAAGTTCTGGCCAGGACAATTAGGCAGGAGAAGGAAATAAAGGGTATTCAATTAGGAAAAGAGGAAGTCAAATTGTCCCTGTTTGCAGATGACACGATTGTATACCTAGAAAACCCCATTGTCTCAGCCCAAAATCTCCTTAAGCTGATAAGCAACTTCAGCAAAGTCTCAGGATACAAAATCAATGTACAAAAATCACAAGCATTCTTATACACCAACAACAGACAAACAGAGAGACAAATCATGAGTGAACTCCCATTCACAATTGCTTCAAAGAGAATAAAATACCTAGGAATCCAACTTACAGGGGATGTGAAGGACCTCTTCAAGGAGAACTACAAACCACTGCTCAAGGAAATAAAAGAGGATACAAACAAATGGAAGAACATTCCATGCTCATGGGTAGGAAGAATCAATATTCATGAAAATGGCCATACTGCCCAAGGTAATTGATAGATTCAATGCCATCCCCATCAAGCTACCAATGACTTTCTTCACAGAATTGGGAAAAACTACTTTAAAGTTCATAAGGAACCACAAAAGAGCCCGCATGGCCAAGTCAATCCTAAGCCAAAAGAACAAAGCTGGAGGCATCATGCTACCTGACTTCAAACTATACTACAAGGCTACAGTAACCAAAACAGCATGGTACTGGTACCAAAACAGAGATATAGATCAATGGAACAGAACAGAGCCCTCAGAAATAACACCGCATGTCTACAACCATCTGATCTTTGACAAACTTGAGAAAAACAAGCAATGGGGAAAGGATTCCCTATTTAATAAATGGTGCTGGGAAAACTGGCTAGCCATATGTAGAAAGCTGAAACTGGATCCCTTCCTTACACCTTATACAAAAATTAATTCAAGATGGATTAACGACTTAAAGGTTAGACCTAAAACCATAAAAACCCTAGAAGAAAACCTAGGCATTACCATTCAGGACATAGGCATGGGCAAGGACTTCATGTCTAAAACACCAAAAGCCATGGCAACAAAAGCCAATATTGACAAATGGGATCTAATTAAACTAAAGAGCTTCTGCACAGCAAAGGAAACTACCATCAGAGTGAACAGGCAACCTACACAATGGGAGAAAATTTTCACAACCTACTCATCTGACAAAGGGCTAATATCCAGAATCTACAATGAACTCAAACAAATTTACAAGAAAAAAACAAACAACCCCATCAAAAAGTGGGTGAATGACATGAACAGACACTTCTCAAAAGAAGACATTTATGCAGCCAAGACACATGAAAAAATGCTCATCATCACTGGCCATCAGAGAAATGCAAATCAAAACCACAATGAGATACCACCTCACACCAGTTAGAATGGCAATCATTAAAAAGTCAGGAAACAACAGGTGCTGGAGAGGATGTGGAGAAATAGGAACACTTTTACACTGTTGGTGGGACTGTAAACTAGTTCAACCATTGTGGAAGTCAGTGTGGCGATTCCTCAGGGATCTAGAACTAGAAATACCATTTGACCCAGCCATCCCATTACTGGGTATATACCCAAAGGACTATAAATCATGCTGCTATAAAGACACATGCACACGTATGTTTATTGCAGCACTATTCACAATAGCAGAGACTTGGAACCAACCCAAATATCCAACAATGATAGACTGGATTAAGAAAATGTGGCACATATACACCATGGAATACTATGCAGCCATAAAAAATGATGAGTTCATGTCCTTTGTAGGGACATGGATGAAATTGGAAATCATCATTCTCAGTAAACTATTGCAAGGACAAAAAACCAAACACCACATGTTCTCACTCATATATGGGAATTGAACAATGAGATCACATGGACACAGGAAGGGGAACATCACACTCTGGGGACTGTTGTGGGGTGGGGGGAGGAGGGAGGGATAGCATTAGGAGATATACCTAATGCTAAATGATGAGTTAATGGGTGCAGCACACCAGCATGGCACATGTATACATATGTAATTAACCTGCACATTGTGCACATGTACCCTAAAACTTAAAGTATAATAATAATAATAAAGTTATTTATTATTATTAATATTATTATTATTTTTGAGACAAAGTCTTACTCTGTGACCCAGGCTGGAGAGCAGTGGCTCGATCATGGCTCACTGCCACCTGAAACTCCTGGGCTCAAGCTATCCTTTTGCCTCAGCCTCCCAAGTATCTGGGACTACAGGTGCACACCACCATGTCTGGCTTTTTTTCTTTTCTTTTGTAAATGGGGGGTCTCACCGTGTTGATCAGGGTGGATTCCAACTCCTGTGCTCAAGTGATCCTCCCACCTTGGTCTCCCAAAGTGCTAGGATAACAGGAAGGAGCCACCGTGCCTGTTGAGTTTGTCTTTTATAGCAAAAATTCCAACCAAGTTTCCCAATGAGGTCCATTTATGCAAATGAAGGATTCAAACTTGCTTAGTTCTGATTGGTTGACACAGCCAAGTCCTGATTGGTTGATACAACTGACCCCGATTGTCCAGGGCAGGTGAATTCTGATTGGTTGGTTTCCAAGTTCCAAACTAGAAGTCTGTGAGACTTTTCTTTCAAACAGCTTGGGGAGGGGTGATCTGTCTGAAGTTTATCTTGGCACCAACAATAGGAACTGGTTTGGCTTGACTGTAGAAAGTGAGGTCCTGTGATATCTTTACAACATCTTTCTGAGAACAGAATAAATGACGGCTCTCTCATGATGGCCACCTGGTTCTGTTTTAAGTCACCTCAGTTAAGCACAAAGAGTCCATTTTGTCTGTTGACTAAGCATACAGGGACATACTGTAACAGAGGTCAAACAGTATGGTGCATTAATGTCTGTAGTTTTGCTACCTTCTCAAAAAGCTATCGCTTACCACCAGTAGAAGAAGCCACTGGAAGCTAAGAAAATTTTAAGCTCCTTGAAACTTTATGTATGTGTCCTGGAATAAAAGGCTTTAATCTAAGTAGAGGTGTTTAAATAGAAGGTTTTTATTAAGGAGTGCTTAAGATATACAATATGGAAGAAGTAGATGAGTTCATCAAGAAGAACCTAGTTGTTTACTAATTAGTACCTTAGAAATATCTACTCCATTATTTAATGACTAGTGTTAGCTGTTTTAATAAAGATACTGTTAAAACCACAAGAGACGGGGAAAGTATGTTAGTCTTCTACCTTAATTACACCTGGTAGTGTGAAACATGAGACCATAACAACCAATATATTTTTTCCTACTTTGTGGAATCATACCATAAATGTAGACAATGTACTTAAGCAGAAATAAATATCCTCTTGAAGGTTATCATTGCCAACCTAAACCTGTAATGTAAGTGAAAGCTGGAATTTCTGACTGCCTCACCAAAACAAAACACATTTAAGATATTCTGCAATATTTTCTCACATACTCTCTACTAATAGGCTAAATAGGGTCATGATGTAGTCCATGGTCAAGAAGAAGCAAATCTTGTCACCAAATAGAAAAATTGGATTTTAGGGTAATGTGTGACCCTGTTATGTTTAGTGTTAAGTTTACAGATTTAGACTTTAAAATAAATTTCATCATTCATCAAAACAAAATAAAAGAACCCTTGTGGCTGGGCACGGTGGCTCACTCCTGTAATCCCAGCACTTTGGGAGTCCAATGTAGTCAGATCGCTTGAGCTCAGGAGTTTGAGACCAGGCTGGGAAACATGATGAAACCCATCTCTACAAAAATTACAAAAATTAGCCAGGTTTGGTGGTGAGTGCTTGTAGCCCCAGCTGCTTGGGAGGCTAAAGTGGGAGAATGGCTTGAGCCCTGGAGGCAGAGGTTGCAGTGAGCTGCTGAGATTGCACTACTGCACTCTAGCCTGGGTGACAGAGCCAGACTCTCAAAAACCAAAACAAAACAAAATAAAACAAAACCCCTTGTAATTTGGGTGCATTGCCATTAGGAGATGCCTCATAACAGTCCAACAGAAATTCATAAGTTTAATCAATTGAGGAAGATAAACTAAAAAACATAAACTTGTAAACCAGTCAACTTTACTTGAAGTAAATGCTATATAGAATGGTTAAGATTGAAGCAAATTTTAAAGTAAAAAAATATGATTAGAATTTCATAGATGCCCAACTGGATTCTTCAACATTTCATTCCAATCTTCTTTTTTTTTTTTCCCTTCTGTTGCCCAGGCTAGAGTGCAGTGGAGCAGCTAAGGCTTACTCAGCCTGGAAGTTCCAGGCTTAAGAGATCCTCCCATCTCAGCCTCCTGAGTAGCTGGGACTAGAGGTGCACATCACTGCTCCCGGCTAAATTTTTATTTTTTTAATTTTATGTAGAGACAGGGTTTCACTATATTGCCAGGGCTGGTCTTGAACTCCTGGGCTCAAGGATCTTCTCTCCTTCACATCCCAACCTGTTAGGATTATGGGCATTTTATTATGGGCACTTTATTATGCCTGCTTAGAGGTAGTACGATAATTACTTAGGTTTTACTTTTAGGCATTTGGATTTCGCTTGAAAAGACCCTATTTAATTGTTCCCTCTCCCATACTGCAAGAAGAGGAAAATATAAAAGACACACTTGCCGAAAAGGGCATATGTCATGGTCTTAGATTGTTTTGTGTTGTTATAACAGAATATCTGAGACTGAGTAATTTTTTTTTGTAGAGATAGGGTCTTGCTATGTTGCCCAGGCTGGTCTCGAACTCCTGGCCTCAAACAACCCTCCCACCTTGGCCTCCCAAAGCACTAGCATTTTAGGCATGAACCATCAAGTCCGGTTGACACTGGGTAATTTATAAAGAAAAAAGGTTTATTTAGCTCATGGTTTTACAAGTTGGGAAATATGAGAAGCATGGTGCTGGCATCTGCTTGGCTTCTGGTGAGGGCCAAGTGCTAGGCCAAAACATAGCAGAGAAGGTCAAGGGGAAGTGGTCAGTGGGAAGAAGAGAACCAAGCAGGAGGAGGGAAATGGCTTTATAACAATCTGCTCTCTCTGGAACTAATCCAGTCTCAAGAGATTGAAAATGCACTACCACGAAAACAGCACCAAGACATTCATGAGAGTTCTGCCCCATGACCCAAACACCTCCCAGTAGGCCCCCTACCTTCCAACACAACCACATTAAGTATCAAATTTCAACATGAGTTTTGGAGGGGGCAAATCATCTCCCAAACAGGTGTTTTTCCATGTTTATACATCATAGCATGTGTGTTTCCATGTTTATATATGAAGAGGAGATTTTCCAATGTAATCTTAAGGAAGACTAAAAATCTTCCTCAACATTATGTTTTCTAATTGGACATAACAGGTTTACAGTAATTTTGTGTGATGTTTTACTTACTTTCCTTTGACCAAGCTACACTAGCAAAATTTAACAATCTCTGTATCTTTACATACTACTCTAATAAGAAAACTTCAAAATTTGTAACAGACCGATGTTGTGTACACAAAAACATTTAGGACATATTTTAAAGAAGGATATGGAACATATATTTTAAATAAATTTCATGATATCAGGTTAAAATACTAGAAACACAGAGGTCAAAATCCGGGATTGCATTAGAGGCAGTAAGCAGAAATTGGAGTCAGGTTAACTGTTTATAGTGAAAACACAATGATTAGGGGAGGCAGGAACTTGGGGTGAATTGACAAGGCTATAACCTCAACAGTGACACTAAAGGAAGTGCCTATTAGTGCTGGTAGCACAATAGTATGGAAGAATTTAGGAACTGCTCTGCTGTTAACTCATGGTCCACTCAGATAGGTGTCCTATTGACAGAATGAACCCAGAACCATTGAAAATAATCATTAATATGCTAGTTACTTAATACAATTATCTCATATAATTCTCACTACACTCCTAAAGATAGCTAATAATGTAATGATCTCTGGTTTATAGATGAGGTATCTGAGACTTTGAGAGGTTAAGTGACTTGTCTAACATCTCACATTTTTCAAATGTCAGGGCAGAGATTCTAACCGAGATGGAACATAATAGTGCTTGTTGACATCAACCTTGAAGACTAGGTATGTAATAGCTCCTTTTAAGTAATAGTGATCATTCATACATTTGTCCAAATGCTTTATGAGTTAATAAATATTAACTTTGGGATTAATTAATTTGTTAGGATTGGTTAAAGCAGGACAAAGGATTATCTGAAAAGGCAGAATCAAGAACAGATAGGTGAAGGAGGATCAGAGATGCTGTATATAGTATGTGGTAAATTATGCTAAAACACATTAATGTATAGTCCTTTACAAGGCTCCATGAAAGAACAGGGATTTTGGAAGAGACTGAAGATCAAGTTACTAGACAGAGGAGGGCCAAGTGAATTTCCTCCTCCTTATCTCTAATCATTTTGTATGCATTTCTCAAGGCTTTCTCTAATTCAAGACTGTGCTGAGATTGGAGTGAGCAGAACTGCATATCTCATTCCAGCTGCAGCTCACTCCAATAGTTTAGTATGGGGTAAACCAACATGTTTTCTCAGGTTTTTCATACATGTTTTGATGACACCCAACATTTCGTTTTTCCCCCTAAAGTTAGCATTTAGTTGAGCTGATGTTTTCAAAAAACAGACTACAGAGATTTTCATGTTTTTTTCCTGGGTCTTGATCAAGATTTTTAAAAATTCGTAATATACTTTGAGCTATTTAATCTCCAAGTTGGTTGCCTTTTTCTGGATCCTGAGCTAAAACATATCTCACATTTGATTTATTTACAGATTAGTAAGAACATCCTGTACTTTAGCCCAATAATCTTGACCTTTAATAGAATTTGTAGCTTTGGACATTTGGTTGTGCCTTTCTTTCTCCATATATTTATAAGTGTTTGTTTGGAATAGCAGTGACTATAAACTGGCCTGGAATTTCAGAAATCCTCTCTAGAGTTCTTTTGAACAGAAACTACATTTGGAGTCTGCCAGTGATTTAGTAGAGGCTGCATGTTTTGTTCAAAACTCCCCTACTTTCCCTCTGTTCTCCTTGTATAATCTTTGGTATATGTCATATAGTTGGTGACTTACCAACATACATTTCATAAGTTTGGCTTGGATAATTCTGACTGCTGGCTGTAATTCAACCAGTTACCAATGTGTCATTTCAGGGACTGCATTGCAGTGGTAATCAATGTAAAATATCCTCTAGTATAGACTGAATCAAAAAATTCATGCAATATGTCAGATAATGTCTTTACCCACAGTTATCAGGACATTTACTAATTTTTTCCTTGGCGTCCTACATTTTGAATGTTCTTTATTATTTTAGTTTTTGAAGGAGTAGAGGTGTAGTAAAGAGATTAACACTTATTGAGTGCCCAATGCTATAGTATTACTGGCATGGAGAGTTTCTGGCACAGAGTAATTGCTCCTTAAATGCTTATTAAATGAATAAATGAATGTCAGGTATGTGCCTGCCACTTTACATGTATGACTTTATTTATTCCTACAACAATCATATAGTAGGTATGTACTATTTTCCCTCATCTATAAAATGGAAGAATAATAGTACCTACTTTACAAGGTTGTTATGAGGATCGATAGACAAGTAAGTATATACAAAGCACTCCCTGGCAAGTAGCAAGCACTTTAAAAATATTATTATTATTATTATTTTCCATTGTTACATATGAAGACACTGAAGTACTGAGCTTTTAAGCCACTTTCCCAAGTATTACACAGGGAGTTAAAAGTTCAGAATAAATTTCTAAACTTTATGCCCTCTCTTCTAAATCTTTTGGCCTTGGTGTTCTTGTCAAAGAGCTCTACAACATGTTATTTTGTCTGATTTTAAGGTATACATAGCTTACTTAATAAGCGTCCCATTTTCTTAGATTATCTTTCAACTTTTTGAAAAATTATTTTCCTTCTTAAATTTGGCTGTACATGCCTTTTTTCACTGGACAGGTATCCTGATAGGACATATTTTTCCTGGAGTCCAATACATTGTTTTAAATAATTGCAAAAATTCTCATTGGCTAATTATTAAAATATTTTCTTTCCTAATCTTTTCTCTAATGAACTTAGTGTCCTTTCTCATTCATCTTAATTCTGAAGTTCTCAATTAATTATGAATTATGAATTAATAATTTGATTTAAGATATAAGGAAGATGAGATATAAGGTGCAACATGCCTTTTTGACACCGGTGTGTTTTAATAATTTATCTCACTTGCTAATTCACTATACAGAGTCTGATTCTCTGTTTTCTTCCTTCTGGGTCATGCATATGGTGAATGTAATTTCTCATGACATAATCATTTTAGTTAACCAGTATAGCCACAAATCAATTTAGACAAGTTGTAATTCTTTCCTGTAATCTTTTATAAAGTAGAGCCTATGGCAGATATACTTTTTTGAAGTGGAGATTTCTCTTAAAAAATGAGGCTGTTGACACATTGCTCAAATTGAAATAGGTGTAAAAGAGATACATAGGATACTCAATGATAAGTGAATATGTCCAAGCATTCTGATAGTTTTCTTCATCAACTTTACTGAATACTAGAGAAAAAGATTTGAATGACTATGATTGAGAGTGGAGAGGGTAGTGGGTAAAGGGATGGCAGTGGCCTAAATGGTTGGGTGATAAACTCGGCTAGATAGTCTGGGGTTAAATTATGGAGGCCTGGAATGCCAGATAAAGGACTTTGAACTTTCTTCTCTATGTCTTCTACATTAAAAATATCTTCAGGTTCTGAGAATGAACTCCTAAAATTCAAGATCGATTGGCTTCATAATACCCAGGGTTAAATCTTCAGAATTCCATCTAAAAACAAAACCTGTATTTCAGAAATAACTTAAGATTGTTTGATGATCAAAGAGATTTTCATCAGGCAGTACTGACACGATGAGAAGAAACTAGAGGTATTTTGGAGATCTTGGCACAACTTCAAAGAGTGATAGAACAGAATGTGGATAACTCTTCCAAGTTTTGGAAGGCAACAGTCTGGCTGAGACTTACATACATTGAAACGAGAGGCTTCCTTGAAAACATTTTACAAATCTTTTCCTATTATAGAATTCTAAACTATGGAGAAATTCATATATGCCCCAAACTCAACACTGCACTCATTTCCCTCCCCAAGTGACTCCCCAGCGTTTCTCTAACACTGGTAAAGGATTCCTGAGGCATTTGCAGTAAGCTTCTCAATAAGCTGCCCCATAGCCCTTCTAAGTGCTGTTTCTGTATATTCTGAAACGAATCCCTTTCATCCCTAGCTCATATATTTGTTTCTGTTTTGCAGAACGGAAACAGTGAAGCAACTTAGAGAGTTGGGGACATACAGCCCAGATGACCTATAGTTCGCCTGGTGTCGTTTCGCAAGACTTTGGTACCCAAAGCAGCAGAACCGGGATTTAGCATCCTTCTTATCATACATTTCTTAAAGCAAGCGTTCTGCACTTTCAAACATCATCTTTTCTCTATCCAACACCTCCTCCCAGCCCGCCCCCTGGTTCCTTCCCACTCTCTACCTCGCCCCCCACCCCCCGCCCCCAGTCTGCGCATGCGTCCTAAGAACCCCTTACACTCGCGGCACAGGCTGACAGTATTGTCGGGGGCTATTCTCTCTCCCAGGAACATGGCGGCGAGTCAGGGAGGAGGCGGTAACAGTGGGGGCGGCGGTTGTGGTGGAGGTGGAAGTAGCGGTGGCTGTGGCACGGCTGGAGGGGGAGGTGGCGGGGCTGGAGGGGGAGGCGGCGGCGGCGGCGGGACCCTGGTGGTCCCCATCCCGGTACCGACTCTTTTCGGTCAGCCGTTCCCCAACGGGCCGCCGTGGAACCCGGGGAGCCTGCAGCCTCAGCACACCGTGAGGAGCCTGGACCGGGCCCTGGAAGAGGCGGGCAGCTCCGGCATCCTGAGCCTCAGTGGTCGGAAACTCCGAGACTTCCCGGGCAGCGGCTACGACCTGACGGACACCACCCAAGCAGGTGACAGGACGGGGGGAGGGGAAGCTGGCTGTGAAGGAGGAGGTGCGGGGAGTGGGTGGCTGCGTGGCTGCGTTGTTGGACTCTGCGGGTCTGGGCGGGTGCGCGGGGACCGCCAGACTAACAAAGTCGGGGCAGCCCGTTCTCCTGAACGTGAGGGGCGAATCAAGCAATAGGGGAGGGGAGGAATGCTGCCTGAAGGATGTATAGAAACTGGTAGGATGTTAGGGGTGAAAGAGCATCATTGTTAAAGCAAGTTTCCCCAGTTTGGGTGGGAGGGAGTCATTGACACCTTCCTTAATGCACTTCTTTCAACTCTCCTGGATCTTCCCGTCTTTCCCGGAAAACCAAACCCAACCAAACTAAACGAAACACAAAAATCATAATCTCTACATATTCCTTAAAGGCATACGTGCCTGAAAGAATGGCATATCCTTTTTCAGAGTACAGCAGCAGGATTGCCATGGTTTTTCTGTGTGGTTTAATCATCCTACGATATTCTTGGCTTCTTTCTTGTCACGTATGCCTTTAAAGACTGAGATTTTTCATTTTCCTGGTGTTGAGAAGGTAGTGGTGGTTAAATTAGTATTTGCTGCAGTGGTAAATTAAATCATCAATCACTTACATGTCTGCTTACTAGAAGAAAGCTAATCCTTGTTTTGAGTTATCTTAGAGTCTTAATTTTTATAGTAGAAAGCCAACAATTTTAAGGGTATTTTTGAGAAAAAATTATCTCCATTCTTTATGGAGTTGTGGATTAAAGGTTTATCACTTTGGGTGAGAAATTGGCTATTGTAATGTTCTTCATATACTCTCTGGTAGTCTTTGTTGTGGCTGGCATTTTTTGTTAGGGACACACTCTCTTATAAACCAATGCTGGATTATTTTAGATATGTCTTGATTTGATGAAAGGTTTTTTTTTACTTTTTATAATCTTTAAATTTGTTATTTATTTCTGTTTTCATCTGCTTTGCTGAAATAAATCTGGACAAAATTATTTTAATAGATGTCGTCATTTTGAAACAATATAGTAAGTAAATTCACCCATAATGAGGAGTAGTAAAATACCACTTATTTTCAAAACAAGACAATTTCAGATGTATTCAGTTTTTAGATCTTAAATCAAGGTATTTGTGTTGGAACAAAGTGGGGAGAGGAGGAAAACCTAAAATTGAAGCTTTCCACCCAGTGATTCTTTTAGCAATGATCCTAAGAACTATGAATGTGTAATCGACCACTGATTTTATATTTTGTAAAGCATGTTGGAGTATTTACTCCTTCACTCAGAACAGATTTCCTAAATAATATGTTCACATATTCATGACTGTTAGCAAGATATTATGCAACTTGGTGTGTTCTTCAAAGGCTTCAAGTAAAACAGTTTCAGACTGCATCATTATAGTGATTTTTTTCTTTTCTTCTTCTTCCTCTTTTTTTTTTTTTTCTTATTGTTCTTTCTAACCTATAAAGGATCCTTCTACCTGCAGGACAAAGTTTAAGCATCCTAGCTTGGCATTCAGGACTTTCATTGTTGGGCTCCACTTTATTGTTGCAACCTTATTCCCCAAAATGCTCCCACATAGAATCCTCTCTTCCAACTAGGTCAACTCTCTGTCTCTCAAATACATTTTGTGCATTTCTGCCTCATCTTTGTACAAGATCATCTGTATGCTTGGGATTTCCCTCTTTTCTCCGTCTATTTAATTTTATTGAAGCCCCAGCTCTTCCAAGAAATTGTCTCCAACTCCCTTAGTCCACAAGAATCTCCTGTTTCTTTGAATTCCCATGGTACTTATTGTCTTTACCACTTACTTGGCAGTGCTGGTTTTATTTTCTTTTTATGTTTCTGTCTTGCTATCCCTGAGAAGAAATAGAGCCCCTTAAAAGGCAGGGTGTAAGCCATATACTTGTTCAGTCTTCTTATTATATATCCCCTTTATTGTATTTGATAATATTTCTCATAAATATGAATATCATCTGATGCAGTTACAGCCTTTGGCTTTTAAGCCTTCAGTTGGTTTTCTGAGGCAAGCTTCAACACAAAGCAGAACCATATCTGTTCATGGTAAACATTCATTCATCATAAGTTTCATTTTACTTTTTCTCTTCAGTTGAATGAGCATTTCTTGTGGGAACATTTCAAAAATCAGAGTAAACAAGATCTTGTGCTGCTCTTTTTTTTCATTTAAATTAGATATCTTTGGGTGACTCATTTGCCATTTGTTTTTGATAAAATTTAGCCACGAAATTTTTAGGGGCAGTATTTTTTAATGTAGAGAGACCACTATTCATTATGTGTAAATGACGGCAGGTACATTGGAACTGAAGAAAAATAGAGTGTGTTTGAGATTATACATACATATGTACATACATACACACACATACATACAGGAACACACATACAGTATATTCTCTATTTGATGAAAATGATCTGTTTGGTGATCTTGTTATACTTAAAATGACTCAGTGGAATACTGTTTCAGAACCAAACCGATTAGTTAGACAAGCATTCCTTATTGCATTAGGAAGAGACAAGAGGAAGGGAAAATAGCTAAGAAGCGGTTAATGTTAATCTAGGTGAGAGGTGGTGAGAATCTGGGTGAAACAATATTGAATAAGGAGAAATTAATACATTTCAAAATAAATGGGGGAAGGTTTTTTTACATTAAGATGAAATAGACCCCTGGTTCTCCACCCTGGCTGCACATTACAATTGCAAGGGAGATTTTTTGTTTGTTTTTTCAACCCTGCCTGGATCCCACCCTAGACCAATTAAATCAGAATCTCAGGGGCCAAGGAACTTAAGGAAAAAAAATCTTCCCAGGTAATTCTAATATGCACTCAGGGCTGAGAAACCCTAAAATTGTTTATTTTTTAAGCACTCAAGAAATATTTGTTCTTTGAGTGAATAAGAACATTGATAAAAGTTTAGTTATTAACCTTAAAGCCACTTGTCAAGAAAGTCAAAACCAAAACTAGGAACTAAATACTCAAAAATTGTTTCAAATTGTTTGATAAATTTACGTGAAGAAAATGATGCCCCCTAAACATGTAGCAGCAAAATCTTTTCTCTGCTAACAGGCTTCCTATGAGGGAAAATGTATTTTAGGCAGCTGTTTGCAGAGTTTATCTTTGGTGTCTTTTTACCTCTCTCTGCATTTCTAGTGTCTGTTCTTCACTTGCCTCCTCCCTTTGTCCCCATCACACTTTTCTCCTTTCTCTTTCTCTCTTCAACCTCACTCCTCTTACTTTATTGGGATAGAGCTCAGGTAAATGATTATGGCAGCCTCTCTAGGAGATTAACATTTAAAAGGGGGAGTTTGCTAATTTACTTGAATCTCCAATTGGTGATTGGAGATTCATGACCTTTTTGAGTAGATCTCCCTTCCAGATACTCCTTGATTAAAATTTTCACCCACATAAGGACATAAAACAGTGATCAGAAAGTTGGTAACCCATTTCAGTAAAGTAGCTGACTCTTGCTGTAATGTCTTCTCCGAGATGGTCTGTAGATAGATTTGACAAGATGAAGGGAAATTGCATAGAACTTTTTGGTCCATCTGGATACTATGATAATTTGTTGACTTGAAAGTGAATTTAATTGTTACCCAAACAAATCCTGAAACCTTGCATAGTTGACTCTGTCACCAGTGCTACAAATAAGTGGATATGTTTCAGCGTACTTGCTGCTGCTCCCTCTGCTTCTTTATACCTGTTTATGTACATGAGCAGTAGGTCTGTGAAACAGATTTAGGAATTCTTACATCAGATTCTGCCGTGTCCTGGATAATCACGTGTTTTCCTGTAAACCAGGAGTCAACTCTAGTATTTCCTACATGTGCTGGTTCACCTTTTCAACTGTAGGGCATGGTGCATTGTATCAGGTTGTAAAATGGAGCCAGATAAACACAGCATTTGATTTTGTGAGGTGAAGGTCCTCTCAGTGCATTTAGTGGAATGAGCTCATGATTGTGATTTTGTGGCCTTATTCAAATATCTGCCTTGCTTCATTTAATAAATGTCTTCCTGAAAAATCGAATGTGAAGCACATTTTTGACAGTTGACTCATATTTTAATTGCTATAGATTGAATCTGAATTACTGAACCTTGTACTGATTTATTCAGTGATAAGTTCTACAGCATACTTATCCCTTAATTTCTTTCATTTAAAATAAAATGTTATCTTTAATTGAAGGGTACATTCATCATTAAGATAATACCATTTATACAGCTCTTTATACATTTTTAAGTACTTTCATATATATTATCCTATTGTATCCTAATAATAACCCTGTGAGCTTGGCAGAGTACATAGTAATTGCTCGTTGTGGTTGAGAGACAGGTTAAGTGATTTGTCCAAAGTTAAATGGTGAGTCTGGCAGAGTGTGTGGGTCAGAGCCTAGGTTTTTCAACTCCAGTGCTATCCTAATGTTATTTCCAGTGTAACACATTCTCTCTTTATAAAAAAGCAGTTATTAAACACCATGCCAATAAATAGGTTATTTATTCTGAAAATTCAATGCTTATTTAACTTCGTAGGTTATATACTTTTTGTTTGTGGTATGGTGTGTTTTGTTTTGTGTGTATTTGCATAGCTATCATGCCTCTCTTATGGTTTTAGAATAGATTCATTAAGCAAGCATTTATTGAACTCCTACTTTGGAAACATGATTATGGCTAATAAAAAGAGACATGGTTTTTGTACTTAAAGGATTTATACAATAGTCAAATGTATACAGTAATATAACCATTAGAAAAGAATTTCACTATAATATATAATAGTATTCAAAATAATATATTTTAATATACTGTACACATAAGAGATCTGGAACTGTGGCATAAGGCTTAATTTTAGAGGGGATTAATTTAGTTTGAGAAAGCTTCCTGAAAAGTTAGGTTAGGTATTTGTTGCATGACAGGTATAAGAACAGAAGTGGTTGATTGGGATGTTTTAAAATTGGGGTTAGTGGAATACTTTTGCTTAAGGTTTAAATTTAATATTTCAATTTAGATTATTTGTGATATAAATTCTGAAGCATTTATTTGGCATGAAGGTAGACAAGATCCAGAACCTCACTGAGAACATAAGAAGTAATGCTAGGGACACTTACTACAAATAAAGATAATTGAAGACTTACAAAATTGATTTGCTGGGAGGTGCCATTTGTTTAAGTTCCTAGGCACACAGTGAAACTTTGCAAAAGAGGCATCTTGTTCTCCCAGCCCAGCCTAGCAGCCCACTCTGTGAGATGCCTTAACTGCATGATACACACCTCCCCATTCTGCAGAGGCTAGTGATCATCATGACCTAGAAAGGGAAATATTTTAGTTTTCTTTTTTTCTCTACACTTTGAGTGTATTTGGGTGCTTCTTAAAACATTGTAATACTCTTATAATCAGTTATCTGGAAAGTTTCAGAAAGGGTTGTCTGCTTCTCATTTACAGAAAAAAAAATACCTTACACGCCAGGGAACCATTTAATGTAATTAAAGAAAACTGTATAAGCCAATTTAATAACAATGTAAGTTTATGTTTACTCTCACTTTCAGCTAGTGCACTCAATCTGCTAAAGGTCAAACTGTAATGTTTAATCTTTACATTTCTCTTGTTTCATGTAAATAGATAGCATTCCATTAACAGAATACCTGTCAATGGACTGTAATGGATAATTCAACAGTAGATATTTTCTAATGTATTTTTTATATCAAATTCTTTGAGGAAAAGTTTTTTCCAAATAGGAAAGTAAGTTCTTTCCTTTTCAGGAACACTTGATTCTGTGTAGTCTTTTCTAATTTGTGACAGAGAATGTTGTCACTTTATTTTTAGATTAATTACTTGTCTCAGTAGAATATTAGAGATTCAAGGTGACAAGAGACAGGTATAAGATAACTGTGACATAAACTTTTCTTTGAACCATATGGAGATGAACTGATTCTAGAACATTTGTGAATTTGGATTTCACTCAGAAATGGCTTTTTGTTAATGATTATGTTCCTAAGAGAATCTAGTATGTATAGTCTAGAGTTTTTCACTTCTTAAAAAAATAATTGCAATACGTAAATCCTTAGTATTTTGAGCTACTTGGTTGGGGATGTCTATGTCAATGGGAAATAATTACATTTAAAGGTTTTTGTGAATTAGAAATAGTAAATTAAACATAGATGACTGTGTCCTTAAACTACCTTAATGAGTATGTAAGAATGGATTTGTCATATAGATATTTTGTAAAGGTTGTAAAGTTGCTGCTTTCAGTGAGTTAATGATTTCATAATGGTTTAAAATAAGAACTCATATACCTATTATATCCTAGATCAGTAGTTCTCATTGTGGGGAAGGGTAGGGTTGGAGAGGTTGCCTCCAGAGGATATTTGACAGTATCTGGAGACTTTTTTTTTTTTTTTTAAGAGACAAGGCCTTGCTATGTTGCCCTGGCTATGTTGCCTGGGCTGGAATATAGTGGCTGTTCACAGGCTCTAACTCGGGGGCTCAAGTGATCCTCCTGTCTCAGCCTGCTGAGTAGCTTGGACTATAGTCCTGCAGCACCACACCTGGCTGAAGACATTTTTGATTATCACAATTTGGGGGTTGCTACTGACATCTAGTGGGTAGAGGCAAGGGATGCTGCCAAGCATCCTACATTGAAAAGGACAGCCCCATACAACAAAGACTTAACTTGTCTAAAATGTCCATGGTGCCAAGGTTGAGAAACCCTGGGTTAGAGTAAGATAAATGGAAAGTGCAGCATAGGTTCAAAGAGGGAGGGATAACATTTGATTTGGTCGTTTGAACAGCAGAGGGGGGCTTTATAAAGAAGTTGGAGGATTGGCCTTTAGAGAGGAGGCATCAGATTTTATAGTTATTCTTAGATGGAGGAAACTACATGAATGCTGATATCTCAGAGTCTCCTCAAACTCAATATGTCAAATAATGAACTCTCGTTATTCACCCTAGGCCCCCTTGTCACCCAGATCTAAAACTTGGGAGTTATTCTCCACTCTTCCCTTTCCCTCAGCCTCTATATCTAGTGAGGGACTAAGGCCTGTTGGTCATAACTCTTTGAATAGCTTTCAGATCAGTTTCATTCCTTTCTATTCTCAATGTCATTGTTCAGATTCTCCTCTATTCCTTACCTTTAACTGGACCTGTCAGTAGTTTTCTAAATGATCTCTCTGTCTCAAGTTTTCTTCAACTTAAATTAGTTAGTCCTCCACACTGTAGCTAAACCATTCTTTCTAATATGCAAATCTGATTGTCATGTGTTACTAAAACAATGTTACTAAAACACCTTCAAGCCAGTAGCCAGTTTTCAAGCCGTACGTTTCAAAATCTTATTTCCTTATTCCTTGTTTTGAACATTAAAAAAAGTAATACATACACTATGTTTTATTTAACTGTGGTAATTTTTATATTTTATTAGTTAAAATTAAATTGCTAAGATTCATCCAAATTGTTATGTAAAACTGTGGTTCATTCTTTTGGATGGCTGTGTTATCTTGCATCATGTGAATATACCATCTTTATTCACTTTCTCACTGATAGCCATTTTCATTCCCCCCTCCTCCTTTTTCTCTTGGGAATAGCACTACTATCATTATTATACATGTCTCTTGTACTTGTGCAAGGATTTCTCTTGTGTATATACTTGAAAATGGAATTGCTGGGTTGTATAGTATGTCAGTGTTCAAACCGATTTATCATTTCTGTTTCCATTGACATGTATAGGAGATCCTATGAATCTATGTGCCCTCCAAAACAGTACTGTCAAATTTAAAAATTTTGACCAAGTGTGTTTAAAAAGGTATTTCGATGAAGTCTTTCTTGATTTACATTCCCCTGATCACGAATGATGTTAACCTTTCTTCAGATGTCTGTTGGTCATATGTCTTTCCTGTACTGTGAAATAGCTTTTCATTTATTTTGCCCATTTTCTGTTGGTTGGTTGTCCTTTTTTAAAAAATAGAATTCTATGGGTTTAAAAAAATACTCCTTATACTAATCATTTGTTTTGTATATTTTGAATATCTTGTTTATAACTTGCCTTTTTGCTCTTTGAGGGGTGTTTTGATGGACAAATTTGTAAATTTTAATACAGCCAAATGTATCAATCTTGAATTTTGTAGTCAATGATTTCTGTGTCCTGTTTAAGAATATGTAAAATATATTCATCTACATTTTTTACTAAGAGTTTTAGTTTTGTTTTTGGTATTAAAGTTCTTAATTCATATGGAATCGATTTTTATGTATAGCACGAGGTGGAGTTCCATGTTCCTGTTTTTACATATGGATTATCTTTTTTCAGATCCATCCTTACCTATGTTGGGGCTCAGAAAACAATACCCCCAAATGAAGGCCTCAGCAGCAGCCTCAGAAGCAGAAGTTTTGCACTGACTTTGTCCTGCCCTCCTGTCTCTCTGTCCCATTCTCCTCCAAGGCTAGCCGTAGAAACTAGAATCCCTCTTCCCCAAGGAGGATCACAGAAGCCAGAACCCCTTTTCCTGAAAGCCAGCCATAAGACCTAAAAATATTACTCTAATTTCCCCTCTGCCTTTCTGTGTAAAAACTGGACACAAAGAAATGATCTAACCTACCTTGTTTGACTGTAGGTCTTAAGACCCCCATTCCAGAGAGGGCCCTGCCCCACAGTCAGAAGGAAGGAATACAGGCTCAGAGAGGCCTAGAAGAATCTATTTAATAGGCAGACAGGCCTTGCTAGGTTTCCCCACTCAGTCTGTCAGCTTTAGAATATATTCTTTTTGGCCAATCATATTTCTGCACAGCTGGGCTGTCCATACTTTGTTGAACCTAAGCATAAAATAGGCAATTCCTCCTTTGGGTCTTAATTCTGAAGGCTCCCATATATATACTTTAAGTAAACTTGTATGCCTTTTCTGCTTTTAATCAATCTGCCTCATTTCAGTGATTTTTCAGTGAAATTGTGAAACTTTAGGGACCAAGGGCCTTGGCTTCTGTATCTACTTCTTTTCTCCCTTTCTTTTTTCTTTTTTTTTTTTTTTGACAGAGTCTCGCTGTATTGCCAAGGCTGGAGTACAGTGGCACAATCACGGCTCACTGCAGCCTCAACCTCCCAGGCTCAAGTGATCCTCCTACCTCAGCCTCCCGAGTAGCTGGGACCACAGGGGTGTGCTACCATGCACAGCTAATTTTTGTATTTTTTTGTAGAGACAGGGTTTCATCATGTTGCCCAGGCTGGTCTTGAACTTCTGGACTCAGGTGACCCACCTGCCTTGGCCTCCCAAAGTGCTGGGATTACAGGGGTGAGCCACTGCACCTGGCCTACTTCTTTTCTTTTTAACATTTTATTGAGAGTTCACAGACCAAAAGTGGACCAATTTAAAGTATATTGTTGATTGGTTGTTAGCTGTGCACCCATCACTATAATTTAGTTTTGGAATATTTTCATCTCCCCCTGAAAGAAATCCTGTACAAATAAATCCCTTTCCATTCTCCCTGCCTCCTCCCCAACCAATCAAACCCTAGGCAACCATTCATCTATTTTCTGTCTCTATAGATTTACCCCATCTGTACATTTTATGTAAATGACTTAATTCAGGATGTGACCTTTTATGATTGGCTTCTTTAACTTACTATGTTTTCAAAGTTCATTTATGTTGTAGCATGTACCAGTATTATGAGAATTCCAATTTTTTTTGCATTCTCAGCAGCAGTTGTTTTTATCTTTTTGTTTATAGCCATCCTAGTGGGTATGAGGCAGTATTTCTTTCCTTCTTCTTCTTCTTTTTTTTTTTTCGAGACCGAGTTTCGTTCTTGTCGCCCAGGCTGGAGTGCAGTGATGCAATCTCGGCTCACTGCAACCTCCGCCTCCTGGGCTCAAGCGATTCTCCTGCCTCAGCCTCCTGAGTAGCTATGATTACAGGCGTGTGCCACCATGCCTGGCTAATTTTTGTATTTTTTTTTTTTTCCAGTAGAGACGGGGTTTCACCATGTTGGCCAGGCTGGTCTTGAACTCCTGATCTCAGGTGATCCACCTGCCTCAGCTTCCCAGAGTGTTGGGATTACAAGCGTGAGCCACCGTGCCCAGCGTGAGTCAGGATTTCATTGTGGATTTGATTTGACTTTTCCTCATGACTAATGATGTTGAACATCTTTTCATGTGCTTATTGACTATTTGTATATTTTCATAAGCAAAATGTCTATTAGGACCCTTTGTCCATTTACTAATTGGGGTGTCTTTTCATTACTGAGTTGTAAGAGGTTTTTTTAAAAAAAAAATTCTATATTCAAGTTTTTTATCAGATATATCACTTGCAAATATTTCTTTCCTATTCTGTTGGTTCATCTACTCTGAAACACAAAATTAAAACATACTGATATCACCTATTTTATCTATTTTCTTATGTTGCTTGTGCTTTTTGTGTCATGTCTAAGGAAGCATTGCCTAACCCAGGGTCAGAACGATTTATCCTTATGTATTCTGAGTTTATAGTTTTAGCTCTTTCATTTTTTTACATTTAGCTTTACTGCTTATTTAAGTTGATTTTTGTGTGTCATGTAAGATCAGGGTCCAACTTCATTCTTTTACATGTGGGTATCTAGTTGTCCTAGCACCATTTTTTGAAAAGGTCATTTTTTTCTTCATCTGATTGTCTTGTGACCCTTGTTTAAAATCAGTTGACCATAAATGTCAAGATTTATTTCTGAACTCTCAATTGTATTTCATTGATCTATATTTCTGTTCTTAACCCAATACCACACTGTATTGATTATTGTAGCTGTGCAGTAAGTTTGGTAATTGGGAAGTGTGAATTTTCCGACATTTTTTTCAAGATTTTTGGGGCTATTCTGGGACCCTTGCATGAATTTCAGGATAAGCTACACAATTTCTTTGGAAAATGCAGAATGCAAGTTGGGATTTTGAAAAGGAGTGTGTTGAATCATCAATTTGGGGGAATTTTGCCATCTTATCAATATTAAGTTGTCCAATCCATGAATAGGGGATGTCTTTTCATTTATTTATATCTTTAATGTCTTTTAACAATTATTTTGTAGTTTCCTATTTTTAGTTTTTGATGTTGTTGTAATTGGAATTTTAAAAATTTAGTTTTTGGATTGTTCATTGCTAGTGTGTAGAAATACAATTGATTTTTATAAGTGATCATTTATCCTTCAACCTTGCTGAACTTGTTTCTTCTAGTAGTCTTTTAAATGGATTCATTAGGGTGTTCTATGTCATGTCATCTGCAAATAGAGATAGTTTTACTTCTTTTCAAATCTGGAGCCTTTTATTTCTGTTTCTTGCCTAATTGTCCCCGTTAGAACTTCTAGTTTCAATAATGTTAAGCAGATGCTGTGAAAGTGGACATTCTTGTTTTGTTCTTGAATTTAGGGGGAATATATTCAGTCTTTAACCATTAAATATAATGTTAGCTCTGTTTTTTTCGGTAAATGGTCTTTATCAGGTGGAAGAAATTCCCTTCTATACCTGGCTTTTCAAATGTTTTTATCATGAAAGGGTGTTGAATTTTGTCAAAGGCTTTTTCTGTTCTATCGAGTTAATCATATGGTTTTTGTCCTTTGTTGTATTAACATGGTATATAATATTGTTTGGTTTTTGAATATAAGATGACCCCACTTTGCATTCCTGACCTACCTGCACTTCAGTTTAGTCTCATACTGCCTCGGACCTCTACATTCCAGCCTATCAAACTATAATATGTGCTGCTCGTTGAAAGTATCATGCTGTTCGATGCCTCAGGGTTTTTCTTTTTTTTTTTTTTTCCTGTTAATATCCTTCTTTGGCTTTCCACCTTGTGAACTCCTATTGATTCTTTGTATCCCAGATCAGGCCTTTATCTTTTCCCTTTCCCCTCATCTTCTACATAACAGTGATTACTCTATACCTCTATTATAGCCGCTGTGATTTTGTATTGCAGTGAATATATTTCCTTCACCCTAGTATGCACCATCAATTTAATAACTTTTCTGACAAATAAACACCACTTCAGTAAATGCATACATAGATTTCAAAAATGTTAGCATTAGAAGAAAATATGCATTGTTGAATTAAAGAAATATGGGTTATTTGTTTGCATTTCCCTTTTTATTGGTTTTAGAGTTATTTGAGTATAGTGACTTTGTTGCCACTCCAGTAGCTAGTAGTACAGTGTGTGGTACATAGTAGTTGTTTAGCATATTTTGTTCAATTAAGCCTGCTTCTTCCCATGGGTGCCTTTTTGAGTCCCTGCACAATTTGTCCCTTTGGTTTTCCTCTGTGTTTTCCACTACTTCATAAATATATACCCTGTTCTTCAGGGTGTATATCTGAACCCCTCATTGTTTTCCTGATTTTTGTTTTTATTGTTTTGTTATTTTTAAAAATGAAAAAAATTAGAAAAAAGACATATCTTGTTATTGCTTCATAAGCAGATATATGAGTATTAAACTTTAACAGTTTGGAAATTTGCTGTAGTTTATATATATATATATATATATATATATATATATATTTTTTTTTTTTTTTTTTTTTTTTTTTTTTTTGTTAAGATGGAGTCTTGCTCTGTTGCCCAGACTGGAGTGCAGTGGCGTGATCTCGGCTTACTGCAAGCTCTGCCTCCCAGGTTCACGCCATTCTCCTGCCTCAGCCTCCCGAGTAGCTGGGACTACAGGTGCCCGCCACCACGCCCAGCTAATTTTTTTTGTATTTTTAGTAGAGACAGGGTTTCACCATGGTCTCGATCTCCTGACCTCGTGATCCACCCGCCTCGGCCTCCCAAAGTGCTGGGATTACAGGCGTGAGCCACTGCGCCTGGCCGGTTTTTATATATTCTTATACTATGCCGCTAGATATGTTTTTATTTTAGAGTAGCTGGCCGTTTAAAAATATTTAGGTTAGCGCTTCATTAAAATTGATTTGAAAGTACTGTTTATGATGTTAAATAAGATTGACATTGAAAATACTACATTACAAAATGTTTTGAGGATTAATATGTTCTTTTAACAAATTCTATTTTGAAAATCACGTTTGTAGATGAAGTCCAGGAAAAATTTAGAGATAAATGGACATTTCATGATTAGGTTTAGGAGTTTTCTCGGTAGTATAGCTCTGAATTGTTTAAAATTGTGTTTTAGCATGTCTTGGTCTTACTTTGTCCTCTTACTGTCTGCTCTCCTCCATTAGCCATGTGCAAAGTTAAGATCCCAGGATCTGCTACCTTTCAGTTACGAAGTTTATCATCCTTAGTAGGATCAGAGCTTAAAGGCACTCACAACAGCTCTCTGTATTCACTGCTTCTTCTCTTGCAAAAAGCCTCATCACTTAATGAATGACTAAACTTTCTCACATTTATCAATATAATATTGTTGCCTTAAACATCTTTCCATTGTAGTCTATTGTATACTCTTCTTCTACATTGTTCTTTCAGAAAGTTTTCCTTATGCCACCATTCCACTGAAGAAAAATGTATGGATGCACCATAACTTATTTAACCATTCCTCTATCATTAGATGTTTAAGTTACTGTTTAATATTAATAAACAACCAGGTGTAATTGTGCTCCTGGCTTTACATTGCTTTCTCCCCAGAGAAATTTAAACTTCTTTAGGACAGATAATGCATTCTCTATATAAATTCTCGACAGTGTTTGGTTCAATGCTATGACTCTCTGAAATAGTTTATAATAGATGCTTCTCAAATTTTTAAACTTTATGGGAAAGAGTGTGACAATTTTATATACTGACTTCCTATACTATTTGTGTGTAGGACAATGCCTCTGCCATGGTGCCTTGGTGATCTTGCATGTACCCACATAGGCCACATAGGCAAGGCTCAACCACAATCTGTCTCAAGTCTTGGGGGAATACTCTGTGATCCTCCTTGATACATGGTAAGATAGACTTGTGAGGAGCTGTCACAAGGCCATTTCCTATCCACCTCTGTATCTTACAGGAGGCGGCCTCAAGGCAGCTTATTATCTCCTATTTTCATTTTGGTAAGGCATGGGAGTTTCCTTCAGGCACAGTTGTGACTATAAAATGACATAGCTGCAGTCTAGAATTGACTCCTCAACAACAGAGCAACCCACTGTGTGTGTTGTCTTTCATTTAGTCCCTCCAGTTTGGGTTTCTCTTGTAGGACTAGGGACATGGGGAGCTGATACCATACTGATCATGCCTTCTCTGCCTGTGTTAGTAATAAACCATCTGAATCCATTTGGTCTTGTCTTACTGGCAGCTGCCGCCGTGCTGATGTGTAGGGGCTGCTTGACCACTTAATGTAAACAAATGGGATTTTTTTTTTTTCCAGTTTGTGGAATTTGTCATTACTTTTTAATTGGTCAATTTATTGTAAATTGCTTTTAATTTCAGGATTCAGTGGTTAGTGCTTTGCTATCAAATAGCTCAGGTAAGGATGGTCCTTGCTCTGTAAATACAGTATTATTTTAGGGGGTACAGCATGCAGCTATAAAATTAGTCTTAATCTGAATAAATCAAAGATAAAGCAATTAGTTTTGTTTAGTACAGTGGCCTGCACTTGGTTTTCTTTTTTCTTCCTCTCTTCTCAAGGACTACTTTTGTTTTGCAATCTGAAGCCTGCTTAAGTTGTCCTGGAGAGTCAGTTGGATGCAGACCTTTCTCGTATTATATTAGACTTTCCTTTCTCATGCAGTAGAAAGGTACTAAGGTATCTTAACATGCAAATAAAATGTATATTGTATACACAGATCTACCTGATTTTCAGTGGCTGGTTGACCTTGACCTAGGCAGAAAGATCAAAGTCAAACTGTTGCCAGTGGAGGGTGTCCAGGTTCTTGGTGTTTTGAACAAAGAATTGGACAAAATGCACAAAGCAAGGAAAGAATGAAGCAGCAAAAGCTGAGATTTATCGAAAGGGAAAGTACACTCTACAGGGTGGCAGCAGGCCGAGCAGCCTCTCACAGCCCCGATACAGAATGTTCTTGGGTCCAAATACCCTGCTAGAGGATTCCCATTGGCCACTTTGTGTTTACCTCATATAAATGAAGTGATGGCCTGCAATCAATCTGATTGGTTGCAGAAAGCGATGAAACAGAGCCTAAAGTGAAGTTACAAAGCTGCACTGCTATGTTAACGAAGACTTGGCGTGCAATCAGTCTGATTGGTTGCAAAAAACAAACAATCAGAGGCTGAAGTTACAAAGTTATACGCCTATGCAAAAGTCTGATTGGTTACAGAAAGCAACCAATCAGAGGTACTTTCTATTTCCCATCTGCCATGCAGAAATAGTGGGGGTTTGCCAAGGGGCTAGTCTCTGGTCCTTTTGTTACTTAGGTGTGGAAAGTTAGGGTTTTCCTTTCAGTTTAGTTCTAGGAAGTCAGCGTGAAACGGCCCTGCCTCCAGATCCTATACTCCTGCCTCAAAACTAATTGAACATCATCAATTCTGATGTACTAGACATGGTTAAGATACATGTTTTGCCATTGGTTACTTCATTAATCAGAATAATCATAACAATTCAGATATTAGGGGTTTTTTTTGGTTTAAAAAATGTTACATGAAAGCATGATTTTGTTGAATTAATTAATTAATTAACTTTTTTATTCTTTGAGACGGGGGCTCCCTCTGTTGCCCAGGCTGGAGTGCAGTGGTCCAATCTTGGCTCACTGCAACCCCATCAAAAACTGAGCGAAGGATATGAACAGACACTTCTCAAAAGAAGACATTTATGCAGCCAACAAACATAAGAAAAAAAGTTCATCATCACAGGTCATTAGAGAAATGCAAATCAAAACCACAATGAGATACCATTTCATGCCAGTTAGAATGGTGATCATTAAAAAGTCAGGAAACAGCAGATGCTGGAGAGGATGTGGAGAAATAGGAACACTTTTACACTGTTGGTGGGAGTGTAAATTAGTTCAACCATTGTGGAAGACAGTGTGGCAATTCCTCAAGGATCTAGAACCAGAAATACCATTTGACCCAGCAATCCCATTACTGGGTATATAACCGAAGCATTATAAATCATTCTACTATAAAGAGACATGCACACGTACGTTTATTGCAGCACTGTTCACAATAGCAAAGACTTGGAACCAATCCAAATGTCCATCAGTGATAGATTGGATAAAGAAAATGTGGCACATATATACCATGGAATACTATATAGCCATAAAAAAGGATGAGTTCATGTCCTTTGCAGGAACATGGATGAAGCTGGAAACCATCATTCTCAGCAAAGTAACACAGGAACAGAAAACCAAACACTGCACGTTCCCACTCATAAGTGGGAGTTGAACAATGAGAACACATGGACACAGGGAGGGGAACATCACACACTGGGGCCTGTTGTGGGGTGGGAGGCCAGGGGAGGGATAGCATTAGGAGAAATACCTAATGTAGATGATGGGTTGATGGGTGCTGCAAACCACCATGGCACTTGTATACCTATGTAACAAACCTGCACGTTCTGCCCATGTATCCCAGAACTTAAAGTATAATAAAAAAATTGTTATGAGTTTGGGGGTACAAGTGTAGTTTTGTTACATGGATATATTACATAGTGATGAAGTCTAGACTATTAGTGTAACCATCACTCGAATAGCGTACATTATACCCATTAGGTAGTTTCTCACCCCTCAACCCGCTCCTACCTTCCTACATTTCTGAGTCTCAGGGTTCTGCAGGTACATAGAAGTTGCCAGGTTTTCTTGCCATCCTCGCCATTCGAAATTCAGTTCTGTACATCTGCCTATATTCGTTGTGATAGTGCTTCGCTTTTTCATAGATAACCTTCCTCCTTGCCTTTTGAAGTATGTTTTGGGCAAACTTCTTTCTCAGGCACTTGATCTTCAGTTCTGTAAAATTCCTTTACTTTTTCTTAAGGGTTTCTGGCACAGCAGGAACCTTCTTCATCTTCTCTTCTACACCCTCCATGGTTCCAGCTGGAAAAAGAGGATGATTTCTTTTCTTTTGGGTAGATACCTAATAGTGGGATTGCCAGATGGAATGGTAGTTCTATTTTTAGTTCTTTGACAAATCGTCATACTGTTTTCCCCAGGGGTTGTACTAATTTACATTCTCACTAACAATATATAAGCGTTCTCCTTTCTCCATATCCTCACCAACTGTTATTTTTTGACTTTTTAGTAATAGCCATTCTGACTGGTGTAGGGTGGTACATTGGCTGTCTCAAAATTTTGTCTGTTTTAATTTGCATTTCTCTGATGCTTAGTGATGTTGAGTATTTCTTCATTTCATATTTTTCATTTTTTCATATGCTTCTTGGCCATTTGTATGCATACAACAAAAGCGGTGCTTGCTTATTGTAGAACATTTGGAAAATAGAAGCATAGGGAAAAAAATACAAATTGCTTCTCATTCCAGCAACCTTGAATAAACATTAATATTTTGGTATATTTCCTTTATATTCCCAACACTCATCATCTTGCACATACCTGTAGGTCTTTATAAATTTATGTATGGTCTTTAAAGAAAACTATTGCTGCACTTGGTGTATATAGTTTTACATTTTAAATACTCTAGTTATTATACTGTGAGCATATTTCCATACTAAGGAATCGAGTCTATAATATGATTTTTAAAGGCTACAGGATATTCCATGTTAAAGATATAAAAATTTGTTTAGCCTTTATCTTATTGTTGGACATTTAAGTTGTTTCTAATTTTTACTATTTTAAATAATCCTGAAATATGCATATTTTTTACATATCTCTATTAGGTTTCAATCAAAAATTGCTATTAATTGAATTATTGGATCAATTATTATGAACAGTTTTAAGGACCTTGATTCACTTTGCCAAATTGCACTTCAGAGAAGTTACCTCATTTTGTATTCCCACCAATGATGTATGGAAGTGCCTAATTCAAAATAGCCTTGCCAACACCAAGTGATAGTTTTAAAACCTTTAAATTTGATTAATGAATTATGTTTTTTTTTTTTTTTTTTTTTTGAGATGGAGTCTTGCTCTGTCACCCATGTCACCCAGGCTAGAGTTTTGTGGTGCGATCTTGGCTCACTACAACCTCTGTCTCCTGGGTTCAAGTGATTCTCCTGCCTTAGCCTCCTGGGTAGCTGGGACTACAGGCACACGGCACCTCACTTGGCTAATTTTTTATTTTTATTTTTTGTATTTTTAGTAGAGACGGGGTTTCATCACGTTGGCTAGTGTGGTCTTGAACTCCTGACCTCAAGTGATCCTCCGGCATTGACCTCCCAAAGTGCTGAGAATACAGACGTGAGCCACTGCACCTGGCCAAATTATGTTATCATAATTTTTACGTTTATTTTGATTACAGTGAGGTTGAAGATATTTTCATATGCGTCTTGGTCGTTGATAGTTTTCATTTTGAAACTGTTTATGTCCTTGGCCCAGGTTTTATCTATGAGTTGTTGGTATCTTTTTGCTTTTTGATAGACTGAAGTTTTTCCTTCTTTTTATGTAACTTAACCTAGAAATCTTTCATGTGTGAATTCTTTCTTTATATTAACACTTTGAAACTCCTTCCCCATTCTAATATTAGGTGACTAGTCACTATAATGTTTTTCTTAAAGCTTCATTTTCATGTTTATCTTTTTCTTCCATCTGGATTTTATTTTAGTAAAAGTTATGTGATAAAGCAATAGTATTTGTCTTGAAAATATAGTTATTCAATAGCCATTTAATAAGTAATACTACATTGATTTGAAATGACAAATTTATAATACATTTTATAATGGTTGAAGTATAGTGCCATTCTTAAATATCTCTTTGATGTTTGAATGCTGTTACAGTGATTCATTAGTCATTATTTCTTGGTGAAACTGAAAAACTTACTAGAATTTCCTACAGATAACTGCATAGAGCTGCCCCTCCCTCTTCTTTTAAATAAGGTCTTGTCTTTCCATGTGGCTTAATTGTTGCGAGACTCACAGTCCTTTCCTTACTGAGCATGCACGTATCTGCCCTCTGGTTAGCAGCTGTGGTTTCCCCTTGCAATATCTGTTTTTGTTTGCACCTTTGCTTCTCAAGGTTCCTGTGCTGAAAATGAGCCTTTCATTACTGGTTGCTTCAGGTCGGTGAGATCTCCTTGTTATTGTTTATCATAATTGTTAACTTTGAAGCATTTTTTTCCTTCATTTTTTCCAATGTCTACAAGTTGTTTTTTTCTCTCTGCTGCACTTATGGTTAAAATTTTAATTCATCATGGAGTAGCTTAGAAATTCTGTAATCCATACATCTTACTTGTTCAACAAGGTCTCAGTGTTATAGACTGTTCATTATTTTGTCCTGCACAACACCCTTCTAGGGAATACTGAATCAAGAAATCACCTGTCTTTGCAGAGGGCATCTGTTGAGGCAGATGCCAGAGCCATGGGGTTGTCATTTCCCATCAGGCTCCATCCAGTATCAGTCTCTAATACTTCAAAGACACTTTCCATCCTTGCATCCGACAGACAGCTGTGGTGCCTTCTGTTTTCTTGCTGCTTTTGTTTCTAGTCTTAACAGTTCTTTTAGATAGAAAAATAGATGAGGAATTGCTAACATTTGAGAACATATTAATCAGATTTTACATACTGTAATTGTGCTCAAATTTGAGTAATAATAGTTACCAAAGAACAGAGAACATTTAATTTTTTCATTTTCATGTTAGGAAATAAGTATCTGAGTTGGCTGATTTTATGCACTCTCCTGAAGACATATTTCTGCTATATATTTTTTATGTTACAAGAAATGAATATAATGGTCTAATTTCCATCATTTTATTTTCTATCTTTATGAACATTACCTATCATTATGTACAAGTTGACAATTTTCCCTTCATTTCTATTGATTATTTCTTCTAGGGATTTTAGGTTGTTGCAGAATATTTAGTCATTACCAATAGCTCTGAAATAGGAATTAAGTGATTTTGGCACTATTTAATAGGTAGTAGTAGATTCAGAAATGCAGTTCAGATCAAGTCTAGTGTTCATCTCCCCTCTTTTTTAGTCAGTAAGACTTCTGTGAACTTTGAGACATACCCCAAGGATGATGCTGTATTGGTCTAGCCCCAAGAGCTTTATATTATAGAAACTACAATTTTAGTAGAACTAAATGGAGGTGATTCTTTTTGCATTCTTTCACTGAAGTGTTACTATCTAAGCAGGTATTATTTGGTGTTGGAGTGGAATAAGAATTGATATTACCTAGAGTTGGTGTCTGGTTGAGCTTTTGATTTACCCTAACATCTCATGCTTAGTTTATAGTTAATGTTTAATGGAATTTTGTCAAATGGATGATAAAGGCTGTGAGTCAAGTCAGGATGCTACCTGGCAAATATGGAGAATGAGGCTTGGAAGGTGAGGATCAGAATTTGCTTGCCTCTATCACAGACTCTGGAAATGCAGGACGACAGATAATTTGATATTAAGATATTTGAATATTTTACCTTGTATGTTTTCCGTGGTTAGGCTGCAACTTCTAAGCCCTGCTGGAAAAGGAATGGTACTGTTCAAAGACAGTTCACCATGGCTTCATGTTTCTGCGCATCTTACAAGTGAGACACTAACTGCCCTGTGTTCTGAACTTTATTTTCAATGATGTTGGTACAGTGAACAGCTTTGCAAGATAAACCTACTGTTTGCCTTCAAAACAAAGTGCAGACTGGACGCAGTGGCTCACACCTGTAATCCCAACACTCTAGGAGGCCAAGGCAGGAGGATTGCTTGAGCCCAGGAGTTTGAGACCAGCCTGGGCAACATAGCAAGACCCTGTCCTTTTTTTTTTTATGAGACAAGGTCTTGCTCTGTCTCCCAGGCTGGAGTGCAGTGGCACAATCGGCTCACCACAGCCTCAACCTCCCCAGGCTCAGGTGATCCTCCTGCCTCAGCCTCCGAAGTAGCTGGGACTATAGGTCCATGCCACTACACTCGGCTATTTTTTTGTATTTTTTGTAGAAATGGGGTTTTGCCATGTTGCCCAGGCTGGTCTCAAGCTCCTAGACTCAAGCAATCCACCCTCCTCGGCCTCCCAAAGTGTTGGGATTGTAGATATGAGCCACTGCCCCCACCCAAGACCCTGTCTCTTAAAAAAAATAGCCAAGCTTGGTGGTGCATGCTTGTAGTCCCAGCTACTTAGGAGGCTGAGGCAATAGCACTGCTTTAGCCTGGGAGGTCAAGGCTGCCGTGAGCTGTGATCACACCACTGCACTCCAGCCTGGGCGACAAAGCAAGATACTGTCTTAAAAAGCAAACAAAGAAAACAGAAACAAACCAAAGCAAAGGGCAGATTTGCTTGCATCCTTGGACAAATTAGATAGTATTTCTCTCCAAAGCAAAAGATAATCATGCTTAATGTTGAATAAAATAAAGATAATGTCTCCCTTAGAATAAAAGGCAGGCATGCTTACTATGATAAAAGATTTGGGTTCCCTCAGCTCAGGTTCCTTTCCTATAATGTGATAATACTGCATGTGCATGCATCCATCTGGGCCCATCAGTGTTGCCCCCATGAGATTTTGGGGAGTACGGGGAACTGACCCAAATATACTGTTCATGCCATTTGCTGTGCTGTGAGCAATAAAGGCCTCTGTCTCTCACACGGGAGTCTCATGTCTTCTGCTAGCATCTATACAACAGTGTTAGGCTAACATACTGGCTTACAAGTAGGGCAAAATCCGACCCTTCAGAGTTCTTGACAGGTACTCAGCACAATGCTTTTGGCTATAAGATGTTATCCTCCTTTAGACAAAATTTGTTTGACTAATTTTCTTTAATCCTTGTTTATTGAATTGGTTAAAAATATTGAAAAGTAATAAGAGCCCATCTCTTTAAGGGGCCAAGAAAGCTGTGTGTCATCTCAGATGAAACAATTTTGAATTGGTAAATTGGGAAAAGCTGAGGGCTTTATAATGGTGTTCATTATTCTCTAAAACAAAAATTGAACCTAGAAGTAAGATTTACATTCTGCCTCCTATTGCAAGAAGCAATCTTGGGGGGGTGTGTGGATGTTGTTAGATTTAGAATTCTTCTGACCCTGGTGTGTGGTTGCAGTGGGACAGAATATTTGAGATGTGGGACAGAAGGCCACAGTAGTGTGTTAAAGGAGTGGAAAATCACACATAGAACATAGGCTTTGAAGACACATGAGTTTGGAACCCCAGTGCTGTCAGTTATTACTAGCTTTTCATTTTTTTTACCTTTGGGAAGGCATGTCATTCAGTCTATCTTTGCTTCATATGTGTATTAGTCTGTTTTCACGCTGCTGATAAAGACATACCCGAGACTGGGCAATTTACAAAAGAAAGAAATTTGTTGGACTTACAGTTCCACGTGGCTGGGGAGGCTTCACAATCATGGCAGAAGGTGAAAGGCACTTGTCACATGGTGGCAGACAAGAGAAGAGAGCTTGTGCAGGGAACCTCCCCTTTTTAAAACCAGCAGATCTAATGAGACTTACTCACTATCATGAGAACAGCACGGGAAATACCTGCCCCTATGATTCAATTATTTCCCACCAGTTCCCTCCCACAACACATGGGAATTCAAGATGAGATTTGAGTGAGAACACGGCCAAACCATATAATTCTGCCCTTGACTCCTCCCAAATCTCATGTCCTCACATTTCAAAACCAATCATACCTTCCCAACAGTCACACAAAGTCTTAACTCATTTCAGCATTAACTCAAAAGTCCACAGTCCAAAGTCTCACCTGAGACAAGGCAAGACCCTTTCGGCTATGAGCCTGTAAAATGAAAAGCAAGTTAGTTACTTCCTAGATACAATGGGGATACAGGCATCGGGTAAATACAGCCATTCCAAATGGGAGAATTTGGCCAAAACTAAGGGGTTACAGGCCTTGTGCAAGTTTGAAATCCAGTGGGGGAGTCAAATCTTAAAGCTCCAGAATGATCTCCTTTGACTCCATGTCTCACATCCAGGTCACGCTGATGCAAGAGGTAGGTTCCTATGGTCTTGAGCAGCTCCGCCTTTGTGGCTTAGCAGGGTACAGCCTCCCTCCTGGCTGCTTTCATAAGCTGGCACTGAGTGTCTGTGGCCTTTCCAGGTGCATGGTGCAAGCTGTCGGTGGATCTACCATTGTGGGGTCTGGAGGATGGTGGCCCTCTTCTCACATCTCCACTAGGCCGTGCCCCAGTGGGGACTTTGTGTGGGGCCTCTGACCCCACATTTCCTTTCTGCACTGCCCTAGCACAGGTTGTCCATGAGGTCCCTGCCCCTGCAGCAAAGTTCTGCCTGGACATACAGGCATTTCCATACATTCTCTAAAATCTAGCCAGAGGTTCCCAAACCTCAATTCTTGACTTCTGTGCACCTGCAGGCTCAGCACCACATGGAAGCTGCCAAGGCTTGGGGCTTGCACCCTCTGAAGCCACGGCCCAAGCTGTACCTTGGCCCCTTATAGTCATGCCTGGAGTGGCTGGGACACAGGGCAACAAGTCCCTAGCCTGCACACCACACAGGGGCCCTGGGACTGGCCCACGAAACCATTTTTTCATCCTAGGCCTTCAGTCCTGTGATGGGAGGGGCTGCTGTGAAGACCTCTGACATGCCCTGGAGACATTTTCCCCATTTTCTTGGGGATTAACATTCGGGTCCTGGATACTTATGCAAATTTCTGTAGCCAGCTTGTATTTCTCCTCAGAAAATGGGATTTTCTTTTCTATCACATTGTCAGGGTGCAAATTTTCCAAACTTTTATGCTGTTTCCCTTTTAAAACTGAGTGCTTTTAACGGCACCTAAGTCACCTCTTGAATGCTTTGCTGCCTAGAAATTTCTTCCACCAGATACTCTAAATCATCTCTCTCAAGTTCAAAGTTCCACAGATCTCTAGGGCAGGGGCAAAATGCCACCAGTCTCTTTGCTAAAACAAAACAAGAGTGTCACCTTTGCTCCAGTTCCCAACAAGTTCCTCATCTCCATCTGAGATCACCTCAGCCTGGGTTTCATTGTCCATATCATTATTAGCATTTTGGTCAAAACCATTCAACAGGTTTCTAGGGAGTTCCAAACTTTCCCACATTTTCCTGCCTTCTTCTGAGCCCTCTGAACTGTTCCAACTTCTGCCTATTACCCAGTTCCAAAGTCACTTCCACATTTTTGGGTATCTTTTCAGCAGTGCCCCACTCTACTGGTACCAATTTACTGTATTAGTTCATTTTCATGCTACAGATAAAGACATACCCAAGACTGGGCAATTTACAAAAGAAAGAGGTTTATTGGACTTACAGTTCCATGTGGCTGGGGAAACCTCACAGTCATGGTGGAAGGTAAAAGGCACATCTCACATAGTGGCAGACAAGAGAATAGAGCTTGTGCAGGGAACCTCCCCTTTTTAAAACCATCAGATCTTGTGAGACTTATTCACTATCATGAGAAAAGCATGGGAAAGACTTGCCCCTGTGATTCAATTAACTCCCACCAGGTCCCTCCCACAACACGTGGGAATTCAAGATGAGATTTTGGTGAGGACACAGCCAGACCATATCAGTATGTTAAATGAGAAACAGTAACTAGCTTACAAAATTGTTAAAAGGATTAGAAATAATCTATGCAAAGTGCACAGTACTGTGATCTAGCATATAGGGTGTATGTGTATAATATTTGCCTCAATTCCACTTAGGTTATTCTTGATGTGAATTTAGAGTTCTGATTTCAAGTTATTTCTCCATTAACTCCCATGTTCCTTCAAGCAGACAATTCTATGGTGATTACTCTAATGATGAAGATGTGTTCAAACAGCACACTTCATTATTAGGAATTTTATCAGAGGTAAAAATCACATGGCCCTCTCCTTAATGTGTCTGTTTAATTTCCCTCTGCTTTCCTCTTATAAGGATACACGTGATGGCATTTTTAGGGCCAGAGATAAAAGTGTGTCAGGCTTTCAAATATTACCTAGGATTTTTTTAAAAGGAGAGACTATGGTAATCTATATTATTAAACAGCACTTAAACTTAAGTTTAACAATTTGTGCAAAAAACTCTCTCTACCCGTTTATACACTGAATAAGATAAGACTAAGACTATAATTAGTATAGTATAATAGTATAATTTCTGAAAGTCATTTTGTATATTTGGCAGAAATGGTAGCCAGTGGGCCAGGAATTTCAATGGGCCGCAGATAGACCAATCTGTGGCTCTGTGGGTGCAGCTTGGGAGACAGCAGATTTCCATTCCATCTGACTCCTCTCCTTCTTCTCTAGCTTCCTTGACCTCTGAAGCTCAAGAGTGATACAGAACATAATTTAGATTGGGTTACTTAAGATTATTGACCAAGATCTCTAATAGACTGCCAGCAGTTTTACAAGGAATGTCTTGAAGGAAGGCAGGAAACAGGACACAGCAATCTGTCTACTGTTGATTTACTGCCAATACTGGATTTTATGATTAAAAATGAGACAAGAAAAACAGCTTAGTGGTTATAAAGGTGCTTATCCCTTTGGATGCTAATTAACTGAGATATCGATACTGCACAAGAAAAAAATACACAGCTATGTAATTAAAAAATATTTACAATCATTCTCTTATTAATTCCAATAAACTATCATTATGGTATATATTAGTTTCTTGTGCCTGCCATAACAAATTATCACAAACTTAATAGTTTAAAAAAAAGAAAATTAGTCTCTCACAGGTTTGGAGACTGAAAGTTAGAAACAAATTTAATTGAGCTAAAATCAAGGTTTTGGCAGGGCCGCACTCCCTATGGGGAGGCTCTAGGGGAGAATCCATTCCTTGCTTCTTCCAGCTTCTGATGGCTACTGGCATTGTGTGGCACAATTATTCCAGTGGCTGCCTCCTTCTCCACATGGCCCCCTCTTCAGTCTGTCTGGTTTACCCTCTGCTTTCCTCTTATAAGGATACCTGTGATGGCATTTAGGGTCCACATGGATGATGCAGGCTAATCTCATCACAAGACTCTTAATTACATCTGTAAAACCTTTAGCATATAAGATAACACTCACAGATTCCAGAATTAGGGTCTGATATCTTTGAGGGCCACCATTCAGCCTACAACAGGAAGATAAATACACATTTTAATGTCCTTTTTTATGTGGAAAAGGTGAACCATTTTTATAATTGTCTTTTCCCAAGTGCTGTTTGTTGCCTAAGAAGGTAGGCTTTGAAATTGTTGTGAAGTGAATCTCCCACGGAGGAATAAGTGAGCAGTTTTCCGATTTTTATTTATTTTTATTTTTTGAAAAAGACAGGGTCTCACTGTCACCCAGGCATGAGTGCAGTGGCATGATCATGGCTCACTGCAGCCTCAACCTCCTGGGCTCAAACCATCCTCCCACCTCTTAGCCTCCCGAGTAGCTGGAACTACAGGCATGCACCATGCCCAGCTACTTTTTGTATTTTTTTGTAGAGATAGGGTTTCGCCATATTGCCCAGGCTGGTCTGGAACACCTGGGCTCAAATGATCCTCCCACCTGGGCCTCCCAAAGTGTTGGGATTACAGGCATGAGCCACCGACTGCACCCAGCTGTTTTTTTTTCCCCCGATTTTTAGGTGGAATTTTTATTTATTTAATTTTTTGCTGGAACTCAGTTAAAATACCAGTTTTGCATGTATTTCTCAATTATTTGTTCATTATTAGTCATATTTTATTTTTCTAGTTGCCCTAGTATACATGTTAATTGATTTTTAATGTTTAAAAAGCTCCTTTATTGTATATCACAAGATAAACATTTTAAATCAGTTTAAATTTTATTAATTATAGCTATATAAAAGTTAATCTTCACTTTTTTGATGGAAAATATGAGATGCTGTTAGTGTGAGATAGTTCAAGAAATTAAGATACAAATAGTTTTATGTTATTTCCCATTTTTCTTTCCAAGGTTGAGTTTTTTTTTTTTTTTGGCACTGTTATTGTATTTACCCAATGCTTAGGATGTTTATACTGATTTTAAATCTGAAACACCTAAGAATTAGATTTTGCTGAGACCAGCTCAGTTGTGGAGACCCTAACCCAGCGGCGCTAGAGGAATTAAAGACACACACACAGAAATATAGAGTGTGGAGTGGGAAATCAGGGGTCTCACAGCCTTCAGAGCTGAGAGTCTTGAACAGAGATTTACCTGCATATTTACTGACAGCAAGCCAGTGATAAGCATTGTTTCTATAGATTATAGATTAACTAAAAGTATTCCTTATGGGAAACAAAGGGATGGGCTGAAATAAAGGGGTGGGTCTGGCTAGTTACCTGCGATAGGAGCATCTCCTTCAGGCACAGATCGCTCATGCTATTGTTTGTGGTTCAGGAACACCTTTAAGCGGTTGTCTGCCCTGGGTGGGCCAGGTGTTCCTTGCCCTCATTCCGGTAAACCCACAACCTTCCAGTGTGGGCGTCAATGCCATCACAAACATGTCACAGTGCTGCAGAGATTTTGTTTATGGCCAGTTTTGGGGCCAGTTCATGGCCAGATTTGGGGGCCTGTTCCCAGCAAGATTTATTATTCTTTATTTAACTCCATTAAATTAGAATAATAATTATAATTTTAAGTGGTGTTTACTAAATAAATACATGAAATCATCCAGAAAATAGTTTATGAATGCACATTTAATTAAATTCCCTGAGGGAGCTTCTAATATTACTTTGTAATTTAACTAAATAATCTTTTATTTGGAGGGGAACGAACATAAAGAAGCATGAAAAATGTGTAGATTAGTAATGTCTTGATATTATTTAAATCATTAAATTATTCTTGTTATTAATACTGATGTTTTAGTATATTTTTCTGTCCCTTTTTGGTAGTTTATTTGCCTTTTTATTTCATTTTTTTTTGCATTTTTTTTTGTGAGACAGAGTTTTGCTCTTTTTGCCCAGGCTGAAGTGCAATGGCGTGATCTCGGCTCACTGCAACCTCCGCCTCCCAGGTTCAAGTGATTTTCCTGCCTCAGCCTCCCAAGTAGCTGGGATTATAGGTGCTTGCCACTATGCCTGGCTAATTTTTTGTATTTTTAATAGAGACAGGGTTTCACCATGTTGGCCAGGATGGTCTCGATTTCTTGACCTTGTGATTCACCTGCCTCGGCCTCCCAAAGTGCTGGGATTACAGGCGTGAGCCACCATGCCCAGCTGACTTTTTATTTCATATGTTATTTTTCAGAAGTTTTAGGTTTACAAAAAAATTGAGCAGATAGTACAGGTACCCCATACTCCTTTTCTCCAGCTCATAGTTTTCCTATTTTTAGCATCTTACATTTTTGTAATGTATTTTTTACAATTAATGAACCAATATATGGTACACTTGATGATGATGAAAATTGATGAAGCTATACTTTATTATTAAAGTCTGTACATTAGGATTCAGTCTTTGTGTTGTATAGTTGTATGTGTTTTGACAAATGCATGTGTCATGTATGCATCATCACAGTATCACATAGAAGAGTGTAACTGCCCTGAAAATTCTGTGATCCATGTATTAATCACTCTTTGATATGGTTTAGCTCTGGGTCCCCACCCAAATCTCATATTGAATTGTAACCACTATGTGTCAGGGGAGGGACCTGGTAGGAGGTGATTGGATCATGAGGGTGGTTTCCCCGATGTTGTTCCCATGATAGTGAGTTCTTATGAGATCTGATGGTTTATAAGTGTGTAGCATTCTCCTCCTGCCCTCTGCCTTGTGAAGAAGGTGCTTGCTTCTTCTTCACCTTCCACCATGATTGGTTTCCTAAGGCCTCCCCAGCCATGTAGAATTGTGTGTCAATTAAACCTCTTTTCTTTATAAATTACCCAGTCTCAGGTGGTTTTATATAGCAGTGTGAGAATGGACTAATACAGAAAATTGGTACTAAAGAAGTGGGGCATTGCTATAAGGAAACTTGAAAATATGGAAGCAACTTTGGAACTGGGTAATGGGCAGAGGTTGGAACGGTTTGGAGGGCTCAGAAGAAGACAGGAATATATGGGAAAGTTTGGAACTCTCTAGAAACTTGTTGAATAGTTATGACCAAAATGTGATAGTGATATGAACAACGAAATCCAGGCTGAGGTGGTCTCAGATGGAGATGAGGAACTTACTGGGAACTGAAGTAAAGGTCACTCTTGCTATGCTTTAGCAAGGAGACTGATGGCATTTTGCTCCTGCCCTAGAGATCTGTGGAACTTTGAACTTAAGAGACATGATTTAGGGTATCTGGCAGAAGAAATTTCTAAGTAGCAAAGCATTCAAGATGTGACCTGGCTGTTTCTGAAAGTGTTCAGTCATATGCATTCACAAAGAGATGGTCTGACATTGGAACTTATGTTTAAAAAGGAAGAAAAGCATAAAAGTTTGGAAAATCTGCAGCCTATATGGTGGAAAAGAAAAACCCATTTACTGGGAAGTAATTCAAGCCCGCTGCAGAAATTTGCATAAGTAAAAAGGAGCCAAATGTTAATTGCCAAAAGAATGGGGAAAATGTCTTCAGGGCATTTCAGAGATCTTCATGACAGCCCTTCCCATCACAGGCCTGGAGGCCTAGGAGGGAAAAATGGTTTCATGGGCTGGGCCCAGGGCCCTACTGCTCTGTGCAGCCTCATGACATGGTTCCCTGTGTCCCAGCCACTCCAGCTTCAGCTGTGGCTAAAAGGGGCCAAGGCACAGCTCATAATGTTGCCTCAGAGGGTGCAAGCCTCAAGCTTTGGTGGCCTCCACATGGTGTTGGGCCTGTGGGTGCTTAGAAGACAAGAGTGGAGGTTTGGGAACCTCTGCCTGGATTTCAGAAGCTGTATGGTAATGCCTGAACGTCCAGGCAGAAGTCTGCTGCAGGGCCAGAGCCCTCATGGGTAACCTCTACTAGGGCAGTGTAGAGGGGAAATGTGGGGTTGGAGACTCACACAGAGTCCCCATTGGGGCAGTGCCTAGTGAAGCTGTGAGAAGATGGCCACTATCCTCCATACCTCTAGACTGACAGTTTGTACCGAGCACCTGGAAAAGCTGCAGGCTCTCAATGCCATCCCCTGAAACCAGCGACGGGGGCTATACCCTGAAGAGCCACAAGGGTAGAGCTACGCAAGGCCTTGGGAACCCACCCCTTCCATCAGTGTGCTCTGGATGTGAGGCATGGATTGAAAGAAGATTATTTTGGAACTTTAAGCTTTAATGACTTCCCCATTGTATTTTGGACTTGCATGGGGCCTGAGGCCCTTTGATTTTGGCCAATTTCCCCCATTTGGAACGTGTGTATTTACACAATGCCTGTACCCCCATTGTATATAGGAAGTAACTAACTTGATTTTACAGGCTCATAGGCAAAATGGGACTTGCCTTGTCTCAGATGAGACTTTGGAGTTGGACTTTTGACTTAATGCTGGAATTAGTTAAGACATTTGGGGACTGTTGAGATGGAATTTTGCAAATGTGTTGCAGTGTGATAAGGAAATGAGATTTGGGAAGGGCTGTGGCAGAATGATATGGTTTAGCTCTGTGTCCCCACTCAAGTCTCATATTGAATTATAATTGCCATGTGTCAGGGGAGGGACCTGGTGAGAAGTGATTGGATCATGAGAGTGGTTTCCCTCATGCTGCTCTCATGATAGTGAGTGAGTTCTTACAAGATCTGATGGTTTATAAGTGTGTGGCAGTTCCCCTGCCCTGCCTGCCATCTTGTGAAGAAGGTGCTTGCTCTTCCTTTGCCTTCTGCCATGATTGTAAGTTTCCTGAGGCCTCCCAGCTATGTGGACTGTGAGTCAATTAAACCTCTTTTCTTTATAAATTACTCAGTTTCTGGTAGTTCTTTACAGCAGTGTGAAAATGGACCAATACTCTCTTCCTCTTCCCTTATTCCCTCTTTTCCTCCCAAATTATGGCAACCATTGATCTTTCTACTACCACCATAGTTTTACCCTTCCCAGAATGATATTTACTAGGAATCCTAGCATATGTAGACATTTCAGACTGGCTTCTTTCAAGAAGCAATATATGTTAAGGTCTCTCCATTTCTTTTCATGGCTTGAAAGCTTGTTTCCTGGAAGCTATTCCATTGTATGGATATTCCACAGTTTATCCATTAACCTATTGAAAGATGCATCTTGTTTGCTTCTAAATTTTGACAATTATGAATAAGGCTGCTATAAATGTTAGTGTGAAGACTTTGTGTAGACATTAGTTTTGAACTTATTTGAGTAAATACCCAGGCTTGCAATTGCTGAATTAAGACCATATTTATCTTTGTAAAAGCATACCAGACTGTCTTCCAGTGTGGCTGTTCTTGTTTTTTCACTAAAAATTTATTTATATAATTTATGGCATACAAGTGCAAATTTATTACATGCATAGTAGTCAAGTTAGGGGATTCAGAGAATCTGTCACCCAAATAACATACATTGTACCCATTAAGTAATTTCTTATTATATACCCCTCTCCCACTCTCTCACCCTTCTGAGTCTCCATTGTCTATCACTCTGCTCTCTATATCTATGTATACACCATTTTTTAGCATTCACTAAAAAATGAGTGAGTGACAACATGTGATATTTTTCTTTCTGTGTCTGGTTTGTTTCACTTAAGATAATGACCTTCAGTTCTATCCATGTTGCTGCAAAAGACCAATGCTTTGGCTATTTGGACTCTTTTTTGGTTCTATATGAATTTTATGATTGTTTTTTCTAATTCTGTGAAAAATGATGTTGGTATTTTGGTAGGGATTGCATTGAACCTGTAGATTGCTTTGGGCAGTATGGTCATTTTAACAATATTAATTCTTCTGATCCATGAGCATGAGATATCTTTCCATTTGTTTTTGTCATCTTCAATTTCTTTCATCTGTGTTTTATAGTTTTCCTTGTAGAGATCTTTAACCTCTTTGGTTAAATTTATTCCTAGGTATTTTATTTTCTGGTAGGTGTGGTAAATAGGATTGACTTCTTGATTTCATTCTCAGTGAGATCATTATTGGTATTTAGAAATGCTACTGTGTTTTATATGTTAATTTTTGTATCCTGAAACTTTATCAAATCTAAGAGTTTTTTGGTGGAGTCTTTAGGTTTTTCTAGATATAAGATGATATCGTCAGCAATCTGCGATACTTTCACTTCCTCTTTTTTGATTTGGATGTGTTTTATTTCTTTCTCTTGCCCGATTGCTCTGGCTAGGACTTCCAGTACTATATTCAATAACAATGGTGAAAGTGAGCATCTTTGTCTTGTTTTAGATCTTAGTTGGAAGGCCTTCAGCTTTTCCCCATTCAGTATGATACATGGGTTTGTTGTATATGGCCTTTATTTTTTTCAGGTATGTTCCTTCTATGCCTAGTTTGTTGAGGGTTTTTTTACCATGAAGGGAAGCTTAACCTTATCAAATGCATTTTCTGCATCTATTGAGATGATCATATGTTTTTTGTCCTAATTTTGTTTATGTGATGTATCACATTTATTAATTTGCATATATTCAACCATCTTTGCATCCTTGGTATAAAACCCACTTGATCATGGTGTATGATATGGTTTGGCTCTGTGTCCCCACCCAGATCTCATCTTATAGCTCCCATAATTCCTATGTGTTGTGTAAGGGATCTGGTGGGAGATGGTTGAATCATGGGGGTGGGTCTTTCTTGTGCTGTTCTTGTGACAGTGAATGAGTCTCATGACATCTGATGGTTTCAAAAACGGGAATTTCCCTACACAGGCTCTTTGCCTGCCACCATTCATGTAAGATGTGACTTGCTCCTGCTTGCCTTCCACAATGATTGTGAGGCCTCCCCAGCCATTTGGAACTGTAAGTCCAATAAACCTCTTTGTTTTGTAAATTGCCTAGTCCCAGGTATGTCTTTATCAGCAGCATGAAAATGAACTGATACAGTGCATTATCTTTTTGATGTCCTGTATTCAATTTACTAGTATTTTGTTGAGGATTCTTGCATGTATGTTCATCAGGGATATTGGTCTGCTGTTTTCCTTTTTTGGTTGTTGTGTCCTCGTCCAGTTTTGGTATTAGGGTGATAGTGGCCTCATGGAAAGAATTAGGGAGAATACTCTCCTCTTCAATTTTTTGGAACAGTTTCAGGAGGAGCGGTATTCCTTCTTTTTATATTTGATAGAATTTGGCTGTGAATCCCTCAGCCAAGCTCCCTCAACAATCCCTGAGCTTGTCTTTATTGGGATTTTTTTTTTTTTTACTACTGATTCAGTTTTGCTCTTCATTATTGGCCTGTTTAGATTTTCTATTTCTTCCTTGTTCAATCTTGGTAGGTTGTATGTTTCCAGGAATTTATCTCTTTCCTCTAGGTTTTCTTGTTTGTTGAGTATATAGTTGTTCATAATAGTTTCTGATGATCTATTGTGTTTCTGTGGTATCAGTTGAAATATTTCCTTTTTTATTTCTCATTGTGTTTATTTGGTTCATCTCTCTTCTAGGTTAGTCTAGCTACTGGTTTATCAGATTTATTTATCTTTTTGAAGAATCAACTCTTTGTTTTTTTAATACTTTGTATTTCTTTGGTCCCTATTTCATTTAGTTCTACTGTGATCTTTGTTATTTCTTCTGCTAGTTTTGAGTGTGGTTTGTTCTTGATTTTCTAGTTTTTTGAGATGCATTGTTAGGTTGATAATTTGTAATCTTTCTTTTTTTTGATAATAGGCATTTAATGCTACAAATTTCCCTCTTACCACTGCTTTTGCTATATCCCACAGGTTTTGGTTTGTTGTGTTTCCATTTTCATTTGTTTCAAAAAATTTTTAATCTTTTGTATTAATTTCTTCTTTGATCCAATGATTGTTCAGGAGCTTGTGTAATATCCATGTGTTTGTATCGTTTCTGAAGTTCCTTTTTGTATTGATTTCTATTTATTCCACTGTGTTATGAGAAAATAATTGATAGGATTTCATTTTTAAACATTTGTTGATACTTGTTTTATGGCCTAACGTGGTTTATCTTGGAGAATGTTCCATGTGCTCATCGAAAGAGTGTATATTCTGCAGTTGTTGGGCAGAATGTTCTGTAAATTTGTTAGGTCCATTTGGTGTAAAGTCCAATTTATATCTAATGTTTCTTTGTTGGTTTCCTACCTGGATGATCTGTCTAATGCCGTGAGTGGTGCGTTGAAGTCTCCCACCATTATTGTATCTGTCTATCTCTCTCTTTAGGCCTAGTGATATTTGTTTTATGGATCTGGGTGCTCCAGTGTTGGGTGCATATACATTTAAAATTGTTATAGCCTCTTGCCAGATTGATCCCTTTATTACAGAATGAAGTTCTTTGTCTTTTTTAACCGTCTTTTATTTAATATCTGATTTAATTGATGCAAGTACAGCTAGTGCTGCTCACTTTTGGATTTTGTTTGTGTGGACTGTCTTTCTATTCCTTTACTTTTGGTCTATATGTGTCTTTACAAGTAATGTGAGTTTCTTGTAAGCATCATATAGTTGGATTATGTTTTTAAAATCTATTTTGCCAATCTATATCTTTTAAATGGGGCATTTAATTCATTTATTTTCAAGGTTTATATTGATATATGTGAGGGTTTGTTCTTGTCGTATTGTTAATTGTTTTCTAGTTTTATAAATTCTCTGTTTCTTTTTCTTGGAATGTTTGCCTTTGGTTTGGTGGAATTCTGTAGTGGTGCCATTTGATTCCTTTTTCTTCCTCCTTTGTGTGATTACTTTACCAGTGAGTTTTATACTTTTGTGTGTTTTTATGATGATGAATATCGCTTTTACTTCCACGTTTAGGACTTCTTTGAGCATTTCTTGTAGGGCCAGTTTAGTGGCGATGAATTCCTCAGCATTTGCTTGTCTCTGAAAGACTTCATTTCTTCTTATTTATGAAGCTTATTGCTGGATATTGAGTTCTTGGCTGGCAGTCTTGGTTTTTTTTATTTCAGCATTTTTAATATGTCATTCCCTTCTCTTCTGGCTTTTAAGGTTTCTGGTGAGAAGTCTCATGTTAGTCTAATGGAGTTTCCTTATGTAGGTGACAGGGTGCTTTTCTCTTGCTGATTTTATTTTATTTTATTTTTTCTGTGAAGCTGTTCTTTATTTCAGGGAGAGGACAGGACAGGGAGCTCAGTCTTTCATAGCAGCAACTTTCCTCGTGATGGCCAGGACATTGCTCAGCTCCTCCCGCTTCCTCTTGGTGTGGATGTGTGTCCCCACCCTTTTCTTGATGAACTTGAGGGCTTGTTTGTCCTTGGAGACCTTCAGTAACTCCATGGTGCACCGCTCGTATGGGGTGAAGCCACATACCTCTTGGATCATGCCCCGCACACACTTGGTGTGTTTGGTCGGGCGCCCAAGGCTACGACTGTGTCTGGGCTTGCTCAAATTCTTGGTCAACTTGTGGCCCTTGTTGAGGCCCACGACCATAGTGTAGCACAGAACCATTGCTGCTGCTCTGCAATGGTGGCTGTGGTGGAATGCTGTCTTGCTGATTTTAGAATTCTTTTTACTTTAGACAGTCTGATTATAATATGCTGTGGCAAACTCCTTTTTGCATTGTGTTTTCCTGGGAATCACTGAGTCTCCTGTGTCTGGATGTCTAAATCTTGCTATACTTGGAAAAGTTTCGTTTCTTATTTTGTTAAATAGGCTTTCTAAGCCTTTTAATCTCTCATATCCCTCAGGAATACCAATAATTTGTAAGTTTGGTCATTTTATGCAGTCTCAATTGGCACATGTATACCTATGTAACAAACCTGCATGTTCTGCATGTGGATCCCAGAACTTAAAGTATAATAAAAAAATAAAATAAAGCAATAAGCAAGTTCAAAAAAAAAAAAAAAGAAAAAGCTTTGTTCATTCTTTTTCTTTATTTTTGTCTGACTGGATTATTTCAAAAGACCTGTCTTCAAGTTCTGAAATTCTTTCTTCTGCTTGATCTAGTATTTCAAATGTATTTTGTATTTTCTTCAATGAATCCTTTAGTTTCGGAATGTGTGTGTGTGTGTGTGTGTGTGTGTGTGTGTGTGAGAGAGAGAGAGAGAGAGAGAGAGAGAGACTTGTTCTGTTGCCCAGGCTGGAGTGTAGTAGAGAGCGAGAGTGAGAGAGAGAGAGAGAGAGAAAGAGAGAGAGAGACTTTTTCTTTTGCCCAGGCTGGAGTGTAGTGGTGTGATCATAGCTCAGTATGACCTCAAACTTTTGGACTCAAGTGATCCTCCTGCCTCAGCTTCCTGAGTAGTTGGGATTACAAGCATGTGCCACCACGCCTAGCTAATATTTGTATTTTTAGTAGAGACAGGTTCTCTCTATGTTGCCCAAGCTGGTCCTAAACACCTGGGCTCAAGCAGTCCTCTTACCTCGGCCTCCCAAAGTGCTGAGATTGTAGGTGTTAGCCACCACACTCGGGCTTTTTATCTTTTAAAGATATTTATCTCCATGTTATAAGTTTTTATTTGTATTCTGAATTGATTTTCTGAGTTCTTTGTATTGGTTTTTAGATTTCTCTGGCATCTCATTGAGCTTCTTTAAAATCAATGTTTTGAATTCTTTATCTGGGATTTTGAGGATTTTTTTTTCTTTTTTGGTTAGGATCTACTGCTGGAGAATTATTACATTCATTTGAGGCCATAATATTACTTAGCTTTTTCATGTTTTCTGTATCTTTATGTTGGTTTCTGCTCATCTGGCTTCATAGTTACATCTTTTTAAAAAAATAACTTTCACGTGGATGGGGGACTTTTTTCTTGAAGATATGACAATGATGTTCGTTGGGTAAGGCCTTCTGGCTTTGCTTCCAGGTGCATGCAGTAGTGAAGACTCTGTATAATTTGTATGGCTATCCTTATTCTGTTAATGTGTTGTTCTTGGTGGGGCCTGTGGTGAAGTTGTGCTTGTGACTGGAATGCCTGATGGGCCCATCATCAGGTTGTAATGGTAGCAGAGGTGTGCTAAGTATGTCTATCCTTGTGACCTGGGACAGCATATGCTGGCTCCTGTGTTGGCAGTTTCCAGGCAGGCTCATGTTTGGGCATCTGGGTGGCTTCCTCAGATGCCAGTTTTAGTAGCAGTATACCAGGCAGATAAGCAGGCTCTCAAGCTCCTGAGCAGTTGGAGTAGTGTGGGTGATAGAGGTAGCAGTGGTGGTGAGATAGTCTCCTTGTTCCCATGCACTGTGCTCTTGTGTTGGAAGTGGTTGCAACAGGCTGTGCAAACTGGCTTCTAGGCCAGAAGGTGGTGCTTTCAGGTAAGAGCCAGCTGAGACTGTAGAAGCAGGGTGTTTATGCTCAGTCTCTGTCCCCTTGGTGCTCATGTGCCCCTGGTGGTAGATTGGGTTGTGGAACACCCAGAACCTGGCCCCCACAGTTCATGTTGGCATAGGGTTAGGAGGGTGAAGCTGGGTGGATCCAGACTGGGCAAGCTTGTACTCAACACCTCCCAATGGCAAGTGCGTGCATGAGCCATGATGTGGGGGTGGGGCAGGCAGTGTAGTCGTCATGCCCCTGGTGAAATGCTTGGGTGAGAGGTGACTGCTGCTGTGCTGAGGTCCTGCCATGGGTGCCAGGGAGGATGAGACCACTGCTGTCCCTCCCTCATCCCATCTGTGGCAGCCAACCTGGCTGTTCTGTTAGTATGGCAGTTTGCACCCAGCCCATAATTCAGCCATGAGCCATAGAAGCCAGCACCCAGCTCAAGACCAAGCCTCTGCAGTAACTCATCCTGCTCAGGATTGGAGCATTGGGAGCCTGGTTCCAGTGCCAGAGGCTGGAGCCCATGCCATGTCCGTTTCTTAGTTTTGATTGTGGGATTCCCCATTGATCCCCATTCCTGCTCAAGCCCCTGCTCCACAAGATGCAACCTGATCTTCCCCAATGGCCAAGACTGGTGCTGCAGATTCCCAGGACCACTCATAGTTTGCTAAGAGCTAGGATTAAGAATCGCATCTTACTGTGGCTACTTAGTTCTCAGGAATTGTGTGGGACCCAGGGCATGTTGCCTCCTTGAAGCAGTTCCTTCTCACAGTCTCTTGGATGCTCCCTAAATCAGATTCAGGATTTGGGTGGGTCAGGGTGCTCTGCTGTGGCCTGGACTGTATGATTCCCCAGTGGGAAAGTGGACTGCAGAAAGATACTCACTCACTCTCTCTTAGGGATTCATTGCCAGTTCCCAGCCGGTCTTGACCACGACAGGCTGTCTGCTTTTCTTCTCATTCCCAGATTTTGGAGTTTCCTTTCACTTTTTCTGTTGAACCCTGTGTTCCCTGTTGGGTAATGTATTCAAAGTGTGATTGTCTACATACCACTTTGGTTTTTCTAAGTGGATGAGGTGTGCTGGAAATGTTTTTAGTCAGCTATCTTGGAAAACAAAGGTCATCCTCCTGTCACTTTTTGAACTTCTTTGGTTACTGTGTTTTCTCATGACTATTATTTTCAGCCTTCTCTGCTTGCTGTTTTTTCTCTACTCACTAAGTGTTGGCCTTCCTGATAGCCCATTCTTGATCTCTCTAATTCAATACTCTGATATTAGGTGATGCCTTCCATTTCTGTGATTTAATAGAACTAACCATATTCCTACAACTTTCAATTTTTTTTTTTTTGAGATGGAGTCTCACTCTGTCACTCAGGCTGGAGTGCAGTGGCACGATCTCGGCTCACTGCAATCTCTGCCTCCCGGGTTCAAGCAATTCTCCTGCCTTGGCCTCCTGAGTAGCTGGAATTACAGGCGTGCGCCACCACGTCTGGCTAATTTTTGTATTTTTAGTAAGAGACGGGGTTTCACCATATTCTTCAGGCTGGTCTTGAACTCCTGACCTTGTGATCCGCCCACCTCGGCCTCCCAAAGTGCTGGGATTATAGGCATGAGCCACTGTGCCTGGCCACAACTTTCAATTTTATATATCCATCCCAGACTTCACTTAGGAGATCAAGATTCATCTGTCTAATGCCCATTTAACAGCCCCTCTTTGAGTCTCTCTCAGATGTCTCGGTTTATACAGATATAAACTTGAACCCTTCATTGCACCTCTGTTTCAAAAAAGCAAAAACCTCACCAGTAGAAGAAGCTACAAAAATCCTGTTACACTCCCACTGTTTATTAGATATTATTATTTTAGCTGTCCAGGCCAGAATCCTGGGTGCCATTCTTGATTCTTTCCTCTCATTTCTTCCACATACCTAGCTCTTTGCCATCCCCTATGAGTACTAATTTCAAAATATATTTCAAATTTTATCCATTTTCTCTTAACCCTATTCTTGCAATCTTAATACAAGTTACTATCGTCTAATCTCTGAGACCACTATATTATTTATGAGTACTTAATACTAGGTATTATACAGAATAACAAACTGGGCATGATTTTGTTTTTAGGATTTCAAATTACTTGTAAACAGTAATTTTGAACTCCCAGAATTCTGAAGTTACAAGAATAAGAGGTAAAACCCTAAATATAAAGAAACATATCCTAAACTAAAAACAGTGACTTCACTTTCTTCCCCAATAGAACTGTGTGATGCTTGGGTATCCAGAGGAGGTAAGCCAGAATATTGGGAAACATTTATTTCTAGTTTAGATTTTGGTTTCTAGTAATTCTATTGTTTTTTTAGTTATTCAGAATTTTATGGTGGGAGGAGGAAGAATAGAAATTTTCATATTATATAAACATAGCTATTTTTTGCCAGTTATACAATTTTACATAAGGTTAAGAATGAGAATATATATCTCTCTCCTTCTCTATATGTATCTCTATATATTACATATATAGTAATGCATATGTTAATGTTCTGAATAAGGAATTTACTATATTGCTAAGTGAATAGGCCTCATCCCTTGGAATGAGGAAGTTGAGCATTACTGAGAGGAGGTTGTTTTTATGAGGGCAGACCAGATGCTAAATGAGGTACATTGAGCTAGGCTGGATGCTCTTCCTGACAGAGGCACAAAATTTTCTTACATTTTTAACTAAATAAGTATGAGCTAGTGTGAGCAAAGTAAATTTCTATGATAAGGTAACTAACTTGATAGTTACTCAGGTAGTTTTTGGGGGTTTGCACCTTTGGGGACATTATTTGTCTGCCATGAATAGAGGTTGTTGCTGGCATCTAGTGGGTAGATGCCAGAGATGCTGCTAAATATCCTACAGTGCCCAGGATAGCCCCCTACAATGGTTATCCAGACCAAAAAGGTCCACAGTGGTGGGGTTGAGCAACTCTCTTCTAGAGTATTTATTTTTCAACCCACTGCTATAATGTCCTAAGTATTTTTCAAAATTTCATTTAACAAATAAACCCTTAATAGGAGTAATGGTTATAACGATTCCATGATTTTATTTTTGTGAAAATTTAAATGAATGGAAGTATATTTGTGTGTACTTGCAATAATTTAGGAGAGGAATGAATCAAGGATGAATACCAGGTTTCTGGCTTGAGCAACTCACCAGGAGGATGTTGTTGACATTGAGATGAGAAAAAAAAAATTGTGGGAAAAGATCTTCATTTCAGATGTTATATTTGTAGAATTTGAGGTGCCTGAGAGATATCAAGGTGAAGTCCTGAAGATCAGAACATAGGCTTTTAGACATATCCTTAATTTGCAATTCATCGGTATGTAAATATAATTTGGATCTAGGTTGGATGAAATCACCCAGTAGAGTATCTTTTTTTTTTCCATTTACTTTTCAGATTTACTGAGTGAACATAATTTTTCATAAACATTTGATCTAAATCATTTTTGTTGTTGTTGTTGCTGGTTGTTTGGTTTTTAATACTGGGAACACAGAGATTCAGTTTGAAAGATACCCTAAAATCTTAAGAGTAGTATACACCAATCCCTCCCACTCTCCACCCACAATCTAGTTGGTTTAAGTGAGCAGAATGATCCATTTTTCCATTTTAGGTGAGCAGATGTTTATGAAAGATCTTAGAACTGTTTGCCTCATTTATCAGGAACATTTACAAGGGAAGAAGCCATTAATCGTATTTCAACTTGTAAATAGAAGAAGACTAAGACTCAGGTTCATATCTTATACTTTTAACAAGAACTTGTTGAAAGAAACATTAACAATTTCAAACTAATTTTAAGTTTTTCCTCACAAAAGCATAAAAATGGAGATCTTAACAGGAAATTCTTAAAAGGTAAAAACAACTCCTACTTATACTAGTCCTTGGGTAGTTAACATAGAACAGGTTCTTCTTTTTGTTTCTTTGAAAAGGAATTTTTGGGCCCAAGTCTGTTCCTGCTTAGTATCTGCTCCGGCCTTCCCCCCTCTCGAAGCGGCCTCCTTGACGGCCTCCGCCCCTGGGCACCCTGCAGCCTGACCGGCTGTAAGAATCATGCAGGGGAGGGCTGCCCGTTTCCATGGGCAGAGGGAGCCCACGATCCGGTCTGCCTACCCGGTCTCGACCCCTCGAGTAGCGGTCGCTCCGGCCGTAACTGTTGCTGGATCTGTCGTGGTCGCCGCTGTAGGCGTCAGGCAAGCTGCCCTGGTACTCCTCGTAGTGGCCTCCTCCTCCGTAGCGGTCGCTCAGGCCGTAACTCTTGATGGAACTGTCGCGGCCCCCACTGTGGGCGTCAGGCGAGGGGCCTCGGTACTCCTCGTAGCGGCCTCCTCCTCCGTAGCGGTGGCTCCGGCCATGACTGTTGTTGGAACTGTTGAGGCCGCGGCCCCCGCCGTAGGCATTGGGCGAGCGGCCTTGGTATTCCTCGTAGCAGCCTCCTCTTCCGTAATGGTCACTCCGGCCATAGCTGTTGCTGAAACTGTCGCGGCCCCTGCTGTAGGCTTCGGTGTAGTGGTCCCCGCTGTGGGCATCGGGCGATCGGCCCCTGCTGTGGGTGTCGTGCGAGCGGCCTCGGTACTCTTCGTAGTGGCCTCCTCCTCCATAGCGGTGGCTCCGGTCGTAACTGTTGCTGGAACTGTCACGGCCCCCACTGTAGGCGTTGGGTGAGTGGCCTCCGCTGTTGGCATCGAGAGAGTGACCTCGGTTCTCCTCGTAGCGGCCTCCTCCTCTGCAGGGGTCGTTCCGGCTGGAACTGTTGTGGCCCCCGCTGTAGGCATTGGGTGAGCGGCCTCCGCTGTTGGCATCGAGCGAGCGGCCTCGGTACTCCTCGTAGCGGCCTCCTCCTCCGTAGCGGTGGCTCCGGCTGGAACTGTCATGGCCCCCACTGTAGGCGTCAGGCAAGCGGCCACTGCTGTTGGCATCGAGTGAGCGACCTCCTCCTCCATAGTGGTCGCTCTGGCTGGAACTGTCGTGGCCCCGGCTGTAGGTGTCAGGCGAGCGGCCTCCGCTGTTGGCATCAAGCGAGTGGCCTCGGTACTCCTCGTAGCGGCCGCCTCCTCCATAGCGGTTGCTCTGGCTGGAACTGTCGTGGCCCCCACTGTAGGCATCAGGCGAGCGGCCTCCACTGTTGGCATCGAGCAAGCGGCCTCGGTACTCCTCGTAGCGGCCTCCTCCTCCGTAGCAGTTGCTCTGGCCAGAACTGTCGTGGCCCCCACTGTAGGCATCAGGCGAGCGGCCTCCACTGTTGGCATCAAGGGAGCGGCCTCGGTACTCCTCGTAGCGGCCTCCTCCTCCGTAGCGGTGGCTCCAGCTGGAACTGTCGTGGCCCCCGCTGTAGGCATTGGGCGAGCGGCCTCCACTGTTGGCATCGAGGGAGCGGCCTCGGTACTCCTCGTAGCAGCCTCCTCCTCCGTAGCGGTTGCTCTGGCTGGAACTGTCGTGGCCCCCACTGTAGGCGTCGGCAGAGCAGCCCCCACTGTGGGCGTCATGCGAGCGGCCTCGGTACTCATAGCGGCCTTCTCCTCCATAGCGGTGGCTCTGGCCGTAACTGTTGCTGGAACTGCTGTGGCCCCCACTGTGGGTGTCGGGTGAACGGCCTCCGCTGTTGGCATCCAGAGAGTGGCCTCGGTTCTCCTCATAGTGGCCTCCTACTCCGTAGCGGTCGCTCCAGCTGGAATTGTCGTGGCCCCCACTGTAGGCCTCGGGCGAGCAGCCTCCACTGTTGGCATCCAGCGAGCGGCCTTGGTACTCCTCATAACGGCCTCCTCCTCCGCAGCAGTCGCTCCAGCTGGAACTGTCATGGCCCCCACTGTAGGCGTCGTCGGACCGGCCCCTGCTGTGGGCATCAGTGGAGCGGCCCCCGCTGCGGGCCTCGTGTGAGCGGCCTCGGTACTCCTCATAGCGGCCTTCTCCTCCATAGTGGTGGCTCTGGCCGTAACTGTTGCTGGAACTGTTGCGGCCCCCGCTGTGGGCGTCGGGCGAGCGGCCTCTGTACTCCTCGTAGCAGCCTTCTTCTCCGTAGCGGTCACTCCGGCTGTAACCGTTACTGGAACTGCTGCGGCCCCCACTATAGGCTTTGGGCGAGTGGTCCCTGCTGTAGGCGTCTGGCAAGACGACTGGCAAGGCCTCGGACGAGCGGCCTTCACTGCAGGCATCGGGCGAGTTGCCCTGGTACTCCTCGTAGCGGCATCCTCCTCCATAAGATGGCGGTGTCCCCCACACAGGGGCAGCGCCGCATGGGCCTCCGTAGCTCTTGAGGGGCTCTCGGTAGGAGCCTTTGCTGGGATGATCTGTGTACTCATGGTCGCGACCCCTGTAGCCATTTTGGTTGCCGTCGCCTCTCAAGGGACGGTAGTCCGGGACACTGGAGTGGCCATAATAGCGGCGGCTGTAGTCTCTGAGCGCAGGGACAAAATCCCCAGGGTCGCGGCACGGGGGCAGTGGCTCCCGGACCCGCGGGCCTGAGTAGCCATCTTGCCCCCACACGGCCGGGGCCTTCCCAGGCATTCCACTGCCGCCAATGCGAGCCAGGCTTGACCGGGGCACAGCCCTCTTGTGGGGTGGGCCGGCCCAGCGCCGTGGCTGCAAGCCTGAGTAGCCATCTTGCCCCGACACAGTCGGTGCCTTCCCGCGCATTCCACAGCCAACGCTGTGAGCCAGGCTCGACGGCGTGGCCCTCTTGTGGGGTGGGCTGGCCCAGTGCCGCGGTGGCGGCCCGCGCTTCCTGGGCATCGGGGCCCTGTAGGGCCACAGGTCGAAATACCCCGCGTAGCCGCGGCCGTCATCAGGCCTGCCCTGAGAGGGGGGTCGCTGTGGGCTGCTGCCACCCCCACGGGTTCTGTGTGAGAACCTTGAGCGACTGCCGCTGCCGGGGGTTGGCGGGACCCATCGGCTGCTCTTGAATGCCGGTTTGATGGTCTGGGCCACCATGATGGCCTTACCATCCAGGTACTTGCCGTTCATATCTCTGGCGGCAGCCTTGGCGTCTGCAGGGCTTTCGAAGGTGACGAACGCGAAGCCCCTCGACTTGTTGGTTTTTCGGTCTTTCATCAGGAACACCTTGATGATGTGGCCATACTTGCCAAACTCGGCTTTGAGGGCTTTCTCGTCGGTTTTGAGGTTGAGGCCCCCAATGAAAAGCTTCTCTGGGCGATCCGCTTCCATCATGTCTCCCTGCCGAATGGTGGGTCAGAGGAAGTGGGAAGTGATGACGCGGCAGTTCAGTCGCGGCCTTCGAGCGCTCTCGTGGAGGGCGGCTCCTACCGGTTGGGGGGGTGGATGTCTCAAGAAGGAAAAGAGTACCTTACGTCATAGTTCTTGGGAACACCAACGTCTATGATACAGGTAGAGGAAATCCTAGGAATAGAAAATAAGAAGTAGCCAGAGAGGTAGGAAGAGATCCCAGAAGTGTAGTCTTCTAAGCCAGAGGAAAATAATCTTTCCAGACATATGGAATGGTTATTGATATGGTGGTTGTTGGTTACATTGGTGGATGTGAGAGTGGATAGAAACCAAATTGCAGTGGGTTAAGAAGTCCATGGTAAGTAAGAAATTTAGTTGTGTTGTGGGTTTATGTGAGTTTGGCTGTAAAAGAAGAGGCAGATGGAGGGGGTTGTGGGATCGTGGGAGGTATTTTTGTGTTTGCTTTTAAAGATCAGAGATAATTCTTCGTTGGTATTTTAAAAGACAAATAGCATATTTGGAATTTAGGTATACTGAAGCATATCAAATACATCTGGTTAATAAACATGCGTTCTATGAGGTTTTTTTCTTTTTTTGAGACAGAGTCTCGCTCTGTCACTCAGGCTGGAGTGCAGTGGCGTGATCTCAGCTCCCTGCAACCTCCGCCTCCTGGGTTCAAGCGATTCTCCTGCCTCAGCCTCCTGAGAAGCTGGGATTACAGGGGCCCACCATCACATCCGGCTAATTTTTGTGTTTTTAGTAGACACAGGATTTCGCCATGTTGGCCAGGCTGGTCTCCAACTCCTGAGCTCAAAAGATCTGCCTGCTTTGGCCTCCCAAAGTGCTGGTATTACAGATGTGAGCCACCGCGCCCAGCCGTATGAGTGTATTTCTAAATGATGTTTTTTGCCTTCAAGGTATTGATGGATAATATTGTATATTTTAAAGTATTTTAAGTAGTTGCTTAGATTCTAAGTGATTCAGCAAGTGTGAAAATAGTTCTTTTAATTACCATAGATATAGGTATATGTTTAATACTCACTATTTTCTTTTCAGATCTTTCCAGAAATCGTTTTACAGAAATTCCTTCTGATGTCTGGTTATTTGCACCCCTTGAAACATTAAATTTATATCATAATTGCATCAAAACCATTCCTGAAGCCATTAAAAATCTGCAGATGTTAACATACCTTAACATTAGGTAAGGAAACAATTTAAAAATAAATTTTGGTTTTTATTGTTGTTCTAATCCTTTTTTAGTCGCAAAGGAATATGTTTGATTTGGCTGTGTAGCTTAAATTTATCTCAACAGTATCTTATTTGTGTTTTTTATATGTTCACATTATTTTGTAGGCTTTTGTCTTGTTCTTGAGAGCAGAGCTTAGCAAACTTTAACACACAGGAATTACCCGGGGATCTGTTAGAATGCAGATTCTAATTTCTTAGGTCTGTTATGGGGCCTGCATTTCTAACAGGCCCCTTGGCAATGCTCATGCCTACCTGCTGGTCCTTAGACCTCAGTTTGAGTAGCAAGGCTTTAGACCATAAATATTTCCTGAAATTATAGCACCACGATACAGATTTTATATGCATCCTTAGATATGTGAAACAAACAGTGCTTGAGTTATTTTTTCTCACTTTTGTGACTTCTTGCTTCTACTTCAAGGATGGTTAGAGTGGGGTGAGAATGTTGAAAGGTTTGGAAGTGGATGACAGTTCATGTTTATACTTAGTAAGTGCTTACCATGTGCCAGGCAGTCAGTGTTCCAAACGCTTTACCCATATTACCTTATCTAGTTTTCATGACAGCATTTTGAGATAGGTACCATTGTTATCCCTGCATTACAGATGAGGAAATTGGGTTAAGCTATTTGTCCAAATTCATAGATATATTCAGCAAGTGGTAGAGCCAAGATTAAAATCAAAGCAGTCTGGCTATAGAGCTCTCATTCATACATAGCTTTTACCCTATATATGTAAAAGAATGAACACTCAGTAAGTATAAGAAAAAAACTTTCCCTGCCAAATCAGTAACATTGAATGAAAATTGATATATTGTGACTTAATTTTAGAATTTTTTTCTTTTTTTATTCAGTTGGAAGGGATAATCTCCTCATTAACCAAGTTACTTGTCTAAATTCCCATATAGAGAAGTAGTAAATATAATTAATATACATAAATGATAATGTTCCCTTCTCACTGTGATATATCAGTTCTTTTGTATGACTCCCCCAGTGGTGTTACCTGACAGTACAAGCTATTTTAACTGAAACCACTTTACACCTTAAAATGTGTGAGAGAAGTTTCCTGGCTGGGTGCGGTGGCTCACGCCTGTAATCCCAGCACTTTGGGAGGCCAAGGCGGGTGGATCACGAGGTTAGGAGATCGAGACCATCCTGGCTAACATGGTGAAACCCTGTCTCTACTAAAATTACAAAAAATTAGCCAGGCGTGGTGGTGGGCGCCTGTAGTCCCAGCTACTGGGGAGGCTGAGGCAGGAGAATGATGTGAACCTGGGAGGCGGAGCTTGCAGTGAGCCGAGATCGCGCCACTGCACTCCAGCCTGGGTGACAGAGTAAGACTCTGTCTCAAAAAAAAAAAAAAAAAAAAAAAGTGTGAGGGAAGTTTCCTTCCAAAGATATCAATCATTTGGGTTGCTCCTTTCTCTAAGTAGGTATAAATCTCCTTGGCCTGGCTTAGGAGAGGTTTGAGGAAAGTGAGGTATTTTTAAGTTTTGTCTTTGTTTCTGTTTCATTTTGTTCTTTTGCGGAAAAAGTGATTCGCCAAAAACTGAATTACACTTCTCTATTAACACATATGGTAATCTTAGTTTTACTAAAACTTTCTCTGATTCTATCCTGTCACGATCTGTAAAAGTCAACTTTGATCTTTTTTTACAGTCACAAAAATTTTTGAGCAAACTATATTGAAATAACATTTGTTCTAGTGACTGAATTCTTCTCTAAGGCATGTAGTAAAATAGTGACAATTAATAATTTATTTGCCGGTATTAAGAAACCAGATTCTGGTGAAAGATGATTGTGTTAACTCAATGAATATGCATTTTTTTTTTTTTTTTTAGACGGAGTCTTGCTCTGTCTCCCAGGGTGGAGTGGCACCATCTTGGCTCACTGCAACCTCCGCCTCCCAAATTCAAATGTTTCACCTGCCTCAGCCTCCCAAGTAGTTGGAAGTATAGGCGCCTGTCACCAGGCCCGACTAATTTTTAGTAGAGACAGTGTTTCACCACGTTGGCCAGGCTGGTCTCAAACTCCTGACCTCAAATGATTTGCCCGCCTCGGCCTCTCAAAAGTGCTGGGATTACAGGCGTGAGCCATTGTGACCGGCCTGAATATGCTTTTTAAGGGAAGAAAATAAATTGATTTTTAAGCTATTTTTGGCCTGAAGATGTATTAGAATGAGTTTGCCATTATTTCTTCCATGTATTTATTTATTTTGGTGAAAATCTCTTAATAAACTTGTAAAATAATTTTTCAACTCTTCTCTCTTCCTATATACTACCCCCCTTTTTCAGTAGAATCCTGTAGAAAGATCCTTGTGTGCCCTGGTATGAAGGGACCCAGACTGACCATTTTTCCAAGGAGCCTGCTTCATCCTGAAAGTATGAAGGATTATGACAGGACCCTAGCACATTTGACATTCCAGCAGTCTGGCCATTATTGCTTGTTGAGGGGCATTGCCATTTTTTTGTTTGTTTGTTTGTGCCGTGTTATTAAAGCCAGTCTAGTATTTCTGGATGTCCTTTGCCAGAGAAAAGATGGGGAGGAGGGTCTTTCAAGTCCCCCTTGAGTAACACTGGACTTTTGTTGCTGTGTATGTTACACGAAATGCTAGGTATAGGTCTATAAATGACACTTTGAAAAACAGGAAAAATAATAGCTTATCGCTTACCAGTGCTTGTTAGTATGTAAATGGAATGGAAAAATATACATTTTGTTAGTGGTTCCTTTGGGTCAGTCAGTCTGTTTTGGCATATAAATTTGACCATAGTACTTTGAGGGCAAAGACCCCAGAGCCAGATTGCCTGAGTTTGAATCCTGCCTCTCCCATTTAACAGCTGTGTGACTTTGAGCAGTTTACTTAAACTCTTTGTGACTATTTCTTCATCTGCAAAATGGGGATCACTGTGAGAGTTAATTCACATGACCTGCTGCAAAATGAGGATCACTGTGAGAGTTAATTCACATGAGCTGCCCTGAACATGGCCTGGCAATAGTAGGCACTCAGTAAATGTTAGTTATTATATTTAAATGTATCTACAGAGATAAGAATGTTTTATCAACTTTGAGCTGAGATAAAGGTGCTAATAGGCTGTTAAACCTTAAAAGGGAATGGGTTAGGGTTACTACATGTTTTTGAAGATATAGTCCTATTCACTCTTTTATAAACTTAAACATAGTGCATGCACATTTATCCCTGGAGACTTTCCCTAGCATGGAAGTATTGAATATACCAGAATTATATCAAGGAGCAAAGTTCTGACATTATTGAGCTCGGAGGAATCATTCTGGGTTTTTGAGAACTGATGGTGTGTGGAGTAGTATCATAGGTCTGCCTGCATAGGGTTTGCTATGCTATGGATCTCTGCTGTAGTTGGGCAAATCACTTAACCAGTTTTAACTTTCATTTTCTGATTTGTATAATGGAGATAATAACTACTTAATCTTGTATCATTAACATGAGGATTAAATGAGACAGTGCATATAAGAAATTTAACACTGTGCCTGATACAAAGTGAGCACTCAGCAAGTACTTATTAAGTTATTACTTAGTGATAGAATATTATTTACTTACAAAGTGATTTCTTCGTTTTTAATATGTCACATTACATACATATTCTCGTAATGAAACTTTCTCATTCTTTTCAGCCGAAATCTTTTATCAACATTGCCAAAATACCTATTTGATCTTCCCCTTAAAGTTTTGGTCGTCAGTAATAATAAACTGGTATCCATTCCAGAAGAAATTGGGAAGTTAAAAGATTTAATGGAATTGGTGAGTAACTTAGTTGTATTAATTAATGCAATATGCGTAATATATCTACATTTTGGAAGATTACCTATTTTTAATGGAATTTAATTGTAATTTTTAAAAAAAGTACTAACTTGGTATATGTCTAAATTCAGTAAGATTTAGTAAAATCTTGAGATACTATATGTCTGAGTTTTTCCAGTCACAAAATAGCATGGTTCTTCCTTAGTCCTTGTGACGTCAGAAGGCTTGCTTACAAACTTTAAGAAATACTTTTCAAATGAATAAGCATTTGTTTACTCATTTTGTGGACAGTAAAGGTCTTAGAGGAAAGCTAAGGGAATTTTTAAAATAAAACTTTTATAGGACTATGATATATCCTTAAACAAAGGAGATAAAAGAAGAGAGTGTCTGCAAACAGAATTAGCAACATAACTCTTCCTCACTGTTTGCTTATGTGACGTTATGACACTTTTTAGACTGAAATAAATGGTAAAAGGCCATTATATGCAATTGATTGTAGAAATACAGAATAATTTAAATTAATTACCTTGGACATAACATTTTAGGTATTAAAGGACATTGAATTCTGAGAGAAACATATTCAGAGCCTCGAAGCTTTCAGCTATTTTTCATATCTTCTGGTTACCTCCACTTTACGCAGTATACCATGCTTCATGTTTTTCTTTTATTTTGAATGATGCTTTCCTAATAAACAGGTATTTTTAAAGTTTTTTTTTTGTGATAGAGTCTCGCTCTGTTGCCCAGACTGGTGTGTAGTGACATGATCTTGGTTCACTGCAACCTCCGCCTCCCAGGTTCAGGCTATTCTCGTGCTCAGCCTCCCAAGTCGTTGGGATTACAGCCATGCGCCACCACACCCAACTTATTTTTGCATTTTTCGTAGAGATGGGGTTTCACTGTGTTGCCCAGGCTGGTCTTGAACTCCTGGCCTCAAGTGATCCACTTGCTTCGGCCTCCCAAAGTGCTGGCATTACAGGTGTCAGCCACTGTGCATGGACTAAAGTCCTAAAATATTCTTATGTATGACTTTATTATGTCCGGGGAGGTCAAAAGTTTTCTTGAGGAACTTACCTACAATTTCATAATGAGAAATTAATATTAACAGAATGTAATGAGCAGAAATTTCAGGAATACCTTTTATTCATTAAGGAATACCTGCATGTCCAATTATAATACAAGGAAACTTCCTTGAATTTCACCTTATGTTTTAGAACCATATAATTTTGAAGTTATAAAAGATCTTAGAAGTGATCAGATACAACCACTTTCTAATGTAGGAATCCCTGATACATCTACTGTATATTTTCAATGGTGGACAACTCTGTGTGTGTGTGTGTGTGCGTGTGCGTGCGTGTGCATGCGTGACTGTCCTAATTCTTCTTTGCAAAACTCTATTTGTTATTAATCTTTCTTATTTTGAACCAAAATACATGCTTCTATCATTTTTTTCCATTGGGCCTGGGACTACCATGTGAAGAAATATAGATAATGACAACTTCTCTCCCCTTCAGATATTTGTAATCTGTTGTGTGTTTACACTCCATTTTACCAAACTCTTTTTTTTTTTTTTTTTTTTTTTGAGACGAAGTTCACTCTGTCGCCCAGGGTGGAGTGCAGTGGTGCGATCTTGGCTCACTGCAACCTCCACCCTCTGAGTTCAAGCAATTCTCCTGCCTCAGCCTCCCGAGTAGCTGGGATTACAGGCACCTGCCACCGCGCCCGGCTAATTTTTTGTATTTTTAGTAGAGATGGGGCTTCACCATCTTGGCCAGGCTGATCTTGAACTCCTGACCTCGTGATCCACCTGCCTCGGTCTCCCAAAGTGCTGGGATTACAGGCGTCAGCCACCGCGCCCAGCGTACCAAACTCTTAAGATGTGTTTTTCTATAGCTTAAACATCCTTATTACCTTTATTCCTTTTTATGACTTTTTACTTTTAGCTAATTCGATTTAGAAAATGTTCCTTTTAGTTAAAGTCTCACTTAATGTTGTACTAAAAAATGAACAGAGATTCCAGATATGATCTAACAAGTTCATAATAAAAGGTACCATTATTTTGTTTGACTTGAACACTATTAATGTTTTTCCAGATTTTATAAAGGTTATAATTTAAGATTTTATGTCTCCGTAATTTATTTGTTTTTAATTTAGTTTTTGGCCCTACGTTTTTAATTACATTACATGATGTAATTTTTAGATAAATGAAATGTAAAAAATAATTAGGAGTTTTATATTAATTCTAGTACAGTTGTCCCTCTATGGGGGATTGGTTCCAGGATTCACCCCATACCAAAATCCACGAATGCTCAAGTCTCTTATATACAATAGTAATATTTACATATAACCTAAATACATTCTCCCATATACTTTAAATCATTTCTAGATTACTTATAATACCTAATACAGTGTAAATGCTGTGTGAGTAGTTGTTACGTTGTATTATTTAAGGAGTAATGACAAGAAAAAAAAGTTAATATATGTTCAGTACAGGCACAACCATGCTTTTTTTTTCCTGAATATTTTTGATTTGTATTTGGTTGAATTCATGGATGCAGAACCCATGGATACAGAGGACCAACTGTTTTTTAATTTATGTAGAAAATTCTAAAATGTTTAACACTATTATTTTACTAGGTACTGTAAAATTATTATGCTTTAAACTCTTGAAATCAGTAACAGTAGATGGGTAGATAGCATTAGGAGGGCTAATTGACAGTTGTAAATCACATATTGAATTGGTGGATATTCCCTGTCATTGGAATATTTTCTCTTGATACTTTTCCACATCATGTGATAATCAACTGCAATGAAATTCTGTCATTAGAAACCTAGGAAATACTCTCTGGCTTCCAATCCTTTGCAGACTATTTTGTAGAGCACCCACTGGAGTGGGTTCATTTCCTATGCCTGGGTTTATTTCTCTTGGGAAATGACAGCTATCTCTCAAATTTCTATGGATTTTCCATATGGAAATCATAAGTATCAAATACCTTTAGAAAGAAGCAATAATGTTTAAATAACATTTTCACAAACTTCTATTATCCATCGTTTGAATAGTAGTCTATTCTGAACATAGCAGCTAAGGTGATCCTGTCAAAATATAAGTCAGATCATGTCAATCCCATGTTCAAAAGTTTCTGGATCCTGCCCACATCTCTCAGAATAAAAGCTAAAGTCATATCCCTCCCTCTATTCTACTCTCTCCCTTGCCCATTTCCCTCTAGTTACACTGGATTCCTTGCTGTTCTTTGTACCTGTCAGGTGCGCTCTGCCTGAGCGCCTTCACTTTTATTGTTCCTTCTGTCTGGAATATTCCTTTCTTATATATTAGTATGGTTCACCTTTTAGCTCTGACAGTACTGCTCAATATCACCTTCTCTATGAGATAAAGTAGTATCCCTCCCCACTATTGCGAGCATAGCCATTTTCCTACCCTGTTATCTTTTTTAAATAGCACTTATCACCTTCTAGCATATTATATAATTTACTCCCCTTGCTAGCATGTAAACTCCATGAGGAGCTATGACAGCAGGAAATTTTGTTTTGCCCCTTGATAAATCCCCAGTCCCTGGAACAGTACCTAGCAAATGTTAATAGTATTCAACAAATATTTATTGTTGAATGAAGATGCCTTAGATATTGTTTGAAAGAGGTATGTAGGATATATTTTCCTAATCATCTATAGCATTATTATATTCTTCCCTACATGGTTTTAATATTATTTTGAAAACTGAATGTATGTACTATTCTCCTCCCTCCAAGCTATTATCATTTTCACTAAAAGTTGGAAATTGGGGGCAGTTGCATTAGAATATGAATTTCATTTGAAGTGTGTCTGGAATGATTACTGTCTGAGACCATGTTGTAGATTTCTCTTTTTTTTGTTGTTGATGTTATTATAAGAAAGAGGGGAGAGAGCACAGTTAACTTAAACTGTTCTTTTTTCTGTTTTTTTTAATTATGATAATAAATAAAAACCTCAATTTGTTATTATGGAAACTTGATATCGTTTGCCTTTAAATTGGGGCTTGGATTTTAACCACAGAGATTTCCTGAGAGACACCTTAGATAACCTGAGAGATTTCCAACTCAGATCTCTTAGAATGTCTTTGAGCTATGAGATGAGTCACAAGTGTTGGGGCTTGTAACTTCTCATTTTGTATCCCTTTGGAGAAAGAGATTTAGTTAAATCAATCTTTATCATAGTCTGTTTCGCCAGTGCACATTTATAAATCCTTGACTTTCTTAGCTTCTGCCCAGCCAAGTATCTCGAGACAACTACTGTAATTGACAGATTACACAATGTTTGAGAGTTGTTAGTCTTTTACTTTACCTCCACGTGAAGAGTGCTGGATCATTCTTACTTCTGGTTTTGGCTGGTATGAGTTGGCCTTTAGTTGAGATTTTCGAGAGGTTGTAGTTACTAAGATATAACCTCAAATTTTTGTATGGGAAGTTTCTATTTACTGTACTAGGTCGGCTTCATGATGTCGTATAAATAGAAATCTGCCAGATAATCCATCTTTAGAGCAATGACATTAGAGGATAACTTTTGCTAGCTATTAACCATGTGCTTTAATTTAAAAATTAGAATATATATATATAATATATGTATTTCTCAGTTAGCTTGTTATAATTCTGTTTTATTGTTCTCCTTAGGATATTAGCTGCAATGAGATTCAAGTCCTTCCCCAACAAATGGGAAAATTACATTCACTTAGAGAGCTAAATATAAGAAGAAATAATCTTCATGTTTTGCCAGATGGTAAGATGTTCACTGTTTTTACTCACATGAATAAGAGAGTAACTATGTAAAATTTAATTAATTATTTTTCATTTCTGACCAGAATTAGGAGACCTTCCCTTAGTCAAGCTGGATTTCTCTTGTAATAAAGTGACCGAAATTCCAGTTTGTTACAGAAAGCTGCATCATTTACAAGTAATAATTTTGGATAACAATCCATTGCAAGTACCACCAGCACAGGTTTGTAATAAAAATATTATAATGTTTCTTCTCATTTTTATTCATAATTTTATCTGTTTATGACTGGTAAATCAAAAAGCACCTAAATCAAGAGCCAATTTGTTGTTCAAGCACTGTTGTCTAAAGTTTTTCTGAGCATTGCCTTTTGCACTTTGGTAGGAGTTTTAGCTTAGGCTCTAGGATAGCATTTGGAAAACCCAGATAATAACTTTCTGCTTGTGAACTGATAATTCTGGTTGTTAGTTATTTACAAAAGTGACTCTGAAGTCTCTCTACCTATTTCCCACTCAGGTATATATCTACTTGGGATTTGTTGTGGGATTGATTGGAGTACATTCTTGGCACTGAGAGATGGAATTATAACAGAAAGAACAAAATACAAGTGGAAAATATTAATTATGACTTTTAGTTTAGTGAGGATTAAATCCATGTGGAATCCTCTTAAATGATAGTTAAGGAATAAACTATGATATAATCCCCTATGGACAAAGTATGAAAGAGAAGAAAGAGGACAGTGGGGAAGAGATGTCAATAGAATTTCTGAAAATGGAAAATAGAATAGTAGAAACAAGTACCTTTACTTAGATTGCCCAAAATTATTTGGCTGAGGAGCAAGTAGCAGTGAAATGGTACTTTATGCTGTGTGCCCTGGCAGAGGGTTTGCAGACATCCAGAAGAAAGGTCTTCTTTTTCTTCCTACAAAAGTACATTCCACTCATTCTAAAGGGGTTACCTTTTCTAATTCAAATAAAGACTGGCTAGAGTCCTGGTGGTAGCAACCTTAGCAGAATGAAGAAAGCTGAAACTTGTGCCTGCTATGGGAGAAGGCAATCAGATTCAAGTTGATTTACAGCGTCAAACCTGGGAATGGCTTGAGTATTGGAGGAAACATGTAACTCTGAATATAGGGATTAAGTACTGAAAACATGATGGTTTGTGGAATGTCTAAGGCAGTGCTGTCCAGTAGAACTTTCTGAATGATGGAAATGTTTTATAATCGACACTGGTCCAATACTGTAACCACTTGTTTATGTGGCTGTTGAATGCTTGGAATATAGCTAGTGCAACTAAGGAACCAAATTTTAAATTTTATTTTAATTTGATTTATTTAAATTTAAATTGCTGCATGTGACTGGTAGCTCCCATATTAAACACCACGGCTCTAAGATTTACACCCTCAGATTCTTGCCCTCAGCCCCACAGCCACAGACCATTCCTTACTTGCATCAGCAGAAGTCCGGAATTTATTCTAAGGAGTAGGTAGATCCTTAGGTTTTCTCCGTTAGCTCAGTGGCCAGATGATGACTCACTTCTTGCCTCAGCAGAAGACTGGTGTTTACTCCTTAGAGAAGCACCATCCCATTTGTACTTGCTGTGGTGATGAGCATGTTCTGTATCTGCATTGTCCAATACGGTAGCCATAGTGGCTACTGAGTACTTGAAAGTGTATAGTGTGACAAAAGAACTGAATTTTTATTTTATTTAGATTTGATTAATTTACATTTAAATACACATGTAGAACACAAAACCAAACACCACATGTTCTCACTCATAAGTGGGAGTTGAACAATGAGAACACATGGACACAGGGAGGGGAATGTCACAAACTGGGGCCTGTGGGGGTGTGGGGGGCAAGGGGAGGGAGAGCATTGGGACAAATACCTAATACATGCGGGGTTGAAAACCTAGATGATGGGTTGATAGGTGCAGCAAACCACCATGGCACATGTATACCTGTGTAACAAACCTGCACATTTTGCACATGTATCCCAGAACTTAAAGTAAAATAAATAAATAGACACATGTGGCTAGTGGTACCCTATTGGACAGTGAAGCTATAAAGGGATTGAAACAGAGTCAGGGGCTCCAGGTACAGCTTATATAGCAAGAGCGAGACCGCATACTGAAAACAGTGAATGGTTGCATACTGAATGTTGAGACGCTCCAGTTTGGCTCCCAGAATGCTTGCAACCTGTCTTACATATTTCAGGCAGAATTGGTGGATTTCTTCCTTAGTAAACTGCAGCAGGAGAAGAGACCTATCTATATACTGAATTTTTGGAGTCACCTGATGAAATGGCTAGTCTGTGTCTGATCACCAGATAGATGGAAGCTCACCATCAGGAAACTTCCCCATGCACACAGAGCTTCCAGTTTGTTTTTTATTATCCCTTTTGGAAATTAACAGACAGGTCGGATGGTAGCTCATGCCTATAATCCCAGTACTTTGGAACTTTGGTAGACTGAAGTGGGAGGATTGTTAGAACCCAGTAGGTTGAGGCTGCTGTGAGCCCTGATCACACCATTGTACCATTGTACTACAGCCTAGACAGCAGAGTGAGACTCTGTCTTTAAAAAAAAAAAAAAAAAAAAAAAAAAAGGCTGGGTGCGGTGGCTCACACTTGTAATTGCAGCACTTTGGGAGGCTGAGGCAGATGGATCGCCTGAGCTCAGGAGTTTGAGACCACCCTGGGCAATATGGTGAAACCCCGTCTCTACTAAAGTACAAAAAATTAGCTGGGTGTGGTGGCACGCGCCTGTAGTCTCAGCTACTGGGGAGGCTGAGGCACGAGAATCGCTTGATCCTTGGAGGAGGAGGTTGCAGTGAGCCAAGATCGTGCCACTGCACTCCAGCTTGGGCTACAGAGTGAGACTCTGTCTCAAAAAAAAAAAAAGAAAAAAAAAGAAAAAAGAAAATGAACAGCCAGCCAAGAATCATTAGACATTGCAAGAGTAATCTCTAACATGAAAGACAGAGACCAAAACACCAAAGGCTTTCATTGAAACGAAAGGGAGCACATTTATTTTTTGTGTGTGTGTGGATATCCAGAAATATTTGTAAACCATATATCTGATGAGGGGTTAATAGCCAAAATACAAAAAGGATTCATATAACTCAATAGCAAAAAAAAAAAAAAATTGAAAAATAGGCAAAGGACTTGAATAGACATTTTTTCAAACAAGACATACAAATGGCCAACAGCTATATGAAAAGATATTCAGCATTCCTAATCATCAGGGAAATGTAAATCACAACCACAATGAGATATCACTTCACACTTGTTAGGATGCCTGTTATCAAAAAGAAAAGATAACCAGTGCTGGCAAGGATATGGAGAAAAGGGAACCATTGTACACTATTGATGGGAATGTAAAATGGTACAGCCATTATGGAAAACAGTATAGTGCTTCCTCAAAAAATTAAAAGTAGAGCTACCATATAATATTACAGTCCTACCTCTGGGTATACATCTGTAAGAGATAGAAAAATAAACCAAACTATTTTTTCTATTTTAATTCTCAATACAGAATACTTCACTTCTGGTCACCAAAATGCGTCAGATTTCTTCCCACCACCAAGCAGTTCTCCAGCAGACACTGACTGGGTATCCTATAATTCAATTCAATTCTGACACTACCTGGAGTTAACATCAGATCCTACAGGTTAAGAGCTCAGTCCCACAGACTGCTCACCTATACTTCTGACTGACCAACTATAAGTTAAGGTTCCCATGACCCCCTCCTCAGGTTCAGTTAATTTACTAGAGTGGTTCACAGAACTTAGTGAAACACTTTACTTACTATTGCTAATTTATTACAAAGGATACAAATGAATAGCCAGATGGAAGAGAAGGATAGGACAAGGCATATGAGAAGGGGTGCTAACTGAAGGGGTGGAGAGGGGATGTTCCCTTTCCTCCCCATCATAAGGGTCACGGCTGATACCCCTATAACAAAAAACAAGTAAACAAGATAAAAGGATAACAACTTTATTTGATCATAGTTTTACGTGACACTGGAGCCTTCAGAATAAGGACCCAAGGATATAGAGAAAGTTAGCTGACTTTATGCTTCGATTCAATTCAGACTGGGACAGCAGTGTAGAAATGTGATTGGACAAAAAAAGCATGAGCTAATGGTAATAGATGGAGTGGGAAAACCTAGCAAGGCCTTTTCTTGGTGTCTCTGTTGTAGCGTTTGTTCCTTCTGGGTGTAGGGTAATACTTCTCTGGAATGAGGGTTTTAATTTGTTTATGGCCAGTGGTTACACAGAAAGGTAGGGGAAGGTTAGATTAGGCTTTATGGCTGGCTTTGGAAAAAAGGGGTTCTAGTGCCTATGACTGGCCTTGGGGACGATAAATTCTTGTTTCCATGACTTGCCTCTAGTGAGAATGAGGAGGTGAGAGACAGGGGAGGGGCGTCTGGAGAAGGTCAGAGAAAAACTTTGCTTCTGAGGCTTTCATTTTGGGGTATCATTTTCTGAACCTCAATGAAGCTTTTGTGCCCTCTGTGGGCACGCCACCTTCCAGGCACCTCCACGTGTTTAGCAATTTGTAAGCTTTCCGAACCCTGTCCTTTTGGTTTTTATGGAGGCTTCGTTGTGGAGGCACAATTGGTTACATCATTGGCCATTGGTGATCACCTCAACTTTCAGCCCTTCTCTGGTTCCTGGAGGTGAGGGAGGTAGGATTGAAAGTTTCAACCGCCTAATCCCATGGTTGGTTTTCCTGGCAATCAGTCCCTTATCCTGTGGCTATCCAGGAGCTCCCAGCCACCAGTCATTCATTAGCATGCAAAGGGATACTTACCACTTAAGAGATCGTGTAAGAGTTTTAGGAGCTGTGTATAGGAAATGGGAGCAAAACCAAGTATACATTCCTTACAAATTACAATATCCGAAGGAAATGAAATCACCATCTTAAAGAAATAATCTGCACTCCCATGTTCATTGCAACATTATTCACTACAGTCAAGATATGGAAACAACCTGTATGTCCATCAACAGATGAATGGATAAAGAAAATATAGTGTGTGTGTGTGTGTGGGGGGGGGGGTGTGTTTGTGTGTAATGAAATATTATTCAGCCTTAGAAAAAGAAGGAAATCCTGTCATTTGCAACAACATGGATGAAACTTAAGGACATTATACTAATTGAAATAAGCCTGACACAGAAAGATAAATGCTGTGTGATCTCACGTATATGTGGAACCTTAAAAAAAAAAAGTTGAACTCCTGGTGACAGAGAGTAGAATGGTGGTTACCAGGGGCTGGGGGGTGTGGATAAAGGGGAGATTTTAAACGGTACCATCCTTCAGTTATAAGATGAATAAGTACTGAGGACCTAATGTATATCATGCTGATAATAGTTAATAATATTGTATTTACTTGAAATTTGTTAAGAGAGTTGAACTGAAGTGTTCTCACTACACACACAAACAAGGTAACTACATGAGGTGATGGGCATGTTAATTAGCTTGACTGTGGTAATCATTTCACAATGTATAATACAGTTGATCCTTGAACAACATGAGGGTTAGGGGCATCGAACCCTGCATACTGTAAAAAATCCATGTATAACTTTGGAATCACAAAAAACTTAGCTGCTAATAGCCTACTGTTGACTGGAAGCCTTATCAATAACAAACAGTTGACTAACACATATTTTATATGTTATATGTTATTTACTGTATTCTTACAATCAAGTAAGCTACAGAAAAGAAAATGTTATTAAGAAAATCATAAGGAAGAGAAAATATATTTACCATTCACTAAGTGGAAGTTGATCATCATAAAGATCTTCATCCCCATGGTCTTCACATTGAACAGGGCTGAAGAGGAGGAAGAGGAGGGGTTGGTCTAGCTGTCTCAGGAGTGGCAGAGGTGGAAGAAAATCCATGTATAATGGACCTGCACAGTTCAAACTTGTGTTGTTCAAGGGTCAACTGTATATCAAAGCATCACGTTGTACACCTTAAATTTGGGAGTTCAGTCAGGGTGGTGGGAAAAATTATAGAAGAAAAGTTATGAAGATAGTTATAGGAAATAGACACAAACCTTCTTGGAAGGCTGGGGGGGTTGCATAGCTTCAGTAAAAAGTTCAGCTGAAGTCAGCCTAATCCTCTTACCTTGAGTTAATAGTTTAAAGTAGGTACAAAGGAATGTAAGGGAGTTTATCTAAATAGCTTGTTTACTCATGTGGCCCTAAGCCCAACCTTTTATCATCTGTGAGTGCATGATTGCTCTCTACTCGAGGGGTTGGCAGTGTTAATTACCTTCTAGCGGTGTTTACTCGAGACCTTTGTAATTTAATCAGTACTAAATAAATGCGAACTTCCCCGGCTTATCGAGGCAGATGCTGCAGACTCAGGCAGCAGAGCCCCTTAGCCAGACTGACAGGCAAAGTATCTGTGTCAGTGTACGTCTTTCATCCGTCATTGGGTCAGGGTCAGCGGGATGGACATGGCACTTAAATATAAAAAAATTTTATTTGTAACTCATACTTTAATAAAGCTCGAAGAAAAAATAAAGAGGAAAAATGGAGCATATTCATAGGAGTGCTAATCAGCATGGCTTTCTAGCAGCAGTTGTGGAAACTGGCAGATGTTGGAATGATACCTTCGAGGACTAAGGGAGTATTTCTAACATTCTACATTCAAACTGTCATCAAATGTGAGGTAGAAAAAGGTTTCAAACATGCAAGATCTTAGAAATTTTTACTCCCATGTACCCTTTCTTAGGATGCTAGCAGAGGGTGTACTATACCAAAGTGAGGGAGTAAACTAAAAAAAGGGGAATTCTTCTTGTCTGAGATTGACAGATATGCATAGGCCTAGTAAGCAGCCAGTCAGTAGTTTGGAGTACAGGAGTTGTCTCCAAAAAAAAAAAAAAAAAAATAGAAAGTAAGAGATGATTTGATACGTTTGTCCACATGGAGAGATGTTTTATACTTCTGTCAGAGTCAAGAATGAATTTATAATAGGCATATAGAAAATTTTTCAAAAGAAAAAATGGGGCCATTAATTACTTTAGGAAAAACAAAAACTTACAGGAGAAAGGAAATGTAATCATATTACTCTGTAGAGTTTATCTGTGAATATTTTCTTGGTCATAATAATATAAACACTAGATTTTGATTTAGTGAAAAACTGTGACATAGTTATAATAGCAGAGATTTATATAGTATTTGCTGTGTTCTAGACACTGTTGAAAATGCTTTACATATATTAACTCATTTAATTCTTATGTTAACCCTGTAAAACAAGTACTGTCATTATCCTCATTTTACATGTAAGAAAACAGAGGCATAGAAGTTAAATGACTTGTTCAAGGTCACATTGCTAGCATGGGTTAGAGCCAGGATTCAACCTAAGGCAGTGTGACTGCAGAGTCCATGCTCTTTAACCACTATGTTATACTTCTGAAGAGAGAAGTATGTTTATGTGAATTGATAGGAAGCGGGGAGGCTGGGATGGTGGTGGTGGTGTGGGTAATGTAAGAAATCCAAGTCCTCATCTTCCTTAGTGATACTCCAATAAATCTACCATTGGAAAATTTAAAACAAATAGCAGTAGAAGCATGTTATTAATAAATATGAGGGCAAATAGAAATTAAACTAAAAGAGTTTAAAGTGGGAATTTGATCTTAGAGATTGAAATAATTAGAATGGGCTGGGCACGGTGGTTCATGCCTGTAATCCCAGCACTTTGTGAGGCCGAGGTGGGAGGATCACTTGAACCCAGGAGTTCGAGAACAGCCTGGGCAACATGGTGGGACCCTGTCTCTGCAAAATATAAGAAAGATTAGCCGGGCATGGTGGTGTGTGCCTGTAATTTCATCCCAGCTAATCTGGGAGGATCACTTGAGCCCAGGATGTCGAGGGTGCAGTGAGCCATGTTTGTGCCACTGCACTCCAGCCTGGGCGACAGAATGAGACGCTGTTTTCCAAAAACAAGCAAAAAAAAAACAAAAAAACAAAAAAAAGGAGAAGTAGAATTGAGGATTATGTCTTGTCAGCTTTGTAATTATTTTTAAATTTAAAAACTGTGTACATGAAGTACTATGATAAAAAGTTAAAATTTACAAGAGAGTGATTTACCAGCACTTAATTTGGTAATTAAGATAAATTTTTGTTTAGTTTGGACGTATAATAGAATACTACCTCACATTTTAATTTTAGCACATTTTAGTTGATAGTATTTAATATTAATAATTTATAATTAATAGAAAAATCAATGATATTTACAACATTTAATTGGCAATATATTTATATTCTAATAGCTCAAAAGTTTTAATTTTCCTTTTAAATGAAATTTTTCAGTGGTCAAGTCAGACCTAGTATCTGTTAGAATTATCTAAGAAACATTCTTCCTTTGGACCTGGAATGATAATTGCTTTTTAATGTTGTTGTCTTACTGTTTTCTTTGCTGATTTTTTTGCATGTGAGGTAAGCTTATGTGAGCCCATAAAATGTTACATTTTTTATTAGAATTTTGAGAAATATTTATTTGATGTCACTTAGTGACTGTAATTAACCTTGATAAAGCTGACTTACAGTTTTCTTACCTCTCATTTTCTATTGTTTTTATACAGAGTATCTTTGCTCACATAGTATTTTATTCCTCATTATTCATTTTCTCTATGGCCAACGAAAGTAATTTCTTAGGATATTATTCTAGTTGAATTGACCAGTGTTTTCTTTTATTATTTCAGTCTCACCAGCCTAATATCGTACCTTTCAAAAAATTCATTTTTCCTATATTTATATTTTTTATGTTAGCCTTCTCCAGGTTTTATGCCAAACATCTTAGTGGTTCTGATGAGATTACTTTAAAGAATCACATAGATTATTTGTTCTTTTCTTACCATTCCAATGAATATATATTTTTCATTTTTTCAAATAAAGGCCACTTTTATGAGTTGTAAACTTCATATTGTTTAATAGTTTGTACATTCTGCTTTTGACAAGAAAACTCTAGTGAAATATAGAAAAATTAACTTTTTTCAATAAGAACAGAGATGGCAATAGAATTTTAGTTGGTATCAGTGTTGTCAGATTTTTCCACCTGGTGTCAGAAGTACAAATTATTTAAATATGCAAAGTATCAATCAAGATTGTGATGTCTCAATGTAATTTGAGACTATTGAATGGTTTAAAATGATAGATGTCATTTATATTTGGAACTATATAATTAAATCTTTATTTTTTATTGACAGATATGTTTAAAGGGTAAGGTGCACATATTTAAGTACTTAAATATTCAAGCATGTTGCAGAATGGATAAGAAACCAGATTCCCTGGATCTTCCATCATTGAGTAAACGAATGCCCTCACAGCCTCTCACAGACAGGTAATGTAACATTCTTACAGTTTCATTTGATGATTGCTGTCTTCTCTTTTTATGAAATATACTTATTAATCTTGAGTGTTCCGAATATATTTAGGCTGATTGGTCCAGCACTAAAATAAATAATTGGCTGAAGCTACATATCACCATCATAGAATGAAGTTCTAGGATACTAGAATATTTTTGACATTTTCTCAATCATTAAAGTTTTAGTAGTAAAAATGTAAATGTTTGACATTATATTACGGAAACACTAATTTCTCAGCATGTGACAACTGTTAATTTATTTTGTGATCACTGTATTGTACATTTGTAACAACAAGTAGAATTTGACTTTGAACTGAGGTTGGTGGAAGAGCAAGACATTTGGGGAGTACCTTTTCCCTTTCATCATAGTCTTTATGTCTGGATCAAAGATGATATATCATAATGACATATAATGATATATCATCTTTGATGAACATCTTTGATGTTCTTTATGATTTCAGTGTTTTGATCCTCATGAGATTTTGAGATAGTAGATTGAACATTCTGTTTTTAATTCATCCTTTCAAGATGTAGATTGGTCTGAAAGATTTTATGAAAGTATAAATCCATGTAATAGTTTAGAAAATAACCTAGAATGGGGTGAGACTACAGAAAGCTAGACCATGCCCTTGCCTAAAATATTTAAAGATTTGTCATTGCATATATATAAATTTTATATTGCTTTGAATGGCAATATAGTAAGTACTATTGTTAACAGCACAAGTTTGTGAATTCCCAAATAGGACTTTTTCTTGAATATTTTTATTTTGTAAGTAGAATTAAGTATCTAAACATTAGATTCAGTTTTTAAAGATTATTTTGTTTAATATTATGAACAGTATTAGACCAAACAAGGCTCCAAAAATTGGAATTAAGGCATTCTAATCTCTATTAATCTGCTTTATATTTATTTTAACATGAATTTACTTTTAGTAATGGCATTTACTGTTTTAGTCATTTATTTTACAAATATCAGTTGAATGCCTACTGGTAGATTCAGTTATGTTTTGTTGAATGTCATATATGTTGGTCTTGGCCTCTTGGTGCTCACAATGTAGTGGAGCAGGAGTCAGTGAATAAACAAAGCAAGGAAATACACACACATATAAAATTTCAAATTGTATTCTGTGCTATGAAGGAATGTATTTCAAGAGTGTCGTCAGGGAATGAATAAAAGCCAGCTCTGTGAAGAGCAAAGTAAGAGCATCTTAGGCAGAAAGAATGACATTGCCATGGCCTTAAGTTAGGAAGGAACTTTGTGTGTTCAAACAACTGAAAGGAGACCAGCGTGGTTGGAGCAGAGTAGCTGAAGGGAAACGTGGTACATGTTGATTTTAGAGAGGTAGTCAGAGTTCAAGTCATGTGGGTGCTTTGTAGGATGTGGTAAGAAGTTTGAATTTTACTTAAAGTACAGTGGGAAGTCATTGGACAGTTTTAAGTGGGGGAATAACATGATTTGACTCATTTTTTTAAAAAAAACTATTTTGGCTTATAGGAGAATAGATTGGAAGTAAGCAAAAATAGAAGCACAGGGACCAGTTGGATTGTTGTAGTATTGCCAAGAGATCAGGGGGTCTAGAATAAAGTAATTGCAATACAGATGAAAAGAAATGGGCAGAATTAAGATATATTTTGGAGATATTCTCTAGCAGGACCATCCAGTAAAAATATAATGTGAGCCACATATATAATTTTTAATTTTTTGTTACCCATTTTGAAAAAAGTAAAAAGAAATACATGTTATTTGAGTATATCCAAAATATTATCATTTCAACATGTAATTAATGTGAAAACTTGGTGAGATATTTTATATGCTTATTTAATATTAAATCTTTGAAATCTGGTATGTACTTTATGTGTATAGTGTGTCTCGATTTGGAATGGCTGTATATGGCTACTGGCTGCTTACCGTATTGGACAGTGCAGGTCTATAGAGTGGGTTGTCAGTTGTATTAATTTCTCACTCACAGCCTGTATTGAACTACTTAGAAAATTCTTGTATGTGCTTTCCACTTTCATACTCAGGCTCTTGGCTGTATGGTTCTTACTACCTAGAATGCCCTTCCATGCCTTGTCTGTTTTGTAAACTCTTTATTATACATAGATAGGCACTACAGTACTTACATATAATAGCTTTTGGAGTCAGACATAATATGGCTTTGAAGCCCTTTTATGACTCTTAATAACTGTATGTCCTTGTGTATTAATGTCTCTGGTCCTCAGTTTTCTCATATGTAAAAAAGAAAATAATTACACAGGTGCTGTCAGGATTAAATGAAGCAATGTATGTAGAGCACTTAGTGCAATGCCTTACCCATAACATTTCCTCAACAAATAGCTTATTATCATCATTGTCATTTACTACAAATACATGGAGTATTTTGTGCAGTGCAGTCAGATGAATTTTGGCTCTAATCATGGTTTAACTACTTAATTTCTCTGTGGCCTTGTGTAAGTTATTTAACTTCTCTGAGCCTGTTTCCATACCTAAAATGTTAACCATACCCACTTCTACAGTTGTGAGAATTAAATGTGTGCCTAGCAATTAGTTCAATAAATGATAAACAGCAAATGTTATAATTTTTCCCCTTGGGACGTTAACTTTTGTAAGCTTTATTTTTTTTTGTAAAAAGATAATAATTATAACTTCAAGACTGTAAGAATTATGTCTAAAATATGAGGTGCATCTAACACAGTACATAACACAGTATAGACACTCAATGAATGCTAACAGTTATTGCCTCTTCATCCACAAGACTAAGCTCAAATGCCACATTCTTGAGTGATGCCTTTCCTAACTTTACCGAGGAGAATTAGTTGACCTTTTTTTTTTTTCTCATAGCACTTTGTATTTACCTTTGTCATAGTCTTCAAAACATTTAAACACATTCATTTTTCCTCTAGGCTGAGAGCTAGCTCTTTGGAGGCAAGTTTTAAAAATGTATTTTCTCTTAAGCATTCAGCATAGTACCTGATACTTGGTAGGTGATTCCCTAAATGTATTCATATACTTCTGAAAAGTACAAAAAAAAGTTTTTTTTTGTTGTTGTTATTGTTTTTTTTTTTTTTTTTTTTTTTTTTTTAGCATGAAACTGGTTTTAGGAGCGGAATTAAAACATAGTGATTACCACCAGGGACTTTGGTGCTAGATAATTGAGGGATCAAATTTGGACTGCTGGCTGCAAGTTGCGTATCCTTGGATAAATTGCTTAATCCATTCCAGTCAAAGTTTTATCATATATAAAATGAGAAAACACCATCAATTTGCTACAGTTTTTCACAATAAATATGTAATGTTTTGTCTTTTAAACATTTAGCACAGTTCCTCATACATAATAAGTGGTCATTGTAGACTGTGTGGTAAAATTGCAAATTAAGTGAAAAATACTTTGCTTCCTGGGTGGCATATTTTGTAAATCAGAAATTTGCAAGGACAAAGTGAATTTGAAAGTATTAAAGTGCATATTCAATACTTTGTAGCTTTCATTTTTACATCCTCTCTTTATTAGATGGGCATTATTTATATAAATAAAACATTTTTAGAGCCAATGAAGAGTAAAGCATATAAATTGAAGTTAAAAGATGTTTCGAAGCTCTGTGATGAAATTTGACAAACCAATGGGAAAAACAGGTCTTCCATCAAGATAATGTTCTAACAAGGCAGCCTGATTTTCTGAATCTCTGAGGAGAAATAATAGGTTATTGTTGACAATTGACACTATAGAGTACACGAAGGGAACAATATTGCATGAGTGGCATGAATAAAATGTTTTGTAGGAAGAGTTCTGATATTTTTCTCCTCATGTCCCTAATTAAGGATCTTAGACATCAAAAGTATATATTCTGTATTATCTAGGGAAATTTTAGGTCAAATGTGCATTATCTATTTAAGAAGAAAATCCTAACTGCTCTTAGGATTTCTATTTCCATAGTATGGAAGATTTTTATCCAAATAAAAATCATGGCCCTGACTCTGGAATTGGAAGTGATAATGGAGAGAAACGATTATCCACAACAGAAGTGAGTATTTTCTATTGCTGATCCATTCTGTTTTACAATTTTATTAGAGCATTGAAATAGAGACCCTTGTGCATACTTGAGTTTATTTTGCTTGAAAATATGATCATTATATTTTATGACTAAAACTGAAAAAAAGGGCATGCTGATTTTTAAAGCTGAGCAGTAAACCTTATGTTAATTTTGGGTTTGAAAACTGGAGATGTAAAGCAGACATTCTGTAATTCATATGTAAAATTGAAGTAACATAATCCATATCGTAAGTTTAAAATGCCTCATTTGTACTTTTTGCTTATTCCTTTTAGCCATCAGATGATGACACAGTCAGCCTTCATTCTCAAGTCTCAGAATCAAATAGAGAGCAGACATCAAGAAATGACAGTCACATAATAGGAAGTAAGACTGATTCTCAGAAAGGTAATTCATATGGTACCTGCTATTTTTGTTTCATGTACATAGCCCACATTAAAAATGGGCTTTGAAAAATTATATTGTCTTTAGCAAACTCTTACATTGAGAAAATACACATTTTTCTAAGGACAGCAGTGTCAAGCATACAGTTTACTATGTACATTTTCTAATAAATATTAATCTGTACCTAGACCAGGAGGTATATGATTTTGTTGACCCCAACACAGAAGATGTAGCAGTTCCTGAACAGGGAAATGCACATATTGGATCATTTGTATCATTCTTTAAGGTAAATAAAACTTTGAACAAATATTAATAACATGTTCTCTTGATCTTATAAAAGTGGACTATACAATTTAAAATGTAACTTTCTTTTATATAAGGGAAAAGAAAAATGTTCTGAAAAATCTCGGAAAAATGAAGAATTAGGAGATGAAAAAAGGTAAGCACATATGAAAATGAAATGTTATTTATAAGCCCTTGAGCCATTCATTAGATATTCCTACTTGAAAGAGTACTTGAAAAAAATATAATTTTTTGTTCACTTACCTCTTATGTTTAGATAGTTAATTTATAAATACTTCACATCTGTCTGTATTCCTCAAGTAAACACAAAATTATAGTAAGCGTTTGAGTGTAGGATGTGCACTATTTTTACCCCTGAAGTGTAATGATGACTTCTATTATTATTATTGAGGAGGACTATACCGTCATATACATTGCTTCATTTGAGCTATTTAACAACCATAACAATAGATGGTATTGACATCACTTTACCAATTAAGACACTGAAACCAGGAGTTTTAAATGGCTGGAACTCAGATGTATTGTCTCTTGTTCTACTATACTTTCCATTTGGTCATGCTGATTATGACTTTTAAGGGTACTTATGTCCATATTTTATTAAAATAATTGTGCTTTGGATCTTTTTTGAACCATTCATCTTATAAAATGATGAAATATGACCTACCACATTTTTTTCAGTTACTCCTTCAGGTTGCTTTATAGATGCAGAAAGGAAAGAAGAAACATTTGGTGAATACCTACCATATACCAGGATTAGTGCTATGTGCTTTCCCATGTTTCTCATTTTATCTTCATTAAAATCCTGTAGGGTAGATACTGACCTCATTTTTTCAGGTGAGGAAGGTGAAGTTCAAAGACTCTTAAGTTTTATGCCTAAAACCACTTAGCCAGTGTCCACTAGTACCTAGAGTGTGAAAGTAGCTCTCTTTGATTTTTAAACTTTTCTCTTTTCTCTACATTATGCTTCCTCCAAATGACTTCACAGTTATTAGTTAATCATCTCTGATGTCCTGTAAGGAGGTACATTGCTTTGTCTTGAACTGTTTAGATTTCATTCTTTTACTTTCTCACCTCATCTAATGAGGTCAGTTGCTTAAACTTGAGAAACACCTGTAGCATGTACGATGTGGTAAAGTCACAAAGATTCATGGTTTGATACTGTTTTTAAAGTGAAATCTAAAGATAAAATGACTAGAGTTTGGATAACTATTTTAAAATTTTTTTGTTCTCTTTTATAAAGATGACATATTAGTATTTTCACGCAAATTTGCCAATCTTATTTGAACCTATTTTGGATTTTCTTTATTTAGACATATACAGATTTTTAAAATCAAAATCAATAAACTGATAAAAACAGGATGGTGCAATTAAATGACAAAATTTTACAATATTTTAAATTTATGTATTAAGACAGGCCATATAGAACTCTGCAGTCCTTTTTATACTGAAGGCTGGAGAATATACATTTTTAGATTACTATTAACCATTACACATTTCAGAAATCTAAAAAATGGTTTATATACTTTGCTATTATTTGTTAGTCATTAATTATATTAATACAGCCAGTATGCTACATTTCATAATGAGTAGAGAACACAGAAGTTTTCCTTATTTCTTATTTTAGCATTTTAAAAGAAGGACCTAGGATTTTAACTTTCATATGGTGTTAAAAACAAAAATGGTTTCTATTTCTGGAAGCTGGCATAAAATGTAGTCTGCCTTACTTTTTGGATAACCATGTTTGTGTCACCTTTCAGACTTGAGAAAGAACAGTTACTGGCAGAGGAAGAGGATGATGATTTGAAGGAAGTAACTGATTTGAGGAAAATAGCTGCTCAGTTATTGCAGCAAGAACAGAAGAACAGGTATTCCTTTCAGTAATGAGATTTGAATTGGCAAATTTTATAATCATTAAATTGATTATTTAAAGATTATCAAAGTATATGAAGTTTTGAGTAAACAATAGTGCCCTCTTAAGATCTATCTCAAGGGACTAACTACAGATTGAGTATTCCTCATTCAAAAATCTGAAATCGGATCCCAAGCATTTCAAATAAGGGATACTCAACCTGTACTAAAAGGCAATAGGAAATACTTAGGACGGGAATATAAAATTACATTTACAACTAACAGAATGTACTCATATATATAGTCACTATATTTAATATTGCCTAGGTATTTCTTTTTTATTCCTGTGTGTGTGCTGAATCATAATAACTGATTTATTTGTTGATATTAATTTTAGCTCACAGTAGCATTATTTACATTGTAAGCATTTTTTTTCTAGGTACATGTCATGAATATAACGTGCTTTTTAAAACTCAGATTCCAAACTTGGCATACGTCTAAACTCCTTAGAATGGAGTTGAATTTTGCAAGAGTTGATTAAATCAGTATGATGATTTGAGGGTCACTGGCTCACTTTGGTCTGTTTCTTGGTCAAAGACCATTTTCCTCATCTTTTGGCTAGGCTTTCTTCAAGTACATGTTGTTGGCAATGAGAAGGGTACTGTGTGAATGAGAATAAAATCAAGACATGTCCACTTCTAATGCAGGAAAAGTTCCATATGCTGCTGAGGGTCAGCTGTTATTGCCATCTTCATGTACTGAGAGGACTACATTTATAGTTTTGAAATGATAAAGATCTGAATGGTTTTTTTTTGCTTTGAGAAAAGAGAATAATTTTGGTGCATTTAACATGGATAAGTAAAATATTTTATTTCATTTATTCAAAATAATAAATGTTTATGGTTAATATGACCATGTTTTGGGAAGTTTCAAATTTAAATATACTGGCATTTGTTTAAATGTACATTGAAAAATACAACTAAAACTTATCAAATGACAAATATATGGTTTCTAGGGGCCACTTTTTAGGGGCAATCTATATAATAGCTAATAAGCTAAATTGCCTAAGTGTCTTTTTTGCACAGTTGCTACATTTATAGATATACAAAATCATACTAGAAAATCACTAACCTTTATTCCTTTCATATCAAATGTATCTTCATCAGCAGTTCACATTTTTCTTCTGCTGTAACTTTCGGTCTGCTTTTTCTGTGATGTTTATCTTTTCAACTTTTCCTGTGATTCTTTTCTAATGGGCCTTTTAAAAATTGGCTACTTATGAGGCTGTGTTTGTTTTTCCCCCTCCAATATAATTTAAGTGTTGATTGCCCTGTGATTTAAAAGGTTTGATGAAGCAAGCCACCACCTGTTCTGTGGAGCTTAAAAAGTTTCTGTCTCCTCTACCTAGCAGGTGAAAGAATTGTATTTATCATTATGGGACGATAATATTGTTTTTTTAAGAACCCACAGCTAGCTGGGTGCCATGGTTTATGCCTGTAATCCCAGTACTTTGGGAGGCCGAGGTGGGTGGATCGCTTGAGCTCAGGAGTGCAAGACCAGCCTGGGCAACATGGCGAAACCCCGTCTCTACCAAAAATACAAAAAATTAGCCGGGCATGGTGGTGTGCACCTGTGGTCCTAGCCACTTGGGAGGCTGAGGTGGGAAGATCGCTTGAGCCTGAGAGGCAGAGGTTGCAGTGAGCCAAGATCATGCCACTGCACTCCAGCCTGGGTGACAGATCTCAAAAAAAAAAAAAAAAAACCGACAGGCCTATCCATTTTTCTCGTGGTATTAGGAATAGCATTTGAGTGCATAATTATAGATTTTTACATTGTCATATACGATATTTCTGTATTTCCATTTTCTTATTAGCATATTAGTTTTTCATCTATCCATGTGACTTAAATTATTCTTTCTAGCCTAGGTACAACATTGACTGAATAGTTAATCTTTCATTGGTTTTATTTTTGTGATAGTTTTGTAATCAGTACAAAATAGCATCTAGCACTGTGCCTTATACATAGTAAATACATAATATTTTTGATTGACTGCTTGAAAATTAAATCAATACATTTAAAACTAGTAGGAGAAATTAGTTAAAAAATTATATGTTCTCCCTAAAAAAAACTTCTGCTGTTCTTCAAGATGTATGCAAAAGTAATTTCTTTTTCTAATTCTCTTCTTTATCATCCTTTTTAGATGTTAGTACATACTAATATAAGAACTTTTTAGATTAAATATTAATATACAGTGACATTGTTGTGATAAGTATGTCTAATTTTTTCAGACATTAAAATATTTATAATATGATCATAAAGTAAAGAGCACTTTTTTTTTTGAGACAGAGTCTTGCTCTGTTGCCCAGTCTAGAGTGCAGTGGTACAGTCTTGGCTCACTGCAGCCTCTGCCTCCTGGGTTCAAGTCATTCTCATCCCTCGGCCTCCCAAGTAGCTGGGATTACCAGTGTGTGCCACCACACCCGGCTATTTTTTTTGTATTTTAGTAGAGACGGGGTTTCGCCATGTTGGCTAGGCTGGTCTGAAACTCCTGGCCTCAGGGGTTCCACCCGCCTCGGCCTTCCAAAGTGCTGGGATTACAGGCGTGAGCCACCACGCCCGGCCAAAGAGCACATTTTACTTTTAAAATTTATAACGTATGGAGAATTTTAGATCCCTAGCCAATTCTGTTAATGCCTGAACTTAAACTGGATCTCAGAATTTTTAAATGCTAAATCTAATATTTTTTCTATTAAATAATCTTTCTTCCTTCTACAATATGTTACTATTGCTTAGATCTTTTAGATTTAGGGACTTAAAATTTTTAGTTTACTGTCACAATACTTGAATTTGAATGAGACCAAAAATCTAAGCGTAATCCTATATGAGAATATATCCTACAGTGGATTTGATATAATTTATACCTTCTCTGGTTGTGGATTTTCCTTTTCATGCTGTATTATTGTGTCTTATATTCCAAATATATTAGTGAAGGATCTGAAATGCTATTTAAAATTGTAGGCCAGGAGTTGTAACATCTCTTTTTAGGTTTTAAAATAATTATTGTAAATTTTGTTTGTTTTTAGTCTTGATTAAAAATAATTTAACTGGATTAAGATTACCCTCGCCTACCAGGAAATATCATCCAGGACTGCTACTTTGACTGTATATTACTTAACTGTTCTTTAACTTGCTACTAGTAGAAGACAAATGCAATGTTAGCTCTCAGCTAAATGAAGCCATGTATCTTCTCCCAAACTAGAGGTAATTAAAAAACAGCTTACATTGAGTTCAGTGATGATTTCCTTATGGCAGTTTTGCCACTTGCTTAGTTCATATATATTTTTAATTTTTTAATTTATTTTTTTTTAATATTTTTTGAGACGGAGTCTCACTCTGTTGCCCAGGCTGGAGTGCAGTGGTGCAATCTCAGCTCACCACAACCTCCACCTCCCGGGTTCAAGCAATTCTCCTGGCTCAGCCTCCCAAGTAGCTGGGACTACAGGCATGCGCTAGCATGCCTGGCTAATTTTTGTATTTTTAGTAGAGACAGGGTTTCACTGTGTTGGCCAGGCTGGTCTTGAACTGCTGACCTCGTGATCTGCCCGCCTCAGCCTCCCAAAGTGCTGGGATTACAGGTGTGAGCCACCACGCCTGGCAGTTCATATTATTTTTTAAAATGTCTTTGATTCTTTAAGAAACTTTATGCCAGTACTTGGTACATGAAACTATCCTAGGGGAGCAGCAAGAGGATATTGTACAGAATTAATACTCAAAAAGGGTGAGAAAAGAGATCAGCAAATAAACCATCAAATTGGTAACTCATAAGGTTTTAAAGTCTGAAGCCTAGTTGTTTAGAAGACTGCCTCCACTTTGTCTGATTAAGATGTGTAGGTTAAGCTACTTTATGTTTACAGTTTATTGTTGAATTTTTTTTTTTTTTTTTTGAGACAGTCTCACTCTGTCGTCCAGGCTGGAGTGCAGTGGCGTGATCTCGGTTCACTGCAAGCTCCGCCTCCTGGGTTCACGCCATTCTCCTGCCTCAGCCTCCTGAGTAGCTGGGACTACAGGCGCCTGCCACCACGCCCGACTAATTGTTTGTATTTTTAGTAGAGACGGGGTTTCACCATGTTAGCCAGGATGGTCTCAATCTCCTGACGTCGTGATCCGCCTGCCTTGGCCTCCCAAAGTGCTGGGATTACAGGCGTGAGCCACCGCGCCGGGCCTGAATTTTTTTTTTTAATTGATAAACAGTCTTTATCATCCCCTGTCAAAATATTGGATTATTATTTCTACTTGCATCTGAGTGTATTGAAGTCACTCTGAATCAATGACTTTGACTATATTTAAATAGCTATTCATCAAGTTCTAATTTTACCTTCACTATTATTTTGGGAAATAAAAACAAGTCTTGAAAAAAAATCATTATCTTAAAAATAATGTTGCATGATGAGTAAGTTCTAGGGATCTGCTGTACAACATTGTGCCTATAATTAACAGTACAGTATTGTATACTTAAAAATTTGTTAAAAGAGTAGATCTCTTGTTAAATGTTCTTACCAAAATAAAATAAAATTGACAAAAGGGAGCATGTTTTTTAGACCAAGAAAAATCAAGGAAGGAACTGAGAATAAAATGATACTATTAGAATATTCTTAATATTAACTTGATAATAAAAAAGGAAATTCTGTTGAAAAACAAAAAAGTTGATATGTATTATTAATTATTGAGCCAGTTTTACAAATTTCCATGAGTCTTACTCATTTATGTTAGTGTTGAAAAGGTGGCTACTGCTCTTTTTCTTATACTGATTTTCTTTGGGGGCGTAATAAGTAGATGTTTAGCTGGCTTCTTAAATTTTGTTTAGTTACTATTCTAAAGAAAGGATTAAAATATATGTGTGATTTTGCAGTAAATAGCTTCATTTAACTGGTTCCCATTGCATGTTTGTTCCTGCTAACTTACGCTGTAGTATTTTCTGTTGTGTCTTTCCTTTTAGTAATTATTTTATTTGCTTTTAGGTGTGTCTTGAGAGTTTTTCTTTATTGTGGAAAGATGTGCTTCTAATTACTATGTGATACAGCTAAATAACAAAAAGCAATTATGAAAAGTTATAATTAAAGTATAATTAAGGATCATGGAAAGCAAAACTAGGTTTAGGAAGTTTATAATTTTGTTTTAGAATTATAGAAATTATGGACATTACCTGTTTTATTATGATTTTTCCCTGATCATGTGAACATTTCAATTTGAGGAGCATCATGTTAACCTCTAGCTTGTTATAACTAATTAGGTGGATCTCTCAGTCCTTGAAATCTATGTATTCTTTTGTTTCTGCTTTCTTTACAAATGACTACCCTGTCTCTCCAAAAACATCTTCTCCCATCTTTTGGTTTGGTTGATTTATGTGAAATATGAATACAGACAGAGGCCTTTAAGTTGTAGGAGCATCATTCAGTGATAAACTCTTCCAGAGGACCAGAGCAGCAGGACATGAATCAAGGTATCTAGAGTTTGTGGAAGCCTTCAAGTATTATGGGGCCAGGTTGACATAGCTGAATTGTATAGTCTTTTACTTAAAATAAGTACTAGTAACTGGATTAGGGAAGTATGTTAATAATCTAGATGTTTAATTAGAATAGATGTTTGTTTTGACTTTTGGTATCAGAGTAAATCATAAAATAATGAACATAGCAAAATTTTACATAGGTGAATTCTCAAGTACATAAAATATATTGTATAGGTAAGTGGATCTCAACTTGTTTTTCTGTTTCAATATAACTCATACACAACCGTAATCACAATGCTAATGAATGTGTGGTGAGAAGGAGTTAGAATTTACTATAGTGAAGGCCATTGTAGTTTGAGTCCCCTCCCCTGCAATAATTCTGAAATTTCCCCCAGGGTAGTACTTACTGCGGTCTCTTCTTTAAAAAAAAATCACTCTTTTAAAATATATTTTTCCTAATAGTTTTAGATATTTCATTACCTTAATTTTTCTGTATTTAAGAATTTAAGGCAATTTTAATGCATGCCTATACAAAGAAGAAGTGTCCTTAATTCTGAAATTGTTTGGCCCAAAGCTACACTGATTGGTGTGTGATACTTGTCCTTTGCATCTCATTATCACTTTTTCCTAGTGAGGCCCTACTAGATCCACGCTAGTGAGGAATCCAGCGTAATGGACTTTGGTTTCTTTATGCTAACCATATTTCTGTAATTACCAACTTATATTTAATTCATTATGTATTTTATTAGTCAATATATAGCTTTTATTTAAAATCCATTTCTGTATTCTTTTGGCAGTTGACGTCTGGAGATTTTATTTTGAATAAAAGGCCGAGATTTTACTTATATTAAATTTTAAAAGTGAAAATTATATTTATATATAGTAACATTAAGAACTCTTAAGTATAGTTCCTTATGTTAAGGACAGTAATTCATTACTTTTGACTTTGAGATTAATACTTAGAATTATGTAACATTATGTAGAAATAGTTCTCTCTTATAATGGTTCATCATTTTCTTTCTTTGGTTTTCTTTGAATGGTTTTATTTAGTTATTAAAAGTTTAAGAAACTTGTGTTTTTTTAAAGAATTGGACTGGAGCGCTGATTTTGCATTTAGAATTAAAATTTTTCATTTGGCAAAATAACTATGTATTACATAAACATACCTCATATCATTTGCTGTGCTGGGAAAAATAAATCAGTCACGATGGTACCTCTGTATCTCTTTATCTTCTATCTCAGCCAAAAGTTAGATATGCAAAGGGCAATAATAGCATGGGTAGAAGATATCCAAACTTTGAGAAAGGGTTTATAAACGAAGATGCATGGAAAAGTTGCCGAGCTTCATTTTGTTATAAAATAGTACACTTATGGGCATCTGATCTAAATAATATTTAAATATTATTTTCTAGCAAAGATCTTCAAGGACCAGATGCAGTTTATTTTAGAGATTTTTTTTATATCATGTGATGTAATATTCTTAATAGATTTGGGAATTAATGTGTTGATTTACTTCTAGGATTCTTAATCATTCAACTTCTGTGATGAGAAACAAGCCAAAACAAACTGTGGAATGTGAAAAGAGGTATAAAAATATCTTAGTTTTTACATTTAATATTTTATAATGAGTATTGATCCTTTGACAGTGATGTTTTTGTATATAGGCTTTAATTAAATAAGTGATACAGATTTAATATAACTAGATAATTTAAATAGGAAATGTTTTAGAACATGAGTTAAATTTACTTTTGATGTAAGCAAAATAAAAAATGCTGATCTTTTTTGCTCATAGATGCATTTTTGTCTTGATAGAATCATTTATTTGTTCATTCAGTGAACATTTATTATATTGCTATTCCTGCCAGGAATAATGTGTTTCTTTATCATTGATTGTGTTTATTCTCTATGATACTGTTTATGTTTTCATTTCTTTTCAATTGGGTGGTACTAAATTCTTCTATGTGAATACATGATATAAATCCACATATATGAATTCCTGAGAACTAGAAGACCTTGAAAGTTTCTATTTATTCTTTTTGATGGTTTGAATTTAGATTAGACTCAACTCCTGAGTCAATCCTCTGAGAATGTTCAGGCCCAGTCTTTTTCTGCTTGGCTTATTCCAGCAGTCCCAAGACATAGCTCCTTTTTTTCAGGTTTGCCTAGCTTTAAGTCTGTCTTCTGCACAATGGAAGAGTGATAATTCTGAAACAAATCTTACTTGTGACTCCCATTTATTATCTTCTAATGACTCTTTACAACTTTTAGAATAAACCTTAAAATATTTAACTTAACCCATAAGATTGAGGTGGGTTTCTGCTTACCCTGAGAGCTTCATCTTGTACATTCCCCCACTGGCACCATTTGCATTTAGGAACAGAACTTCTTTCTTCATTCTCTTGGGGAAGTTATTTAGCTTACTCTGAGCCACATTTACCCCTTCTATAAAACACAAATAATAACAGTGTCTACCTCATGGTTACTGTAAGGATGAAATGGGTTAATGTAGTAAATTGCTTATGACGGTGATTAGCACACAGAAAGTGTCACATATGTTATTAGTTGTTAAACTAAGTTATTACTATTGTGAACTTTCTTATTTTTCCTTTCTTTTGTATCTCAGCCCTTCCTTTTTCAATTCTAACCTCCTTTTTTGTTCAAAAGGGAAATAGCTTTGTGGGTATTCTTTTTCTGGTATTAAGAAGTATTATATGACCTTAACTTTTTTTTCTTTTTTTAAATTATACTTTAAGTTCTGAGATACATGTGTAGAATCGGCAGGTTTGTTACTAGGTATACATGTGCTCTGATGGTTTGCTGCACGTATCAAAACACATTAAATTATGGGAATATATTTTAAATTCTGTGACTTTTTTCAGCAGTACGTGGGTGAGCACACCCCACCCCTTCCCCACCTTTAGAAAAATCTCACATACTTTCTGTTAACAAAAATGAGATCATACTGAGTATACTATTTAGTAATATGCAGTTTTCACTTAATATTATAGTGATGGTTTTATATACCTACTAAATCTAAATATACATTTTGATGAACTTTATATATCCTGTACACTTGTATTTTCCTTCCTTCCTTCCTCTCTTTCTCTTTCTCTCTCTCTCTCTCTTTTTTTTTTTTTTTTTTTTTTTTGACAGAGTCTTGCTCTGTCGCCCAGGCTGGAGTGCAGTGGCGCGGAGATGAGATTTCACCATGTTGGCCAGGCTGGTCTCGAACTCCTGACTTCAAGTGATTCACCTGCCTCAGCCTCCCAAAATGCTGGGATTACAGGTGTGAGCCACCACACACCTGGCCCACTTGTATTATTTTCTTAACTTAAATGCTTAAAGATATGTTATTGATGGATTAAAACATGAGTGTACATTTAAAGCTTTTGATATGTTGTCTCCAGAAGCTTTTATGTTTGCATTCCCACAAGTAACACATGGATAGCTTTACTTCCATACTTGTTAACACTATACATTATCAATCTATTTAATCTTTGCCATTCTAAAAAGAACAAATTATATCAAAATGTTTTATTTTTCATTTCAGTGATTAAATTAGTGATGATGAGTATTATTTCAAGTTTTTATTGCCTATCTATATTGCTTCTTTTGTAATTTGTTTGTTTGCATCTGTTGTGGTCAGAAGCACTTTCTATTGTTGAAATATATTGAGTATTTTTATGGCCCAGAATATGGCCTATCATGGTAAAAGTTCTTTAGGAACTTGGAAAAAAATGTATTCTGTGGTTATTGGTTAGAGTCTTATATAATGTCAACTATGTTAAGTTGGTTGATAGTATTGTTTAAATCTTCAATACCTTACCTATTTTCTGTTTTCTTGTTCTATCAGTTAGTAAGAGAAGGTTATTGAAATCTCCAACACTAATTGTAGATTTATCTTTCTCCTTGCAGTTCTATAATTTTTCCTTCATACATTCTGAAGCTCTATTATTAGATATATAAATGTTTAGGATTGTATTGTCCTCTTGGTGAATTTGTACTGTCATTCTGAAATGACTTTTCTTTATATTCTTGATAATATTCTCTGCTCTGAAGTCCACTTTTCTGATATTAATATTGTCAGTCCAGCTCTCTTTTGTTTAGTATTAGCATGATGCGTGTTTCTCCATCCTTTTATTTTTAACTGATTTGTGTCTTTGTAGAGAAAGCGCATTTCTTATAGTTAGCATATGGTAGTATCTTCCTGCTTTTTATTGAATCTGACAATCTACGTTCTAATTGCAATGTTAAAAATCATTTATGTTTTTGTAATTAATGATATTTTGAGGTTTGCTGTATGTTTTCTTTCTGTTCTATCCTTTTTATTCATTTTTCCTCCTTCTCTGTTGTCTTTTGAATTATATTTAAAAATTTTTGTTTATTTCCTTTGTGGGCTTATTTGCTGTAACTTTTTGTTATGTTAATGGTTTTTTTAGGGGTTAGAGTATGATATTTAGCTTATCACAGTCTATCTTCAAGGGCTATTATGCCATTTCGTGTGTCATGTGAGAACCTTAGAACAGTATACTTATTTTTTTTCCTTTTTAGCCTTGGTGTGTTGTCATACATTTTACTTTTTATGTATCTGTTATGTGTACCATAACAAGTTGTTATTTATGCTTTAAACAGTTATTTGTTCTTAAGAACATTTAGATAATCAGAATAATGTCTTTTATGTGTTCAATCCCTTAGTTACTATCTCCAGTGCCCTTTATTTTTTGTGTAGATTCATATTTACATGTGCATCACTTTCTTTCTGCCTAAAAGAGAGATTTTAACATAATTTTACTACTGGTCTGCTGATTGAATGCTTTTAGCTTTTCTATGTCTGAAAAAGTCTTTTTTTAAATTTTTTTTTTTTAAACAGGATCTTGCTCTGTCACCGAGGCTGGAGTGCAGTGGCGCCATCACAGCTCACTGCAGCTTTGACCTCCTGCACTCCAGTGATCCTCCCACCTCTCAGCCTCCCAAGTAACTGGGACCACAGGCATGTGTCATCCCACCCAGCCAACTTAAACATTTTTTTTTTTTTTTTTTTGTAGAGACAGGGTCTCACTATGTTGCCCAGGCTGGTTTTGAACTCTCGGTCTCAAGGAATCCTCCTTCCTTGGCCTCCCAACGTGTTGGGATTACAGGCATGAGCTACCATGCCTAGCTCACCTTCGTTTTTGAAAGATATTTTGGCTCATACACAATTCTAGTTTGACATTTTAGTTTTCTTCGAGTACCTTGAAGAGGTTTCTCCACCATCCTCTGGATTGTACTGTTTTCTATGAGAATATTCTTATCTTTGTTTTACTTTGCCTAATGTGTCCTTTTTTCCTCTGGGTGTCTGTAACATTTTTTATCACTCGTTTTAAGTAATTTGATGGTGATATATCTTGGTGTAGTTTTCTTCATGTTACTTTTGTTTGGAGTTCATTGAGCTTCTTGAATTTGTGGGTTTATTTTCATGAAATTTGAAATTTTGGGGCCCTTATTTCTTCAGATATGTTTTCTATCATTTGACCTCTTCTATTATGGAACTCCAATTAGGCCACTTGAAGTTTGCCATGGAACATTGATGTTCTATTCATTCTTTAATATTTTTCTGTCTGTGTTGGGTTTTGGCAAGTCCTTCTGCTTTGTCTTTGTGTTTGCTAGTCATTTCTTGTGAAATGTCTAATCTGCAGTTAATTCCATCCAGTTTGTTTTAATTTCAGATGTTGCACTTTTTATTTCTAGAAGTTTGATTATGTCTGTACTTAACATGTTCAGTCTTTTCCTTTAGCTTCTTGAACATTGCTTGGTTGAATTTTTGATTAAATGACAGACATTGTGTACTTTACATTCTTGAGTGTGGATATTGTATTATTATACATACTTTTGACTTTTGTTCTGGGATATGGTTAAATTACTTGGAAATAATTTGATATTTTGGGACTTGGTTTTATAATTTATTTATGTGGGACCAGTGCAGCATTTAGTCTAGGAATAAATTTGTCCCCTTAATGAGGCAAGACATTTCTCTACTGGATGTCCTGTGAATTATGAGGTTTTCCAGTTTAGCTGGTGGGAACTGGTACTACTCCTGGTCCTCTGAGAATCTGGGAATTATTCCCTCTAAGCTTTGAGGGTGATTTTATCCTTTTGCCTAGGGTATTTTCCTCACATACATGTTCAATGATCAGTACGCTCAGATGAAAATTTGAGGGATGCCTCTGTAGATCTCTTTCCTTTCTCTGTGCATTGCCCTTTTGTTTGTTACTGTGTGCTATGAACTCACTCTGCCCTTTTCTCCCTGGCTCCAGCTCTGTCTCCTGAATTCTGGGCCTGCTAGACTCTGCCTTAGTTTTTTTCTCCTGGGATGTGGACTGGAAACTCTTTCCATGCAGCAACTTGGCTCAGTTATGGGATTTACCTCCTTACTCATCTCTAAAGGATAATGTCATTTTTTGCCTAATATTCAATGTCATGGAAGGCATAATTTTAAATATTTTGCCCATTCTTTTAGTTTTTTCAGTCAGGATATAAATCTGGTCACTGTTAGCCTATCTTGGCCACTAGCAAAGTCTAGTTTTTACATTTTATGTGTTCAAATTTGTTAGTATTTAATTTTGATTGTTTGTCCCATAGGCTCTCTCTATTCCAATATTTAAAAAATTACTGCCTGTATTTTTCTGATACTTTGTGATTTCTTCTTTATATTTAAATCTTTTAATTTTTCATTTTGATATTTGGTATGAGGTAAGGAATCTAGTTTTCTTCCTCCCCCACCTTTTTCTCACTGTGTCTCCTCCCCCTTTTTTATTCTTTCTTTCAGTGTATATTTTACACGTGATCAATCAGGTGTCTCTCTACTACTTGTTATATAAGCCATTACTTTCACAATGATCTTAAATGTCATTTTTTTCAGAAGTTATTATACTCGTGGTCCTGTACTCCTCTTCCATTGAAAAATCTGTAGATTCTGGAGCTAGTAGAAAGGAGGGTTGAAAAGTCCTCTTTATTATATAACTTTTCTCTTCGTGATCATCCATTCTTCCAAATTAACTTTGGAACTCCTTTGTCAAATGTTTAAAACAAACCAAAAAATACTTCTTGAGTTAAAAAAATTATTATTACAGTTCATTTCAGTTATTAATTAAGTTGAAAGAGAAGTTATACCTGTAATACTTATCTATCCAAGAACCTTTTGGTTATTCAAGTCTCTTACTAGACATTTGTAGTTTTTTCATGTAGGTCTTGTAGAAGTATAGTTAAGTTTCTTCCTAGGTATTTTATACTTTTCTTTCCTTCTATGAATAGCATTTTTTTCTAATATATCTTTTAACTCATTATAGTTGATATGTAGGAAAGCTATTAACTTTTGTATGTTTTTCTTTAACTGGTAACCTTACCTCTTATAATAATAGATTTTTTGTCTTTTTCTCTTGGATAATCATGTGTTCTATAAATTTTAAAAATTGGATCTTTATATCCAATTTTTATTTTCTTTTTGTTATTGCACTATACAGAAATTCCACAATAGTGTTAAGTTATAGCAGCTTCAGTGGACATTTTGTTTATATATTTTTTCCACAGGAACTCCTTGTTCAAAATTGCCATCTAACAACAGCATGCATAGTCTGCCTTATCTCAACAACAAAAAATTAGATGAAAATAATTTCCTTCATAGCCCCTGTTTTGTTAGAATGAACAGGTTGCATCTCATAATCAGTAATTCAGTAGGCAAAAATAACTACTCGCTTGAGCTCTTTGGCATTTAGACAAAGGAAATTATTAGTTTTTTTTAGTCTTTGTTAATTATTTTAATATAATAAATATCCTGTCTGTCCTTTGACAATATATCTTTAGATATTTCACTTATTTTAGCTTCTGGGAATTCCTTAGAATAGACCTATGCATAGGGCCTACATAGAATAAACCCATTTTGATATTTCCTGTAGAGCAACAGGTTTTAGAAACTTAAATATATTTCTGTCAACTTTAAGTTTTATGTTGTTAGGCCAAAGTGTAGACATGGGTAAATTCTTTACAATGTTTTTAAAAAGATAACATCTAAGGTTCATAATATATATTTAAGGATTTATTCTAAATATTTTAACGTATTAAGGCATCTTCAATTTTTTAGTGTCTCAGCAGATGAAGTTAATTCACCATTATCACCCCTCACCTGGCAGGTAAGAAGAAATTAAATTACAATTATATCTATCATTTTGTTCTCTTTTATTTAGTTAAAATAAATTGTCTCATTATAGCCCTTAGAAAATCAGAAGGATCAAATAGATGAACAACCGTGGCCAGAATCTCACCCTATAATCTGGCAGAGTGAAGAAAGGAGGCGGAGCAAACAGATTAGAAAAGAATATTTCAAGGTACTCTATATTAAGTTTTTAAATTTACTTTGTAATTATTAGTTTTTATTTTGTCAGTTTTGTTTTGAGTTAATAAGGTAGACTGTAACTCTCTAGTTAAATGTAGTAAATGTGTTATTTTGATTTCTCACATATATGGGGTAATACAATCTAATTATATCCATAAGGTTTCAGTAATTGAGAATAATTGAGTAGATAAATATAAATTATGATTTACCAAATACTTTGCAAGATAGACGAATGTTTGCTGCACTGCTAGTTGTAGCAATATGTAGTATGTTTTAAAAGAATTGTCCAGGAAAAGTCTTTCATTGGATTTGTTTCAATAAATATTTGACACATATTTACAATTAGCATTTAACTGTTCCTATGTAAATAAGTGTTGTTTATATAGTTCTGAAAATGCTTGAGGGCAGATTTTTCCATTTTTTTCTTCTTGTTACCTTAGTAGATTGCTTGAGTGTCTTTTATCTTAGCTAAAAGAAAAGCTCAGATCATCCAAATTATCCCACATTTCTAGTTAGCAGGGTTTTAATGAAATTTTACTGTGTACACATTTGTAAATATTGTATTATTGTCTATTTGTGATTGGGGTCTGCTGTATTTGTAGAAGCCAATCATTAGAATTCAGAATAATATTCAATACTAGCCAGAATTCATTACTGGATTTGACTCAAATGAATAGTACAAACAAGCTTCTGCTCCATGAATAGCAAATTTTGTTGTCTTTGTACACGTTTTATGTTTCCCAAAGCCTAATTATTATTAGATGATAATAGTAATTTCATCTGAAACATAGTACTAGTCTACATTGTAGGTTCAAGTTTATATCACTAATAAATAGGATTATATTCTCTGTTTTTCTCTGGTAGAAATAGGTCTGTATGCACATTTGTTTGTTTCTATATATGGGTGTGTAACATACATTTGGAAATAGTATCATGACTAAAACAAAACTGTTATATGTCTTAGTGGATCTGTGGTAAATTTAAGCCTTCAACAAATAAATACTGAGTCCTTTTAATGAGTCTTACATTTCCTGGTCAATATAAGAGATAACAAAGAAACAGAAGACATGAGGAAAAAGGGAAGGACATTCTAAGTAGAACCCTGGTCAATAATAGTGAAAGTTTATTTATCCTAACCCTTTATACATCTGTAATTGTGTTTACATTCCAGCATTATTTTAAAGTTTCCCTTTTTAGTTCATTGGACCTTGAACAAAGCACTGAATAAAATTTGCTTGTAGATAAAACTTAGTGAATGACTGATGGTATGGGGGAAATTTTAGTAGTATTTCATATAATAAAAGAAATTTAATATTTATTTGCTCTCCTTTATTGTAGTATAACAATACAAATTCTTAGTATACTACCAATATCGTAGTATAACAAAACCAGTTCTCCTTTATCATAGTAACAATACCAATTCTGACTATTTGTCAAAAAACTTACATAGCACTTATTAAGTGCCAGGCACTGTCCTAAGACTTCACAAAGATCAACTCATTTAATCCTCATAACAACCTTATGAGGTAAGTACAATTATGACTATTTCTGTTTTACAGATGATGAAATTAAGGCACAGAGATGCAAAGTAGTATTCTTCAGTTCACTTAGTAATAAGTGGCAGAGTTGAGATTTGAACCCAAAGCCTATGCTAGGCTGCCTCTTTATCTACTGTGTATAGCTTAATATCATATCAGCAAACACTTTCAAACAAACACAGTTTTACTGGTTTTTAATTTTTTTTTTTAAGAGACAGAGTCTCTCTCTATTGCCCAGACTGCAGTGCAATAGCGTGATCATAGCACACAGCAGCCTCAAATGCCTGGGCTCAGGCCATCCTCTGGGCTCACGTGATCCTCTTGCTTCAGCCTCCCCAGTAGCTAGAACTACAGGTATGTCCCCCAGTGCCCTACAAATTTTAAAATTTTTTGTAGAGGTGAGATCTTATTATGTTGCCCAGGCTGGTCTCAAATTCCTGGCTTCAAGAGATCCTCCCATCTAGGCCCCCCCAAAGTGCTGAGATTACTGACATTTTTGGCCCACTTTTAGTGTTTAAAAAACGTTTTACAGTAACTTGAGTGGACTTCTCAAGATGTCTTAATAGAGGCCACATTTTAAAAATGTGCATTTTAAAAACTGAGCATTTTAAAAACATAATTCTTTGGTTTCATAGCATCATTTATTGGTATTTTATTTTTTATAAAATAAACATCTTCTATAATATTAGTTATGTTATAAAGTTATTAAAAGAGATCAAATGATATAATATTTGAAGTGCTCATTACATAATCATCATTCAACAAATGTTAATTTTTTTCCTTAATAAATTAGGTGCAAAGATAAGCTTCAGTCACTGGGAAATGTTTTAAGGAGATGTGTAGTTCTCCTAAATTGTCAGAAGATGTCAGTATTAGGACATAGTAAAATGAGTATGTCACTAGTTTTTTTTCCTAAGATGTCAAGAAAATATAAAACTGACATACAGTTTCCTAAATTAAATCAACACTATTATTCAGAATTGTCACTATTTTCATGACTAAAACATCAGCAGCTTCTAAGAGGAAATTTCTCTTAATCACCTATCTCCCGATAATTGAAAGTGCTATTGGTAGGTTGTATTATTAAAGCTAATCTGGATTTATAGTTCATTAAACAGTAAAATACACTACACTTGAGGTTTATATCAGATTATCACTGAGTTTGTTCAATGGTGGCTCTTTTAGGTTTTGCTATGTTACGAAATGTACAGAACTTTTGTGCAACTTTATCTTAATACGTATAAATGACTGAGGCACAGGATTTCTTTGTTTCTGTCCCATGGTAAATTATTTGTCATGGTTATTCAGTGTATTTATTGAATGTGTGTGTGTGTGTGTGTGTGTGTGTGTGTGTGTGTGTGTGTGTGTGTGTGTATGTATGTAAGAAATCCAACTGTATTTCTTCTTAGTTTTGAAGGCTAATTTTGGATAGTATTTTTTTCAGGTAAGTCCCTGAAACTAGGTAAAACTGTTTCAACATATTGGCTAGATTATGTGAGCAAGAACACAAATTGGGTCAGGTTAAGTTAGTAAGTAAATCATGGTAGGAAAGTTACATTGACTCTTTTAGATTCCCAGGCCGCTATCGTATAGATTATTATTCTAGTATATAAAATTTAGTGTTCTTATAGCCAAAATAAAATCACTGTATTTCAGGGAACTTCATGATGCCAGGAAGTATTTTATTAAACATCTTTTTTTATTTTAAATTTTTAATTTTTGGCGTTCATATTAGGTATATATATTTATGGGATACATGAGATATTTTGAAAGGCATACAATGTTCAATAATCACATTATGGGGAATGGGGTATCTATTCCTTCAAACATTTATCATTTGTGTTATGATCAAATTATACTCTTAGTTATTTTGAGATGTACAATTAAATTATTATTGACTATAGTCACCCCATTGCGCTATCAAATACTAGGTCTTATTTATTCTATTTTTTATGCCCATTATCCATCTTCACCTACCCTCTACTCCCCCACTACCCTTCTCTAGCCTCTGGTAACCATCCTTCTACTCTCTATCTTTATGAGTTCAATTGTTTTTACATCCTACAAATAAGTGAGAACATGTGGTGTTTGTCTTTCTGTGCCTGGCTTATTTCACTTACCATAATGACCTGCATTTCAATCCATGTTGCAAATGACAGACTCTCCTTCTTTATGGCTGAATAGTACTCCATTGTGTATGTGTACCACATTTTCTTTATCTGTTCTTCTATTGATGGACACTTAGGTTGCTTCCAAATCTTGGCTATTGTGAATAGTTTTGCAATAAATATGGAAGTGCAGATATCTCTTTGATATACTGATTTCCTTTCTTTGGGTTATATACCCAGCAGTAGGATTGCTGGATTGTATGGTAGCTGTATTTTTAGTTTTTTGAGGAGCCTCCAAACTGTTCTCCATATTGTTCGTACTAATTTACATTCCCACCAACAGTGTACGAGGGTTCCCTTTTCTCCACATCCTCACCAGTATGTTATTGCCTGTCTTTTGGATATAAGCCACTTTAACTGGGGTAAGATGATACATCATTGTAGTTTTGATTTGCATTTCTCTGATGATCAATGATGTTGAGCACCTTTTCGTATGCCAGTTTGCCATCTGTATGTCTTCTTTTCAGAAATGTCTATTCACATCTTTTACCCATGTTTTAATCTAACTATTAGATACTTTCCTAAAGAGTCGCTTGAGCTCCTTAAATTCTGGTTATTAATTCCTTGTCATATGGGTAGTTTGCAGATATTTCCTCCTATTCCGTGGGTTGTCTCTTCACTTTCTTGTTTCCTTTGCTGTGCAGAAGCTTTTTAACTTGATGTGATCCCATTTCTCCATGTTTGCTTTGGTTGCCTGCGCTTATGGGGTAGCTCAGGAAATTTTTGCCCAGACCTGTGTCCTGGAGATTTTCCCCCATGTTTTCTTATAGCAGTTTTATAGATTGAAGTCTTAGATTTAAGTCCTTAATCCATTTTGATTTGATTTTTGTGTACAACAAGAGATAGGGGCCTAGTTTCATTCTTCTGCATACGGATATCCAGTTTTCCCAGCCTCATTTACTGAAGAGACTGTCTTTTCCCCCGTGTATGTTCTTGGCAGCTTTGTTGAAATTGAGTTCACTGTAGGTGTGTGAAGTTGTTTCTGGGTTCTCTGTTCTGTTCCATTGGTCTGTGTGTCTGTTTTTATGCAAGTACCATGATGTTTTGGTTACCATAGGTCTGTAGTATAATTTGAAGTCATGTAATGTGATTCCTCCAGTTTTGTTCCTTATTCCCAGGATAGCTTTGGCCATTCTTGGTCTTTTGTGGTTTCATCTAAATCTTAGGCTTGATTTTTCTATTTCTGTGATGAATGCCATTGGTATTTTGATAGGGATTGCATTGAATCTATAGATTGCTCTGAGTAGTATGGACATTTTAACAATATTGTTTCTTCCAATCCATGAATGTGGAATATCTTTCCATATTTGTGTGTCCTCTTCAATTTCTTCCAGCAGTATTTTATAGTTTTCATTGTAGAGATCTTTTACTTCTTTGGTTAATTTCTAGGTGTTTAATTTTGTTTGTGAGTATTGTAAATGGGATTATTTTTAAAATTTCTTTTTTAGATTGTTCACTGTTGGCATATAGAAATCCTACTGACTTTTGTATGTTGATTTTGTATCCTGCAACTTTACAGAATTTATCAGTTCTATTTTTTTTTTTTTGGTGGAGTCTAGGTTTTTCCAAATACAAGATTATATCATCTGCAGACAAGGATAATTTGACTTCTTCTTTTCCAATTTGGATGCCCTTTATTTCTTTCTCTTGTCTGATTGCTCTAGGTGGGACTCCTAGTATTGTGTTGAATAACAGTGGTGACAATGTGCATCCCTGTCATCTTTTAGATCTTAGGGGAAAGGCTATGAGTTTTGGCTTTTATTATGTTGAGATATATTTCTTCTATACCCCAGTTTTTGAGAGTGTATTAGTCTATTTTTATGCTGCTGATAAAGACATACCTGAGACTGGTCAATTTACAAAAGAAAGAGGTTTATTGGACTGACAGTTCCACATGGCTGAGGAGGCCTCACAATCATGGTGGAAGGTGAAAGGCACGTCTTACATGGTGGCAGACAAGAGAAGAGAGCTTGTGCAGGGAAACTCCTGTTTTTCAAATCATCAGGTCTCATGAGACTTATTCACTATCATGAGAACAACACGGGAAAAACCTGCCCCCATGATTTAGTTACCTCCCACTGGTATCTCCCATGACACTTGTGAATCGTGTGAGTTACAATTCAAGATGAGGTTTTGGTGGGGACACAAGCAAACCATATCAGAGGGTTTTTATCATGAAGGAATGTTGGATTTTAGCAAATGCTTGTCCGGCATCAATTGGAATGGTCATATGATTTTTGTCCTTTATTCTGTTGTTATGATGTATCACAACAATTGATTTGCATATGTTGAACCATGCTTGCATCCCTGGAATAAATCCCACTTGGTCATGATGAATGACCTTTTAAATATATTGTTGAATTCGGTTTGCTAGTATTCTATTGAAGATTTTTGCATCCATATTTATCCGAGATTTTGGCCTGTAGTTTTCTATTTTGGATGTGTCTTTGTCTGGTTTTAGTATTAGGCTAATACTGGCCTTGTAGAATCAGTTTGCCAGTATTCCCTCCTCTTCAATTTTTTGAATACTTTGAGTAGGATTGGTATTAGGTTTTCTTTAAGTTTTTGGTAGAATTCAGCAGTGAAGCCCTCAGGTCCCAGGCATTTCTTTCCTGGGAGACTATTTATTACAGATTTGATCTCATTACTTGTTATTGGCCTGTTCACATTTTGGATTTCTTCATGATCCAATTTTGGTAGGTTTTATGTGTCTAGGAATTTGTCCATCTCCTCTAGAGTTTCCAATTTATCGGCACATAGTTGTTCATAGTAGCTAGTAGTGGCCCTTCGAATTTCTGTGGTATCAGTTGTAATGTCTCCTTTTTCATCTCTGATTTTATTTGGGTCTTCTCCCCTTTTTATCTTAATCTGACTAAAGGTTTGTCAATTTTGTTTATCTTCTCAGTAAACCATATTTTTGTTTCATTGATCTTTTTTATTTTTCTTCATTTCAAATTTATTTATTTCTGCTCTGATCTTTATTATTTCTTTTGTTTTTGTTTGTTTGTTTGTTTGTTTAAACCAGAGTCTCACTCTTTCTCCCAGGCTGAGGTGCAGTGGTGTCATGGCTCACTGCAGCCTTGACCTCCCAGGGTCAAGCCATCCTTTCACCTTTCAGCCTTCCAAGTAGCTGGGACTACAGGCACCACCACACCCAGCTAATTTTTGTATTTTTTGTAGAGATGGGGTTTTGCCATGTTGCCCAGGCTGGTCTTGAGCTCCTTGGCTCAAGCGATCTGCCCACCTCACGCTCCCAAAGTGTTGGGATTACAGGTGTGAGCCATGACACCTGGGCTGTTTCTTTTCTTATACTAACTTTGGATTTGGTTTGCTCTTCCTTTTCTGGTTCTTTAAGATGAATCATTATGTTATTTGTTTGAGGTTTTTCTTCTCTTTTGATGTAAGCACTTATAGCTGGAAATTTTCCTGTTAATACTGTTTTTGCTGTATCCCATAGGTTTTGCTATGTTGTATTTGTATTATCATTTGTTTCAAGAAATTTTTCGATTTCCTTCTTAATTTCTTCATTGACCCACTGGTCATTCAGGAGCATATTGTTTAATTTCCATTTGTTTGTATAGTTTTAAAAATTCTTCTTCTTATTGATTTCTGGTTTTATTTCATTGTGGTCAGAGAAGTTGCTTCATGTTATCTCAGCAACTTCTTTGTTGTTTGACTGTTTTAAGACTTATTTTGTGACCTAACATATGGTCTATCCTTGAGAATGATCCATGTGCTGAGGAGAAGAACATATATTCTGTAGCCACTGGATGAAATGTTCAGTAAATATCTGTTGGGTCCATTTGGTCTATAGTGCAGATTAAGTCCAATTGTTCTTTGATGATTTTCTGTCTGGGAGATCTGTCCAGTGCTGAAAGTGGGGTGTTGAAGTCTCCAGCTATTACTGTATTGAGATCTATCTCTCTTGAGCTCCAATAATATTTGCTTTATATATCTGAGTGCCCCAGTATTGGGTGCATATATACTTACAAATCACTATATCCTCTGACTAAGTTTACCCCTTTTTCATTATATAATGACCTTCTTTGTCTCTTGTTCATTTTTATCTTGAAATCCATTTTGTCTGATATAAGTATAGCTACACCTGCTCTTTTTTGGTTTCCATTGGCATGGAATATCTTTCTTCATCCCTTTATTCTCAGTCTATGTGTATCTTCGTAAGTGAACTGTGTTTCTTTTTTTTTCTTTTTTCTTTTTCTTTCTTTCTTTTTTTTTTTTTTGGTGGAGTCTTCCTCTGTCACCCAGGCTGGAGTGAAATGGCATGATCTCGGCTCACTGCAGCCTCTGTCTCTTGGGTTCAAGCAATTTTCCTGCCTCAGCCTCCTGAGTAGCTGGGACTACAGGCATGTACCACCATGCCCAGCTAATTTTTTATTTTTTGTATTTTTAGTAGAGATGGGGTTTCACCATGTTGGCCAGGCTGGTCTTGAACTCCTGACCTCAAGTGATCCACCCCCCTCGGCCTCACCCCAACATTGCTAAGCTAAAGGGAAAGGTCAAGCTGGGAACTGCTTAGGGGAAACCTGCCTCCAATTCTATTCAAAGTCACCACTCTGCTCACTGAGATAAATGCATATCTGATTGCCTCCTTTGGAGAGGCTAATCAGAAACTTAAGAGAATGCAGCCATTTGTCTCTTACCTACCTATGACCTGGAAGTCCCCTGGCCGCTTCCAGTTTTCCTGCCTTTCTGGACTGAAATATTGTTTGTCTTACATATGTTGATTGATGTCTTGTGTCTCCCTAAAATGTTTAAAACCAAAGCTGTGCTCTGACCACCTTGGGCACAGGTCATCAGGACTGCCTGAGGCTGTGACACAGGCACTATCCTCAACCTTGGCAAAATAAGCTTTCTTTTTTTTTTTTTGAGACAGAGTCTTGCTCTGTCACCCAGTGGCGTGATCTCGGCTCACTGCAAGCTCCATCCCCAAGGTTCACGCCATTCTCCCGCCTCAGCCTCCAGAGTAGCTGGGACTACAGGCACCCGCCACTATGCCTGGCTAATTTTTTTTTTTTGTATTTTTAGTAGAGACGGGGTTTCACCGTGTTAGCCAGGATGGTCTCGATCTCCTGACCTCGTGATCCACCCCTCTCGGCCTCCCAAAGTGCTGGAATTACAGGCATGAGCTACCACGCCTGGCCTCAAGTGTGTTTCTTGTAGGTAGCAGGTCATTGTGTCTTATTTTTTCATCTATTCAGCCATTCTATGTCTTTTTATTTTAATAGTTTAGTTCATTTACATTTAGTGTTATTATTGATGTTTTATTCTACTGCGGCCAAGATGGCACTCACACCACAATACAAAGTCCTTGCCACTCTTCTTTCCCCTTTCCACAGGTAGAGGAACCTCTCTCAGTGGCCACCACCACCACTGGCCCATGGGAGGTTCTGCTAGCCCGCTGCTCATGTTCTGTTAAAGCCCAAGGGCTCTTCAATCAGCTTGTGGTGAATGCTGCCAGTCCTGGGACTCACCCTGAATTCTGGCTTGGGGCAGGTCCAGAAATGCTGCCCAAGAGCCGAGGCCTAGATTCCTGAACTCCAAGAGACTGCTTGTTGCTTACCTCACTGTGTCTGAGTGGGTTCCTAAGGTGCCAAATTCCCCTTTGTTTTTCCCTCTGCTTTTCTCAAACAGGAGACTCTCCATGTAGCCACGACATCTGGTTTTGTGCTAAGTCTTACCGGACGCCAGCACATCTCAGTCTCTCCCAAGGTCCACAGCATACTACCTGGGTATTTCTGCTGGTTATTCAGGGCCCAAGGGCTCTTTCATCAGCTGGTGATGACTCCTGGCAGGACTGGGTCCTTCCCTTCAAGGCAGTGGGTTCCCTTTTTGCCCAGGGGTATATGTCTAGTAATGTCATCCAGGAGCTGGGGCCTGGAATGGGGGTCTCACAACTCTGGCCAGTGCCCCATCCTACTGTGGCTGAGCTGGTATCCAAGAGGTAAGACAAAGTCCTCCTCAGTCTTCCCTGTCCTGTCCTCAAGTGAAAGGAAGGGGTCTCTTTCTCATTGCTGCGAGCTGCACTGTCTGGGGTTGGGGGAGGAGTGGTGCAAGCACTCCCTTAGCCACCCCTGCTGGTGTCTCCCTAAGTCACATGCCACCCTAGTACACTGGTTCTAAGCTTAGCACAGCACTAGGAGTTGCCTAGAAATTGCAATCCTTGTGCCCTAGACTGCCTTTCAAGTTTACCTAGAACCCCAGAGTACTTTGGCCTGCGATTGGTGAGGTTACTGAGAAACTTAAGTTCAAGCTGCTGGCATGAGCGATTCCCATCTGGTTAGGGCTGATCCAAATGCTCCCGCCATGCCTGGGTGCTTGTTGAGCACAGCACAACTTTGTTCCCCTCTGTGGCAGGGCAGCACTAAGTTCAATGTAAAGCCCCCCAGTCCCTGTGCTCTCCCTCCCCCAAGTATACAGGCTTTCTCTCCCTGCACTGCTGGCTACTGTGGGTAGCTGGCTAATTTTTGTATTTTTAGTAGAGACCGTGTTTCACCATATTGTCTAGGCTGGTCTCAAACTCCTGACCTCGTGATCTGCCTGCCCAGGCCTCCCAAAGTGTTGAGATTACAGGCATGAGCCACCGTGCCCGGCCACAGGTGAATTTCTAAATGCATTTAATAATTGATTTCTAGACAAAACAGTTAAAAAGTATTAGAGTATCTGTAGCCAGTTAGTTTTAAATATTATTTGATTTATTTAAGTGGCATATATGTCTTCAAATGTATCTCATTACTATTATGATAAAACATAATAACTCATAAAATACATATTGATTTCATAAATATAGTACACTATTTTTATTTAAAGGTTAACCCCCTGGAAAATATTTTGACACATTTTCTATGATCATTGTTCGTTTTATATGGGAGTAAAGAAGCCACTGGGATTGTAAAATAACCTGATTTATTCTGAGTCAGAGTTTATGCACAAGTTATTGTCTCTCTTTTGAAATTATTACAAGCTTCTGAGGCTAGTCCGAATTCAATGGTGTTTACAACGAATTGCTCACAATTACACATTTGTTTATTTTCCACTCCTGCTGCTTCACTTGACTAGCCTCAAAAAATATGTATATGTATATGTATATGTACATAAAAGCTTCTGAGATGGACTGACCTTTCTGTTTTTCTGGTTTTTAAACTAGGCCTTTATTGTAACATTTGAATTTAGATGTAATAAAACTTCAGTAATTCAGAATTCAGATTAATACTAGTTGGGGATAGCCGAGTTGAATTAGTAAAAACTTGGAATTAGAGAGTATTTTCAAATCTATGTATATATTAGGTTTGGAGTTTCAAGACATTTAAATATGTGCAGTAATGCAAACTTAGCATCTTTCTAAGTTTTCATGTATAATGAGTATTTTAAATTAGAATTATAGTTGAGTAACAGTAATACATTTCCCATTTTCTAAGTTCTTAAGTATATCATCTTGTATTTCTTTGCATTTCAGTTATCCTCTTATTCTTCTATGTCTTTCCTGCCTCTTTACCTTTCACCTTATAAATATGCTCAAACCTCTGTTATAGGGAAGAAAAAGTAGTATCTTTTCCCTACTCGTTGCAAGAATGATAGCTGACACCCCATAACAAAAGATGGATTAACAAGAGAAAAGCATAAAAATTTACTCAAGTTTTTATGTGACACAGGATCCTTCAGAAATGAAGACCCAAAGACCCAGGGAAAACCGTATGTTCATGCTAAGTCTGATGAAAGAAATGAATAGTTGTGGAGACACGTGATTGAACAAAAAAGGGTATGATCTAATGGTAACAAACTGGGCCTGTTTGTTGAGAATCTTTTCTGTGTCTCTCTATGACATTCCTTCTCCTTCGGTATGCTGCAGGAAACCTGTCACATGCATCTTAAAGGGAGAAGGGAGGAGGTCAGAGAGTGACCTTTCTAGATTGTATGGCTTGCTTTGTGAGACGGGGAATTCTAGTTTCTATTACCTGCCTTAGGGAGAGGAAGGGGGGCGAAGAAAGGGGGGCCTGGAGAAGGTCAGAGAGTGACCTTGAAGGTGCCATATCTTGGGGTAGTATTTTCTGAGCCCTGACACTACCATTATCCCTGACTGCCCTTTTAGCTGTTGCCTTATCTCTTTGCTCTCTTTTAGGGCTAAACTTTCTTTTTTTTTTCTCTTGAGACGGAGCCTCGCTGTGTCACCCAGGCTGGGGTGCAATGGCGTGATCTCAGCTCACTGCAACCTCTGCCTGCCGGGTTCAAGTGATTCTCCTGCCTCAGCCTCCCGAGTAGCTGGGATTATAGGCACCCTCCACCACACCCGGCTGATTTTTGTATTTTTAGTAGAGAAGGGGTTTCACTTTGTTGGCTAGGCTGGTCTTGAACTCCTGACCATGGCCAGGGCCAAACTTTCTATTTCTAGTTCTCCAGTTTCTGATCATTCCTTAACCCACTGCAATCTGGCGTTCGCTTCCATTTCTCCATTGAAATAGCCCCTCGCTAGATTTTAACATGCACCTACTAATGGCAAAATCCAGTGTAGCATTTGACAATGATGACCACATCTTCCTTCTTGATACTCCTGTCTTGGTTTCTATCTCATTTTTCTTCCCTGTTATCATTTTGATGTCCTTCTCTAACTTTTCTTCTGCTTGCTCTTAGGGTCTGATCCTCATTTTATTACTCTAAAAAGCTCTCTCTGGAGTGTTAATGACTCTAGATGTTTCTTATATTCTGCTGTGTCTAAATTTACATCCTATAACTTTTTTTCTGTTCCCTAAATCTGTGTTTCTAATTGTTTGGATGCCCTCATTCCCATCACCTAATTGGTTATCAGCCCTAATATATGCATCGTTTCTGCAATTCATGTCTATCTCTATTGCCCTTGCCCTTTTTGGAACCCTCATACTTTCTTGCCCAGGCAATTGTGATAACTGATTAATGGTCCTCCTTTCTCAGCCGTTGGATAATTCTCTGGCTTTAAATTTCTTTATTCTAGTGTTCAGTAGCACCATAGGTTGACTATAGTTAATAATAATTTATTATATATTTTAAAATAGCTAGAAGAAAAGATTGATAATGTTCCCAGCACAAAGAAATGATAAATGTCTTTGAGGTGATTACCCTGATTTGATGATTACACATTGTATGCATGTATCACAATATCACAAGTACCTGATAAATATGTACAATTATGTATCAATAAAAAATAATTATCAGACAATGTGAGAAAATGCCCTTAAATAAAACTGTAAATCTGTAAATTTTCTCTTAAATCTGTAAAACTGTAAATCATCCAAAAAACTTCTTACTGGCTTCCCATTACCAATAAGATAAAGTTTGGATTTGTTAAAATCTTCGTGGACCATTCCTTCTTTCCTTTTCTATATTTCATTACCTGCCAAAATTCACTTTCCTCACTAGCCTCATTAAACTGCTCTTTGTTTTCTACACAGGCTGTGCTTTCTTAGTTCTTTTTGCTTTTCTTCTTCTGAGAATGCCCATTAGCCCTTTTATCTCTGGCAAATTCCTATTAATTAGTGTTTAGAAATGGGAGTATAGTTGTCCCTCTGTATCTGCAGGTTCCACATGCATTCAGCCAACCTTGATTGAAAATATGTGGGGAAAAAAGGCAAAAAAAAAAGGTAAAAATAATACAAATAAAAAATATAGTGTAACAACTGTTTAGATATCATTTACATTGTATTCAGTATTATAAGTAATCTGGAGATGATTTAAACTATACAGGAAGATGTGAGTAGCTTATATGCAAATACTGTGCCATTTTATGTAAGGGAAGGGACTTGAATATCTGTGAATTTTGGCATGGGTGAGGCGGGGGTAGGGGTCTTGGAACCAATCCCTTGCAGATATCAAGAGATGATTTTATGGCACAGTGCCTGGGCTTATAGAATCAAACCACTTGTGTTCCAGTCCTTACTTGGATACCTATTAACTATGTGACTTTGTCAAGTCATGTAACCTTAATTAAGTTTGTTTTTTAAAACTTTATAAATGAGTGTAACAGTACAGGCATACTTAAGAGATATTGTGGGTTTGATTCCAGACAATGCCATTAAAGCAAATATCTATTCAATAAAGCAAGTCACATGAATATATATCAATAAAGCAAGTCACATGAATATTTTTTGGTTTCCCAGTGCATAAAAGTTATGTTTACATTGTTCTATAATCTAAGTGTGTAATAGTATTATGTATGAAAAAATGATATACCTTAATTAAAAATACTTTATTGCTAAAAATTACTCACAATTATCTGAGCCTTCAGTGAGTCATAATCTTTTTACTGGTGGGGGGTCTTGTGTAGATGTTGATGGTGGTTGCTGAAAATTGGGTGAATATGGCAATTTCTAGTTTGCCACATCAATGGACTTTCCTTTCACAACAGATTTCTCTGTAGCATGCGATGCTGTTAGATAGCATTTTACGTACGGTAGAACTTCTTTCAGAATTGGAGTCAATCCTCTAAAACCCTGCCACTGCTTTATCAAATAAGGGTATGTCACATTGTAAATCATTTGTTGTCATTTCAACAGTGTTCACAGCTTCTTCACCAGGAGTAAATTCTACCTTAAAAATCCCTACCTTTTTTGCACATCCATTAAAAGCAACTCCTTATTTGTTAAAGTTTTATCATGAGATTACAGTAATTGAGTCACAACTTTAAGCTCTACTTCTAGGCCAGGCGTGGCAGCTCATGCCTGTAATCCTAGCACTTTGGGAGGCTGAGGTAGGTGGATCCCTTGAGCTCAGGAGTTTGAGACCAGCTTGGGCCAATGGCAAAACCCCGTCTCTACAAAAAATACAAAAAAATTAGCTGGTCACGGTGGCACATGCCTGTAGTCCCCTCTACTTGGTCGGGGGTGGCTGAGGCCAGAGGATTCTTAGAGCCCAGGAGGTCAAGGCTGCAGTGAGCCAAGATCACGACACTGCACTCCAGCCAGGTGACAAAGTGAGACCCTGTCTCAAAAAAAAAAAAAAAAAAGAAAGAAAAGAAAAGGAAATAAAAACTCTACTTTTAGTTCTCCTGCTGTTTCCACCACATCTACAGTTATTTCCTCCACTGATGTCTTGAGCCCTTCAAAATCGTCCATGACGATCAGAATGAATTTCTTCCAAACTCTCGTTAATGTTGACATTTTGACCTCCTCTCATGAATTATAAATGTTCTTAATGGCATCTAGAATGATGAATCATTTGCAGAGGTTTTCAATTTGCTTTGCCCAGGCCCATCAGAAGAATCACTATCTATGGCCCCAATAGCTTTATGATATGTTATTACTTAGTAAGACTTGAAAGTTGATATTACTCCTTGATCCATGCACTGCAGAATGGATGTTGTGCATGAAAACATTGATGTCTTTGAACGTCTTCATCAGAACTCTTGGTTGACTAGACTCATTGTAAATGAGCAGTAATATTATGAAAGGAATCTTTTTTTCTGAGCTCGATAGTGGGCTTAACATATTCAGTAAAGCATGCTGTAAACAGATGTGCTGTCATCCAGGCTTTGCAGGTCTATTTATAAAGCACAGGCAGAATAGATTTAGCATAATTCTTAAGGGACCTAGGAGTTTTGGAATCGTTAAATAAACATTGGCTTCAATTTAGAGTCAGCAGCTGCATTAGCCCCTAACAAGAGTCAGCCTGTTCTTTGAAGCTTTGAAGCAGGCATTGACTTCTCTCTATCTACAGCAGTCCAATAGAAGGCTATTTTGTCTACATAGAAAATTTGTTGTTTAGCGTAGTCACCTTCATCAATTGTCTTAGCTAGCTAGATCTTCTCTATAACTTGCTTCAGCTTCTACATCAGCACTTGCTACTTCGCCTTGCACTTTTGTTACGCAGTCAGCTTCTTTCCTTCAATCTTATGAACCAACCAACCTCTACAGCTTCCAGCTTTTCTTCTGCAGCTTCCTCACCTTGACTTCATAGGATTGAAGAGAGGGCCTTGCTCTGGACTAGGCTTTGTCTTAAGGGAATGTTGTGGTTGGTTTGCTATTCTATCCAGACCACTCAAACTTTGTCCATATCAGCAATAAGGCTGTTTCACTTTCTTATTTTTGGTGTGTTCACTGGAATGAGTAGCACTTTTACTTTTCTTCAACACTTATTTTGCATTCACAGCTTGGTTAATTGGAGCAAGAGGCCTAGCTTCACCCTATCTCTGCTTTCTACATGTCTTCCTCACTAAGCTTAATCATTTCAAGCTTTTTATTTAAAGGGAAAGACATACTATTTCTTTTCACTTGAACACTTAAAGAGGCCATTGTGGGATTATTAGTTGGCCTAATTACAATATTATTGTGTGTCAGGGAATAGGAGATAGGGAACAACTGGTTAGTGGAGCAGTCAGAACACATGCAACATTGATCGATTAAGTTCGCTTTCTTATATGGGCGTCGTTTGAGTCACCCCTCAAAAATTACAATAGTAACATCAAAGATCAATATCACAGATCACCATAACAGACATGATAATAATGAAAAAGTTTGAAATATTGTGAGAATTCTCAAAATTTGACGGACATGAAGTGAGTACGTGCTATTGGAAAAATGACACCAATAGACTTGCTTGATACAGGGTTGCCACAAACTTTTTCTGCACATTTTGAAACTTTGTATTTGCACATTTAAAAAATTGTGTATCCCGATAAATAAAATCACTGGAACAAAAAAACTGATACTCTGATTAAACTGAATTTTATAGCTTGCAGGACACCTTGGGCCAGCTTGGTTTTACTCTAGCTTTCACTGTCATTCCACCCTGCTTCTTCCTTCACCAACATTCAAATTCTTTTCCTTATCTGCCAGCCAGGCAGATCGGAGAGGCAAGAGCGGTCTTCATTTTCAGTAGCTCTTGATTCTTTGATGTGAGAGGAGCAGCACAGTCGTTTAAACTTGATCCAACCTCTTTGCATCTTGCAAAGTCAATCAGCCAAAAGAAGTAAAATATGAAGGCAATGCTTGTGCAATGTACAGTTCGTTTTCATGATGTATACCTCATTATGATTTGTCTGCTTGCTTCTCCTGTTTGGTCATTTCTTTGGAAGGCAGTGGATTTTTTTCTTGTGTTTTTTGTCTTCTTCAATTTTGACTTACCAAATTTCTCAATCCCAGCCATATCGGGTTTGTTGGATGTGGTTGCCAAGGAAGTGGAGTAAGGCGTTTGAGCAAGCAGAATCTGGTCTGCTCATAACTATTAAATTATTTAATAATAAAAGTACTTAGAATTACACTTGCCACAGAGTAACCACTTAGTAAATATTAGCATATTCACTCAAGTATCACTGTTTCATTGACATAGATTAAAACCAAAAATAAGTGACTTCAGTGATTGTCTTGCCTGATAAATAGGATTTTTTCACACGTGCCAATTTCATTCAGTGGCTCTCTGGCACACTGGGTTGAAGGCATATTGAGATTCTGTGTGAGATCACCTGGAAAGAACATGCTGCTAGATTAGTGATAGTTGCCATAGGAGAGACAGTGGAGGAAGAATACGTTTTGTATTTATTATCCCTAATATAGCTCACTTCCCAGTTTTTGGCTGAGATATCAGGTTGGTTATCTATTTTTCCAAGGGTTGTGGTTGAGATATCAGGTTGGTTATCTATTTTTCCAAGGGTTATGGAAGATAATGCTGCGTATGTAAAGGGGACCATTAAATAGACCAATGGAACAGAACAGAGCCCTCAGAAATAATACCACACATCGACAACCATCTGATCTTTGACAAACCTGACAAAAACAAGAAATGGGGAAAGGATTCCCTATTTAATAAATGGTGCTGGGAAAACTAGCTAGCCATATGTAGAAAGCTGAAACTGGATCTCTTCCTTACACCTTATACAAAAATTAATTCAAGATGGACTAAAGACTTAAATGTTAGACCTAAAACTGTAAAAACCCTAGAAGAAAACCTAGGCAGTACCTTTCAGGACATAGGCATGGGCAAGGACTTCATGACTAAAACACCAAAAGCAATGGCAACGAAAGCCAAAATTGACAAATGGGATCTAATTAAAGAGCTTCTGCACAGCCAAAAAAACTACCGTCAGAGTGAACAGGCTACCTACAGAATGGGAGAAAATTTTTACAATCTACCCACCTGACAGAGGGCTAATATCCAGAATCTACAAAGAACTCAGACAAATTTACAAGCAAAAATCAAACAACCCCATCAAATAGTGGGCAAAGCAGATGAACAGACACTTCTCAAAACAGACACATGAAAAAATGCTCATCATCACTAGCCATCAGAGAAATGCAAATCAAAGCCACAATGAGATACCATCTCACACCAGTTAGAATGGCGATCATTAAAAAGTCAGGAAACAACAGGTGCTGGAGAGGATGTGGAGAAATAGGAACACTTTTACACTGTTGGTGGGACTGTAAACTAGTTCAACCGTTGTGGAAGACAGTGTGGCGATTCCTCGAGGTTCTAGAACTAGAAATACCATTTGACCCAGCCATCCCATTACTGGGTATATACCCAAAGGATTATAAATCATGCTGCTATAAAGACACATGTACACATATGTTTATTGCAGCACTATTCACAATAGCAAAGACTTGGAACCAACCCAAATGCCCAACAATGATAGACTGGATTAAGAAAATGTGGCACATATATTCCATGGAATACTCTGCAGCCATAAAAAAGGATGAGTTCATGTCCTTTGTAGGGACATGGATGAAGCTGGAAACCATCATTCTGAGCAAACTGTCGCAAGGACAGAAAACCAAACACCGCATGTTCTCAGTCGTAGGTGGGAATTGAACAATGAGAACACTTGGACACAGGGTGGGGAACATCACACACTAGGGCCTGTCATGGTGTGGAGGGGGGGGGAGGGATTGCATTAGGAGATATACCTAATGTAAATGACGAGTTAATGGGTGCAGCACACCAACATGGCACATGTATACATATGTAACCTGCACGTTGTACACAAGTACCCTAGAACTTAAAATATAATAAAAAAAATTGACCACAAATATAACTATATACAAATGTAAAAATAATAATAATTTAAAAAAATTTACAAAAAAGAACCTTGAATGCCAGGCATAGAAATTTGGACATAATCTGAAAGTTAGTAGGTGTTACAACAGGGCAGTCATGAGTTGTAAACGGAAGGTTAATCTGCCACTGATTTGCAGGATCATTTGCAGTGAAGAGGAGTCAGAAGTAAGAATTCCAGTGGTTGTCATACTGTATTTTCTTGACTCTAAGAAGCATTTTTTCACATATAAGCATGGTTCTTATGTAGTAGGGTTGTTAAGAAGATTAAATGGGTTAATACATGTAAGACATTTAAATCAGTGCCTGGCATATAGCAAGCACTAGTACAAGTGTTAGCTGTCATCATTATTACAGTTATTGAACAATCAATATATACATTTAATGTAGTGTTTTTTAACATGAAAGCAGTAGGTTTCTTAATAATGAATGACATCTTAGAATGGTGAGATTATAGACCAGGTGTAAGATAATGAGGGCCTGGAAAAGGGTGGTAGTTGTGAGAATTCCAAAGAAGTAAGTCTGAGAGAGATTAAAAAAAGAATCGACTTGATGACATATTGGATATAGTGAATTAAGAAAAAGGAAAATTCTAAGACAACCCTCAGATTGCACACCTGAATGAATGGGAAATAGCTTGGCTTAAGAAAGAAATGTTACTTGATCTGTATAAAGTACTTATAACAATGCCTTGCACATGGAAAGCATTATTTTTGTTAGTTATTAGTAGTAGGACTATTTACACCTGTTATATACTTAAATTTGTTATCAGGTAATGTAATAAAGCTACCAAAATATGAAAGAACCTTGTACATAATTTACTAGTAGAGAATTTATATGTTCAAGGGAAAATAAATTATGTGTTTTAAATATTTTTCAGTATAAATCAATGAGGAAGAGTTCAAGTGGCAATGAAAATGATGAGGTGAGAAAAGATAATATTAATAATTATTTGAAATGTTTACTTATCATATGAAGTTGGCTCAGTGAGAGTAAAATGTAATCCATTTTTCAGTTTCTTTGTTATTGATTTAATGCATGGTTTTTTTTCAACAATAAAAACATATGAGCATCATCATACAATTATTAATTTAATCATTTAATTTCCATATGTCCTTTAGAATGGAATTACTAATAATTCAGTTTTAGAATTTTATCATCATTCGTCTTAGACCTGTCATATGTGAGTGTGTGTTGTCTTTCACATCTTTTATCTTTCTAAATCAGCCTGGTCGTCAATTGAGATTTTTTTTAGGAACTTTGTTTAGGAACTCCTTCCACAAATTCTGCATGCTATTTTAAAATTTAAAATTCGACTTCTACAGTTTGTGCATTACCATAAACCTTTCTACTGCACAGTGTAAACTATGCAGCAGCCTATCATTGTTGAAAAGATATATTCTCATTACCATAAATACTTAAGTTTTGTGTATTTTTGTTGGAGAGATTGGTATTTAATTTGATGTTGGGTACTTGGCAGGGCTTCTGAAAATGTCTTCAGTTTTAGGAAATAGAATCACACAGGGAAAAATAATGAATAGAGCCAGATGATTGGTCGTCTGCCAGCTCAGATGCCGATTTCTCTCCATTGGCCTCTCCAGTAGTATTTACTGGGATGAATAAAAGTCAGTTATGGCTATAGCTGGTCATATTTTCACTGTTAGTATTTATATTTAAGCCTAAATTACATGTTTTGTATGGGTATGCTTGGCAATATTTACCCATGCATCAGCACAATCAGTTCCTGTACACCTGCCCAAGCTTTCCATTGCACCAACTCCACAAGATCCCAGCCTACCCTTTAAATATTATTCCCAGGGAATGGCCTACTGTGTGGTCTCTAGCATGTCTTCACCAGCTGTCAAGCCTTCAGTGAATAACACCTGTGTACCTGCTGAAGCCTCTCAGATTTGTCTGTAGTCCAGACCTCTCCCCTGAGGTTCAAGCCCTTGCAATATTTTATCCATCTTCCTACCTGCTTAGAATTTCTGCTGGATATATCTCATAAACCCAATAGGACTAAATATGTTCAAAACTGAGTTTTTAAAAAGTTTTTGCTTCTAAACCCACTTTTTCGCTAATATCCGACAGTTTGTGTAGTGGCTCTCAACTTTGGCTGTACACTAAAATTACCAGGTGAGCTTTAGACAATACTGTCGCCTGGGTCACACCCCCTAGATATTATAATTTAATTGACATGTGGTATGTTGTGGTATGGACTGAGCAATGAAGTTTTTAACGTTTCCCATGTGAGTTTAATGTCCAGCCAAGGTTGAGAACTACTGAGTTAATGGAATCACCTTCCATCATCTAGCTGGAGCAGGGGCTGGCAAATTATGATCCAGGGGCCAAATTTGACATGCTGTATGGGATTGTAAGTAAAGCTGTATCAGAAAACAGCCATACTCATTTGCCTATGGCTACTTTTTCATTACTGTGGCAGTGTTTGAGTATAGTAGCTCTCCTTTTTTCTCCATTTCACTTTCCAAGGTTTCAGTTACCTGTGGTCAACCACAGTCTAAAAATAGGTGAGTACAGTACAATAAGACACTTAGAGAGAGACCACATTTACATAACTTTTATTACAATACATTGTTATAATTGTTCTATTTTATTATTAGTTATTGATGTTAATCTCATACCTGATTTATAAATTAAACTTTATCATAGGTATGTATGTATAGGAAAAAACATAGCACATATATTATAAAGGGTCTGGTACTATCTGTGGTTTCAGGCATTCACTGGGGTTCTTGGAACATATTCCTCATGAATTGGGGGACAGTTAGTTGTCACAAAGCCTAAAATATTTGTCATCTGCCTTTGACAGAAAACATTTTCTTATCCCTGCCTCCTCATACCCTCTTTTCTCTTGCCTGCCTCAATATCTAATCAGCAGCCAAGACTTACTGTTTGTTTATTTGCACTAAAATATTTTGCATACATTCCCCTTTTATTTCTACTGTTTCTGCTCCGGCAGAGGCCCTCGTCCATTTCTTGCCTGTTCTACTGCAATAACTTCCTTGCACTTCTCCCTTTCTCTAGTCCATTCTCACTGCAGCCAGAGTGGTCGTTTCAAAGAACACAGATGCAATCAGGCCATTCCCTTGCTTGGAAACCTTCAGTTTCCCCCCATAACTTAGAAGATAAATTCTAGATCCTCCTTTATCAAGCCCTTGCTTGCCACATCAGCCTTAATTCACAACTTGCTCTTCTTTCACCTTACCCTCCATTCACCTTACCCTCCAACAAGACAAAACTGCTCAGAGGTTTTCTGCACTCATCTTTACATTTGTTGCTTCCATGCTTTGGTTCTTCTCCTCTCATCTTAGCATGTTGTTCCCTTCTTTCTTTTTCTGGTAGACACTCAGTTTTTTACTGAATTTATACTTTCTCAGGAAACTTGCCTTTCTCTACCATCTTCATCATCCCCCCCAAGTGCCCCTTATCTGTGCCTCATAATATGCCATGCATTGTTCTGTATTATACTGAGAATGTTGTATTACCTGTATACATTAATCTATTTCTGTCCTCGACTGAAAGGTCCTTGAATGGGTGATATTTTACTAAATTTCAGTACTCTCACTGTCTAGCATAGTGTCTGACATATAGTAGGTAGCCAATAATCATTTGTTGAATGAATACATTTTCTATGTAGTGTGCATATTCAAAGTTAAATGTCAAAATTTTCATATTTGGTTGGCAGTAGAATAGTCATTTAAAAATCATGGACCATTTAATGTTTTATTAAATTAAATTCTTTGTAATTATCAATAAGCCTATATTAGATACATGTAAATTTTCAGATGAAAGTTATTTGGGGTGATGGAGATTTTGCATGCCTTCATTTACATGTCTCAGATTGGTAACACGTCCCTGCTATTATATGTAGATAGTATTTTTCAAACTTTACTATATTTCGAACCACTTGAGGGTCTTACTGAAATGTAGATTCTGATTAGTTAGGTCTCGGGTGAGGCCTGAGATTCTGCATTTCTAAACTCCCAGAGGATCCCTATGCTGCTGGTTTACAGACCACATGTAGAGTGGCAATGTGCTGGATGGCATATCTTTAGTAGGTCTTCCTTTAGTAGTTGGTCAGAACAATTTTTATTTTCCTTTTATATGTTTAAATCATCATTTGTATTGTAATTTCATCTTCCATCTTTTTATTTTTATGTTTTAGCAAGACAGTGATAATGCTAATATGTCAACACAATCTCCAGTATCATCTGAGGTACAAGTTCTGTTTTTATTTGTCTTAAAAATACGTTTTGTATGTTTTCTGTGTTTTACATAAGAGTCTTCCTTGCCAGTTCTCTGTAACCTGATTTTTTTTGCAATATAATTTATTCACTCATATTTTAAAATCCGTGGCAGATTAGTTTGTACAAACCTTCTAGCCTATAAAAAATTCTAAGAATGCCATTTTTTGGTAAAAATATTGATACTAGCACTTGTTTATTTATGATTTTCTGTAGTGTCTGTAGTGTCTGTAGTGATTTTTGGAAGTGTCTGTAGATTGCAGAAAAGAATTCACTTTATCAAATCTATGCTTTCTCATTCATCCGTATTTTAAAATAAATGATAGATTTTAAGAACAACTTTCAAATTTTAAATTTGAAAAAAGTACTTCAGCATTGTGCAATGGCCTTTGGTTTTTCTTGTAACCAGTTAGGTCTGAAACCAATGCAAAAGAAATTTCCTTTTTCCACGAGAAACATCCCTGCAGTGGGTTGTTCCTATCGACAGGAGGTTACACGTTTTTGGGAGAATGGGTATCAGAAAGTTAGAGTTTGTGAAATCTCGATCAAATACTCTGGTGGCTTGAATGACTGATTCTTCTAATTTATTTATTCAAGTCTATTGCTTTACAACAAGAGATAAATTTAAAAAATTCTAAACTCTATCTCTTCTACTTAAGATTACCTTAAAGTGTATTGGCATTAGTAAGTAAATGATTACACATTCATTTGATGAATTCAACACTTTGCTCAAAGTGTTGGATGGCCCAAATTCACTGTGTAACTTTGGTTACATAGATGCTGCTAATATTTCATTATATGTAGGTGGTGTTGCTTTTTTAATAGGCTAGGATTCTTTGTTGTTGTGGGTGATCTGCATTACAAAACTTTTGAATGGATTTGGACATTAATTTTATAAACATGTTTCTAAATTATTCATATGATAGGTAAAATGGTATACACACTTTTAGAAAACAATTTAAATTAGGATATCTTAAAATTAGTCTTTGTCATATGCTTTTGTAATTCTTTTACTTTAAGTTACAAGTATAAGCATATAAGTGACTACTACTTATTTGTCTGCTTGATATATGATTTTATGATCTGTGTTCACAGGGAAGACTATTCATACCAAATTTCCCAAATAATTTACATTGATATATATATACGTATATATATACGTGTATATATATATGTATATATATGTATATATATACATATATATATACGTATATATATGTGTATATATATATGTGTGTGTGTATATATATATATATATATATATATATATATATATATATATATATATATATATATATATATATATATATATATATATATATATATATATATATATATATATATATATATATATATATATATATATATATATATATATATATATATATATATATATATATATATATATGACACATGATCTCACTCTGTTGCCTAGGCTGGAGTGCAGTGGCACGATCTCAGGTCACTGCAACCTCCACCTCCCACATTCAAGCGATTCTTGTGCCTCAGCCTCCCGAGTAGGTAGGACTACAGGCACATGCCACCACACCTGGCTAATTTTTGTATTTTTAGTAGAGACAGGGTTTCACCATGTTGATCAGGCTGGTCTTGAACTCCTGGCCTCAAGTGATCTACCTGCCTTGGCCTCCCAAAATGTTGAGATTACAGGTGTGAGTTTTGTAATATATTTTTTATTTCATTTGGATCAGTGAAATTTTCATCTAGGAATTCATATTAATTTAACCAAAATAGTGAAGACAAACTGGGAGGCTTGTAGATTTGGATAGGGTGGTGAGTATGTATGTGCTTTGGTAACTCAACTGACATTTAACCTGAACTGCATATCACGTGTTAACAGAAGATTTAGGTAATCTACAGAATTCTGATTACATTAATTTCATGTGTGAATGGAAAAGAGTAAAACTAATTGGTGTAATGCTTTAGTATTAACAAAGTGCTTGCCTGTATATTTGTACCTAAAAGCAGCCCCATAAAATAGGTATGATCCTCATCATTTTACAGCTGAAGAGATGGGTAACTTTCCAAACTATCTTAGTTAATAAATGGCAGAGAAGTGACTGAAGCTGAGCCCTACTCACTTCACAGAGTTGTTGCACAGATTAAATAAGGTGCTGCTAAGATTACATTATTTTATCATCATTTAGTTATCTCATTTAATCTTCACAGTAACCTCATTTGAAAGATGAAGAAACAATCACAGAGAAATTATATGTTGTGCTCAAAACATAGCCTAAGCTTTCTAACTCCATCTTCAGATTTGTTTAATGTACTACAAATCTTTCCATAGCAAACCACTGTGTGTGAAAGATTTGAAAAAATATTCATTCAAATAGAAGAGATGATATTTATCATCTATCATTCTGCAGTCCCTATACAAATATGTTTGCCTTCAGATTATCTACTGTTAGGTGTTAAGTCCATAGTAGATGCTGAGTAAATGCTAAATTCACTTACCTTTTCATTGAAGCTTACTTCTTTTTTTCGGAAACTTCAGTCTGATTCTTTCAAAAAGTATGATCTATTTTATACAGTTCACTAATGATTTTCATTTTCTTTCTACTATGAAAGTATTTAAAGCCTATATGGTTAGCTCAACTAGCAAATATTAGTTGACCTCTTAAAAGTGACATGTATCAACTTGAATTGAAATGCAAGTTACTTTTCTCTTCACTAATCATAGGAAAATAAGTATTTCCCCAAATTGGAATGGATGTGAATAAGCACCTTGATTATTTTGAAAGAAAAGAAGTTTTATTATTTATTTATTTTTAACTTTTTAATTTTTTTTTAGGAATATGACAGAACTGATGGTTTTTCACACAGTCCCTTTGGCTTGAAGCCTAGATCAGGTAAATAGATATTCTGTAAATAAAATTTATTAGTTATATATGAAACTAGTTTCCCAGCTTAAATGGGATTGATTCCATAGTCTTAAGTACACATAGATTCTTTCCCCTCTCCTAAAAGCAATTTTCTCTTAACGATATTTGTCTTTCCAATTCCCATTCCCATTTCTTTCTTCCTCTTTACCTTCAAGCTCCTGAAACCTCAGCTTTTTGCCTTAGATATACTGCAGTCTTATTTCTACTCTACTGTGACTGCTGTTAGAATGACCACTCTGCCAGCAGACCAAACACTGTTTGAAATTATAGCACTCCATTATATTGTGGTTTTATAAAGGGATCTTTTCGCATTTGGCAAGCCCAAAAGAAAATGGATCCATGTTACTTGTCAAGGTATTGAACTATAGTTTTTATTCCTGAATAACTGTATTGACCTTCAAGAATAATTTCCTTTTTTAAAAGATAAAAGGCTGACATATGTTCAGTAATCATTTTTAACCTGGGCCATAAGTTTCTAATAACGTATGTTTGAATAAGAACATGTATAGGTGGTAGAAATCATTACACTTATCTTCCCTGTTGCTTTCAATTATGCACATAAATAGAGTTCAAATATATTCTCTAAAAATATTTGGAATGTATTAGTGAGTAATAATATTTTATGTAATTTTGTATTGATTCATCATGCCTCTTTCCCCATCAATAGTTGCTCCTTCCCATTAACTTTGTAACAAGTTAGGAAATTTCTGTTTTTATAGCTTTTAGCCGCTCATCTCGCCAAGAATATGGGGCAGCAGATCCAGGATTTACAATGAGAAGAAAGATGGAACATTTACGGGAAGAGCGAGAGCAAATACGACAACTTCGCAACGTAAGTCAGATTGCTCTTTCAGATCTGCTTTGTGGAAATGGGTTTAACTTGGAAAATTAATAAGGCGTACAGATTTCATTTTCAATGCTCCTTAAAATGTTTGGATATACAACAATTAGTAATATAAACATTTAACATGTATGTTTAGATAGAGTATCTGATTTATACCTGTTTTTCTATAGAATCTTGAATCCAGGTTAAAAGTAATTTTGCCTGATGACATTGGAGCTGCACTGATGGATGGGGTTGTTCTTTGCCATTTAGCCAATCATATAAGGCCACGTTCTGTTGCTAGTATTCATGTACCATCACCAGCAGTGGTAAGTTTTGTTTACAATTTGTTAGTTCTCTAAAGGAAGATATAGCTTCTTAAAATTGTCTTTAAATAATATACCTCAGTGAACTTAGTTTTCAGTTTTGATTAAGTTCCATAGAAAAATGCCTAAAAGTACATTTTTTCCCTCTTACTTTACAGCCCAAACTGAGCATGGCAAAATGTCGAAGAAATGTAGAAAATTTTCTTGATGCTTGTAAAAAGTTGGGTGTCTCACAGGTAATTGTTATTTATCTAACAACGTGATCACTTAAATTTGAATTTATTACATGCAAACTGGGGTTCTTCTTAGAGCAATGAATAATGCTTTCTGAACATGAAAATGAATGCCTTCTCTTGGTACCTTCTCCTAAGCTCCAGCTTTCACTGTAGCAGTTATCTAATGAATGTTTTTAAGCTACCTTTAAAGTAATTTATAAAATAGCTACAAATATGGAAAATCATGCACATCACTGACCAAACATAACTCGGTGGCCATATTTACAACTTGGTTGTGATGTCATTGTTACCATCTTTTTTTCCTTCTTTTTTTTTTTTTTTTGCTAGAGAACATTTGGACCCCATTGTAATTCACTGGATAGATTCTGATTGGAAGATTTGCATTCAGTGTGAATAGCTTTTTAAACTTTATTTAAAATGCAAAATTGGAAATTATACCAGCATATTATGATAATACCTGTATTGGACAAACTTTGAAATTTTTAGGAATTGTCTTATGTTTCATGTAATAATTGCACTACTATACAATAATCATTAAAGCAGTATTGTAAATATGTAAGGAAGATATATAATCACAATATTGCTTCTTTGTAAAGTGTTATAAACCTAACCTCAACATGAATGACTATGGAGAGAAATGACATTGTTATCAGAGCACAATTAAGTTGTGCTTGTTAAGCTGTCTTTTGAACAGTGTCTTAATAATCTGGTCTACAGATCCCACTTTAATCTCTTCCCTCAAGTAAGTAAACATAATTTAATGTGTAGAGAATCTGAATTGTTGGGTAATTTGGAAATTACATAATGTTCTCTAATTACCTCTTGTATATAGTTGATGTGATGGTTTTGTTTTTGTTTTTGCTTTTGTTTTTTTGAGACAGAGTCTCACGCTGTCGCCCAGGCTGGAGTAGTGCAGTGGCACGATCTCGTCTCACTGCAACCGCCGCCTCCCAGTTCAAGCAATTTTCCTGCCTCAGCCTCCCAAGTAGCTGGGACTACAGGCACATGCCACTACACCCAGATAATTTTTTATTTTTAATAGAGACGGAGTTTCACCATGTTGGCCAGGCTGGTCTTGAACTCCTGACCTCAAGTGATCCACCCGCCTCAGCCTCCCAAAGTGCTGGGATTACAGGCACAAGCCACTGTGCTTGGCTGATGTGATGTTTTAAATTTTTAATTCTTAAAAATGTTTGTTGTTTCTTTTTTCTACTCTCAATCTTTCAGTGGGGAAATAGCAAACTTAGCAACGTTTTCTGCAGCCATTACATTATACAGATTTTCCCGTTTTGCCATTTTTTCTTTTTTAAAATTAAAAAAACCCCTTTATTTATTTATTTATTTATTTATTTATTATTATACTTTAAGTTTTAGGGCACATGTGCACAATGTGCAGGTTAGTTACATATGTATACATGTGCCATGCTGGTGCGCTGCACCCACTAACTCGTCATCTAGCATTAGGTATATCTCCCAATGCTATCCCTCCCGCCTCCCCCCACCCCACAACAGACCCCAGAGTGGGATGTTCCCCTTCCTGTGTCCATGTGTTCTCATTGTTCAATTCCCACCTATGAGTGAGAATATGCGGTGTTTGGTTTTTTGTTCTTGCGATAGTTTACTGAGAATGATGATTTCCAGTTTCATCCATGTCCCTACAAAGGACATGAACTCATCATTTTTTATGGCTGCATAGTATTCCATGGCGTATATGTGCCACATTTTCTTAGTCCAGTCTATCATTGTTGGACATTTGGGTTGGTTCCAAGTCTTTGCTATTGTGAATAATGCCGCAATAAACATACGTGTGCATGTGTCTTTATAGCAGCATGATTTATAGTCCTTTGGGTATATACCCAGTAATGGGATGGCTGGGTCAAATGGTATTTCTAGTTCTAGATCCCTGAGGAATCGCCACACTGACTTCCACAATGGTTGAACTAGTTTACAGTCCCACCAACAGTGTAAAAGTGTTCCTATTTCTCCACATCCTCTCCAGCACCTGTTGTTTCCTGACTTTTTAATGATTGCCATTCTAACTGGTGTGAGATGGTATCTCATAGTGGTTTTGATTTGCATTTCTCTGATGGCCAGTGATGATGAACATTTTTTCATGTGTTTTTTGGCTGCATAAATGTCTTCTTTTGAGAAGTGTCTGTTCATGTCCTTCGCCCACTTTTTGATGGGGTTGTTTGTTTTTTTCTTGTAAATTTGTTTGAGTTCATTGTAGATTCTGGATATTAGCCCTTTGTCAGATGAGTAGGTTGTGAAAATTTTCTCCCATTTTGTAGGTTGCCTGTTCACTCTGATGGTAGTTTCTTTTGCTGTGCAGAAGCTCTTTAGTTGAATTAGATCCCATTTGTCAATTTTGGCTTTTGTTGCCATTGCTTTTGGTGTTTTGGACATGAAGTCCTTGCCCATGCCTATGTCCTGAATGGTAATGCCTAGGTTTTCTTCTAGGGTTTTTATGGTTTTAGGTCTAACGTTTAAATCTTTAATCCATCTTGAATTAATTTTTTTATAAGGTGTAAGGAAGGGATCCAGTTTCAGCTTTCTACATATGGCTAGCTAGTTTTCCCAGCACCATTTATTAAATAGGGAATCCTTTCCCCATTTCTTGTTTTTCTCAGGTCTGTCAAAGATCAGACAGTTGTAGGTATGCGGTGTTATTTCTGAGGGCTCTGTTCTGTTCCATTGATCTATATCTCTGTTTTGGTACCAGTACCATGCTGTTTTGGTTACTGTAGCCTTGTAGTATAGTTTGAAGTCAGGTAGTGTGATGCCTCCAGCTTTGTTCTTTTGGCTTAGGATTGACTTGGCGATGCGGGCTCTTTTTTGGTTCCATATGAACTTTAAAGTAGTTTTTTCCAATTCTGTGAAGAAAGTCATTGGTAGCTTGATGGGGATGGCATTGAATCTGTAAATTACCTTGGGCAGTATGGCCATTTTCACAATATTGATTCTTCCTACCCATGAGCATGGAATGTTCTTCCATTTGTTTGTATCCTCTTTTATTTCCTTGAGCAGTGGTTTGTAGTTCTCCTTGAAGAGGTCCTTCACATCCCTTGTAAGTTGGATTCCTAGGTATTTTATTGTCTTTGAAGCAATTGTGAATGGGAGTTCACTCATGATTTGGCTCTCTGTTTGTCTGTTGTTGGTGTATAAGAATGCTTGTGATTTTTGTACATTGATTTTGTATCCTGAGACTTTGCTGAAGTTGCTTATCAGGTTAAGGAGATTTTGGGCTGAGACAATGGGGTTTTCTAGATATACAATCATGTGGTCTGCAAACAGGGACAATTTGACTTCCTCTTTTCCTAATTGAATACCCTTTATTTCCTTCTCCTGCCTAATTGCCCTGGCCAGAACTTCCAACACTATGTTGAATAGGAGTGGTGACAGAGGGCATCCCTGTCTTGTGCCAGTTTTCAAAGGGAATGCTTCCAGTTTTTGCCCATTCATTATAATATTGGCTGTGGGTTTGTCATAGATAGCTCTTATTATTTTGAGATACGTCCCATCAATACCTAATTTATTGAGAGTTTTTAGCATGAAGGGTTGTTGAATTTTGTCAAAGTTCTTTTCTGCATCTATTGCGATAATCATGTGGTTTTTGTCTTTGGTTCTGTTTATATGCTGGATTACATTTATTGATTTGCGTATATTGAACCAGCCTTGCATCCCAGGGATGAAGCCCACTTGATCATGGTGGATAAGCTTTTTGATGTGCTGCTGGATTCAGTTTGCCAGTATTTTATTGAGGATTTTTGCATCAATGTTCATCAAGGATATTGGTCTGAAATTCTCTTTTTTGGTTGTGTCTCTGCTCGGCTTTGGTATCAGGATGATGCTGGCCTCATCAAATGAGTTAGGGAGGATTCCCTCTTTTTCTATTGATTGGAATAATTTCAGAAGGAATGGTACCAGTTCCTCCTTGTACCTCTGGTAGAATTCAGCTGTGAATCCATCTGGTCCTGGACTCTTTTTGGTTGGTAAGCTATTGATTATTGCCACAATTTCAGATCCTGTTATTGGTCTATTCAGAGATTCAACTTCTTCCTGGTTTAGTCTTGGGAGGGTGTATGTGTAGAGGAATTTATCCATTTCTTCTAGATTTTCTAGTTTATTTGCGTAGAGGTGTTTGTAGTATTCTCTGGTGGTAGTTCGTTTTTCTGTGGGATCAGTGGTGATGTCCCCTTTATCATTTTTTATTGTGTCTATTTGATTCTTCTCTCTTTTTTTCTTTATTAGTCTTGCTAGCGGTTTATCAATTTTGTTGATCCTTTCAAAAAACCAGCTCCTGGATTCATTAATTTTTTGAAGGGTTAAAAAAAACCCTTTTTTTAGAGATGGAGTCTGACTGTGTTGCCCAGGCTGGACTGGAACTCCTGAGCTCTAGACTTCCATTTCACAAATAACTGGGATTACAAGCATTCACTACCTCACTAATATTATGTCATTTTTGTTTTAAGGGTTTTATTTTTAGCTTCATTGCTTTTCTCTGAACTCAGAATTGGTAATATATAATAATTTTTAAATTAATTTTCTTTGTTTTAGGATGTTTTCCAATTTTTAACAGCCTTATTGAGTTATTAACATACAATATAGGGCATATAAATAAAGTGTACAATTTGATCAATTTTGACATATGCATACACCATGAAATCATCACCACAGTCAAAATAATGAACATATCTACTGCCCCCCAAAATTTCCTCATGTGTCTTTGCAATCCTTCTTTCTCCAGCAACCACTAATCTGCTTTCTGTCATTGCAGATTAGTTTGCACTTTCTAGAGTTTTATATAAATGGAATGATACAATATGTATTATATTTTTCTATCTTCTTTCACTCAGCATAATTATTTTATGACTCGTCAGTGTTGTTGCATGTATGAATAGACCATTGCTGTTCATTTCTGGATAGTATTTTATTGTATGGATATACCACAGTTTGTTAATCCCTTGACCTGCTGATGGACATTTGGGTTGTTTCCAGTTTTAGCGGCTGCTACAAATAAAGCTGCTATGAACATTTGTATACAAGTCTTTGTATGGATTTATACATTCTTTAATTTTTAGTAAATACCTAGCAGTGGAATAACTGGAACATATGGAAGTGCATACTTAACATTTTAAGAAACTACATAACTCTTCCAAAGTGGTTGTACTGTTTTACATTCCTGTCAGCAGTATGTGAGAGTTCCAGTTCCTCCACATCCTCACTAACATTCAGTATGATCAATCTTCTAAAAATTTTAGTCATTGTGATATGTATGTACTGACTTGCCAGTGCAGTTTTAATTTGCATTTTCCTAAAGACTAATGATGCCGATCATCTTTTCAAGGCTTATTTGCCACCTGTATATCTTCTTTTTGAAGTACTTTGAAGTATACTTTCTTTTTTGAAGTACATATTCTAATCTGAGGTATATTTTGTATTGGGTTGTTTATTTTCCTATGATTGAATTTCAGATTTCTTTACAAGTTATGGATAAAGACATTTACCAGATTTATAAATATTGCATCCAAATCTTTGGCTTGTCCTTTCATTGTCCTTAGAGTGTCTTTCAAGGAGCAGGATCTTCACTTATTGAAGTACAATTTATTTTTTAAAATGGGCTGTGCTTTTTGTGTCAAACCTAGGAAATCTTCGTATAATCCAAGGCCACAAAGATTTCTTTCCTATGTTTACTTCTGGAAATTTTATAATCTTAGGTTTTGTGTTCATGTCTATGATCAATTTTGAGTTAGTTTTTGTATGTGGTTAAAAAGTATGGATTGAAGTTCTCTTTTTTTAAGCCTGAGATTGGGCATATACATTGATTTTTTTAAGAAAATATTTTTATTGAGATATAATTACAATGCCATAGCATTCACTGATTTAAAGTGTACAATTAAATGGTTTTTAGCATAATCACAGAGTTCAGCAACAGTTAACAACAATCTGTTTAAAATATTTTCGTCACCCCAGAAACACAGCCCTTGCCCATTCGCAGTCCTTCCTCTGTTCTTTCTATGGATTTGCCTACTCTAGACATGACATATAATGAAATCATACAATATGTGGTCTTTAGTGTCTGGCTTCTTTGACTTAGTATAATTTTTCCAAGGTTCATCCATTTGTAGCCTAAATCAGTACTTCATTTCTTTTTATGGCTGAATAGTGTTCTGTTCTAAATACATACCACATGTTGTTTATCCATTCATCAGTTGATAGACATTTGGATTGTTATCACTCATTGTTTATTATGAATAATGTTGCTTTGAACATCCGTGAATAAGTTTTTCTTTGAACACTTGTTTTCAGTTCTCTTGGTTATACCTAGCAGTGAAATTGTTAGGTTATATGGTAACTCTATGTTTATATTTTTTAAGAAACTGACAAAATATGTTGCAAAGTGGCTGCACTATTTTTACATTTCCACCAGCAATATATGAGGGTTCTAATTTCTTCACATCATCACCAACAATGGCTACTACTGTCTACCTTTTTGGTTGTAGCTATTTTAGTGTGTATGTGATGTGATATCTTATTGCGGTTTTGATTTGCGTTTCCCTAGTAGTTAATGATGTTGAGCATCTTTTCTTGTGCTTATTGATTTGTATATGTTCTTTGGAGTAATGTCTATTGAAACCCTGTGTTCATTTCTGAGTTAGATTATTTATCTTTTTTTTTTGAGTTGTAGTTCCTTATGTATTCTGGATACAAATTGCCTAAGAGATACATGATTTGCAAATATTTTCTCCCATTCTGCAGGTTGTCTTTTCACTTTCTTGATGGTATCATTTACAGCACAAAAGTTACTAATTTGATGAAGTGTAGTTTATCCCATTTTTTCTTCTGCTGCTTATGATTTTGATATCATATCTAAGAAAACATTGTGTAATTCAGGGTCACAAAGATTTACACCTGTGTTTTCTTCTAAAAGTTTTATAGTTTTAGGGCTTACCTTTTTGTCTGTGATCCATTTTGAGATCAGTTTTGTGCATGGTATGAGGTACGGATCCAAATTCATTCTTTCACATGTGGATATCCAATTTTCCCAGCACCATTTGTTGATAAGACTCTTCTTTTCCCCATTGAATTGTCTGTCTTAGCACCTTTGTCAAAAATCAGGTGACCATAAATATAAGGCTTTATTTCTGGATTCTCAGTTTTTTTTACCACTAAATTCCTTATTCCAGTATCACACTGTCTTGCTTACTGTAATTTTGTGATGCATTTTGAAATCAAGAAGTGTGAGTCTTCCACATTTGTTCTGTATCAAGGTTGTTTTGGCTATACTGAGTCCCTTGCATTTCCATATCAATTTTAGGATTGATTAGCTTGTCAATTTCTGCAAAAAAGCCACTTGGGATTTTGCTGGGATTACCGAATCTAAAATGATTTGGGGAATATTGTCATCTTCACAATGTTTATTCCTGTGATCCATTAACATGAGACATCTTTCCATTTATTTATATCTTTTAATTTTTATTCCAACAGTGTTTTGTAGTTTTCAGTGTATGAGTCTTTCATTAGATTTGTTAAATTAAATGCTTAGTATTTTATTCTCTTTGGTACTATTATAAATATAATTATTTCTTTAATTCCACTGTCAATTTTTTATTGCTACTTCATAGAAATAGAAGTGATTTTCTTTTATTGATCTTGTATTCTGCAACCTTGCAGAACTCATTTATTAGTTCTATAATAGTTTTTTTGTGTGTGTTTCTGTGCCTTAGGAGTTTCTCTTTACAGAATCATTTAATTATTCTTTCAAAGAATTCATCCATTTCATCTAACTTGTCAAACTATTATTATGAAGTTATTTATAATGTCTCCTTATTATCATTTTGGTATTTGTAGAATATCTTGTGGTGTCACTTCCCTTATTTATGATATTGGTAATTTGTGTATTCTCTCTTTCCTTCCTGATTAGCCTAGCTTGAGGTTTATGAATTTTTAAAAATCTTCTAAATGAACTAACTTTGGGTTGCATTGATTTTTTTTATCTATTGTTTTTTGTTTTTTTACTTTATTGTTTTCCTCTCTCATTCTCATTATTTGCACCATTCTTTTGCCATTGGTTTAATTTGCTCTTCTTTTTTTAGTTTCTAGGGTGGAAGCTGAAGTCATTGATTTGAAGCCTTCCTTCTTTTCTAGCATACACTTCAGTGGTTATTTGAATAAATAAGCAAAATATTAAGAGGGCAACAAATATAGCAGTGAAGATGGAGATGAGGCAATAATTTTGAGAACTCTTTATGGGATACCATCATTAGTATTTGGAGAATGGGTTATGGGAGTAAGGAAGAAAGAGGAAGACTATTATATTTCACAGGTTTGTCAATGGAGATTGAATAGTGTATTACTAAGACATGGATCGCAGAAGGGCAAATTAATTTGGTAAAGTAGTTCTGTTGTGGACACATTGATTTTGATATGTCTGTTAGATGTCCATTTGGCTGTGTCCAGTTGATATTGTATTTGGAGATCAATAGAGAGATCTTGGGAGGAAATAAAAACTTGGAAGCCATCGGTATGGAAGGGGTAGTTAAAACTAGAAATAGATGAGAATACCAAAAGAGAGGGTATAGTGTAAAAGAGAAGAGAGTGAAGACAGAACCCTTGGAAACATTTGGAATGTTGGAAGAGGATCGGTGAGGGCTAATTAATGAAAGCTACTGCACAATTGCTGTCAGAAAAGTTGAAGTAGAAAAGAATGGTGTCACACAAGACAGGGGAGGAGTAAGGTTCCCAGAAAGGCATTAATCAAAGGCATAATATGACTGAGCAGTCAACTAGACATGTGCAACATTTGACATTTAAGATGGCATTGGTGATTTTTACTAAAATAGTTTTAGTGGGCATATGCTTTAGGGTTAGATGTAAGATAGCAGTGGTTGAGTAGTGAGTGGGAAATCCAAAAGTGGTGACCAACTCTTTTATAAACATTTTCTTTGTAGAGAAAGAGGTACAAGTGTGGAATGACAGCATTTCAAACAAGGCCGACTTCTATAATCTTTTTTCTTAGTATAAATTAAGAATCTAAAAACATTTTAGATTACAATATTTATAAGAGAAAACTTAGAATTATGTAGTTTTCTTGACATTTTATAGAAATCATGTTTTTAAAATCAAATTCTGACTTAATTTTATTACACTTCTAAAAAATGAATGTTCAAATATCTCTTTTTTTTCTCCAGGAAAGACTTTGTTTGCCTCATCATATTTTGGAAGAACGAGGACTTGTGAAAGTTGGTGTCACAGTTCAGGCGCTCCTTGAATTACCAACAACCAAGGCATCTCAGCTTTCTGTGGCTTAATATAACATTTTAAAATTCTAAGTGTATAGTTTCATTTATTTGAAGTGATTTCAAATATTTCAAATTCATGAATAAGAATATTCCGTCAAAAATAGTTTGCCTTAGGTCACGCCTTAGGATTTTAAAAAAATTACATTGAAACATCAAACTTAAACATTGAATTGCCCGAACTTCTTTGGGGGAAAACTGGATTAACTTAATAAGAGTATTTGATAAACTCAAATTCTCTTTTTACTAAGTCAGTTGATAATCTTGATTATTTTTCAGAAAGCAGACTGATACTAAATTTAAAATGTAGTTTCAATTTAATAATCACATTAGGTTTAATTTTTTTACATCATAGCATATTAGTAAACATCTGGATAAAGGTAATTTTTTTTAGCAATTTAGAGCAATTCTATATTTGAGTTATTTAATACACTTCTAATTCTAGTTTATACACAATTTCTTCAATCTTTGGTCTTAGTTTTCTAGAAAAAAGGAGTAGAAAAAACAATTCTGGCTTTATATTAAATTCTTTTAGTATTATAGGTTGGTGCCAAAATATTTTCAGTTGTACTGTAGATTGTTTACATGTGAAGTGCCTGTGTAATTGATGACTCTTACATAGTCTTAAGCATTTTTGCAATTTTTTAAATGTATTAATAGAGTCAATGGAACTTTAAAATATTTTAGTAGATTTTGTAAAGTCAGTAATATGTGAGGATTTAAATGAGCCTCACATTGTGACATTTGTGGTTTTTTAGTTAGTCCATTGCAGTTTCCCTTAAATTGGTTATTTCATGTTGTCAAAAATACCAATGTTAATATGATTAATTTATGCTATTTAATTTTGTGAAACTTAATCATCTTTTAAAATGTATTATTTGAAGAGTATTTTATTTCTGTATTGAAAATGTTACACAAAGCAGTAAAGTTTTTGAGAACTAGTGAAGTACTAATTATCAAGGACATTTTGATAAAACTGCCAAAGTTTGGGTTTATATCTTCCCTTTGAGCAGCATTCTATCAGTGCTGCCTTTAGCTATACTCAGAGAGCAGCAGTTGAGGAATAGGTTTTTACTCAAAATCTGGCCATTTGTGAATCCTGTAAACCTTGTGATCTTCAATTACTTTGATGTTAAATTAAACACAGACTCTTCTATAAATATTTTCATGAGATACTGTGTTACACAAAGTCCTTGTTTTAACTTAGGTATGGGTAAATTTACATTGGTGGTATTGCAGGAATTTTTCAAAAACATTACTGTAATGAATAACTGAGTTTCCTATAGAAGAACCTGAATAATTACTTTTGTAGTAACCAAGCAAGCATCATATCTTAAGTATGTGATCATTTGCACTTGTTACCTCTTAATATGGATGCAACTTATTAAAAATGTTGGCCTGGGTATTTCAAAGGGTATATATAAAAGGTAAAAAACTAGTGTGCCAAATGGTATAGGAACAACTGTACTTTTTTTGATCAGTTGGCATGAAGCCATAGAATTAAATTTTGGCTTTAGAATACAGATGTGTTCATTACATTCCCCAAGGGTCAAATTGGAGCTTTTAAAGAATTAAAGCTTCTATGAGTATATGGTTTAAGAATTAAATTATTAGTAATTTATTATTTTAAATATTTGACCTCATTAGTTGTTAATTTTTTAGTTGGATAAAAAAAAAACTCGCTGACATAATCTCCCTAGTGAAAACTTGGGTAATATATGTAAGAAATGGCAAATAAATACCTTAGTTAATGACTTTTTATGTAGAAATTTGACAGCATTACAAATTAAGTGACCATTAAAAACACAGCAATCATTCATACTGCTTTCATAGGTGTTATGATAGTCTCTGATTAATCAATCTAGTATGAATTATTTTACAAGTGTTGTCCTGTTTCATATCTTTGAAGTAGTAGTGAAATTGTAGGCCATTTTCTTATAACATTTCAGTTACTTTTCAGTTAATTATTCCTTTAAAAAGAAAATACAGCAGAACCTCACTGTAGCATTCTTTACTGCAGAGCAAAATTCAATTTAAGATGGGCTTCTCTGAGGTCCACATCATGGCAGTTCATTTACTCTTGTGCCAAATGGCAACACCACGTCTAAAGCAGTTTCACAGCATGGTCCCCTACAATGTTATACCAAGGCTCTGATGTATTTCTTTTAGTAGTTTCTAAGTGTAAAATTTATTCTAAATGTTTTTATGGCTATTATCTATTTCATCAGTTATTGAATTAAGAATGATTTTCATTACTTGAGTGGGATTTGTGATTTAATGACAGTTGAATAATCAAAAATATTTTATTAGGCCCCCAAAATTTAATAGATATCTATTTCTGTTACATTTTATTACTGTATGGCACAAGAAAGAAGTGACATTGGGTATGTTAGAAATGAAATAAGGAGTAAAAATGCATTACCATTTGTTTAATAATTATCTTTACAGAATGCTAGTTTAATGACTTTTTTAACTGAATTTTTTGAATAAATCAGAAATGTTTGTATTGGTCACAGATCTATCATAATTGCTTTTCTGATGCATTTAAAAATAAATGGAACACTTAAATGTATATTACCGATGCAAACTGTGGATAAAGTTGAAAGAAAAAATTTAAGTCTGGTATTTCTTTTCTCCCTCTCTACCTCCTTTCTTACCATCACATCATCCATTTTTTGTCAGCATTTGATAGATGGTGTCTGTGTTCCCTAGTGTAGAAAAATAGCCAGACTTTGAGGGAATATTCAAAGTAAGTGGTTTAGAGGTCCAGATTCACTTTATATTGTGAAAGGAAAATAAATCTTGGGGCCCCAACATCACTAAGCTAAAGGAGAAGGTCAAGCTGGGAACTGCTTAGGAGAAACCTACCTCCAGTTCTATTCAAAGTCATCACTCTGCTCACTGAGATAAATGCCTATCTGATTGCCTCCTTTGGAGAGGCTAATCAGAAACTTAAGAGAATGCAACCATTTGTCTCTTATCTACCTATGACCTGGAAGCCCCCTCCTCACTTCCAGTTTTCCCGCCTTTCCGGACTGAAATAATATTTGTCTTACATATGTTGATTGATGTCTTGTGTCTCCCTAAAATGTATAAAACCAAGCTGTGCTCTGATCACCTTGGGCACAGGTCATCAGGACTGCCTGAGGCTGTGTCACAGGCACCATCCTCAACCTTGGCAGAATAAACTTTCTAAATTAACTGAGACCTCTCTCAGATATTCAGGCTTCACATTTGGTAACCATGAAGGGATTCTGATTGGAGGTACCCCTGACCTTTGACAAATCTCTTATTGGTGCTTGGTACCAACATGAGCTAACTGTATGGCTCAAACGAATAAGGCAATTTGCTGAGGTCTGGGAGCACCCCCTCCAGAGAATCCCTGATCTCCCAAAATCTGGTCGAAATCTAAAGTTTATTTTGCTGTATGATTCCCTTTTTTGGAGTTTTACTTGCTCCCAACAAGGAAGGGAAGATTTCCTGCTTCCATGACAATGGAAGGCAGGTAATCCTTTATGGAGTCTGAGCTCGCTCCCAACAGGGAAGATGGGATTGAGTTTTTTCGTGCTTTTAGGATGGTAGAGAACATTGTTCAGCCTGAGACCCATCCCTAGGTAAGTAACTGAATTGAGGTTTTGATTTGACTAAAATTAACAACCAGCTGGTTTTAATTTCTCCTTACCATTAGAGCACTCAGTGATCATATTGTTGGGTTTTTTGTTGTTGTTTGTTCTGGTCTTTCTCCCATCAGATTTGACCATCTCTACCTGATTTCGTCAAATCTGAGTGAGGATTCCAAATTATGGGTAAGAAAGCCTCTCTAATTTGTCTAAAATTCCTTGCAGCTGCAAAAGAGGAAAAAAAAAAACCGTGCACTTGGTTTCTGTGTTGCTTCCTGTCTTGAAAAACAAACATTCTTTCATTTACTTTTCTTCCACCCTATTTTTTGCCATTTGCAGTACCAAAAAAAAAAAAAAAAAAAAAAAAAAAAAAAATCTAGAGGAGGCTTCTAATGACTTGAACCACTTTAAAAAATTCAGAACAAAGGCATCACTCACCCCTTTTGGGGTGTTCTGTGTTGTCAACCTTGGCAAAATAAACTGTCTAAATTAACTGAGAGCTGTCTCAGATATTTGGGGTTCACAATATGTCATTTTCAGTAGGTAGTATTTTCTTTAAATAACAATAATTTTTATGATATCCTCACCAAATAATATTGCCTTTATGTTAGATAAACTATATAACATAAATATAAGAGAACTTTTTTTTTTTTTTTTTTTTTTTTCGACAGTCTTGCCCTGTCGCGGAGGCTGGGGTGTAATGGTGCAATCTCAGCTCACTGCAACCTCCACCTCCCCAGCTCAAGCGATTCTCATGCCTCAGCCTCTTGAGTAGCTGGGACTATAGGCACGCACCACCACACCCAGCTAATTTTTGTATTTTTAGTTGAGATGTGGTTTTGCCGTGTTGGCCAGGCTGGTCTTGAACACCTGGCCTCAAGTTACGACCCTGCCTTGGCTTCTGAAAGTGCTGGGATTACAGGTGTGAGCCAACGCACCCAGCCAATATAAGAGAACCTTATGTTAAATAAATGTAGAATAGGTAAAATTTTGATTTTTTTTTTTTTTTTGAGACAGCATCTTGCTCTGTTGCCCAGGCTGGAATGCAGTGGAGTGATCTTGGCTCACTGCAACCTCAACCTCCTGAGTTCAAGCCATTCTTTTGCCTCTGCCTCCCTCGTAGCTCGGACCACAGACGTGCACCACCACACCAGCTGATTTTTGTATTTTTAGTAGAGATGGGGTTTCACCATGTTAGCCAGGCTGGTCTCAAACTCCTGACCTCAGGTGATCTGCCCGCCTTGGCCTCCCAAAGTACTGGGATTTAACAGGCGTGAACCACCACGCCCAGCCAATTGTGATTAATTTTATTGTAGTTTTAGTGAAAGGTATATTATTGAATTGCCCTTAAGCTGTATGATAAAAAATTAATCTTTCTTTTTTCAGGTAAATTTAATATTTTAAAAATCCACATATTTTATTAAAATAACTTTTATTAATTTGTAATTGTGATTTACCCTACAAGTAGAAAGTCATCCAGGTAAATGTTATTGAAGATAATATTATTCCCTGTTTTATAGTTACTCATCCTAAACTTTCAGATTTAAACAAGTACTTAAGTAAGTAAATATTTGGTGTAAGTTGTTTGAAAATGATTCTAAGTTCATCACAGAATTTTGAATTATCTTTAGATAATGGTACTAAGCTTGTTTTCTCCTTCAGTAAATGTACAGTTTTGGTACACTACATGGAATGGTCCTAGAATTCTCAGGAACCTATCTCACTATCCAGAGCACTCCAGGGTACTGATACATTTACTGTATATTAGATTCATGTGGAAATGCCCAGATATATTCTGGAATTGGTAAATTGGAAAATATCGAATGTCATCTACTTCTTAAGGCATAAACTTTTCTAATCCTGTATTTTAAAGCATGAAAAATATCCTTATGCTTACAGTGTTTAAATAGCTTAGAATTTCCACAGTAGTAGTGTGTCTGTGTGTGTGTATGTTTCATGTAAGGCTCCAGTTGTTTTAGCAAAGTAGAATCTTATTGCATTTGCATTGGAAAACCAGAGTTCAGAAGTTATGAGAATTCTTACATAAAGAGTTTAGGATGGAAGGTTGGTGATTGAATAATTTGAAAGTTACCAAAATAAAAACAGAAGTTTCTTTAAAATATGATAATTTAAAAATTTAAATTATTGCATATTTTCCTCATTTCTTGGATACTTTATTTTGAGTACCCTGCCATTTATGGTTAGAGAAAAATAAATTTATTTTTACTCTAGTCTATTGATATGCATCAATTAATTATCTACCTAAATAGGTGAGAAATGTATTGGGTATGTACATGTGTAAACGATAAATAGAAATAGATTTTTCAATAGCAAATTGAGTGTTATAAAACTTCAGATATTCATTTCCAATTCAAATAAACACAAAGTGATTTTGTATAATTTATGAAGTAGTAATTAAAATAATACCTTAGGGCAGTGATTCTTAAACTTTGGATTTTAAGAAATCCATATGGATCAGTATGGATCACCTAGGGATTTTGTTAACGAAGTACAGATTGATTCAATAGGTCATGTGTGGGGTCTGAGATTCCGCATTTCTAACAAACTTCCAAGTGATGCTGGTCCAATAGCCAACTTGAATAATAAAGCCCTATAGTCTTTCAAGTGCTGTAGTAATATCAATTTACTGTACGATAGTATAGTAGTTTGATATTTTAAGTGATGTTTCAAGATCTTTACTTAACATTTTAAATTCTATTCTAAAATGTGTTCTACTTTATTAAGGGCTTTGGGATTTTCTTTATGGTTTAAAAAGGTATACTTTTTGTTGTGATTAGTACTATCTCACATTTTCATTTCTGAAAAAATTTTAAACACACACAGCTGTATAATTTTCAAGATAAATGAAACTAGTCACAGGTATTTGTGATTATAAAATGGTCATATATATCTAAACAAGTTAAATTAACAAATGTAGTGTTAAATTAACAAATATTAAAGCACAAAGGTGTTATCTTTCTTTTTTGGAGCACTTAGAAAACTACATGAATATTTTATAGTCTTGAGGTCCGTCCATTTTCTTGCTATTCTTGCTTTTAAGTTGAATACATAATGTTTTTTTTAGGATAACATGTTAAATGTAGACCATATACAAATAAACTAATATATATTTAACATAATAGTTATGTTCCGTGATCAGAGCTTAATTTTGAGGTAAAGATAAATTTCTCCCCCTCACAAAACAAATGAGAAACGCTATTTCCTTCATTTAAAACATTTGGAATCATTTTACTCATTTTAATAGCCTTACAAAAGTTCTGGATACATTGCTAATTCGAAAACATTAAGATCCAAGTTAGCCTGAAATGCCAAAGGCAGTCAAATGCCTTTCTTGGCAAGATATGACTCATTTACTTTGACGATAGATGGAAATATTAATAATTAAATATGAAAAGGAAGAGCACAGACGTGCAACATTGAACTAGAACCTTTTTCTATAATTGAATTATAAATAAAATATATCTTTATATATGTCTGTCATTCATTATCTTTAACATCTAAGATTAACAACTGAGTAGAAATGAATATCATGCTGTAACTCAAATTTTAAAATCCCACATACTTGGATATAATCATGGTTAGTAGTGAATAAAATATATTTACAAATATACATTTTAAAATATGGGTATAATTTTTAGGTATTTGTACCATCAAAGTTTTTAGTTTTTCATTGTGAAAGATAAAGAAGAGTTTATGATACTCCTAGGTATAATCATAAAAAAATTTTAAACCATTAAAGATTTTTAGAATTTGGGTATTGCCATGTTTTCATTCTTCAGGCTAGGAAACTAAGGCCCAGAAATATGATTTGAACAATTATTTAAGGACTGAACTTTTTCGTAACCATCCCTGGATCATTTACCTACTGTACTAAAACATAGTTTGTATGTATGATTTTTTTTCCAAGTCTTTAAAGCTTTTATGTATGACCGTTTGTTTTCAATATGGTAACATTGTCATACTCTGAAAAAATAATTCTGAATTAGTTAATTTGAAACACTTTTTTGAGCTCTTACTACATACCAAGTATTGGTATTGCAGGCCTTGTGGGTATGGCAATGAATAGGACATGGTCTTTTTGTAGAGAGCTTTACAAAGGAAATCAGTTGCTGGCTTCTGGCTGTTGCATTAAAATAGATCAACATTTATAATATTAAATTTTGTTGCTGAAATTTATCATTGGCCAGGCATGGTGGCTCACGCCTGTAATCCTAGCACTTTGGGAGGCTGAGACAAGCAGATCACTTGAGCCCAGGACTTCAAGGCCAGCCTGGGCAACATGGTGAAACTCCTTCTCTACAAAAAAGACAAAAATTAGCCTGATGTGGTGGTGCACATCTGTGGTCTCGGCTACTTGGGAGGCTGAGGTGGGAAGATACCTTATCCCAGGGAGACTGAGGCTACAGTGAGCTGTGATTACAGAGTGAGACCTGTCTCAAAAAAGGAAAGAAGAAATGTATTATTCTTAATTCTTACGTTTTGTAAGCAATTTTTAAAGTTTACTTCTTAGTACTAAACATCGTAATTGAATATTTATTGCTGCTAGTTGGTTCTAACAGTTATATTTTTTTGAAAAATAATTTTACATGTTTATTTTTTCCCATTTCATTTTTCTCTAGCTTTATTGAAGTATAATTGACAAATAAAAATTATATATTTAAGCTATACAACCTGATGTTTGATATATGTATACATTGTGAAATGATAACGCTTATCAAGCTAATTAACATATCCATCACCTCAAAGTATTACCTTTCTTTTTTGGTGGTGAAAACATTTACGATCTACCCTCTTGGCAAATTTAAAGTATACAATATAATATTACTAACTATAGTCACCATGCTGTTCATTAGATATCTAGAACTTATTCATGCTGCATAACTAAAACTTTACACCTTTTGACCCATTTCCCCTAGCCCTAAACCCTGGAAACAACTGTGTCTATTCAGCCTGCTATAGCAAAATACCATATAACTTTTGTAGCTTATAAATAACAGAATTTTATTTTTCACAGTTTTGGAAGCAGAGAAATCCAAGATCAAGGCACAGGCAGACTTGGTGTCTGGTAAGGGCCCACTTTCTGGTTAATAGATGATGCTTTCTCATTGTGTCCTCACATGGCAGAAGGGGCAATCAAGTTCCCTTCGGCCTCCTAAGGGCACAAATGCCATTCATGACGGTTCCTTCATTCTTTAAATTTTAACTTAATTTAATTTTAAGTTCTGGGGTACATGTACAGGACGTGCAGGTTTGTTACATAGATAAACATGTGCCATGGTGGTTTGCTGCACCTATCAACCCATCACCTAGATATTAGGCCCCGCATGCAGTAGCCATTTATCCTGATGTTCTCCCTCCCCACTCCCTACCTCCTGAAAGGCCCCAGTGTATGTTATTCCCCTCCCTGTGTCCATTTGTTCTCTTTGTTCAGCTTCCACTTATAAGCAAGAACATGTGGTGTTTGGTTTTCTGTTCCTGCGTATGTTTGCTGAGGATAATGGCTTCCATTTCCATCCATGTCCCTGCAAAGGACATGATATCATCCCGTTTTATGGCTGCATAGTATTCCATGATGTACATGTACCACATTTTCTTTATCCAGTCTATCATTGATAGGCATTTGGGTTGATTCCATGTCTTTGCTATTGTGAATAGTGCTTCAGTGAACATATGCATGCATGTGTCTTTATAATAGAATGATTTATATTCCTTTGGGTATATACCCAATAATGGGATTGCTAGGTCAAATTATATTTCTGGTTCTAGGTCTTTGAGGAATCGTCACACTGTTTTCCCCAATGGTTGAACTAATTTGCCTTCCCACCAACAGTGTAAAAGTGTTCCTATTTCTCCACAACCTTGCCAACATCTGTTGTTTCTTGACTTTTTAATAATTGCCATTCTGGCTGGCACAAGAGGGTATCTCATTGTGGTTTTGATTTGTGTTTCTCTTATTGGCCACATAAATGTCTTCTTTTGAGAAGTGTCTGTTCATGTCCATTGCCCACTTTTTAATGGGGTTGTTTCTTTTTTTCTTGTAAATTTGTTTAAGTTCCTTGTAGATTCTGGCTATTAGACTTTTGTCAGATGGATTGATTGCAGAAATTTTCTCCCATTCTGTAGGTTGTCTGTTCACTCTGATGATAGTTTATTTTGCTGTGCAGAAGCTCTTTAGTTTATTTAGATCCCATTTGTGAATTTTTGCTTCTCTTGCAATTGCCTTTGATGTTTTCATCATGAAATCTTTGCCTGTGCCTATGTCCTGAATACTATTTCCTAGATTTTCTTCTCGGGTTTTCCTCGTTTTGGGATGTATATTTAAGTCTTTAATCCATCTTGAGTTATTTTTTGTATAAGGTGTAAGGAAGGAGTCCAGTTGCAATTTTTGGCATATGGCTAGCCAGTTTTCCCAGCACCATTTATTAAATAGGGAATCCTTTCCCCATTGGCTTGTTTATGTCAGCTTTGTTGAAGATCAGATAGTTGTAGGTGTGCAGTCTTATTTCTGAAATCTCTATTCTGTTCCATTGGTCTATGTGTCTGTTTTTGTACCAGTACCATGCTGTTTTGGTTACTGTAGGCTTGCAGTATAGTTTGAAGTCAGGTAGCGTGATGCCTCCAGCTCTGTTCTTTTGCCTTAGAATTGTCTTGGCTATGTGGGCTCTCTGTTGGTTCCATATTAATTTTAAAGTAGTTTTTTTTCTAATTCTTTGAAGAGTGTCAATGGTAGTTTAATGGGAATACCAATTAATCTATAAATTACCTTGGGCAGTTTGGCCATTTTCACAGTATTTCTTCTTCTTATCTGTGAGTATGGAATGTTTTCCCATTTGTTTGTGTTCTCTCTGATTTCCTTGAGCAGTGGTTTGTAGTTCTCCTTGAAGAGGTCCTTCACTTCCCTTCCTTGTTAGCTGTACTCCTAGGTGTTTTATTCTCTTTGTAGCAATTGTGAATGGGAGTTCATTCATGATTTGGCTCTCTGCTTGTCTGTTATCGGTATATAGGAATGCTTGTGAATTTTGCACATTGATTTTGTTTCTGGAGATTTCGCTGAAGTTGCTTATCTTAAGAAGCTTTTGGGCTGAGACAATAGGGTTTTCTAAATATAGGATCATGTCATCTGCAAAAAGAGACAGTTTGACTTCCTCTCTTTCTATTTGAATACCTTTTATTTCTTTTTCTTGCCTGATTTCCGTGACAGAACTTCTAATACTGTGTTGAATAGGAGGGTGAGAGAGAGCATCCTTGTTTTGTGTGGATTTTCAAGGGGAATGCTTCCAGCTTTTGCCCATTCAGTATGATATTAACTGTGGCTTTGTCATAAATGGCTCTTATTATTTTGAGGTATGTTCCATCAATACTTAGTTTATTGAGATTTTTTTACGTGAAGGGATGGTGAATTTTATCAAAGGACTTTTCTGCGTGTATTGAGATAATCATGTGGCTTTTGTCTTTAGTTCCGTTTATGTGATGAATTACTTTTATTGATTTGCGTATGTTGAACCAGCTTGCATCCTGGGGATGAAGCTGACTTGATCGTATTGATAAGCTTTTTGATGTGCTGCTGGATTTGGTTTGCCAGTATTTTACTGAGGAATTTTGCATCGATGTTCATCAGGGTTATTGGCTTGAAGTGTTGTTGTTGTTGTTGCTGCTGCTGTTGTTGTTGTTGTTGTTGTTGTATCTCTGCCAGGTTTTGGTATCAGGATGATATTGGCCTCATAAAATGAGTTAAGGAGGAATTCCTCCTTTTCAATTGTTTGGAATAGTTTCAGAAGAAATGGTAACAGCTCCTCTTTGTATCTCTCTGGTATAATTCAGCTGTAAATCCATCTGGTCTTGGGCTTTTTTTTTGGTTGCTAGGCTATTTATTACTGCATCAATTTCAGAACTTATTATTGGTCTATTCATGGATTCCATCTTCCTGGTTCAGTCTTGGGAGGGTGTATATGTCCAGGAATTTATCCATTTCTTCTAGATTTTCTAGTTTATTTGCATGGAGGTGTTTATAGTAATCTCTGATAGTTGTTTGTATTTCTGAGTTATCAGTGGTCATATCCCTTTTATCATTTTTATTGTCTCTCTTAGATTCTTTTCTTTTCATTATTAGTCTACCTAGCAGTCTATCTATTTTATTAACTTTTTCAGAAAACCAGCTCCTGAATTTGTTGATTTTTCGAATGGCTTTTCATGCCTCTATCTTCTTCAGTTCTGCTCTGATCTTGGTTTATTTCTTGTCTTCTGCTAGCTTTGGGGTTTGTTTGCTGTTTATCCTCTAGTTGTTTTAGTTCTGATGTCAGTGTGTCAATTTGAGATCTTTCTAGCTTTTTGATGTGGGCATTTAGTGTTATAAATTTCCCTCTTAACACTGCTTTAGCTGTATCCCAGAGATTGTGGTATGTTGTCTCTTTGTTCTCATTGGTTTCAAATAGCTTCCTGATTTCTGCCTTAATTTCATTATTTACCCAGGAGCCATTCAGGAGCAGGTTGTTCAATGTCCATGTAGTTTCGTGGTTTTGAGTGAGTTTCTTAATCTTGAGTTCTAATTTGTTTGCTCTGTGATCTGAGAGACTGTTATTATTTCAGTTTATTTTGCATTTGCTGGGGAGTGTTTTACTTCCAATTTTGTATTGATTTTAGAGTAAGTGCCATGTGGCACCAAGAAGAATGTATATTCTTTTGTTTTGGGGCGGAGAATTCTATAGATATTTATCAGGTCCACTTGATCCAAAGCTGAGTTCAAGTCCTGAATACCCTTGTTAATTTTCTGTCTTGATGATCTAATATTGACAGTGGGGTGTTAAAGTCTCCCACTGTTATTGTGTGGGAGTTTATGTCTCTTTGTAGATCTCTAAGAACTTGTTTTATGAATCTGGTTGCTCCCGTATTGGGTGGATATATATTTAGGATAGTTAGTTCTTCTTGTTGAATTGAACCCTTTACCATTATGTGATGCCCTTCTTTGTCGTTTTTGATGTTTGTTGGTTTAAAGTCTGTTTTGTCAGAAACTAGGATTGCAACCCCTGCTTTTTTCTGTTTTCCATTTGCTTGTTAAATTTTCCTCCATCCCTTTATTTTGAGCCTATGTGTGTCTTTGTGCATGAGATGGGTCTCTTGAATATAGCACACCGATGCATCCTGACTCTTTATCCAGCTTGCTATTCTGTGTCTTTTAATTGGGGCATTTCGCCCATTTACATTTAAGGTTAATATTGTTACATGTGAATTTGATCCTGTCATTATGATCCTAGCTGGTCATTTTGCAGACTTGTTGATGTAGTTGCTTCACAGTGTCATTGGTCTTTGTACTTTAGTGTGTTTTTATAGCAGCTGGTAGCAGTTTTTCCTTTCCATATTTAGTGCTTCCTTCAGGGGCTCTTGCAAGGCAGGCCTGGTGGTAACTGATTCCCTCAGCATTTGCTTGTCTGAAAAGGATTTTATTGCTCCTTCACATATGAAGCTTAGTTTGGCCAGATGTGAAATTCTGAGTTGGAAATTATTTTCTTTAAGAATGCTGAATATTGGCCCACAGTCTCTTCTGACTTGTAGGGTTTCTGCTGAGAGGTCTGCTGTTAGTCTGATGGCCTTCCCTTTGTAGGTGACCTGGCCTTTCTCTTTGGCTGTCCTTAACATTTTTTCCTTCATTTCAACCTTGGAGGATCTGATGATTTTGTGTCTTGGGGTTGATTTTCTCATGAAGTATCTTACTGGGGTTTTCTGGATTTCCTTAATTTGAATACTGGCCTGTCTTGCTAGGTTGGGGAAGTTCTCCTAGATGATATCCTGAAGTATGTTTTCCAACTTAATTCTGTTTTCCCCATCTCTTTCAGGTACCCCAATCAGTCATAGGTTCAGTCTTTTTATATAATCCCATAGTTCTTGGAGATTTTGTTCATTCCTTTTCATTCTTTTTTCTCTAATCTTGTCTTACTCTCTTATTACAAAGTTTGTTATTATCCACCTTCTGAAGCCTGTTTTCATCAATTCATCCATCTCAGCCTCCACCCAGTTCTGTGCCCTTGCTGGAGAAGCGTTGTGATCATTTGGGGGAGAAGTACTCTGGCTTTTTGAATTTTCATCGTTTTTTCACTGATTCTTTCTCATCTTCGTGAATTTATCTAGCTTCGATCTTTGAGGCTGCTGACCTTTGGATGAGGTTTTTGTGGGGACTTTTTTGTTGATTTTGTTGTTGTTGTTGCTTTCTGTTTGTTTTTCTTTTAACAGTCAGGCCCCTCTTCCATAGCTGCTGCGATTTGCTGGGGGTCCACTTCGGACCCTATTCTCCTGAGTCCCTCTCACTCCTGGAGGTGTTACCAGTGGAGGCTGCAAAACAGCAAAGATGGCTGCCTGCTTTTCCCTCTGGGGTCTCCATCCGAGATGGGCACTGGTACAGCAGGAACACTCCTGTATAAGGTGTCTGGTGATCTGGTGGCCCCTGTTTAGGGGTCTCACCCAGTTAGGAGGCACGAGATCTGGGACCCGCTTAACAAAGCACTCTGGCTGCCCCTTGGCAGATGGAGTGTGCTGCACTGGGGGCAGTCCCACTTATCCAGACTGCCCAGATTCTTCAGAGCCAGCAGGAGGAAAGACTAAGTCTGCTGATCCGCATAGATTTTGGCCACCCCTCCCCACAGGGGCTCAGTACCAGGGAGATCAGAGTTCTGTCCCTAAACACCTGGCTGGAGTTGCTGAAATTCCTGCATGGAGGCCCTGTCGGTGAGGAGGGATGGGTCAGGGTCCGGCCTAAAGAAGCAGTCTGACCGTGATCTGCTGTAACCACTGTGCTGCACTGTGGGGAATTCCTCCTGGTTTCAAACTGTTTAGTCTCCCTGGTACCAGCAGGAGAAAAATGGCAGCCTAGAGCTACAATGATGGTGGCAACCCATCCCTGCAGGAGCTCAGTCATCTTAGGCAGCAGGCAGCCAGAGTGATGATGGCTGTCCCTCCCCCTGGGAACTTGGTAGACTTAGGCAGTCTCCAGCCAAGTGGCCACTGAGAATCTGCACAGCTGTCCTTGGGACCCAAGGCTCTATTTGCATGGGCTCACAATGAGGATATCCTGATCCTTGGGTTGTGCAAACGTGTGGAAAAAGTCTGGTTTCCTGGGTGGGATAGCAGGATCACTCACTGCCTCCCTTGGTTGGGGGTGGGAGCTCCTCTTGCCCTGTGTGGCTCCCAGGTGGGTCATTGCACCACCCTGCTTTTTCTTGCTCTCCGTGGGTTGCAGCAGTCGCCTACTCAGTCCCAGTGAGAGAACCTGTGTACCTCAGTTGCCTGTGCAGGATTCACTCACCATTTCTGTTCTTGCGGGAGCCTCTGACTGCAGCTGTTTCTAGTTGGCTATCTTGGCCTCTCCCTGAGGGCTCCATCCTTATAAACCAATTACCTTCCAAAAGTCCAGGTTAGTACCATCATGCTGGGAATTAGGTTTCAACATATGAATTTTGGAGGTGGACACATTCAGAACATGGCAACCACCATTCTACTGTTTAGTTATATGCCTAGTTTGACTGTTTTAGATTCTACATCTAAGCAAAATCATGCAGTATTTGTCTTTCTTCGCCTGGTTTATTTCATTTAGCATAATGTCCCTCAGGTTCATCTGTATCATTGCAAATGACAGAATTTCCTTCTTTTTTAAGGTTGAATAGTATTTCATTTTTTGTTTGTGTATACCACTATATGTGTGTATATAGAAAACTTTTATTTATCCATTCTTCCATCAAAGGACACTTTGGTTGATTTCATATCTTGGCTATTGTGAATAACATTGCAATGTACAGGAAAGTGCAGATATCTCTTCAAGATACTGATTTCATTTCCCTTGGATGTATATCCAGAAGTGGAATTGCTGGATTATATTTTTATTTTTAATTTTTTGAGGAACCTCTATAGTTTTTCCATAATGACTGTACCATTTTACATTCCCACCAATACTGTACAAAGGTTCCCTTTTCTCCACATCCTCACCAACACTTGTTATCTTTTACTTTTTGATTACAGCCATCCTAACAGGTGTGAGGTGATATCTCATTGTGGTTTTGATTTACATTTTTCTGATCATTAGTGATGTTGAGTATTTTTTCATATGCCTATTGATCATTTGTATGTCTTTTGAGAAATGTCTATTCAGGTCCTTTGACGATTTTTTAATCAGGTTATTTGTTTTCCTGCTAGTGAGTTTCTTATATATTTTGGATATTAGCCCCTTGTCAGATGTATAGTTTGCAAATATTTTCTTCCATACCATAGGTTGTCCCTTCACTTTGTTCATTGTTTCCTTTGCTGTGCAGAAGCTTTTTAGTCTGATGCAACCCTGTTTGTTTGTTTCTTTTTTTTTTTTTTTGATGGAGTCTCGCTCTGTCGCCAGGCTGGAGTGCAGTGGCGTGATCTCGGCTCACTGCAACCTCCGACTCCCTGGTTCAAGCTATTCTCCTGCCTCAGCCTCCTGAGTACCTGGGATTACAGGCATGTACCACCATGCCCAGCTAATTTTTGTATTTTCAGTAGAGATGGGGTTTTACCATGTTGGCCAGGATGGTCTCGATCTCCTGACCTCGTGATCCACCTGCCTCAGCCTCCCAAAGTGCTGGATTACAGGCGTGAGCCACCACGCCTCGCCTCCTGTTTGTTTCTTATTTATTTTGGATATTAGCCCCTTATCAGATATATAGTTTGCAAATATTTTCTCCATACCAAAGGTTGTCTCTTCCCTTCGTTGATTCTTTTCAGCACAGAAGCTTTTTAGTTTGACACAAACCCATTTGTCTATTTTTGCTTTTGGGGTCATATTCAAAAATTCTTTGTCCAGACCAATGTTTAGATGCTTTGCCCCTATGTTTTCTTCTAGTGTTTTACAGTTTCAGGTCTTACATTTAAGTCTTTAATCCGTATTGAGTTGTTTTTTTGTATATGGTGTGAGATTAGGGTCCAGTTTCATTCTTCTACATGTTGATATCCAGTTGTCCCAACACTGTTATTGAGAAGACTGTTTTTTTCCCATTATGTGTTCTTAGGGCCTTTGTCAAAAATGAGTTGACCATGGATATGTAGGCTTATTTATTGGCTTCCTATCCTATTCTATTGGTTGATGTGTCTGTTTTTATTTCAGTACTATGCTGTTTTGATTGCTATAGCTTTTGTAGTATATTTTGAAATCAGGTAATATGATGCCTCTTGCTTTGTTCTTGGTAACAGTTGCATTGGCTATTCTGGGTGTATTGTGGCTCCATATGAATTTTATGATTATTTTGTTTGATCTCTATGGAAAATGTCATTGAAATTTTGATAGGGATTGTGTTCAAGCTGCAGATCACTTTGTGTAGTATGGACATTTTAACAATATTAATTTTTCCAACTCATGAGTACAGGATATTTTTCCATTTATTTGTGTCTTATTCAATCAATTTTTTATAGTTTTATTGTACAGATATTTCACCTCCTTTTTAAACATTATTCCTAAGTATTTTGTTTATTTTTGATGCTATTGTAAATGGGATTGTTTTATTTCTTTTTCAATAATTTATTGTTAGCGTATAGAAATGCAACTGATTTTTGTATGTTGATTTCGTATCCTACAGCTTTACTGAATTTATTATTTCTAACAGTTTTCTGGTGGAGATTTTAGGGTTTTCTATATATAAGATTATGACATCTGCAAAGAGACTATTTTTCTTTATCCTTTTTAGTTTGGATATCTTTTTTTTTTCTTGCCTCATTACTATGGCTAGGATTTCCAGGATCATCCTGAATAGAAGTGGTGAGAGTAGATATCTTTATTTGGTTCCTGAACTTAGACAAAAAGCTTTTGGCTTTTCACCATTGAGTATTATATTAACTGTGGGGTTGTCATATGTGGCTTTTATCATGTTGAGTTTCATTTTTTCTACACCTTATTTGTTGATAGTTTTTTTTAATCACAAAAGGATGTTAAATTTTGTTGAATGCTTTTTTCTGCATCTATTCGGATGACATATGATTTTTGTCCTTCATTCTGTTAATGCGGTGCATCACATTTATTGATTTGTGAAAGTTGAACCACCCTCATATCCCAGGGATAAATCCCACTTGATCATGGTGTGTGATCTGTTAATGTGCTGTTGAATTCAATTTACTACTATTTTACTGAGGCTATTTGCATCTATATTCAACTGGGATATTGGCCTCTAATTTTCTTTTCTTGTACTCTCTTCATATGGCTTTGGTATCAGAGTAATGTTGGCCTTGTAAGGTGAGTTTAGAAGTATTCTCGTCTCTTAATTTTTTTGAAGAGTTGGAGAAGGATTGGTGTTAATTCTTTGAATGTTTGGTAAAATTCACCTGTGAAGCCTTTGTTCTTGGGCTTTTCTTCATGGAGAGATTTTTGATTACTGATTCAATCTTCTTATTCTTGATTGATCTGTTTCAATTTTCTATGTCTTCATGATTCTTGGTAAGTTGTATATTTTTATGAGTTGATCCATTTCTTCAAGGTTATCCAATTTGTTGCAGTATAATTGTTCATAGTCTTTTATGATTCTTTGCATTTTTGTGGTATCAGTGGTAAGGTCTCCTCTTTTATTTATAATTTTATTTATTTGAGTCTTTTGCCATTCTTTAATCTTTCTTAAGGTTTGTAAATTGTTTATATTTTCAGTATACTAACTTGTTAGTTTCACAGATCTTTTCTCTTGTTTTCCTGGTCTCTATTTGCCTTGTTTCTGCTCTGATTTTTATTATTTCTTTCATTTTGCCAACTTTTAGCTTAATTTATTCTTCTTTTTCTACTTTCTTGAAGTGTAAATTTAGATGTTTTATGTGAGATCTTTCTTTTTCTCAATGTAGGCATTTATCACTATAAAATTCTCTCTTAGAACTGCTTTTGCTGCATCCAGTACATTTTAGTATGTTGTGTTCCCATATTTGTTTGTCTCCATTTATTTTTTGATTTCCCTTTTGTTTTTTGACCCATTCGTTGTTCAGAAGTGTGATGTTTAATTTCCATACATTTGTGAATTTTCCAGTTTCCCTCTTGTTACTGATTTCTAGTTTCATACTATTGTGGTCAGAATTGATGCTTGATAATATTTCATACTTAAATTTTTTAAGACTCATTTTGTGGCTTAACATACAACCTATCCTGGAGAATGTTCTGTGTGCACTTGAGAAGAATGTGTATTCTGCTGCTGTTGGATGGAATGTTCTGTATATGTCTGTTAGGTTTATTTGCTCTAGAGTTTTGTCCTGGTATACTGTTTCCTTATTGATTTTTCTGTCTGGATGGTCTATCCATGGTTGAAAATGGGGTATTGAAGTCCCCTACTATTATTGTATTGCTATCCATTTCTCCCTTCAGTTCTGTTACTATTTGCATTATGTATTTGGGTGTTCTGATGTTGTGTGCATATATATTGTTTTCTCTTTCTTCCTATGGCAAACCTGCAGCTGATGAATACAAATGGAAATGTTTTTCTCTCCACTGGATATTTTTATAAACCAACATGTCTCTTTAATGTTGCTTCTGTACTTTTCAGTTTGGTTGATCCACAGGAATGAAAGAGAAAAATGCCACAGATTATCTTGTTTAGTCCTATGACCTACACCTAAGTGTCTTTTAGGCAGACTAGATAGAAGTATGTTTTATTGCTAAAGGGATGAAGTGGGACTGCTGAATAATAAAACCCAAGATTTATTGAGTTCTTATTAATACATATGTACATAGCATTGTACTGTATGCTTTAAGTATTATCTTGTGTGATCCTCAGAATAACACTATGAGAAGAGTACTCTCATGCTACTTTTACAGATGAGGAAACAGGCCAGAGGTTAAGTAATCTGCTCAAGTTTACCCATGTTGTAGGTGTAAAATCTAGGATTCCGAGCCTTTGCCACATCAAAGAATGTTTGTTCTACCACATCGCCTGTGGGAAATAAAGTTCTGTGTCCCTTCTAAGGAATTAATTATGCCTGCTTAGTTTGTGGATTAAGTTATATTTGTTTTTGAAAAGTGTTATATCTGTTTTCTGTTTTTATATCTTTCAGGAATTGCCACACTGTCTTCCACAATGGTTGAACTAATTTACATTCCCACCAACAGTGTATAAGTGTTCCTTGTTTGCTGAAACCACACCAGCATCTGTTTTTTTTTTTTTTTACTTTTTATTAATAGCCATTCTGACTGGCATAAGATGGCATCTCATTGTGGTTTTGTTTTGCATTTTTCTAGTGATCTGTGATGTTGAGCTTTTTTTCATGATTGTTGACCACATGTATGTCTTATCTTGAAAAATGTCTGTTCATGTCCTTTGCCTACGTTTTAATGTTTTATTTTCTTGTAAATTTGTTCAAGTTCCTTATAGATGCTGGATATTAGACCTTTGTGACATGCATAGTTTGCAAATATTTTCTCCATTCTGTAGGTTGTCTGTTTACTCTGCTGATAGTTTCCTTTGCTGTGAAGAAGCTCCTTAGTTTAATTATATCCCATTTGTCAAGTTTTGCTTTTATTGCAGTTGCTTTTGGCATCTTCGTCATAAAATCTTTGTCCATTCCTATGTCCACAATGATATTGCTTACATTGTCTTCTAGCGTTTTTATAGTTTTGTGTTTTATATTTAAATCTTTAATCCATCTTGAGTTAATTTTTATATACGGTGGAAGGAAGGAGTCCAGTTTCAGTTTTCTGCATGTGGCTAGCCAGTTATCCCAGCAATAGCAAAGACATGGAATAAACTTAATGCCCATCAGTGATAGACTAGATAAAGAAAATGTGGTACATATACACCATGGAATACTATGTAGCCCTAAAAAAGAACGAGATCATGTCCTTTGTAGAGATATGGATAGAGGCCATTATCCTTAGTAAACTAATGAGAAACAGAAAATCAAATACTGTGTATTCTCATTTAAAAGTGGGAGATAAATGATGAGAAAATATGGACACATAAAGGGAAACAACACACACTGGGGCCTATTGGAGGGTGGAGAATGGGAGGCGGGAGAGGATCAGGAAAAATAACTAATGGCTACTAGGCTTAATACCTGGATGATGAAATAATCTGTATAAATCTCCATGACACAGTTTTACCTGTATAACAAACCTGCCCATGTACCCCTGAACTTAAAAGTTAAAAAAAAATGTATATATCTGTTTTCTGTGTATACCTCCACAGGGTATTAGACCATATACATATTTGCATTATAATATTTAATATAAATTTTAATATATTGAGAAATTTGATGAAATTGCATCTTTGAAATAATAAACAGTACATTCCATGGCATGTTTCAACACTTCAGTTGCAAATCATTCAGGAAATACTGAGTACCTTTTTTGTGTCAAGCATTCTGTAGAAATGCCAGGTATTTACCGGTGATTAAGACAGGTATCATTACCCTCAGGAGGCTCATAGTCATTGGATTATTCTGTATGGAGTGCTTTGTTTAAGAGTTCTTTCTAAGCCTTCTATGACTCTTAAAAATGTAAATTACAGAGATTATTACTTACTGTGGTGGTTGATTTTGTGTATCACCGTGACTGAATGAGGGGATGCCCAAGTAGCTGGTAATACATTATTTCTGTGTGTGTCTGGGAGGGTGGTTCTAGAAGAGATTAGCATTTGAATCAGTGGACTGAGTAAAGAAGATCACCTTCATCGATGTGGTTGGGCATCATTCACTCCATTGAAGGCCCTAAGAGAACAAAAAGGTGGAAGAAAGTTGAATTTGCTATCACTACTTAAGCTTGGACATCCATCTTCCCCTGCCCTCAGACATCAGTGCTCCTTGTTCTTAGCCTTTGGATTTGTACTGTAACTTATACCATTGCCTCCCCTGGTTCTCAGGCTTTGGAGTTTGCACTGGAGTCCGCCGTTAGCTTTCCTGAGCAGACAGATGTTAGATCATGGAATTTCTCAGCCTCCATAATCATGTGGGCTCCTGGGCAGATGGCAGATCATGGGACTTCTCAGCCTTCATAATTGTGTGAGCCAAGTCCTCATAACAAATCTCTTTTTTATATATGTCTGTATATCCTATTGGTTTTGTTTCTCTGTAGAACCCAGACTCTAATGACATTGTGCTTTGGAAATACATAACATGTTTGATTTCACATATTCACAGCTGGAGGGGAATTTTCCTTAGAATCATGTCTCGAGTCTCACCTATATCTAATTTAGATATTTAGATGAGATGTTAGACTTTAGACTTTTGTGTTGATGCTGAAATGAGTAAAGACTTTTGGGGTCATTGGGATGGAATGAATGTATTTTGCATGTGAGAAGGACAGGAATTTGGCGGGCATCAGTGACAGAATACTCTTGACTGACTCTCTGTATCTCCCCCAGTTTCATATGTTGAAATGCTAACAACCCCTCCCCCCATTGCGATGGTATTAGGAGGTGGGGCCTTTGGGAGTTGATTAGGTCATGAGGGCAGAACCTTCATGAACGTGATTAGTGCCCTCATCTTTAAGAGACCTCAGAAAGCTCCCTTACGCCTTCTGACAAGGACACAACAAGAAGACAAATCTATGAACTAGGAAGCAGACCCTCACCAGATACCAAATCTTCCAGCACCTTGATCTTGGACTTTCTAGCCTCCAGAACTGTGAGAAATAAATTCCTGTTGTTCATAAGCCATCCTGTCTATGATACTCTGTTATAGTATCCCCAACAGACTAAGACTCTATTTGGTCTATACCTCACTTACTTTTAAAAATAATAAGATTGTTTGAAATAAAAGCAATCAATAACCTCTATGTCCATCCCATATAACTAGTTGATAAAGAAGAGCCAAGTAATGAATGGGATGGGAGAACAAATATAGCAGAAAACCCAAGCTAAAGTAAATTATTATGATTTTGTTTAAAATTTAGTTATGAGCCTCCTGGCAGACAAGGAATACATTAATGCACCTAGATTGTTATTTTCTCTAGGCTTTGGACATCATTCAGTACTGCATTTGCTGAACCTTAAATGTAGTAAACACTGTTATATATTGTGCAGAGTACAGGCTTTGCAGTAGGACAAATGCTTTAATGCCCAGTTCTTTTACTAGCTATGAAACTTTGTTAATTTCACCCTCTACATGGCTACAGTACTACACAGAATTGAGTAGATGAAATGAGAATTGCACAGATTGCCTAGCATAGCATCTCATGCAAAGTAAGTTTCCTTCAGTTGGGTATTTTAAACATATACCTGGCCAGAGATATTTTGTTGTGAAAATTATATCCTAATTCAGATGGAGGTTTTACATTGTTCATCTGCAGGATTACCTGTAGGCAGCTACCAAACTTGTTTTGTAAACAAGTATCATCTATTTAAAAGTCTAGCAGTTGCTCAGTTGAAATTGCAGACTTTCCCCATAATGTAAAAGAGATGACTTTAAGCCAAAAAGTACTAAGATAACTTCCTTAGCAACAAAATAATATGGTTCTTAAAGGACACTTGATTTCTGAGCTGGAATGCTATCTCAGTGGGCCAACCAGAAGTAATTTATACCCTTAAAAAAATTTATCCTGCGTTCTCAGTTGATGAATTTGCCTTACACCTCATTGAAAAACCATCAGTTGGGAACCCCCTAATATTCCCACTTACAAACTTAACTACCCTTACACCTATTGGATTATTCAGTATGGTTACAATGGAAGATGTGTCTTTCTACTTATCAAAGGCACATATTCTCTAAATAAACAACTAAGTACTTCATTTTTGGGGGTGATTATTCTTCCTGAATCTTTGATTCCCCCTCTCTACCTGGGTTGTTACATTCAGCATGAAAGCACATGCTAGTATCTCCCATTTGAAAATGACCATAAAATTCCCACAATACTTCAAGCAATTGGCTTGTTTTTTTGCTGGTCTTCAAACCCAAGTCTCTTAAAAGAGTACTATATATATGCTGTTTCCACTTCATCACCTTCCACTCATTCTTAAACACACTCTATTTTAGCTTCCTACTTCATCTCACTGAAAATGATTGCTGAATCATCATGAACTCCATGTTGCCAGATATGGTCGCTTCATACTCACCTTTTTTGACCTCTCAGCAGCTTTCATCTCAGTTGAGTCCACCCTCTTTGAAAGATTCTTTTTTCTCAGCTTTTTGTACCCTATTGTATCCCAGTTTGTTTCCTTATCCCCCTGGGTACTCCTATTCTACTTCTAAATAAATAGTTCTCAAATTTTAATGTACATTAAAATCACTTGGAAAGCTTGTTAAGATGGAAGATTTTGAGGGCTTATTCTCAAGAGTTTCTGATATAATAGTTCTGGATGAAGCCTAGGAATTTTTATCTTTAAGCAACACTCCAAAAGATTATGATGTAGATGGCTTATGAATCATACTTTTGATAAACTTTGCTCTTTAGGTCTCATTTCTGTTCCTCATCTCTCTATATACTTTCTCCTTTGGAGAGCTCATCCATTTCTACTTTTGTCAATGCCTCTCAATCCTGGCTGCATATAGAGTCACCTACGGATCTTTTGAAAAATGCCAATGTCCATTCCAGACCAATTAAGTCACAAGCTCTACAGATATATTAGACTGGGGCTTTAGTAGTTTTAAAGCCTTCCTGGGTTATTCTCATTTGCAGCCAGGATTGAGAACCGCTAATCTGTAGCCATATAACCCTTATCTTTAGCTCAACACTTTCCTCAGTGGTTCAAATCTATGTAGTCAGTTGCCTGCTTGACATCACATTGCTATATCTCAGACACCTCAAACCTAAAATGGCCAATAAAGAACTGTTGATTCTGCACCCTGTCCAGAAGATAGTGGCTCATGACAGGAAACAGGGAGTCATCTTTGTTTTTTTTTTCAACCTTATTTTCTATATTCAAGTCATTAGTAAGACTTGTTAGTTTTGTTTTCAGAATTTACCTCAACACTGTCTCATTTTTCCATCTCCACTGTCACCATTCAAGTCCAAGCCACCATCCTCTGTTGTTTGGACTGCTGCAATAGCCTCCTAACTGGCCTTGCTTCTACATTTGTTTCTCCAATTCATACTCCACATGGCAAAGTCAAGTGACCTAAAGACATACATTATCATGTCATCTCTTCCTTAAAACATCTCACTTAGAATAAACCCTGACTTACCTCTTCATCTTCAGCTCCACTATATTTCTTCTCCCAACCCATCATGCTCCAGCCATATGGGCCTCATTACTGTGCACTGACCTCACGAAATGTATCAGGACCTTTGTATGCTGCCTGAAATGCAATTTCACAGAGGCTGACTTCTTAACATTTATCTTAAAAGTCTTCTCTTCAAGAGTTCTCCCCTGTTATTCTGTGACACAGCAGCCTGTTTATTTCTTGCATAGTACTTCTCAATGTGACAATTTATGTGTTCATAACACTTCCACACCAGATGATAAGATTCACTAGGCTGGGATCTTAATGTGCTTTGTTCATTAGTGTATCTTTAACAGCTAACAAAGCGCCTGGTACCTAGTAGGAGCTCAATACAAATTTGAGGTATGACTAAACAGATTTAATTAATATCCCCAGATAACTAAATGAAATAACTCTCTGAACCTCCCTTCCCTGCTCACTGACATTGGCAAGTTCCAATTTACCATTTAGGGACAGGGTTTCTTAGGGAACCCTTTGTCAACACCACCCTCTTCTCTGCCACATACAAGTTTGAGCTCTCTTTTAGACATTCTCATACACTTTTAAGAATTGTTTTCCTAGTCAGTGTTTGTTTAATCAATGAATGGTATATCAAAAAATCGGAAACTATAACAAGTTTCTTAAAAATGTTAGAGATGGGATCATTCCCACCTAGTTCACTTTATAAGACAGTGAAGAAATATTAAACCCTGGAAACTATAGCATGATTCATAGGTGGCTCCAATCTATAAATTCACAGGTCAGATGTCTTTCATTATATTCTGTAAAATTCTTATGTCATTATTAACTTCTCAATTGCATTAAAATAGAGAGTTACATAATAGTCAAAAGAAGACCATTTGTGTTTTTAAAACAGGATTTTCAGAAGGAAAGAAGAGAGGCAAAAAAGGGCGGAAACGGACACAATTTTGAGGAGATATTTAGGAAATTGTTGAATTCTAATCTTGGAGAGAGCATTTTGGAAATGGGATGAACATTACTTTGATTCCTTGCTGCCTAAATTATACCTGAACATTTAGAGTAAAAGGTTTTCCAAAGATTGGAGTTCCAATGATTTCAATAATTTTGACGACAAAAAAGATTCTTTTCAGGACTTTTAAACTTTTACACAAAGTTTAAAAGGTTCCAGCTTTAAACTTCAAGCAGTTAATAAAGTGAACAGTAACTGGTGGGATGATTAGAATTCTGCAATATGTAAAACATGGGGCTACAAAGCTAGGAGAAATATCTCTCAGCCTCCAGTGGGCTTCCCTGTCTGTCACTGAATGAGATAAAGGGAAATGTGATCACAGTAGGGATAAGTAGAGAAGGGCCAGTTACTAATATTTCTTGTCATTTGATTAAAAATATGAGTGAGTTCCTTTCTTATTCCACAGGTTTTCAGTTAACAAGATTAAGTGGTAATTAGATATGATCAAGCACGCATCTCCACTTTTTTTTTTAACTTGGAAGCTTGGTGAGCCATCAAAGAAGTTGTGTTTTGTTCACACCTTCTTCATTAAAATGGTATTGGTACATTCTACAAGCAGTTGACAAAATATATTGTATTAAAAAATATTAACCAGTGGTGGTAGGGCTTGCAGGCACTGAAATAAAAGTTGTAAGATTGCAAAGGGGCTGATTTACTTACTGCAAAGTGATGCCAGAGCAAGAAAGTTCTTTGACCTTCTATGTAGTTTAAAATTCCATATATTTAACATTTTTTAAAATGCTGCAATTAGGGAAACATTATTATTGTTTTTTTTAAAGACAGTTTATTTAAAAAGGAAGGAATCTTGGTCAAAATGGAGTTCTCAGTCCTGCTTTTGGCAACAGGGACAGACGTGGGGGCAGAGACTTTATAAAGTCATTTATTGGGGGTGGAGCCAAGAAGGCCGAATAGGAACAGCTCTGGTCTACAGCTCCCAGCGTGAGCGACGCAGAAGACGGGTGATTTCTGCATTTCCATCTGAGGTACCGGGTTCATCTCACTAGGGAGTGCCAGACAGTGGGTGCAGGACAGGGGGTGCAGGCACCGTGCATGAGCCGAAGCAGGGAGAGGCATTGCCTCACTTGGGAAGCGCAAGGGGTCAGGGAGTTCCCTTTCCTAGTCAAAGAAAGGGGTGACAGATGGCACCTGGAAAATCGGGTCACTCCCACCCTAATACTGTGCTTTTCCAACGGGCTTAAAAAACGGCACACCAGGAGATTATATCCTGCACATGGCTTGGAGGGTCCTATGCCCACGGAGTCTTGCTGATTGCTAGCACAGCAATCTGAGATCAAACTGCAAGGTGGCAGCGAGGCTGGGGGAGGGGCGCCTGCCATTGCCCAGGCTTGATTAGGTAAGCAAAGCAGCCGGGAAGCTCGAACTGGGGGAAGCCCACGACAGCTCAAGGAGGCCTGCCTGCCTCTGTAGGCTCCACCTCTGGGGGCAGGGCACAGACAAACAAAAAGACAGCAGTAACCTCTGCAGACTTAAATGCCCCTGTCTGAGAGCTTTGAAGAGAGTAGTGGTTCTCCCAGCATGCAGCTGGAGATCTGAGAACGAGCAGACTGCCTCCTCAAGTGGGTCCCTGACCCCCGAGCAGCCTAACTGGGAGGCACCCCCCAGTAGGGGCAGACTGACACCTCACACAGCCCAGTACTCCTCTGAGACATAACTTCCAGAGGAATGATCAGGCAGCAGCATTTGCAGTTCACCAACATCCGCTGTTCTACAGCCACCACTGTTCTGCAGCCACCGCTGCTGATACCCAGGCAAACAGGGTCTGGAGTGGACCTCTAGCAAACTCCAACAGACCTGCAGCTGAGGGTCCTGTCTGTTAGAAGGAAAACTAACAAACAGAAAGGACATCCACAACAAAAACCCATCTGTACATCACCATCATCAAAGACCAAAAGTAGATAAAACCACAAAGATGGGGAAAAAACAGCAGAAAAACTGGAAACTCTAAAAAGCAAAGTGCCTCTCCTCCTCCAAAGGAATGCAGATCCTAACCAGCAATGGAACAAAGCTGGACAGAGAATGACTTTGACGAGTTGAGAGAAGAAGTCTTCAGACGATCAAACTACTCCGAGCTACAGGAGGAAATTCAAACCAATGGCAAAGAAGTTAAAAACTGTGAAAAAAATTAGACAAATGGATAACTAGAATAACCAATGCAGAGAAGTCCTTAAAGGAGCTGATGGAGCTGAAAGCCAAGGCTCGAGAACTACGTGAAGAATGCAGAAGCCTCAGGAGCCGATGCGATCAACTGGAAGAAAGTGTATCAGTGATGGAAGATGAAATGAATGAAATGAAGCAAGACGGGAAGTTTAGAGAAAAAAGAATAAAAAGAAACGAGCAAAGCCTCCAAGAAATATGGGACTATGTGAAAAGACCAAATCTACATCTGATTGGTGTACCTGAAAGTGACGGGGAGAATGGAACCAAGTTGGAAAAGACTCTGCAGGATATTATCCAGGAGAACTTCCCCAATCTAGCAAGGCAGGCCAACATTCAGATTCAGGAAATACAGAGAACGCCACAAAGATACTCCTCGAGAAGAGCAACTCCAAGACACATAATTGTCAGATTCACCAAAGTTGAAATGAAGGAAAAAATGTTAAGGGCAGCCAGAGAGAAAGGTCGGGTTACCCACAAAGGGAAGCCCATCAGACTAACAGCTGATCTCTCGGCAGAAACTCTACAAGCCAGAAGAGAGTGGGGGCCGATATTCAACATTCTTAAAGAAAAGAATTTTCAACCCAGAATTTCCTATCCAGCCAAACTAAGCTTCATAAGTGAAGGAGAAATAAAATCCTTTACAGACAAGCAAATGCTGAGAGATTTTGTCACCACCAGGCCTGCCCTAAAAGAGCTCCTGAAGGAAGCACTAAACATGGAAAGGAACAACCGGTACCAGCCACTGCAGAAACATGCCAAAATGTTAAGACCATCAAGGCTAGGAAGAAACTGCATCAACTAACTAGCAAAATAACCAGCTAACATCATAATGACAGGACCAAATTCACACATAACAATATTAACTTTAAATGTAAATGGGCTAAATGCTCCAATTAAAAGACACAGACTGGCAAATTGGATAAAGAGTCAAGACCCATCAGTGTGCTATATTCAGGAAACCCATCTCACATGCAGAGACACACATAGGCTCAAAATAAAAGGATGGAGGAAGATCTACCAAGCAAATGGAAAACAAAAAAAGGCAGGGGTTGCAATCCTAGTCTCTGATAAAACAGACTTTAAACCAACAAAGATCGAAAGAGACAAAGAAGGCCATTACATAATGGTAAAGGGATCAATTCAACAAGAAGAGCTAACTATCCTAAATATATATGCACCCGATACAGGAGCACCCAGATTCATAAAGCAAGTCCTGAGTGACCTACAAAGAGACTTAGATTCCCACACAATAATAATGGGAGACTTTAACACCCCACTGTCAACATTAGACAGATCAATGAGACAGAAAGTCAACAAGGATACCCAGGAATTGAACTCAGCTCCGCATCAAGCAGACCTAATAGACATCTACAGAACTCTCCACCCCAAATCAACAGAATATACAATTTTTTCAGCACCACACCACACCTATTCCAAAATTGACCACATACTGGGAAGTAAAGCACTCCTCAGCAAATGTAAAAGAACAGAAATTATAACAAACTGTCTCGTCTCTCAGACCACAGTGCAATCAAACTAGAATTCAGGATTAAGAAACTCACTCAAAACCGCTCAACTATATGGAAACTGAACAACCTGCTCCTGAATGACTACTAGGTACATAACGAAATGAAGGCAGAAATAAAGGTGTTCTTTGAAACCAACGAGAACAAAGACACAATATACCAGAATCTCTGGGACACATTCAAAGCATTGTGTAGAGGGAAATTTATAGCACTAAATGCCCACAAGAGAAAGCAGGAAAGATCCAAAATTGACACCCTAACGTCACAATTAAAAGAACTAGAAAAGCAAGAGAAACACATTCAAAAGCTAGCAGAAGGCAAGAAATAACTAAAATCAGAGCAGAACTGAAGGAAATAGAGACACAAAAAACCCTTCAAAAAATTAATGAATCCAGGAGCTGGTTTTTTGAAAAGATCAACAGAATCGATAGACCACTAGCAAGACTAATAAAGAATAAAAGAGAGAAGAATCAAAGAGGCGCAATAAAAAATAATGAAGGGGATATCACCACTGATCCCACAGAAATATAAACTACCATCAGAGAATACTACAAACACCTCTACGCAAATAAACTAGAAAATCTAGAAGAAATGGATAAATTCCTCAACACATACACCCTCCCAAGACTAAACCAGGAAGAAGTTGAATCTCTGAATAGACCAATAACAGGCTCTGAAATTGTGGCAATAATCAATAGCTTACCAGGCAAAAAAAGTCCAGGACCAGATGGATTCACAGCCGAATTATACCAGAGGTACAAGGAGGAGCTGGTACCATTCCTTCTGAAACTATTCCAATCAATAGAAAAAGAGGGAATCCACCCTAACTCATTTGATGAGGCCAGCATCATCCTGATACCAAAGCCGGGCAGAGACACAACCACAAAAGAGAATTTTAGACCAATATCCTTGATGAACATTGATGCAAAAATCCTCAATAAAATACTGGCAAAACGAATCCAGCAGCACACCAAAAAAGCTTATCCACCATGATCAAGTGGGCTTCATCCCTGGGATGCAAGGCTGGTTCAACATATGCAAATCAATAAATGTAATCTAGCATATAAACAGAACCAAAGACAAAAACCATATGATTATCTCAATAGATGCAGGAAAGGCCTTTGACAAAATTCAACAACCGTTATGCTAAAAACTCTCAATAAATTAGGTAGTGATGGGACGTATCTCAAAATAATAAGAGCTATCTATGACAAACCCACAGCCAATATCATACTGAATGGGCAAAAACTGGAAGCATTCCCTTTGAAAACTGGCACAAGACAGGGATGCCCTCTGTCACCACTCCTATTCAACATAGTGTTGGAAGTTCTGGCCAGGGCAATTAGGCAGGAGAAGGAAATAAAGGGTATTCAATTAGGAAAAGAGGAAGTCAAATTGTCCCTGTTTGCAGATGACATGATGGTATATCTAGAAAACCCCATCGTCTCAGCCCAAAATCTCCTTAAGCTGATAAGCAACTTCAGCAAAGTCTCAGGATACAAAATCAATGTACAAAAATCACAAGCATTCTTACACACCAATAACAGACAAACAGAGAGCCAAATCATGAGTGAACTCCCATTCACAATTGCTTCAAAGAGAATAAAATACCTAGGAATCCAACTGACAAGGGATGTGAAGAACCTCTTCAAGGAGAACTACAAACCACTGCTCAATGAAATAAAAGAGGATACAAGCAAATGGAAGAACATTCCATGCTCATGGGTAGGAAGAATCAATATCATGAAAATGGCCATACTGCCCAAGACAATTTATAGATTCAATGCCATCCCCATCAATCTACCAAAGACTTTCTTCACAGAATTGGAAAAAACTACTTTAAAGTTCATATGGAACCAAAAAAGAGCCCACATCACCAAGTCAATCCTAAGCCAAAAGAACAAAGCTGGAGGCATCACGCTACCTGACTTCAAACTATACTAGAAGGCTACAGTAACCAAAACAGCATGGTACTGGTACCAAAACAGAAATATAGATCAATGGAACAGAACAGAGCCCTCAGAAATAATGCCGCATATCTACAACCATCTGATCTTTGACAAACCTGAGAAAAACAAGCAATGGGGGAAAGGATTCCCTATTTAATAAATGGTGCTGGGAAAACTGGCTAGCCATATGTAGAAAGCTGAAACTGGATCCCTTTCTTACACCTTATAAAAAAATTAATTCAAGATGGATTGAAGACTTAAATGTTAGACCTAAAACCATAAAAACCCTAGAAGAAAACCTAGGCAATACCATTCAGGACATAGGCATGGGCAAAGACTTCATGTCTAAAACATCAAAAGCAATGGCAACAAAAGCCAAAATTGACAAATGGGATCTAATTAAACTAAAGAGCTTCTGCACAGCAAAAGAAACTACCATCAGAGTGAACAGGCAACCTACAAAATGGGAGAAAATTTTCACATCCTGCTCATCTGACAAAGGACTAATATCCAGAATCTACAATGAACTCAAACAAATTTACAAGAAAAAAACAAACAACCCCATCAAAAAGTGGGCGAAGGACATGAACAGACACTTCTCAAAAGAAGACATTTTTATGCAGCCAAAAAACACATGAAAAAATGCTCATCATCACTGGCCATCAGAGAAATGCAAATCAAAACCACAATGAGATATCATCTCACACCAGTTAGAATGGCGATCATTAAAAAGTCAGGAAACAACAGGTGCTGGAGAGGATGTGGAGAAATAGGAACACTTTTACACTGTTGGTGGGACTGTAAACTAGTTCAACCATTGTGGAAGTCAGTGTGGCGATTCCTCAGGGATCTAGAACTAGAAATACCATTTGACCCAGCCATCCCATTACTGGGTATATACCCAAAGGACTATAAATCATGCTGCTATAAAGACACATGCACACGTATGTTTATTGTGGCACTATTCACAATAGCAAAGACTTGGAACCAACCCAAATGTCCAACAACAATAGACTGGATTAAGAAAATGTGGCACATATACACCATGGAATACTATGCAGCCATTAAAAATGATGAGTTCATGTCCTTTGTAGGGGCATGGATGAAACTGGAAACCATCATTCTCAGTCAACTATCGCAAGGACAAAAAACCAAACACCACATGTTCTCACTCATAGGTGGGAATTGAACAATGAGAACACATGGACACAGGAAGGGGAACATCACACTTCGGGGACTGTTGTGGGGTGGGGAGAGTGGGGAGGGATAGCATTAGGAGATATTCCTAATGCTAAATGACGAGTTAATGGGTGCAGCACACCAACATGGCACATGTGTACATATGTAACTAACCTGCACATTGTGCACATGTACCCTAAAACTTAAAGTATAATAATAATAAAAAAAAGAAAAAAAACTCATTTATTTTCTTCCTATGGAGAGTACGTTTTCTCAATAGTACCTACTACATGATCCTTTGTTTTTTTATTTGTGGTGCTACCTTTATCATTTACCAAATTCCATATATACGTGTGTCTATCTCTGAGACTTCTATTTTATTCTATAGGTCTATTAGATTAGTTACACCAATATCACAGGTTTTTTAAAATGTAAAAAGTTGTTATGGCCCTTTCCTTATCCTTATTAAGGTTGGCATAACAATTTGTGGACCTTTATTCTACTGCATACATTTTAGTACATTTATTGACTTAAAGATTTCAACTGGAATTTTGGCTGAGATTACATTATGTTTAAATATTAATTTGGGGATAATTGATATATTTATAATGTCAACCCATTCAAGAACATTGAATGTATTTCTATTCAGATCATCTGTGTCCTCTATTAAGAGTTTTGTCATTTTCTCCATAGAGGTCTTGGTCCTCCCTGATTAACTTAATCCCTAGATATTATTCTGAGGCAATTGTAAATGGTATGTTATTAAAAGTATGTTTTTAATTGGTTATTTCTGGCATGGGAAAATGTTGATTTTGTATTTAATAATTTTGCTTAACTATTCTTAGTTTTAATGATTTGCTGATTCTACTGATTCTTCTATGTGAATGACTATATAATTTTCAAATAATAATGATTTTAAGGTCTTCTAACACACAAACCTCTTATTTGTTTATAACATTGGCCAGGACCTGCAGTACTATGTTAAACTATGGTGTTGGCTAGCTTCTGTGTTCTCTTCTTGGACTTAACAGGAATGTCATTAATGTTATTCCATTAACTATAATATTTTCTGTAGGTTTTTGAATATCAAGTATCCTAGTTTTCTAGATTTTCTACATAATCAAAAGGAGATGTTGAACCTATCAAATACTTTTCTGCATCAATTATAATTTAATCCAATAATCTGTTATGTGACGATTTACATGAATAGATTTTCTGATGTATTGATGAGATAAATCCCACTTGCTCATAATTTTATAGTACTTTATATTTCAGTTGGTTACTCTGATATTAGCCCTATGGTCATATGCATCTACTCTCATTGTAGTGTAATCATTGTCTCAAAGCAATGCAGTGTAGAGGCAAAACCAAAACATCAACTTCTTTTTCCTAACCATTCTTCTCTCTGCTGCCTCCAACTATTGTTTGCACCAGGTGCAGCCCCCTGTTCCACTTCACATACATACATTCATGTCTTCACAGTGGGGTTTCAAGGATATTTTATTAGTTCTTGAGCCTTACATTTCCCTTTATAGTTTCTCTAGAGTTAAGTTTGGGGAGGGAGGCAGTATAGGTTAGTACATGGGAAAATAAAAACAAATATTGTCTGTACTAAGTGATAACAGTGGCTAATTTGAGGAATTAAAGAAAATATAAGATGAAAATAAAATACCAGACCATATTTACATACTGTATTAGTATGTTCTCATACTGCTAATAAAGACATACCCAAGACTGGGTAATTTATAAAAGAAAAAGGTTTAATTGACTCACAGTTCCACATGGGTAGGGAGACCTCACCATCATGGCTGGAGGTGAATGAGGAGCAAAGTCAAGTCTTACATGGCAGCAGGCAAGAGAGAGCATGTGCAGGGGAACTCCCTTTTATAAAACCATCAGATCTTGTGAGAGTTATTCACTATCATGAGAACAGCATGGGAAAGAACCACCCCCATAATTCAATTATCTCCCACTGGGTCCCTCTCATAATACTTGGGAATTATGGGAGCTTGAATTCAAGATTAGATTTGGGTGGGAACACAGACAAACCATATCATTCCACTCCTAGCCCCTGCCAAATCTCATGTCCTCACATTTCAAAACCAATCATGTCTTCCCAACAGTTCCCCAAAATCTTAACTCATTTCAACGTTAACTCAGAAGTCAACAGTCCAAAGTCTCATCTGAGACAAGGCAAGTCCCTTCCACCTAGGAGCCTGAAAAATCAAAGGCAAGTTAGCTACTTCCTAGACAGAATGCAGGTACAGGCATTGGGTAAATACACCCTTTCCAAGTGGGAGAAATTGTCCAAACCAAAAGGGCTACAGGCCCCATGCAACTTTGAAATCCAGGGGGCAGTCAAATCTTAAAGCTCCAAAATGATCTCCTTTGACTCCATGTCTCACATCCAGGTCACACTGATGCAAGAGGTGGGTTCTCATGGTCTTGGGCAGCTCTTCCCCTGTGGCTTTACAGGGTAAAACCCCTCTCCTGGCTGCTTTCACCAGCTGGCGTTGAGTGTCTGCAGGTTTTCCAGGTGCATGGTGCAAGCTGTCAGTAGATCAACCTTTCTTGATTCTGGAGAATGGTAGTCCTTCTCTCACAGTTCCACTAGGCAGTGCCTCAGTGGAGACTCTGTGTGGGGGTTCCAACCCACATTTCCCTTCCACACTGCCCTAACAGGGTCTTCATGAGGGCTCTGCCTCTGCAGCACACATCTGCCTGGACATCCAGGCATTTCCATACATTTTCTGAGATCTAGCCAGAGGTTTCCAAACCTCAATTCTTGACTTATGTGCACCCGCAGGCCCAACACCATGTGTAAGCTGCCAAGGCTTGGGGCTTGCACCCTCTGAAGCAACAGCCTAAGCTCTGTGTTGGCTCCTTTTAGCCATGACTGGGACACAGGGCATCAAGTCCCAAGATTGCACAAAACAGCAAGGCCCTGGGTCCAGCCCACAAAACCATTGTGTTGCCTCCTTGGCCTCTGGGCCTGTGATGGGAGGAGCTGCCGTGAAGACCTCCGACATGCCCTGGAGACATTTTCCCCATTGTCTTGGCAATTAACATTTGGCTCCTCTTTACTTATGCAGACTTCTGCAGCCAGCTTGAATTTCTCCTCAGAAAATGGGGTTTTCTTTTCTATCGCATCATCAGGCTGCAAATTTTCTGAACTTTTATGCTCTGCTTCCCTTCTAAACATAAGTTCCAATTCCAAACCATATTTTTGTGAATACATAAAACTGAATGCTTTTGACAGCACCCAAATCATCTCTTGAGTGCTTAGAAATTTCTTCCACCAGATACCCTAAATCATTTCTCTCAAGTTCAAAGTTTGACAGATCTCTAGGACAGGGGTAAAATGCCACCAGTCTTTTTGCTAAAGCATAGCAAGAGTCACCTTTGCTCCATTTTCTAACAAGTTCCTCATCTCCATCTGAGACCACCTCAGCCTGGGCTTTGTTGTCCATATTACTATCAGCATTTTGATCAAAGCCATTCAACAAGTCTCTAGGAAGTTCCAAACTTTCTCACATCTTCCTGTCTTCTGAGCCCCCCAAACTGTTCCAACCTCTGCCTGTTACCCAGTTCCAAAATTGCTTCCACATTTTTGGTTATCTTTACAGCAGCGTCCCACTACCTGGTACCAATTTACTGTATTAGTCTGTTCTCACACTGCTAATAAAGACATACCCAAGACTGGGTAACTTATAAAAGAAAGAGGTTTAATTGACTCATAGTTCCACATGGCTAGGGAGGCCTCACAATCATGGCTGAAGGTGAATGAGGAGCAAAGTCAAGTCTTAACATGGCAGCAGACAAGAGAGAGCATGTGCAGGGGAACTCCCCTTTATAAAACTATCAAATCTTGTGAGAGTTATTCACTATTGTGAGAACAGCGTGGGAAAGACCTGCCCCCATGATTCAATTATCTCTCATTGGGTCCCTCTCATGACATGTGGGAATCATGGGAGCTAGAGTTCAAGATGAGATTTGGATGGGGACACAGCCAAACCATATCACATACCTCGTGAGGGAGGTATCATCTGAGTTAATGTTCTGTGGCCCTTGTCTTCTCAAAAGAAGGTAAAATGTTTAACTTTAGACATTAAGTATGCATGAGAAAATACCAAGGGTAACCATTAAATGGTTAAAGACAGAGTATTCTAAAATAAGGGTAAAATGACCTAAGAGGAAAACATGAAGGATGATGAGAGAAACATGTCTGCACTGGTGGGGTAAGCACCTCTGAAAATTCATTCCTTCATAAAGGCAATGACAATGAGGCAGGAGAATAGAGTCAAGAGACAGGGAACCTTCACATCAGCCTCTGATTGGTCACAGACCAAACCTTCAGCCTCTGATTGGTCACAAGCCAAACCTTCACTTCAGCTTCTGTTCACTGGCCAAACCTTCAGCCTACGATGGGTTATGGGCCAAAACTTCATTTACATATGGTGTAACCAATGGGAAACCTCTAAAGGGTACTTAAAACCGAGAAAATATTGCAACTGGGGATCTTGAGCCACTTGATTGAGCCTGCTCCCACCCTGTGGAGTGTACTTTCACTTCAGTAAACCTGTGCTTTCACTGCTTCATTCTTTCATTGCTTTGTGCATTTTGTTCAATTCTTTGATCAACATGCCAAGAATCTGGACAACTTGTAGTCAAGAACCTCCATCAGTAACAAGAACACTAGCAAAAATTGCCAAAATTAACTTTCTCATGATTCTGGAAATCAACCAAAGGTCTCCAACAATCCAAGGAACATTTATTTAATAAAAATGGCTGAATTCAGTAAGAATGCTGAGAATTATGACATGTTAGCATGCCCTATTCCCATCCTCTCCCCTACTCTGTGATAGCCTTGAAAACCAACAGCCACAGAACCATATGTATCTGTGCATATCTGCAACCTAGCAAATACAGAAGGGGGCAGAATGGGCTTGCAGCTCCCAAAAGAGTCCTAGCTCAATAATTGTCACTATTTGATCATTCTGGCAGTTCCTTGGAAAAGTCTTATTATCAGGACTGGTCTTTATTTGGTTTGATTCATGACTTGCTCAGTGAAGAAAGGCCTATCTCCAGGATATTTTCCATTAAAAAATTAGAAGCAATTATTTGACATCACAGTTTCTTGAGGCATCAGCAACAGTTGGGTTAAACAAACAGTAGGCCCCAAAACATAAAAATTTGGAGAATGAGATGTCCAAAGGTGTCTTTGAAAAGTTCTGATGTATTTCTGGAGATCTAGATGGCCATACACAAGTGGAAGACTGGGTGCATACACAAGAAAGACCTAAGAAGACCCTAGTTTCTTGCCTCTGGCTAACTTTGAAGCTCTGCATAGGCAAGCGATGAAGGATAAGGTGGAGTTCCAAACTGTCAGAGCATTGAAGGCATTCTCCAACAAATAAAAGAGCCCCGAGGGCAGACTTTTTGATTGAAGGTATTTAAGATAATCTCTGTTTAATCATTTGCTGACCACTAAACTATCTGAACAGAGACATCAGTGGCTGCTCACAATGAAGAATACAGACTCTAAAGAATTAGATCAGAGAAATCCTAAGCAAACAGTGATAACAACAAACCCTGGGTGGGTAGTGGCGGGGAGTCTGATTTCCAGAGTTGCCACATTATATAACATATCCAATTCTCAACAAGAAATTTAAAGACACACAAAGAAATGGAAAATATGGTGCATACACAGGAAAAGTAGTCATTAGACCTGAGGAAGCCCACATGTTTGATATACTATGCAAAATTTATAAACAATTATAAATGTTCACAAAACTAAAGGAAACCATGCTTCAAGAATTAAAGGAATTATGAAAATGATGTTTACAAAATAGAGAAGATCAATAAAGAGACAAAATCTATATGACAGAATCAAATAAAAATTTTGCATTCGAAATGTAGTTCATTAGGGTGCGGGGGCATAGCAGAGGGTAGAGCTCAAAAGCAGATTTGAGCTCACAGAAGAACCAGAAATCTTAAAAGTAGGACACTTGAGAGGATCTACTCAGAGGAACAGAAAGAAATGAAGAAAAAGCAGAAACCTGTGGGACACCATCAAGTGTACCAACTTACACATAATGGGACTTCCAATGAAAAAAAAAAGCAGGCCAGTAAGCACATTTTGAAGAAATAATGGCTGAAAACTTTCCAAATTTTATGAAAACCTACATACTAAGAAGTTCAATAAATGAAGTAAAATAAACTCAAATACATCTACACCAAGATAAATGATATTCAAACTTATCAAAAGACAAGAGAAATTTGAAAGATGCAAGAGAAAAATGACTGATCAGGTGCAAGAGATCCTCAATAAAAATACTAATTTCTCATCAGTAAAAAATAGAGGCCATAAGGCAGTGGGATGGCATTGAATGTGCTGAAAGGAAAAGATTCAAATAAGAATTCTGTAACAAGATTATTAAAAAATGAAGGAGAAAAAAAATGACAGAATTCATCCTAGCAGACCCACCATATAAGAAACACTAACAGGTAATCAATCTTTTAACCTGAAATGAAGGAATGATGGGCAGTAACTCGAATCTACACGAAGAGATAAAGAACATCATTATAGGTAAATATAATACTCAATGTAAATACATCTTGTTTGTAACTCTTCTTCTCCTATCTGACTTGAAAGACATCAGCATAAAGCAATATTGAGAAAACTGTTGACCGGTTTATAATGTATAAAGATGTAATGTGTATTGTGGGCGGAAAGCAACCCAGGTGCCGAAGCAAGAGACTGAAGGCACAACCCATTCCAATATAATAAAGAAAATAGTTAGAATAAGAAAAGTTATAATAGAAATAAGATATAGAGATGATCATATATGAATATTATTAATCATTAGCTGTAGTATCAATCTCTGTTTTACTATTATAATAATCTCTGTTTTATTATTATAACCGAGGAAAAACCAGGCCATACGGACTCAGGAGCTGAAGGGACATTGTGAGAAGTGACCAGAAGACAGTGGGCAAATGACATGAATAGACTAGGACTTCTGATCCAGGAATTTTACTTTTAGGTGTCACCCAAGAGAAATAAAAATATATGTCCACACAATTTTGTTCATGGATGTTTATACCAGCATTATTTATAATAGCCCAAAGTGGAAACAACCTAGATGTCCATTAACTGATGAATAAATAAGCAAAACATGGTATATCCACACAATGTAATATTATTAGGCAATGAAAAGGAATGATGAATTGACACATGCTATATCATGGGTCAACCTTGAAAACATGCTAAGAAGCCAGTCACAAAAGACCAACATTATATGATTTCATTTATATGAAATGTCCAGAATAGGTAAATCTATAGAGACAGAACATAGATTGATGGTTGCTTAGGGCTGACAGGGTTGGGGCAGGGCATGGGCTGTGCCTGCGAATGCATATGGGGTTTCTTTTTGTGATGATAAAAACATTCTAAAATTGAGAGTGTTGAAGGTTACACAGCTCTGTATACTAAAAACCATTGAGTTTTATACTTTAAAAGAGTAAATTCTATGATATGTGACTTATATCTCAATAAAACTTTTTAAAAGATTACAAAATATGGAGAAAAGCAAGACAAAAGAACTATGAAAATTGTAGGCAATAAGTGTAAATGGAGCTAAATTTCCAGTTGAAGACAAAGATTGACAGACTGAATTTAAAAATATAAGAGCTTAAAACATCCAAGTATATGCTATTTAAAAGATACACTGAAGGGTTGAATGTAAAATCCCAGTAAAGTTAGCAGATATAGTTCAACAGTAGAGAACTTATGTATTATACTATTATGGGACAAAATAGGCAATAAATATGACACATTCCTAGAAAAAGTTACCATATAATAAAAATTTCAACTCATCACATAGTTATTAAAAAGGCCAAATTTGTATGCATCTAATATCTTTGCCTTAAATAAAGCAAAATTTATAGAAACAAAAGGAAAAATTAACAAATCTATCACAAATATTTTAGCATAATTTTCTCAGTGTTCGAGTCATCAAGCAGACCAAAAAATCAGTAAGGATAAAGAAGATTTTAATAGCACAATTAACGTATATTTAAATATACTTTTAGATAGAACACTTTATCAAGCAAGTGGTAGGCCACATAGCATGGGAGTTAAGGATACTGCCAAGAGAGGGTTGAAGTGATAGACCATGCAACCTAAGTTTGATAGGGAGGTAAAGCAAAGACAAAGGATGGTTCATATGAATGAAGTAAATGGGTCTGTGAGCTATGGTTGAAGAACTGACATCTTGAGATTGATAGAGTGAGATTCCTAAAAATGTTGTCAAATTGTATAGTGGCCAAATTTATTTCAGAGATAATTAGTCATGAGTGATTACAAGGTCCAGAGTGTCACCATGGAAGTGGATTGCTGAAACGGGGTAGAAGTCATGGAAGATAAAGAGATTAAGGTACTGAAAGTTCAGAATGCTGAGTGATTCATTAACTTAGATTTGAAATACCCTAGGACTTCGGCACTGGGAATGGAAAAGAAGACAAATGAAATATATTTAATCTTCATTGAATGGAGGAACATTAGCAGTAATTGGTAGAATCTGCAACCAAAGAAGATGGGGTTAGAGCTAATTGCATGAACTGAGGTTTTCACAAAGTAGATGTGTGTTGTGGAAGCAGTAGTGTAAAATTAAAAGGATACTGATCCTATCACTTGACCCAGAGCTGAATTGAATGTGGAAGAAATAGCAGCCTCCACTTGACGGTATGGCAAGAGATGTGTTATCCAGAGATAACTCTATTTAAATTAAGGTCAGAGAAGAAAGTTAACCATCAGTGAAGGAGCACACTTTGTTAAAATGTAATGGATGTTTTAAAAGGCATGATGGAGAGTTAAGAGATTAAGCCATCAGTGGTAAATTCAGTCAGGGGAAAAGAAATAGTAGTTAAAGGAAGAATAGGCAGCTGAATGAATTTGTATCTTGGAAGGTAATCAAGGATAACAGGATATGTGTATTTAGCTGCTTGACAGTTACTTGAGAATCCTGGCCTTTCCCTGGTGAATGGCAGTGAACAATTGTAGGTGGGTTACACTTCTGAGAGGATTTGAGACATGCTGCATTCACGGGAAGGGATTATTATCTGGCTTGAATTCAAAGGCTCTGGCTGATAGCGCTAAAGATTTAGAGTAGATGTGAGATTCCCATCACCTCATTTTCATTTCATTGAGTCTTTTGAAGAGCCCAGGCCAGATATTCTGTAGAATATCTCACATTCTGGATTTATTTGAATGCTTACTTGTGATTAGCCCCAGGTGAGACTTGTCTAGCAAGATCACAAGGGCAGTGTGTATACTTCCCAAAGTATCACATATAATTTTAAGTAGGCATGTAATTTTAAGCTGTTCCACTGCTAGTGATGTCAACCTTGACCATTTGTTTAATGTGATGACCACGAGATCTGTCCATTGTGAAGCACTGTTTCTCCTTTGGACCAATCAGCTATAGAATGAGGGTTAACAGGGACACTTGATATAGACCATGGTGATACATACTTGGCAGGAATGCGAGAAAACAGGCAATAAGGCAAGACAAGTTTATACATATAACCCACATAAGATATAAATTTGTAAGAGCGATAAGAAAAGTTCTCATAAGAACATACATGAGTGAACAATTATTTCTATGTGCCTAGGGTGTGTGTGTTGGCGGGGGGGGGGCTGTGGAAATGAAGGGAAAGCTGAAGAACAAAGGTGATATTTGAGAGTTGGATCTTTAAGCATGAGTTAATAGTGGCTGAAGGTGATGAGGGCACCCAGATAGACAGAAAAAGCATTAGGAAAAAAAACAGGTCTGAAACTACATAGTTCAGCTAGGAGAAATAAATCCTGGGTACTAGTGGGTACTAGTGTATAAGATGCATGGAAATGAATGACTGCAGATGAGATTGGAAAGGTAGACTAGGTTAGGCTGTGAAAAACCTTGAACTCCATGCTAAGGAATTTAGCTATAATTCTATAAGTAGTGGACGTGAATGAGGGACTGTAAGCAAAGGAATACTCAGATTGGACTTTTAGAGAGATGTGTGGATGGCAGTGTGGCAGACAGATTAAGGGGGGAATATTGGCAAAGAGGAAATCTGAGGGACTAAGAGGTTTTTGTGAGAAATGATGAGAGCAAAGTCTAGGTCAGTGGCAGTGGGGTAAGAGAGGAAGGGACTGATATGAGAGATTTTTTTTGAGGTGAAATAAAGAAAACTTGATAAGTGGCTACATGTGGGCATTGGAGATGTCAAGACTATTCTAGGCTTTAGGACTTGAACCATATTGGTGGTGATGCCATTAGCAATGTAAGTTAGTAGGAGAAGCAGATTTGGAGTAGAGAAGATAAAGTTCTACATATATTGAATTTGAGTTGCCTAAAGGGTATCATTTCCTACTGTTGTTCCATTTGATTTTTTAAATGAAGCTCCTCCCTCTTATTTTCTTTTATATTTCTACTTGGATCACAGAGAGGAAATTGGAGTAATATGAACAACACTCACGTTTCTGGTGGACATGACAGAGAGCAAAATAGTTTAACCTAGAGATAACCAGGAATCAATCAATTATTCCTTGGGCTGCACATTGGCAGTCTTACTTTGGAATATTTGAGCAAACTTGGATTAAAACTCTAGGGAAGATCTGTTCTCAAAGGATTTCTGTACCTACTTTTAAAAAATACTATAAAGCAATGTAATTTTATTTAAATGTGCTTTCCCAAATTCATATACAAAAGATGGTAATAAAAAACATCTAAAAAGGTTTGGAGATGACCCTTTACCAAAACAAGGGTCAAGCCTTGGGTCTTGCCAAGAGATGGTCTTGTTTTCATGGTTTAGATAGTAATTTCTTCATCTTGAGTCATGGCTTGTTCCCCTACAGCAGGAAGAGGACCTGAGGCCAAGTTCATACTCTGCTGCACTGGTGGACTGGTGGGGGCTGTAATGTTCATCTGAGAGGGCATGGCCTTCCTGGGGTCCTGCCATGTTGTCTGATTGATGTGATTTAAGAAGTTTCGCTTGCCAGAAGATGTCTTCCCCATCTCCCAGCTTGCTGGCAGAGGTACATCATCAGGTATCTCCAAAGAGGACTGTTGAAGATGTTGAGCTGTGGGTGTAGCAGCTGGGCCAGACTACTCTAGTGGCAGTCCCAGGAGAAACAGCTCCTAACTGCAGAGAAGCTACAGAGAGCTGGAACATGCTGTGAAGTCAGGGCTCCTGCAGTGCCTTTGTCAGTACTGGCCTGTCCGGAGTGGGAATTGGGCTCCTGTGGCTTGAAGGAGTCAGGCAGCTTCCAGAGCCTCATGGGCATGGTCTGGGGTATGTTGGTCGTCTTAGGGTTCATGACGGCGCTCAAGAGCGCCTCCGAGTCGGTCTCCAAGTCCTCCTGGACGTGCACGATCTGGTGCCTGGTGAAGAATGCCTATGGCGCCGCCTGGGTCGCCAGGGAGGTTGGGGTGCTGGTTGCCTGGGCCTGGACGGCAGACCCTGCCCCTGGGAGGGTTGCGCAGGCAGCTGCCCTTGGCCCTTGAGGGACGGTTGAGATGGTGGCTGCTGCCCAGGATCCATAGCTTCTGCCTTCCCCCACGTGGAACCCTGACCAGGCGAGCGAGGACTCCCCCAGGACGCCCCGGCTCGACGGGCCGAGATGACGAAGGCGGCAAGGGCTTCGGGCCAGGTGGCGCTGGGTGGCTGGAGCGGCCCTCTTCTCTCTCTCAGGGCCGCTGGGTGGGTAGGGGGGTGCGCCTTGGCCCCTCATCCCCCATCCTGCGCCTCTGCCCCACGCTGGTCCCTGGCTCTACTGGTCTGTGTACCTACTTCTGATAAGCTTTATGAAGTCACTGGAGCCATTTAATTTCTCAAACAAGAATAATCACCCCAGAGGTTAACTCTTAAGGAATTGCAACAGTTAATTAGATAAAACGGTTCTTTTTCCTTAGAAGCCAAGGGTTTGTCCCACAAAGATAAATCAAGTATTTTTTTTCTTGAATTTCTTTGTTTTTCTGTCAAGCCATTTTTATTTATTATGTCCAATTCCACTGAACTCTTTAATTTCAATAGATTCTAAAAATAAATCCCCTAGAGGAGAAAAAATAATGAACAAAGAGAGAAAATAAGCCAACACCATGACATGGAGGAGCATGCACAACTGGCTATGCACTAATAAACAACATCCAATAAGACACTGGGTTCTTAAGAACATTTCCTTAATTACGGTCATGATATGTGCCTTCCAAGAATAACAGTATGTGCAGTATTTTAACATTGGTAGTAAGATCTCTATTTTATTAGAGTTTTTCAAGTCATGGCATGTAAACAAAGATGTCTGTCATATATTCCTAGGAAAGTGAAACCTTTCAGCTACAAAGTGTTTATCATTTTGAAAATATTTTAATATAAATGATAGACTTATGAAACTTTAAATGAAACCTCAAGAATTCTAGCATACTCAAAAGTTTCAAGGTATAGGTGTTTCTGTTTTTGTTTCCACTAACCCAAAGCAAGTTCTTTCTTTTGGCAACTCCACCACCAATTTCCTCTTTGTTTAATTTACTTTATTTTGTGGAATGAGCAAAGCTTGTAACTCAATCTTCCCGGATTTTTTTTTTTTTTTTAATGTTCTCTCCTTGGACTATCTCCCAGTTTCCTCTGTTCTAAAACTGGCGTAATGTAATTTTGATGCTGAATGTTATTTGGGGCCAGAAAACAAACTGAGATTGAAACTCTGATGGGAAAAAGAGAAAATGCCATAATACCTATTTGCCTGTACTTCATATTTCTCTTTCTCAAGAGACATTTGCTAGACTTATAACTTGGCTTTCTACTGTTGCATTCTTCCTCTATTTGTGCCCAGAAACTTCACACTGATTCCACATCTTTCAATCTTCTAGATCAACCCTGGATCTGATTTAGTAGTTAAAAAAATAGAGATTTGGAAAAGAAATATAAAATAGCATGAGGAAACTGCAGAAAAAGAAAAAGAGGGAACCAGAAGATCTGAACATGGACCCAATCGAATTTATGAAGCAGATAAACTCTTATCTTGGTGCCTTCTATTCCTATTCAGCCTCCTTTTCCATCCCCACCCTCCTACATTTTCACTTTCCCCCTGTTCATGCCTAGCCTGATTTCCTTCTTATAGGGCCTTGCCATTTGCTGTCTCATCAGCTGTTTCCTCTAGTAGACATATTAGTGGGCACATCTAAAAGTATTATCCCTCCCCCAGGCTTTTGCATTTTACTAAATGTCTATTGAAGACTAGAATGCTTTTGAGGCCCAAAGAATGAATTACTGATGATTTAATGGAATTTGATTCACCATTTCTATAACGGTGTTCTTTGTGTCCCTACTTCCATACCTCTCACTTTCATATCTTCTTCCCCCCAAAAAACTCATTCTGCTAGCTATCTCAGTATGACCAGGTTTTGTACTTGGTCAATTCCCAGAAGATGTTAGTACTCTCACCAGGAAAGTATGTGGTGGATAAGTGTGTGGGGGGTTGCAGGAGGGAGGACAATACCTAAATGTACACACACACACACACACACACACACACACACACACTCAAGAAGGGGCAGATTTGCAAACTTTACTGAGAGCTATAATTCCATTCTCAGAGTGATAAAGACTCTTCCAATCCATCCAAACAACAAACAATAACATAAGAACCTCTCCCACAAGAGACATTTGCTCGACCATTGCATTCAGGGAAAGAGAATTTTTATCTATTTTAGGAAACTCATCTTGTATGTATAATCACCTGATTGCTAGCTTATTCTTGAATTCTTTTACAGTGAAATATGATTATCATATCTGTGATGCAGGCTTAAAAACAAGCTTTTAAAAAGTTATACAGAATCTGTTTGGCAAGTCTCTCTCTCTCTCACGTGCATGCGCGCGCGCGTGTGTGTGTGTATTCTATTTGATTGGTTTTTCTCCATTTTTGCAGGGGAGCAGTATGTACTATAGGGGCAGATACTTCTGCCTTGTTGCTCTAGGGAACTCTAGGAGACAGCCTAGATGGCCTTCAGAAATATGAGAGGAGAGAAGGACTACATAGAGGCTTAACTCTATTTAAGGCCACCTCGGTCTTAAAGATGGACTGGGGAAAGAGAAGGAGAAAGAGGGAGAGAAAATACTAACCTTGCCAGGCCATAAGGAAATCATGTGCTTTAGTATGAAGTTCTTCTATGATCCATTTGAAAAAGAACAGTTTGAATAAATGAAACACAGATAGAGGTATAATAAATAGGATTTGTTATTATTGTCTACCAATATCTATTCTCCCCTTTGTCCTGGGCACACAGCTTAGACTACATTTCCCAGCCTGTCTTGCAGTTAGGTTAGACCATCTGACTAAATTCGCTCCAGTCAAATGGGAGCAGAAGTTACATGTGTTAATTCCAAGACTTGCCCATAGAACCTCCACAGATGCACTTCAGAACTTTATTTGACTCTCCACAGAAAGGAATGGTGAAAACCAAACCAACATTGGAAACCACATGTTGAAAGTAGAAAGGCCACCTAGTGACCTCCATATTCAGCCTGGTTGCTGTACAAACAAGAATTGACCCTCTGTTGCATTTGAACCATTACATATTTGGGTTAATTTATTATAGCAGTTTAGCCTACCCTACTGTGTTCCTTGAGAGCATGATATCCACTACCACATGCAGCACAATGCTCAGCACAGAATGGGTGCTCAATAAATAATTGTTGAATTAATGAGCTACTACACTAGCCCCTTCATGAAAGATCTCCTAAAATGTGTAATTACTATAGAATGCTAAGCTGCAAAATTCCTTCATTCACACATAATTTTATTCATTTTAAATGGTAATTGATATTTAAGTATTGAACACTTGTTTATTACAATCTTTTACAAGAAATCCTGATAAGGTAGACGATATTATCTCCATTTAACACATGAGGAAACTGAAACTCAGAGAGTTAAGGCACTTTTCCAAGGCCACACAGCTCCTACATAGGTAAGCCAGGATTCAAATTCAAACCTGTCTGACTACAAAACTCTTTCCAATACATCATGCTTCCTTAAAGATATGTTTGGTTTAATGCATTACATTTTTTGTTTAGATCTGTAATCTTGAGGATATGATTCAGAGCAAAGTGTAATCACCTGAAACCCAGTAAGTCCCTCAACAAGGTTGTCAAACTTGAGCTATGCAATCTTACTCAATTAATAGAACTATTTTATTAATCTGGTAATCAACTTATGACCTCTTACACTCTTTCTAAGTGATATTTAAATATAGAGTAAATATAGGCTGGATATGGTGGCTCATGCCTGTAATCCCAGTGCTTTGGGAAGCTGAGGTGGGAGGATCACTTGAGCCCAGGAGTTCAAAACCAGCCTGGGCAACATAATAAGGCTCCATCTCTATAAAAATAGAAAAAACCTAGCCAGGTGTAGTGGCACATGCTTGTAGTCTCAGCTACTTGGGAGGCTGAGATGGGAGGATTGCTTGAGCCTGGGAAGTCAAGGCTGCAGTGAGCCATGATGGTGCCACTACATTCCAGCTTGAGTGACAGAGTGAGACTCTGTCTCAAAATAGATAGATGATAGATGATAGATAGATAGATAGATAGATACAAATATAGATAGATAGATATAGGTATAGATATATAGAGAGAGTAAATATAGTAAAAGCTCAGCTAGAAGGCTTGCTGATTGAATTTGAGACAGCATGGTGAGATGATTTCCTGCGGAAGGATCAGAAAGCAATGGAAAATGATTTGTATTTTAGTCCTCACTTTTTTGTGATATCTTTCAAAATTCAGGAATTCGTTTTCTGATCATAGAACAAACTGATGCAATGGTGTCCAAAACTAGAGAAATATACTCTGGGTTTTTTAAATTAGACATTGGAGTTGCAAATAGAAATATAAGCGTGTCTGGGGATTTCATCTCCACTGCTTTATCTTCCCTGCTGCCAGAGGTCCCAAGTGGCTCTGTCATAGCCTCTGTTGCCCTGTGAACTGAAGGTACTGAGAGATCCATAGATAGGACATTGAGAGATACCAGAAGCTAGGAAATGGACTCAGTGGCCTTTTGAAGATGTGGCAGGAAACTCACTCAGGAGAAGTGGGCTTTGCTGGATCCTTCTCAGAAGAATCTCTACAGAGATGTGATGGAGAAAACCTCCAGGAACTTGGCTTCTGTAGGAAACAAGTAGGAAGATCAGAACATTGGAGATCAGTTCAAAAATCCTGGGAGAAATCTAAGAAGTTATATCATGGAGAGACTGTGTGAAAGTAAAGAAGGTAGTCATCATGGGGAAACCTTCAGCCAGATTCCAAATCTTAATATGAACAAGAAAAGTCCTCCCGGAGTAAAACCGTGTGAAGGTAGTATGTGTGGAAAAATTTTCATGTCATTCATCCCCTGACAGGCACATCATATGTCATACTGGACACAAACCATGAGTGTGGGGAATGTGGAGATAAGTCACATAAATGTAAACAATGTGGGAAAGCCTTAATTTCTCTCAAGACTGTTCAAAGAAATAGAGTAACACACACTTTGATTTTCTCAGTTCATTTTGTAAAACATCAGAGAACGCACACAGGAGAGAAAGCTTATAAATGTACACAATGTAGTAAAGCCTTCAGTTTCTTCAGTAGTTGTAGAATACATGAAAGAATTCACACTAGAGAAAAACCCTATGAATGTAAGCAATGTAGGAAAGCATCCCATTGTCCCAGTTTCATTTAATGATATAAAAGGGTTCACCTTCTGCACATGTATTCTGGAACTTAAAGTAAAATTTAAAAAAAAATTAGCAAGAAGACTTTGATATATAAATTTACATTTGTATAGTAACAGTAAACTTTGCCCTAAATATGTTTTGTCTTAAGATATAAGCTAATTATGACACTGCATATATGACACTGCATGTATATAATTTATAAATACAAATACTTCTACTGAGGGGATGTGTTCAAAATAAGTAAGCACAGTGGGGTATATTATCTACAAAGTTTGGAGACCTATCTTTTCTTTTTTCTTTTCTTTTTCTTTTCTTTCTTTTTTCTTGCGACAGGATCTTGCTCTGTCACCCAGGCTGGAGTACAGTGACATGAACTAAGCTCACTGCAGCTTTGATTTCCTGGGCTCAAGAGATCCTTTCACCTCAGCTTTTAGAGTAGGTAGGACTACAGGAGTAAGCCACCTCGTCTGGCTAAATTTTTTTTCTTTTTGTGGAGATGAGCTCTCGTTATGTTGCTCAGGCTAGTCTTGAACTCCTGGCCTTAACTGGTCCTCCCACCTTGACCTACCAAAGTTGTGGGATTACAGTCATGAGGCACTGTGTCTGGCCTGGAGACCTGTCTAAATACAACCCTTTATTTTATTGTATTTGCAATACATATCTATATGTCTCTTTTTTATATTAGATACTAATTTCCTTGAGGGGAGCGGAACCATGTCTTATGTTTGTACCTAAGTTATGTAGCTCTTGGTTTTGCAGTGGTAGGTGCTCAATTAATATCTGCTAAAGGGAAATACAAGTTCACAGCCAGCATTAAGGTGTTTTTACAGAGTGCTGATGGGTGCGTTTACAATCCTTTACCTAGACACAGAGTGCAGATTGGTGCATTTTTACAGAGTGCTGATTGGTGCATTTACAATCCTTTAGCTAGACATAGAGTACTGACTGGTGCGTTTACAATTCTCTACCTAGACACTGAGTGCTGATTGGTGCGTTTTTACAGAGTGCTGATTCGTGCATTTATAATCCTTTAGCTAGACACAGAGTGCTGATTGGTGTGTTTACAATCCGTTAGCTAGACACAGAGCACTGAGTGATGCGTTTTTACAGAGTGCTGACCGGTGCATTTACAATCCTTTAGCTAGACACAGAGTGCTGATTGGTGTGTTTACAATCCGTTAGCTAGACACAGAGCACTGAGTGATGCGTTTTTACAGAGTGCTGACTGGTGCATTTACAATCCTTTAGCTAGACACAGAGCGCTGATTGGTGCATTTTTACAGAGTGCTGATTGGTGTGTTTACAATCCTTTAGCTAGACACAGAATGCTGATTGGTTAGCTAGACACAGAGCACTGATTGGTGCGTTTTTACAGATTGCTGATTGGAGAATTTACAATCTTTAGCTAGACACAGAGCACTGATTGGTGCGTTTTTACGGAGCACTGATTGGTGCATTTACAATCCTTTAGCTAGACACAGAGTGCTGATTGGTGCATATACAATCCGTTAGCTAGAAACAGAGTGCTGATTGATGCGTTTTTACAGAGTGCTGACTGGTGCATTTACAATCCTTTAGCTAGACACAGAGCGCTGATTGGTGTGTTTACAATCCGTTAGCTAGACACAGAGCACTGATTCGTGCAGTTTTACAGAGCACTGATTGGTGCATTTACAATCCTTTAGCTAGACACAGAGCACTGATTGGTGTGTTTTTACAGTGTGCTGATTGGTGCATTTACAATCCTTTAGCTAGAAACAGAGCGCTGATTGGTGCGTTTTTACAGAGTGCTGATTGGTGCATTTACAATCCTTTAGCTAGACACAGAGTGCTGATTGGTACATTTACAATCCTTTAGCTAGACACAGAGTGCTGATTGGTGCATTTTTACAGAGTGTTGATTGGTCCATTTACAATACTTTAGCTAGACACAGAGTGCTGATTGGCACATTTACAATCCTTTAGCTAGACACAGAGCACTGATTGGTGCGTTTTTACAGAGTGCTGATTGGTGCCTTTACAATCCTTTAGCTGGACACAGAACACTGACTGGTGTGCTTTTACAGAGTGCTGATTGGTGCATTTACAATCCTTTAGCTAGACAGAAAAGTTCTCCAAGTCCCCACTAGACCCAGGAAGTCCAGCTGGCTTCACCTCTCAGATGGCCTTATGTAGATGTTGATGGTTGCTTAACTCATCAGGGTGGTGGTTACTGAAGGTTGGAGTGGCTGTGGCAACTTCTTAAAATAAGACAATAATGAAATTTGTCACGTCAATTGGCACTTCCTTTGCTACATTTCTCTGTAGCATGTAATGCTGTTTGATAACATTTTACCTACAGTAGAACTGTTTTCAAAATTGGAGTCAATCTTCTCAAACCCTATCACTGCTTTAGCAAATAAATTTATGTAATATTTTAAATTGTTTGTTGTCATTTCAACAATGTTCACAGCATCTTCACCAGCAGTAGATTCCATCTCAAGAAACCACTTTCTTTGCTCATTCATAAAAAGCAACTCCTCATCAGTTCAAGTTTTATCATGAGATTGCAGCAATGCAGTCATGTCTTTAGATTCCACTTCTTATTCTAGTTCACTTGGTGTTTCCACCACATCCACAGTTACTTCCTCCACTGATGTTTTGAATCCCTCAAAGTCATCCATGACAATTGGAATCAACTTCTTCCAAACTTGTATTAATGTTGATATTTTGACTTCTTCCCATGAATTGCAAATGTTCTTAACAGCATCTAGAATGCTGACTTCTTTCTAAAGGTTTTCAATTTACTTTACCCAGATCCATCAGAGAAATTGCTATCTGTGGCAACTATAGCCTTAGGAAATGTATTTCTTGCAAGTTAATATTACTCCTTGATCCGTGGACTGCAGAATGGATGTTGTGTTATTAGGCATGAAAACAACATTAATCTTGCACAGCTCCAACACAGCTCTTGGGTGACTGGGTACAGTTTAAATGAGCAGTAATATTTTGAGAGGAATCTTTTTTTGATGAGCAGTAGGTCTCAGTAGTGGACCTAAAATATTCAGTACATCATGATGTAAACAGATGTGTTGTCATCCAGGCTTTGTTGTTACATTTATAGGGCACAGGAAGAGAGGAAGAGTAGATTTCACATAATTCTTAAGGGCTCTAGGATTTTCTGCATGGGTACATGAACATTGGCTTCAACTTAGATTCAGCAGCTGCATTAATCCCTAACAAGAGATTCAGCCTGTTCTTTGAAGCTTTGAAGCCAGGCACTGAATTCTATCTGTGAGAGTCCTAGATGTAATTTTCTTCCAATAGAAGGCTGTTTTGTCTACATAAAATCTGTTGTTTAGTGTATCCACCTTCATCAGTTAACTTAGCTTGATCTTCTGCGTAACTTGCTGCAGCTGCTTCATGAGCACTTGGTGCTTCAACTTAGACTTATGTTATAGTGATGATTTCTTTCCTCCAACCTCATAAACTAACCTCTGCCAACTTCCAACTTTTCCTTTGCAGTTTTCTCACCTCTCAGACCTTATAAAATTGTAGAGAGTTAAGAGCCTTGCTCTGCATTAAGCTTTAGCTTAAAAGAATGTTGTGGCTGGATTTACTATTCTATCCAGACCACTAAAACTTTCTTCACATCAGCAATAAGGCTGTTTCTCTTTCTTATCACGTTGTGTTCACTGAAGTAGCACTTTAATTTCCTTCAATTACTTTTCTTTGGCACTCACAACCTGGCTGTTTGTCTCAAGAGGCCTAGCTTTCACCCTATCTTGATGTTCCACAAGCCTTTCTCACCGAACTTAATCATTTTAAGCTTTTGATTTAAAGTGAAAGACATACAACACTTCCTTTCACTTGAACAGTTAGAGGCCACTGTGGGATTATTAATAATAACTAATTTCAATATTACTGTGCCTTAGGGAATAAAGAGACCCAAGGTGAGGGAGATAAACAGGAGAATGGTCAGTTGGTGGAGCAGTCAGAGCACACACATTTATCCATGAAGTTTGCCGTCTTATATGACTATGGCTCATGTCACTCCAATGTAATGATGATCACAGATTAACATAACAGATACAATAATGATGAAAAAGTTTGAAATATGGCAAGAATTACCAAAGTGTGACACAGAGACAAGAAGTGAGCACATCCATTTGGAAAACTGGGGCCAATAGATTTACTTGATGCAGGGTTGCTATAAACCATTAATTTGTAAAAAATGCAATATCCGCGAAGTGCAATAAAGGAAAGTGCAGTAAAACGAGGTATGTCTGTATTGTATTCTTAAAAATTGCGGAGGGTATATTTTATGTGTCCGCACCACAAAAATTGCTATGTATGGGAGGTAGTGCATATGTTAATTAGGTCTATCTAGCCATTCCACAATGTAGAGATATTTCAAAACAACATGATGTACATGATAAGTATATATATATATTTAATTTTTCGATTAAAAAGTTAAATTATAGACTGGATGTGATGGCTCATCCCTGTAATCCCAGCATTTTGGGAGGGTGAGGCAAGAGGATCACTTGAAGTCAAGAGTTTGAGACCAGCCTGTGCAACATAGTGAGACTCTGTCTCCATGAAAATAAAATATTAGCCTGGTGTTGTGGCACACACTTTTACTCCCAGGTATTCAGGAGGCTGAGGTGGGAGAATCACTTGTGCCCAGCAGTTTGAGTTTGCAGTGAGCTATGATTGTGCAACTGCACTCTAGCATGGGTGACAGACCAAGACCCTGTCTCAAAAAACCAAGCAACAACAAAATAATACAAAAAAGAAAGAAATAGTAGGTATGCTGTTGTAGGTGGAGGGGTTGGTGCATGTTGCAATTCTGAATACGATGGCCACGATGTAGGTTTTTATCGATGAGACATTTGAGAACCAAAAGGAGTAAGTCAGGTCCTGAACCCGAATGATCTTTTAGGGCACCTTAAATCTCACTACAAAATGTCCACCTATTCTGCCTATATTTAGAGCTTGTCCCAATTGTAACCCATGTCAGCATTAAATCCAGAAGGCAACATTCCCTTCTCTTGTTGAGAATCTGATTCAGCAACTGCCAACAGAAGCCTTAGAGAGGCATTAGTTCTCATGTTATTGAGTAATATATGAGAAGACAGCTTTTGTATTGGCAATACCTTCATAAATTCCAAAAGTTCAGATTTCAAATATATAACGTATGACAATTAAACCATAAAAGGGCACCTTGAGATGTGCTGTGTAATTATCCAAAGAATATAACTTTACAAGCTAAAGTGGTCTGGAAATGAGGATGAGTATCCAGTGCTCAGCCAAAATATTTCTCTCGTGACGTAAGAATTGAGGAGCCAAGAACTGTAGCACCACTAAAGCTTTCTGGCTTCCCCCCAGGAGTCTAAACATTTATTTCCTGAGAAATACCACTTGAATCATTGGCCTCTGGACAGGATATCACAAAGCTAAAACCACATTGTCCTTATTTTCTTCTGTGAGCTGGAGCCAGGACTTTTTAACTTTTTTACTTGCATTTTTTGCACTGTGTTAATACAGCTATATTTTGGCAAATCTCAGCAGTATTGCTTAATATTATTCCGGGAGATAAAATCTTAGAGAAAGACCAGATTCTCTAGACCCCATCAAAATTCCAAACACCAAGTTTAGAGTGCAAAACATCTGAAGAGAAACTCAAATCCAGGCAGATCTTACCAGAGTCCTGAAGTATGGCATTTACCTAATCACTGGATATAAGAGATGCCCTCTGAGGAGAGTGTTAAAGGAACTGTATTTATTGACCCAGAAGAAAAGATGCGTGAGGGATAATTTAATAATTGTCTTAAAAATGTAGCCATGACTCAGATGCAAAATTAGTCAATAAATATTCTCTTTATACTTAGATGATTAAATAGACTTAAGAAAGGCCATGGGAAATTTTGGTTAGACTTAAGGAGGAATCCTGACCATGAAACCTTGAAAATGGTTTCTGAGGAAAGTTGTGGAATCTTTCCTCCAGAGAGGTTTGTAAATAGGAGAGAATCTGTCTGTCTATGATGGTTTGAGTGCAGCAGCAAGACCTAGGGATCCCAAGGTTTCTTCTGTAGGGCTAGATTTGATACATCAGCCCTTTTGGAATCTTGTTGCCCTTATATAACGCAGGGGTGCACTAGCATTATTTGCATTTAAACAAGTGGTCAAGTGATATATTTGAAAAATATATCCTCTGTAGTAAAATTATAATGTTTAGTTGTCTCCTCTCATCTCCAAACGTGATTTTAATGACAGTTTGAATAATATGCTCAGTATAATCGTTTGCTGTCTCTGTAATTATTATTTCATCAGTGATGATTAGTATTAATATTACTCATTCTTTTTTGAAAGGAGGGAAAATAGTGTGAGCTATGCCATTCCACCCAAGTCCTGTTAGGTTAAGCGTTTTGTAAAATAAAACAGTGTTTATTTGAATAATTTTCTTTTCACAGACTTCATCAGGAAGTTACCAGATTAAAAGTTCTTTTTCTCTAAGTTAATTTCTTTTTAATCCATTTTACTTTCTTTACATAAGATTTGTAGAGACAATTCACAAGAAGTGGCTGAATCTCACATATATTTGAAAAGGTAAGTTTTAATTTTCTTAAAACTTGTAACAAAATTGTATAAGATAAATATATTTGTAATAAAGCCATATATATTTTAAAGTATTTTTGAAGAGTACAGATCCTCCTCAACTTACAATATAGTTATTTCCCAATACATTTATTGTAAGTTGAAAATATCATAAGTTGAAAATGCATTTAAAATACCTAACCTACCAAACACCATAGCTCAGCGTAGCCTATCTTAAACATGCCTAGAACATTTATATTGCCGCAGATGGGCAAAATATTCACAAAGCCTATTGTATTAGGAAGTGTTGAATATGCCATGTAATTTATTGTATACTTACTGAAAATGAAAAACAGAATGATTGTACGGGTACTTGAAGTTTCTACTGAATGGGTACAGTTTCTACTAAATGCATCTCACACACCTTCAAAAAGTTGAAAAATCGTAAGTTGAACCAGTGTAAGTCAGAAACCGTCTGTAATTAGAACTGGATGTGAGTTTATGGTTCATCTGTTGAGAAAACGGAAATCCTGAGAAAAGGAAGAGTGTATACAAGAGAACAGTGGTAGTATTAGGGTACTCTAACTCACAGTCTAGAGCTCTTTACAACACACATCATTACATCTTGCTCTGTTTTGGTGGTTATTTGTCTGATGAGGTAGCATGAGTTTGTGTATGTCTATTAGAGCTAAGAATCTATTGATCCATAGAAGTGTAAGTGAGGGATGATTCAGAAGAGCAAGTCCCTTAGAGAAGAGGAACACAGGAAGGGTACCATGGCAAAGGGAGACTAATAAAGAAGATATTTTTCATGACCTTAGAGACAACATTTTCATGTTGAAACTCTTCTAGAATAAAAGGAGAGGAGGATTAGAAAGTGATATTGGTTTATCATTCATGAAAATACAAATAGTTGGTATCATGGGAATTTGCCTCATATTAAATATCATAGATGATAGTTAAGAAATTAAACGTGGCATATATTAGCCACAACAAAATCCCACCAAACCTTATTAAAAATAATGTTTACAACTATTAAGTTCTTTTCTAAAATGTCCATAGTAAGCAACATTTATGTAGCTTGGAATTAGAGAGCCTTTTTGTGTCATCAAGTATTTGGGCAACATAGCAAACAAAAATTGTCCAGCAGTGTGCAGACTGAAAACCTCATGGTAGTGTGAAAGGCCAATATCACTGATACAGTAAATGAAGGAAAAAGCAGATAACCCATATCTACACACCATTAACTACTTTGTCTTGACGTCTCAAGTTCTGTCTTTGCAAATAACTATAGGTTGCTCTCCTTCCCTTCTAACTCCTCCTCTCTCCCTTCTCTCTGTCATATTTTTCTTCCCTCTAATCCATCTTCTCTAGCCCTACCACATATGCACTGCAAGAACTTATAGATGAATAAAAATACATTTTCTGTCCTCAAGAATCTCATAGTCCAGTACAAGAGATAAAAATGTAGATAGGTAAACTATTATGAGGCAGTCTACTGAATAGACGAAAGCATTTTTCCATATGGGTCAATGGAAACCCAGGCTATGGGTTTCAGAGAGATGATGACGTCTGAGTGGAGTTTTGAATGCTAAATAGGAAGATCTCATTATCTTCTCCTTGGATTATTGAAAGTACTCCCTAACTGGACTTCTTGCCAACATGCTTGCCCTCCCAAATTTTCAGGGAGCTTCCAGTCCAAAGGCAATGAAGCATAAGAAATTCAGGGAATATTTGGAAAAAGGCAAAATGTTTGGTATGACGTTATGAAGGCATGAAGGGATCTAAGTAAAAAAGATGAGCAGAGGCTAAATCATAAGGTGGCTTGTATACCGTGAACCCTGTCTTGTAGAACTAGAAGAGCGGTTGAATGTGTTGGCAATTGGAAGATTTACCCAGTACAGTTTGCATTTTGATCTCGTGACATCTAAGCGAAGATTAGATTGAATTAGAGGAGGGTAACCATGATGTCAGGAAGCGTAGTTAAGAGTCATCATGGAAAAGGTAATGACATCTTCAGCTAGTGCAGTGGTGGGAATAGAGAGCAGTAGACAGACTCCAGAGACATTTAGGAGTTAATATTGACAGGACTTGGTATTGGATTGATTGTGGTAGGTGAGGGAAGAGAGAGAACAAGGATTATCTTATCTGGCTTGAACAACTAGATAGTGGTGCCATTCACTGAAAATATGGGACGCACAAGGAGGAACACTTCTGAGTGGGTGAGGAAGATGATGAGTTCAAGTTTGGACATGTTGAATTTGACTTGCCTATGAGACATCACGGTGGAATTTTCTACTAAGCAATTTGATATAATGGTCTGGAGCTCAGGAGAGCAGCATGTACTCTACCTTCTTTGCTTTTTCTGAATGCTTTTAGAATTCATCTTTGACAACTTAGCCCTTGATTCCATACTGGCTTGTCCCAGTCCTTTATTTTTCTTATTTTCGTGTACTTTTCAGAGGCAGACATTATACATCCATCCATACCTTTTGCGATGCCTAATTCACTTGTGGGCTGAGCGAGGACTTTGCAAAGGCTTCTGAATACTTGCATTTGGCCACCTCACAACTGAGGTCATTCAGGAAAAAGAATGACATTTTAATACTTATTAAAGGGTGCAAAGGACATTTAAATCTTTATAAATACCTCAACAAATATCGCAAATCAGATTCACATGTGTGACCAATTTTACTTGAAAGATTTGTAGGATACTTTCCATTACCCTATTCCCCTAATTTAGGTTTTCAAACTTGTAGGAAAAAGTAGAAATGACACTGCTTTCCTACACAAGCTTTCTTTAAATTCTTTATTCTATCTTGTGGGTTCCTGGGATTCTGCAACTCACTTAGGCATATGAAATCGATAAACTAGGGAAGCAATCTTGTCATTGCTATCTGATCTTTTGAGACTTACAATTAACTCTAGATGTTGTATCCCAATATAATCCCTGCTTTATTTTCTCCAAAGGAAGGACCTCTTATATATCAGCAGTGGACCTTGAAACATTTTTTTTTAATTACACTTTAAGTTTTAGGGTACATGTGCACAACGTACAGGTTAGTTACACATGTATACATGTGCCATGTTGGTGTGCTGCACCCAATAACTCGTCATTTAACATTAGGTATATCTCCAAATGCTATCCCTCCCCCCTTCCCCCACCCCACAACAGGCCCTGGTGTGTGATGTTCCCCTTCCTGTGTCCATGTGTTCTCATTGTTCAATTCCCACCTATGAATGAGAACATGCGGTGTTTGGTTTTTTGTCCTTGCGATAGTTTGCTGAGAATGATGGTTTCCAGCTTCATCCATGTCCCTACAAAGGACATGAACTCATCATTCTGTTAAGTGCTTACTGAAAATAGTTATTTTACTTGAAAAAAGATTCAAGAGGTTTAAGCACAGTTGCCAAGTAAGACAATGAGGTCTTCTTGCTTTCCCGTCTTCCTCTGTTTTGATGTTTTGTCATTATGTTTACCTTCCATTTTCTTAGAATTATTATTTCATTTATGCATGCATCCATGTGTCTATACATTCATTCTTTACACGTTACTAAAATTTTCCAGTCCTAGTCTCTGTGCCTCACAAAATACTCAAGAAAAGAATTAGTCATGTTGTGCAAAAGTGCAAAGGTAAAAGACGAATACATACATGCTTCTTCCCCACATAGCCCTCTTGAGTACTTTATATGAATATCAATGTATTTTTTAGAGAAAGTAATTCCTGCCTTAGGACCCAGGCACAATGGAGTGATACCAATATTGGGACTTGTAACCCCAGTAACATGGAAAGGGGTAAATCCTGGCAAGTTATAGACAGGTGGAGCTTTATTTTATTCACCCCTTGCCCACTCTTCTAATCAAAACTTTCCATCACCTAATTCACATGTAGGCTTACTATGTGCCATGCACATAGTAGGTGCTTTACACGTATTAATTCCTTTAATTCTTACTACAATCCTGTGGATTAAGCCCTATTATTATCCCCATTTAAAGGATGAGGAAACTGAGGCATAGAGAACTTTAGTACATTTTCCAAGGTCATACAGTCAGTAAATGATGGAACTGAGATTCAAACCCAGGCAGACTGGCTCCAGATTTATGTTCTTGGCCAATATACTACGGTATGAAACTTGTTTGATTAATTTAGTGGGTAAATCTGTATTTCTGTCAGCTACTCCGTGTCTTCTTCTAAATGTGGGCTACATCTGTTTGCTAGAGAGCAGCTCAGAACCAGGGAAGATGGTATACATCTTTGCTCTCAACATTTAAATGTAGCACCCAAAGATTAATGGAGAATCCCCCAAAAAGATCTACTGAAACTAGCACCAATAGAAAATTGGTGTAGCAATTTGGTGACACAGGAAAGAAGAAGTATTTCTTTTTTATAAAGGGGTCTTTTGAGTCCTGAGATTATAAAACTTTGAACAGCTCTCTCTTCAGGAAAACCTTTTTATTTTATTTTATTTTGCACTTTTCTATTATTATTTTTTAGAGGTGGAGTCTTGCTATGTTGCCCAGCCTGGCGTGAAACACTTGGGCTCAACCGATACTCCTGCCTCAGCCTCCTGAGTAGCTGGGACTGCATGTGTGCTCCACCATGCCCGGCCTCTTCAGGAAAATCTTCAGTTATTGTTCCATAGTTGTCATGTTAGTGCAAAATTTTAAAGTCAGTCTTCAAATTTGAATTGAAAAGGAAGAAAATGAGATATTTATAGGTAAGAAAATCTCATATTTTGATGTGGTAATGTAATGAGCCAGGCAAGGAAATATTCTAGAAAAGTATAAGAACTTTCAGATAATGAGTCTTATAAAGTGAATGAGACTGTGTAGCTTTTAAAAGCTTGGTTATTACTAATGTAGTGTTAACATTGCTGAAGCTTTGATTGTTTAAAATAGAGTAGGTTAAAAGAAAGAGTGCAGAATTTGTATGACAGGTTACCATGTCAGATAATATACTTTTGTAATTGAGAATAAAGGACAGAAAAGACTATAATCAATGAACATCATTTACTTTACCTAGTGATATTTAATAATTATTCCTATCAATAAATATTCATCTTCAGTAGTGTGTTAATTCTCTAGAAGTCATAATTTTCTAGTTTTAGAAATACCTATGCCTAAGCCTGGTACATAAATGACCACTAGGCAATCTCATTCAGGCTCAGGGCTTTAAAGTAACATTTATATATTACTAACTCCACAATTTTTTATCTCTAGTACTGAATTCCACCCTAAGCTCCAGACTCATGTAACCACTCTCTACTCTGTATCTCTACTTTAAAGTCTAATGAGCAGCTCAAACTTATCATGTCCCAAACTGAATTCTTTATTTTCACAATAAGCCTGCTTCTTCCCCAGTGTGCCTCATTTCAATAAATGTCATCACCCTTTACTTAGTTGCTTAGGCTGGAATCCTTGGCATCATTTTTGATTAACCTCTCTCTCTCATAACCCACATCCAATCCTTTAGAAAATTATACCAGCCCTACGTTCAAAAAGTATTCAGAATATGGCACTTTTTGCCATCATAGTGCAAGTCACCATCATCTCTTGACTAGACAATTTCAGGAGCTTCTTAAATCATCTCCCTGATTCCATTTCGTATCCATCCAACTTATTGTCTCTTCAGCAGCTGAGTGATCTTTAAAAAATTAGTAATACCATTCACCTCTCTGATCAAAACCTTCCAAGGCTCACCATCTCACTTAGATTAAAAGCTGAAATCTTTTAAACGGCCTATAAGGCACCATACAAACTGACCCCTCTACCTCTCTGACCTTTCTTTCTTCTACTTTCCTCCTTGCTTACTCTGCCCCAGCAACACAGGCTTCTTTGCCACAACCCACCAGTTACAGTCCCACTTCAGGACCATTGCATTTGCTATTTCTTCTGTCTGAAGCACTCACTACTCAATTATCTTCATGGGTCCTTCCTCAGCGAGGATGTTCCTGATCATCCTTTCTAAAATAGCCTTGTTCTCTCAGGCCACCAGTCTATCTAGCCTCTTACCTGATTTTTTTTTGATGGTTTATAATTACTTAACATATTTTTGCTTGTTTATTTGTTTATGGTCTCTCTCCACTACTAGAATGTAAACTCAACAAGTGTAGGAATTTGTCTATTTGTTCATTGCTATATCCCAATTACCTAGTACAGAACTCAATTAATTATTAATTCAATTAATAATTATTAATTGAATAAACGACTGACTGAATGAACGAATCACTAAATTGCAGTAACCTAGGGAGATAGTAGGTCTTAGTCTTAGGAAAGAACTAAAACATGTCTTCAAAGATACACTGCCAATCTAAAATAGTTTACAAGATCACCCCAATATTAATGTAAAAATCCAGCTCTTCTCTTTTCTGGGAATACAGCCACTTTAAAGTCAATGTTAATATGTAGTGAATATGATCCATAAAATCTGTAATTTTCTTGTAAATTAAATAAAAGGATTCATAGATGAGGTGCTTTTGAAACTCTGTTTCATAACCTATTCAAGCATTTCAAAACCTACAAGCCACTAATAAAATGACAACTTGAGAAAATTAATATTTATTTTTGGCTGGGCATGATGGCTCACGCCTGTAATCCCAGCACTTTGGGAGGCCGAGGCAGAGGGATCGCTTGAGGTCAGGAGTTAGAGACCAGCCTGGCCAACATGGTGAAACCCCATCTCTACTAAAAATACAAAAATTAGCTGGGCATGGTAGTGGGCGTCTGTAATCCCAGCTACTTGGGAGGCTGAGGCAGGAGAATCGCTTGAACCTGAGAGGTGAAGGTTGCAGTGAGCTGAGATGGCACCACTGCACTCCAGCCTGGGCGACAGAGTGAGTGAGACTCTGTCTCCAAAAAAAAAGAAAAAAAGAAAGAAAACACAAGATATACTGCCAATCTAAAATAGTTTACAAGATCACCCCAGTATTAATGTAAAAGTCTAGCTGTTCTCTTTACTGGCAATACAGCCTAGAGTCAGTGCTAATATGTAGTGAATATGATCCATAAAATCTGTGATTTTCTTCTAAATTAAAAAAAATTCATAGATGAGGTGCTTTTTAAACTCTGTTTAGTAACTTGTTTAAGCATTTTAAAACCCACATGCCACTAATAAAATGACAACTTGAGAAAATTAATATTTATTTTTGATGCTTGTTTTTCTGAAATTATGGTGTATTGTGGCTATTAGGGATTTTCTGTTGCTTGTCTACTCTCCAGCTGGGACTTAACTTCTTAATTTTATTAAGACTCAATCCAAGGACACACATGTGTACCTTCTGGTTTCCTGTTGATAGTTCATTAACAAGTTCATTATGTGTTCGTTCCTGTCTCAGCATTATCAAGAACAAACCAGGAAAGATCATGATTTTATGGCAAAATTTTATATGATTGCTTTTCTGAACTCTTTTGATTGAAGAACTGTTTATTTTATAACACATTTTAGACACTAAGGGGGACAAATAAAAAAGAATTTTTTTGTAATTGCTATTCTTGGAAAAAATACGTAGAAAAAGATATATATTTGGTAATGCTGAAGAATATCCTAGTTTGTTTTCATGCATTTATGGAGAAAGGAGTTTTTACCATGTTACATTAACTATTTTCAAATGATTCAAATAAAGATTATTTATTATTAAATGGTAGTGTGATCTAGTGAAAACTGATTCTATTATTGGCTTTGTCACTAACTAACTAAATAACCCTGATTAGGTCTTCTTTCCTTTTGAGGCCTCGATTTCCTTGTCTGTAAAAGAGGGAGTTAGACTAGAGTTCTTAGATTTGTTTCAGTCATACCAGTTTAAGGTTCTGTGAATTCGATACTTCCTGCCTTTTGAGCGTTGGAGTATCAGTTTTCATGAGAGGATAAATTAATAAATATTTTGTTACCTTGATAATTGTTGAAGCTAGATAAATGTTACATGTGATTTCATTATATTAATTTTATTTTTGTGTATGTTTGAATATTCTTACAATAGCAAATTTAGAAATATAATTGATTATTACATTTTATGATAATTTACTACATTCAAACTGATGTTGCAAAGTCTATTTTGTGTCTATAATGTTCTCTTTCATTGTCCTCTGAAATATTTATACAAAATAGCAGCCCCTTTATGTTCATTCCAGGGCGGTTTTCTTCAGTTTTTGGGTAACCGTGCCAAGGTGCAGACCAGATTGCAAATTTTCCCTGTGTACAGATTTTCAAGGTGAAGGTATTCATTAATCAGGAAACTAGCAAAAGTTTTTCACAAGCATAGTATAATTTTTACTGACTTGGTAACCCACAATGTATAATTTAAGTTGGCTTAATTATCTGTAACTAATTCTTAAATCCAGGATGATTTTTCTCCTTGACATCCTACATATTGCCAGGCCGTTTCTGGAAGAAAGTGGGGCAGACTGTTGTAGCTAAGAAAATGTCTTGATATCAAGCAATCTTGGATTCAAATGCCCGTTTCAGCCACTTCCTAAAAGTGAAATCTTGGGGAAATGATTTAACTTTTCTGAGCCTTAGTTTCCTCTTCCGTAAAATGGAAATGCCAATAGTAGTTTCTACATCATGGGGTTATTGTGAGGACTAAAGAACATGAGTAGTCATTGAACATACTGCCTGACATGCAGTTTAAATCAGCAATATCAGCCCATAACAGTTATTATTATCTTTGTCATTTGGTTATTTGCATTATTCAAATAAAATTATATGTGGAGGAAGTTTTAAAAAGTAAGGGAGGAAATATGGTTACATTTAATAAATATTTATTGAATACATGCTATATTCTAGAAAATGGATTTACAGAGGCAGGTAAGGCACACTTCTTGCCCCTAAGGAAGTCACATGCTAAGGTCAGAAACAGACATGTGAAATATTAGTCAGGACTGAACCTGATGGAGTGGCAGAGTAGGGAATTGCTGTTATGCTAGTATTTAAAGGGAAGTAAAAACAAACCAAGACACAAAAATTTCCAGCCCGTCACTGGATTTGAAACACCATCAGCATATTTTCCCTTTGGATTTTCTACATTCTTTGATTTTTGGAATCCATGAGCAAATATCTTTGGGAAGAGTAAATAATGTCAATTAACACTTTAATGGATATTTGTTTCCGTATTAATTAGGCTACAGGGCAAACTGCTATAATCAAGCAACCTCAAAATATGACAGCTCAAGCAAAAGACAAAAAGATGGGAAGATAGCACTGCTGCAGGAGGTCACTCAAGGCCTAGGGTCCTTCTACCTGGTTGATTTGCCACTTCCTAGTGTATGTTGACATTGTCAATATGGTTAAATATGGCTTCCACTATTACATCTGGGCTACAGCCTGCTGGGGGGAGGGAAAGAAGAGGAGAAATGATTTTCTTGTCAAAACATGATTCAAAGGTTGCACACATCACTTCTTGCATCTCATTGTCTAAATTTCAGTCATATTTTCATACCAAGCTGCAAAGGAATCTGGAAAATGTAGTCTCTAGACTGGAGGCCATGTACACAGCTAAAACTCATGAGTTTCTATCACTATAATAAAAGGAAAATTAGTAGACTTGACACTGGGACATAATTAGTCTCTGCTGAAGTTCATCAACAATTTTATCTTGATTAGCTTCCTAAAAGCCCTAGGCTTTTACAAAAAGGTAGGCTCTGTGAGTTTGATGCAGAAAGTGTTATAAAGAAGTGTCAACCTCAAATAATCAAAAAGGTAAAAATCTAATTTAAAGAGAGTTTATTCAAGTGCAATGTGTGAGGATGGACCTCAGAAACACCAACTCCAAGGGAATGGAGTCAACATTCTGAAGTAGGGAAGGTAAGGTTTCATTTATACAGGCAGAGACAGAGAAGTTTTTAGCAGGATTACAGCATTATTCATACAAGGCTGGTGCTTAGTTATAGCAATTTGATTGGTTATGGTCAGTGTTTCTTTTTGGAAAGGATATATTTAGCATTTTTTACAGAGAGTGTAATCATCATGGGTTTTCTGTCATCTAGTTTGAGCAAAGCAGGACACCAGAGGGGAAGTTAATCTATAACAGAGTCATTGGTTAAGAAGGCAGGAGGTTTTTGTCCCTGACATTGTTTAATTCTCTCTAGTAATTGTACAGAACAAGAACAATAAGAAAGTGAGTCAATGTATAAACTGAGAACAGAAGTTGTATCCATCTGTGACTTGAATCACAGTTACATTTCTCTCAAAGCTTATTTTTTGGGATTCCACAGTTTTCAAATTTTACTTATTTTCACAGACGGTTGACTCGTCTGGGGTATTTTCTGATACCAACAAATTCTCTAAATCTCCGATTCTCTGACAGCAACTGGGCATCCAACAATTCAATTCAATTATGACACTATCTGTAGTTAGCACAGACATGGCAGGTTAAGGGCTCAGTCCCACAAGACTGCCCCACTTCAGATGCCAGTAGCAAGTCCCAATGCTTCAGACTAACTGGCTCTTCAGTTTCAATAATTTGATAGAATGACTCACAGAACTCAGGAAAACACTACTTACTATTATCGATTTATTATAAAAAAAAATACAATTCAAAAGGTATGGGGTAGGGAGTTGTGGACCTTCCATGCACTCTTCAGACATGCCGCCCTTCCAGCACCTCAGTGTGGAAGCTCTTGGAACCCTTTGGTTTAGGTTTGTTTTTTTTAAGTGGAGGTTCCATTGTGTAGGCATGATCGATCAAATCATTGGCCATTGGTGATTGACTCAATCTCTGAAACTTCTACCATCCCTGGAGGTCAGGGGTGGGGCTGAAAGTTCCAACCCTCTAATTGAGTGGTTGGTTCCTCTGGCCACTAGCCCCTATCCTCCAAGAGTCACCTCTTTAGCATAAATTCAGGTGTGGTTGAAAGGGGCTCATTATGAATAACAGAAGGCATTCCTATTACTCGGGAAATTCCAAGGGTTTTAGGCACTCTGTTCAGATAACCCGGGACAAATGTCAAATATATATTTTATTATTCTACAACTTGGTATTATCAGGAGCCAGGGTGGTTCTCCAAACCATCTCTGCTTGAAGATACTCACCATTTTGACAGCACAGGTAGAGTTTGTTGTTCTCTCCTCTGAGCTCCCTTTGCTGCCAATGACCTCTATCATAGTGTACTGTTCTTCTCACACTGTACTGTAAATATTTCATAGTTTCTGGTTTCTATCCCTTTAATTAGAATGTGAGCTACAATGCTTGGCACATTATTGCTCTGTAACTCTTGAATGAGTGAATGCCAAACAGTCTGGCACAGCTAACCTCTGTGGTCTCTGTTCATGACTGGTGTTAATTGTTAATTCCAGTTAAGTTTCTAGGGACTAGACCCTGATATTGCTAACTGTATTTTCCAAATCTTGTGGGTTCCCTGAGAATCTCAGCTCAGGTTTCCTGCTGTTGAATCTGTGGTAGTCTAGAGGGTGAATTCAGAGTTCATAAATTAGTTTTATCAAACTAACTGGATTTGGGGGAAAGCAGGCAATCTTGATGCCCTCTATCTCACGGAGTGTGTTCTTTATAGGACACTGATGTTCTACGCAATATGCCAACTTTACCAAATAACTTTTCAAGTCAGTCTTGTGGGGATGGTTTGATTTTTAAAAAATGCCTTTAGAACCTTAGAAGTGACATTTGCATGAATGTTTAAAAACTGTTACCAAATTCAGGGAATTTTGTTTAAAACCATGTGTGTACATGTACATACACATATAAACTAAATGTCAAAGGGTTGTTTATTCTTCTTGTTTTTCCTATTTAATGCCCTTTAACCTTACCAAGGCCATTAAATACTTGAGACATTAGATACTGCCTTTGCTGATTACCTCATTTGCACAGCAGTTTAGGAATACTCATTTCCTGTTTTGATAATTAACAGAATATTTGGGATTATAAAGCTTTGCAGAATGACTTCTGCCAGTTGACCATTTTAGCTACTGAGGTATCAAACAAAACAAAACAAAACATCCCAGCAGTGGAATGACTCTACAGGAAGAGCATAAGCCTAGGTGTCAAATCTGGGTGACCTAGGTTTGATTTCTTCTGAATTTTTGACTTCTGGAAAGTAACTTAATAGCCATTTGTAAAACTAAAATAATACCCACTTGCTTATCTGAGGGGGATAATAGATAAAATAAAGTAGTATATATGTTCCTGCTGGAGAGGCTATGGAACGTCCTCGTCTAGCCTAGCTCCATTCTAGCTGCACCTATTTGTGTCAGCCTAGGAAGTCTGAGCCCTGACATGGCCCTGGCCCATTGAGAACCATTCTCTGTTAACAGGTAGAAGTCTGGAAATAGCCTAGTGTGTGCTATGCCTCTGGAATTGATTTAGGCCCCTGGGAATCTTTGTAAGCATCAGACTTTAGTTCTCACCTCTTTCTCTACCATCTGATGTTGGCTATTTAATTGACCTCAATCTGGAAGCTCAATTTTTTCCTCTGTCTCTGTTGAAATTGAGGCCCAGGCCTAAATCATTTTTCCTGGTTCTGCTGGCCCTTTTCCAGGCACTGCTGACTGCCTGCATCATTTGTATCATCTTGCTCAGTTCTTTGAAAATAATGACTTAATCTCAACTGTCCTGAAAAACTTCCCCATTCTTAGGCTTTGATGTACCTCTTCACTCCACACCCATTGGGTAACACTTACCCAGGTCTGCATCAAATTTGGTTTTACACCTTCTCTTCAATTTGGTGTAGACCATTTTGCAGCTAGAGAGGGTTTGCCCCAAGTAGTCTTGCCCATCTTCCTTTCTCTGCACCATTCAAGTTTACCCCCAAATCTTCTTTTCTTAGGCCTTGAAACATGCCTTGTATCTGGAGCAGAGATTAATGATTGCTAAGGTACAAGCATACAAGTATCAATGACAAAGAATATATTTATTCAAAGCTAAGAATATATTTATTTGTATTGATGCCAATAGAAAGCATTCAAATAGGACTTTTAGTAGATTAAAATTAATTATCTTTTTAGTGTATTTTTCTTCACACCAAGAAGCAAAGCTTACCTTATGCTTTCACTGATTAAGCTATCAAATCAAGGTGGAAGGGAATATCTAATGGACTTTAACAACCAAGGCATGGTGCATTATCGTTTCCAACTGTATTTGATTAACTAAATTTAACTTGTGGTTTGCATTTCTACAAATAAATGTACTTTACTACTCCAAGATATTATTATGCTTCTATTTCTTTGAATTCTACTTCTCCAATATCATGGTGTATAATAAGAATATCACAAAGCTGGGTTAGTGGCATTGAAAGATAAGTTATAGCATAGTGAAATATTTGCAGGAGCTAGAGGATTCAGGGGAAACAGGAAGCTTGAAGAAAACTTCCTGGAGGTTTTTTTTTTCTTTTCTTTAAATAGAAGAAGACAAATTAGTTAATTGAAAATGCAATCTCAGGAAAAAGAAAGAAGATTTTGAATCTAGATCTTCTTTTTCTTACCATCGTGTCAGCAAATTCTGATTAGAAAATTCCTCCCGTAGGCCTGATAAATAATTTCTGCTAAAAATTATTGTGAGACAGCCAAATCAGCTGACATCCGAAAAGTAAATACCAAACTCCCTAAACAATTCCCAGTTTCTTCCCACCCTCCTAACTTTAATTTAGGGGGAAACATCAGCTATGGAAATGAATAAAAAAGAAAGACATTTAGGGGTAAAAAACATCTTGGGGTAAAACATAATGCTAATAGTGGAGAGAGGATTGCACACATGGCCCACTCTTCATTCACACTCTTGCCTTTTATTTGTTTATTAACATATTTAGTGTAAAACCTATCTTTAGAATCTGAGAGAAATTATCAAGTCTGAACCTGTGTTCCAAAGCAAGGAAGATAATTTGTATCTATTGGATGGTGTAGAGATTGGATACAGCCTTAATCCATTCCCTTTTGGGAATAAATGACTGGCATCTCATCTGCTCCAGAAAAGCATCAAAAGTATTCTGGCTTCTTATGGCTTTGCGTGGTTCCTGGACATGGAGATTAAACCAGGGGCAGACAAAAACTCTTTGGAGACTTGAAGGTAAGGGACAATTTGGTGGTGGCCTGAACTTACTTAATTTTATCTGGGCTGAAATAAACTCTTGTTTGATTGTGTAAAGAATGTTTTGATAAATTTTCAATGGGAAACAAAATGTACACACAACACTTACTGAATTTTAATTGCAACACCAAGAATTTTAGAAATCAAGGGAGCTTTAGACATGACATAGTTCTATTGGCTCACTTTACACATGAAAAACTGACAATTGCTTAGGGAAAGTACAGGGACAATTTTTGTTTGGGAATAGGAGGTTAGACTAGATTACTTCTGAGATCCTATTCAATAAATTTTTGAAACTGAGGGCCAAAGAGGTTAAGGAAATTGCCCAAGGTCACAGAGCTGACTGGGAGGGAAAGCCTAGAGTAGAATCCAGGTTTCTGGATTCCTTATCTATTTATGACTCCTTTCGTACTTAAAGGTATTTGAAACTCAAAATAATAATGCCTTTGGGTAGTACACTTTGAGGAAGCAATCAAATGCTTACCTTTGGATTATCTTTTAATTCCCAAAGTGATGAGTCACATAGCTAAAACAAAAACAACAACAAAAAGAAAACACTGGCATACTAAGATGTTTTATCAGGAACTAATTAAAAGGGGAAAAAACCACTCAGATGAACTTTGTAATTTCCTCTGAATCTTTTGACAAATGTAACCTTAAATGCTGACCTATTTTGAATGCAAATTTTCTAATGACAGTTGGTATTTTTCATGGATAAAGCAAGAGCTCCTCCTACTTTTTAAAAGAAAGGCTTTAGTTCTAAGATCCTTTAAAATCCATTTAAACTAAGGAGCTGTTCATTGAGACAGACTTCAGTGGTATTACAGAATTTGGTTACAACTGGACACATTGTTCATATAGAGTAAGTATGGGACTTTAGGGGAGGAAGTTTGCAGGTAAGAGGTAAATTATTTTGAATATTTGTTTCACTTTCTTCACCTTTTCCTAATGGGATCATGAATCTTTTTTGGGCAAAAATTGATTTGATACAACAATAATCTGGGGAGTCCTGCATTTTTTTCCCACATGAAGCTAGTGGGTGCTGGATCATCAGTATGGATAGCACTATTGCTTTAATTTTTATTGTGGTTTTCTTATTAGCCTTTATTTTCTATAAAATTCATACCTCTTTAAAGCAAACCTGGTTTTTTTGGTGATGGTAAGGTAGTTGCATTTTAGAGTTAGGATGTTCTCTGAGATTAATTTCTATGTGATTTTTTTCTTTAAGTCAAAATCCTTGACTTTGCAGCAACTTTTATCTCAAGCTCACAGATAATCAGAACTTCTCTAAAATGAATGATTTCATTATCTTTGTATGATGTTTTGAATTAAGTTATAGAATATGCATGTCCTTTTATGCATGATATAATTTGTTCATATATTATGGTTTCATTATACAGTAGAGTTATTCATATAAAATTTCCAATTTTCACAGCTTTTGCTCTGAAATGAACTATCATCTTATACTTCTGATGTTTGTTTTCCTCTATAGTTAACACTTAAATAATGAACATCACTTTTACAAACTGCACCCATTTTGGATGCCTCCAGATTAGTTTTCTTCTTTAAATATGTAAGAAGATACATAAAACCAGGACATGAACACCAAGGATTAACCAGCTCTTTAAAAAACAACTTTTTAAAGAGATTGGTTCTCACTCTGTTGCCCAGGCTGGACTTGAATTCCTGGGATCAAGCAATCCTCCCTGTTTAGCCCCTCAAGTAGCTGGTACTACAAGCACACACCAGCTATTTTTGATTGAAATTTTTAAAACTCTGGAATGCTTTAGAGTGGAATTAGAATTCAATCCCAGGTCTTCCTTACTTCAAAATCTGAGCTCTTTCTCCTATTCCACACTGCTTACTAAGGTATTAGACAATAAAAGATTTCAGCTATTTTTGACTGAAATTTTAATAAATTCTATAATGTTTTAGAGAGTTTGTGACTCAAGTAAATTGCACAGAATTATTATTATCATTATTATTACTAAGTGGGGAGAGTACTAAACGAAGGACTAAGAAATCTGGTTTCCAGTTCTAGATCTCCCTTGTATAGCTGTGTGACCTTGGAATGGACACCCCACCCTCCCTATCTTACTTTCCTCATCTGTACAATGAACCAGATGTCCTGACTCTACCTAATGTCATGAAAGGCAATAAAATGTTAGAAATAACTATTTAAACAGTAGGATAAGACAAAGGAGAGGCAGAATGCCTATTTGATTGTTTTTATTTTTTTGGTGCTGAGATCTTACCTGTAAATGATTAGTTGCTGCTTCCAGGGCTTTTTTTTTTTTTTTTTTTTTTTTTTTTTTTTTTTTGAAAATCAAAGTAATGTACCATGTGTATTTTGCTACAACTTGGAGAAGTCAGGGTGGGGTGGGTTGCTTGTTCCTTTTGATATATTTTTAGTGTCTTCAAGGAATCAATAGGAGTTGGCTTCTGGATATGAGGGAAGCACTAGACAGCTAACAATTGAATTACTATGCCCACTGTGCTACAGACATTTTACATACACTATTCCATTTAATCATTTCGTAAGCCTTATGTAGGCTAGTAATATTGCCTTCGTTTTATAGATAAGAAAATTGGGATAGAGATAGCTCAAGTATTGAAACAGAAGAGTTCCCTTATGCCCCTCACAGGTCATGCCACAGGGGTCAGTTCATTGGTGTCAGGCTGCTGAAACCCCTAGGGGGAGCATGCAGACAGGCAGGTGCAGAAGTCATGGGGAGCACTTTTGGCTTCAACCCCATGGCAGCATCTAGGGGTGAGTGTTTATGATTCCTGAAGCCCAAGTGGGTGTGTGTTACAGTGTGCTCTTTCAGCTTTGCTGTCTGCCGATGGCTTGTATTAATCAGCTCAATTAGACCCTCTGCCTTACCGCAAGGACAGAGGGCTTTATTATTATTATTATTATACTTTAAGTTTTAGGGTACATGTGCACAACGTGCAGGTTAGTTACATATGTATACATGTGCCATGTTGGTGTGCTGCACCCATTAACTCGTCATTTAACATTAGCTATATCTCCTAATGCTATCCCTCCCCCCTTTCTGTATCCCGAGTTCTTGCCCAGTGTACCGGAAAAATCAGATCACACGTTGGCTTGGAGGATGAATGCAAGGTTTTATTGAGTGGTGGAGGTGGCTCTCAGTGAGATGGATGAGGAGTCAGAAGGAGGATGTAGTGGGAAGGTGGTCTTCCCCTGGATACTCCCCCAACCGCTCCTGGCCAAACTCCCCTCGGTGTCCACGTTGTTCTGCCATCACTGGTCTGCTGATGTCTGCTGGTGTCTGCTGGTGTGTTCCTCTGCTCTTCTTGATGTCCAACTGCTCGTGTCCATGTCCGCTATGGTCTCAAGTTTTTATGGGCACAGGATGGGGGACATGGTGGGCCAGAGTGGTCTTGGAAAATGCAACATTTGGGTATGAAAACAGGAGTGCCTGTTCTCGCTTAGGTCCATGGGCACAGGCTCCAGGGTGGAGCCCTTGCCAGGGACTCCATCCTTCTCTACCCAGCACTTTCCTGTCCCCCTCCCGTATCACTGTCATGCCAAGATCTATGTGGCTTTTTCCATTACTCCATGCTGCTTCTGTGGTCACTCTGAGACAATTCTGAGAAGATAAGCTCTTTAGAATTGGGTCTTCCATTGTGCCTGTGGGGTAAAAATTTATTCTGGGGAGATGAATAATGTATAGGGTCACATAGAGTAGATTGGTAGGTGCTTCCATGGTGTGATGTGGGAGGCAGTGATAGGTGAATGCCCATAAATGTTATCTTCATTGGCCTGTCATAGTTACTTTTCCTGAGATTTTTACCACTAAAGTAATGCTTTTTTGTTTGTTTAGTTTTCTTTGCCAGTGGGGAGGTTGATGGGAAAGTTTCAATTTCAACTATGCATACCCCTAGAAAGGTTCATGTATGAAAACTTTTATTGTCTAATATCTGAGTAGGCAGTGTGGAATACTAGAAAGGGATCAGAGTTTGGAGTGACGCAGACCTAGGATTGAATTTTGATCCACCACTTACCAGCTGTTTAATTTGCACATGATACTTCATCTCTCAGAGCTTCACTTTCTTCTTGAGTAAAACAAAGATAATAATGCATATGCATTGACCCTTAGCATAATAAACATAATGTGTCAATCATCTGCTGTGGATAGCTGTGGGAGAATGGGAAGAGCACTAGAATGGAAGTCAAGAGACTTGGTGTCCTATGACACCAAATATGAAGCCATATTTGTTTCATTCATTCAGGTAGATACTTATTGAGCTTCTACAATGTGTCATGCACTGTGCTAGGCACCAGGGATACATCAATGAACAATCGGAAGTCCCTGTCTTCTCATATCTTAAATTCCAGTTTCACGCTAACCTAACTATATCCATATCCTGGTCATGTAGAGAGGAATTATAGTTCTCCACATTTTAGAGATGGGAAAATAAGGGTTAAATGATACAATGATGAGCAAGATAAATATGATCCCTGACCTCACAAATATGATTGCAGTCCAATGAAATATAAATTAATCAGATAATCTCACAAATTAATATAAGATTAAAACCATGATAAGTCTCTAAAAGAAAGGTAGCCAGTTCTCTGAAAACATTTAACAGGGACTTCATCTTCTTTGAGCAGGTGACGTCTGAGCTGAGAACTGCAGAATGAATCAGTGCTAACCAGATGATCCTTCTCCATGTCCTTACTCAGATTCTGCTGGAATTCCCTTGGCTCTTTTACATCCTCTTTAGTGGCTATTACAAACTTTTTCCTCTCTTTTTAAGCCTCCAACTCAGCTATTATGCATTTATCTCAGGAGATGGGCTTGCCTGCTATTTCACACACACACACAAAAAGACATCAGGTCTGTTTGAACCACTTATCCACCCACCTTCCTGTTTTTTACACACACATTGAATTGTATCTTCACTCATGCTTTTGTCCTGTCCGAGAGGCAAAACTCGCCCTCTATCAGTCCCAGTTCAATTTGTCTGTGATTTAGAGCCCATGCTGTCCTCTTGCTTTCTCAGGGTCTCTTTTCATAATTATCCTCTTTCTTCTCTGTAGTTTTAACATTTTCCTCCCATTGAGTTCTTTTCACGACAAAAATAAAAATAAAAAGTAAATAAAAGAGACACCTTTTCTTGACCATTCCCTGTATAACCAAGTTCTGTACAACCTATATAACAAGGCTTCAATAAAAAGTGGTCCACACATATAACTGCCTTTACTAAGGTGGCTAATTACTTCTTATTTCCAAATGCAACAGACACATTTCAATTCTTGTCCTACTTTCCCAAGCCCCCAAATTTTTTGACATGTGACACACTTTGCTTTTGAATACTCTCTCTTTGAAATCTTCTGCTTCATTAGTTTCTGTGATACCACTTTCTCCTTTCCTTCCTCCTACTTTTCTGGTCACTCTGTAGTCTCATTTGTGAACTACTCTATTGCAAATTCTACGTGCAAATTCAGTGGTCCAAATATCTCTACAATCTCTCCAGTTCTATTCTCTGTTTTCAACTGATCACTAAAGCCTGTCCATTTTACCTTCTTAATATATGTTATGTGTTCCATCTTTTTTAGAGCATTACTATTTTCGTAGTGTGGGCCTTCATTATCTCTCTCCCGAAGTATTTAAAAGTCTCCTAACTTGTTGCTTCTGTCTCCTTTCTTGTCCCCCTCAGATCTGTTCTTTCAAGGGTGGCAAAAGCCCTATTCTTGCAGTTTATATGTGTTAAACTGAGCTGTCTATTGGATATATCCCTCAGGTTTAGAAATCCTTCAGTACTAACTGATAGCTCTCGGGATTAAGTCCAAAGTCATTTAATGTGGCTCAAAAAGCATGTCTATGTACATCTTATACTGCAGCCAAAGCAAACTATTTGTAGATCCCTGAATTCATTAAACTTTATCAACTCTCTGCATTTATTTAATTACCTGACCACCATTCCCAAGACCAGATTGAGTACCTGTCCTCTGTGCTTCTAAGTGCTTGCCTCTTTCCTGGAACTTACTACATTGTATTATAAGTGACATTAGTATGAATCTAGTCCGCAAATGGATATGCAAGAAAGTTCACATTTTAAAATGTTCTTATGAGCTATCCTGTAGTCAACATTCTGCCAGGAAAGTAAGATACACAATTTTAGTCAATACTCAAGCCTCCTGTTGAGTTATGCAAATATTTTGAAGCCTTAGGCTACACCAAAACACAGATGCTCCTCAAATTATGATGAGGTTATAATAAACCCATTGTATGTTGAAAATATAAGCTGAAAATGCGTTTAATACACCTAACCTACCAACATCATAGCTTAGCCTAGCCTCCCATAAACGTTCTCAGAACCCTTACATTAGCCTACAGTTCAGCAAATCATCTAACGGAAAGCCTATTTTATAATAAAGTGTTGACTATCTCATGTAACTGCATATCATTAGCCTGGGAAATGATCAAAATTCAACATACATCAAAATTGTGATGGTTTTGCACCATCATAAAGTCAAAAAATTGTAAATTGAACCATTGTAAGTTGGAGACCATCCGTATTGGGGAGGCCTTTTTGGCTATTGATCATTAATCTTCTGTCAACTCCCTGATGTACTCTCTGATACCCCATTTTGTCTCCACCTGGAATGGTCCTTTCATGTTTGCTGCTGCTGCTCCTATGCTGTGCTTGGGGGCTTGGGGGACTGGATCACTGCTGAGTTTGGGTCCCCTGTATTTCAGGCTCAGCACACTCATTGAAACTTTTCTGAGCTTTTGCCCCTGTTTTAGGCTGCTGCCATCAAATGTTGAGCTGTTCCCTATATTCCCTGCCACCACCAACTCCTATCAGACTCCTGTCTTCTTTTTGTCTAAAGCCTGTGTTCCTTTTCCATCTCTCAGTGCTCTAAAAGGAATTTCATCTGTTCTCTTGATATCCTCACTGATATGAGAGAGCATAATCTCTCCATGAGTCTGGGTTTTGGAAAAATTAAAGCCAGGAAGGCAAGTGTGGACAAGTGGCAATAGGGGAGGAGGAATTCCCTTGGGTAAGAAACAATAAACAGGCCCATTTATCTTCTAGAAACGGGATGAAAAAGAGAAAAAACAGAGCAAACCACAAATGATTGTCTCAAAATAATGTAGCCACATACTTGTCTGGTTAGAAGACTGTCCTCTTCACTAAATGGTGAGTGCCTTTTAAAATATTGCAGAATTATATTCACTTATATTTTAGCAGAGAGTACAGAGGAGACTCACAGTGCAATCTGGGGGAGAGAATAGAGAAAGCTTATAGAATGAAGTAGTACCTGAGCTAAATCTAAATGACTAGACTAGGTAAAGCAGTATTGATATCAGTGCGAAAAGACTTAGAGATAAAATAAGACGCAACTTTTCAAGACCTATAAGTAGAAGATGAGTCTAAAAGTGGAAAAGTATTGCTTGCCATGCTAAACATTTCGTATGTTGTTTTATACGACAACACAATATAGAGGCTAAAGGCACAAACTCTGAAATGGCATTGCCAGGCTTTGAATTTTGGCTCCATCACTTGATAGCTATGAGACCCCAAGGAAATCATGTAGCTTCTCTGTGTCACAGTTTCTATATTAGTAAAATGTGATAACATCAGTACCTACTTCATAATACCATAGTAAGGACTAAGTGAATTAATACAGTGAAGTGCTTAGAAAAACACTGTCACACCAGAAGCACATTGAATTGTGAGTTATTACAAATTATTCTGCAGAGCACTGGGAAACCAATGAAAAAGTTTGAACTTATTTGACTTTTTAGAAGGTCATACTAGCTACAGTGTGAGAATGACCAGAACCTGACTTATTGTAAGACGGAAAATGCATTAGGAGGTTATTGCTGTTGATTAGGCAAGAGATGGTGATGGCTAGAATCTGTCGTGGCAGTGAAAAAGGAGTGATACAGATGGACTGCAAAGATGCTTAGAATCTTTAGGATATTGTGTATGTGCATAAAATGGTGGTTGAGGATAAATGAGAGAGAGGAATCTAAGAAGACTTGTAGGTTTCTGGCTTGGGAAGTCATCCTAGAATTTGATAAAGGAAATAAAGAAAAGGAAGATCATAAGTTGTGTTGGCCGAGCGTGGTGGCTCACACCTGTAATCCCAGCACTTTGGGAGGTGCTGGCGGATCACCTGACGTCAGGAGTTTGAGACTAGCCTGGCCAACATGGTGAAACCTTGTGTCTACTAAAAATACAAAAACTAGCCAGGCATGGTGGCAGGTGTCTGCAATCCCAGCTACTCGGGAGGCTGAGGCAGGAGAATCGGTTGAACCTGGGAGATGGATGTTGCAGTGAGCCAAGATTGTGCCACTGCACTCCAGCCTCGGTGACAGAGTGAGACTCTGTCTCAAAAAAAAAGTTGTGTTAATGTTTTGGGTATTTGTAATCTTCATGGATTTCGTTTTCTCTGAAACAGAGAAAACTGAATTATATCATCCATCAGTAATTTGAAATCATGTATTGAAGGATTTTCTAGACACTTTAAGATAATCTGACTAAGCAGAAATTTAGTACTGTTCCAAGGAAGATATACTTTCTTCTCCATGCTCTTCTTTGATAAGTTTGTTAATTATATAGCTTAAAAATATTGTTGAGAAAAATCCTTTGGTGACTGATGAGTGATATTTGAGAAATGGACAGGACTTGACTATGGATTGGCTATGGTGGTGCGTAGATGTCTAGGGTAACTCTCTGGCTTCTACTGTTGAATGGATACTGCAAGAACACCTGTTTTCAAGTGGGAGATCATGATTCTGGCATTTGACATTTTGCATTTGACGTATGTTTGAGACTTCCAAGTGAAGATATTTTAAAAGCAATTAGATATACATCCCTGGAGCTAGAAGAATAGTTCACATGGGAGATTGTCTCAGTCTGTTTTGTGTTGCTATAAAGGAATACCTGAGGCTGGGTAGTTTATAGGTAAAAGAGTTTATTTGGTTCATGTTTCTGCAGGCTGTACAAGAAGCATGGTGCTGTCATCAGATTCTGGTAAGGACCTCAAGAAGATTTCAATCATGGTGGAAGGCAAAGTGGGAGCAGGTGTGTCACATGCAAGAGAGGGAAGAAGAGAGAGTGAGGAGGAACGTGCCAGGCTCTTTTTAACAATCAGATCTACATGAACTAATAATAGAGCAAGAACTGACTCATTACCAAGGGGACAGCACCAAGCCATTCATGAGGGATCTGCCAAAGACCTCTCACTAGGCCCCACTTTCAATATTGGGGATCAGATTTCAGCATGAGATTAGGAGAGGACAAATATCCAAAGTATATCAGAGTTATATGTTTGGAAGTCATTGGTATATAGAGGATAATGGAAGCTGTGGGGGCAGATAAAATTACCTAGGGAGAATATAGAATCAGAAGAGGTGAAGGCCTTGGGCCAAACCTCAAAGAACTCTGACATTTACTGTTAGGATAAGTAATGGATAAGCCTGAAAATGAAATGAAAAAGTGACCAGAGAGGTAGAAAGAAAACTGGGAAACAGGTGTCAGAAAAGCCGAGGGAAAGGTGTTTTAAGAAGGATGATGATAAACAGGTGAATGCTGCTGAAATATAAATAAGATTGGGATTAAAATATTAATTAGATTCAGTAACGTGGAGGTCATTATTTATTCTAGTGGCATCTGTTTCAGTAGAGCCATGGATTGGTGGTGAGGTGAAGGAAGAACCCAGAAGAAAATGGAGTGATGAAGAGCTAGAGGGGAAGTTTCTGGAAATTTGGCTGTGAAGAAGATGGGAGTATTGGGGCAGTAGCTGCAGACAAATATGTAGGCAAGGTAATTTGTTTCTATATTTATGGTCAGGGAGAAATGAACAGGTTTAAAAGTGAATGAGATACATTTAGCTGAGATGTGTGTATCCATACATACATCTTATGTATGTGGAAGATATATAAGAGAGATGAAAAAAATGAGTGTAACATTTTTGAAGGTGTGAGCAGTGTTAGAATTCAAAACAGACACGAAGAGCAGGAGGGAAAGGAGAGAATGTGGAAAGATTCTTGTTTCAAATCAGAAAGATGAGGGAATTTCCATCTGATGGTTTCGATTTTGTTTTTCAAAGTAAGAGGCAAGCTCATGTGCTGAGATCAGGGGAGAAGGGATGAGACGATTTAAGAGAATGGAAAAGGTTTGTAATGGTCAGTAATGGAATGAAGTTGAACAGAGACAAGCAATAGGGCTTCTGAGTAGTACTGTGGGCTTATTTAAAATGAAATGTTATGCACTTATCATGGAACTAATCTATAGTGGGACTTCTTTCATGGGCACTCACCTGCTCAGGTACAAGCACAGAAAAAATCTGAGTTTGATTCATCCAGAATTGGGATTTTGTTAGGAAGTTATAATAAAAAGGCAGAGGGACAAGTTTAGTTTGGGGAATGCAAGCCGATCTCGATTTAATAAAGAAGGGGAAAAAGCAAAATCTGGCTGATGGATTTGGTAAAAACAGACAAGTCTGTGAACTGAAATTTTTGCAAAGCTGAAAAATGATCACAGTGGCAATACTTAAATACACAAACTAGAATGAAAGAAGATTGATGGAACATCATTTAACTTCTCTGGCCTCTATTTCTACATCTGTATTTAAGCCATGGTCATAGATAGTGGAAGCCAAGAAAGTGTTTGCATGTGAAAATTTGTACGTATACTTCATTGTCTTCTGGTTGTAAGTATCAAGAAAATAAGGAGGGCTTAGGACCTCCCTAAGAGTTCCCCAACCTTTTTAAAAAATCTTTTTTTTTAATGGAATGCTTCAAGAATTTATGTGTCATCCTTGTCCAAGGGCTATGCTAATCTCATCTGTATCATCCCATTTTTAGTATATGTATTGCTAAAGTGAGAACCCCACCCTTTTCTAAGGAGTAAAGTGGGGCTAGAGGGTAAGAGGTGCTAGTCATTCTAACCCTCCATTGATGCTTTAAAATGGAAGACAAGGCCATGCTCTTTGGAATGATTCTACTCCATATAGTTCTGTTTCCCTGGCATGCTTGACTTTGCTCATCCAGCAGTGATTAATCTCAGGTTATGGAATCAGCTATCTTCTTTAACTAGCACTTTTGCGGGAAGAACAGTGTACACTGTTGATAGAAATAACATGATTCATTGAGAGAAAACTTGAATTTCAGGATATTCTGATAATAACCAAAGCATGTGGAGTGAGCTGCCAGTCATTGGAAAATGTGGAGACAGCAAAAGATTAAAGCCATGTGAGTGCACTGCCAGAACAGCATTCGGAAAACTGTGGCAACAACTCATGATGGTGGAAGAAGTGCTATGGCACCTGTGAGCAGCTCATAGCAGCAGAATCACTAGAAAGCCATAGAGGGTCCTCCAGCACTTATATCCTTTTTTTTTTGTTCTTGAGACAGAGTCTTGCTCTATCTCCCAGGCTGGAGTGCAGTGGTGCAACCTTGGCTCACTGCAACCTCACCTCCTGATTGAAGTAATTCTCCTGCCTCAGCCTCCTGAGTAGTTGGGATTACAGGCACCTGCCTGCAGAGACAGGGTTTCACCATGTTGGCTAGGCTGGTCTCGAACTTCTGACCTCAAGTGATCTGCCCGCCTAGGCCCCCTAAAGTTCTGGGATCACAGGCATGAGCCTCAGTGTCTGGCCCACTTATATCCTCTTATTTACAACATTCAGGACTTTGAAAACCTCAAAGGGGGACATTGAAGTGTTGTCATATTGTATTTTTGTCCCTGTGAAAAATGTCTACTTCAACATTTTGTGGTTGTAATATTTGCAAGTGGGGTGGCTGAGTATGGTTTATTTCCCAGGTACTTGGTCAGAGGCTTTAGCCAAAGGAAATGCTACATAAGCTAAATGTGGCCCTTCATAAGAATGCTGCAGGAGCTTCAGACTCAAAGGTTATGTGGAAAAGAGATTGTAGAAGCACATACTTCTTTGATTACCTGGAAATTTGGGGTTAAAAGGATATGAACTTTTTTTTTTTTTTTTTTGAGACAAGATCTGGCTCTATTACCCAGGCTGGAGTGTAGTGACGTGATCTCAGCTCACTGCAACCTCTGCCTCCCGGGTTCAAGCAATTCTCTCACCTCCCAAGTAGCTGGGACTACAAGCGTTCACCACCACTCCTGGCTAATTTTTGTATTTTTGTAGAGGCAGGGTTTCACCGTGTTGGCCAGGCTGGTCTCAAACTCCTGACCTCAAGTGATCTGCCCGCCTCGGCCTCCCAAAGTGCTGGGATTACAGGTGTGAGCCACTGTGGCTGGCCTAAAAGGATATGAGCTTTTAAAGTGTTTTGATATGCATTTTTCAATACTCCTCTAATTAGTTTTAGATCACAGGTTCTGCTTTAAAAAGACAGTGGTTTATGTTGCCCTCACATGACTGTCTGGTCATAAAGTACGCAGCTTTATTGCATGAGGCCAACAAGGGCCTTGGGCTACTCTCAACTTGTTCTGCCATGCCTAGGGTGTTTCCCTCATTTGTTTGATCAAAGGTGGCTCAATGCCAAGACCACATTCTAACAAGCAGGCTGGAGGAAAGGAAAAACAGGTAAGGGGAGAAAAGGTCTATTCTCTTTAAAGGCCTGACTCGAGGGACTGGAGATAACACTTCCATTTACCTCTCTTAGACCAGAACTTAATCACCTGCCACATATAGCTGAAAGGACACTCAGAACTATAGTATTTGTTTTGTGTGGCCACGTGCCCAGCTACAACTTGGGGGTTCCATTACCACTGAAGGAGGGGACAGTGAATATTAAGAGACAGCTAGTAATCTCAGCCACATCACCTCCAAAAAGGATTGCATCAATTCACATTTCGACCAGTAGTCTGAGAGAAAGCCCACACTTTATGACTATTTTTAATTTTTTTGGTCTGCCCTGTCAATAGACTTGAGGGCAGGAAACACTGTGTCTTGCTTGTTTTCATATCTGCGGCGTTGAGTACAAAATGGATCTCAGGAAATGCCTGTGAAATAAAGATCTGGATGGATGCCTGTGGCCATGTCAGCACCAATATAGCAAGCAAAGGTATAAATTAAGCACAGGTTATAAAAATAGAGACTCTAAGGAACCTTAAAAAACATTGTCTAGCCTAGGCTCAAAAGCAGTTATCAAAACAATGAGAAAGTGGGAGAAGTAAGTAAACCTACCACTTAGGATTATGAGGTGGATTTAGTCTTTAAGCCAACGAGTGTAAGGAACCAGTCGTCTTAAAGCTGGAAATTCATTTCTATGAAGGGCAATCAGTCTGCTGCAAAACAATAAAGCTCTGCCTACAGGCAACTGAACAGTGACTTTTTTTTAAAGTCATAAGCACTTTTAAAAAGTAAGCTTACAAAGTTGCAAGTTTAATCTACAAGTGACATAATGGAAAATATTATTCTGAAGCCAAAAAACTAATGAAAAATGTACTGTGAAGAGAGGATGCCCCAGGATTTTAAAAATAAGGACAGCCAGTGATGCAAAAATATATTAATTTCAACTAATGGAAAAGAGGAACATCAGTAGGAGAGAGGAAAAGAGGGAAAAAAGAAAAAAAGAAAAGTAGAAAGAAGAAAAAAAGAGGAGAGGGCCAGGAGAGAGGAGGGCATGAGGAAGAAGCAGATGGCAAGAGCCTGAAATGATGAACTAGCTGCCCTCCATGTTCTGCATTCCAAATAGCCTGCTTAGCTAAGCCAGAATAAACAGAATTTTGCCTAGAGATATGCACTTACTAAAACTCTTTGGGAATATGCACAGCTATATTGCTTGATCCCTTAGTTTCAAAGTTTTCAAAATACAATAAAGTCTATGTGTTCCTATTCTGCATTTTGAAATTAGGACTAGAACCAAAATTTCTGCCATTCCTTTGTTTTTTTTTTTTTTTTTTGAGACGGAGTCTCGCTCTGTCGCCCAGGCTGGAGTGCAGTGGCGGGATCTCGGCTCACTGCAAGCTCCGCCTCCCGGGATCACGCCATTCTCCTGCCTCAGCCTCCCAAGTAGCTGGGACTACAGGCGCCCGCCACTACGCCCGGCTAATTTTTTGTATTTTTAGTAGAGACGGGGTTTCACCGTTTTAGCCGGGATGGTCTCGATCTCCTGACCTCGTGATCTGCCCGCCTCGGCCTCCCAAAGTGCTGGGATTACAGGCGTGAGCCACCGCGCCCGGCCTCTGCCATTCCTTTGATTCAGATCTTTGGTCTGAATCATATAAGCCAAAGACTAACAACCACAATTTTAAACTGCCTTACAAAAATATATAACAGTAAGGTTTTTTTGTTTCTGATGAGTTTTGCTGCAGAAAGCAAATTTAGAAGAAAACAAATGAAACCTCAGATTGCACACAGAAAGTAGAAATGTTCTATAGTCTGGAGAAAGGGCAGGTTTTAAAAAAATAATATTGTATTAGAAATGCCAGAAGTCGGAGATAGCTTCGCAAAACTTTATGTTTTGAGATGGAGTCTCACCCTGTCACCCAGGTTGGAGTGCAATGGCGGGATCTTGGCTCACTGCAACTTCTGCCTCCCGGGTTCAAGTGATTCTCCTGCCTCAGCCTCCTGAGCACTTGGGATTACAGGCGCATGCCACCACGCCCAGATAATTTTTTTGTATCTTTAGTAGAGACGGGGTTTCACCACGTTGGCCAGGTTGGTCTCAAACTCCTGATGTCGTGATCCGCCCGCCTTGGCCTCCCAAAGTGCTGGGATTAGAGACATGAGCCACCTTGCCAGGCCGCAAAACTATTTTAGCAGATGGAAAGTATTTGTTAATGTAATCATTGGTGAAACTAAACTTTGGTAGTTTCTAAATGCCTCAGAAAAAATGCTCTGCCTTAGTATGGTACCTTTTGATAAGTACTCTGACCTGTATCCATAAAATAAGAACAGCATCATTGCTAAATAGGTGTGACAAGAATCTAAGGAAGGGCAGGATTAAGCCTTCATGTGTGATGTTCCCCATCCATGTTTTAAAGAGGGAAGAAAAGAGATTTCCTCCCAGCTATAGCTCCTTATGTTCCTTCATTTCAAACCTCTCAAAGGAGTTATTGTGAGGTTTGGAAGCCTGCAAACCTGAGTGGCCCCAACCTGGGAGACATTTTCATAGACATGATAATGGACTGGACTAATTAGAGTCATGTGTCATTTAACGACGGGGATAATTTCTGACAAATGTGTCATTAGGCCATTTCATCATTGTGCGAACACCCTAGAGCGTACTTACACAAACCTACATGGTGTAGCCTACTACACACCTAGACTATATGGTATAGCCTATTGCTCCTAGGCTATAAACCTGTACAGCATATGACTGTACTGAATACTTTAGGTAATTATAACACAATGCTAAGTATTTGTGTATCTATATCTAAAAATAGAAAAAATACAGTAAAAATTATGGTATAAAAGATTAAAAAAATGGATCCCTGTATTGGGCACTTGACATGAATGGAAGTTGCAGGACTGGAAGTTGCTGTGGGTGAGTCAGTGAGTGAGAGGTGAGTGAATGTGAAGGCCTAGGACATTACTGTATACTTCTGTGGACTTTAGAAACACTGTCCAGTTAGGCTACATTGCATTTATAAAAAATAAAGTAATTGCACTAGGACATTATGATGGCTGCAATGTCACTAGATGATAAGAATTTTTCAGCTCACCTATAATCTTAGGGGACCATTGTTGTATATGTTGTTCCTTGTTGACCAAAACATCATTATGCAGTGCATGACTGTATTAATGACTGAATGGGACTGAGTGTGCCAGTATCTTTTGATTTATATGATCATTTTGATGTAAAGAATCTGTGTTTGTAAAAGGGGAGGTGGACTGTGTTTTTGTGATTTATAAGATATATGTAGATTTGGTTTTTGGCTAGTTTCCAGGCACATAGCTCCTAAAACTCCTGGAATCTTTTAAGTGGTAAATGTCTTTTTGTATGTTAGTGAGATTACTGTTGGCTGGGGGCTCCTGGTTAGTTTCAGGATGGGGGCTGGTTGCCAGGGGAACCAACCACATGATCTCCTCACCTTCAATCTCCTCACCACCCTCATCCAGGGAAGGGAGAGGGGCTGAATGTTGAGTTGATCACCGATGACCAATGATGTAATCAATTATACCTAAATAATGAAGTCTCCATAAAAACCCAGAAGGACTGGGTTTGGGGAGCTTCTGGAGAGCTAAACATGTGGAGATACCTGGAGAAGGCATGGAAGCTCTGTGCCCTCTCTCTCATGTTTTGCTAATGCATCTCTTCCATCTGGCTGTTCATTTGTATCCTTTGTAATACCATTTACAATAAATGGGTAAAAGTAAGTAAAGTGTTTCCCTGAGTTGTGAGCTATCCTAGCAAATTAATCATACCCAGAAGTCAGAAACACAAGTCAAAACCCAGGGCTTGCTATTGGCATCTGAAATGGGGGCAGTCTTGAGGGACTAAACTCTTAACTTGAGGGATCTGACACTATCTCCTCGTAGATAGCCTTAGAATTGTCTTGAATTAGTGGAGAAGTGATTGGTTGTTGGTGAAGGAGAAATCTCCATACGTTTTGGTGACCAGAGATGAAGAATTTGTTGTATTGCCTGCATGAGAATAGAACAAACATTGTTTTTTTCCTATCCCTAATAGTTATCCACACTCACTGTGTCCAAATTTACCCTTCCATTCTTTCTTGAACTCATTTTAATCTGGGTTTTTCCCCCAACATGCCACTGACTGAATTCCCTTAGCAATATTACCAGTGATTTCCACCTTGCTTAAACCATTAGCCCATTCTCAGGCCTCATTTTACTCCACCTATCAGCAGCTTTTGACATTGTCTATCACTTTATCCTTGAAACATTTTCCCCACTTGATTTTCCTTTCACTTCTGTGGCCTCTCTTTTGTCTCCTTTGTTGGTAGCCCCTCAAAATCTATTTAGCCTTTTATATATCGAAGGTCTCAGTCACTGGCCCTCTTTTCTTTGTCTCATGTACACTCTACCTTAGGTGACGTCAATCAATCACATGGCTCTAAATGCTGTCTATATCCTGATGATTCCCAAATTTATATTTACAGCTCTGGTCTTTCCCCCTATCTCCAGAGTTGAATATCCAACTGCCTACTCATCTCCCCTTGGATATTAGTTAGTCAGCTCAAACTTAACCATCCAAAATTGAACTCTTGACCATCATCCCTAGGCCCCATAAACAATTATCCAGATGGCCATGCCAAAATAAAGCCATCATCTTCTGATACTCCACACTCAATCCACCAGTAAATTCTATCAGCACGGCTATCAACTTGGTCCAAGTCACCATCATCTCTAGGCCGGGTCATTGCTTCTACCTTTCCATTGCATACAATAGCCCTTTAAAATGTAATCTACATCATGTTGAGGTGGGAGAGTTCCCTGGCCCCTTCGCAGAACCTGCGACAGGAGGATATGGCTCTCTGGCAACAGGGGGATGTGGGAGGGGGAGCATGCAGAGGGGCAGGTGCAAGAGCCAGGATGAGTGCTTTGGGCTCTGGACCCATGGCAGTATCTTGGGGTGGGTGTCTGTGACTCTTGAAGCCCAAGTGGGCATGTGTTACAGTGCACTCTTTTAGCCTTGTCATCTGTGGATGGCTTAAGTGTTGAACAGTTCAGTGGACTTGCCTTTTTGCAAGGGCAGAGGGCCAGTGTGACAGCTTTCTGTATCTTGAGCTCTTGTCTAGCATCCAGGAAAAATCAGGTCACACACGAACTTGAAGGATGAATGCGGGGGTCTTATTGAGTGGTGGAGGTGTCTCTCTGTGGGATGGATGTGGAATTGGAAGGGGGGTGGAGTGAGAGGATCATCTTCCCCTGGCATTTGGCCATTCAGCAGCTGAACTCCTCTTTGATTGTCTCCAGCCGAACTCCTCTCGGCATTCAGACGCTCCTTCTCTTCTCTCTGCTGTGCCTTTCTGCCATTCTTCCAAGCTTCTGTTTGTCCCCTCATGGAGGCTAGGGTTTGGGGTTTATACGTGTACAGGATAAGGGGGCATGGTGGGCAAAAAGGCAACATTTTGGACGTGAAAACAGGAATGCCTATTCCCATTTAGGGCCATGGGTTTCCAGGCTTGAGGGTGGGGCCTTTGTCTGGGAAATGCCCTCTTCTACCCAGTATTTCCCTGTCTCCTGTCCATATCAAAGTCACTGCTCACAACTGTCCCGTTGCTTCCCATTTTACTAAAAATAAATAGCAAATTCATCACCATGGCCTACCCTCTCCTATATTTGTGAGATCATCTAACTTTTTCTGTTCCCTATCCTGCTGGTCTTCCTATTCCTGAAACTACTATTTCAGTGAATGTGCTATTCCTTCTACCTGAAACATTCTTTCCCTGTATCTTTACCTGGTTTATTCCCTACATCACTGAAGTCCTTGATGCTACTTTCTCAGAGAGGCATTCCCTGACTACCCTTACCTAAAATGAACCTCCCATTATTCTTTCATGTTATCCTGCTTTATTTTTCTTTATACATCTTGTGGTTATCTGATGTTTATTGTCTGTCTCCCACACCAGAAATGAGGGTAGCTACTTTGTCTTGTTCACTGCTGTATCCCCAGTACCTATAACAGTGCCTAGCATGTAGTAGACTTCCTGAAATAATTGAATAGTTAATATGTAATGTAAATATTAATATTTAATTGTTTATAACATTCTTTTCTATAACTAATAGTCCTGTATATAATATAATACCACATTTCCATGTGTTTACAGTCTATAAATAACATACTGGTAGATTACCTGGAAGGAATATAAAAATTGCTATTGTACATTTTGTATTCTATTTTTACTGAGTATTGAGTGGGTAGAGTATATCCTATTATTTACTTTTAAAGGGGTCACATGACATGAATGTTTTGGGTATTCCCTGCCTGTTTGCAAACAAGTATTTGGGAGCATCTGGGAGTACAGAGAACAGTGTTGAACAAAAGAGATTGTTTCGCTAGTTCCAGAGCAGTAGTGCCTTTCAAGGCAGTGCATTACTCTTCAGTTATGACTTCATTGGAGTAGAATGTAAGGTATATTTAGTAAGAACTATTTGACCTGTTCAAGAAATATTTACTAATTGATGACCTGGGGGATTTTATTTAAAGGGTTGCAAAAAAAAATTTTAGTGGGTTGTTTTCAAAAAGCATGTTGGTGGTTTGTTGGATAGAATTATAAACTAATAAACCTGTGATCTCAGTTCGGGGACAAATTCTGAAATTTGTAAACTGCTTCATGAATTAACACTGTAAACCTAGATGTTGCTATGGTAGCTCCAAACTGAATTGTCTAGCTTTGACAGTGTTGCAGGAAACTTGTTAGCCACATGAACTCAAGATGTCATACAGGAAAAGCATCTAAAAAAACATTATGGGGCCTGGCGCTATGGCTCAGGCCTGTAATCCCAGCACTTTGGTAGGCCGAGACAGGAAGATGACTTGAGCCCAGGAGTTTGAGACCAGCCTGGGCAATATAATGAGACCCCTGTCTCTACAAAATAAATATGAAAATAATTATGGCCTAGAATAACTACCCATGGTTTTACAAGAACTGTAGATTTATTGAACATATTTTATAAATATCAAATAATGTTAGTATGTAATCTTATCAGGGATGCAAATATAATCATGATATATAGAGCTAGATGTTAAAGTGATATTTGTTAAAAATAAGTCCTACATGTATTTCAATTCCATACAATGATTTTCATAATTCAGCATCTTCCTAAGTTCCTTGTGTATATGTATAGGACATGACTGACACAACTTTACTACTGGCAAACATGATGCATCTGTGTGATTCAAAGCCCTTTTGTGTTTCATAGTACAAAGTCATCTTCAGCATTCTTTATAAGCTACTCCACTGCAGGACATGTTATTTACTAGTTATTACCGAAATTAGATTTGATTCACCACCAGGTCATAGGCTGATTGTACTATCATTGAGCCATGTATTAATCTCAGTGTGTTATCAGGCCTCAAAACCTGGCAGGTTCCAGAGATTCTGTTTATGGTGCTGAGTCATGACTATACTCCAGAAGCTATGAACAGGCATTTATACATGTTGGATGGCCTTCCTGAAATAAGATTAGCTATCCAGGAAGCCAGTGCTCTTGAGTCACATCCTGAAACCACGGATGGATACATGGCAGATTAACCATTGAAATAGAGAATTATAGCCTAGGGATAACTTGTGTGAGAGAAAATTGCCTTTCACAGAGTGAGATTACTTGAAAGAGAGTATTATATTTTAAAAGGAGTATGACCTTTAGAATCAGATATTGGCATCTTTTATTGCTTAAATTGTATAACCTTGAGAAACCTGAGCCCCAAATGCCTCATTTGTAATATTGGAATAATAATAATAGTAGTCAGCAAAGTTTGTAAGGCTTAAGTGAGCTAATCCATTTAAGCATCTGGCACGGAGCTTGACACCTAGTAAAGGTAAAATAAACTATAACCTCTATTATTATTATTATTATTATTATTATTATTATTATTATCATTGTTTTCCGAGGTCACCTGGCAAAGCTGGTGAGAGAGCCCAAATCTCCTAGTCAATGCCTTCTCATGTAAGACTATATCAATTTATCATTTCATTTGCAAATGACATTTAAGTCTGCAATCACACTACATTTCCATTTTTCTCTCCTCAGTTTCTATTTCTCGATTTTTCAATTTTCTTTCTCCTCAAGCCCCATTCTAAAAGCTTTGGCCAGTATTTTTAGATAGCTTAAACAATGTGAATAGAAAGTATCAAATTTTATAATTGATTTTTTTTATGCAAAGGCAACAGAAATAACATGCCTATAGTTTTTATGTGTTTTTTTTAAAGAAATCATTTTAGTGACATTGCAAAAATTCCATTTATCATTTTCTAATAAATAATTGTCTTTGCAAATTGGTCACTGCCTTTACAATAAAATAAAACAAAAAACATATGGTCATTTTGGATACTGTAGAAGAATCTTTTTTTCCTTTGTCAACATAGAGAAAGAACATTTCTAAAAGACCATGTTATGTATTATTAGCCTAGCAATGTTTTTCTGTCTCTTCCTTCTTTTTCCTATCCTTTCTGTATAGATTGTATCAGCTGTGGGGCACTGTGCTAGTCATATCACTTCTCTAAGCCCCAGTTTTACTGTTTGTAAACATGCAGTACAAACCTTATACACTTACAGACCTGTTAAAAAATAAACAAATTCTTTACAAACTACAAAAAGCTAAACAAACGAAAGAAATTACTGTTATTATGGCAAAGATCAGTAAAGGCAGCATATTGGATCAACAAGGGTGGTAGAAATTGGAAATTAATAATAAGTGTCTAATTATCTACTATGAACAAGTTTATTTTGCTGAATTAATAAAGGCAAATGTGTAGGATGTGGTAAGTTATTTTCAAGTGTTGCTTAGTGGCAGTGTCCTCAGAAGCAAACCCCTCTCAAGTATATAGAGCAATTTACTATTCTTCTAGCACTTTCACATACATTATCTTATTTAATCTTCAAGACACCCCTGCCAGGCTTGTATCATTACCTCCATTTTATAGATACAAATTGAGATATAATTTACCTCTTATCACAGTGGTTGAGGCAGGAGTGAAATCCAGATTGATACTTACACCGTTGTGTCTTTTATTATAAAAAGCTCCTCGGCTATGTATCTGTTACTTTATCCAAAGAATAGTTGGTCCTGCCAGCTTTTACAGCACCTTGGTATAATTCCAAATTTGCTTTAGATGGCTTTTGGCCTCACCCATAACTTCCCCATCTTGTGGCTTGTAGAATCTGTGTCCTGGCCCTGTGACTGTTTCAGGAATACCTAACTAATATTTTCTACGTGCTTGATTATTAGGCAGGAAAGTATTAGAGATTCTAATTAATGTCTCTAAAGTAGAGAGGAGAACAAAAGAGGACCTGTGATAACTGCTTACGTTAATCTATTTCTTGAGAAACCATATGATTGGTAAGTACCTGGAATTTCTCCAATAATGCAAAGATTGCAGCCAGCTGTTAAAGTGAGAGTATTATGTTGCATGACTTTGAAGCGGTGGAGAAGCGAGGCCGAGAAGAGGCAATCACTTTAGGTTTGCCATTCCAAAGGAGATTCTCAGTGAGAAACTATCTCAAAAGTGTTGTGTAAAACTGAGTGGGTAGAAATAGAAAGCTCCCCTCCACATTGATCTTAGGCATGGAAAATACCTAGTGTAGTGATTACCATCAAGGGCTCTGGTACTAGATTGTCTAGATTTAAATCCAAGTTTCACCATTTATGGTGTGTGACTTGAGGGAAGCCATTTGACTTCTGTATGTCATAGTTTCTGGTCTTTAAAAAGTTAATCTCATAGAGTAGAGAGTAGAATAGAAGTTACCAGAGGCTGGGGAGGGAATAAGGGAGCCGGGATGGGGAAAGGTTGGTGAATGGGTACAATGTTACAGTTAGATAAGAGGAATACATTCTGATTTCTATTGCACAGTAAGGTGAGTATAGCTAACAATAATGAATTGTATTTTTCAAAAGCTAGAAGAAAGGAATTTGAATGTTTTTACCACAAAGAACTGATAAATGTTTGAGGTGATGTATATGCTAATTACCGTGATTTGATCATTACACAACGTTATCCATGTATCAAAACATTACACTGTACCCCACAAATATGTACAATCATTATGTATCAATTAAAAATTAAAGTTAAAAAGAAAATTTAAACAAATAACATAGAACTAAAAATAGTATATATGTCCAAGTCTGATTGTGAGGATTATATGAGATAATGCATATAAATTGCATAGCACAGGGCAGTGCCTGAGATGTTGAATAAATACTAGAAGGTACTATTACTATGACAGATACTATGACTGTTGCCACTTTCACTTTGTGTCTTCTGCAAGATTTAGCTGGGATAGTATCTGGCAAAAAACTTCCAAAGATGCTCAATAAATATTTATTGAATTATTACTCTGTCAGAAATGTCATAATGATAAAACTGTGTGGTGGGCTGGATGGTTTGGGTGGTGACAGTAGGTAGAGGAAGGTTGGGAGTTAGGAAGAGGCTTCTAGTAAAATAGGTGCAGGATAGATTCATTATGATAAGAACATTTATTTGCTAGTTAGTGGAAAGGGTTCAGGAGATATGGTTTTCAATCCCAGCTCTGCCACCAATAAGTTGTGTACACTTGGCTTACTTACCTTCCTCTCTGGCTGTTATTTCCTTATTTTTAAAAATGAGGAGCTAAGACCAGATGAGTGGTTATGAACTGTGGTCTGGGGGTCTGAAATATAGAAAAACAACTTTTTCAAATCTAATATGTCTGCATTTGCTTTTCTAATCTTCCCTTTGTCTTCAGGTCCCCCTGGTCCTTGTGAAAAACTCCGGTGTTCCTGGTAACCACATAGTGTATAAAGCCCCTCATTGCACTAGTGACAATCCTGTAACCCAGAAGCAAAGGAGAGAATTGTCTTTGTGTTCATTTGGGTAAGAAAGTCTTGGTTGGGCCCTAGGTGTAATTCAGCAACTCCTTTTGTGGGTTTATCCATAAGTGATGCTAGAAGCTAGTTATCCCATTTTCCACCTTTGCTTGGGTATATTGATCAGTCTGATCCATGAAATGCTATTTGATAGCCTGAGTCAGATTTCATAGCCTATAAATGGAATAGAAGCAAATGATTTTAAACTCTTTACTTAGCATTTATGCTGTACATGACATAATGCTACGAAATCTTAAAGGACAGATCGATAGGGGAGAGAGAATTTTGTTAGAATCTCTCTGAGAGCATTGTAAGGGCAGCCTGATTGCCCTTAGTCCTTAAAGGTAATATGGAAGGTTTTCTCTTTGTCAGACCTATTGCCCTGATCCCAGTAGTAACCAGTGTGTTCATCTTAATCTCTGAGGGTAGCTCTGTGGAAGATCCATAACCTTCTGTTAGCCAAATCTACCTAGTACTTACAGATGCATTAGTGGGCAGCCATTGGCTGGCAAGTAAAGAGAGAGGAATTGGGGAGAAAGAGAGATTTGTTGGGCCTCAGTGAGAGAAATGACATTCTCTCCTGATTTTATGAGGCGCAGAATTTTTAAAATAACATGGTGTTGATTCAGCTTGGTTTGCTAATTAAAGGAAGATTTAAACACTGGGGTTCCAGAGGAAAAGCGTTCATAATCCTGAGTCATGCCTGTGGGACCCAGCAGAATGGGGTGGAAGTGCACAGGACTGGGCATCATGAGATCTCTGTTCTACTTCCAGCTTTGTTACTAATTTGCTGTGTAATCTTGGGTGGGGCAAGTCTGAGTTTTACTGCCCAATTTATAAAAGAGAATTTGACTAGCCTTGTCTGTAATATACATACTGGTTCTAAAAATTTGATCCTAAGATTCTATAAAGTAGCCATTGAGGCTTACCAAAGTTACAATATTACAGATGGATCAGGTAGGGGGAAGAGGGTGGGGTGGAAGAGAGGGTCTGTCCTATTGAATTAATCTATGCACAAGAAAAGAAGGGCAGTCCCTTCTTTTCTTTTGAGTGACTTTTAATCCTTTACTTTATGTGAAATTGTTGGTTCCAGAATATAGATTCGAAGAGAAGTGTATGGAATTGGGAGTAGTAGTTTTTCCTGAAAAGCAAAGTATTTTTAATTGAGTAGCTATTTGAAGGCATGAATCCTTTAAATTTTGATCATATCCGTCAAGAACCAATATCCAAGAACAGAAAGATGACTAAATTGTATTCTATGGCAATGAAATGCTGTTTTAGTTTAAGAAAGAGATGAAAAGTTCAGATTTGCCCTTTAGAAAGGTCACTCTTGCTGTATATGGTGTGGAAAATGGATCAGAGGCAGGAAAGACTGAATAAGGAGATCCCTGCTAAGATCCTCCATTTAGGAAGTGGTAGTGGTAATGGAGAGATTAGATGGGAGAGGAGTTGAGGAAGACTCCCAGGTTTCTGGTTTGGGCAACTGGAAGGATGGCGATGCCATTTACTAATAAAGGAAACACAGGAAAAAGTGGAACAATAATGAGAGTAGATGGAAATAAAAAATTTTAATTAAAAGAAGTAATTAAAAGAAAAAAGGAGCAAAGAAGAAAGTCAATCGTCCAGCAGGGGGCGAAAGAGCTAAATAAACACTTTTTTTAAACTAAAAAAAGAAATATTTATGAGGAAACAGAGCAAAGTTTTGAACTCTCTGAGGCTTCGGTTTAGGTTCTGAGCTTTCTCAGTGGTCAAATAACTTTCTATTTTATTTTATTTTATTTTATTTATTTATTTAGAGACAGTCTCGCTCTATTGCCCAGGCTGGAGTGCAATGGTGGGATCTTGGCTCACTGCAATCTCCGCCTCCCGGGTTCAAGCCATTCTCCTGCCTCGGCCTTCCGAATAGCTGGGATTACAGGCGCCCGCCACCATGCCTGGCTAATTGTGCATTTTTAGTAGAGAAAGGATTTCACCATGTTGGCCAGGCTGTCTCAAACTCCTGACTTCAGGTGATCCACCCGCCTCAGCCTCCGAAAGTGCTGGGATTACAGGCATGAGCCACCATGCCCGGCCGAAATAACTTTCAAATACTTTTTTCTTTTTCTTTTTTCTTTTTTTCCCCTCAGAAAAGAGTATTTGACTGTGTTTTATGTGTTGCTAGGGGAGACGGTTGCTATGGAGATGGATGATATCATAACTCCATTGTGAACCAGTAAGAACACTCTCGTGAGTCTAACGGTCTTCCGGATGAAGGCTATTTGAAGTCGCCATAACCTGGTCAGAAGTGTGCCTGTCGGCGGGGAGGTGAGGAGCTACAAGGGTTTTTGCTTAGCTTTGTTTTTATTCTTGTAAGCAGGATGAGACTAGAATCCTTTCTTTCCAATTATATTGGTTCCTAACTTGATTATTTCTGTTTCCATGGTCTGAGGTGGACACAGTTTTCCCAGTTCTTGGTAGAGAAGCACACAGAGAGCTTTCCAAAGTATTTTTAATCACGTTTAGTTTGATTATTTGATGTAAGATAAAGTTAAAATGTTATATTTTTCCTTCATAGAGAGGCAATATCAAGGTTTTAAATCTCGGAGAAATGGCTTTCGTTTGCTTGGCTATCGGATGCTTATATACCTTTCTGATAAGCACAACATTTGGCTGTACTTCATCTTCAGACACCGAGATAAAAGGTAAATGGATTTTAATGGAATAGTTTTTAAATTAGGAAAAGTAAAATTAAATGGATTTTAATGGAAAATTAACTGTCTTTTTGACCTGCCTTATGGAAGTGCATAACTAACTAGTAGATGAATTGTTATTGAAACTATTTCAGGAAGTTCATGAAAAAAAGCTATGTTCTTACTAGTCACTTTCTTGTATAAGGTAACTGATGTTGACACACATTTTGTGCGATAAATGCCAAATTAAAAACACTCTCCATACCTTTTTGTATAGTCTTTTTTAACAGATTAAGTATCTGAAACCTCATTGCCTGGTACTAAACTAACTGGAACAGTTCCTTAATTACTATCCTTAGCTACTATCCTTAGCTTTTATGACAATTAGATACATTAAAAAGGTACAGAAATTTAACGTAAAATTTAAAAATAATTAGAATTATTTAATTTTTCAATTATATTATATTATTTAATATAATGTTAATGTTTTATTATTAATTAATTAAAATTATTTATAGTATATTATTATATTATATATTATATTATAATTAATATAATTAAATACATATATTTATATTATAGTGATATGTTAGTTATTATTTGTTATTATTTGTTGTTCTTATTTGTTATTGTTATTGTTAGACAGATTTTTGTAATAAAATGTTCCCATCTTAGACCAAATTCTGGCGTACATGAGCACAGAGATAAAGCCACATTGAATTTTTTGCTTCTCTAAAAATTAATACCTAGTGAGGCAAAGTCACATTTTGCATATGTGATTTCTCAAAGAAGGAACAACTATATAGCAGTAATCTAGATTTTTTTAACAGCCTTACTGAGATATAATTTACACAAAACTAACTCTTTATACAAAACTATATTCTTTAAAACTATACATGTATAGTAAAACTCTTTACTATACGTTGGTTTTTAGTATATTCACAAAGTTGTGCAACAATCACCACTATCAAAGTCCAGAATAGTTGCATCACCCGTAAAACAGCCCCTAAACCCATTAAGCAGTCACCCTGCATTGTTTCTCCCTCCAGCCCCTACCAACCACGAATCTACTTTCTCTCTCTATGAATTTGTCTATTTTGAAATTTCATAGAAATGGAACTATGTCAATATGTGGTCTTTTGTGTCTGGCTTCTTTCAGTTAGTATAATGTTCTCAAGGTTCATCCATGTTGTAGCATGAATCAGTACTTCATGTCTTTTTATGGCTGAATAATATTTGATTGTATGCATGTAGCACATTTTGTTTATCTGTTAATCAATTGGTGCACATTTGGAAGCCATCTAGATTTAGCAATATTTGTCATAAAATACAGAAAAAATAAAAGTGTTTTATTGATTTATTTCAGTTAACCCTCCTCAGGATTTTGAGATAGTGGATCCCGGATACTTAGGTTATCTCTATTTGCAATGGCAACCCCCACTGTCTCTGGATCATTTTAAGGAATGCACAGTGGAATATGAACTAAAATACCGAAACATTGGTAGTGAAACATGGAAGGTAAGTAAAGCATGCATTTGCCGTATCAGAGTGATCATCAGGTGTTACTTTGTGATTCCTGACTTTAGTGTCCGCTCCAATTCCCATATCTCAATAGTTCTAATTAGGATATAAAAAGCTTCCACACCCGCTTCTGTCTCCTATGCATCCTGCTATATCTGTTTTCACCCCATCCAGTGTTAAGATTGCCATTGGAAGAACAAGAAAAAAAACAAAAACAAAAACAAAAAACTCGGTCTCGTGCAATATGAACTTGAAGAGCAGCACTTCACTAGAAGAGCATTTCACTGTATTTTACAATTGCTTATATTCTTGGATGTGGGCCTTATACATGCTACTGACCTGTGACCTTTTCTACTGTAGGAGACAAGGCTTATTTATCTTTGTACCCTTCCCACAGAGGGTCGCAGGATTATGGTTCGTTGTATATATTGTAGTAAGAGCTCAATGAAAATGTTTTGAATTATTAACTACTTATATACTCAACAAGCATGTATATTCAAAGATTTCTGTTGTAGATGACATTCTGTTACCTCTCTAATTCAGCTAGGTAGTTTCAAGAGACAATTCAAATTGAGCATTTATTGATCAACTTTGTGCTGGGCACTCTACTAGGTATCAGGAATATATGAATAAATAATAAATGATTTTTGTCCTCCAGAAGCTCATGATTTGTCTGTATTTTTCTGGTTACTTCCAGGGTTTTAGTTTATGTATTTCTTGAAGGTTTCATATTATATTTTGAAATGTGGCATGATTTGCCAAGTAATGTGCCTATGGTATATGAAAATTATCTATTTGATTCCAAGCAGATATAGCTCAAGTTTCTGCCATAAAGTTTTTTTTCCCTTCCAAAAGTTTTTGTTTTTATTTGGAATTAGATGTTAAGATTCAAATGATCTCATAAAATGATATGACATACAGAGGTGAGCTCTGCTGGAAATGTATCTGTGGCATTGTATCAAATAGTCTCTAGGATTGTCTTAGATATTGGGAACTCTCCAGGGTATTAATGATTTATTAGTCTTATTAATATAGCTCACTATACCATGGAGGTTTCTAAGCTTGACTTTGTCTCATCTTTTTGTCAAACAGACCATCATTACTAAGAATCTACATTACAAAGATGGGTTTGATCTTAACAAGGGCATTGAAGCGAAGATACACACGCTTTTACCATGGCAATGCACAAATGGATCAGAAGTTCAAAGTTCCTGGGCAGAAACTACTTATTGGATATCACCACAAGGTTAAAACAAAGCTCTCTTTTCATATTTAATACTATCAGAACAATTCATTTGGGAATAAGTCCCTTAATCTTATGTACCAGGCTGTAGGCACAATAGATCCTGTGACAGTGTGGCACAAAATAGAATCTTTCTTGTAGTTGGTGATTAGCCTTTTAAAATTCTTTAAATCAGCAAATACCTTTGGCAAAACCTGTATATTATTTTATTGATTTAGTTCCCAGTTTTGGGGTCATATTAGTAAACATTCATGAGTATTTGCTCATCTGCTCAGAGCATCCTAGAATAATCAATTTACTACTTTTGCATATGCTTATACTAATATGAGTAAATGAGCCCTCAAATGTTTTTTGGTTTTGCATGTCCCTCTTATCGTGAAGTGATTCCCAGTAACTTCCTTTTGAAATAATCCTGTTATGTTGATTGCAAAATAAAATGGAGAGGTCATAGGAAATGAAGTAAAATTGAGAAATGATTTCACAAATGATTCATCACCAAGCCTTTCAAACATTCACAGTTGATTTGTTCCTTAGGAATTCCAGAAACTAAAGTTCAGGATATGGATTGCGTATATTACAATTGGCAATATTTACTCTGTTCTTGGAAACCTGGCATAGGTGTACTTCTTGATACCAATTACAACTTGTTTTACTGGTAAGTATTTTTATAATTAGAATTCCATATTAAAAAATGTCTACTCAAGTTAGTCGATAGTATGAGTAAACTATATTTTCACTAAGTTAAATTCATTATACTTGTCAGAGTTGTATTTATGATGATAATTGTTTACAATTATTTGAGGTTTTCAATGGGTGTAAGTGGTTTTAGGATGTAGATACTGGAAGGTATTCTATGGGTGATATAAGGAATGCAATAATTGTTTCTGTACTGGGTTAATTTTGTATCCTTTAGATAGATGAATTTAGAACTTAAACAATTTTGACATATTTTATATTCTTGTTTTTTTAAAAAATCAGTTATCTATTAAACTGAATTTTTTTCTGACTCCCTCCTTTGTTAACTGTCACTGAAGCTTTTAAACTTGGACATTGTGACTCGTGTATCTTCTTAATTTCTTAATTGTTTTAGGGTAACATGATCACCATGTTCTGATGCTCCTTTGCAAGGTTGCACATCTGTTAAGTACCTACCATCTCTACTGTAAGAGCTCTACTTTAGGCTTCCCTCATTCCACACCTGGATGATTGCCATTGCTTCCAAAATGACGGTCGCTCTGCTCCCAATCTCTCCCCTTCCAATCTCTCCCCTTTTTATTCATTCTGCACACTGTAGCCAGCTTTATCTTCCTATATTGCCATTTTCATATACCACTCTCTTGTTCAAAAACCTCCTGTGTCTACTCATTGCCCCAGGATAAAATCTAGGCTGCCATACTGTCTACTATTACCAATGTGAATGCTCCACTCAATTTAGATCCATCTCTACATTTTTTTCTCACCCGTGTTATTGCCTTTTATACCTTTGTTTGCATTACCTTCTGGAATGCCCTCTGGCTCTATCTTTCTTTCACCAATTTTTATCCATCTTTTTCAAGGCTCATCTGCTCCCCAGTTTCATTAACCTTTAACTGATCATGTCAGCTTCTGTTTTGTTTTTCTTGAGCTATTACTTTGTTTTTTTTTTTGTTTGTTTGTTTGAGACAAGAGTCTCCCTCTGTCACACAGGCTGGAGTGCAGTGGTGCCATCTCGGCTCACTGCAGCCTCCACCTCCTGGGTTCAAGCGATTCTCATGCCTCAGCCTCCCGAGCAGCTGGGATTATGGGCGTGTGCCACCACACCTGGCTAACTTTTGCATTTTTAGTAGAGATGGGGTTTCACAATGTTGCCCATGCTGGTCTCAAGCTCCTTACCTCAAGTGATCTGCCCACCTCAGCCTCCGAAAGCGCTGAGATTACAGGCGTGAGCCACTGCGCCTGGCCTTGAACTATTTTTTTTTATAGCCTGTAATTGTTTATTGTCCAGATGGCATTTAAATTTTTTCTCATATATGTGTGCTTTGTCTCCTGTTAAATTTTTAAGGGATTGGTGGGCATGAATTGTTTATTATATTTCTCTTGCCTACCTCCAAAGTACTATACCCGTAGTAGATTAGCACTAAATATTTATTACATAGCTGAAACAAGTGATAGCACTGATAAACTGATAGGTAATTATCCAAACATATGCATTTACTAAATAATGGAAAAATCAAGAGAGGACTAAGCATTACTATTGGTGAGTTCTAGTTCCAAATTATCATGGCATCTTTCTTTAGAAAATAATAATAGATAAATCATAAGCTATAAACTATTAACAATCCTGAGATCTGGGTTCTAATCCCTGCTCTAGCATCATTTAACTTGGCGGCCTTGGGCAAGTAATTTTTTCTTTTAGAATTTTTGTTTCCTCATCTGGAATTGGATAGGTAAATTTCAAAGATCTAAATTATTTGTTCATTAATTCAACAAATATTAAGCATCTTTTAAATGCCAGGCAGTGTTCTAGATAAAAAGGACAAAAGCATGAATAAGAGAAAGTCTCTGCCCTCCTGTACATTGTGGTTCATATTTGATATAATTTGATCCTCATCTTGGTGAAATAGGGAGGAATAAACATTAACATTTTAGAGATTGGAAAATAAAGCCTTCCCTGCTGACATCAAGTAAGTCTGTATGGAGTTAAGCCTGGAACTGAAGTCTCCCAAACTCTAATCAAGTGAACTAACCAAGAGACAACAATTTTGCAAACTCTCCCTAAAGTAAATAGTTGGCATAAGGTTAATTTAGTAGAGTCCAGATATGTGTACAGGCACCTTATCAGCTGCTACATTGGCCTCTTTTCAACAGGGATTTGACTGCTTTTACAGATAATGTCATGGTTTGCATTGCAAGCTATTCTTTAGGAAAATAGCAAGCATTTGTTGCTTTCGAATTTAGTAGGGAATCACTCCTAGTTCCTTTTAGCTTTATTACTGGAATAAGGTTAACTTAAAATGATATGGTAACATTTCTCATTTAATAGATGAGAAAATTAAATATTTACTTGCCAAACAACTCCTTCTTTTTCCTTTTGCCCTCCTACAGTTGGCTTTTCTGAGGTTTATCTCTTGATGTGTATTGTATACTCCAGATTTTCATTCATTTTATTAAACATAATATTTTCTAAGTCTGCTTTAAAATTTGCTTTCTTTTAAAATAACTTCCCCAGTAAAATAACTTAAAAGGCAATATCATGCAGGATTATTTGTACAAATCACAGGTTTTCTTACTAGGAATCTTATTCTTTGATTCACAAACCTTGTTGATGAATCAATATAACCTAAGTACACAAGTAAGAATCCTTGTCTTTGAGATTTTGCGAGGACTCCCAACAAATTGTAAGCTCCATGAAATCGGGGACTATGTCTGCTTTCCCTACTGTTTTTTCCCTATTGCTTATCATAGTGCCTGACATATAGTAGGTGCTTAATAAATATTGTACATTATTAAATGATTTTTAAACTGACATGGTATCCTAATATAATTGAAAATGAAGTGCCTTGATACTGGAAAAGATTGTTATTTAAACACAATTCTCACAACACTCATTTTACAGGTATGAGGGCTTGGATCATGCATTACAGTGTGTTGATTACATCAAGGCTGATGGACAAAATATAGGATGCAGATTTCCCTATTTGGAGGCATCAGACTATAAAGATTTCTATATTTGTGTTAATGGATCATCAGAGAACAAGCCTATCAGATCCAGTTATTTCACTTTTCAGCTTCAAAATATAGGTGATGTAAACCAACAAACAACTTCAAATTCATTGTTTCTAGTTTAGGCCATTTACAACCACTTGAGAGGGTGAGAGAGAGAAAAAGGGGAGGAAGGAGAGAGAGACATAGACAGAGAGAGAGACAGAGACCTATGGAAATGCAAAGACAGAAAAATGAGAGTCAGCAGAGTGTATGAGGTGGCGCTTATTAAATATTTAAGGATGAAAGATAAGAAATTTAATAAAGGTTAAAGTATCATTTTCATTTAGAACTCACAATTTTATTTTCCATCTTCAGTTTGTCTGCTATACAGTACTTTTGTCTAGTGTTAGTGATGGATTAATTATGAAGATACTTCTTCCCAGGCCTCAATAGACAAATGGCTGGATATTTATTGAGTCTATATTTTCAGTTCTAATGGTTATGAGAGTGATGGGTTCTAGAGTCTGCCAGACCTGGGTTTAAATCTTAGATCTACCATTTTTCTAGTCGTGTGACTTTGGGCAAGTTACTCTGTTTCAATTTCCTTAGTAGTAACATGAGGATAACAGAGGACCACCTGATAGGTTTATTGTGAGGCGTGAATGAGATTATTATGTAACATCCTTGGTACTTACAGTGTCTGAAATAGCATAAGCACTAAATAGGGTTATCTATTTGTAAAAGTAGTAGTATTGTTGATTGTGGTTGTTATTTCTAATGCTACAAAATGGAAAATTGTTGTAATGATTTGGGTCTTCGAACTTTTCTCTTGGATTTATATATTTGTCAGTGGGTGACTTGTCAAAAATGAGTTTCCAAAATAACCAAGTTTGTTAATAAACTCATCTTGGTTGGCAAGCAACTTTGATTTTAATACGTATCATAGGGAATATTACTGAGCCACTTGGTTTATCCCTGGAGGTTTCTGTTACCAGATGTCCCTAGCTTTGGATAAAGGCTACTGCTAAACTTCAACAATCTCCGTGTTGAAATGGTTCTCTTTTGCTTTTCAGTTAAACCTTTGCCGCCAGTCTATCTTACTTTTACTCGGGAGAGTTCATGTGAAATTAAGCTGAAATGGAGCATACCTTTGGGACCTATTCCAGCAAGGTGTTTTGATTATGAAATTGAGATCAGAGAAGATGATACTACCTTGGTGGTATGAATATTGCATTTATTTGGGAAAATCATAACTACAGCCTTTTAAATAAAATAGCAAATGTGAGAACCAAAATCAGTTGCATCCACGTGAGGGACAGAACATGACATATATCTTAGTTCAATTTCCAGAAAGCCAAATAAGCTAATGGACAAAAGTATAATGAATGATACCAATTTTAAAGTTACATAGGACCTTAGAGATTATCTAGTCACTTGTTTTCAATTTTGTGTCAATAAATTAAAGTTGGTGAAGGCTTAAGATGGATTGTGGAGAGGCCTCAAGTAAAAGCAAAACAAAATTAAAAAAAAAAACCCACAAAGACCACTTATTGAGGAACAACCATCAGGTCAAAATTACAGTATGGCAGGCTTACAAGAGAATTGCTTGTACCAGGCAAGAAGGGCTGCCTGGGGAATTAGGCAATGGTTGCAAGACTAATTACTGCCACCAGCACCAACAATGTGGTGATGCCTTTAATCACACATTGTTATATATTATTTTTCCTTATTAGTTTCCAGTTTAGAGAGTGGTAGAGAGAAGTTAGTGAGTCAGTAGTTCTAATTCATTCCTTTCATATACAGATAAGAAAACTGGTTGTTGAATTGATGTATAGATCCCAGGTATGTAAATTCACTTACAATCAAATTATGCAGCTAGAACTAGATATCAGATCTGGTTCCCAGTCCACTTAAGTCTACACTACATTATGTTGATTCCTAAGATAAGTTATGCCAAAGGAAAAGCTATTATATTGAATGAGAAAAATTCTTCAGCTCTTTGAAATGCAAAATTGAAATAATTGCTTCAGTGATTTTTTTACTCTGAGATCACCCAGCCTTGAGATAGTCTCATAACTGTAGCAATAGTTTCATACCAAGCCATGAGCACTGTTATACAGGTTTTGTTTCCTTATTCTTATTCCAAGCCCTGAGCATTGTTATGTAGGTTTTCCTTATTCTTATTAACAATCAGAATAAGGAAATAAGCATAAGGAAAAAAGAAAAAGCTATATATTAATATGTGAACTCTATAGTTTCCATAGTAATAACATTCACATGCTGGCTCTGTCTTTTGGTAACTGAGTGTATGTAGCATCTTCCAGTTCATAGAATCTGGGAAATTTGACACTAGTCCACATACTGGGTGTTATAAACACCAAGGCTACCTAGGAATTTTGCTGTCTCACACATGCTGTCCTTCACTGTAAGTGATCCATTATCACTGTAGAAATAAAATATAGATAAAGAAGGGAAGAAACAATGATTTTAAAACCCCCACTATACAGAGAGCTAATTACTGCTGGGATTATGCATCCAGTCTTTTGATGCATAGATTGCATAGATTTTATGTAATAAAACCCACTTTGAAAGGGACAGATATGGAATCTGTCTAGTTGCAACTAGATCAAATAATGGCATCTGATTTTGTCCTTGGCTTTCAGACTGCTACAGTTGAAAATGAAACATACACCTTGAAAACAACAAATGAAACCCGACAATTATGCTTTGTAGTAAGAAGCAAAGTGAATATTTATTGCTCAGATGACGGAATTTGGAGTGAGTGGAGTGATAAACAATGCTGGGAAGGTATGAGCTAAAAGGACAGTAACTAAATAATGAGCTCTTTGCTAGCAAAATTAATTTTCTTTTGGTGTATTTTGTAATTACAGAAGTGAAGGACTTTCCCATATAGTCTATGAACAGAGAGAATAAGTTAGGGAGCACTTCAATTGAATAAAGATTTATTAAAAGTCTAATATTCATTCAGTTAGGACTAGGAATATTGTTATACTTCTATTATCAAAATTCTTGTTTTTCTGTCAATATAGATAATATGCTCATTCTTTTGAGAGATTGGCAGGAACTTATTTTAATCAATATTTTCATATGCTTTCAGTATTCAAGAGAACAGAAATCTTAAAGCAAGTATAGATCAGCATACATTTGTTTCTGGGTGTCTAATACTATTCAAAAGGAATATTTTTCTAATTAAAAGGTCATGAATAGTAAAATACATATTCATTCCATTCACTTCTAACACTGATTTAAAGTGATTTGTGATAAAGTCATTTAAATTACATAGCAATATAAACTAAAAAGCCTAAAGAATGAGGTAAAATGTGATTGTGCTTCACAATGTATTAGCTTTAAGAGTAGAAATTACTAATAAATGTTCAAAATTGAAGGAAATCAACTCAGCATTGCTCTTTCAGGTACATAGATATAGATGCAGCTCTAAATAAATATACTGATGCTGATACAGACAGATACTGCCATATCTATCAATCATTCATCTCCTTTCATGTTGTTCTACTATAGTGGAATCTCTATTATCTCCCTACGAATACAGTGGTATCATTGATCCCTTTCATTCATCAAATATTTATTAAGCACCTACTATGTATCAGACTCTTTTCAAGCATTACAGATATGGCAGTAAAGAAATCTCTACCCTCAGTGAACTTACATTTTATTTCCAATTGGGTAGAGATAGGCAATAAACGAGAAGCCTAATAGATTATATAATCACTAAGGATTATGGAGAAAAAATAGCAAGACAGTGGAAAACTCAACCAAGAGCTATATGGAATCAGAAAGAAGACTTACTAGTTTTATGTTTTTCATTTTTGTTACTGTTTTAAAAAATCAGGAAACTCTAAAGTTATGTCCTGAACTATATCTCGTCATTAGTCAATGCATTGTATAAAGTGGTTATGGTGAGTTTTTAGCCATATCCTCAAAAAATATATTCTTTTCTGTATTTTACATGCAATCTTATCAATGATAGTGATGCCTAAGATTTCTCTTGCTTTGAGGGAAATCTTTTCCTTTTTTTGGTACAGAGTCTTGCTCTATCACCCAGGCTGGAGTGCAGTGGCATGATGTTGGCTCTCTGTCACCTCTGCCTCTTGGGTTCAAGCGATTCTCGTGCCTCAGCCTCCTGAGTAGCTGGGATTACGGGCATGCACCACCACGCCTGGCTAATTTCTGTATTTTTAGTAGAGACAGAGTTTCACCGTGTCGGCTAGGCTGGTCTTGAACTCCTGGCCTCAAGTGATCCGTCCACCTCGGTCTCACAAAGTGTTGAGATTACAGGCATGAGCCACTGTGCCCAGCCCTCTTCATAGAATCTTAATGACTTTGAAATTAGAAACAAGGAATTTCTTGAGTTGCATGTGGTCTCAGTTCTTTAGGACATTTCTTATTGGATGTTTCAAGTTATAGAAAAATAGGACAATAATATTTTTGGAAATAAAAGTATGTCCTCTTCAGGATTGACTCTGTATGGGGAAAGCCAGTAGAACTTCAGCAAAGGAGCTTCCTGCCTTCCCACTGTTAATTTTGCATGACAGATAACTTACATCAGTAATTTCTCTGGATTATATTCTTGTAAATCTTCTCTGAACACGTGAATTTGACTGATAATTTTCTAATAGAAAACAAGATCGTGAGGAAATAGGACAAAGAAAAAGGTGGGATCAAGAGAGCTTTGTAGATGCGTGGCTAAGATTCAAGATCTTTTATATTACTCCAAAACAAGTGAGAGGTACTAGTTTAGGGAGACCAAACTTCGTCTGCTTTTTAAGTTTGCCTAGTGATTGCTCATTTCTTGCTATGCAGAAGAACCATTAAAACTCCATCCCTAAACTAACAAAGCAAAATCAAAAAGAAAAGAAAAACCTTATCCCTCCCTTTGGTCTTTAAAATATGAGACAACTTTAAAAAGGTAACCTTAAAAGATGATTTCCATTACTCACACAGGAATTTTTATTGAAGGATACCTCTTGCTTGGTACAGTATCCTATGATCTAAGTACACGTTTGACTTACTGAGAGTTAAGAGACAGACACACAGGACATGTTTGTTTAATCACTTGGCTAATATTTTGTCATTTTTAAATGGAGAATTCACAAGGTCAAATATAAACAAACTCATATCAGGAAATAAGAATTGTGTTTGGGGAAGTTATTTTTCTAAGTGAAAATAAGACATGTCACAGTTCAGTAAAGTACTTTTCTATATAAAAATTGCACAAATGAAAGGAACGCTATACTCAAACACAATTGTGGTATTTATGCACTGGCAAATATGACAGGGGTTTCCAAGCTCAACTCAGTTCTGAAGTATTTATAAAATAATTCAGTTTCAAAAATAGTGGCAAATGTCTAACACTTCCCCTTTCCGTGTGATTTTTAATCCTAGGTGAAGACCTATCGAAGAAAACTTTGCTACGTTTCTGGCTACCATTTGGTTTCATCTTAATATTAGTTATATTTGTAACCGGTCTGCTTTTGCGTAAGCCAAACACCTACCCAAAAATGGTAAGATGTGTAACATTATGATGTTTAGCCTGAGAATAGGAGATTTTTAAAATGTTCTGCACTTAGAACTGATGGAGATACATTTTATAATTTTGCTTGTTCGCTGTGGGTGTACAATTGATTCCGTATGGATTATGATGTTATCTTCAGAAAATACAGCAATTTTTAAAAATTAAGCTTACAAGACTTCATTTTGAGGTGGATTTACTTTTGTCGAAATCAAACTTTAAACATGAAATACTATTTGGCCCTAGATTAGAGAATGGTATACGGAAAGAGTTACAAGAGAAAAGCAGGATTGGGAGAAATAGAAGAGTGAATTAAAATGATCATAGACTGAAACACATATTACCAGTGTGCCACAGGCACAAGAACACATGCAAATGATAAAGCATGGTGCCTGCCTTTGGAGCACACACTCAAGTTAAGGGAGACAGGATCCATACAAAAAAATATAACCTTTGAGATGATTTTAGATGATTGCCATTTGAGTCGTGCAGATAATGCTATAGAATTTCAGAAAACAATAGGACCACTCTGGGTTGGGGGGCTTTAAGGAGGAGTTGTAACCTGGAGAAAAATATCTTTTTGGGACAGGGTCTCATTCTGTCACTCAGGCTGGAGAGGAGTGGTGCAATCATGGTTCACTGCAGCCTTGGTATCTAGGGCTCAAGCAATCCTCCTGCCTCAGCCTCCTGGGTAGCTGGGACTACAGGCAGGCACCAACATAGCGGGACTCCATCTCTATAAAAAATTTAAACATTAGCCAGACACAATGGCTAATGTTTAGATTTTTTATAGAGATGGAGTCCCGCTATGTTGCCCAGGCTGGTCTCAAACTCCTGGGCTCAAGCAATTCCTCCCACTTTGGCCTCCCAAAGTGCTGGGATTACAGGTGCCAGCAACTGTGCCCAGCTGAGAAAAGATATCTCAATGCCATATCTTTTCAAGATAGAGAGAAAAGTGAATGTGTATAGAATGCTTCACTTTGTTTGCTGAATGCTCTTGTGCTTATTCTCTGAGTTGTTAATCTTCAGTGAAATAGTTTGTGTTATTAGAGATGACTTGTTAATAACAGAGTTCTTTCTAGATTCCAGAATTTTTCTGTGATACATGAAGACTTTCCATATCAAGAGACATGGTATTGACTCAACAGTTTCCAGTCATGGCCAAATGTTCAATATGAGTCTCAATAAACTGAATTTTTCTTGCGAATGTTGAATACGTCTTATTTTTAAATATTGTTGTATTTAAATAGGCTTTTGAGTACTCAAAGCCTCAGCTAGTAGTACATTTTCTGGATTCTATTAACAGTTTCTTTTCTCATAAATTCATAGTGAGAGTGCTGCACGTAGTTCTCCAATCAAGGTATGAGTCAGGTTTTATATTTATGATGTATTAATAAAACAATGTGACTTCACAGATTGCACTAAGCCACAGAGATATTGTCAGATCTTGGAAAATGAGATTCTAGTTTTTGTTGTTGTTTGTTTTAAACTGCACTTGGGATGAAAGTATACAGTATGAATAAAACTGTTTGGCTTTAGGCTGGGCGCAGTGGCTCATGCCTGTAATCCCAGCACTTTGGGAGGCCAAGGCAGGTGGATCACCTGAGGTCAGGAGATCGAGACCAGCCTGGCTAACATGGTGAAACCCCATTTCTACTAAAAATACAAAAAATTAGCCAGGCATGGTGGCGCGTACCTGTAATCCCAGCTACACAGAAGGCTGAGGCAGGAGAATCGCTTGAACCTGGGAGGCGGAGGTTGCAATGAGCCGAGATCATGCCATTGCATTCCAGCTTAGGCAACAAGAGTGAAACTCTGTCTCAAAAAAAAAAAAATCGTTTTGCTTTAAAAGTAACCTGTGAAAAGTATTAGGAAGCAAGAATTTTAAATACATTCATAGTCCTAAGTATATTCTTTGCATTTCATGAAGAAAAATGTGTGAAGAATGCAGTGCTTAAAAAGCTAAAAGTAGTAAGATGATTAGGAATCATATTTGAAAAAATTGGAAGTCACAAACTACACAGTAAAACTTGAGAGTTTCCCTATACTTTCTGATGGTGTGTGTTTTTGGTTCACGGACCAAAAGGTACAAACATCTGAAATTAGTAAGAAGCTTTCTAAAAGGACAATCAACCTTCAGGGTATGTCACAACCTAGGTGTCGATAATTCCTTTAAAACTTAGGGAATAATGGACTCCAATCAGGATTGTAGATTACAATCAAGAGCCAAGCTTCCGTTTGGACTAGTTTCTATTCAATACTATTCATAGTAGAGTGGCCATCACCTGGGAGCTTATTAGAACTGCTCCAACCCCGACCTACTCAGTTAGCAATTTGCATTTTAAGAACATTCCCAGATGATTCATTTGCACTTTCAATTTGAAAAACACTGATTTATAGCAGTATTTTAGAATAAAAAATGCTAAAATAATATAATGCAGAGGAGGTAAGCTCCTGGGAAGGGTAGCCACAGCTGTGCTCATCATTGCCACTGATCATCTCTAAAAGATGAAAAAAGCTAAAACTGAAGTGTAAACCACAATACCATCCTTTACTATCACTTGTAATCAATGGTAGGATGTACTGCCATTTCCCTAAGTAGACTTGTCCTTGTTAAACATTAAAACTCCTGTGATAGTGTAAATTAAGATGCAATGTGATTGGCAATTGCTGTCAAACTAGATCTTGCTAAAGTTGTTCTTAGTGAGTTGAAGGGTGTAGGGAAGGACGGAGGAATGTGATGTGGAGAGGTCAAGGTGAGGTAGAGATATGGTAGGCAACCTCATCCTGGGAGGCTGCATGCATCTTGGCAACCTACTCTTCCAATTCCCTTGTTTAGTGCATGCACAACAAGCCCTACTAATTAAAGGAATTCTGGCCTCTCTACCATAAACCTAGAAGCCCCAATCAGAATTGCCCCAACAAAATGGAATCAAGTAGCACCAAATCCGGATATAGTTGGGCCCTGCACAAAGCAGCCAGGAATGGATTTGGAGAGAGGGGTCAACTCTCACTCCCCCAGTCCACTGTTTTGGACACAACAGAGGTTCTCTGAACTGGGCGCCAGTGCATATGCACTTGAAGAAAGTGCTTTTTGTATTCACATGGTAGCCCCATCCCCACTGAAAAGGAGCCCAAACAACTTGGGCTTGCATGAAGGATGGGGCCCAACTCACCCTCCCTACACAGAATGGCAGTGGCTTGGCAATGGAAGGCAAACAAACCACAAGAGTTGTCAGACTGGAGGAGGAAGCTCTGCCCCAAGCTCATTTTGGTGATAGTGTTACAGTAGGTAGCTAGTCAGGCATGAGAAGGCAAGAGAGGGCTCCCTCTTCACCCCGCCAGAAAAGTCAGGTGACCATCAGCTGATGGTCAGGCAGTTGTTAACTGTCCCTCTAAAATAATAATTGGTCATAGCCAGCACCGGGGAAAGGCAGTCTCGCTATAGATAGGAAACACATGAAGCTGGTGATCAGCCCCTTTTGATAAGATCTTCAGGAGTTGGGCGCGTGGGCTTACACATGCACATTAAAAGCAAAATGGCAGAATTTAACTGGTATATCACGTCCAGGGGTATTCCACCAGAAAAGGATGCAAGACACCAGAAGTAAGCCAGCACAGAAAATCCTAAGTCCAAGGCCAAACAGGGCACTTGACCTCCAAGTTGGCTGCTTGGCCCTCTTCCAAGTGTGCTTTACTTTCCTTTCATTCCTGCTCTAAAGCTTTTTAATAAATGTTCATTCCTGCTCTAAAACTTGCCTCAGTCTCTTCTTCAGCCTTATGCCCTTCAGTCAAATTCTTTCTTCTGAGGAGGCAAGAATTGAGGTTGCTGCAGACCCATATGGGTTCACCACTGGTAACAGTAGCTGCCAGAGGGGTCTATCTGTGCCTCATATCCTTAGGCCAGAAGCCAAAGACAAAGTCTATTCAAACTGAAGATCATGAGCCCTGGAACAGTGGCATGATAGGAAGATCACTTTCCTGCCTGCTCAGGATGAAGAGCTGGTGCACTCCCATCTTCCTGCCCCTAAAACTGAGACCTCAGCACACCCTGACATAATCTCCCTACCACCACCACCTGCCCCACCCCCCATCAGGGCAGGTGTTTCCATTAATTAGCCTACCTGAGGAAAAGCTGGCTCTTACTCTTAAGAGCCACGTACTGGAATGAAGCCTGAAATGCACCACCAAATAACCTGCTTCCAGGAGGGCATAGTGCTAATGCACAAGGTAAGCTTCCTGAGACCTCCACACCATTATCTCCACGCCCTGCAGGAGATAGTGTTTTGGCTCATATGTTCAGTACATGGCTACAAAAAGCAGCACAGGAAAAAGAAAGGGAAGAAAAGAGACAAATTGTTTGGAAAGCTAAGCCTTCCCTCAATTAATGAGTAAAGGTTTTTGCCTTTTTAAAATTTTTTAGTTATTTTGGCTAAATGGGTGACTTACGCTGGTAACCTGGGATTTGATATCTGGCAAACTTTCCAAAATTAAGTAATAAATTATGTCTTTTTCTGACCTAATTAATCTTTTAGACATTAGGTCCCCTAAAGTCCAAAAATAACATCATTTGGTTTATTTGGTATAAAACCCATATGACTTAGTGTATGCTGTCAATGGCTATAATTGTTACGTAAAATTGTTGTATGCCACAGAAGTAACAAAAATTTCCCTGTCAATTGTGGCTTTAATAGTGGCTGTCCTAACTAAAACTGTTTGTCATCCATGGACAATTGTTGTCTTGTTTTGGGCCTCTTTAGAAGGTGGTTTTATCGCCAGCTATACAATTCTAACAGGTGTTCTTGAATGCAGGTTTCTAATCACTTTGGAGATTGTGACATTAGAATAGAGGAAAAAACTGCTGGTGGGAATGTCTCTGAGCATGCTAACGCATTATAATCAGTGTATAATGAGCAGTGAGGATAACCAGACGTTACTTTCGTCGCCATCTTGGTTTTGGCAGGTTTTGGTCAGCTTCTTTATTGCAACCTGTTTTATCCGCAAAGTCTTTGTGACCTGTATCTTGTGCTGGCCTCCTATCTCATCCTGTGACTAAGAATGCCTAACCTCCTTGGAATGCAGCCCAGTAGGTCTCAGCCCTATTTTTCCCAGTCCCTATTCAAGATGGAGTCACTCTGGTTAAAATACCTCTGACATATTTCCCCCTCCCTTTTACAAGGGAAACCTCAATCCTGAGGGTTGTAGAGGGATGAAGATCCCTCGTCTGCAACTTCTTCAGGCTGAGTAGGGGTGATGATATTTCTGCCTAACTATTAGGATCTCTTGTATTTGGGGTAGAGAGGAGCTCAGTCAGAAAGAGTCAGTATGGTGAGGGCCATTCATAAATCTGAGTTCCGACAAAAGGTGATATCTGAAAGATTAATAAGTGTTCAATGTAAGAAAACATTGAGTAAGCTTATCCTGCATTCCTACACAAAGAGTACAACAGCAATATATTTCACAACAATAAAGCAAAATAAGTAAAATTAGCCCAAGTAAAAAGGCTTTCCATGAATTGGGCAATTGTTGGAACCAAGCTGATATGGGATTGCTATCTGATTATAATACATGTCCAGGATTAGAATACTGATCTGGATTTTTACATTATCCATCCCTCTTGTTTCTTCTGAGCTGCAGAGATCACTGATTGGTTCACAAGAATAAATAGTCAAAGTTGCAGAAAAAAAACCTTAAAAACAACTGATAAGAATAGAGTCTAATACCAGGTGTACCATAGTTTTTGAACATAATTTTTTTCTCTCTCCAGTCACTGAATTTTACTAAAGACAAATCGTGATAAGACTGATTTGCTATATTATGCTTGGCCTGATTATTTGTATAAAGTGCAGCAAGAATAATTGTTTTTCATATAGGCTTCAAAAAAAATTTTTTTTGAGGCAGAATTTTGCTCTTTTTACCCAGGCTGAAGTGAAATGGCACAATCTCAGCTCACTGCAACCTCTGCCTTTCAGGTTCAAGCAATTCTCCTGCTTCAGCCTCCCAAGTAGCTGGGATTACAGTCATGTGCCAACATGCCCTGTTAATTTTGTGTTTTTAGTAGAGTCATGGTTTCACCATATTGGCCAGCCTGGTCTCTAACTCCTGACCTCAGGTGATCTGCTCACCTTGACCTCCCAAAGTGCTGGGATTATAGACATGAGCCACCATGCCCAGCCTTCATATAGGCTTTTTAAAATTGACTTTGATGGAACTTTGTTCTGTAAAAGGAATCTCAAATAAGACTTTTTTAAAGCCGAGCCCAGCCATGGGTTTTTATCCTCAAATACTTGTAAGTTGGGTAAATTCCTCTCCTCTTGAGACTGGTGCCACACCTGTGTTTCCTTTGTCCCAAGGGGGACTTTGGTGGGCTGTGCTACTCTCCCTTATGGGTGGCCCCTACCTAAAACTAGATCTCCAGGGGGACCTGCAACTCCTCAGGGAACTGTTGGTCCCCTGTGCTTGCCAGAGTCAGACTGGCTTGTGGGGCATATTTGTAGGCGATCTGGTGGTATGGTGATTCAAGGGCAGAGAATCCCGGGGCAGAGCAGTGGCCCACCATGAGTGCACAGCCAGTATGATACCTTCCATCTCAGTACAGGTCTGAGGGAAGTATGGGCGTGCTTGCATGAGCTGTCCACCCAGTTCTCTGTCTGCAGGAAGTTTCCAAATTGCCACTGACAGTGTTGTCCATGGTCACAAGGGCACAGGGGCTCTCCAACAGTTTGGTGGTCATCAGACTGTCATAGGGGTGAGGGGAGCAGAGAAGCAGCCCCACCTACCCTTTCCACGTGTCTTCAAGTTCTTTGGGGGTTGATCTCTGCCAGACTGTTGTTGCTTTCCTTTTCGGCATCGCAACTTCTTCCCATAGGCTTTCAACAGCTTGTAACACTCTTCCCTCAGCTTTATATTCTGAACTTGCCAATTCACCAGTACCTTTGATCTTCTTTCTGAGAAAAACTGGCATCCAATGCCCCTAGTCAGTCATCTTGAAAAAAAAAATACAACAAAACTAGCAGTATTTTTTAAAAGTGCCTAGGAAAAATCTCTCAGAGGAAACTTGAAAAATAAAAAGAAGTGAGACATGGAAGGAGTAGCAGGAAAAAGGTACTAATCTGAGAGCAGAGCAAATATGAGGTAACTATTGTGGGAAAATGCTGGTACTTTAGAACTAAAAATACATCAGTGTTGTTGGAGTGTTATTCATGGCAGAGAATACTGTCACGTGATTTAAAGGTAGGAATCAGGTATTGGGGGGCCTTGTATTCCATGATGAAATGTTTTAATGTTCTAAGTGGGTGATGGTTAATGCTGAGTGTCAACTTGATTGGATTGAAGGAGGCAACGTGTTGACCATGAGTGTGTCTGTGATCATGTTGCCAAAGGAGATTAACATTTGAATCAGTGAACTGGGAAAGGCAGACCTACTCTTAATCTGGGTGGGCACCATCTAATCAGCTGCCAGCATGGCCAGGATATAAGCAGGCAGGTAAATGTGAAAAAGCTAGACTGGCTTAGCCTCCCAGCCTAAATCTTTTTCCCATACTGGATGCTTCCTGCCCTCAAACATCAGACTTCAAGTTCTTCAGCTTCAGGACTCGGACTGTCTTCCCCTTGCTCCTCAGCTTGCAGATGGCCTACTGTGGGACTTTATAAGATTGTTTGAGTTTAATACTTCTTAACAAACTCCTCTTTACATATGTATATCTATCCTATTAGTTCTGTCCCTCTAGAGACTCTGACTGATACAGATTTTGGTACCAGAACTGGTTCTAGAGGAAGAGAATATTAAGAATGGAGTTCTTTCATTGGTTTTGGGATTTCTGGAGTGGGCTGCTTGACATGATTAGACCCCATAATGCTAAGGGCTCTACTTCTAATAGTATGGGGAACACTGAGAGTCTTTAGCATGAACAGTTTAGAGAGTTATGCAAAATAAGTGCATTTGACATATCTGATTCACTGCTTGTGAGAGGCAAGTTTAATGACTCTATACATAATACCTTTGACCATACGTGGAGAACCAAGGAACATAATGAAGCTGGTTGGTTGCTCCTAAGTTCAGTGGACAAAGTGATGAAAGAAAATAATTAAGTAAGGGATTATAACTCCTGGCTTCAGAAGCAGATACTGAGCCTCAAATATTCTAAGATTGCTCTGAGTGGAGTCTTATCTCCTGTAGAGAAAGAGCTGCAATTGTGGAAAATCAGACATAAACTCTTATCATGCGAGTGGCTGACCTACAATGAAAGGTGCATGCACAGCCTTGCCAGGTGTCTACTGTTAAAGTGAGGGGATTGATTGGAAAAGAATGGGACCCTGCATCTTGGAATGGGGACGTGTGGGAGGACCCTGATGAAGCTGAGGACACTGAGCTTGTAAACTCTGATGAAACTTTTTTTGCCAGAAGAAACAGCTTCCCCATCTCCAGTAGTTGTAGCATCCACTCTCCAACCCATGCTGCCATCAGCCTTTCCACCTTTGTCTGAGGAGATAATCCCTGAGCTGCCTGAGGAAATAGTGATGGCTTCCCCTGAGGCAGTTGCCAGGCAAGATAAAGTTGATTCTTGCCTGCATCAACTTTATCTTGCCCCTGTTTGCTTCTAGACCTATAACTAGACTAAACACCCCTGTTTGCTTCTAGACCTATAACTAGACTAAAGTCCCAGCAGGCCCCTAGAGGTGAGATTCAGAGTGTGACCCATGAGGCGGTGCATTACACTCAAAAATAACTGCTTGAGTTTTCTAATTTATATAAGCAGAAATCTGAAGAACAGGCATGGGAATGAATATTAAGGGTGTGGAATAATAGTGGAAGGAACACAGAGTTGGATCAGGCTGAATTTATTGATTTGGGCTTACTAAGTAAGGATTCTGCATTTAATGTTGCAGCTCGGGGAGTTAAAAAAGGTACTAATAGTTTATTTGCTTGGTTAGCTGAAATAGGGGTTAAAAGATGGCCCATTGTGAGCGAACTGGAAATGCCTGATCTACCTTCATTTAATGTAGAGGAAGGGATCAAAGGCTTATGAAGTTTGGGATGGTGGAGTGGATTAGTTATTTTAGACCTACTCATCCCAGCTGGGAAGGTCCAGAAGATACACCCTTCACCAATGTCTCGTAAAATAGGTTTGTGAGGGCAGCAAGTACATCACTGAAGAGCCCTGTAATTGCTCTTCTCTGTATGTGAGATCTAATAGTAGGAATCACAGTCACTCAACTACAAAATTTAAATACAATGGGAATAATTGGATCCTGATGTGACAGGGGTCAAGTGGTGGCACTCAACTGTCAACGGTAAGGTTGGTGTAGCTACCTTAATGGACAGCAAAGGCAAAGCAGGAATCAGAATAGTCAGACTCATGTAGAGCTCTGGCATTCACTAATTTAACACAGTGTTCGTAGAAGTGAAATTGATAGGCAGCCTACTGCATTCCTACTTAATTTATATAAGCAGAAAACTTCCAGGTTGAATGGACAAAAGAGTAATTTGAGTTATAAAAACAGACAATCATGGCCCCTCAATCAACAGAGTTCAGTCAGTTTACAGACCCAGAATCTCTTGAATGAAGGCATTTGGGAAGGAAGGATCCCGCTACACTACCGACAATTTATGCTATTAATCTTTCTCCCATCTTTCTCTGAGGAGACCTCTGGCCTTTTACCCAGGTAACTGTGCATTAGGAAAGGGAAATGATTAGACATTTCAGGGACTACTGGATACAGGCTCTGAGCTGACATTGATTCCAGGGGACCCAAAACATCACTGTGGTCCTCCAGGTAAAGTACGGGCTTATGGAGGTCAGGTAATTAATGGAGTTTTAGCTCATGTCTGACTTACATTGGGTCCAGTAGGCCCCTGGGCTTATGCTGGATTGATAGAATGGTGGAATGGCCTTTTGAAATAACACTTACAACATGAACTAGATTACAATACTTTGCACACTTAGGGTGAAGTTCTTCAGAAGGCTATGTATGCTATGAATCAGCATCCAATATATGGTACTGTTTCTCTCATAGCCAGGATTCATGGGTCCAGGAATCAAGGGGTGGAAGTAGAAGTGGCACCACCCACCATCACCCTTAGTGATCCACTAGCAAAATCTTTCCTTCCTGTTCCCACGACGTTACGTTCTGCTAGCCTAGAGGTCTTAGTTCCAGAGGGAGGAATGCGCCACAAGGAGATGCAACAATGATTCCATTAAACTGAAAGTTAAGATTGCCACCTTGACACTTTGGGATCCTCCTACCTTTAAGTCAATAGGCTAAGAAGGGAGTTACAGTGTTGGCTTGGGTGATTGACCTGGAGTAGCAAGATGAAATCAGTCTACTACTCTATAACGGAGGTAAGGAAGAGTATGCACGGAATACAGGAGATCCATTAGGGCATCTCTAAGTATTACCATGCCCTGTGATTAAAGTCAATGGGAAACTACAACAGCCCAAACCAGGCAGGACTACAAATGGCCCAGACCATTCAGGAATGAAGATTTGCATCACTCCACCAGGAAATAAACCACAACCTGCAGAGGTGCTTGCTGAAGGCAAAGGGAATACAGAATGGGTAGTAGAAGAAGGTAGTCATCAATACCAGCTATGACCACATGACCATTTTCAGGAATGAGGAATGTAATTATCATGAGTATTTCCCCCTTCTGTTGTTAAAAACATTTTTGTGCATGTATACAGTTGTACTAAAAAAATCTTCATTTTATTTCTTTTTTCCTTTATCATGTGAAATACGATTTTTTGACTTCATATCAGCATTTAAGTATTGTTAACTTTGTGTAATGGCATTTGGGTGGAGATTGATGCATTTCTGGTTGTATGAAGGATAGTTGTATTACGTTAGGCATAATTATGACCTTATTGTTGTCTTTATTTGAAAATTATGTATGATCTCAGGGGATGTGTATGGGTTCAACTTGAGGGTCAACCTGATTGAATTGAGTGCCAACTTGATTGAATTGAAGGATGCAAAGCATTGATCCTGGGTGTGTCTGTGAGCATGTTGCCAAAGGAAATTAATATTTGAGTCCATGAACTGGGAAAGGCAGACCCACCCTTAATTTGGGTGGGCACCATCTAATCAGCTATCAGTGTGGCCAGGATATAAGCAGGCAGAAAGACATGAAAGGCTAGACTGGCTTAACTTCCCAGCCTACATCTTTCTCCCATGCTGGATACCTCCTGCCCTTGAACATCGGACTTCAAGTTCTTCCACTTTGGGACATGGACTCTTTTCCTTGATCCTCAGCTTGCAGACGGCCTATTGTGGGAGTTTCATACTCCTTAGTAAACTCCTATATATATTTATATGATATATATATATATATTTCTATGATATATATGTATTTCTATGATATATATATATTTCTGTCTCTCTATATAGTTCTATATACATATACATATAGTTCTATATTGTTCTATATATATATATATATATACATAGTTCTGTCTCTCTAGACAGCCCTGACTAATACAAAATGCAACTCTTTTTTAAATAAAGATTCACAAAAATTTCCAAAATAATGCAAAAGAGGTCCTGAGCATTCTTCATCCAGTTTCCTCTAATGACAACATCCTGCATAACCATAATATAACAATAAAACAAAAAAACCCAACATTGGTACAGTCTACATAACTTATTTAGATTTCACCGGTACAGGTAATCCCCAACTTACTACAGTTGAAGTTATGATTTTTTGACTTTATGATGGTATGAAAGTGATATGTCTTCAGTATAAACCATACACTGAATTTTGAATTTTGATCTTCTCCTGGGTTAGCAATGTGCAGTATTACATTCTCTCATGATGCTGGGCAGCAGCAGAGAGCTGCAGCTCCCAGTTATCCCAGCCATGCTATCAGAAGGGTAAACAACTAATACTCTACAGGGTACTGTGTTGCCAGATAATTTTGCCCAACTGTTGGCTAATGTAAGTGTCTTGAGCATGTTTAAGGTAGGCTAGGTTAAGATGTTATGGTCGGTGGGTTAGATGCATTTTTGACTTATGATATTTTCAACTTAGGATGGGTGTATGAGGAGGTAACCCCATCATAAAACGAGGAGCATCTACATTGCATGCACTCATGTGTGTGTAATTGTATGCAGTTTTATCACATGCATAGACCACAATCAATATATCAACATATAAAACTGTTCTATCACCACATGGATCCATTGTGCTAGCTATTTATAGCCACACCTCCCCTCTCCTTTTCCCAGCTGAATCCTTATCCCCTGGCAAACCACTAATTTATTCCTCTCTTTATAATTTTATCATTTTGAGAATGTCATATAAATGAATTCACATACTATGTAACTTTTAATGTTGGCTTTTTGCATTCAGCATAATTAACCAGAGGTCCAACTAAGTTGTGTGTGTCAATAGCTTGTTCTTTTTTATTGCTGATAAATGCCATAGTATAGATGTGCTACAGTTGTTTTATCCATTTTCCCCCTAAAGAGCATCTGGACTGATTCTAGTTTTTGGTTATTATGAATAAAGCTGCTATAAATATCCATATATAGGTTTTTCAATGTAGTTTTCATTTCTCTGGGATTAATGTCCAAGAGTGCAATCGCCAGATCATATGGTAATTGCATATGTCGCTTTATAATGAACTGCCAGATTATTTTCCAGAATTCTTATATCATTTTTCATTCCTACCAGCAATGTATGGGTTATGCAGTTTCTTTGTATCCTCTCCAGAATTTGGTGTTATCACTATTTTTTATTTTAGCCATTCAAATAGGTGTGTTGTGACATGTCATTGTGGTTTCTATTTGCATTCCCGTATTGTCTAGTGATGTTGAACATCTTTTCGTGTCCTTATTGGACATCTTTAGATCTTATTTGGTTAAATGTCTTTCATTTCTGGCCTATATTTTAATTTGGTTGTTTTCTTATGGTTGACTGTTGATAGTTTTTTACTCCAGACATCATGCCTTTTTCATGTCTTGAAACTTTTTCAAGGTTTCAGACATGAACCTTTTTCATATCTGAAAAACGGTTTGCAAATATTTTCTCCCAGCATGTAGGGTGTCTTTTCCTCTTCTTCACAGGGCTTTTCATAAAGCAGAACATTTTAATTTTGATGAGGTCTAATCTATCAATTTTTCCTTTTGTAGATTATGTTTATGGTGTCATGTTTGAGAACTCCCAGCCAAGCTCTTGGTGGAGAAGATTTTCTCCTATTTTACCTTCTCAAAGTTTATAGTTTTACATTAAAATTTAAACCTATGACACATTTCGAGTGAAATTTTGCATGAAGTATGAGGTTTATTTTTGAGTTTCATATAGTTTTTTGTATATTTATTGAGGGATGGTTAGTTGGAAGTTGTCTCCTGCTAAACAGGTGGACGTTCTTGGTGCTTCTTATTGTGTAGATTGTATGCAGAACATTCCCAAAAAGGGTAAATTAGCAGAGTCAAATCCAAAAAGATTATACTTTGAGAAGCAGAAAATTTAAACCTTTTTTTCTCATCATAAAGAGAGCTACAGTCTTTTGTAGAATGCCCAAGAATATTCCAGGCTTTGGTCATCTCCATGAGCACTCTATCTTACAGTTAAGTAAAGTAGTTGGAAGAGTGAGCTGTAAGATTTAAACTGTTCTGGGAAACTTATATATAACATAGCAATTGAGGAGGAAGTTGGAAAACAGCAAAATTATGTGACTGGGAGAATTACCTAGTAAGTCAGTATTAGAGGGGACTACAAGCCAGTCCTTTACTTTAGAGCTGTATTCACTATACTATCCTACAGCAAACAAGTAAGGGCTCAGTAAATGTTCCCATAGTGTCCAGAAAGAGTTAAAACCTTTTATCTATAAAGGAAGATGTATAAGCATGAATGAAATGCTTTTCATTGATTTCCTCCACTGGTCAGAAAATTAGGCTATGCTATCTGATCATTTAAGGTACAGATAAAATTCTTGCGGTTTTAACAAAATATCTTACGTTGAACAATTGCCTGAGCTGCTGATTTTGAAGAAACTTGGTCTGCAACTCACGTTCGCTGTGGGTAATTAGAATTTGAAACTAATGAAGCAAAAAAGATGTTTAAGGCAAAATATTGCTCACAATATGATACCAGCTATTTTAGTTCATCCGGGATACTGAATAAAATCCCATGGCCTGGGTGGCTTATAAACAACAAAATTTATTTCTTACAGTTCTGGAAGCTGGGAAGTCCAAGATGAAGGTGCCAACAAGATTCAGTGTCTGGTGAGGACCATTTTCCCGGTTCATAGATGGAGACTTCTTGCTGTGTCCTCACTGGATGGAAAGGGAAAACAGTCTCCCATGGGCCTCTTTTATAAAGGCACTAATCTCATTTGTGTTTAGGCCCTCATGCCCTAACCACCAGATCATAGCACCAGCTAAGAAAGATAGCTGAAGTACACATTTGTACTTTCTCAAGTGCTAAATTAAAAGGTATTTGTAAGGTGTTTTCTGTAGCAAGTACCATTAGTTTGAAAAGTGATTTTCCAGAATCAAAAGTGCTCCACTATGTAATAATAAGTCCATGTTGAAAGAACAGGGGAGGTCACTGAAAAATTTCATGCTGCTGATGTATGTATTATTCTGTCTGAAGTTAGTTCATTCAGCTGTTGAGAACATATAGTGGTTTTTTATTTCTTCAGCTTTTATTTCAAGTTCCAAGGTACCTGTGCAGGATGTGCAGGTTTGTTGCATAGGTGAATGTGTGCTATAATGGTTTGCTGCATGGATCTACCCAACACCTAGGTATTAAGCCCAGCATGCATTAGCTATTCTTCCTGAGGCTCTCCCTTCACCTAAATCCTCCGAGGAAAGGAATTTTTAAAAAATATTTTATTATTTCAACAACTTTTGCGGTACAAGTGGTTTTTGGTTACATGCATGAATTATATAGTGGTGGAATTCTGAGGTTTTAGAGCACCCATCACCTGAGTAGTGTACATTGTACCCAATATGTAGTTTCTTACCCCACACCCTCCTCTCATCCTCCCCGCTTTGAGTCTCCAAAGTCCATTATATCACACTGTATGCCTTTGTGTCCTCATAGCTTAGCTCTCACTTATAAGTGAGAAAAATGGTATTTCGTTTTCCATTCCTCAGTTACTTCACTTAGAATAATGGCTTCTAGCTCTATCCAAGTTGCTGCAAAAGACATAACTTCATTCCTTTTTTATAGCCGAGTAGTAGTCCATGGTGTTTGATGGGCACTTAAGTTGGTTCTGTACCTTTGCAATTGTGAATTGGGCTGCAATAAACATATGTATCCATGTGTCTTTTTCATATAATGACTTTGTTTTCTTTAAGCAGATACCCAGTAGTGGGATTGCTGCATGGAATGGTAGATCTACTTTTAGTTCTTTAAGGAATCTCCATACTGTTTTCCATAGAGGTTGTACTAATTTACATTCCTACCAGCAGTGAAAAAGTCTTCCCTTTTCACCACATCCATGCCAACATCTATTGTTTTTTGACGTTTTAATTATGCCCATTCTTGCAGGAGTAAGGTGGTATCTCATTGTGGTTTTAATTTGCATTTCCCTGATGATTAGTGACGTTGAACATTTTTTTCAAATGTTTGTTGGTTGATTGTCTTCTTTTGATAAATGTCCATTCATGTCCTTTGCCCACTTTTTGATGGGATTATTTGTTTTTTTTTTCTTGCTGATTTGTTTGCGTTCCTCATAGATTCAGATACTGGTCTTTTGTTGAATGCATAGTTTGCAAATATTTTCTCACATTCTGTGGTTTGTCTCTTTACTCAAAATTATTTCTTTTGTTGTGCAGAATCTTTTTAATTTTACGAGATCCCATTTATTTATTTTTGTTTCTGTTGCCTTTGCTTTTGGGGTCTTTTGGGGTCTTAGTCAAGAATTCTTTGTCTAGGACAATGCCCAGAAGAGTTTTTGCTAGACTTTCTTCCAGAATTTGTATGGTTTCAGGTCTTGATCCATCTTGAGTTGATTTCTGTATATGTTGGGAGATAGGGATCCAGTTTCATTCTTCTACATGTGACTGGCCAATTTTCCCAGCACCATTTATTAAATATGGTGTCTTTTCTCCAATTTATGTTTTTGTATGCTTTTTCAAGGGTCAATCGGTTGTACATATTTGTCTTTACTTCTGGGTTCTCTATTCTGTTCCGTTGGTCTATGTGACTACTTTTATACCAGTTCCATCCTGCTTTGGTAATTATAACCTTGTAGTATAACTTGAAATCCAGCAATATGATGCCTCCAGATTTTTTCATTTTGCTTATGATTGCTTTGGCTATTTGGGGAGAGCATAGTGTTAATGAGGCCAAAGGCAAAGGCTGTACTCCAATATGGGCCAGTGACGTTTGCTCTCTTCCATAACAGAAACTTTCCTCCATCCCTCCTCAGTTCTCTGGCCACTATATACCACTGACCATATTATTTAACTGGATGTACCATGTAGCAATTTCCACAAAAATGAGAACAGTTTTAAGTGCAGACTAGTTTCCCCAGTTGTAAGATGGATTTTGTAGTCCATGTTAGAAAGGGGTCTTTGGATTAATAAAATACCTACATGTGCTCTGTAGAACTTTGTTCCTCCAGACATAAGTATTCCATGGAGAAAGGGTTTCTGGGATCGAACAACTTGGGAAATTCTGAGTTAAGTGAAGTTAAATTTTTTATTTTTATATTTTCATATTTATTTTTATTCATTTATTATATTTTATGTTTTTATTTTTTAACTGCAGACTTGTCAGAGCCATTATTATACTAATATGTTGTGTGACTCTCAGATTATAGAATTCAGCATTTCCAAATTTATTTGAACTACTCTTTTAGACCACAGTTAGTTACATCTCTCAAGAGACTATTCCAGGAACAAAACAATATGAGACATATGAATGGCTTGCAAGCCCTGTTCAAATGAGGTTATGTTAACCCTGAGGACTGAATGAGGTTATGTTAACCCTGAGAATATAGGCATTAAGGGGAGGCATTTGTATGTCCTGGGCACATGAAGGCTTAGATTTGTTTACTGCCTGCTTAACCAAAAATCTGTGATTCAATATGAGACTGAATGAAAAACAAGCTGTCCTTCAGATTCCCCAAGCATTAAAAAAGGTGTACAGAAGTGAGACAACAGTCAGTATATGAAACAATACAAAATATACCATTGATGATAGAGTTCATATGCCTACCTCCTCAAGTACTGACAAGCCAACAGCTTGCAGACAGAGAGCTAAATAAATAGATGGGCAGTGTGTTCTCTGCTTACCTGCCTAACAAATCTTCCCTTACCCCTGCTGTTGCTAAGTAGCCAGATCCCAGAGGTCTGTTTTGAACACTACCCCTTCCCTCCTCTCCCTTTCTCTTCATTTATGCTTCCCTTTCTTCATTTATATCCTCATCCATTCTGTTGGCTTTGGGTACCACCTCTCATTTCTGTGTCTTTGACTCAGAGCTGTAACCTGAGTCCAAACTTGCCTCACAGGTACCCCAAATTCATCCACTCCAAAATCTAAGTCCCCTCTCCTTCATACTTAAAACCTGATGCTTCTACTTCTCCTAAGAGCTGTGTGAAAGGGGTGCTTCTGGGCATATGTTGGAATGGATTGGTGCTGAGAACATGGTCTAAGTGAGAGGGTGAAAGCAATCATCTCTAGGCTCCTTTCTTGATGCTGGTTTAAAAAGAGAAGTAGTGAACTGTAAGTCCCTGACCAGGCAAAGCCTAGGGTCAGAGTTCCTGTGACTTCTTGTCTTGTGCGGTAGTTAGTTGGAGAGAAAAGCGATGAAGAATGAGAAATCTGGCTGAGATACAGACATAGTTTTGCTAACAGATGTGCACTCCTGGCAGAGGGGCTTCCGTCACTCAGCCTCTCTATTTTCCATGGATGTAAATAGATAAAGATCAAGGGAGGCAACGTTAATAGCTAGGAAGTTCTTTTATTTATTTTTGACAATACAACAGCTGTGACAAGGTGTCTATGACAAAGCAAAACCTTTGGCAAATGAGGAAAATCCCTTTATAAAGACTTCAGATTTCAAGATGTTTTGAAACACTGTATATACCCTTGAAAAGCTTTTTTTTCTCTTTCTTCTAGTTTGAGATATTTGATCATAGTTGGGATTTTGTGGCTGGTGTGGGTTTGGTGGTGTTTTATCCAAACCAAGGAACAAAATTAGGATTTATTATTATCCTGGAGACTACGATTGCAAATGGGGGAATAATACCACTTACTTCATAGAGTGTTCTTAAGTATTAAATAATCATAGTATTTAGTACTTTACTAATCACAATGTAAGAGCCCAATAAGTATTGTTTCATTTTATTTCTCTCAGAAGATGTAGAATGATGTCCTTTTCCCCAGAACACTAGATAGGGAATGGTGCCTGAGCCACTTTGCTACTTGATTACCACTGAATTGCAAATATTCAGGAAGGAAAGAGGACACAAATGTCCAGGCAAAGTGGACCTCCCTTAAAAATACAGGATCTCATTTGTTGAGTTTGTGTTTTTCTAAAAAAAATTTTATACTAAAACCTTAAGTACTTTCTTTCCACCATACTTTTAAAATTTCTTTTCTAATTTGGTCTTGAGGTCTCTCTCTTGAGAGTGTCACTCCTTAGGAGAGCCCTGATGGTGGTGAAGGAAGGTGTTGGGTTCAGGGGGTTTGTCAATTGAGAGAGAATAAGGAAGTGCAACCAAAATGCACGGCACTGAAGAAATTTATTCTTCACACATCCCAGAAAGATGAGGGGTACCTACAGGAAGCTGACAGGAAGTCCTGAGGCAGCAGTGAGTGCAACTAACGAGTGAGGAGTGAAAGAGAGTGAGAGAGAACCTGTGGGACTGGGCCTTTATTAAGGTCCTTGGGTGTAATCTAGTAGGCTTTGCTGTGGAGGTTGTGGATTGGCAAGTTTAAGGAAAACACTCATGAAAGGAGTAACTTATTTACAAGATTCTGGTGTTGACCATTAAGTCTTATTGTGGTCAACAAGTGTGAGGTATGTTGTTTGGCATTTGTGAGATGAGGAAATATTGGGTTGTATTGCAAACAACCACATGGAGACGGGGAGTTTTAACTAGGCCAAAGGTGACAGGGTACTACCGGGTTTGAAACAACCTACGTCAGGCCTAAAAATGAATGCCAAGGCAGCAACAATATTAAACAAATCTGTGACACATATCATTTTCACTGACACAGGAGAAGTGTGCTCAATGAAAGAGTCCATAAACTAAATAATAATGATCAAAATAATAACCACAGCAACAGGGAACATTTGGTTAACACTTAAATGCCACTGTGCAAATCACTTTAGATTCATTATCACATTTAATCCCACAATAACTCTGTTTAGTAGTTACTCTAATTATCCACATGTGACAGCAAAAATGTTGAGTATTATCTGTTGCTGCCCTTTAATAAACGGACCTACTAATAACTGATAGGTGCTTTGTTTGGTCAGTAGCAAACAAAGTGTGGGTATGAGAGTTTGGAAGACCCTAGACAGAGATACTTCACTCTGCCTAAGAAAGGGATAGAAAGAGAAGAATAATGATGCTGGAAGAGAGAAGTCAAAATTGGGAAGGCTAAGCATAAAAGAAGACCTACTGGCTGTGAGATGTTAGACTTGGAAAAAGACATCTAATGGAGATTTGGGGAGGAAAATGTTTTATTTTGTAAACTTATTCCATCAGGCCTCAAATCTGTGTCCTGCTTTACAGTTGGTACAGGAGAAAAAAGGAATGTTGTACATAGATAGTACCAGTATATGGATTATACCATTTCACACATAGAGAAACTGAGGGTTAGAGAGCTTAAGAAGGTCATTCGGAAAAAAGTGAAGGAGCTAAGATTTAAGATTTAAGCTATGATTTAAGCCCTGTTCTTTTTTAAAAATTTATAAATAAAAGAGGTATAATTAACTCACAGTTCTGCATGGCTGGGGAGGCCTCAGGAAACTTACAATTATGATGGATGTCGAAGGGGGAAGCAAGGTACATTTTACATGGTGGCAGGAGTTGGGGGGACCACCATACACGTTTAAACCATCAGATCTCATGAGAACTCACTCACTGTCATGAAAACAGCATGAGGGAAACTGCCCCCATAATCCAATCACCACCCACCAGGTCCCTTCCTCGACATGCGGAGATTACATTTTTTTTTAAATTTTACTTTACGTTCTGGGATACATGTGCAGAACCTGCAGGTTTGTTACATAGGTATACATGTGCTGTGGCGGTTTGCTGCACCTATCAACCCATACTATCCAAGTACCTATGCTTTTAACCATTAAGATAGATTACCTTTCTGAGTCTGTTGGCTTTAAATGTTTTTTATTAGTTTATAATCTCAGACAGTAGCTTTAATCTGAGGCCCATCATATTTTTCCTGCTCATTGCAGCGCTGCAACACGTTCTCCTTGGTCAGTGTATAGTGGATTCCTTTGTCCTTCCTCCTTTCACAGCAACTTTGGGGAAGGTACCAGAGGGTGACCTTTCATGGAATAGGCTTTGAAAGGTTTCCTTGAAGAGCATGGCTCCTGACATTCAATTGAATAGCTTAACGGGACAAAATGATCATCATAAAATAAATAATACAGTGTAAAAGCAATTTGGCAGGAGGCTAACGTTCAAACATTGTTTCCTCACTTAAAACACTTTTTAAAAAATAATTTCAACTTTTTTTTAGATTCAGGGGGTACACATAGGAGTTTGTTACATGGGTATATTACGTGATGCTGATGTTTGGGGTATGAATGATTCCGTCACCCAGGTGGTGAGCATAGTACCCACCGGTTACTTTTTCAACCCTTGCTCCCTCCCTCCCCAGTTTATTAGTCCCCAATGTCTATTGTTGCCATCTTTATGTCCATGAGTACCTAATGTTAAAACACTTTTTAAATGATTTATTTTCCCTCCTGAACAGAAAAAGTTGGAACACTTCCCACATTTTTTCTCTCCAACGTGGAAAACCATCTTGCCTCCATTCCCCTTTTGCCTCTCTCTTCTGAACTGAAATTTTCAAAGCAACTTTGTAATGACCTCAAGTACTTTAAATTCTCATTTCAGTAGAATTCCTCTCCAGGTGTATTCCGTGGGGTTATTGAGCTAACTGGACCTAGACTTATCAAGAGCTATGTGAGAGCCAATCTATGTCAAGAGTCTCTGGGAGGGAGTATCTGCTGGTGTTGGTGGTAAATCCAGTATCTGAAGATGTAGCACCTTCTGTCTTTCAAATGTTCCCAAATGAGTTACTGGAATTGGTGAGGATATGGACCAGTTAGTAGGTAGTCTGTGAAATATCATTGAGAACTCCAGTAGTTACTAGCGTATAGTTTGTTTGCCATAACACAATTTTGTGGTGAAGTGACCCATACATTCTTTTATGTAAATGAATAATCTTTGCATATTTTTAATTATAAAAGAAGTTTCAGACATTAGCCATTTGTGCCTTAAACACTCTAGTTTCTCTCTATTGGCTTTAAATAGGGTATCAGTTTAGGAGGAGAGCTAATTTTTGATTAAACAAAGGAATTCAGACTTCCCTGTTCTGGCATTTGGCAAATCATCTTAACCAACACAAACTTGTCAACAATTGGCCTTTTGTAATTGCATTCACATGAGGAAAGTGATGGAGAATTAAGTGTTATTTTTCTAATGCCCAGGCTTTATGTGTTTTTCTCTGAGTCTCTGGTACCCTTATAGTTAGCTGGGCCTTCAGGCCAGTGGGTTCAGATCTGCCTATTTGAGGCTGAGCAGGAGAGCTTCTTCCTCTTCTACTATCTCCACAGTGTTCCTCTGCCCTCAGAATGATCCTGGAAGAATAGAAAGGTACGGGGCTTCATGCTTGGTTTCCTCACATTCCAAAGACTCCAGTTGTCTCTACACTGGCCTTCATGGAAAAAAACTCCTGGAAACAGTTTTGAAAATCATTATACTCAGTTAGGATTCATGTTGTTTTCCCAAAAACTTGCTAAGGCTGGAGGACCTTCATGATTAAATGATGAGAAGAAACAATCCAAGGCAAAATAATGGTGATTTTGAGGTCACACAATCCAGTTCTCTACCCCCTTCCCTTTCTGCTCCTTCCCCAGGTCCGGAGCCAGGAGATGTAGACACAGAATGAATGTGACCTTACCTACCTCTCTCTATCACCCTCAGTTGGAATGTAGGTCAGTTATTAAGCTGCTGTCCCCTGGGCTACACTTCTACATTCCTTGTGATGCTAGACATGAAATCTACAAATCACATTTTATCTTTGCTTGCTCTCTATTAGGTTCTGATAAAAGAGAGAACTAGAGAAGGACAGTGAAATGGGACAACAGACTTGCTCCTTTCAGTTTTGCCTGCTGTTCTTGTCAACATTACTCTAGGAATGACCCTTCACTGAAGCAGCAGCAGTGGGTTCCAGTCTTCACCTTCTTTGAGTGCTCCAGAACCAGCCTCCCTGTGTCCCTTAGATGTACTCATTTGGGCAGTGTCCCCTCCTCAGAGTTCTGAGGCCCAGCTCTGCCAATCTTCTGATACCTCTGTGTTCCCCTTTTTGCTTTTTGAATTGTCCACTGCCTGTTTAACCAACTCCTTGTATTAGACTCCATGTCAAAACACCTAAAATGAATTCTATTTTTCCATGGAAGTGACTTTTATTTTTCAGTGTCTTGAAATCAGAAATAAATTGTCTGAATCGGTTAGGTTAATTATTGCATTTTTAACATTTTCAGGATTTTTAGCACTGACCCAAATCCTTGGCAACAAAAAAGGCCAAGAGGAGGCTAAAAAAGCGAGTAAAGGCCGGGTGCGGTGGCTCAGGGCTGTAATCCCAGCACTTTGGGAGGCTGAGGCAGGTGGATCACTTGAGGTCAGGGGTTTGAGACCAGCCTGGCCAACATGGTAAAACCCCATCTCTACTAAAAATACAAAAATTAGCTGGGTGTGGTAGCAGGCGCCTGTTATCCCAGCTACTCAGGAGGCTGAGGCAGGAGAATTGCTTGAACCCGGGAGGCAGAGGTTGCAGTGAGCTGAGATCATGCCACTGCACTCCAGCCTGGGCAACAGAGCGAGACTTTGTTTAAAAAAAAAAAAAAGCCAGAAAAACCTGCAAATCCCCCATTGCCTTTATTTAACTTAATCACCTGAAATTGGTCTCCGAGGAAGGGAAACACATGGAGGTCACTTGTCAGTGTGTTTTGGTCACAGCTTTTTCATCTATGTGTCTGACCTATATATGTATCAGAGGATAACAGGAGGGCTGAGATAGTGATCCCCTCACACACTCCACCCTTTTGGCTATACCCTTTTTGGCTACAAGGAGCCTCATCCATTTATCTCTTTGTGCACAAAAATATTAACAATTACTTCCTTTGTGTGCACTGACAGGAAATGATTGGGAAACACAGGTTTATTGTATTTCATACAGATTCTCATAAAACTTCTAAGTTTAATGTCCTCCAAGGTAGGTTGTGAATATTGGTCTCTCATAATGTTAGCAGGTATTACCAAGGGAAAAATTTTTGGTAGCCAAATAAATTTGGAAAGTCGTTGATTAAACATTAGACTAACCACAGGTCCTAATTTTCCCAGGACATTTCTAGTATGTGCTTATTGCCCCAATGCAATTATTAATAACATCCCCTTTGTCACTCAGAAATGGCCCAGTTTGGACAATGAATTATAGATCACCCTATCTTTGAGTCATATATCTTATGCAGCATTTCCAACACTTGTTCAAGGAACGTTTTTTTCAAGGAGTGACTTATGGGCTCCACAGACTATATTTAGAAAACATTGTCTTTGGATCTATTTGATTTCTATTACTGTAAACATCTTGAGGCAGAGTAAAGAATATTTAGTTTTCATGAGGCTCATCTTCCTGCTCCTGGTTAGGACAGGGAAGATGTAACCTTTTAATCCATAAGATCAGCCTTGGAGAGACTTTCATGACTTGGAGTCTGAAGCTGACTGAGACATTCGCAGGTAGGAAACTTGACATTGCTGCTGTAAGCTTTACAGTGCTTCTCTCTTCTTTCTGTGCTCATGGAATCAGACACTGGAATCACCACAGGAGGAAAGAGAGAAATAAAAGGGATCCTTGTGCTTCATAAAAATCCTCATTCCCTATATTTTCCTGCTGGATTCAGTACCAAGTCTTCATAGCTGCACTGATCTCAGTGTCATTCTGGATTTCCAATTCTTTGGCTCAAGGATGACTGTCAACTAATGTCTGTTAAAGTTTTAGTGGATAGAAACGTGGTTGGGCGCAGTGGCTCATGCCTGTAATCCCAGCACTTTGGGAGACCCAGGCGGGCAGATAATCTGAGGTTGGGAGTTCGAGACCAACCTGATCAACATGGAGAGATGCCATCTCTACTAAAAATACAAAATTAACCGGGTGTGGTGGCACATGCCTGTGATCCCAGCTACTCGGGAGGCTGAGGCAGGAGAATTACTTGAATCCAGGAGGCAGAGGTTGCGGTGAGCCGAGATGGCACCATTGCACTCCAGTCTGGGCAACAAGAGTAAAACTCCATCTCAAACAAAACAAAACAAAACCAAAAAAAAAAAACAAACAAAAAAAAACAAACCATGAAGCAATGGATTGAAAACTTTTTGAAAAAAGAGGAATTTTTTTTCATTTGAAATCTTAAACACTACAATAGAAAACAGATAAACCCCAAGTGGCACCATTATAAGACGAGTGGGAAAGAAGGGCATAATCCCTTCGTCTGTGATTTGGTTTGGCTGTGTCTCCACTCAAATCTCATCTTGAATTGTAGCTCCCATAATCCCTACGTGTCATGTGAGGGACCTGAAGGGAGGTCATTGAATCATAGAGGCAGGTTTTTCCTGTGCTGTTCTCATGATAGTGAATAAGTCTCATGAGATCTGATGGTTTTATAAAAGGCAGTCCCCTATACACACTCTCTTGCCTGCCACCATGTAAGACACAACTTTTCTTCTCCTTTGCCTTCTGCCATGATTGTGAGTCCTCCCCAGCCATCTGGAACTGTAAGTCCATTAAACCTCTTCTTCTTTATAACTTACCCAGTCTCGGATATATCTTTATTAGCAGCATGAGAACTGACTAATACAGTCTCCCTTCTGCAATCCCTGCCAAGCCCTCCCTTTACCATAGTCATGTTGATCCAGGCACGCAGAGCCATGGAGTTCTATAGGGAATAGCTGGAAACTACCAGTGGTTAAGCACAGCATACAGATTTAGAATCAGAGAAATCTAGATCTGAATCCTGCCTCTGCATCTTTCTACTTGTATAACCACTGGCAATTTAAATCTATTTTTTGAGCTTCAGTTTCTTCATCTGTGAAATATGAATAATGTTACCTTTTGGTAGGTCAGTTTGAAGGTTAAATGATGTGCTTATAAATTGACTGCCACAGTTTCAAGCACATACTAGGTGCTGTATAACAACTGTGTGACCATGGGCAATTTACTTAATCTTTCTAAGGGCTCATTTTCTCGTCTGTCAAATTGGAATATTAACGGTATCTAACTCATTTTGTACATGCATGAGATAATGCATGTGGTGTCTAGCACATAGAAAGTACTACATTATTCATAGTATTTTTGTTTCTTGTGTAATTATTATTAGGGATTTTATAGGAACTTGAAGATGACAAAGAATTTAAGGCACCAAAGAATGGTCCTATGACATTGGAGTCATATAGATTCCATGACAATTAAGTGGGACAGGGCCCTAGTACAGTTGGCCGCCTTCATGACAATACTTCCTTGTAAAATGAACATTCTTCAGGTAGATTGGTCATGAGGGTCACTACATTACAGTTATTGCAGGGTCTTCAAAACAGTTGTGATAATGAGCTTCTTCAATGTATGTCTTGAGGTGAAAGAGGTTGAGAAAATTTGGTGGACAATCGATTCTAAGACTGATAAGTTCAAATAAATTATGAGAGAAAATTCAAATTTTTCATTTCTTTCTTTCTTTTCTTTTTTTTTTTTTTTTTTGAGACGGAGTCTCACTCTGTTGCCCAGGCTGGAGTGCAGTGGCATGATCTCGGCTCACTGCAAACTCTGCCTCCCAGGTTCATGCCATTCTCCTGCCTCAGCCTCCCCAGTAGCTGGGACTACAGGTGTCCGCCACCATGCCTGGCTAATTTTTTGTGTTTTTAGTAGAGACGGGATTTCACCGTGTTGGCCAGGATGGTCTCGATCTCCTGACCTCGTGATCTGCCCGCCTCAGCCTCCCAAAGTGCTGGGATTACAGGCGTGAGCCACTGCGCCCGGCCAAAATTTTCATTTCTTTAGTTAGAACATTATTAACTTAAAACAGTTTTGAAACACACTGTCCCAATCTCTTGTCTTATAGAAATAACAAGTGTGAGTTTCTTTGTGAACTATTCCACCTGAAGTACTGACTCGGGTGATTCAAGTTACTACTTATGGGTCAGCTGTGCCATTTTGTTATACTGACTCTTATACCTTAACCCCTGAGTGATTTAGATTGTCATAATTCCTCTTTAGGCCCTGTTAGATTAATCGTCCCACACTCAGAACAGGGGCTACACTGGTTAAGAGAATAGAAATTAAGCCCCAGAAAAATTTGAGCACAATAGAAACTTCCTTCTGTGACAGTGTGGATTTTTCCCCTGAGCAATTTTTCTATAATGCAAATCCAATTATACAACACCCCTGCTTAAATCTTTCCACGTGTTACTATGGCTGTATTGATAAAGATCAATTTCATTGCATGAGATACAAGACGCTTCATGATCTGGCCCCTCATTAGTTCTTCACTGTGTCACTTATCTCTGAGTGCATATGCTTCTCCACCACTTCACTCTCTTGGTTCTCTCTTTCTCTCTTTCTTTACCCCATCTGTCTTTCAGCCACACTGAAATATATATGAAGGGAAGATAACTGAGCCTTATGTAAGGCTTTCTGAAGGAAAGAAAGAACAAACAGTAGTCATCCAGTCAAGTGAAAGCAGGAGTGGTTGAAAGCTCCAGACTTATAAGCTGGTTTAATACCTGAGTTGTAGTCCTGGCTCTGCCACTAAGCAGTTTGGTTGATTTAGGCATTTCACAAATCTTTCTGGGTCTTTACAATGAGAAAATCTAACTAAATTAGTATTTCTTGGAGTATATTTGAGATGCATTAATATTTTGCTAGTTGTTACTAAAAAAAGGGGTGATTGGCTACATGTGTTTGGGATGTCCTAAGTTAAACAATACTTACAGTTTTCTTTCAATCATAAAGATCCTGTAACATGTGAATGTCATCTGGAGGCCTCTAGAGGGGAAGTTAATATGATGTAGGTTTTTACACATACTTTCCATGAAAACCTCCTGATTCAGAATCTCTTGCAGGAATAGTATTCTGTTTAATGCAGCTAGGTTTTATGATCTCTAGGGGGCCTTTCCAACTTTGACATATTTTGATTCTTTCAGTGAAATTGGTTGACACACTCTGCCCCTATGTATTTTTTTTCTCATTTGTTTTTCTTTTATTTATTTATTTATTTATTATTATACTTTAAGTTTTAGGGTACATGTGCACAATGTGCAGGTTAGTTACATATGTATACATGTGCCACGCTGGTGCGCTGCACCTACCAACTCGTCATCTAGCATTAGGTATATCTCCCAATGCTATCCCTCCCCCCTCCCCCCACCCCACAACAGACCCCAGAGTGTGATGTTCCCCTTCCCGTGTCCATGTGTTCCCATTGTTCAATTCCCACCTATGAGTGAGAATATGTGGTGTTTGGTTTTTTGTTCTTGCGATAGTTTACTGAGAATGATGATTTCCAATTTCATCCATGTCCCTACAAAGGACATGAACTCATCATTTTTTATGGCTGCATAGTATTCCATGGTGTATATGTGCCACATTTTCTTAATCCAGTCTATCATTGTTGGACATTTGGGTTGGTTCCAAGTCTTTGCTATTGTGAATAATGATGCAATAAACATACGTGTGCATGTGTCTTTATAGCAGCATGATTTATAGTCCTTTGGGTATATACCCAGTAATGGGATGGCTGGGTCAAATGGTATTTCTAGTTCTAGATCCCTGAGGAATCTCCACACTGACTTCCACAATGGTTGAACTAGTTTACAGTCCCACCAACAGTGTAAAAGTGTTCCTATTTCTCCACATCTCTCCAGCACCTGTTGTTTCCTGACTTTTTAATGATTGCCATTCTAACTGGTGTGAGATGGTATCTCATAGTGGTTTTGATTTGCATTTCTCTGATGGCCAGTGATGGTGAGCATTTTTTCATGTGTTTTTTGGCTGCATAAATGTCTTCTTTTGAGAAGTGTCTGTTCATGTTCTTCGCCCACTTTTTGATGGGGTTGTTTGGTTTTTTCTTGTAAATTTGTTTGAGTTCATTATAGATTCTGGATATTAGCCCTTTGTCAGATGAGTAGGTTGTGAAAATTTTCTCCCATTTTGTAGGTTGCCTGTTCACTCTGATGGTAGTTTCTTTTGCCCCTATGTCTTATTTAGACTTTTTTCCAAAGCAGCCTTAAGTATTCTTCTCTGATTCATTGATAATTCCATTATTGACATACCCTACTTACAAAGTGACTGGTGTACCATTTTCATGATTCAGTTTCTCATGTCTTTTCAAATGACTCAATATTCTTGGAATGCAGATTTTACAGAATGGTGACCAGCTTCTACTAGTAGAGGCTTTGGGGCATTCTGTGTTTGTCATTAGTTATGCAATCTAAGGCGTTATGTTAAAAAACTTTCTGGAGAAAATACTTTGGGAAAACACCTACAGAAATATGGAAATTTTGATAACGCACATGAACTCCTCTTCCCCTAAGGCTGTGTGTTCACTTCTCTAGATTCAGATTAATTAGGTGGGGCAAACCAAAATGGAACAGGTTTCCCTGTGAAACAATGAGCCCCTTGTTACCAGAAGTGTTCTGTTTGAAGGATTACAGCTGAGCAGTTTCACTAAAGATCAAGAATGTGACAGAAGAAATTCTCACATTGGAAGGACAGTTAGACCAGATTATCTCGGGGAGGTCTCTTCCAGATCTAAGACTGGTCTGCAGTCATGTAGTCCTCTCACTCTGAATTGTAATTGCACTTTTATAATCTCTCTTCTGGAGGTTAACCTCAAGAGATCTAATTAGGAAATGAAGAAATAATACTGGGAAAGGTGTCTTATGGATTTTTTCTTTAGTTTTTAATAGAGCTTTATTTTTTTATTTAATTGTTCCCTTTGAAAGCCCAGAAGTTCAGGTCATGAAGGAATGGGATATGGGACTAAGGTTTTACAAATGCGGAAGATGACCAAGAGTGGTCAATGAAAAACATGGCTTGGATGAGGAGGATAGTGTTATAGATATGTGAATGTCACTTCACATATCTAACAAGGAGATAAAATTTGGGTAGCTGTCAGGGAAGGAAAAGCCCTTGAGTGCCAAATCAAGAGAAAAGTAAAATCTACCCCCTGCTTCCTGAAACTCTATCTTCTCTCCTGTCTTCAACTAACACATGCCAGGGTAAGGGAGAAGATAAAATTAAGAGAATATAGTCTCTATTCTCAAGTAATTGACAGTTTAGTGGAGTAAACAATCAAGTAAGCAGTTACAATCCTATGTGAAATTAAATACAATAACATTTTGGAAATAAGGAATAGATGCTTTGGGAATGCTTTCATGCTTGGTCCTTTTGTTGCTTTGTTTAAGAAATCATTCCTTATCCTAAGGTCATATAAGTATTCTTTTACTATTTCCTTCTGGCAGTTTAAAAGTTTTGTCTTTAACATTTAAGTCTTTAATTCATCTTGAATTAAATGTTGGGAATGGTGTAAGATAGGGATCCAATTTTATTTTTTTCTATATCAGTTCTTATTCAGCCATCCCTTCTTTCCCCAGTGATTTACAATGGGCTTTGCCATATATTGTTATCATATATGAATGAAATTGAATCTGGGCTTCCTATTCTGTTCCACTGATCAATTTGTTTACCTCTGCAGCAAAACCACACTGTCTTCATTTCTCTAGCTTTATAATCAGTCTTGAGATCTGGTAGGGCAAGTTTTCATACCATATCTCCCCTTCCTCCTCTTCTTCCTCCTTGTCCTTTTGTTTGTTCTTCTTCAGAAGTGCCTTGGCTATTCTTGGCCCTCTGCTGTTACATATAAATTTTGCAATCAGCTTGTCAAGTTCCTTGGAAAACTGTTGGAATTTTTATTAGAATAACATTAAATCTATATATACATTTTAGTAGAATTGATATATTGTTAATTTCAACACATTTATCCACAAACAAATGTATTTCTCCATTTATTTGGATCTTCTTCTTATTGTAATAAAGTTTTATAATTTTCTATGTAAAGATTTTTCACAACTTCATTAACTGTATTCCAATGCACTTTAATATTTTGTTGCTATTGGAATCATTTTTTAAATTATGTTTTTCTGTTTGTTGCTGGTATGGAAAATTGATTTTTACATATTGATTTTACATTCACCCCTTTGCAAAATGGTTATCATTTCTATTCATTTATATATCCTTTGCATTTTCTCTATAGATAATTCTATCTTCCATGAATGGATTAGTTAAGATAAGAGTTGTTCTTTTGACAGATACACCCATAAATCTCAGTATCTTAACGCAATAGTAGTTTGTCATTAATGTAAAGTCCAATGTGCATGTTCAGGATTTAGCCTTCCATTTGGCAACTCAAGGACAGAGTCACCTTTTGTTTTAAAGCTTTACCATCTCCTAGGCCTTTGGAGTCCTTTGTTTCCAGCTAAAAGAGTGTGCAGGAAGCACACCTACCACCTTGACCAAGATATGACACACATCACCTACATTCACCTTCTATTATTGAGAATTAGTCACGTGGCTCCACCAAATTGTAAGGGGACTGAGAAAATTCTACACTATGGGGAAAAATCATAGATTTTTGTCAGACAGCTAACTGTGTGTCATAGTGAGTACCAGCAGTAGTATTTTTCCTTTATTAACCTCATACATTTTATTTCTTTCTCTTGCTTTACTGCTTTAGCTGGTTCATGCATTACACTATTGAATGGAAGCATCAATAAGGGGTATTATTGTTGTCCTCCTGATTTTGAAGAAGTGCTTCAAACTTTTAACCATTAAGAATAATATTTATTATAGCTTTTTGGCAGATACTCTTTATCAGATTAGCGAAATTCCTATTAGTCCTCATTCGGTAAGGTTTTTATTTTTTTTTTTACTTTGAATTTTTCCAAAAGCTTTATATCTATTGAAATTGTGATATATATTATTTTTCTGTACCATTGGTTTCTGTTTGCTATTTTGTTTTTAGAATTTTTGCATCTATGATCATGGGCAAGATTTATCTATAAGTTCTTACTTATACTGTTTTATTTTAAAATCAGAAGCATAATAACACTGTGTTCCCTTCTCTTCTGGCCTGTGGAAGATTTTGAATAATATTTGAATAACCTATTCCTTGAAAGTGTGATATTACCCACCCAGAAACCATCTAAGGCTAGCATTTACTTTTGTAGGAAGAATTTAAGTTATTGTTTCAAATCTTTAATAGTGATAGGACCATTAGACTTCCTATATCATATTTAGTCAGTTTGGGTAGGTTATATTTTGTAAGTGATTAACCACTCAATGTAGAACATCAGGCTTATTGGATTAAAGTTGTTCATGCTATTGTCTTTTAAGTCTCTGCTGTTTCTATAGATATGCATGTCTTTCATTATTTTAAAACAAATTTTAAATGCTTTTAAATATTTAAACTATACTAAGATATAATTTACATGGGATAAAGATCACTTATTTAAAATGTACAATTCAATGATTTTTAGTGGATTTTCACAGTGTGCAACCATCACATAATCTAATTTTGGAACATTTTCACCACTCCAAACATAAACTTTTACCCATTAGCAATCATTTCCCTTTCTCTCTCTAACTCTTGTTCAGCCCCAGGCAACCATTAATTTATGTTCTATGCCTGTAGATTTGCCTATTATGGACATTTCAAATAAATAGTATCTTCCAGTATGTGGCCTTTTGTGTCTGGCTTCTTTCACTTAGCATAATGTTTTCAAGGTTCATCTCTGTTGTAGCATGAATCAGTACTTTATTCCTTTTTATGGCTACATAATAATCTGGCATATGGATATACTACATGCTGTTTATCCATTCATTGGTTAATGAACATTTGGGTTGTTTCTACTTTTTGTTCATTATGAATAATAATGCTGTGAACATTTATGAACAGGTTTTTGTCTGAATGCCTGTTTTCAGTTCTCTCAGTTACATACCTAAGAGTAGAATTTTTAGGTCAGATGGTAACTATTTTTGGCTTTTTGAGGAACTGCCAAATTCTTTTCCAAAGTGGCTGCACCATTTTATGTTCTCACCAGCAATGAATGAGGGTTTGAATTTCACCACTTCCTTACCAACAATTTTTGCTGTTTTCCTTTTTGATTGTAGCTATCCTAGTGGGTGTGGAGTACTATATAACTGTGTTTTTTATTTGCATTTCCCTAATGCCTAATGACATTGAACATCTCTTCAAGTGCTTGCTGCCCATTTGTATATGTTCTTTGGAGAAATGCCTCTTTGAAACCTTTGCCCATTTTTAATTGAGTTGCATATCATTTTACTGTGAAGTTGTAAGTTTTCTTTATATATTCTACTATATATCCCTAGATATATACCCAAGAGAATTGAAAATAGGTGTTCAAATGAAAATTTATAAGGTATATTATTTGCAAAAATTATCTCCCCTGTCTTTTTATTTTCTTGGTGGTGGCCTTTGAATTACAAACATCTTTAATGTTGATGAAAGCAAACTGTAATCAATCACTTATCGCTTGTAATTTTGGTGTCATATCAAGGTCATGAAGATTCACTCCAATATTTTCTTCTAAGATTTTTATAGATTTAACTCTGATGCTCATATCTATAATTGAATTTGAATTATTTTTGTGTATGTTGGTCCAATTCATCCTTTTGCATGTTGATATTCATTTGTCCTACTATCATTTGCTGACAAGGCTATGTTTTCCTTATTGAATTTTTCTGACTCCTTTGTTGAAATCAGTTGACCTGAAATTTTGTTTCTGTACTCTCAATTCTGTTCCTTGGATCTACATGCCTAACTCTGTACCAGTGCCACATTGTCTTAATTTGTGTAGGTTTGTAGTATGTTTTGAAATCAGAAAGTATGAGTCTTCCAACTTTCTTCTTCAAGTTTGCTGTTTCTTTCTTTTGCTAGCTAAATTCTGCTGTCAAGCCACTTTAATTAATTTTTCATTTCAGTTATTGTACTTTTCAACTCCTTAATTTCTATTTGGGCTTTTTATAATTTTTGTTTCATTATTGATAGTTTATATTTGGTAAAATATAATTCCAATACTTTCCTTTAGTTTTTAAAACATGATTTCCTTTAACTCTTTGATCATATTTATATAGTTGATTTATCATTTTTGTCTAGTATGTCCAATGTCTGGCTTCCTCAGGAATAGTTTCTATGATTTCTTTTTTTCCTGTGTAGAGCTTTATTTTCTTTTTTCTTTGCATGTCTCAAATGTTTTGTTCAAAATTGGACATTTTATTTAATATAATGTGTCTCCTCTAGAAATCAGATTTTTGTCCCTCCTCAGTGTTGGTTTTGTTGTTATTTTTAGTGTTGCTGCTGACTGCTTCTCAGTTACTTTACTGAGCTAAATCTGCGAAATCTATATTCTATGTTGTGCATAGTCACTGAAATCTCTGCTCACTTAGCTAGCTGACTTATAAGTTGATGAATAAAAAGAAATTTCCTTAAATACCTGGAACGAATTAGTCTCTCCATTTTCGCTGAGGGGCTGTGTGTGCATGTAGGGTCAAATTTACAACACTCGGCCAGGTAATTGACAAATCTACGTTAGCCTATACTTGTTGCGTGTGGAAAGTTTCAAGGTCAGCCAGAAAAGATAGCTTAGGGCCTTTTTAGGTCTTTCCTGAGCATGTACACATCTCTGGGTATGCACATAGCCCTGCACATGCCTGTGGTCTTCTGAATTCCCAGGAATATGTCAGAGCTTTTCAAATCTCTTATGGATATCTCATTCTTCAGTTTTTCTGTTTTAGGTTTTTGGTTAGCCTACCATTTACCCCAACTCTTTTCAACTTCCTCAGGCGGCCTCAAATTCAAACTACCTCTAAATGCTTTCATCAAACTTCCCTTGGGAAAAGACTTTTGGTGTTGGGCAAGCTCTGAGTCAGATTCTTTTAAGTTAGGCAGCAATTGGAGTATTCCAGGGAACTAACCGTCATTTAAATTAACAACACTTTTCTGGGACTGAGGCTTTGAAGGACCTCGGATTCTGTTCTTCCCCTCTGGTGGTTGCCAGGTTACTGGTTTTCACCATGATAGCTAGCTGTTAATTTTTAAGGGTATCACAGAGCTTGAGAGAGGGGAATAGGAATTCTGTAAATCAAAATATTTCTAAAGCTCACTGTTCTTATCAAAATTTCACTGTTTTTCTTGAGTAAATCTTCCTGGGATTGCTGTAAGCTTTGGTGAATTTGCAGAGTTTCGAAAATGTTGATGACCATTTTTGCCAGTTTTCTCATTGCTTTTACAGAGGGGAGAACGTTTCATGATACCACCCTGCTGGTTATGTTTATGACTATTTTCCCACATTGTGCTCTTGCATGTTTAGCCTCTTAATTGTGTCTTTGATTAATAGTTTTTTATCTTTCAAAGTATAATCACTTACTCTGAATGTTTCATTGCTGATTTAATAGTATTTAATGTCAGAATTTTATTAGTTACTTTCTATCTTCCTTGGCAGTTTTTTGTTTGGTTTCAAAAATCAACTTTCTTGAAATTTAATTTACGTATAGGAAAATGCACTCATTTCCAGCATACATTTAGATAAGTCTTGTAACTATTTTCACCCATATAAATACTATCATAATTAGGATATAGAATATTTTTATTATCCCCAAAAGTTTTCTTGTGACCCTTTCTACTTAATCTCCTTTCCGCAGTGCTGACCTTTGGCATCCCCTGATCTGTATTCTGTTACTACAGTTATGTCTTTTCCAGTGTGTCACTTTGATGGAATCATTGAGCATGTAGTATTTTGAATCTAGTCTCTTTCACTTTTCTTAGTAGTTTAGAGATTCTTCCATGTTGTTGCATGTATAAATAGTTTGTTCTTTTTTATTTTTAAGTTGTCTTCCGTTATTTAGGTACACAAAAATTTGTTTATTAATTCATTGATTACTGGACACTTGGTTTGTTTCCTGCATTTTGGCTATTATGGCTATTATGGATAAAGCTTCAATGAACATTCATATGCAATTATTTGTATGCAGATATGTTTTCATTTCTCTTAGATAAATATCTTGGAGTGGATTTTTGGGTCACATGGTAAATGTATGTTTAACTTTATAAAAACAGCCAACCTCTTTTTCAAAGTGTTTGTAACATTCAACATTCCTGCCAGCAATGCATGAGAGTTCTAGTTATTCTATATATTCACTCACACTTGGCATTATTGGATTTTTAGATTTTTCTTATTCTGATGGTTTTTTTTAATTGTGTCTCATTGTGTCTTTATTTTGCAGTTCCATTATTAGTAATGTGATTAAGGACTTTTTATGTTTATTGGCCATATTCTTTTGCAAAATACTTGTTAAAGTCTTCTGCTTAATTTTATATTGGTATATCTGTCATTTATTATTTATTGTTATGAGTTTTTTATATTATACCTTATGGATATGAATTCTTTGCTAATTATGCATTGCAAATAAATATCTTTTCTTACTGTGGCTTGCCTTTGTAGTCTCTTTGTTGTGAGCTCAATGAACAGATGTCCTTAATTTTAATGTTGTTTATCAATCATTTCCTTTTTGGTTCGTCTTTTATACGTCCTGTTTAAGAAAGCTTTTCTTACCTCAAGGACACAATATATTCAATGCTACTTCCTCTGTAAGCTTTGTTGTTTTACTATTTATATTTAGATCTACAGTCTACCTAGAATTAACTTTTATCTCCAGTAAAGACAAGGATTTTTCTGTTTCTCATGTTAAATTGATGTAGCACCACTTATTGTTAAAAAAAAAAAAAAAGTCTTCACCCACTTCTCTTCAGTGCCACCATGGGATCTATTTTGGACTTTATTCTGTTCCATTGGTCTATTTTGTTATCTTTTTGCAGTACCACAATGTCTAAATTACTATAGCTTTATGAGTTTTGATATCTGGTTGTATAAATCCTCCAGTTTTGTTCTGTTTCTTACACAAAATTGTCTGAATATTCTTGGCCCTTTGCATTCCCGTATATACTCTAGCACTGGTTTGCCAATTTCCACAAAAAACCCTGCTGATATTTGTATTGGGATTGCACTGAATATATAGATTACTTTGGGGAGGAGTCTCATAATCATAACATTGAGCCTTCCAATTCATTAACATGATATAACAGTCTAGTTATTTAGGTTTTCTTTCATTTCTTTCCCAAATGTTTTATAGGTTTCCATGTAAGATTCTTGCATATTATTCGTTAGACTTACTAGTAAGTATTTGTTAACTTTTAGTGCCATTGCAAATGATATATATTTTATATGTATTTTTTTTTTATTGAGACAGAGTATCACTCTGTCGCCCAGGCTGGAGTGCAGTGGCACTATCATGGCTCACTGTAGCCTCGACCTCCCCAGGCTCAAGTGATTCTCCCACCTCAGGTTCCTGAATAGCTGGGACTACAGACACACAACACACAGCACCATGCCTAGCTTTTTTTTTTTTTTTTTTTGAGTTGGAGTCTCGCTCTGTCTCCCAGGCTGGAGTGCAGTGGCGCGATCTCAACCCACTGCAAGCTCCGCCTCCCGGGTTCACACCATTCTCCTGCCTCTGCCTCTGCCTCTGGAATAGCTGGGACTACAGGCGCCCGCCACCACGCTCGGCTAATTACCGGGCTATTTTTTTAAAGTTTTTTGTAGAGATAGAGTCCCACTATTTTGCCCAGGCTGGTCTCGAATGCCTGGGCTCAAGTGATCAGTTCGCCTCAGCCTCCCCAAATGCTGGGATTACAGGTATGAGCCACCACACCCGGCTGCAAATAACATATATTTTAAAACTTCATCATTTGTTGTTGGCATATAGAAATGCATTGTTAAAATATTGATCTTGTGATCAGCAGTGATGTGAGGCCTAAAATTAAGGCCCCATGTTATGTATGTACTGCCTTGACTTCTGGTAAAAACCAGAAGGGTCTCTACTGGCTTAACTGCAAGTTCTCCTCCCCATTCTGCCCCCATTTTGGATAAGGATAAAGTCCTATGAATTTTTTAATCTGAAAACATCTTTTCTTCTTAACGAATATTTTTGTTATGTATAGAATTATAGTCTGGACATTTTTACTTTTAGTAATTTGAAGTTACGCCACTCTTTTTTGGTTTTCATTTTTAATTTAAGAAGTTACTTGCCATTCTTATTTTTGCTGCTTTGGTAGAAAAGAAGTCTTTTTGTAAATCTAGTTTCTTTTAAGACATTTTCCCCCCATCATTGGTTTTCAGAAGTTTTCCTGTGATGTGCCTAGGAGTCATATGTTATTATTTATCCTTCCTGAAGTTTGCAGGTCTTCTTGAATCAGTAGTTTAATACATCTCTTCAGGTTTGAAAAATTATCTGCCATTATCTCTACAGGTATTACTTTTTTCCCTTATTCTCTATTTTCTCTCCTTTTGAGACTTTAATGACATATGTATGTGATATTTTCACAACACCCCTAGTGGGAATTTAGAATTCAAAGCCACCTGATGCTAAAGTCCTCTGAACTAATTTAAATTGGGAAATGACACAGCCAGATTCTAACACTGAGAATATCACTCTACTGGTTAATGTAGAAGATGGCCAGGAAGCACAAAGTAGAGGCAGGGAATATAGTTATAAAATTGTTACCATAATCCTATTTTTGACCTTATAATGTGTTTAAGGTTTTCCTTTCTTCTCCACTTTTTAAATGTGGGTATTCCCCCAACATTCTATTTTTGGCTTTCTTATCTGTTTTTCTTAACTTTTATAGTTTCAAAAGTCATCTCTGCATAGTTGTCTATGAAATGAATGTCTCAATTCTCACTCCCTCTTCTAAGAACCAATGTTGCATTTCAAGGTGTCCATTGTGTATCTACCTACTCATCAAAACAAGGATTTTCAAAACAATACTTTTTTCTGCTTCTTATTAGTTCTGTCCTTTGATTTCCAGTTTCTGTTAATGACATCATTATACATCCAGCCACTCTAATATTTGACTCTTTCCTCTTTCCTGAGCCCAACATTCACTAAGTTACAAGACCTCTAGCATTTTTTCACACTTTATCTCCCCTACCCTTTCCTACCTTTCTATTACCAAGATCCAGTATTATCTCAGTACTGGGTCATCTCCTGGGCTTATTTTAAAAGTTTTCTAACTGATATTTCTGTATTCAGTTTCTTTCCATTCTAATATACCTAATGAAAATATTTCAGGTTAAGTTTCTTAAAGACTCGTCCTATAATGTTATTTACCTGCTCAAAACGTTCAATGGATTCCCATTACTCACTGAACAAAGTACAAGACCTCAGCCTGCTCTGCAAAGTCCTCCACAATAAGATCACAACCCAGTCTCCATATTTATCTCCCATCATGCTTCAACAGAGACATTTTGCTTCAGGCACACTGGACTAATTTTCATTCTCTATACATGTTCCATGCGTTCCTTTCTTAGTGTCTTTGGGGTTTTCAACCCTCAATCAAAAAAAGCATCTAACAGTAAATTGCATGTTCTGCAGTAGTAGAATAACAACTATTCTTTTTTTGTTCTTTGTTTTGTTTTGTTGTTTTTTGAGATGGAGTCTTGCTCTGTCGCCCAGGTTGGAGTGCGGTGGCATGATCTTGGCTCACTGCAACCTCTGCCTCCTAGGTTCGAGCGATTCTCCTGCCTCAGCCTCCCGAGTGAGTAGCTGGGCTTACAGGCATGTGCCCTATTCTTAAGAAATGCAGAATATTCTAGCCCCAAAGCAGATCACATCATGTACTCTTTTGCTCTCATGAACCAAATTGTTTATTCTTAAGTATGTCATGAATGGTGGTACTTCTTTGAAAGAGAAACCATCTAATAATGACTTGAAATGTGGCAGAGAAGTGTGACAAAGAGGAGGGGCAGTTATGCTTAGAATCACACAAATTTTTTATAATCTCCAAATAAGAAACCTTTATCCTCAGAGTTGAGGATAAAGAACTTGCAGTGAGCATTGGATTATAAGTGAATGTTCAGGCTGGTTAATAGCAAAATTGAACTGTAGCTCTCAGGCAGAATTCCTTTTATTGTGTCTTTGGTTAATAAGCTCTAGAAAAAATTCTTAAAAAGTAGGTCCAATAATGTCTTGAGCAACATGGTCATTGTTGAAATTAGGGTGTGTACTCTTAAGGTGTCTACTTTGAAAACCAGGCCTCTTTTGATTCCAAACCTATCCTGGTTCTGTTGAGCTTTGTCCTTCTCACCTAAGTGTTCTCTTTCCCCAAGCATCAACTCTAATTTATGCCCCTCAGATCTTACCATGCTTATAAGAATAATTATAGTTCCATATATTGAGCAATATGTGCCTAATATATGCAAAGCATTTAAATTATACCATGTAATATTCCCAGCGGTATCCAGAGGTAGATACTCTTATCTTTAAAATTTTTAATATAAGAAGCTCAAATCTTGAAAAATTTAAGTGACCTGCCCATGGTCACACAACATAGTAAGAGGTAGGGTTTTGTTTTAGGTTCCAAAATCTTGATCCCTAAGGCATCAGAAAGACAACACCAAGGAATGTGTTCCTATCAAACATCAGAGCTTCTACTGAAAGTCTAAAACAGAGCTTGTTTGAGCTGTCAACTTTAAATTCCTTTCTCTTGGACCTCTCCCTGATGCTCTTAGTTTTCTCAAGAGCAGGGTCCTTTTAATTGGGAAACAGCCCCAGGCCCATGATATTGCACCAGTTTCCTAAGGTTTTAAGCAAGAATCTTTAGAGAGAAATCCCTAATGAGAAAAATTCAAACGGAAACAGGAGTTTTTAATCTCACTGCTCCTCACACTGAAAATTTCACTCTGTAGCACTACTGAGTGATAATAACCTCAAGCCAATATTCTTTCTTAACTTTGGAAACTTCATGGAGTTTGTAATGTGCAGATAGTGTATCATATATTTGTGTATGCTGCTTATATTTGTCCACATCATGAGCAAACTGATTATGAAAATTGGAAGTCATAAAACAAGTAGAAATGATTTGCTAAATGGTTTGCTCCTCTTAAAAAAATCTTTATAGGGAGATAATAAATTTGTAAATGACATAAGCAGATATTTAAGGACATACAAATTAGGACTGGATGGAAGTAAAATGACATCTGAGATCCTAAGTTAATCTAAAATTATAGTGTAGAAATTCATGACGTCTTCACTAGAGAGAATGTTAGAATTCTTTCACTAACAGAATTAATTGGGGTGTGTGTGTGTGTGTGTGTGTGAGGCAGGGTCTTGCTATGTTGCACAGGCTGGCCTCAAAGCCCTGGACTTGAGCCATACTCTTGCCTCAGCCTCCTGAGGAGCTGGGACTATGGGTGCACACCACCGCACCCTGCTAACTGGTATATTTTTATATGGTGATGTCATGGTACTAGTTACTAACTCGTTGTTCCTTATCATAAGGAAAATATCTTGGGCCCTCCAAATCACTAAGCTAAAAGGAAAAGTCAATCTGGGAACTGCATAGGGCAACCCTGCCTCCCATTCTATTCATAGTCACCCCTCTGCTCACTGCTATAAATGCACATCTGATTGCCTCCTTTGAAAAGGCTAATCAGAAACTCAAAAGAATGCAACCCTTTGCCTCTCACCTACCTGTGACCTGGAAGCCCTCTCCGTGCTTTTAGTTGTCCTGTATTTCCTGACCAAACCAATGTTCATCTTACATAAGTTGATTGATGTCTCATGTTTCCCTTAAATGTATAAAACCAAGCTGTGTTCTGACCACCTTGGGCACAGGTCATCGGGATCTCCTGAGGCTGTCAGGGGTGCATATCCTCAACCTTGGCAAAATAAACTTTCTAAATTAACTGAGACCTGTCTGAAATTTTCAGGGTTCACAATTCTCACCAATCTCTGCTACCTTACAGACAAAGGCCGTCTGCTACTACCTCCTGAGGAGACTGACCTTCTAGTCTTATATTAGCCTTCACTTTCAGCATATTCCTTTTCCATTTTGGTTATGTATCTCCTTCCTAAAAAGGCAAATTCCAAGAATTACTAAATTTTTCCCCATGAAACTCTAATTAACAGGTATGCTACTTAATACATATTACATGAAATAAAAGGATTTATTTTCGGGGAAACTAAGTTTGGGAAATGTTGGATTCAAACCCTAACTCTGCTTCTTACTAATTGTATTACCTGGGTAAAATGACTTAACCTATGTGCATCTTATTTTTCTTCATCAATGAAATGAAGCTAAATATATTATCTATTTCACTGATTTCTTGAACTATTATATGAGATAATGCATGTCAGTCACTTTGTTCAGGGCCTTGCTCGTAGTTAGTATTCAATGCATGACGGCTGCTATTATTAAATTATGATCATTGTTTTATTATAAGCCAGGGCAGAGTCATTGAAGTTGAATTGTGACATTGAATTGTAACCAAGTCTGCAACCTCCTGGTGGAGCATATAGACCAGGTTTTACATGCAGTGGATCCCAAATTCTGCTCTGTGGATGGCTGCTTCAGAATCTTTGCCAACACTTTTTAAAAATATAGATGTTCAAGCTCTGTCCTTGGAGATAGTAATTTAGTACATTTTATAAACTATTTTCCTAAAACCCCATTTTAAAAATAAAACCAATTTGCAGTCAGATTTGGGAACCACTAATTTAGAAAATAATATTCATATTCCCTATCACAGCATTCAACGCTTTACATGATCTAGCTCTATCCTGCCTTTACATTCTCAGCTTTCCACTGGAGTAGTAGAGAAGACTTCTGAAATAGTTTTGTGACCCTACATGATATTTGTAAAAGAGAAGTGTTGTAATTCAAAGACAAAATATCATCCAGATACTACAAAGGGTGTCAGTACTCTGCAGCAGAAGTTTTGAACCCGAATACACACACAAAACAAATCATTTGGGGGCAATTGTTAAATATACATATTCCTGAGCTATACTCCTGGAGTTTCTGGTGGAGCAAATCTGGGATGGAGTGTAGGAATATAAACTTTTTGAAAATCTTTCTAGGTAATTTCAATACGGAGACAGGCTTGAAAGCCACAGTATATTTTTCTCTGTATCTGTATTTGTTGAGAACAGAAAGCAGAGTTTCTTCCTTTTTTATATTGTCCTAAATCAGTAGCCCACTGCTTGCACAAAGTAGGTGCTCATTTATTAATCCAAGTAAGGGAAGAGGATTGGTTGGTTCAAAATGGGAGATAAATTTTTGCTGTGCCCCCATAAAGACTATTTGTATCAGACATATTCTCTTCTGGAATAAAGGAGAAAGAAGGCAACTGACTATTCTATTCCTGACTCCCCTGTAATCATTTACAAACTCACAAGAGATATAGAAGTTTATGCTCTTTGATAGTCTCAAAATCCTAATTTAACCAACTTGGACTAGCATTATTCATTCAAAGCTATTTAACTTTTTCTTTCTGTTGTCTTTTACCTATGAAAGCAAGGCAAACAAACTATTCAGATTCAGGGTTTTAGTATTCTGGTTAACAGTGCAGGCTCTAGATTCACACTCCTTGTGTTCAAATATTTATTGGCCCTTTGCCAATTGTGTAAGCTTAGTCAGGTTACTTAACCTCTGTGTCTCAGTTTTTTCAACCATAATATGGGGGTAATATTAGTTCCTACATTATGCAATTGTTGTGAGAATAGGAGACAATAAATATAATGTACTTAAACAGTTTTTGACAAATCAAATGTTCTGACTATTTATTTGTGTATCTCCTTTTAACTAATGAATAAATTTTTTACATATATATATATACATCACATTTCCATAAAATTCTGATTCCACTATTTAAGATAAACACTTTGGTGAATAAAACAACCTCTCACATAGAAGCCACATTTTCCAAACAGTGACAGAGGGCAAGATTTGACAATGTGTTGTAGAGGAGAGGTTTCCAATGACTAGTACTTGATCATATTTTCACCTGTCTGTGAAGAGTGGCAAATATAAAATGGTATAATTGCCAATTGTCATGTCTTATGAAGCATTGCCCTTTAGATACTGATTATTTTATTCCTGCATTTTTAATATTAAATTATCTGCTTTCAGGGAATGACATAATGGCTTGAAGTATGATTTTTTAAATTCCCATACCTGGAAAAGAATTTTAAAAGTGACAAACCTATGTCAGAACCCTCAAGTTTTTTGAAATTTTACTTGTCAGTGAAATGCAATAGCTTAGGAGCATTCTGAAAATCGATGATGTGGTAAACACTCGATAATCTGGATAACTGACTAGCAGCATTATGATCACCACTATTGCGGCTGGAGTGGAACAAGATCACCTTGGTGTTCCTTGTTTGGAAGATTATTTCCTCTGAATTTCTGGGCTTGGTCTTCCAGTTGGCATTTGTATTAAATGTATTAAAGTTGTATTAAAACAATTTAATGAAAATATTAAATATTTGGTTTCAAAAGGCAAAAAAAAAAAAAAAAAAAAAAAAAAAAGAACCGCTATGCTAGCCCGGCGCGGTGGCTCACGCCTGTAATCCCAGCACTTTGGGAGGCCGAGTTGGGCGGATCACGAAGTCAGAAGATCGAGACCATCCTGGCTAACATGGTGAAACCCCGTCTCTACTAAAAAATACAAAAAATTAGCCAGGCGTGGTGGCAGGCGCCTGTAGTCCCAGCTGCTCGGGAGGGTGAGGCAGGAGAATGGCCTGAACCCAGCAGACGGAGCTTGCAGTGAGCCGAGATCGCACCGAGCCGAGATCGCACCACTGCACTCCAGCCTCGGTGACAGAGCGAGACTCCATCTCAAAAAAGAACCGCTATGCTGAGGCCTACGATCACTATGAGATTCATTTAAAGCTAAAACATCAAAGCAGAAGTTCTCATTTCTTTTGGCTATCTACCAGTGCAAAATACACATTTCTTCCAGCTGTCTTGTGAATGTGGTTTTGATTTTCAGTTGACAAGTTCACCTGAACATTAAATGTAGCAAAATACTTTGCTTGAACCTTTTGCAAGAGGCAAGATTCAGGACAATGGTGTTCGTGATCTCCTGTTGTCATTTTAGGAATTTTTATGTACTTCACCAGCAGCAAAATGATACAGTGCTTTTGGCAGTTAAACAATCAAGACATGAGAATATTAGAGGGGACTGTTGATTCGCTTGTTTAATGCTTGCATATTAATTATATCAAAAAAGGAGAGAACTTCCTGTTTTGTATTATAAGAAAAAGAAGAAACCTTCTTGTGTTATATTGAAGTATTGTATAAGGCATTTAAAATGGTTTGTAAAGATTAAAGCACTAGGAAAATGCAAAATATTATTAGATGGTACTTACATGAAATGAATACAACTTCCTCTACTGTTTGCTTCCCTCATAGTATTTTTTGGTTGTTTTTAAACTTTATTTAAATGGCATCATACAGAATTCACTGTCTTATGTTGGACTAATTTAATTATGTTTGCAAGTTCCATACATATATCTGAATATGGCTGTAGTTCATTTTTATTTTTGTATAGTATCTTATAAAAATATAAAACCTACTTTTTCTTATTTTTCCATTTAAAAATGTTTATTTTTATTTCAACTTTTATTTTAGATAGAGAGGATACATGTACAGATTTCTTATATGGGAATATTATGTGATGCTGAGGTTTGGAGTACAGACTCCATCACCAGCTACTCATAGTTTTAATATTATATGAATATAACTTTTCATGTACTAAAGACATAGGCAATATGTCGGGATACTTCCTCTAAAACACAATTGTTGTAGGGAACCCAGTTTAAAATTGTGTTTAAAATATTGGAGTTGTTGCTTCTTGGTGATAGTTTAATAAACAATATTTTTCTTTGAAATTTCTGGACTTCCCAAAAAATTCTAAGATGACTGTTATGTATATGAAATGTGAAATTATAAATTTAAAGCATAAAATGAAAGTAGATGCAAATAAAGATAGTCTAACCACTAATTTTATAGTTGGAAATGAAAATCATTACATAAACCAAGCTTGCTTTACATCTGATTTCCACTGGGTGTCAGTAATGTATGACTTTTAACACATAATCTCTAAAAGTTGTATGCTAGTTCTAAAGCTTATTTTTTGTTTGCACTTAATATTTGTTTGGAGATTCTTATTATTGAATCAATCTTTAGCTGTCTATTACTAGTCATTTTATTCTCTGGCTGATAATGTATCATAACCACCATAAAATTATAAAATGCATAATAAATGATACTTTTTGTAATTTGATGACATACAAAATTGAAGACCCAAAGAAAGTGAAAAGAATATGTAACTAAGCTGTTAGCTTAAAGGTTTGTGCTTTGTTTTGTTTTTTGTAGATTCAAGCTAACTAAGTGCTACATTAAGCAGGATTGCCTAGAAACAATTAAAGGGAGCCACTCATTGATTCAACTCTACAATTATACACTCAACACACATTGATTGAGCATTTATTGTGTGTTAGGAATTGTTCATGGGACAGTGGATAAAGTGGTGAACAAGATGGTCATTGTCTCTTCTCTCAAATTGTTCAGAATTTAGTTCGGAAGACATATAAGTAAAATCACAATTATAGGAAATGTGATATATGATATGTATTATGTAAAGGGTGGACAGTATAGTATTGGGGCTGAGTTCTCTGGCTCTGGAGTTTGGCTGTCTGTTTGGATTCCCATCCCTGGTTTTATCCATTATACGACATAAGCAAAAATACTTACTCTTTCAGTCTTAGTTTTCTCATATGTACAATGATGATAATAATAGTATCCATCTCATAGGGTTGTTTTGAAAATGCAATGAGATAATCCATTTAAAGCATTGGGCACAAATCACTCAATATATGTTAAAGAATGTTATTAATGGACCCACAGGTTGCTATAAGGGGCAGTAAGGAAAGGACATAGGAGTGAGAGTTGGTAGTCGTAGGGTTGGAACTTCCTTCCAGAGTTGATGGCATTTGCAAAAGTATAAATGCATTTTGAGAACTTAAAATTGTTTAGTATGGTGGACAAACAATCAGTGGTTAGATTTGAACGTGTCGACTTCCAGCTGAGTGTATCCATCCAGTAGACGGTTGAATATGGGTCTGTAATATAGCAGAAAGAGTTGAGCTGAAGTTTTGGAGGTCATAAGCATGTGATGGTTGAAGACATAAGTGTCAATGATGGAGAAGGAATTCATTTAAGGAGTTTCAACTCTAGAATTATATGATTAGTGTTATAGAAACATCACTCTGGTAACAGTGAGGAACATCGATTTGGAATGGGTGATACGGGCACTGCTCTGAGACCAAAGGCAAAAATACAATAGAAGTTGTCAGGTTTACGAGATTTTGACTAACATAATTTCTCTAAATAATAATGCATTGTAACATGAAAAAGTAAAGTAGTATGGGTAATTACGTACATAATCATCCAAAATATATATTAAAGATTTAGTGATATCTGGTTCAAAGTCATCATTTTAGGAAATCACACACTATTATAACCAGCAGAACACTTTTTGATGTATCTTAATATAATTTTTTCTTTGCCTTGCACCAGTCTCCCTCTTATTCTAGAAGATGCATACATGTGTCTGGTAAGATTTAGGATAGTTAGAGCAGAAATTCAAAGATATGATCAGTTAATATATTCATAATGTTCAAGAGGGATTAGAATGAGTCCCTAATGTGAGAGATTTTAGGACTGAACTTGAAGGAAATGTTTTCCTCTTGAAATCCAGGCTTTGTTGAGAGGGAGGGTTTTCTATCCTCTTATCTCTTTTCTGTACTTATTTAATATGGGAGATTTTGTTTTTCAATAGAGTAGAGCAGAGGACTTTTGGATTGTGTACAGGGACTTGACGGAGGATAAAGACAGTGATGATAGAAGGAGATATCATGATATCTGTCCCCTCTCTGGTCAGCCAATGGATTAGATCTAATGTGAGAAATATTGAGATGAAAGTTGAGGGAGCTGTTCTCATGAGACATGGTAAAACTTTATGTCTTGGCTAATGTTTAAAAAAAAAGATGATGAAACATGATGCATTAGAGCCCAGTTATGTTTAATTTAATTTATTTATTTATCCAGTCAGGGTCTTTCTCTGTTGCCCAGGATAGAGTGTAGTGGCATGATCGTGGTTCACTGCAACCTTAAACTCCTGGACTCAAGTGATCCTCTTACCTCACTCAGCCTTCCCAGTAGCTAGGACTATAGGTATATGTCACTGCATCTGGCTTTTTTTGTTTTTAATAGAGACAGGGCCGCACTATGTTGCCCACGCTGATCTCAAACTCCAGGCCTTAAATGATCCTCCCATCTTGGCCTCCCAACATGTTGGGATTACAGGCATGAGCCACTAGCCTAGCCAGAGCCCAAGTATAAGATGAGTGAAAAGAAATTTGAGAAGATTCTGTTTATCAAGGAAGAGAGGCTTTGCCTTTGATCAGTGGACTGTGGAAAATTTAAAAATTTCATCTTGATTATATTTGGACAAACATGCATTTCACTTTATGTACTACAGACCTGACAATTTCTATGAGGAAGTGAGGCAAGCTGGCCAAGTTATCAAGATGGTTTGTGAAATGAAATATTATCGGCCAGGCACGGTGGCTCACGCCTGTAATCCCTGTACTTTGGGAGGCCGAGGTGGGTAGATCACAAGGTCAGGAGTTCAAGACCAGCCTGGCCAAGATGGTGAAACTCTATCTCTACTAAAAATACAAAAATCAGCTGGGTGCAGTGGGAGGCGCCTTTAATCCCAGCCACTTGGGAGGCTGAGGCAAGAGAGAATCACTTCAACCCGGGGGGTGGAGGTTGCAGTGAGCTGAGATCATGCCTCTGCACTCCAGCATGGGCAACAGAATAGAGTGAGACTCTGTCTCAAAAAAAAAAAAAAAAGAAAAAGAAAAAGAAAAAGAAAAGAAATATTATCTAATAGCTTGGCAAATATAAGTATTTGCCAATATATAAGTATTTGCAAATATAAGTATTTGCTAATAGCTTGGCAAATATAAGTATCCCAATTTTCAATTGTCCTCCAGTCCGTGTGTGCTAGCAGTGTTTCAGGGACAGGTCTAACAGGATACACAGCTTGACACCAGCTTTGATTTTCAGAAGTTTAAGCATACCAACCATATCATGATTTGTATTAGTAGCCTTTGGGTTTTGTGGGAACATGAGGAGGGCACACAGCAATCCACTAAAAACTCATATTAGACATTTCATTTTCCAAAGACCCTTCTTGGCCAACCTGCCTATGAGATTCTGTATTCCTTAGTTCTTTACACAGTGGGAAGCTTCTGTCTCCTACCTCTCTTGGATTACATTCACCTATATCACTTTCAAATACTTTTCTCTTTGATCATACCCTAAACATCTTTGCAAAGATGTTTATCCAAAATGCTCAAATTAAAAGGGCCCCACATTTATACGGACCTGCTCGTCTTAGAAGGTCATCTAAGGGACCAATTTTTGCACTTCAGCATACACCTTGAGGATTCACCCCCAACAGCTTATCAACATATTTCTTCCAAGTAGTGAATTCTGATTTACATGTTAAGTGAATAAAATGTTTTGCTTTTATTATATTATCATTTAAATGAATCTATGATTTTAATGTATTTGTTAAAAAAATGAGCTTGAAAACTTCAGAATCAAAATGTGTTATTTCTGTTTTTGAGATGGGGGTCTCGCTCTGTTGCCCAGGCTGGAGTGCAGTGGCCAGATTACAGCTCACAGCAGTCCTGGCATTCCCAGACTCAAGTGATCCTCCCACTTCAGCCTTCTGAGTAACTAGGACTACAGGCACGTGCAACCACCTCTGGCTAATTTTTACATTTTTGTAGAGCTAGGGTTTCGCCACGTTGCTCAGGCTGGTCTTGAACTCCTGAGTTTAAGTGATCCACCAGCCTTGGCCTTCCAAAGTGCTGGGATTACATGCATGAGCCACCACACCTGGCCAAGTGTGTTGTTTAAATTTTGAATATTTAGGGGATTTCTTTTTCAGATATCCTTTTGTTATGGATTTCAAATTTAGTTCTATAGTGGTTAGAGAATATACTCCATTGTATTTCAATCTTAAAAATTAGTTCAGACACATTTTATGGCTGAACATGTAGTCTGTCACTGAAAGTTTCATGTACACTTGAAAAGGATTTAAAGTCCGCTATGGTTGTCTGAATGTTCTACAAATGTCAGTTAGGTAACTCTGGTTGTTAGTGTTGTTTAACTTGTCTATATACATACCGATTTTGTTCTACATTATTATATCAATTATAGAAAGAAAAATATTGTAATCTCCAACTGTAATTATAGATTAGTCTGTTTTTCTTTTCAGTTCTATCAGGTTTTGCTTTTGGTATTTTGAAACGCTGCTGTTAGTTGTGTACACATTTTTTACTGGTGTTCTGTCTTCCTGATAAATTGACTCCTTTATCACTATAAAATGTCTTTTTAAATCTCTGGTAATATTCTGTTTTGATGTTTCCTTTGTCTGATATTAATATAGCCTCTCCCACTTTATTATGATCACTTTTTTCATAATATATGTTTTCCATTTTGTAGCCTATACTTTTATATTTAAAGTGAATTTCTTGTATATATCATGCAGTTGAGTCTGATTTTTTAAATCCAGTTGATTTAGACTGAATGGGATTGTTGTTATGTTGGTTTAAGTCTCCCATATTGTAATTCGCCTTCTGTTTGTCTCATCTCTTTAATTTTCTATTCCTTTTGAATTAATAACTTGTTATGATTACTTTATATCATTTTTACTGGTTCCAGGAATTTAAGAAAAAGTCTGTTCAATAATTAGTTGACCACTAAGCTAGCCAAGCACAGAGTATAATGGCCACAGGTGACAAAGAATATAGACTTAATAGAATAAATTCAGGAAAGGACCTAAACACAATAGCAACAAACATTGGAGGAGAATCTGATTTCCAAACCTGACAATTTGTATTTTTCAAAATGTCCAGTTTTCAACAAAATCTTTATGACATGCACAGAGACAAGAAAGTATGCCCCAAACACAAGATTAATAAGTATTAAATAAAATAAGTCTCAGAGAAAACTCAAACATTGAATATGCTAGACAAATACTGTTTTTTTGTTTGTTTGTTTTTGTTTTTTGAGATGGAATCTCGCTCTGTTGCCCAGGCTGGAGTGCAGTGGCGTGATCTCAGCTCACTGCAAGCTCCGCCTCCCGGGTTCACGCCATTCTCCTGCCTCAGCCTCCCGTGTAGCTGGGACTACAGGTGCCCACCACCACGCCCGGCTAATTTTTTTTTTTTTTTTTTTAGTAGAGATGGGGTTTCACGTGTTAGCCAGCATGGTCTCGATCTCCTGACCTCGTGATCTGCCTGCCTTGGCCTCCCAAAGTGCTGGTATATCAGTTATTTTCTACATGTTCAAAGAACTAACAGAAACCATATCTAAAGAATGACGGAAAAAATGTGGGAGTGATGTATCACCAAATAAAGAATATTGACAAAGGGAAAATATACAAAAAAGAAATTCTGAAGTTGAAAAGTACAGTAAGTGAAATGAAAAAAAAAATACTAGAGGGACTCAACAGCAGATTTTAGGAGACAGAAAAAGTACCAGTGAACTTAAATATAAGCGTCATACATTTGTTTAATATATTTGCTTCTTGGGCATTCATTTTGGGGCCTGACATAAATTATTTGAAAACCAGTCATACTCCATCCCCTTTGCTCTAGTTAAAATTTCCCCTCCTTATGTGATTGTTTGTGATATAGCCTATTCATTCCTCATTTCACTGACACAAAACCCAACACACCCCACAGCAGCTGACCATGATAAAATCTAATGGTTGACACCAGTCATGTCAATAAGTTCCCCCCTTTTTGTGTGCTTTCTTTAAACAAACCAATCCACACTCCCTATGGGAAATCCTAAAGGATAACGCCCATGGACCTTAATAAAGGCATAGTCCCATACGTACTCTTTCTCGCTCTTTCTCCCTACCTGCTGGTTGAACTCCCTGCTGCCTCCAAATTTCCTGTCTCCTCCCACTCCCCATCAGCACCCCCAATCTCTCTGGGATCTGTAAATAATAAAATTTATCTATTTCATGTATTTTGGTTTTACCTCCTAATTCTGTCTCACCTGACTAACACACCTGAACCTAACTTTCTCCCAGTCAGGGATCACTTAGAGAGTGGTTATCTTGGCCTAAGGCCACTCTCAGCAGAGAGACATCAAGACCAAACTAGAAAGAACTACAACAATAAAAAACACATCAATAGGTCAATTGAGAGTGCTGAATCTGAGGAATAGAAAAAATGAAGAAAAATAAACACAATCTTAGAGACCTATGTGACACAATCAAGCATATTAATATATGCATAATAGGAGTCCAGAGGGCAAGGAGAGAAAAAGAGGAAGAAAGCTACTTGAAGAAATAATGGTTGAAATCTCTCCAAATTTGATGACATACAGGTATCTACCTCCTCTTTAATGCTAATAACTCTTAGCTTTGCCCTTTTGAGGCTATTTTCTAGATCTTGTAGGTATGTTTCTTTCTTTTTTATTCTTTATTCTTTTGTCCCCTCTGAGTGCATGTTTTCAAATAGCATGTCTTCAAGTTCACAAATTCTTTCTTCTGCTTGATTAATTCTGCTGCAGAAAATCTCTGATGTATTTTTCAGTTTGTTAATTGAATATTTCAGCTCGAGTTTCAGCTTGATTTTTAAAAATTATTTCTATGTCTGTCTTAAATTTCTGTGATAGGATTCTGACTTTTTTCTCTGTGTTCTCTTGAAGTTTATTGAGCTTCATCAAAACAGCTATTTTGAATTCTCTGTCTGAAAGGTCACACATCTCTGTCATTCCTGGATCAGCTACTGCTGTCTTATTTAGTTTGTTTGGTGAAGTCACATTTTCCTGGATGTTCTTGATGCTCGTAGATGTTCGTCAATGTATGGGCATTGAGGAGTTATATATTTATTCAAATATTCACATCCTGGGCTTGTTTGTACTCATCCTTGTTGAGAAGGCTTTCCAGGTATTCAAAGGGAATTGAGCCTTGTGATCTAAGTTTTTGGTCACTACACTAGAGGGTGCCCCACACTCAGTAACACTACAACTCTTGCAGACTTGTATCACCTTGGTGGGCTTGGGTAAGATCTGGGAGATTTCCCTGGTTTACCAGGCAGAGTCTCTTGTTCTCTCCCCTCATGTTCCACCAAACAGAAGGACTCTTTCTTTGTGTTGGGCTGCCTGGAATTGGGGGAAGGGTGATGCAAGCACCCCCATGGCCACCAGAGCTGTGACGCTCTAGGTCACACCTGAAGCCAGCATAGTATTGGGTCTTGCCCAAGACCCATAGTAACTACTGCCTGGCTACCACTTATGTTTATTCAAGGCCCAAGGCCTCTTTAGATAGCAGGTGGTAAATCCTGCGAGGACTGGATCTTTCTTTTCTGAGCAGCAGGTTCTGTTCTGGCTCAGGGTGGGTCCAGAAGTGCTTTCCAGGAGCTGGGGCTTAGAATTGTGGGCTTTAGGAATCTGCTTTGTGGTGTATTTCACTGTGGCTGAGCTAATACCCAAGTTACAAGACAAAATCCTCTACTTTTCCCTCTCCTTTCCATAAGCAGAAGTCTCTCCTCACCTGCACTGTCAGGAGTTAGGGTAGGAGTGATGCAAGCACTCCCTTGGTTGCCACAACTGGTGTCTAACTGGGTTGTGTGCACTCCAATTCTACTGGCTCCAAGCCCAGCACAGCACCTAGACTAACTTAAAGATTGCAGTCCTGCGGCCTGACTACCTTTCAGATTTACTCAGGACTCCAGGGTACTTTAGTCAGATGGTGGTGGAGCTAGCCAAAACTCAGATTTCTATGGTTCAAGTGGAGGATATCCCTCTAGCCAGGGCTAGTTTAAATGCTCCTTCTGTAGGTGATGGCAGAATTCTGCCTGGTGTTGTGGTCTGCTGTGACAGTGCAACACTGAATTCCAATGCAAAGCCCCACAATCACTTTGCTCTCCCTCTCCCAAGCACATGGATTCTCTCTTCGCGTGGCACTCAGAGGTGATGGGGGAGGGGTGGTGTAGCCAATGCAAGACTTTCTTTCCTACCCTCTTCAGTTCCTCTTTCCTGGATATAATATTCAAACCAGGTACTGTGATCATTCACCTGATTTTTGGTTCTTATTAAGGTGCTTTCTTGTGTAGACAGTTGTTCAATTTGGTGTTCCTGTGGAGGGATGACCACCGGAGGGATCTACTTGGCCATCTTGCTCTGCCTGCCTCCCCCGGTTCTTTTTGAAACAAATTTTCCATGTGGTTATGAGACCACTGATTGTGCACAGGTTTGTAGACAGGCATTTGAGATTCCCTGTTCTGCAGAATTTCATTTTTTTTTTTGTCTCATCTTGATACCTAAATAGCTAGGAGAGGTCTGCCAAACATACAGTTTGCTTATATTGATGTAAGATTCTTGCTGTATATAAGGCAAAACTAGGTAATTCCTTCAACACTTATGAATAGAACCTCCATCAAGCCCTGCATAATGGAATATCTGTCCACTTAGTAAAGAAATAAGTCAGTCTTCCAACTAACATCAGAAAGACACATAGAATTCAGGTCTGGAGTTGTTATAAGTGTTAGACAGAGAACCTTTTTCTGTCATTCAACCATATTATAAAATGGTAGATGAGGCTACAGAAAAAAAATGACTTATGTGGTGAGCAGGCTGTTGTAGCCAAACCAAGAAAAATAAAATACTGTTCAGTCAAGTTCCTAACCAACTTAATGCCTGTCAATAAACACTGATGAGCTATCTATGCAAACTATTCTCCAGACAAAATAAGGTTATGTGTCAAACAGCTTTGGCAAGTACCAACACATTAGGCATGGCAATCCAAATTAAGGCCTCAGGGAACTCCATCTCCAAATCAGTCACAATCATTCTTTCTTGGGAGGTGATGTTAGTCCATATTTGGGAATATAGTAATTTGGGCACCAGAGTAATTCCCCAAAGAATCTAGCCAAGAAAATAAATTCTGTAACGACATGTTATGTTATAATTATTTTTTTTCTGTTCTTTCTTTCATCCTTTTCTTCTTTCCTCAGTTTCAGTTTTTGTGTTAAAAATTCTAATGGCTCTTTATTAATTCATAATTGTTAGGGGAACTTGCCAATATAGGAATGTTGATATTTACTCCGTAGGACACTATTTTCCTGGTATTAAGAATCTCAGAAATCAAATCATTAAGTAGAACACCGATCTATAAACATGAACTAATCTATTTATGGAAAAGTTTGATGAATTCTTCATTCTGCATATTTGGGTACAGCTAGCCATTAATTATAATATTTGCCTTTATCCATGCTTTAGTCGATTGGTATAGAACTTATTTCCTTGTTTTATTCTGTATCAAAACCAGTTGTCTATCCTAGGCATCTTTGCCCTTTCCTTTCTGAGCAGGTTGAATAAATCTGAGGTGCTGGAGTATGAACAGGGAAGAAGACAGAGTACTTCTTCCCATCTCTGTGCTTTCTCTAGTATCTCTAACAATGGCCGATTCTTCTGCCTGGCTTCGTCTGCCACTAATGGTTTCCTCCTCTATGGTCCCATTCCAGCCTTGGTTCTAGGCCCTTGCAGTGGTAGCCCCAGTTTCTGGGCTCTGGTAATAATAGCTCCTTATCCTTTGTCACTCTTCCATAGGGGCAATATGGCTTCCTGTCATTTCTTATCTCTGAAGTTGCCTCACTTTTTTCTATTTGGCTTCTCAGTACATTCATCTTCTGACTAACAAAGGCCAGTATTAAATTCCCTTTGTTTGAAAGACCCAGAGTGGTCTCTTGTTCCTGGTTGGAATATGATATAGTCAGATATTTTGTCTCTTGGTTAATGCTACAAAAAATAACGAAAAATTTTTCTCTCAAGATAATTGTTAATAATGAAAATTCTGCCTAAATGGTTGTGGAAGTCATACAAAATGCCCACAAAAGTTATGATGATACATGTAGAAGTATAAATATTAAATAATTATATTAACAGAAAAATTAATAAACAACTTAAATGCTTATCAGTTGAGAAATGCTTAAATAAATTATGGCTTATTCATACCATGGAATATCGTGAGGACCTTAAAAATAATGGTATTTATTTACGTATACTGATGTGAAGAGCTTTTTACAACTTTGTGAAGAGCAATAAGCAAGAGCAGAGATCTAGCTCTCTTTTGAAACATCTATCTATATATATATGTATATGTGTGTGAATATATGTATATTTGCACATATATGGATGTGTGTGTATGGCTGTATGCATATGTACATGGAAATGTTCAAATCAAATGCCTGGTTCTTTCACTTCCAATCTGCTTCCCCTCTGTGCTCCCCATCTCAGTAAAATGCAGCAGTATTCACTCCATTATTCAAACATTAAACTCCGTTAATCTTCACTCTCTTCTCTCTCATACCTGATATTCAATCTGTCAACAAATTCACCTTGCAAAATATATTCTGAATGCAACCACTTCTCACTTCTCACCATAGTTGGACTATTACAGTGACACTTAACTGGTATCCTTGCTTTAACCTTTACTCCATTGCATTATATTCAACACAGAAACTAGAATCATGTTTTGAAAACAGTTCTTATGACCCCCACATTCAAAACCTGAAAATCCAAAGTCCCCACATGATCTTGCCACTAGTTACTTCTTTGAAATAATTATGTTGTGTGAAAGAAGCCTGAAAGAAAAAAAGAATACACAGTGCATAATTCCATTTATGGAATCATATTAATGACATATGAATGTCATAGCATGATAAAAAGTTCATTATTTTTATTGCTAGCTTTCACTCCACTGTATGGTTATGTCATACTTTGTTCATCCACCCACTTGATATACTTTTGGATTATTTTCAGGTTTTGGCTATGACAAATAAAGCTGCTATAAAAACTTGTGCACAAGTCTTTGTATGGACATATGCTTTCATTTCTCTTGGAGTGGAGTGGCTTGATCATATGGTGGACATATGTTTAACTTTTTGAGAAAATGCCAAACCGTTTTCCATAGTATTTGGATCATTTTGTATACCAATCAATAGTGTATGAGGGTTCCAATTGCTGCACAGCCTTGCCAAAACTCGGTGGGATTAGTCTTTTCAGTTTTATCCATCTGAATAGCTGTCTAGGGTCTATTGTATTGTGGTTTTAACTTTCATTACACTAGTGCCTATTTGCCATGTGTATATCTTCTTAAAATAAGGTCTGTTAAAATATTTTATCTTTTCAAAATGGAGTTATTTTCTTATTGTTAAAGTTTGAGGGTTCTTTATATATTCTGGAAACAAGTCCTCTATCAGATTTGTGATTTGCAAGTATATTTTCCCAGTCTATAGCTGGTCTTTTTTTTTTCTCTTAAGGAATGTCTTTCAAAGTGCATACGTTTTTAATTTTGATGGAGTCCAATTTGTCAGTTTGCCCTACTGCAAAACCCTATTGCAGTTATCTCGACACCCATTGCAATGGTCCTGTATAAAGTCTGCCTTACTGTGCTTTAAAAAGGGTAATCAAATCATTTTTTTCTTTAACCATGTGTCTTTTGTATTGTCTTCTGCATTGATATGGTTTGGGTGTGTCCCCACCAAAATCTCATCTTGAATTCCCATGTGTTGTGGGAGGAAGCTGTTGGGAGGTAATTGAACCATGGGGGCAGGTCTTTCCTAAACTGTTCTTGTGAGATTAAATAAGTCTCACAGGATCTGATGGCTTTATAAGGTGGAGTTTCCCTACACGAGCTCTCTTTTTTTGCCTGCTGCCATCCATGTAAGGTGTGACTTGCTCCTCCTTGTCTTCTGCCATGATTGGAAGGCCTCCCCAGCCATGTGGAACTGAAGTCCCATTAAACCTCTTTCTTTTGTAAATTGCCCAGTCTCACATATGTCTCTATTAGCAGCATGAAAAGGAACTAATATGGTAAACTGGTACCAGAAGAGTGGGCACTGCTGAAAAGATACCCAAAAATGTGGAAGCTACTTTTGAATTGGGTAACAGGCTGAGTTTAGAACAGTTTGGAGGGCTCAGAAGAAGACAGGAAAATGTGGGAAAGTTTGGAACTTCCTAGAGACTTGTTGAATGGCTTTGATCAAAATGCTGATAGTGATATGGACAATGAAATCCAGGCTGAGGTGGTCTCAGATGGAGATGAGGAACCTATCAGGAACTGGAGCAAAGGTGACTCTTGTTATGTGTTAGCAAAGAGACTGGCAGCATTTTGCCCCCACCCTAGGGATTTGTGGAACTTTGAACTTGAGAGAGATGATTTAGGGTTTCTGGTGGAAGAAATTTATAAGCAGCAAAGCATTCAAGAGGTGAGTTGGGTGCTGTTAAAGTCATTCAGTTTTAAAAGGGAAGCAGAGCATAAAAGTTTGGAAAATTTGCAGCCTGAAAATGCAATAGAAAGGAAAATCCTATATTCTGAGGAATCCACGCCAGCTGCAAAAATTTGCATAAGTTAGAGGAGTCGAATGTTAATCCCCAGGACAATGGGGAAAATGTCTCCAGGGCATGTCTTCATGGCAGTCCCTCTCATCAGAGGCCCAGAGGCCTAGGAGGAAAAAGTGGTTTTGTGGGCTGAGCCCAGGAACCCTGTGCTGTGCAGCCTAGGGACTTGGTGCCCTGCTTCCCAACGACTCCAGTTGTGGCTGAAAAGAGCCAATGTAGACCTTGGCTCTATACTGGCTTCAGAGGGTATAAGCATCAAGCCTTGGCAGCTTCCCCCTGGTGTTGAGCCTGCCAGTACACAGAAGTCAAGAACTGGGGTTTGGGAACCTCTGCCTAAATCTCAGAAGATGTATGGAAATGCCTGGAAGTACAGGCAAAAGTTTGCTGCAGGGGCAGGGTTCTCATGAAGAACCTCTGCTAGTGCAGTGCAGAAGGGAAATGTGGAATCAGAGCCCCCACACAGAGTCCCTACTGGGGCACCATCTAGTGGAGCTATGAGAAAGGGGCCAACGTCCTCCAGACCCCAGAATGGTAGTTCCACCGACACCTTGCACTAGGCACCTGAAAAGCTGCAGACATTCAATGCCAGCCTGTGAAAGCAGATGTGAGGGAGGCTATACCCTGTAAAGCCACAGGGGCAGAGCTGCCCAAGACCATGGGAATCCACCTCTTGCATCAGCGTGACCTGGATGTGAGACATGGAGTCAAAGGAGATCATTTTGGAGCTTTAAGATTTGACTGTCCCACAGGATTTTGGACTTGCATAGGGCCTGTAGCCCCTTTGTTTTGGCCAATTTCTCCCATTTGAAATGGCTGTATTTACCCAATGCCTGTACCATATTGTATCTAGGAAGTAACTAACTTGCTTTTGATTTTACAGGCTCATAGGCAGAAGGGACTTGTTTTGTCTCAGATGAGACATTGGACTATGAACTATTGAGTTAATGCTGCAATGAGTTAAGACTTTGGGGGACTGTTGGGAAGGCATGATTGGTTTTGAAATGTAAGGACATGAGATTTGGGAGGGGCCAGGGGTGGAATGATATGGTTTGGCTGTGTCCCCACCCAAATCTCATCCTGAATTCTCACATGTTGTGGGAGACACCAAGTGGGAGGTAATTGAATCATGGGGGCAGGTTTTTCTTGTGCTCTTCTGGTGATAGTGAGTAACTCTCATGAGACATGATGGCTTTATAAGGCAAAGTTTCCCTGCACAAGCTCTCTTTTTTTGACTGCAGCCATCCATGCTTGCTACAGAATTGCATTAGTAAGATACTGGAAAACCCCTAAATTTTCAGCAGAAGAAGACTATTTAAATACATTTAAGCATTTTTCGGCAAATAAGTAAGTAGCCTTGTTACCAGAAAGGGGTCTGGATCCAGACTCCAAGAAAGGGTTTTTGTATCTCTCACAAGAAAGAATTCTGGGCGAGTCCATAGAGTAAAGTGAAAACAAGTTTATTAAGAAACTAAGGGAATAAAGAATGGCTACTCCATAGGTCTGCTGGTTGCCCATTTTAGTGGTTTTGTTTTCTTATATTGCTAAACAAGGGGAGGATTATTTATGACTCCCCTTTTTAGACCATATAGGGTAACTTCCTGACATTGCCATGGCATTTGTAAACTGTCATGGCACTGGTGGGAGTGTAGCATGAGGACGATTAGAGGTCACTCTCATCGCCATCTTGCTTTTGGTGGGTTTTTGATGGCTTTTTTACTGCAACTTGTTTTTATCAGCAAGGTCTTTATGACCTGTATTTTGTACTGACCTCCTATCTCATCCTGTGACTTAGAATGCCTTAACTTACTGGGAATGCAGCTCAGTAGGTCTCAGCCTTATTTTACCCAGCCCCTATTTAAGATGGAGTTGCTCTGGTTCAAACGCCTCTGACAGCTTTGTATTTCTGGATTTTCCATAGAATGCTCTAAATTTCATATTTGAATTAAAAAGCTTTTGGAATATAAAGCTGAGTGAAAAACTCTTAAGTGCTATGTAGTATCTTTTATACATAAAAGTTACACATAGTACGGATACACATATGTATGTATATGTGTGGAAGAATTTTGTAAGGGCATATGAGAAAACTATGATGATGATAATGTCTGATATATGGGATTAAGAAGGATGGAGTTAGAAGGACCCTTCTCCCTGACTGCATATGTGAACAATAATTATTTTACCCAAAGTAAGTTTTGTTTTTATAATCACTTTCCAAAAAGTAATAAAGGGGCTTTTATTTCTGGGCAGCCTATAATATGTCACAGCAGATTAATGTTTCCACTGACCATAACTAATAGAATCTAGAAAACTATGGAAGCAATGATCCCTAATTTGATGAAATTTCAGAGAGTAAAAATCTCTATACACATGGGCAGTTTACTGGTCATCATTTTCTCACTGGGGTCATTTGCTGATTCTGAGCATGAACAAAGATTAACTGCTGGGGAAAGAGAAACAAGTAAAGCTTTTATTGGTCACATGGGGCTGGGGCAACAAAATGGTAAATTAGAGAGGCCTCAAGTACACAGAGATTGCTATATTATGAGCCCATGTGGGAAGTTAAATGGCTAAGCTAAAAGCTTCTGAAGGGAAAAGTAAAAAATCCTGCGGTCTTATGGCATTTAGGAAAAAGAGACTAGCCAGGAAGAAGGGCCTGCAAAATAAAAATAGATTAGAGCTGAAAGTCCTAGAAGGAGTGATGAATGGACACTAAGGTTCTATGGTCCTGTTTTTACCTAGAGACATTTATTATTATTAAAACTAGATTTACTAAGAGTTTACAAATGCAGATTATGGGGTTGATGTGATTCAAGGCATGCTACCCCACAATATGGCAGCTTGGCATTTGAGAAAATAATAGAAGCAGGAAGGGCACACTCACCTTTCTCTTGCCCTTGTTGGGGCTCAGAACATGCCACCCCAAAATATAGCAACTTGGTATACTAAATATTTTAAACTGAAGGAAATTGAGAAAACTGAAGCAGGAAGGCCACTCTCTCACCTTCTCTCACCTTTCTTCTCTGAAGCAAGCCATAAAGAATTCTCTGGCCTACCTAGCCAGAAAGTAGGTCATAAGACCTTCATTCCAGAAGTGTCCTGCTCTATACCTACAGACCAAGAAGAAGCTAAATAAACAGACCTTGCTGATTTCTCCTTGGTTTATTACCATTAGGTCATACCCATTTTGTCCAATCATACTTCTCCATAACTATCCATCTCTCCATCAAACCTAAGCATGAAAATACACAAGTTTACTTTTTTCTTTGAATCTTCATTTCTGAAGGCTTCCATTTCATATAAAACTAATATTAAATAAATTTGTATACTTTTCTCATATTAGTCTGTCATTTGTTATAAGGGCCTCAGACATGAACTTAACAATGGGTGAGGAAAAGAAATCTTTCCTCTTCTACAGGGACAAACAGATCAGCAGAGATTTTAGCATTCTTGTAAGGTTGGGATGACAAAACTTAAAATTTGAAGGGCTTCAAAAACATAACCATACCTTACTCAAGACATTTGTCAAATTTTCAAGTTGAGCATTTCTAAATGGCAGAACTGAATCTCCAACAATTTTTCAGGCTGAGGAGACAAAGCTCCATTAATGTTTTAGTTGAAAACAATAGATGGATATGACATAGGAATATTAGTGATATAAAATAGAATATGCCTTATAGAAACTGAAACTGAGCAAAAATCAGATCAATCCCTTATTAGATTGACATTATCACTTCCCTACTCTCATCCCACATCCCATTAGCTTAATAGATGAAAGGGAGAACCATCTATGATACAAGACAGCATCATGTGGACTTTCTATGGTCCTTTGATTAACAATGTTGGACATGCAATAAAAATTATAAGACGAGGCGGCTGGCAAGATGGTTGAATAGGAACAGCTCCAGTCTGCAGCTCCCAGTGACATCAACGCAGAGGGTGGGAGATTCCTGCATTTCTACCTGAGGTACCTGGCTCATCTCATTGGGACTGGTTAGACAGTAGGTGCAACCCATGAAGGGTGAGCAGAAGCAGGGTGGGCCATCACCTCACCTGGGAAGCCCAAGGGGTTGAGGAATTCCCTCCCCTAGCCAAGGGAAGCTCTGAGGGACTGTGCTGTGAGGAATGGTACATTCTGGCCCAGATACTACACTTTTCCCATGGTCTTTCCAACCCACAGACCAGGAGATTCACTGTGATGCCTATGCCACCAGGGCCCTGGGTTTCAAGCACAAAACCAGGCGGCCATTTGGGCAGACACCAAGCTAGCTACAGGGAGTCTCTTTTCATACCCCAGTGGCGCCTGGAACACCAGCAAGACAAGTGGTCTAGCTCAGTGGACCCCATCCCCACAGAGCCCAGCAAGCTAAGATCCACTGGCTTGAAATTCTCGCTGCCAACACAGCAGTCTGAAGTTGACCTGGGATGCTCCAGCTTGGTGGGGGGAGGGGCATCTGCCATTACTGAGGCTTGAGTAGGCTTTTTCCCCCTCACAGTATAAACAAAGCCACTGGGAAGTTCAAACTGGGTGGAGCCCACTGCAACTTGGCAAAGCCGCTTTAGCCAGACTGCCTCTCTAGAGTTCTCCTCTTTGGGCAAGGCATCTCTGAAAGAAAGGTAGCAGCTCCAGTCAGGGGCATATAGATAAAACTCTCATCTCCCTGGGACAGAGCACCTGGGGAAAGGGCAGCTGTGGTCACAGCTTCAGCAGACTTAAACATTCCTGCCTGCCACCTCTGAAGAGAGCAGTGGATCTCCCAGCACAGCACTTGAGCTCTGCTAAGGGACAGACTGCCTCCTCAAGTAGGTCCCTGAACCCAGTGCCTCCAGACTGGGAGACACCTCCCGGCATGCATCAACAGACACCTCATAGAGGAGAGCTCCAGCTGGTGGGTGCCCTTCTAGGACAAAGCTTCCAGAGGAAGGAACAGTCAGCAATCTTTGCTGTTCTGCAGCCTCTGCTGGTGATACCCAGGCAAACAGGGTCTGGAGCAGACTACCAGCAAACTCCAGCAGACCTGCAGCAGAGGGGCCTGACTGTTAGAAGGAAAAGTAACAAACAGAAAGGAATAGTATCAACATCAACAAAAAAGACATCCACACCAAAACCCCATCCAAAGGTCACCAACATCAAAGACCAAAGGTAGATAAATCCACAAAGATGGGGAGAAACCAGTGCAAAAAGGCTGAAAATTGCAAAAACCAGAATGCCTCTTCTCCTACAAAGGATCACAACTCCTCTTCAGTAAGGGAACAAAACTGGATGGAGAGTGGGTTTGACAAATTGACAGAAGTAGGCTTCAGAAGGTGGGTAATAACAAACTCCTCCAAGCTAACAGAGCATGTTATAACCCAATGTAAGGAAGCTAAGAACCTTGAAAAAAGGTTAGAGGAACTGCTAACTAGAATAACCAATTTAGAGAAAAATATAAATGACCTGATGGAGCTGAAAAACACAGCATGAAAACTTTGTGAAGCATACACAAGTATCAATAGCTGAATCAATCAAGCGGAAAAAAGGATATCAGAGATTGAAGATCAACTTAATGAAATAAAGTGAGAAGATAAGATTAGAGAAAAAAGAATGAAAAGAAATGAACAAAGCCTCCAAGAAATATGGGACTATGTGAAAAGACCAAACCTACATCTGATTGGTTTTCATGAAAGTGACAGGGAGAATGGAACTAAGTTGGAAAACACTGTTCAGTATATTATCCAGGAGAACTTCCCCAACCTAGCAAGGCAGGTCAACATTCAAATTCAGGAAATACAGAGAACACCACAAAGATACTCCTTGAGAAGAGCAACCCCAAGACACCTAATTGTCAGATTCACCAAGGTTGAAATGAAGGAAAAAAATCTTAAGGGCAGCCAGAGAGACAGGTTGGGTTACCCACAAAGGGAAGCCCATCAGACTAACAGCGGATCTCTCTGCAGAAACCCTACAAGCCAGAAGAGAGTGGGGCCCATTATTCAACAATCTTAAAGAGAAGAATTTTCAATCCAGAATTTCATATCCAGCCAAACTAAGCTTCATAAGCAAAGGAGAAATAAAATCCTTTACAGACAAGCAAATGCTGAGAGATTTTGTCACCACCAGTCCTGCCTTACAAGAGCTCCTGAAGGAAGCACTAAACATGGAAAGGAACAACCGGTACCAGCAACTGCAAAAACATACCAAATTGTAAAGACCACTGACACTATGAAAAAACCACAACAACTAATGGGCAAAATAACCAGCTAGCATCATAATGACAGGATCAAATTCAGACATAACAATATTAACCTTAAATATAAATAGGCTAAATGCCCCAAATTAAAAGACACAGATTGACAAATTGGATAAAGGGTTAAGACCCATCGGTGTGCTGTATTCAGGAGACCCATCTCACATGCAAAGACACAAATAGGCTCAAAATAAAAGGATGGAGGAATATTTACCAAGCAAATGGAAAGAAAAAAAAACCAATGGTTGCAATCCTAGTCTCTGATAAAACAGACTTTAAACCAACAAAGTTCAAAAGAGACAAAGAAGGGCATTACCTAATGGTAAAGGGATAAATGCAACAAGAAGAGCTAACTATCCTAACTATCTAAGCAAGTTCTTAGAGACCTACAAAGAGACTTAAACTCCCACAAAATGACAGTGGGAGACTTTAACACCCCACTGTCAATATTAGACAGATCAACAAGACAGACAACAAGGATATTCAGGACTTGAACTCAGCTCTGGACCAAGCATACAAATAGGCGTCTACAGAACTCTCCACTCCAAGTCAACAGAATATACATTTTTCTCAGCACCACATAGCATTTATTCTAAAACTGACCACATAATTGGAAGTAAAACACTCCTCAGCAAATGCAAAAGAATGGAAATAATAACAAATAGTCTCTCAGATTACAGTGCAATCAAATTAGAAATTAGGATTAAGAAACTCACTCAAAACCACACAGCAACATGGAAACTGAACAACCTGCTCCTGAATGACTACTGGGTAAATAATGAAATTCAGGCAGAAATAAATAAGTTCTTTGAAACCAATGAGAACAAAGACAAAATGTACCAGAATCTCTGGGACACAGCTAAAGCAGTGTTTAGAGAGACATTTGTAGCACTAAATGCCCACAACAGAAAGCAGGAAAGGTCTAAAATCGACACCCTAACATCACAATTAAAAGAACTAGAGAAGCAAGAGCAAACACATTCAAAAGCTAGCAGAAGACAAGAAATAACTAAGATCAGAGCAGAACTGAAGGAGATAGAGACATGAAAAACCCTTCAAAAAATCAATGAATCCAGGAGCAGTTTTTTGAAAAGATCAACAAAATAGATAGACCACTAGCCAGACTAATAAAGAAGAAAAGAGAGAAGAATCAAACAGGCACAATAAAAAATGATAAAGGGGATATCACCACCGACCCTACAGAAATAAAAAACTACTATCAGAGAAAACTATAAACACTAGAAAATCTAGAAGAAATGGATAAACTTCTGGACACATACACCCTCCCAAGTCTAAACCAGGAAGAAGTTGAATCCCTGAAGAGACCAATAACAAGTTCTGAAATTGAGGCAGTAATTAATAGACTACCAACTCAAAAAAGTCCAGGACCAGACAGATTCACAGCCGAATTCTACCAGAGGTACAAAGAGGGCTGGTACCATTCCTTCTGAAACTATTCCAAACAATAGAAAAAGAGGGAATCCTCCCTAACTCATTTTATAAGGCTATCATCATCCTGATACCAAAACCTGGCAGAGACACAACAAAAAAAGAAAATTTCAAGCCAATATCCCTGATGAACATCGACATGAAAATCCTCAATAAAATAGTGGCAAACTGAATCCAGCAGCACATCAAAAAGCTTACCCATCCTGATCAAGTCGGCTTCATCCCTGGGATGCAAGGCTGGTTCAACATATGGAAATCAATAAACGTAATCCGTTACATAAACAGAACCAATGACAAAACCCACATGATTATCTCAATACATGCAGAAAAGTCCTTTGACAAAATTCAACACCCTTCATGCTAAAACCTCTCAATAAACTAGGTATTGAGGGAACATAATAGAGCTGTTTATTACAAACCCACAGCCAATATCATACTGAATGGGAAAAACTGGAAGCATTCCCTTTGAAACTAGCATAAGACAAGGATGCCCTCTCTCTCCACTCCTATTCAACATATTATTGGAAGTTCTGGCCAGGGCAGTCAGGCAAGAGAAAGAAATAAAGGGTATTCAAATAGGAAGACAGGAAGTCAAATTGTCTCTGTTTGCAGATGACATGATTGTATATTTAGAAAACCCCATTGTCTCAGCCCAAAATCTCCTTAAGCTGGTAAGCAACTCCAGGAAAGTCTCAGGATACAAAATCAATGTGCAAAAATCACAAGCATTCCTATACACCAATAATAGACAAACAGAGAGCCAAACCATGAGTGAAGTCCCATTCACAATTGGTACAAAGAGAATAAAATGCCTAGGAATACAACTTACAAGGGTTGTGAAGGACCTCTTCAAGGAGAACTGCAAACCATTGCTCAAGGAAATAAGAGAGGACACAAACAAATGGAAAAACAATCCATGCTTATGGACAGGAAGAATCAAGATCGTGAAAATGGCCATACTGTCCAAAGTAATTTATAGATTCATTGCTATCCCCATCAAGCTACCACTGACTTTCTTCACTGAAGTAGAAAAATCTACTTTAGCCAGGCACGGTGGCTCACGCCTGTAATCCCAGCACTTTGGGACGCCAAGGCGGGCGGATCACGAGGTCAGGAGATTAAGACCATCCTGGCTAACATGGTGAAATCCTGTCTCAACTAAAAATACAAAAATTAGCCGGGTGTGGTGGTGGGCACCTGTAGTCCCAGCTACTCAGGAGACTGAGGCAGGAGAATGGCGTGAACCCAGGAGGAGGAGCTTGCAGTGAGCCGAGATCGTGCCATTGCACTCCAGCCTGAGCAACAGAGTGAGACTCCGTCTCAATAAAAAACGAACAAACAAACAAAAAAACTACTTTAATTTCATATGGAACCAAAAAAGAACCTGCATAGCCAAGACAATCCTAAGCAAAAAGAACAAAGCTGGAGGCTTCACCCTACCTGACTTCAATCTATGCTACAAGTCTACAGCAACCAAAACAGCATGGTACTGGTACCAAAACAGATATATAGACCAACGGAACAGAAAAGAGGCCTCAGAAATAATGCCACACAGCTACAACCATCTGATCTTTGACAAACCTGACAAAACAAGCAATGGGGAAAGGATTCCCTATGTAATAAATGGTGACGGGAAAACTGGCTAGCCATATGCTGAAAACTGAAACTGGACCCCTTCCTTACACCTTATACAAAAATTAACTCAAGATGGATTAAAGTCTTAAATGTAAGACCTAAAACCATAAAAAACCTAGAAGAAAACCTAGGCAATAACTTTCAGGACATAGGCATAGGCAAAAACTTCATGACTAAAACACTGAAAGCAATGGCAACAAAAGCCAAAATTGACAAATGGGATCTAATTAAACTAAAGAGCTTCTGCACAGCAAAAAAAAAAAAAAAAAAAAAAAAAAAAACTATCATCAGAATGAACAGGCATTCTACAGAATGGGAGAAAAATTTTGCAATCTATCCATCTGACAAAGGGCTAATATCCAGATTCTACAAAGAACTTAAACAAATTTACAAGAAAAAACCAACCCCACCAAAAAGTGGGTGAAGGATATAAACAGACATTTCTCAAAAGAAGACATGTATGCAGCCAACAAACATGAAAAAAAGCTCATCATTACTGTTCATGAGAGAAATGCAAATCAAAACCACAAGGAGATACCATCTCATGCCAGTTAGAATGTCGATTATTTTTAAAAGTCAGAAAACAATAGATGCTGGAGGGGATGTGGAGAAATAGGAACGCTTTTACACTGTTGGTGGGAGTGTAAATTAGTTCAACCATTGTGGAAGACAGTGTGGTGATTCTTGAAGGATCTAGAACCAGAAATACCATTTGACCCAGCAATCCCATTACTGGGTATGTACCCAAACGATTACAAATCATTCTACTATAAAGACATATGCACACGTATGTTTATTGTGGCACTGTTCACAATAGCAAAGACTTGGAACCAACCCAAATGCCTATCAATGATAGACTGGATAAAGAACATGTGGCACATATACATCATGGAATACTATGCAGCCATAAAAAAGGATGAGTTCATGTCCTTTGCAGGGATATGGATGAAGCTGGAAACCATCATTCTCAGCAAACTAACACAAGAACAAAAAAACAAAAACTGCATGTTCTCACTCATAAGTGGGAGTTGAACAATGACAACATATGGACACAGGGAGGGAAACATCACACTCCATGGTCTGTTGTGGGGGTGGGGGGCTGCGAGAGGGATAGCATTAGGAGAAATATCTAATGTAGACGACAGGTTGATGGGTGCAGCAAACCACCATGGCACGCATGTACCTATATAACAAATCTGCACATTCTGCACATGTATCCTAGAACTTAAAGTATAATAAAAAAAGAAAAAAAATTATGAGACATACGAAGTGGCAAGCTGATGCGGCAGATAGTCAAGATATAGAAGCTTTCTCACAGGCCATGCAGATATTGAAATGAGTGAACTAATACTTAAAAATATATGCATGAAATTTTCAATTTAATATGGACAATGACAAACAAAGACTGTATATAATTAAGTGAGCATTTTGAAACTGAAAAATATAATATCTGAAACTAATAACTCAATAGATAGGCTTAATAGCAGATTAGACATAGGAGAATTAGTTAAACAAGAGCAGGGTCAATAGAAAACAGTTAAACTGAAGAATAGGGAGAAATATAAAATGCATAAAAAATGACAGTATAAGAGATATATAGGACACGTTCATAGATCAAACATATAAGTAATTCAGGTCCAAAGAGTAGAGAAGAGATAAGACAGAAACGATATTCAGAAAGATTATAGCCGATGATATTTTTTGAAATTGATGAAAGATATAAACCTACCCATTAAGAAGCTCAGTAAACCCCAAGCAAGATAAATATGAAGAAAACCACAGCTAGACACATCATAATTTTCTGAAAACTAAAGATGAGTAAGACCTGAGAGTATTCATCACAATCAGGTCTGATCTAACACAGTTATTAAAGGGAATACTTCTGATAGAAGAAAAATGACCTCAGACTGAAATAGTAGGCATATAGGAAGAATAACTGAACAATACAATTCAGAATTTGACCTAATTACATATGGTTACTAGTTTCCAACTATTGCTGTAACAAATTAGCACAAATTTAGTGACTTAACACAAATTTATTCTCTTATAGTTATGAAGGTCAGAAGTCTGAAATGAGCCTCACTGGGCTAAGTTCAAGGTGTGTTGGTAGGCAGGATTGGTTCTTTCTGGAGGTTGTGAGGGATATGTATTAGAGTTCCTCAGAGAAACAGAACCAAATGGGGGCGCACACACACACACACACACACACACACACACGCAATTGGCTTATACAATTATGGAGGCTAAGAAATTCCAAGACCCTCAGTTGGTACACACTGGAGACCTGGGAGAGTCAATGTGTAATTCCAGTTTGAGTTCAAAGTTTTGTGAACCACGAGAACTGGTGGTGTAACTTCCAGCTCGGACCTGGCAGGCTTGTGGCCCAAGAAGAGCCAATGTTTCAGTTCAAGTATGAGGGTCAGGAACAAATGACATCAAGGCTTAAAGCAGTCAGGTAGAAGGAGTTTCCTCTTATTTAGCGTTGTTGTTCTATTCAAGTCTTCAATTGATTGGGTGATGTCCACACACATTGGTGAGGGCAATATTCTTTACTCAACCTACTGATTCAGATGCTAATCTCTGGAAACACTATCACAGACATATCCAGAATACATCTGGGCATTCTTTAGCTGAGTCAAGTAGACACATAAAATCAACCATCACAAATCCACCTCTTGTCAACTTGGCACCCATACTTATCTCCTTAAACCATACCTAATATCCAAAAAAAGATAATGAATGACAAGGTCATAATTCTGCCTAATATGATATAGCTATCCTGCATAAAACTAAAAATGCACAAACTCCTTCCCTAGGAAAGGAGGTAAAGTCCTTGAGCAATGTTTACTCTTCTTTTTGATATTTGATATGGTTTGAATCTGTGTCTCTGCCCAAATCTCATATCAAATTGTAGTCCCCATTATTGGAGGTGGGGTCTGGTGGGTGGTGATTTGATGGTGGAGGCAGATTTCCCCCTTGGTGCTGTTCTAGTGATAGTGAATGAGTTCTTGGGAGATCTGGTCATTTAACAGTGTGTGGCACCTCACCTGCCACCTGCTCCTGCCATGTAAGAAATCTGCTCCTTTATTGCTTTCCACCATGAATAAAAGCTCCGAGTTCTCCTCAGAAGATGCCACCATGCTTTCTCTACAGCCTGCACAATCGTGATCCATTAAACCTCTTTTCTTATAAATTACCCAGTCTCAGGCATTTCTTTATGGCAATGTGAGAGTGGACTAATATGGAAAACTGGTACTGGGAGTGGGGTATTGCGATAAAGATATCTGAAAATGTGGAAGAGACTTTGAAACTGGCTAATGAGTAGAGGTTGGAAGAGTGTGGAGGGATCAGAAGACAAGAAGATGAAGGAAGGTTTTGCACTTCCTAGAGACTTTTTGAATGATGGTGACCAAAATGCTGATAGTAACATGGACAGAGATGGCTAGGCTGAAGAGGTCTCACATGGAGATGAGGAACTTATTGGGAACTGATGCAAAGGTCACTTCTGTTACGTCTTAGCAAAAAGCTTGGTTGAATTCTGCCCCTGCCTTAGGAATCTGTGAAACTTTGAACTTGAGAGAAATGATTTAGGGTATCTGGAAGAAGAAATTTCTAAGCAGCAAAGTATTCAAGATGTGGCCAGGCTGCTTCTAACAAACTATGCTCATATATGTAAGCAAAGTGAAAAAAAAAAAAAAAAGAAGAAGAAACGACCTGAAACTGGAACTTATATATATTGTAAGGGAGTCAGCACCTCCTTCCAGGACTTTAAACAGTTGTCTTTGCCAGTTTGTTCTTGGATTTTCCTTGAACTTCTCAGGTTTCCAAGCCACATCCTAGCAGGGCATCCAGGAACCTTGCACTGAACCTCTCAGCCCTTTTGACTTTCTTCTGGTTATAGGTTTTGGGACTCCCATTAGGTAGAAGTCCTTTGAGCGACCCAAAATGGCCAAATGAGACATCATCCAAGTTCCTCCCTCCTTTACTGTCTCGGCTTTTTCAAGCACCCCTTTCTCCTCTCTTTTCTGCCTTTTCCTCAGTCTGTCAAGTTCTTTGGAGGAAAGAAGTTTTTGGTCAGAGGTCCTAAAACCACCAAGAGCTGGGGGCGGTGAATATGGTAAGGAGTTAGACAGTCCCAGGGCTTTTTTGAAAGGGGACTTTATGGTTATTTCCCCTACTTAGGGTGAGGGATTAAGAATTCTCAAGCCTTCAGTTTCATCCATACTTCAGTGTAAGCAGAAAAGCATATTTCAAAGCCAAATAGAAATGATTTTCTACTAAGCCTATCCTTTTTGATTCTTGGTACCCTTGGTCTCTTAATATTAATTATAGAGAATGGGCAGTGGAGTCAGTTAACATCTTTTCATCAGAAAGGAGGGTAATATTCATAACCAAAAGAGATGTAAAGGAACTATATTACTGCTTGAAATGTGAAAAGAGGAAAGGAGTGTTATTTGAACCTTTTCAATAGGAAAATTCAGAAAGTGGAATGATTCATCCACAGGCATAATTCTTTTAGGAGATTCTGTGCTCAAAGGGAAGGGAATGGTTTCTGATCCTTCTGAAGAGAAAAGAAATAGCATTTTTCTTAAACCTAACCCAGTTTCAGCATTGGAGAATACAGAACTTTTTCTTCTAGCTGATGGCATTAATATTTCTTGACAGAAAGAACCCACCCACGGCACTTTTCTGAGCCCAGCAGAAATCAGCGGAGGTTGGGCTTCACCTAGCAGGTTTGCAATTGACTTCAACATGCAGGCTTTTCATGTGTGCAATAATGCTGGAAACAGAAGCACCCAACTGATTGTACAATTACTCCTTTTGTAGAAGAGGCTAAAATCCTCCTCCTCCTTCCTTTCTCCTATATTCACTCCTCCAGGATCATAAAGCCTCCCTCTTGTTTATCTGTGTCTCTCTGTCTGATTGGTTAGATTTGGCTGCCCTTCCAAGCTAATGGTGTCAGGTGGAGAACAGAGCAACCTTCCCTCGGAAGGGGACAACTCAAGGTGCTGGTACATTTCCCTTGTTTTCTATGTTCTTCTTTCTAGTGGGTCTCATGTAGAGATAGAGATATTTTTGTTTTAGAGATTCCAAAGTATATATTTTTAGTGTAAGAAATGTACCCTCTCAACACTCCATGATGTAAATAGAACCAGGAATAAATGTGTCATTGTGATTAAAAAAAAAAAAAAAAAGAAACGACCTGAAACTGGAACTTATATTTGAAACAAAAGTGGAGCATAAAGGTTTAGAAAATTTGCAGCCTGACCGTGTGGTAGAAAAGAAAAGTGCATTTTCAGGGGAGGAATTCAAGCAGGCTGCAGAAATTCACATGACTAAAAGGAAGCTGAGTGCTAATAGCTAAGACAAGGAGGAAAAGGCCTTGAAGACATTTCAGAGAACTCTGTGGCAGCCCCTTCCATCACAGGCCTGGAGGCCTAGGAGGACAGAATGGTTTTGTTGGCCAGGCCCAGGGCCCTGCTGCCCTGTGCAGCCTTGGGTCACTGCTTCCTGCATCCCAACCACTCCAGCTCCAGCCCTTGCTCAAAGGGGCACACATATAGCTCTAGCCACTGTTTCAGAGGGTGTAAGCTGTAAACCTTGGCAGCTTCCACATGGTGTTAAGCCTGTGGGCAGGTAGAGTGCAAAAGTTGAGGCTTGAGAACCCCTGCCTAGATTTCAGAAGATGTATGGAAAAGCCTGGATGTCCAGGCAGAAGCCTGCTGCAGGGGCAGGGCCTTCATGGAAAACCTCTACTAGGGAAGTGCAGAGGGGATATGTGGGATTGGAGTCCCCACACTGAGTCCCCACTAGGACACCGCCTAGTGGAGCTGTGAGAAGACAGCCCCCATCCTCCAGACCCCAGAATGGTAGAGCCATTGACAGCTTGCACTACATGCTTGGAAAAGCTGCAGGCCCTCAATGCTAGCCCTTGAGAGCAACTGTATAGGCTGATCCCTACAAAGCCACTAAGGTGGAGCTTCCCAAGGCCTTTGGAGACTACCCCTTGTACCAGTGTGTCCTGGATGTGAGACGTGGAGTCAAAGGAGATTATTTTGGAGCTTTAAGATTAATGACTGCCCTTCTGGGTTTCAGACATGCGTGGGGGCTTGTAGTCTCTTTCTTTTGGCCAATTTCTCCCTTTTCAAATGGGAATATTGACTCAATGCCTACACTCCCATTGTATCTTGGGAATAACTAACTTGTTTTTGATTTTACAGGCCCATAGGTGGAAGGGACTAGCCTTGAATCAGATGAGGTTTTGGACTATAGACCTTTGAGGTAATGCTGAAATGAGTTAAGACTTTGGGGGACTGTTGGGAAGGCATGATTGTATTTTAAAATTTGGGAACACAAAATTTGGGAGGGACCCTGGAAGGAGTGACATGGTTTGGATCTTTGTCCTCACTGAAATCTCATGTCAAATTGTAATCCTCAGTGTTGGAGGTGGGGCCTGGTAGGTGGTCACTGGATCATGGGGATGGATTTCTCTCTTGGTGCTTTTCTAGTGGTAGTCAGTGAGTTCTTGTGAGATCTTGTCACCTCCCCACACCTTGGTCTTGCCCCTGCCATGTAAGACACCTGCTCCCACCTTGCCTTCTGCCATGAATGAAAGCTCTCTGAGGCCTCCCCAGTAGATGCTTCAATGCTTCCTGTACAGTCTGCAGGATTGTGAGATTAAACTTCTTTTATTATAAATTACCCAGTCTCAGGCATTTCTTTATAGCAATGCAAGAACAGACTAATACAATATTCTATTACTTAAATACTATGATGTAAAATAAACAACACCTAAATACTATGATACAAAGTCAATACATCTTATGTTACATGATCAGGGAATAAGAGAGGAACCAAAACAAAGATAATATATATAAATCAAAACGCACACATATACACAAATGCTCACATGTACACAAACATATTCATGTACACAAATATATTCATAATAAAATAAAAAATTTAAAACTCATTAAATTGCAGTCCTGGTTTATGTAACTCTTACTTACACCTAGTTAGAGCTAGTATTTATAACTCCCTTCTTTTACTAGTAATTCTGTATTTCCTCTGTTTTCAGTAGGCACCTCAGCTGGTCATGGTTCTTTGCCCTGTAGGGTAACCCAAAACTTCATTCCAGAAGCGTCTGGGCAATTAGTAGTCCTGCCTGGATTGGGTTGTAGTTTTCCATTGACCTTAATCACAGGACAAGTGCTATGGTTTGACTATGTCCCCCAAAATTCATGTGTTGGAAACATAATCCCCAGTGCAACAATACTGAGAGGTAAGACCTTAAAGAAGTGATTAGGTCAGAGGGCTCTGCTTTCATGAATGGATCAATTCCATTATCGTGGGAGTGGGCTTGTTATAAAAATAAATTCAGCCTTCTCTTGCTGTCTTGCTCTTGTATACTCTCTTGCAATATGATGCCTTCCTCCATATTATGATGCAGCAGGAAGGCCTTCAACTTCTATAGTTCTTTCATCTTAGACTTCTCAGCCTCCAGAACTGTAAGAAATAAACTTCTTTTCTTCATAAATTACCCAGTGTGTGGCATTGTATATAACAATACAAAATGGACTGAGACAACATGGTAATACACTCTTCCTTACCTCCATGATGGAGTAGCAGTTCCAGACACACTCTTCCTTACCTCCATGATGGAGTAGCAGTTCAATTTCCCCTTTGTAGTCAGGATCAGTCATCCCAGCCAGCACAGTGACTACCTTCTTTGCTTGCTGATTCAGAGATGAGAAGAACCCAAAGAAGTTGGGCAGTTGTCTTAACTTCCAGTTCAACTGAATCATTGTTTTGTCTCCTGGTGGGAAAATCCCTCCCTTTGAAACTAAGACCATTAGCCCAGAATATAAGGTCATGGGACCAGAAGCAAAAATTCTGCTTGTTGGTTACTAGGGGTAATAGTGAGTGGCACCACTCATTTCCACCACTTGATTCCTGTACCCATGAATTCTGGCTATGTGAGAAAAAGCATCATATATTGATTGCTGATTCAGAGTACATACAGTCTTCTGGAGAACCTGCAACATATTTCCACCTGCTTTTCCATTTTCGCACTTTTGCCTTCCATGTAAACTACATGATGCGAAAATATCCTGAGTTCATATATTTCTTATAAAAGGAAATATGTGTATTTTCTCAGTATTGGGATTATGGGGCTTTAGTTTTTTCATTATTATTACTATGTTTTGAACATCTTATAATAAATATATTACTGTTATATTAGACAATATCAAAACATTTTGCAAAAAGAATAAAAAGTACATGCCCTTATTCCATGTAAAATTTTATATTTAAACAACTAAATGTTAAACAGGGAGGCATTCTGACACATTTCTAAATGTTTCTACCATACATTTGCAAACCAAAATATGAGCTTACTACTATCAAGAAATTCTCAATAAAATGCAAAAACACTTTTTTTGTACTTCTTTTTCTCTTCTTGACACAATTGTCCTTCTATACAGAAAAAGTTACCCCAATAAAGTCAAAATAATTTATTAATATCAAAACGTTTTATCTGAGTGTAGAGTAAATGCCAGTGTTCAATAATATTTAAGTACATACACTAATTTATACTTCTTTCCTTTGCTCCAACAACAAGCTCATTCCAGGTACTGTGTTTGCATTCAGTTATACCAAGTATACTTTACGTCCTCTTTTGAATATCCGCCAGTCATGAGTGGCACAAAGTTAGAGATAACCAGTTCCGTGCATGTTTGTGTCATCTTTCCCCAATATCAGACTTTTATTGGTTTTATTTATGCTATTTCTTTCTTTCTTTCTTTCTCTTTCTCTTCTTTTCTTTTCTTTTCTTTTTTGAGATGGAACCTCATTCTGTTGCCCAGGCTGGAGTACAGTGCCATGATTTCATCTCACTGCAACCTCTGCCTCCTGGGTTCAAGTGATTCTCCTGCTTCAGCCTCCTGATTAGCTGGGATTACAGGCGCCCACCACCATGTCCGGCTATTTTTTTTTTTTTTTTGTATTTTTAGTAGAGACTGAGTTTCACCATGTTGGCCAGCCTGGTCTTGAACTCCTGACTTCAGGTGACCCACCTGCCTCGGCATTTCAAATTGCTGAGATAACAGGTGTAAGCCACCACTCCTGGACTATTGATGCTATTTCAAACACAAAATTCACAAGCTACATGTATTTCCCAAGGAGGTAGTTCCCCTCAGTACTTCCTTTCCACTTGTTAGAGCCATGGTCACACAGGCTCAAGCCACTCCACATGTCAGTTAATATTGCAAACCATACATAATAGTATACTTAATATATAAATGTTATAGATTAAACATTCCATAACAAACAAAGTAACATTTAACATTGAGAGAAAGAAGATATAGGAGAAAGGGTTAACAAACAAGTCTAGGGTACTTACAATACAATATTATTATTATTATAGGAGTCAAGGAAAACTTCCCCATTGCTCCCTGAAGGTCTGCTGAAAATTAATAAGAAAAAAGGCGTACAAATGTATTTAACTTGTACACAAGGGAGCCTTCAGAATGAAGACCCTAACCCACAATGCAGTGCAGAAGCTTATATACCATCTTGAGGTTACAGAAAGAATGGGGTCTTGGATCTTGGCAAAACAGGTTATCTAAGGTGGGAGACAAGGAATTCTGTTGAAGGGCAACAAATATTTACTAAGGAGAATGAATGAATACGGAACAGAAATAACCTGGTAAATAGTTCTCCTCGGCATTTGAATGAGTCTGAGAGACAGACATTATCTTGTGAAGGGGTCTGTTCAGGCGTGGTTACATTCTTGATCTTCTTTCCTACTATAGATAATGAGATAACAGGCAGGGGAGTAAAAAAACAATTGATCTCCTTGGTGGGTCAAATAAGGATAAAGGAACTTCAGCTAAAGGAACTTCAGAGAACAACTTTATCCTATGCTTTGGGAGAGAAGATGGTGAGGGGAGGTAAGAGGGACCTTGAGGGTTCTTCAGCATGTCAAAACACCATATTATGCAATATCACTAGAAAGTAGTCCCCAGTAGTATGCTATTCTGTTTGAGCATGGTTTGAACATAGAACAGTGTCCCTATTCATCACTTATTATTAGGTGGAAAACAAAACAGGAAGAGTGGCAACAAATGCAACTCACTTTAGTTCCATGACTTCTTTTGAGTTTTTATTATTTCTTAGATTTAGGCCAGCTCTTTATTGGCTGATTTTGTCTTAAAATAATGAAGGAAATAAAAATATTTCACCCCAAAATATATTTCTTTACTATATTTTGAGATGGCTGTTCAGAAAGCAAACAAACAGAAGTAGTCTATTAGTCCATTTTCACACTGCTATAAATAACTACCCAATACTGGATAATTCATAAAGGAAAGAGGTTTAATTGATTCACAGCTACTCTTGGCTGGAGAGGCCTCAGAAAACTTACAATCATGGCGGAAGGTGAAGGGGAAGCAAGGCACCTTCTTCACAAGGCAGCAGGAAGGCGAATGAATGCAGGAGGAACTACCAAACATTTATAAAACCATCAGATCTCGTGAGAACTTACGAACAGCATGGAGGAAACTGCCCCTATGATTCAATTACCCTCACCTGGTCTCTCCCTTGACATGTGGGGATTATGGAGATTATGGGGATTACAATTCAAGATCAGATTTTGGGCGGGGACACAGCCAAACCATATGAAGTAGCCCTGCAAAGCTCTCTTTCCTTAGGGAGATTTGTATCTATAGAGAATCTACATTGATGCAGCCAGGGTTTCTCTGAGGCCTTCCCTTGTCCAGATCTAGGAAAGATTAACTGAGAGTCTGACACCTTTAAAGGTCTGAAAGAAACATTTACCACCTATTCTCTCTGGGGGCTGCTACCTGTGAGGTTTCGTCTACATAACAAGATCGCCTTTGCTAGCCTGGCCTCCTCTTTTCTCACTCCCATGACCTGTTTTGCCACTATAGCAAGATTTACTACCAACATAACCTATTTTGCCAGAATCCAAGCCCTCATTCTTCCTGTAACCTCAAGATAGTATATAAGCTTCTGAACCTCATTGGGGGATTAGAGTAATCACTCCATGTTTCTACCCTGTGTGCATGTTAATAAATATGCCTTTTCTCCAATTAATGTGACTTTTATGAGTTGAATTTTCACCGAAACTTCAGAGGGTGAAGGGGAAGTTTTCCCTTGGCCCCTACAATAACAATGCTTGTTTATTTGTAATTTGCACACCTAAGGAGCTGCTTCTAAAAACATTTTTCCTTTGAGCAAGTCATGCATTAGTACTTCATTTATTTTTGCCGAGAACAACTACCTACAAGTAAGTGAATGTTTATTATAGTAATAAATAGGATAAAAACACTATTATTTGCTTCTTTTATGAGCATATTGAGAAACTGAGAAAAACATATTACTGGATTGGGATTCAGAGCTGATAATGAAGAAGTAAAAACAAATATAAGACAAAATTCCAGAAGTCTGTAAACTCGTGGATAAGATCTAAGTATTCATTTCTCTATTTAATGGTAAATATCTGGATTCTTAAATGATATTGGATATCACAAATTCAAGAAAACAACATTAAAATTAAATCCATCTTCACAAAAACTAATTCATCCATTTATTTTATAAATATTTACTAAGCTTCTTCCCTGTGCCAAGCTCTCTTCTGAGCACTGCAGGTACAGCAGTAAAACAGAGAAGAAGTTTCCTTGTCCTCAAGTAGCTTACATACTAGTGGGGTGGGGTATGGAGACTTGTTGGCTCCATATTCAGCTGTACTTTCCCTTATCCCCCTACAGAGGAATTAGACAATAAAATAAATTGGTAAATAATATATGTTTTATTCTACTGGTGATAAGTGCTATGGAAAAAAGAAAGTGAGGAAGAAAGATAGTGTTGTGGGTGGTGAATCCCTATGGGCCTGCAGCAACCTCAATTCTTGTCTCCTCAGAAGAAAGAATTCGATTGAGGAGGCATAAAGCAGAAGGAGAGACCAAGGCAAGTTTTAGAGTGGGAGTGAAAGTTTATTAAAAAGCTTTAGACCAGGAACAAAAGGAAAGAAAGTACACTTGGAAGAGGGCCAGGTGAACGACTTGGAAGACAAGTGCCCCATTTGACTTTTGCCTTACGGTTTTATATGCTGGCATACTTCTGGGGTCTTGCATCCCTTCTCTCCTGATTCTTTCCTTGGGGTGGGCTGTCTGCATGAACAGTGACTGTTAGCACTTGGGAGGGGAGCATGCACAGCGTGTTCACTGGAGTTGTATGCATGCTCACTTGAGGCATTATTCCCTTACCAGTGGAATGTCCCTGGAAGGTCATGTACCAGTTAAACTTTGCCATTTTGCCTCTTAATGGGCATGCTTGAGCCCACTTTCCCAACTTATTGGGAAGATAAGATCTTATTGGGAAGCTGCTAATCACCAGTTTCAGGTGTTTCTAACTGCCTTTCCGTGGCGGCTGTGACCAATTATTATTTTAGAGAAACAATGTGAAAACTGCCTGACCATCACCTGATGGTCGCCTGACATTCCTGGTGTGTTGGAGGGAGCCCTCTCCTGCCCTGCTCATGTCTGACTAGCTACCGACCCTAACAATAGGAAGTGTAGAGCTTGGTTTTATGGGGGAGGTGATGTGCAGGTTGCAATTTAAAAAACATCTGGCAAACAGTTTTCTTAGTCCATTTTATCAGATAGGCAGAAATAAAAATAAGGTCTTGCTAAAAATATATATCTTTGTTATCCATGATGCTTAATAATTCAAATTCATTATTGTACAGATTAAGGAAATTAATCAGAGCACAGCCCTTTTCCCATAGTCAAAGAATGACAGAAAATTCAGAAAAACAATAGGGGCAATTTAAAGACACATGTTATAAGTGTTTTTCCCCTGAAAGTGACTTCTCCCAATGAATTCTAAAAACATATGAAAAAAATTTATCTTTGGGGAAAGAGCTTTAAAGCAAGTAGTTTACTCTGAGTACTAAACTCTGATTTTTTTTCTACATTCAAATTCTTTCCTAAGGGGCCTGGGGAGTCATGCCTTACAAACCATAAAATGTTATTAAACAGGTCTTTTTTGAACCAGCTCAATGTGGCTTACTTTCCAGCCTGACTCTGGTATGGCTTTGCATAACAGCAGATCCCCTTATCTTAACTTCAACATTCCTTTCTGCTGACTCCAAATTTTTAGACAAAGCTTAACTCTTTCAACCAATTGCCAACTAAAGAATTCCTAAACCCACCTATGACTTGTAAGCTCCCATTTTGAGATGTCCTGCCTATTTGGGCCAAACCAATGTTTGCCTTCTATGTATTGATTTATAATTTTACCTGCAATTTCTGTGTCCCTGAAATGTATGAAACCAAACTGTAACCCAACTGGCTCGGGTGCACTTTCTCGGGACCTCTGGAGACTGTGTTTCCCCAGGCTATGATCACTCATACTGGGTCAGAATAAACCTCTTTAAATATATTGGCAGAATTTGGCTTCTCTTGTGTCAATTCCTTCACATTTCACATTCTTAGAAATCATGTTGGGAAAACAGTTTTATAGAGGAGCAGGAAGCTATCCAGAGAAGTATTTCCTCAGCACAGATGTCAGAGCTCCTATACTCTCTGTGTCTGTTCAGCCCAAAGACAGATCCAGATTTTGTGGGGCTTGAGGCATAAACAATTTGCGTGCCCCCATTTAAAAAACAGAATACAAAATTACAAATTAAAATTTGGTACACAACTAAATATTTATTTAGAACAATAAAAGAAATGACAACAAATTACAAATTTTAAAAAGCTGACATGGAAACGTCATGTAATCTAGAGCAGTTATATATCTATATTAATCTCTATGTACATTCCTATTCACAGATGAACACAGTTCTATAATACTTTTGTGCTGTACATTTTTGGCTCTGTATTTTTGAAAACCTCTTTATATGTCAATAATTTTGTAATATATTTTGCTACAGAATGTATAGAATAATAGTTTTTTATTATAATTGATAAAAATAATTTTATTAATCAAAGTTTAGACTATACCCTTTAAGCCTCACAACTCATATATATTTTGTAGTTTTATGTTTTACATTTAGATCTATGGTCCATTTTAAGTCAAGTTTTGTATAACATTTGAGATTTCAGTTGAGATTTGCTTTCTCCCTATGTATGTCCAATAGCTCTAGCACAATTTATTGAAAAAAATTCTTCAACCATTAAATCTTTCTGTGGTTTTAAATTTATTTCACTTAGTTCTTGACTTAAATTTATTTTACCAAAATATTTTTATCTTACTTAATTACTAATTATTGATGAGAACTTTATCAATATAGTACCTTAGTAGCTCTGGATATATTTTTATATTCGGCCTTGTCACCCAGTAAATCATTTTACCATAAGGATATCTTTCATCAGTTTATTGAAAATTCTCTGCTATTATCATTTTAAAAAATACTTCTATCTCATTCTGTGTATTTGTTCCTTCCGAATTTTTTTTAACTACATCTTGGAGCCAGTCAATCCATACTCTGTCTTTTCTTACCTAATTCCCATTTGTTTACTCCTCTCCACTATCTTAGGGAAATTGATAAATTGGCCAATCACTAATAGTCTTTTCATTTAAGTCTAGTCTATGGTTTATCTGCACTGTTTTTTTTTTCAGTGACTATATTTTCTATTCCTAAGATTCTACTTGGTTCTTTTACATGTCTATTTTTACTTCATATTCTCTTGTTTTTATGTTTATAAATCTTATTCCTAAATCTTCTAAAAAAATAAACACACCCATTCTATAGTTGCTTTCATACTGCTCTACTATTTGTAGATCCTTGTGTAATTTCTCCTCATTATTGATTTTCTATCTGTCTCTTGGTTATTCATGGTGTATATGTTTTATAATTTTTGCCTTCGAACTTATCATTAGAAATTTTTCTCTTCTGTGGGTGTTCTTGAAATGCTTCTCTGGTTATTTTTGTCTTGCTCTGACAGAATTCAATACTTTTTTGTTAGTCTGTCATTTCGTGGTTTCCATCCTACTCATATCACAGAAAATTTGGAAATTACACCCTCGATAACTGGCATTTCAGTATGTTGAGGAGGACATGTTTTATCTGCCTGTGGCTTGAGGTGAGCAGCTCAGTTTTGGCTGTGACCCTAGGCAAGTGAGTTTCAATATTCTGTCAGTGAGAGAGCAGACTTTTACTTAGCAACAGGATGAGAATCCAGTTCTAACTTCATTTGGTGATTGGAGATTATTTCTTCAGATAGGGATTAAAGCCCCAGTTTCTAATTCCTATATTTCATCCTAATCTCTTGATGGTATGCCTACTTTTAACTTCTGCTTCTCTCTCTTCATTCTTGAAATTCAGATGCCCCTATCTTAGGATTGCCTTGTATCAAACTGACTTTTAAAAGTCTATTTCCCATAACCATTTTGCTACCATAAGAAAGTGCTATGACCATACATAGTAATTACAGGTAGATAAGAACTAACATATACAGGGTTACATTATGAATACAGGGTCTTTTGTGAAGGTATGTGTTGAGGAATACACAAAAAGGCAGGTGTCTAAGCTTCTATAATGGCTCTGCAAAGGCTCTTCATCTCACTCAGACTGAAAGCCAATGTCTTTTCAGGTTTTGCATGATTAGGTCTTCTGTTACCTCTCTGACTTTATCTCCTCTTAGCTTCCCTCTGGCCCACTGTGTACCAGTCATACCATCTTTTTTGCTATGCTCAAACACCTCAGATGCAGTCCTCTTTTGGGGTCCTTGCTTTTCTTATATCTTCTGCTTGTAATGATGCTCCCCCAGGATATCCCCACAGATCATTCCTCACCTCCATCGAGTCTTTATTCAAATATTGCTTTCTCAGTGAGGCTTTTGCTGACCTTACAAAGAGTGTCACCCTACTTAAAATTGTACCCCTTCACCACAACCCTCTATAGTCCTCTTAAATTTTTTCATAGTACTCATGCTTATCATATAACACATTGTATAACTTAGTTAAAAATATTTCCCCTCCCAATGGGATGAAAGCTCTATGAGTCCAGGGATTTTTTGATCTGTTTGCTCACACTCTATTTCCAGTACCTAAATAAGTGCCTAGCAAATAGTAGTTGTTCAACAAATATCCCCATAATAAAATAATAAATTAATGAACTACTAGAGTAAGTCCTCATTTAATGTCATCCATAGGTTCTTGGAAATGGCAACTTTAAGTGAAATGATGTGTAAAGAAACCAGATTTACCATAGGCTAATTGATATAAACAAGAGTTAATTTCCTATGGCATGTTTCTGGTCGCAAATAAACATCACCAAACTTCTAAATAAAGATCTCAAACACTTCTAATATTAAACATCGAAATAGGCCAGGTGCGGTGGCTCACACCTGTAATCACAGCACTTTCAGAGGCTGAGGCAGGCAGATCACATGAGCCCAGGAGTTTGAGAGCAGCCTGGGCAATGGGTGAAACCCCATCTCCACAAAAAGTACAAAATTAGCTGGGTGTGGAGGCGCACACCTATAGTCCCAGTTATTCGGGAAGCTGAGGTAGGAAAATCACCTGATCCTGGGAGATTGAGGCTGCAGTGAGCCATGATTGTATCACTACACTCCAGCCTAGGTGACAGAATAAGACCCTGCCTCAAAATAAATACATAAATAAATAACATTGAAATAAATGTGAGATATACATACATCTAAAAAAGATTAATGAAATTGAGTACAATAATTACCTAATTATTCCAGTTCAGGGTCTTGAGTGGGTAGAACCTCTCCTGGAAGCTCAAGGCCTAAGGCAAGAACTGACCCTGGACAGGCTGCCATCCCATCACAGGGCACACTCACACACACATGCACTCACACTCACAATGGAACTTGAGGACATGACAATTCATATAACATGCACAGCTTTGGGATGTGGGAGGAAACTGGAGTACATGAGAAAACCCATGTAGACACAGGGAGAATGTGCAAACTCAACACAGACTGTGGTCACATGATATTGTTCGGCTCTGCGTCTCCACCCAAATCTCATCTTGAATTTTAATCCTCATGTGTCAGGGAAGGAAGTGGTGGGAAGTGATTGGATCATGGGGGTGGTTTCTGCCATGCTGTTCTCGTGATAGCGAATGAGTTTTCATGAGATCTGATAGCCTTATAAGGTGCTCTTCCCTCTTTGCTTTCTCTTCTCTCTCCTGCTGCCCTATGAAAAAGGTCCTTGCTTCCCCTTCCACCATGATTGTAAGTTTCCTGAGGCCTCCCCAGCCATGTGGAACTGTGAGTCAATTAAACCTGTTTCCTTTATAAATTACCCATTCTCAGGTATTCTTTCAGCAGTGTGAATACAAACTAATACACCTCATCTGGGAATTGATTTTTTTCTGTATCGATGTTATAAAGAAACCATGTTGAACAAAATGATGTTGTGCAAGGAACTGCTGTATTGAGTTTAAGCTACATTTGAGGTTTTTAAAAAAAGCTGACTGTACTCAGATTTGTCCTGTTAAGTATAAAATAAACACCTTGCTTAAAATACCAGGGAGTAGTTTCTAAGGGGAAATTGGTAGTCAGAGAGAGCGTTTCTAGGGCAGTTCACACCTGAAAAGTTCCCCACAAGCCCTATAGACCCCTCAGGGCACTTAGGCTCTTCAGCAGCAGGCCTGTGAATCTTAGTGGAATCAAGGGTAATGGGCTAAGCTGTGTCAAGAACACTGTTTAGATGCAGTCTCGTTGTTTATGGAGTTAAGTCAATTATGTAAACTCTGTCCAGTATGAAGCTGTGTCACCTCATAAAATATGTAGCTGCAATGTTTGTGAGAACTTGATCATTAGCATGCACTGGAGTGTTTCAGGCCTGCTGTATGATGGATCTGATTATATAACAATATGCTTGCAATATTAAGTATGAATTGTTACTTGTTTCTATCAACTTTCCTAAAGCCTCATGTGGAAGATGTTTGGACAGCTACAGAGGTTATTATCATCAATTTTTCGTTGTCAGTGAAAGTCTTAAAGTAGTTTGAAGATAATTCAGACAAACTCTTCCAGGAATTCCAATAGTTCAGTGGATAAAGGAAGTACCAAACATATGCTGTTAATCACATCAAATATGTTTTAATAATTCTATTTTGAATTGTCAACTTTGCATAATAAGAAATTAATTTATTAGTGACATAAAGAATGAGTAAAATGTAATCATTTGTGTTCAAAATTTATGACTGCGTAGTCCTAGACTTATTTTTTTTTCTTATTTCATCTCTATAACAGTATTTTAAAGTGGGTGATATTTATCGTGCTTATCTAAAAAGGTATCAATACATTTCTTATAACTGGTATAATTGTTTTTTATGATAATACAGAATATAATCAAATATATAACATTTTGTTGTGTTTTTTTCCCAATGGTATTGAAATTTGATTGACATGAATATATTTCGAATATAGTGTATTTACAAAATGTACTATTTAGTAATTTTAATTTCTGTAGTTTATTTCTTGTGGACTCTACCTGTGGTAGCTCTAATAAAAACCATATAGAACTTCTTGTGCACAATTATATCCCACATATTTAATACATTTTTCCTCCCCAATTCTTTTCAAAGGAATGTATTAGGCCATTCTTACATTGCTATAAAGAAATACCCGACACTGAGTACTTTATAAAGGAAAGAGGTTTAATTGGCTACTGGTTCTCCAGGCTATTCAGGAAGCATGATGTTGGCATCTGCTCAGCTTCTGGGGAGGCTTCAGGAAACTTACAATTATGGTGGAAGACAAAGGAGGAGCCGGCATGACACATGGCTGGAGCAGCAACATAGATAGATAGAGAGAGAGAGAGAAAGAGAGAGAGGTGCTACACACTTTTAAACAACCAAATCTCATGAGAACTCTCTCACTATCACGAGAACAGCACCAAGAGGGATGGTGCTAAACCATTCGTGAGAAACTGCCCCCATGATTCTATTACTTTCCACCAGCCTCTGCTTCCGACATTGGGGATTACAATTCAAGAGGAGATTTGGGCGGGGACTCAGATCAAAACCATATCAAGAAATATAATAATTTGTGCAAATTCTGGATAAGTGCTAGAAAGTAGGGAACATTGCCAACAGTAACCTCAAATTTCTGAAAGTTATATAAAATATGGGACCAAGTATAGGGGCATTGTTATCACCTTGATATCCCAAATATGCATAGGAAAAATCCACAAAGAAGGCAATTCCAGGGACAGGAAAACACTTGGAGGGAATTGGTTGGGAAGGATGGATGGAAAACTCAACCAGCATCAGCATACTAAGGAGTTGGCCACATCCTTCACTCTAACACTTAAAACCTTTCAGAAAACCCTTAGATAATACTGCTTAGAGGCCAAGAGTTTTTGAAAGTTGGCCATGTAGAAGTCAATCTTTCTCCCAGAAAGAGAAGGGATTTATAAACTGTGACTAGTACTCCTAAAACATAATACCAGAAGTCTCTGACCATTAGATCCCAAGAGATGACTTACACATGTTGTGACCCAAGGGCAGGAACTGGATGCATATATTAATCAGCAAAATTCTTAAATATCTTGTTGTCTAGAACTCATGTATGCATACAACTTTTTCATGGTTCTATTATAGAATAGGAAAAAATATCTGCCTTTCCGTGCCTTAAAAAGAGATGAAATGTAAAATGCAAAAATTGAATGTTCTTATTGTCCATTAATCCTGCCTCAGGAAAGGCTAAAAAAGTCAAGATCAGAAGACTTTATTCCTTCAAAGCAGTTACCAGCATATGTCTATGAAGCTTGACTTTGGGCTTGTCTTTCTCCTTATCAGTTCCTTCAATTTGGAGGACATAGGAAACTATTACAACTTCTGGGGAAATAAAGGAAAGAAACCTCACTAACAGAGATTTGAAAAGTATTGAAAGGAATATCTAATCATTAATATTCTATTAGGTAAAAAATAAAGGGAGATGTATAAAAACTCTTTGATGGCTCTGTTTCTTCGTGTTTTGAAATTTTTATCTGATTCATTTTATAAACAGTCAATGAACTAGGTGGAGCCTAACATAAAATAGGGGGCATTCCGGATTTTGGCAAGATACTCAGCTATGGGAATGCGTAATAACTAAAGTAGGACCCTTACATACAGTGGATTTTTAATGAAAACAAGTATGCCAATTAATTAGGAGGTATAGTACCATAGCCATCACACAAAGCTGAGTGGATTTTGCCTTGCACAACTACAGGATATGCCATTCACTTACACTGCCAGAGTCACACAACTTGGTGGCCCTAGGTGATGTTCCAGATAACTTAGGGCTATAACTTAGGGCTATCACAGAAAACTTAGTAAAAAGAAACCATTGAGAGTACTAGAGACTGTCCCTGTTGTGTGAATCCTTAGGGTTACAGATCCCTCCTAAATCTAGTAAAATTAAATTACATGGTACATATTTTGATATAATGTGATATATGCATCGCAGAAATGTAAAGCTCACATACTACACAATCTTTCACTAAAAATAAAAAAGGCTTATTGGAAACTAAGATAGGTACAGATGATTCAAAATTGATGCAACTTTGTAACCAGTACACTAACAAAAATAATAACAATTTTAACCAAAAGAGTAGCACATTTAAAGAGAATAAGAGGACATTGCATCCATAAAAAGGAAGCAATTTGAAATCAGAAATAATGACATTCAGATAAAAAATAAAATAAAAAATATACATTTAAAAATATACTCAATTAATAACATGTTGGATATTTCAGAATATAAAATCAGTAAATCAAAGTCTAGTTTGAGAAATTATGCCAGCACTAATAAAAAATGGGAAGTATAAATGAATATTGTGAACAAAAGGATGAGACATGAAAAAATAATACAGACCATTTGATATGGTCTGGCTCTGAATCTCCACCGAAATTGCATATTGAATTGTAATCCAAATTGTAATCCACATGTGTTGGGGGAGGGACCTCGTAGAAGGTGATTAAATCATGGAGGGAGTCCCCCCATGCTGTTCTTGTGAGAGTGAGTGAGTTCTCGTGAGATCTGATGGTTTTATAATGGGCTTTTTTCCCCTTCACTCTGCACTTCTCCTCCCTGCGGCCATGTGAAAAAGGATGTGTTTGCTTCCCTTTCCACCACGATTGTAAGTTTCCTGAGGCCTCCCCAGCCATGCTGAATTGTGAGTCAATAAACCTCTTTCCATTTCTGAAGAGGGACATCAGAATCAGGAGGTAGCCGGGTGGATTAGCTTATTCCAAAACCCCTGTAGGCTACAGTACAGCAATGGTAGTGTAAAAATGTAAAAGTATTCTGGAGAAACCAGTAGAATTGCTAAAGTCCTAGTTTTTACCTAGATAAGAGATCTAAGCTGTCCAGAAGTTCCAGTAGCAACATAGGCAGTGGTTTGCCCAGAGGTTGCCAAAATCACTGTGGTGGTATCTTCAATTCAGTATTTGTGATGGGTAATATAGAGTGTCAACTAGATTGGATTAAAGGTTGCAAAGTATGATTCCTGGGTGTGTATGTGGGGGTGTTGCCAAAGGAGATGATTGTGATGGTTAATATAGAGTATCAACTTGATTGGATTAAAGATTGCAAAGTATCGTTCCTGGGTGTGTATGTGGGGGTGTCACCAAAGGAGATGAACATTTGAGTCAGTGGACTGGGAGAGGCAGAGTTACCCTCAATCTGGGTGGGCACCATCTAATCAGCTGCCAGTATGGCTAGAATAAAGCAGTCAGGAGAAAATGGAAGAGCACTTGTTGAGTCTTCCGGCCTTCATCTTTCTCCCATGCTGGATGCTTCCTATTCTTGAACATCAGACTCCAAGTTCTTCAGTTTTTGTACTCTTGGACTTACACCAGTGGTTTGCCAGAGGCTCTCGGACCTTTGGCCACAGACTGAAGTCTGCACTGTCAGCTTCCCTACTTTTGAAGTTTTGGGACTTGGACTGATCCACCACTGGCTTTCTTGCTCTTCAGCTTACAGACAGCCTTTTGTGGGATTTCACCTTGTGATCCTGTGAGGTAATACTCCATAATAAGCTCCCCTTCACATAGGCATCAATCCTATTAGTCCTCTCCCCTCTAGAGAACCCTGACTAATACAGTACCTACTTGAATGCATTGTTCACAGAGCACCCACTCTAAGTAATGCAGACATTTATTGTAAGTGTGTAATTCAATACTTTTTAGTATATTGATAGAGTTATACTAGCATCACCACAATCCAGTTTTAGAACATTTCCATCACCCCCAAAACCTCCTCATGCCCGTTTGCTGCCAAACCTCACTCCTACTACCAGGCCCAGACATGTAGATCATGCCACAATAAAACTGTTAAAAAATAAAAAGTAACTCAAATAAAACATTATCATGTATTGCTTCCCTGTAAAATTGATTGTATTATTGTCAAAAAATAAAATATTGTAAAACTGAAAAAAGATAAAAAAGAAAAATCTCAATGCTACAGATCAAAAAGAGGAAAGGAATGAGTGTTAGCAGGCAAGTGCTTAATGATGGGGTCTGGAGATAACTGAAACTGGAGTAGGCCTACATTTTAAGGATTTACTGAGAACTGTAGAAGCTAAAATGTGTAATACCTTTTCCTCATCCATGGCCAGGTCCACGGACAATACTCCTATGACAAAAAACAGATTAACAAGTGAAAAGTACAACAGATTTTTCAATCAAAATATTACATGACATGGGAGCCTTTAGAAATGAAGACCCAAAGAACCAAGGAAAACTCTATTTTTATGCTTAAATTCAATGAAGAATGGACCATAGTGTAGAAATGTGATTGGACAAAAAGGGTATGATCTAGTGGTAACAAACTGGGAGGGACTTAGCAAGACGTATTTGTTTAGATTCTTCTTAACCTCCTTGTGTAGCATTTCTTCTTTCCTGGGTATGGGGCAGGACCCCTCTGGAATGTGGGTCTTATGGCCTACTGCTGTGGTTTGAACATGTCCCCCAAAGTTCATGTGTGAAGAATTTAATCCCCAATGCAACAGTATTGAGAAGTAGGACCTTTAACAGGAGATTAGGTCATGAGGGCTCTGCCCTCATGTATGGATGAATGCTGTTAACGTGGGACTGGGTTGGTTATCAAGGAAACAGGCTCCTGATAAATGGATGAGTTTGGCCCTCTTCCTCTCTCTCTCCCCGCCCCACCCCTCTGTCTGTCTCTCTCTCATGTGCTCTCCTGCCCTTCCATCTGTAGCCATGGGATAATGTAGCAAGAAGGCCCTTGCCAGATGCAGACCCCTCAATCTTAGATTTCTCAGCTTCCAGACTATAAGGTATAAATCTTTGTTCTTTATAAATCTCCCAGTCTCGGGTATCCTGTTATAGCAGCACAAAATGAATGAAGATACCTACTTTCAGGGGAGGTAAGTCAGAGAGTGACCTCTCTAAATTTTATGGCTTGCTTTAGGGACTAGCAGTTCTAGTTTCTATGACCTGCCTTGTGGAAGAGGAATTCTAGTTTCTATGACCTGCACTGGGGGAGAAAGGAGGGCAGAATAAGGTGAGACAGAACTTCCTGCTTCTCAGGCCCTTGCTTCTGAGCACCATAATTTGGGGTATTGTGTTCTGAGCCCCACCAGAACCCATATCCCTGACACATACAGGCCTGTACACTTCTCCTTAAAACCATACATTGATACCAAAATATTTTAGAGTCTAGGAGCAGCTTTCATGTAAGTTATTGCCTGCTCTGTAATATAATGTCCTAGTAGGTTTTGGAATTGAATCACAGTTAGAGGTAATGTTAGAATTTAGAGAAAATTGTTAGGGTTAGGGGTTGGAACCATAAAGTTAAGAGCAGAGGTAGAATTACATATAGGGACAGTTTTAAAGATAAAGTTAGGGACAGAAATAATGTTATAGATAAAGTATGAGGACATGAATACAATTAACATTGAATTGAAACTTAAAGATAGGGTTAGCTTGAGTGAACAAAATGTGCTCACTAAGTTCCCTTCTCTCTGCTAAAGATAGAGCCTCTATCAGCATTTTTTCTGGAGTAACTATAATGAGGAGAGGTTTCCCAGCAATCCAAATTGGACATGCAGTTTTATCAAGAAATTAGCATTTTTTTGTTAAGTCACTGAGTCTTTGTGATTTTTTTTAATGCAGCTTAGCCTAAGCTATGCAGATGAATTCAAAATCTAAGAATCTTAGTAAGATGCTGGATTGAGAACACATTTAGTAAGAGGATAAACCACAGAAAAAAATGTATTTCCATTCACCTCTGTGTGATTTGATTTTGGCTGAAGTGGCAGCCAACCAGGTTGTTTTATGTTATGTAGGTGGTGAATGAAGCGGCTGGCAAATAATAAGAAATACATATTTGATCTCTGCACCCAGTTTCTGACACAGAGCTCCTAAGTCCCTTGGGATTTCCTGGGTGATAGGAGTGTCTTTTGTTCTAATGAGGCAACTCTTGGTGGGCTCCTTGATTGCTTCAGGATGGAGGCTGTTAATGACCAAGCCATGATTAGAAGCTTGGGACTTTTGGCCCAACACCTATTCTTCAAGAAGTGGAGTAAAATTGGGAATTGAGTTAATAATCGATCATGCCTACATGAAGAGGCCACCATAAAAATCACTAAACTATGGGGTTTAGAGACCTTCTGGGTTGGCGAACTCATCCATTTATTGGGAGTGCAGTGCACTCTAACTCCGTGGAGACAGAAGCCCCTATACTCGGGACCATTCTCGACCCTGTCCTCTGTTCCTCTTCATCTGGCTATTCATTGGTATCCTTTCTTTTTAATAAACTGGTAAATGTAAGGAAAGTGTTTCCCTGAGTTCAGTGAGCCAGTATAGCAAATTATCAAACCTAAGGAGAGAGTTGTGGGAACCTCCAATTTGTGACCAAGTCGGACAGAAGAGTGGGTATCCTGGGCACTCAATATTTGCAACTGGCATCTGGAGTGAGGAGCAGTCTTGTGGGACTGAGCTCTTAACCCGTGGGGTCTGTGCTAACTCTGAACACTGTCAGCACTGGAGTAAATTGTAGGACACCCAACTGGTGTCTGCAGAGAAGTGGATAATTTCTTGGTGTGGAAACCCCATACATTTGGTGTCAGAAGTGGAGTGTTCTAGAAACAAGTTATAGTTGTGGTGAACCTTTTCTACTCAATTAATACATTTTTGTGGATGTTGAGATTCCCTGCCAAAGATCTTGCCTTCAGGAAAGAGGTGTTTATTCCCAGGTGCTCAGATGTTGTGAGCTGATAGCTCTCAGCTATAAGTCCTCTTTGGGAGTTGCCTTTGTTGAAGAAAGAGGCTTGGCATAAGATCACATATTTCTTTTGGGGACAGTGGAGGTGTAGAGGCCTGGCCCTCTGATAGGGTTTGGCTGTGTCCCCACCCAAAATCTCATCTTAAATTGTAATCTTAATAATCCCCATAATCCCCATGTGTCAAGGGAGAGACCAGGTGGGGTTAATTGGATCATGGAGGCAGTTTCCCCCATGCTGTTCTTATGATAGTGTGTGAATTCTCATGAGAGCTGATGGTTTTATAAGTGTTTGGTAGCTCCTACTGCTTTCATTCTTCTTTCTGCTGCCCTGTGAAGAGGTGTCTTCTGCCATGAATGTAAGTTTCCTGAGGCTTTCCCAGCCATGTGGAACTGTGAAGCAATTAAACCTCTTTTCTTTATAGATTACCCAGTCTTGGGTATTTCTTTATAGCAATATGAGAATTGGCTAATAAACACTCTCACCTCAACTTGTAATAATTCTGAAGGTTATCCTAGATTCAAAGCTCTCCATGGGGCTCTGCTAACTGTGATATCGTTTTTTGGTGTTCATTCCTCTTAATTGTCTTGCCTCTGGTATTGTAATCTTTAAGTACATGCATAATTAGTCAGGAAGAGTGGTACTTTCTGGTGTGTTTGTCTCTGTGAACCTCTTTCACAAGAATCAACTTAAGTTTCAAAGAAAAATAACATGGAGTGCTATGTTTTCCCCTCTAAAGGTGAAGGGGAAATAAGTTCTTATTGTAACTCTATCACAGCCCAACTTCTACCTCTGTCCAATCCTAATTTCTTTCTTTCTCCCATGCATAGAGGGCTCAAGATCACTTCCCAATAAACATCCTGCACACTTTTCTTCATCTGAGAATTTATATCCCAGGGGACCCAATCTATGTCTTAGAACTATTTATGTTTTGAGAATGCTATAGGTCACATAATATTTGAGAACCACTCTGATGCCACCTATTCCTGTTGATATACAAAAATATCTCTTTCTAATATAATCAGTTCTCTAGATCGGGGTCCTCAAACCCCTGGCTGAGGATGGATACTGGTCTGCGGCCTGTTAGGAACTGGGCCACACAGCAGGAGGTGAGTGGTGGGCCAGTGATCATTACTGCCTGAGCTCCTACACCTGCCAGATCAGCAGCATTAGATTCTCATAGGAGTGCAAACTCTATTGTGAACTACATATGTGTGAGATCTATGTTGCACATTCCTTATGAGAATCTCACTGATGCCTGATGATCTGAGGTGGAACAGTTTTATCCCAAAACCATCTCCCACCCTCACTTCACCATCTGTGGAAACATTGTCCTCCAAGAAACTGGTCCCTAATGCCAAAAAGGTTGGGGACTGCTGATCCAGGTGACGGATGGGTTTACATATATCTAGGGGAGAATACACAAGGAAAAATGGGCCTCAACCTTGGAAATTGCATTGGCCTAAGTGGGAGCTGGGAAACCACATGGATAAAAGAAACCTATTGCTACTTGATGGCAAGAAGCATTTTTCTTTCTCTCCTCAGACCATGAAGACCTTCTAGAGCTACAGACTGAGGCACTTCAGTGTTCTTCTGCCCTCCTCCCTTCCACTGGTAGTAGTGACTCCTAGACTGGGCCATCAAGAAATTTCAGCCTCTCTCCATTGCCTCAGTGATGGGCTCGAGTAGCCCCTAGCTTTAGCAGAATAAGATATTTCTGGCCATGGGCAGCAGTAAACCTATTGTTTCAAGTGGCATTTCAACCTTTATGTCTTGACCTACTCATAGGAACCGACCTACTCAGAGTTGCAGAGAAATGAGGTATTACTGCTTTTTTTTTCCTCAGGGAACTGACGTCATGCCAGTATTTTCTACACTCACCCAGCATCAGAAGAGCATATATGTTGAAAGAAAAGGTCAACGTATTCTGTCATCCCTGGTTCCAGGTATGGAAGAAGAGAGTTGTTTTAGTATCATGTCTCTGATGATTTTGGAGGTATCCAAAGCCAGTTGATATAAGAGATAAATTAAGGTGATCATGCCACATCTCATGACTGAAGAGCTGGGAGTTGTAAGACCTAGTTTGGCAACTGGAACAGATAACACAATTCCTTCAAATTTTTTTCTTTTCTTTTTTTGAGAGTGTCTCGCTCTGTCTCCCAGGCTGCAGTGCAGTGGCATGATCATGGCTCACTGTAGCATCTATCTCCTGGGCTCAAGCAATCGCCTCAGCCTCCCAAGTAGCTGGGACTACAGGCATGCACCACAGTGCCTGGCTAATTATTTTTTTATTTTTATTGGGGATGAGGCCTTGCTGTGTTGCCCAGACTGGTCTCAAACTCCTGAACTCAAGTGATTCTCCTACTTCAGCCTCCCAAAGTGCTGGGATTACAGGCATGAGCCACCAGCCCTGGTACTTGCAAATATTAATACTCAATGAATACATGTTGAATGTAGAGAGGCTGCTAAGTGTTGGAGACAAACCATCTACAGGACAAACATGGTCCTTTCTGTCCTTGAGGAACTTAGATTCCAGTGGGAATAAGGCAGTACTGACACCTATAACAAGGAGAGCATGTGAACCACCCTCGTCCTTGCTCAAGTAAGGAAGGCAGAACAATTTGGGAGTGTGGTTATTTTGCTCATGAGGAATTGGTGATGCTGTTGTTGATATTGTTTTTCTCAGTCACACCTCTTGTTTTTCCTCTGATGCCATAGTCTTTGAGTACATGCATCATTACTAAAAAGAAAGTGATCTTTTCTGGTTGCATTTGTCTTTGTCAACTTATTTTATAGGATACAATTTCATTTTCTATGAAAATGAAGTCAAGTGTCAAGTGGTATATGTTTCCCTCAAAAGATTCTGGGGAAAAAAGACATGTGACATATTAGCCAACATTTAATAAATTTAATAAATTAATAGGAAGTCTCATAAAACCTGTAGTGGATAACATACAGGAATTAGGAATAAGACAACACTTTGCAACCATTCACAAAAAATACCATTTGACAAAGGAGAAGAATTACAGAAAATAATATAAGGCAGTCTGTTGCACGTGTCTTACACAGATATACATATATAATAATACATCAAAATGATTTGTTTGATGGTAAATTCATCACCTTTACAATTATCACATGGACTTCTTTAAAACATTTATAAAAGTTTGTAGATTTAACATTGAAGGGTAAGATTTATATCCAAATGAGTATATTTGTTTCATACCAAACTGCACAGAACTTACGAATAGCACACAACTTGAGGATAATTACCAGGTTGGGTACTATTAAGTACTACTACTTGATGACACAAGAATCATTAACAAATGTGCTGTGAGCTATTATCATTCAACTTATTGCTAGTACTTTTGGAAATCTGTGATTTATATTTTGTTTCTTTGTAAAACATGTGCTATGAGCTTGCCCTGATAGTTCAGAAATCAGATGTTTCCAGTTTTTTCTAACACTCACACTACTTCAGATCTGAATGCATGGTCTTTTTAAGGATTGCTGAAGGATTTTCTTCAGTCCTTCTTCTATCAGCTATTCTGCCCTACATTAATACAAATCGATGGATTCATGCAACATACATGGCATACATGCAGGACACCATCTGTATGTGCAGAACTCATGCTAAATGCATGCTGTGTTTCTTCAGCCATTTTCATTTCGGTAAGAATTAAATCATCTCATTCTGCTTCATATAATTATTTTAACATGCACTTCAACAGACCTAACAGGCAAGGCAGGTAGACTTGACTTTCATGTTATATTTGGGCATGCTCAAGCAATTGACTGATGTTTGGCAGTGTTGCAAATCAAATAGAGACTGTATGAGTTTCCTCAAATACAGCAGCTCTTCCACTGCCCTTGTGGCAGACTATTGGATTTATCTATACTGTGTGTTGAGAACACAGACCAAGGGTTTTAGAAATTCAGATTTTTCATTAACCAATTTTAAGATACTGAGAGGCACATTCTCAGGTGTGTAAGTAACTGTCAAGCGTAAGAACTAGCATCATGAATTCTTCCAAAATTTATCCACAGTTGTGTGAAATGGGCACGTATGGAAATACTGTTACTAGAAACACTTGTATACTCTGCACACAGCATAGACTGAATGGCCTGACTTTAGCAATGCTTGAAAACTTTTCATGGTTTAGAAACTATTAAAATGCTACTGAATTCTTAGAGAGCAGCAGGCCCACGAATGAAATGATGGCCAACACTTATTGTAACACAACACTATATTTTAACAAAGATTTAAACTTCTGGTAAATAACTGCAGTGCAATGAAGAGCTTGCCACTTTCACAAATTAGCTGCAGCCTTTTCCTGCACTAGAGAGTTTGGAAGGATCTGAAAATGACATAAATTTTGTTTAAAATCCAAATGGAAACTCCGTGTTTCTGTAATCCCGAGTTCGGTAAAAGTGTCTTTTTAATTACTTTTTTTTTTCACATTCTAAGGGCCCAATTCTGTAGTCCTTAATCAAGTAAAACTTCCAAAGTTTCTACCATCTATACTTCCAATACAAGTTTTACTCAAAAATGGACTGCTAAATTAAGTCCTATAGACAGAGGTACCATAATTAAGAAAATATTTTAATAAGGCTCAAAATACTAATTTCACTTTGTGTGAAGCACACAAATTTCCAGGATGCTGAGATCAAAACCCAATTGATGTTGAATCCTGGGTTGGGAAATAACTCTGGGATCTCATTTCCCAGTTTAATCATAGAATTAGGAATTTACTAAGGACCAGAATGAAAACACTAATTTCAGTTTGCTTGTTGTAATAATCAGAATTTGAACACTGTCCTTAAGAAGTGAAAAGCTATTTGGTGTATTACATCTCATTATCCTTCCACTTCTGTAGTCCCGGTTAACCAGCTGCTATGTTAAAATACCACTATGTTTAGGGACAGACATTGCAGTAAATACCAACACAACATTCTGACAATGTCAAATTTTTGCCCCTATATGAACAACAAGACTAGGTTCTGCCTCTGACTCACTGACAGATGTATCAGAAAGCAGAACCTATCTTACTGTGTTTATATGTGTAGATGAGCAGAGCAAGAATGTAAAGTGTATATTTACTGTTAACCCAGAACAAATGTCCACTGAATTTGTTAATTTAGGTGTGGTTGAAATATAACCACTGTCATGTGCCTCATTCTGGTCACCTGCAAATGCCACCTGAGATGAACATGAACGTTGCCATATGCACAAAAGAAAGAGAGAAAGGAAGGAAGAAAGGAAAAAAGGAAGGAAAGAAGGGAGGGAGAGCAAAAATAAACATTTTATTCATCAAACAATCAAAATAAGTTAGTCTCCACCTATTATAAACAGTAAATATAGAACCCTAAATCTCACTAATGTAGGCATGATTGTAAAGTACAAGGTTGCAAAGCTATATGTAAAAACACTTTTTCAGACAGCAATATTTACATTAGTTAAGACCAACAGAAAAATTAAAGAAGAAAATTTTCCTACATATGTAGCTTGTACCGTAGGAAAAGACTGTGCTGTTCTTTCTCACACACTGCTAATCCTTTCGCTAACCACACTGGAGGGATTTACTGGTAACTCTAAATTCTCAACTTGCATCTCTATACCGGGCTCATTGTCACTGGCTTTCTCGATCACCGGTTCATTGGTATGCCGATAAATGTTAACATTAAGCTCCCTCCCAGACAAAGCAGTGGCGGCAACTCTTGGAATCTGCCTGACAGGAGGCTTTTTCTCTACCTTATAATTGCAACGCAAATAGTTGGAGAATGCCCTTCGGTAAATTTTGTTGAACAGAGTATACACCAGAGGATTGATTCCTGAACAAACATAGCCAATCCAAACAAACACATTCAGAAGCTTTTCCATGAGCTTTTGGTTACAGGACTTCTCACAAAGAACAGACAGAATATTGGTAATGAAAAATGGGCACCACATGATCAGAAACACAAAGAAAACAATCCCAAGGACTTTCGAAGCTTTTCTTTCATTGTTGATAGCCTGCATGGTGCCCCTAGGACGTCTCTCCTTCTTCTTTCTTCGGCGTGCGTTCTGGTCTTGGTTAGGGTTTGCAGAGTTCTCTTCCTCGGCCGTATTCCTCTTGCAGCACTTCAGGAAATCCAGACTTAGTCCAGGCGGTTCCTCGGTGTGGCCGTGCAGTAACATCAAAGCTTGTCGGCGCAGAACGTAGATGGTCAGGCAATACGTAATCACCATAATCGTCAGCGGTATGAAGAAAGCTACGAAGGACCCAATAAGAACGAAATTTGGGTCGTTGAGCACGCACGTCGTGTTGTTCACGAACACCTTTTCTTCGTCCCTCAGTCCAATCACAGGGATAGGAACTGATACACCTAAAGGAAGAAAAAGGAAGGGGGTTGTTATAGCATCTTGAAGGACTGAACAGATGTATTCAACGGCATACATTAATTTGCATTTTACGGAAGGAAATTCAGACCTGATATTTGTTGAAAGCTATTCACGGCATAATCGATAGTCACATGAAACACTAGCAGTATGGCATCAGAAAATGATGGCGTTTTTCATGTTAGGAATGCCTTCTCCCTAAATTCTGTAGAAGGCATGGAATTACCCTTATTGATATTAACTATATTAGAGACACGGTTGTGTCAAAGGGTGGATTGTGTCAGATTTGTTGGATTTCCAGTTCCAAGAATCGTCCTGGCTCAGAGAAGGCACTCGATAAATATTTGTTGAATCAATGAATAAATTCACATCTGTACTTGATGACATTAATAAAGCCAATCATTCTTTCTTTAGCATATCATTTTCCAAATTCAATAAAAATGAGACAAATACCACCTGTAATAGTAATAATAGCCTATTAGGGATGGCTGGGCTGAGTCTAACTACTATGCAGAAATAGTCAATAAGCAGAGACTGAAAAGATTCTCTTTTTAGCAAGGGTTTTTGTTTGTTTGTTTTATTTTGAGTCTCTGGGCATGAGCAATGTTTCAAAGTCAAGAGAGGGTAAAATGTAGAGTTGGGAGATATGCAGTCCTCCAGTTTCTGTGTGGAATTTTGAGCATTTTTGTTTTAAGAATACTGAGAGGTAGTACTCTAGGGAAGCACTTCCTTCAATAAATAGGCCCATAGTTAGGAAATATCAATGAGGAGGTGGGAGCAGAAGGTGATCTTGTGCCTGAGCATAAGTAAGATATCTGGAAGCTTTCAGAAATAACCACAGTAGGTCTTCAAGAGGTCCTGCATCAATACATAGAGATAAATAGATAACAGATAGAGATTGCTGTCCTGTCTTGTGTCCACAGGAAGTCGAAGCCTGGGAAGTTCAGATTGTATTTGTGGGGTTCCATTAGAGATTATTAGGAATCCTGGGCTGGTAGGTGTCTACATCATGAACTGTGAGAGGAGACAGAAATGCATTCTCAGAGATCCTTGCTGACCTTAGAGAACACACAAGCAACTGTGACAAACCTGAAACAGAAAGTCCTTACTAGTTGCTTTAACATGCCTAGTCAGGTATAGAGTGTCTGGCTGGATGATCAAGAGGGAAAAAAAACAATGAGTCAATGCTTCTTTGCTAGAGCTTGCTGAGAATGTTGACGGATGTTTAATCTCTGGGAAGATAGAAAGAAGAGAGTGTTTTGAAAGTGATCTTTAAGTCTTCTTCCTCAGACATGGAATTTCTAAAATGACTGGCCTTTTCCTAGAGTAGGAAGCCAAGTAACAGGGTGAGGAAGCCACAACAGATATGACAAGACTTCCCTGGGTATTGGTCCATGCCTACCTATAGCTCTGAACCTAGGCACACCATTCAAGAAAGTAGGAAAGACTGAAAATGAGGAGGCACTGCAAACAGTAAGTCACCTCAAGTAGTGCATGGCCAGATCCTAAAGCAGAGACCTTTGCACCTAGATGGGGTGGAATGACAATTATTAGAAGGAGAAAAGAGAAAGTGATTTTTCACCAAGTTTGATGAAATGCCTGGGAAATTTCAACAGGAATTTGGGAATATAGAGTACAGCAGAACCACACAGAATATATTTCTTAAGAGTTAAAAAAAAAAAAAAGCAGTTAAGAAAGCTGCCAGACTGTGTTGTTTAAATCTTTATGTGAAAAATCATAAACGTAAGGTAATCTCTAGACAGCACAGATCAAACATGCCCTAAAGACATCAGTGTTGGCTTAACCTTAATAACATATTTTAGTGACGGATTAGTCTGCAGAAAGTTAATATAAGATTTTTAAAAGAAGAAAGAGTTTCTTTAAAAAAATTTACAAGAGAAAATGTTAGAGGGGGAACTTATATATTAAGAGATACTTAAAAGATCTATCAAGTAATTATAATATGTGGATCTTCTTGGGATCTTGATGAAAACAAAAACATGTTAAAAATTTTCATGACACAATTAAAAATCTGAACAATGACTGGCCTTTGGATGATATTAAATAATTATTGTTCATTAATTTTTAGGTGAGGTATTGATATTGTGGTTATATAAAAAGACAGCTCTTTTATTTTTTGATATACATACTAAAACACTTACAGATGAAGTATTATGATGTTTGGAGTTATTTCAAAATAATACGGGAGGGAGAAGTGGATGAAAGTATGGATGAAACAAGACAGTCCACAGGCTGATAAATCTTGGAGCTGGATGATGAGTTCATGGGCTTTATTTTATAATTCTACCTTTGTAATCTTTGAAAGTCAACTATGAAACAGAAAGTTTAATAATTTTTTTCAATTTAAAAAAAGAGAAAAGAAGACATAGAGGTCCTTTCTGAAACAGAGTAACATCACTGTTAAGCCTCAGATTTTAAAAAGTCTCCAAAACTGATTGGCCACTGCTAATCTTGGAAGTGATTCCTTCCAGAGCAAAAAAACATTTGGATCCCTAAATAGAAACATTCAACCACCTGTTTGATAAAACTGTAGGGAAGAAGGCCATTTTCTGACAATGTGTTGATAGGAAACTCTGTTATACCTTTCCAGGTTCCTTACAGCAAAAGCAATAAAGGATGCAGGAGTGGTGTTTCCCTCTTCAATCTCCTACCTTGCCAACCACCCAGCACCTTAGATACTACAGCGTGGGGCTAGAGACTCAATCTGGGGAATTTGCTTTCACCCTGGAGGCATCATGACTGAGGCATGTACCTTCAATTTCCCACAGGAAATGCTGCATATATTCTAAGTATTCATAGACACACTTGGACGTTTCTGGGGAAGGCCTCACACACAGGCCATGAGATTGGTGGAAGTTTGTATCACTTAGAGACCAACTCCAGAGTAATGTTAGCTCGCTTCTGTTAAATGATTTATTCACTTGTCTAAGGGATTCTTGAGCCTAAAGTAGGCCTTGTCAAGGGACAGCAAGAGAGGGTAGCAAAGTCACTGTAGATAAGCTGAAGCTGTTATTGGGTAGATGAGGCCAATTTTATCCCTGGCATCTATTTGTATTATTTTTTGTGCATTGAGGAAAGGGTGATTCTAATAGCTGCCATTTATTGAGTGTATCCTATGTGCCAGGCACTGAGCCATGTATATTACTGACATTACAGATGTAGAATGTATTATCTCAATTTGGTTAAAAACTTTATAAGACAGGTATTATTTGGCAAAGTAGCTTAACCAGTTTACCAAATCTGCACTGTCATTAATTTTCTTTTGTTTTTAGAAACCATGAATGCAATCAACAAAACAAGAAGAAATTCAAGTTATTTCAAACATATGAGGAAATTATAAAAAGCAACAACAAAAGCAGCATTAATAACAATATATGTTGTACACTGTCTTATTCAATACTTTAAAAAAAAATAAAAGGTAAGTGTCAGCAGTTCTCAAAGTGTGATTCAAGGACCCTAGGGGGGTGTCTGAGACTGTTAGAAAGCTTGCTAGGTTTTCCTTTCCTAACTGTCTTTAAAACTGCATTTTCTTCATAAATTTCAACCAAAACAACATATCACAACTGTTTGAATGTGGATACATATATGAGAATCTAGCTTTCTTTCTGTCAAACAAGATATTAAAAGAGATTTTCAAAACTGTGGGCCGGGTGCAGTGGCTCACGCCTGTAATCACAGTACTTTGGAAGGCCGAGGTGGGCAGGTCACCTGAAGTCAGGAGTTCAAGACCAGCCTGGCCAACATGGTGCAACCCAGTCTCTACTAAAAATACAAAAATTAGCCAGGGATGATGGCACATGCTTGTAATCCCAGGTACTCGGGAGGCTGAGGAAGGAGAATCGCTTGAACCCAGGAGGCAGAGGTTGCAGTGAGCCGAGATCCCGCCACTGCACTCCAGCCTGGGTGACAGAACAAAATTCCATCTAAAATAAATAAATAAATAAATAAATACAATAAATTTTCAAAACTGTAAAACAATGCCTGTTTTCTCTCTGATTTGTTTTGGAGATTATAGTTTTCAAAAATATGTTTTTATGTTAACCTTAGATGGGTTTATTATTATTATTGAAAATAAAATTATTCCTAAATATTTTAAATATTTCTCAGTTTTAATTTCTAATACCATAAATATCAATAAATATAAGCCGCATAAGCAAAAACTCTTTTGGAGTCCTCGATTATTTTGAAGAGTATAAAGGGGTCCTGACACCAAAGAGCTTGAGAACTGCTGTTCTATGTTAATGCATTAAGTTATTTAAGTGCTAGAGAGTTAAGTTCAGCAAATGTGTTAAGTTTGTCTTAGCATTTTTATTTCAACCAATAGTAATTCATGCGATATTATCATGTCTGGTAAATATAAATAACAGCAATACTGGCAACAAAACACTTTAAATTCATCATTCATTTTTATAAAAATTCCGCAAGGCACATGTTATTTGATGAAGTTAACTTCAGAAAAATTAAGTAAGTTTAGCAAATATCATGAGGCAATCTTCAATATTTTTGAAATTCCTGATTTGGCCAAAGAGGAAAACTAGATATGAACTACCATTGAAAATATCAGGTGTCACTAACAATAATTCCAATAATAATAACTACCTTTTACTGAGGGCTTATTTGTCATGCACTAAGCCACATATTTCACAATTGTTATATACTTTTATATATATTTTATTCAATCCAGACAAAAAAAAATAAATTATTAGGTGGAATCACTTAACCTTTCTGAGATTAACTTCAATAACTCTGTATCATCTTCCTTAGAATTTTAGAACCAACAAAGGTAAGTTATAATTCATGTTGTGCTGCAAACCTTAGGTACTTCTTCAACTAATAAACTGTCAAATATATTTCACATGCATTATCTAATTCAGTTGTTGCAAATCTCTGAAAAGTGGTTATTATTTATTAAGGTTACTTAAACTCTGAGAGGAAGAGTGCCTTCAGTAAACATATAAGAGTCTTACTTAGCATTTTAGAATATTAAATTCATTAACATTGTTAAGTTAAAGCTTTACTGAAAATATCATATGTTACTTCTACCACTATTTTATTCAAAATATAACGTTACCACTATTATAACTACTACTGCTATTATAACTACTACTGCTGTTACAACTACTACTACTATCATTCATTAAGTGTTTATTATGAGTGCTTACTGACTCTGATACTTTGTCTGCATTACATACTTTACATGCATTATCTCATTTCAGCCTCTTAAAAGCCCATTAGTTGATGAAGTTATTTTACTGCAAAAGAGGTAAGTTCAGAGGATGTATAAATATGTTTACATTATTTCTTAAAACCTTGAATTCAAGCAACACAGATCAGTTCTCTCCAAACCATAAGGTCATATGCCAATGATTCTAAGAGGCACATTTCTTTCAGATTTTAACATCTTTGAAATTGTGATGCTTCATACAACCCATAGTGTCTTACAATCATTGTTGGCCAGAAACTAGTCATTAGATAGTTGTCATTGTCAGTACATGTGTGAAACTGGTCTGAATAACTTCTTTTGACATCTTCTGGAAAGATCAAAACTACCAGCAGCAAAATTTGCAAAATGAGTGTCAGCTACATGACAACAATTCAGTGTAAGTGAAAAGTTATGTCATTACGAACAAAGGGAAGGAGTGTTCTGAAGAAGACATCCGCAACAGTTTCAAATGCCACAGAGAGATCTAGAATTTGAAACATTTTCTCTATCTTTGAAAATGAAGAGGTCATTGGTGATTATAGAGAGAACAATTATAGTGAAGACAGGAAACAGACTGCCAAGAGATGAATAATAAATAGTGATACAAAAGAGATTAGAGAATACGTTTCCTAGAACAGCTTGATAAACATCAAAATGAAAACATAGGGAAATTATTGTTAACCTGCAGGGTTATCTGTTTCCATGGGTTATTTTGCATGGAGAGGAAATTTTTTTTCAAGGATACCTAGAAAACCATACTATTTCAGGCTGACAGGAGTTCTTGAAGTCTGGTGATGCTGCAGTCATTGTCATTCATATGGCTCCTGGCAAACCCATGTGTGTTGACAGTATCTCAGACTATCCTCCTCTGAGTCATTTTGCTCTTTATGATATGAGATAGACATCATATCTTGATTATGTGTCATCAAAGCAAGGGACAAGAAGGCTGTTGGAGCTGGCAAGGTCACCAAGTTTGACCAGAAATCTCAGAAGTTTTAGATGAATATTATCCCTAATACCTGCCACCCCAGTTTTAATCAGTGGTGGAAGAATGGTCTCAGAACTGTTTGTTTCAATTAGCCTTTTAAGTTTAATAGTAAAACTGATTAATGATGACAATGCATTGTAAAACCTTCAGAAGAAAAAGAGAATGTTTTCTGGATCCCCTTTTTTTTGCATGTGGCAGTTTTAAGTTTTTAGTTTTTAAAATCAACACTTTTTAATGGAAACGCCCTGACCAAAAATCTGTTACAGAATTTTGAAACCCATTAAAATAAAGCTTAATGCAAGAAAAAGAAAGAAATATCCAAGGGTGTCATATCAGATACCATGGAGGACAGAAGATAAAATCATCTTTAAAAAGAATAAAGTAAAAACTACAGCAACAAACGCACATCTGTCAACCCAGAATTTTATGTTCAGTGATCATATACTTCATAAATGAAGGTAAAATTAAGACTTTTTCATGTCAACTAAAGCTGAGAGAATTTGTTGCCAACAGAACTTCATTAAAAGAATGCTAAGGGGACCAAGATGGTTGATTAGAAGCAGCTACAGTCCACGGCACTCACAGAGAGGAACAAAAGGCGTGAGTGAATACAGTATCTTCAACTGAAATATCCAGGTACTCACTTTGGGACTGATCAGGGAAACAACTCAACCGATGGAGAACAAAGAAAAGCCAGGCGGGGCAACGGCCCACCTGGGAGCAACACAGAGCCAAGGGAACCCTCACGTCCAGTCAAGGGAAGCGGTGAGTGCTTGTGCGACCGTGGGAAACCATGCTCCTCCCACGGATCTTTGCAACCCACAGATCAGGAGATCCCCTTGTGAACCTATGCCACCAGGGCCTTGGGTCCAACACAGAGCTGTGTGGAGTCACAGCAAAGCAGCTGCTCAGGCACACACAGAGACCCAGGAGCTTTACATACTCTGACCCCAGGATCCCCAACAAAGGTGTCTGCAACTCAGGCAAGGCGGGAGGTCCGTACATACCACTAGGAAGGGGGCTGAATCCGGGAAGTCAAGCAGCATTGTCCTGCGGGCCCCACTTCCATGGCATCTCACAAGATAAGACCCACTGGTTTGGAATTCCAGCCAGCCACCAGCAACAGGGTGGAGCCTGCCTGAGATAGCGCATTCCTATACAGAAACAACAGGCAAGCTGAGAGCCAAAGAATGAATGAACTCCCATTCACAAGTGCCACAAAAGGAATAAAATACTTAGGAATATAGCTAATAAGGGAAGTGAAGGACCTCTTTAAGGAGAACTACAAACCACTGCTCAAAGTAATCAGAGATGACATAAACAAATGGAAAAACATTCCATGCTCATGGATAGAAAGAATCGATGCAATTAAAATGCTCATAACTGCCCAAAGTTATAGATTCTATGCTATTCCCATTAAACTATCATTGAAATTCTTCAAAGAATTAGAAGAAACTTTAAAAATTCATATGAAACCAAAAAAGAGCCCAAATAGCCAAGGCAATCCTAAGCAAAAAGAACAAAGCTGGAGGCATCACGTTACTCAACTTCAAACTATACTATTCGGCCACAGTAACCAAAACAGCATGGTACTGGTACAAAAACAGACACATAGACCAATGGAACAGAATAGAGATCTCAGAAATAAGACTGCACACCTACAACTATCTGATATTTGACAAACTTGACAAATACAAGCAATGGGGAAAGGATTTCCTATTTAATAAATTGTGCTTGGAGAACTGGCTAGCCATATGCAGAAAACTGAAACTGGACCCCTTTCTTATACCATATACAATAATCAACTCAAGATGGATTAAAGACTTAAATGTAAAACCCCAAACTAAAAATCTCAGAAGAAAACCTAGGCAATACCATTCTGAATATAGACATGGGCAAAGATTTTAAGATGAGGACACCAAAAGCAGTTGGAACAAAAGCAAAAATTGACAAATGGGTTCTAGTTAAACTAAAGAGCTTCTGCAGAGCAAAATAAACTGTCATAAGAATGAGCAGACAACCTATAAAATGGGAGAAAATCTTTGCAACCTGACAAAGGTCTAATATCCAGAGTGTACAAGGAACTTAAACAAATTTACAAGAAAAAAACAACTCCATTAAAAAGTGGGCAAAGGACATGAACAGACACTTCTTCAAAGAAGCTACTCATGTGGCCAAGAAATACATGAAAACAAGCTCAACATCGCTGATTATTAGAGAAATGCAAATCAAAACCACAATGAGATATCATCTCATGTCAGCCAGAATGGCGACTATTAAAAAGTCCAGAAACAACAGAGGGTGGTGAGGTTGTGGAGAAAAAGCAACACTTTTACACTGTTGGTGGCAGTGTAAATTAGTTTAACCACTGTGGAAGACAGTGTGGTGATTCCTTAAAGACCCAGAGGCAGAAATACCACTCAACACAGCAATCCCATTACTGGGTATATACCCAAAGGAATGTAAATTATTCTGTTATAAAGATACATGCATGTATATGTTCATTGCAGCACTATTCACAATAGCAAAGACTTGGAACCAACCCAAATGCCCATCAATGATAGATTGGATAAAGAAAATGTGGTACATATAAACCACGGAATACTATGCAGCCATAAAAAGGAATGAGATTACGTCCTTTGCAGGAATATGAATGGAGCTGGAAGCCATTATCTTCAGCAAACTAACACAGGAACAGAAAAGCAAATACCTTGTCTTCTCACTTAGAAGTGGCAGCTGAATCATGAGAACACATGGACACATAGCGAGGAACAATACACACTGGGGCCTGCCAGCCGGTGAGGACGGAGGGCATTAGGAAGAATAGCTAATGGATGCTGAGCTTAATACCTAAGTGATGGGATGATCTGTGTAGCAAACCACCATGGGACACATTTACCTATGTAAGAAACCTGCACATCCTGCACGTGTATCCCTGAACTTAAAATAAAATTTGGAAAAAAAAAAAGATTGCTAAAGGAAGTTCTTCAGGCTGTTGAAAATGATACCAGGTGGAAACTCACAACTACTGGAGGAAAGAGGAGCACCCAAAATGGTAAACATGTAAGTAAACAGACTACTTTTTATTTTTTCCTAATTTCTTAAAAGGTAAGTGAGGTTTTGAGGCACAAATGAGTTGATTTTAAAGTTGTGTCTATGACATATGTAGCAAGAGCATACATGACAATATTAACAAAAAGAACAGGCTTGAAAAATCAAATTATACATTTTAAGTTTCTTACATGTCTAAAGTCTAAAGTGGAAAATTAGTACATTATTAAAATTAAGGATGCTTATGAGATAAGATATCCGATGGCAATCCTTAAATCCACCTAGGTCAAATAAAAATACTTAAAAATATATAGATAAAAAGTCAATAAAGGAACTAAAATGCAATGCTAAAGGTATTTGGTAAGCAGAAGAGAAGGCAGGAAAAGAGAAACAGGAGAACAAAAATTAAATGAAGCAAAAAGAAAATGAATAGTAAGATATCAGACTTAAACCTAGTCATATTGATGATTACATAAAATGTAATTGATCCAAATCGTTTAGTTACGAGGCAGAGATTTTCAGATTAAGATAAAAGAGAAAGATGATCAGTTGTCTTAAAAGAGACAAACTTTAAATATGAAGACATATGTAAGTACAAAGTTAGAAATTATGGAAAATTATATATTGTATGAGTAGTTATTACAAGAAAGGTAGCATGGCTATATTATTGTCAGACAAAGTGTATTTCAAGACAAGCAATATTAGCAGAGATGAAAGTGGGTATTCACAATAATAAAAGGACAAATTCAAAAGGCATACAAATCCTAAATGTGTTTCCCCCAGTGACACAGCTTCAAAATATTTAAAGCAAAATCTACAGAACTAAGGAAGAAATGAATACATCCACAATCATCATTGGCATTTTTAACATTCCTTTCTCAGTAACTGTTTGAAAAAGAAAGTAATGATATATAAAATATAAACACTGTCAATTAGATGTGATTGACATTTACAGAACACTACACTGAATGCTTCTGAATATACCTTCTTTAAAATGTTCACATGGAATGCTTATCAAGATAAGTCATATGTTGAAGCATAAAATATCTCTCAATAATTTCTAAAGACTGCAATCTTATATAGTATGTTCTTAGCAACAGAATTAAATAAGAAATTAATGACAAATAAGATATTGATCACTCATTTCCCACATCTCATCTAAATAACTGGAAAATCAAATTACAACCATCTAAATAGCTCATGTGCCAAAAAAGAAATCACAAGAAAAATTGGAAAAACGTTTGAGAATAATTTGTTGAACACACAGCATACAAAATTTGTGGGTAGGGCAAAAGCAAAATTTAGAGGATTTTTTTTTTTTTTTGAGACAGAGTCTCACTCTGTTGCCCAGGCTGGAGTGCAATGGCATGATCTTGGCACACTGCAACCTCCACCTCCCAGGTTCAAGCGATTCTCCCTGCCTCGGCATCCCAAGTTGCTGGGATTAGAGGCACCCGCCACCACTCCTGGCTAATTTTTGTATTTTTAGTAGAGATAAGGTTTCACCATGTTGGCCAAGCTGGTCTCGAAATCCTGACCTCATGTGATCCGCCCGCCTCAGCCTCCCAAAGTGCTGGGATTACAGGCGTGAGCCACCACACCCAGCCTGGAAGAAATTTTAACACTAAATGTCAATATTCAAAAAGAAGAAAGAATGGTTAAAATTAGTAATCTAAGTTTCTGCAGTAAGAAACTTGAAAAAAAGAAGAGGAAATTACATCCTACATACAAAGAAGAAAACAGATAAATGAGGAGTAAAAATCAACAAAAGAGAAAACAGATACATGATAAAGAAACCTCACAAACCTAAAGTTGGTTCTTTGCAAAGTTTAATAAAATGGATCAATCTCTACCAAGACACATCAAGAAAAAGGAAGGAGAAAGAACACAAATTACCAGTATCAAGATAAAAGAGAGTACATCACTACATAACCTACAGATATTTTTAAAAAGAAATACTATGATCAATTATGATAAGTTGCATGATCTACTACCTCATGTATAATGTAAGAATAATATAACAGCATAAGTTCATTTACACCCCCAACATATGTCATTGTTTTCATATGATTTATTTCTAAATATGGCATAACTCCACAACACTTTGTTATAATTTTTTTCACTTGTTATTACTAGACTTTAAAAAATATAAGAAGGGATGTACACTTTCTATATGCTTCAAACATTTTATGTCCTCAGTGTGTCTTTCCTCCCTTTCTGAGATCAATGCATATTAGAGCACTTGTCAGTGTCTCACAGATTGTTGATGTTTTGTTTATTTAAAAAATAAATCTGGCTGGGCACAGTGACTCACACCTGTAATCCCAGCACTTTGGGAGCCTGAGGCGAGTGGACCACTTGAGGTCAGGAGTTCGAGTCCAGCCTGGCCAACACGGTGAAACCCCGTCTCAAATAAAAATACAAAAATTAGCCGAGCATGGTGGTGTGTGCCTGGAATACCAAGTACTCGAGGCTGAGGCATGAGAATCGCTTGAACCCAGGAGGCAGAGGTTGCAGTGAGCCGAGATCATGATACTGCACTCCAGCCTGGGTGACAGAGCAACACTCTGTCTCAAATGAATAAATAAATAAGGTAGATAAATAAATGGATAAATAAATAAATAAGGTAGATTTATTGAAATATAAATACCTTATTGAAATATAATTTACAAGCACATAAAAACACACAGATTTCAAGTATAAATTTACATGAGGTTTTACAAATGTATATATCTGTGAAATCACCATCCCAGTTGAAACATAGGACATTTTCAAGCCTGCAGAAAGTTTTCTTATCTTCTTATCTAGTAAATTTTCCCCACCCCAAAAAATGACTCTTTAGATACTTATCAGTATAGGTTTACCTGTTTTAGGACTTTACATAAATGGAATCATATAAGATCTACACTTAAATATCTGGATGCTTTTGCTCATCATAATGGTTATCACTTCACCCATATTTTTGGTTGTGTCACTAGTTTTTCTTTCTATTGTAAATATTATTCCTTTGAAGGAATTGTTGCTTATCCTTTCACCTGTTGATAAACGTTTGATATATTTTCAGTTTGGGATTATTATGAATAAAGTAGTTTTAAAAGTCGTGATAAGATTTTTTTTGTGTGTAGACATATAGTTTCGTATCATTTGGGTAAATGTAAGCAGTGGAATTGCTGGATGATAGGGTGGATGCATGTTTAACTTTCTAAGAAACTGACAAAGTACCATTTTGCAGTCCCATCCGCAATGAAAGTTTCAGTTGCCACTAATTTTTGACACCCCTTGGTAGTGTTAGTCTTTTCAATTTTAGCCATTCTAGTGGTGTGAAGCCAGTTCTCATTGTGGTTTTAAAGTTGCATTATCATCACAGTCTATGACACTGAACAATGTCTCATATACTTACTGCCATTTGGATATACTCTGTTATAAAGTGTTCAAGATTTTTCCCATTTTCAGTTGAGTTGTTTGACTTATTTTTAAGAGCTCTTTATATATTTTGCATACACGTCTTTTGTCAGATATATCTTGCCTATATTTTCTCTGAGTCTTTGGCTTGTCTTTTTTATTTCCTTAATATTGTCGTCTTTCAAAGAGCAGTTTTTAATTTTGAAGTTTGATTTGTCAACTTTTAATTTCTTAATTTATGTGTTTTGTTTCCTATTCAAAGCATATTGGCCTATGGCAAGGTTATGAAGATATTCTTTTATATTTTATCTATAATAATTTTGCTTTTAGATTTTATATTTAGATTGATGATCTGGCTTAAGGTAATTTTGTATATACTATGAGGTTGAAGTCAAGGTTAATTCTTTTATACCAATTTGTACATAAGCCTCAGAACATTTATTGAAAAAAACATTTTTCTTATTTAATTATCTTGGCACTTTTTTTGGAAAACTGATAGTTTATGTGTGAGTATATTTCTGGACTATTTTTTAAAAATTGCATTGATTTATTTCTTTATTCTTGTGCCAATAACCACTCTCTTGATTACTTTAGCTATATTGTATGTCTTGAGATCAGATAAATGCTCCTAGATTTTTTTTCAAAATTATTTTAACTCTCCTAGGTCCATTACTTTTCCTTATAAATTTTAAAATCAGGCTGGGCACAGTGGCTCACACTTGTAATCCCACACGTTGGGAGGCTGAGGCGGGTGGATCACCTGAGGTCAGGAGATCAAGACCAGCCTGGCCAACATGGTGAAACCCCGTCTCTACTAAAAATACAAAAAAAGTAGCTGGGTGTGGTGGCGGGCGCCTGTAATCCCAGCTACTTGGGAGGCTGAGGCAGGAGAATCGCTGGAACCCGGGAGTCGGAAGTTGCAGTGAACCAAGATCATGCCACTGCATTCCAGCCTGGGCAACAGAGTGAGACTCCATCTCAAAAAAAAAATAAAAATAAAAATAAAAATAAATAATAAAATCAGTTTGTCAGTTTCTGAAACTAGCCTGATGTGATTATTTTTGGATTAATATGAATCTATAGATTAATTTAGATATATTAATATATTATATTTTAATTTTTAGATTTTCAATTCAAAAACATGTAATATCATTCCATTTATTTATTCCACTTTAATTTCTCTAAGCTATGTTTATATGTATAGAGGGTTCTCATATATTTTCTAAGGGTACTATATTTTTTATGATACTATAGATACAGATTATTTAATTTTTCAATTACTTGTTGTGAGTATATGGAAATACCATCTATGTTTGTGTGTTATACGATCTGTTACTCAGAAAGCTTGCTAAATTACTTATTGATATTAGTAAATTTTTCATTTTTGTAGATTCCTTAAGTTTCACATAGACAATTATTTTATCTTCAGGTAAAAAAGTTGTGTTTTCTTTCCAGTCTTCTTTACTTTTCCTTATTTAATTTTTTGCCTTACTGTATTGCCTATGAATTAAAGTGAAACAAAATGGAAAGAAACAGAAAATTGAAATTGCTCTTCATCTACTAAGGTAACTAAATGACATTTGAAACCCCCTCCAGAAAAAGAATTCAGATGCAAATGCCTTCATTGGTGAATTCGGTCAAACATTTAAGAGAGAAATATTACCAATTTTATGTGAACAGTGTCAGATAATGGAAAAGGAGGATATATTTCTAACCAATTTTATGATTTCAGCATAACTGATACGAAAAGCTGATAAGGACTTTGCAAGATAAGTAATTTATTGAACAAAATCATTTATGTACATAGATGTACAGATCCTCAGTAATATATTAGGAATTGAAATCCATCAATATATAAAAAGTATATCATGATCAGATGGGGGTTTAATCTCTAGATTGTTCCCAAGAATGCAAGGATGTTTCAAGAATGTATACCAGTCAAAGAAATTATCCACATTAATAGGATAAATAAGAGAAAAAAGTATACTATTAGATCCTCTCAATAGAATTTAAAACATCATTTATCAAAAGTCAATATCTATTCCCGATAAAAATTCTCTGAAAACTAGGAACAAAGATACTTCCCCAGTTGATAAAAAGATATATTCTTATAAAAAAAAACAGCTATTGCCAGACTAAATTATGATACATTGAAGGATCTCTTCCTATGATCAGGACATACAGCATGAATTTATATTTAGATTTAACGATCTCTCTGTGGTTCGCTTTCTTCCTGAGTTCCCTTACTAATTTTCAATTTGTGTCTTTGATTGAATGCATTCTCCAACCTATCCTAAATCTCATTACAAATTTTGCCTCAATCCTAGGCTGATCTTTAAACTCCATAGGCACAAGGGAAAGATGGGAGGAACACACTAAAAAGAAGCAACTAGAAGTCAAGAAAACTGAAAAGAAATGTCAGCTGTTGCACAATGTGGGGGACACAGGTTTTATAGTTTGAGTCCAGAAAGTTAAATACCTACTAGATATAAAAAACAATAATCTTCACAATAAGAAACAAGCTCCAGAGTGTCAATGTATAACAATATCCAGTTTTCAATCAAAAGTTGACAAAGAAACAGAAAGTGGGAAACATAAACTGTAAAAGGGGAATTTAATATAAATAGACCATGCTTGGTCACAGATGTTTGATTTAAAGATCCAAATGTGAAAACAGGTATTTTAAAATATGTTCAATAAGTTCGAGGCAAATATGGTATTAATGACAGGAAAGACAACAATATCAATAACGAAATGACACCTATAAAAAGACCAAGTGAAAATTATAATGTTCGTAAAATTAAATTATCAAAATAGCAAAAAAAAAATTCACTTGATGGGACAATTGCAATTTCGAAGGCTAGAAGAATCAGTGAGTAGGGAATAAAATGATACAAAATATGAATTAAGCCTGAGACTTATGAGATAATACTAAGTGGCTTAATATAGGTATAATTTGGGCCCCAGACAGAAAGGAAAGAAGCAGAATAAATGTTTGAAGAAATAGTGGCCAATAACTTCACAAATTTGTGAAAAAGTTTAACCCACATTTTCATAAAGATGAATGAATTCCAAATAGAATAAACAGGAGAAATCACACCTACAAACATCACAGTCTGCTGAATTTAAAAGAGAGTAAGAATATTTAAAAAGCAGAAGTAGGAAGAGACATATTTCATATGAGGAAACAATTATATAATTATCAGCTTATCTCAAGAAACTATGAAGGACAGGACACACTCAAATATCAAATTAAAAGTGCTGAAACAAAATAACAGTCAACAAACAATTCTATATCCAGTAAGACTATCCCTCAAAATTGAAGGTGAAATGAAAATATTTGTAGATAGCAAAAAATGAATTATTGATTGCAGATATGCACTATGAGAAATGTTAGTGGAAGTCCTTCAGGCTGAAAGGAAATGACATGAGATAGTAACTCATGAAAACCAGAAATAATGAAGGGAACAAGAAATGGTAAGTGAATATGTGGTTAAGTATAATACAAGGTAAAACTCTTTTTATTTTACAAAGATGCTATTTACTGCAAAAATTACAACATTCTGTAAGTGGCTTTATAATGTAGACACATGTAATATATTTGACAACAATCCACAAATGATGGGAAGAGGTAAATGCAACTATACGTTTTCAAAGTTCCTATATTTCTTGTTCTAAGAAGTAAGTAGAGATGAACATTTAGTATAATAGGATAAGTTATAGAAGCATACCATATTTTCTAGCTCAATAATTTAAAAATAATTCAAATATATCTAAAATGCCAATAGTGGAATTGAAATTGCATACTAAGAAATTTATTTAAAACAAGAAAAAGCAGAGAGTGGCATCTGTGAAAATGTTAGAGTAAGTCCCTTCAAAAATTTGCCTCTCTATAAAAGCAACAGAAAAATTGGAAAAATAGATTCAACATCATCAGAACTATAAAAACTAACCCAAAACTTGCAGCAACATGGGAAACATTCATTCAAGATAATTGTCTCAATATCACTAAGAACCGTTCCTTTCCCATCCCGTGCTCTCCAGATCAGTGTCAGTCCTAAAAAATAACAGCTGACCCTCCTGGCACTGAGAGTAGCAAAATGGAGTTGGAGATCTCTGAAAGCCATGCACCTAAAAAATTGTCATTATTTGACTTTTCTAGTGGTGTCCTGGAAGAACCAACACAAAAGGCTTATTTCCTTTCATCTGACTTGGAGTTCAACCAGTGCTAAAAACTTCTCCCTGAGGAGCATTTCTGGAAAACATTTACTGGCAAATGTTTTAACATTCCAGCTGCCTGAGGAAATTATTTACAGTTGGGGAAAACAATAGACTAAGCAAAATGAATAAAAGGAAAAAGTGAGAAATAAAATGTCCAGAAGGGCTTTGAAAAGCTCCAACATGATTCTTCATAATCTAAAAGGACACCTGCATGTGTAGGATTGTATGCATTCCCCAAACAGTCGGATTGCTTAGGAAAGACCTGAGAGGGCCTTAAGCTCTCACTTCTGTCTGACCTTGAGGCTCTGTGCAAGTAAGGGAAGCCCATGGCAAAATGGTATACTGATTGGCTGAATGTTGAAGATGTGTCCCAACAGCAACACAGAACTCCTTAGCAACAACTGAGAGATTTATTTGTTCCAGGCAATTAAGGTAATCTCTGTCCAATTATCAGCTGGCCTCTAAGCTAATGGAGCTGAGACTTCATTGATAAAGAATATACACTCTGCAGAGTTACTTCAGGAAAGTCAGTAAACAATAACTACCACAATAAATAGTGAAAACAGCCAATCCTGAGGAATGATGAGAATCTAATTTCCAGAGTTACTACATTATAATATTTAAATTGTCCAAGTTGCAATAAAAATATATGAGAATTTCAAAGAAATATGAATGTATGGCTCTTACATAGGAAAAGAAGTAATCAGTAGAAACTGTCTCTGTGAAAACGTAGATATTTGGCTTACTGGAAAAAGACTTTAAATAAGTGATTTAAAATACGTTCAATGAACTGAAGGTAAATATGTGGTATATCCATAGAATTGAATATTATGAAGACATAAAAAAAGATGAAGTGAGGTCCACTTTTGGCATGACCACGTGAAGAACTCCACAGATTTACTTTCCACGAAAACTAGTGGAAATTATAGAAGAACAATAATTTAAACTTTCTGAAAATGGTCCTGGAGACATGCAAAATATGAAGAAACATTTGTTCAAGGAAATCTAGTAGAGCTCAGTAAGAACAGTGAGAGTCTATGGTGTTTGAACCATAACCCATTCTGTTCCTCCCCATTCCCAATGCAGGAAGATGGAAACTTCACTCAGATTGGTAGAGCTAATGCACAAGGTTCCCCTTATCCCCAGTTCCCAGTCAAGGATTTATATTCCTAGGAGAGACACAGCATCAGCATTTTTCATCCTACTACCAGCTACCTGCTGCTGAGGATAATATCTGGGTAAGTGTAGCTGAGAAGCGGGCACTCTACTTTTCTACTTGATCTCTACTCATACAGTAGAAGCTCCAGCTTGGGTATGGTGCTGCTGAAAATACTGGGTCCCGAATTGCCATTTTCCCACCTGATAAGACAGGGGTTCATGTCAAGAGAAGCAAGCCTAAAGACCTATGGCTACGGCCTAGCCCTTTCACTTAGCACTCAAATTCTAGATTGGGACTACTACTCAGAGAGAAGAACACCATTACACATCTACATATCTAGGAAAGTCAATTAACTAAAAGTTGGAAAAATACAAAGAGATCCACAGATAAACTAGTCAAAATACTGAAAGCCAAATACATGGAGAAAAATTTGGGAGCAACAAGGGTAAAGGGCCCATCACTTACAATAGAACCACAATGAAATAAACAGCTGGCTTTTATTTATTTATTTATTTATTTTTTAGAGTCTCACTCTGTCGCCCAGGCTGGAGTGCAGTGGTGTGACCTTGGCTCACTGCAACCTCTGCCTCCTGGGTTCAAGCAATTCTCCTGCCTCAGCCTCCCAAGTAGCTGGGATTACTGGCGCCCGCCAGTACACCCAGCTAATTTTTTTAGTAGACCCAGGGTTTCACCACGTTGACCAGGCTGGTCTCGAACTCCTGACATCGTGATTTGCCCACCTCGGCCTCCCAAAGTGCTGGGATTACAGGCATGAGGCACCGCGCCCGGCCAACAGCTGGCTTTTAATCAGAAACAATGGAGGGTGGAAAGTGATGGGATAGCATATTCAAAAATGCCTAATGAAGAAAAACAAAATGTCAACCAAGGATCCTATATCCAGCAAAGCTATTTTTAAAAACAAAAGCAACATAAGCACATTCCCTGAGAGAATTTTGCTAGCAGACCTGCCTTCCAAAAAATACTAAATGAAGTTCTTGAGCTGAAGGCAAGTGACCCCAGGCAATAATACCAATATAAAAATACAAAGAATATCTATAAAGAAATTTTTAATTATAGAAGACAGTATAAATGCATACATTTCTCCTTTCTTGGCTGATTTTAAAAGCAATTGTATAAAAAAGTGTACAATTGTGAAAGTTGCCATAATCAAAATGGATTCATTAATATTAATGAAACCCTGACAAATAGAGCCAGGAAAGGCCGTGAAGAGAGCGTTCTCATGTTGGTATATCTGATAACACAACTATCACAAAAGTCTGCAGAAAGCATTACAACTTCACACAAAAAAATACCTCTACAGCGTCATCTACCCAGCAACTACCTGTCTAACCTCAGACTGGCATCATTCTTGTTATTAATCTTTGTAGACAAGAATAACTATTTCAAAACAATTATGTAATCCGTCTGATTTTTTCCTTTAAAAGACTTTGTCTTTGTTCATCTAATTAAATATGCACATTTTTTACTATGGCATGCATATTCCCATTGCAATGCTGTATCCCCAAATAAACATCTTTTCTTTTAGAGAGCTTCTCTTGGTTTGTTATTTAAGTTGACATAATATATGCTTGACTATATACCTTATAGAAATGTAAACACATTTGCCAATGACAGCTAAAAAGATGTAGGTGGGGGCAAAGCTATAATGGGCTAAATAAATGATTCTACATGGTAACTTGAACCCATAGGAAAAAATCTGAAATAAGATTAATATAACAAAAGACATAAATATGAATTTGCTCCTTTCCTCTATGAAATTATTTAAAAGACATAAAATTACATAAAGTAATAATTATAATGATATATTATTGTGCTTGTAAAATGTATTGATGTGATATGTATCATATGTAATATATGATAAATAATACTTCAGAAAGGGGAAAAAGGAATAGAGTTACATAGGAGTAATGTTTCTAAATCTTAATGGAATTAAGTTAGTACATATATGAAGCTGATTCTGATAAGATATATATGGTAAGCCCTAGAGTTGCCACTAAAGAAATAACTAGAAAGAAATAATTAAATAAATTAAAATGCTACATTAGAAAATATCCACTTACTGTAAAAGCAAGCAGTAAAAGAAAAATATAAGGAAAAAAGACATGAGACATATAGAAACAAAATGTAACATGGCAGACCTAAATCAAACTATATCACCAATAACATTAAATGTGATTAGACTAAAAATGTAATCAAAATGAAGAGATAGTAAGATTGAATAAAATCATGATCCAACTAATGCTGTACACAGGAGGCACAATGTATATACAACTCTATATACAAATATATTGAAATTAAAAGATGGAAAATGAATCATGCAAAGAGCAACCACAAGAGAGCTAAAGAGGATATACTAATTAATATCTAACAAAATAGATTTCCAAACAAAAATTTACTAAAGACAAAAATTTTATAATGGTAAAGGGTCAATCCATGAGAAAGGTATAACAATTATACACATATATGTACCAATAACAGAACACCAAAATGCATGAAGTGAAAATGGAAAGAAATGAAGTGATAATTAGACAATTCAACAATAGTTGAACACATCAATACTACATTTTATGATTTTAAAGAACAAGTAGTCAAACAATCGACCAGGAAATAGATGATTTGAACAACTCTATAAATCAATTAGACCTAAAAGACATCTGTAGATCAATCTACTCAACAACAGAATATGTATTCTTTTTAAAAATATATTTGTCACATAAAATTTATTTTTCTTGCATTCTTTTTAGCTACATTGCTAATTATATGGATTTCATAAAGATTTTTACATAATTGGTGTTCAATTGACAGTAATAACCTAAATGAGTAAAATGAAAATATATTTATAAAAGTATACATTAAAACAAGCATACAATTTAAAAGTTAACATTATTTCCATATAGTTTTGAAAAATTCTTTCTTTTAAAATATTAAAAATTAAAATTAAAGTGCAAGATACCAATGTCAAAAATGAATATCCATTTTTAAATCAAACTTTTTTATATAAAGCCAAAAATTTAAATTTGGATTTTAAAAAATCTAATTACAGTTGCGTGTGGCTTAATGATGGCCACATCTTCTGAGAAATGTGTTGTTAGGTGATTTTGTTACTGTGTGAATGTCACAGAGTGTACTTACACAGATCTAGATGGTATAGTCTACTACACACCTGGACTCCTGTATAGCATGTGACTGTACTGAATACTGTAGGCAATTGTAACACAATGGTGAATATTTGTGTATCTAAACATAGAAAAGGAACAGTAAAAATACAATTATATAGTTCATGACTATTTATTTTACATAATTTTTATTATATTTATGTATATACATATTTTACTTTTAAGTTTGGGGTACATGTGCAGGTTTGTTATATAGGTAAACTCATGTCATGAGTGTTTGTTGTACACATTATTTTGTCACCCAGGTATTAAGCTTAGTACCCATTAGTTATTTTTCCTGATCTTCTCCCTTCTCCCACCCTCCCTCCTCTGGTTAGGGCCCAGTGTCTGTTACATTCTTCTAAAGTGCACCTCGCACATTCTCCAGGCTGGATTATATGCTATATCATAAAACAAACCTCGACAAACTTTAAAGGATAAAGAATATGAAGCATGTTCTCTGAACATAAAAAAATGGAAGTACAGATCAATAATAGAATGAGATCTGAGAAAATCACAAATACGTGGAAATTAAATCACATGCTCCAAATATCTAATGGAACAAATAATAAATCAAAGGAGAAATTAGAAAATACTTTTAGACAAACCTTCATACTGGTTTCCATAGTAGCTGTACTAATTTACATTCCCACCAAAAGTGTGCAAGGGTTGCCTTTTCTCCACATCCTCAGCAATACTTGTTATCTTTTGTATTTTTGGTAATAGCCATTTGAACAGGTATCAGATGTCATCTCATTGTGGTTTTAATTTGCATTTCCCTGATGATTAGTGATGTTGAGCATTTTTTTTATATGTGCCGGCCATTTGTATGTCTTCTTTTGAGAAATGTCTATTTAGATCATTTGCCCATTTTTATTTGGATTATTTGTTTCCTTACCATTGAATTGTTTGAGTTCCTTACATATTTTGAATATTAACGTATTATCAGATGTATGGTTTACAAACATTTTCTCCCATTCCATAGGTTCATTATGAGAAACAGTATGGAGGTTTTTAAAAAATTAAAAATAGGACTAATATATAATCCAGCAATCCTACTACTGCATATATATCCTAAGGAAATGAAATCAATATGTTGAAGAGACACCTGCACTCCCATGTTCATTGCAGCATTATTCACAGTAGCCAAGATATGGAATCAAACTAAATCTTCATCAGTGAATAAATGAATAAATAAACTGTGGAATATATACACAATGAAATATTACTCAGCCTTAAAAGAGAAGGAAATCCTGTCATTTGTGACAACATGAATGAATCTGGAGGCCATTATGCTACATGAATTAAGCCAAGCACAGAAAAACAAATACCGCATTATCTCATTTATATGTGAACTCTATAATTACAGTCTAACTCATAGAAGCAGAGAGTATAATAGTCGTGCCAGAGGTTAGGATGGTTTGAATAGATGCTGGTTCAAGGATACAAAATTTCAGTTAAAAAAAAGGGGAAATAGGTTCTAGGAATCTATTGATAACATGGTGACTATAGTTAATAGCAATGTATCGTATACTTGAAAATTTCTAAGAGAGTAGATTTTAAGTGTTCTCACCACAAAAAGGATATGTATGTGAGGTAATGCATATTTCCATTAGCTCGATTTAGTAATTATACAACATATACATATTTTAAAAACATGATGTACATAATTAATATATATACTTATTGGTCAATTAAAAAAGAAAAACAAGAGAAAATACTTTTAGGTGAATAAACATAAATACACAGCATACCCAAACTTACTGGATGCAACTACACAGGGCTTAGAAGTTTATCATTTTAAATGCCTGTATTAAGAAAAAAAAAGTCTCAAGTCAATAACCTGAGCTTCCATCTAAGACACTTGAAGAACAGCAAAATAAACATAAAGCAAGCTGAAGGAAGAAACTTGTAAAGATTAGAGCAGAAATTAATGAAATAGAGAATATTAAAACAATACAGAAAATTAATGAAAATAAAGCTGACTCTTGAAAAGCTCAACAAGATTGACAATCTTTTGGTTAGATTGACCAAGAGATGACAGATGATAGATAAACAGATAGATAGATGGATGGATGGATAGATAGGTAGATAGATGACAGACAGATAGATAGATGCTTAAATTATTAGGATCAAAAATGAAAGCAGGGACATTATTGCTGATCTTTCAGAAATATGGATTATAGGAATATTATTAACCATTATATGGCAATAAATGAGATAACTCAGATAAAATGGTCAAATTTTTAGAAAGGTGCAACCTACCAAAAATGACTCAAAAAAAGACAATGTGACTGGACGTATACCAAGTAAACACACTGACCACTAACCCAAAACTATGCACAATGAAAAGTTCATAACTTATGGCCATAAAGATGACTTTACCAGTGATAAAAATTTAAAGATATTAGAAGTTATATAAATATATAAAAAGTTTAAAGAAGAAATAATACCAGTTCTTCCCAAACTTTTCCAAAATATTGTAGAGAAAGAAACAGTTCTTAACTCATATTATGAGGTCAGAATTACCCTGATACCAAAATGAGATGAAGACAACACAAGAAAACTACGGATAAATATTTCTTAGGAATATGGACACAAAAACACCAACCAGAACACTAGTACACTGAATCCAGCAACATATAAAAAATTATGCACCATGATCATGTGGGCTTTGTCCTAGGTATGCAAGGTTGGTTTAGCATCTGAAAGCCAATTAAAGTAATATACCATATCAATAGAAGTAAAAAACACATGATCATCTCAATAGATACAGAAAAAACATTTTAAACATATCTACTTCCCTTTTATGATAAAAGTCACTCCTCAACATAGAAATAGAAGGAAACTCATCAACTTGGTAAAGGGCGTTTATGAAAAACCCACAGCAGACATCTTAATGATGAAAGACTCAATACTTTCCTCGTAAGATAAGGAGCAAGTCAAGAATATTCAGTCTGGCCCCTTTCATTTATCATTGTACTAGAGGTTCTACAGAGGGAAATTAAGCAACAAAAAGAAAATGCATCTAGATTGGAAAGGAAGAATTTAAAACTATCTTTGTTAGAAGATGACATGTCTTGTATATAGAAATTCTAAGGAATCCACTTAAAAAGTATTAGAACTAATAAATGAACTCAGAAAGTTTGCATGATATAAAATAAGTATACATAATTTAATTATATTTCTGTACACTTGCAATGAACAATCCAAAAATTAAATTAATAAAGTAATTCAGTTTATAATATAATTGAAAAAATAAAAGTACTTAGGGATAATTTTAACCAAAGAAATGCAAAACTTGTGTTAATATATTTAAATCTATAAAACATTGTTGAAAGAAAATAAAGAATTTAAGTAAATGGACATAAATCCTCATGCTCATGGATTAGATTTGAAATACTTAAGATGACAATACTTCCCAAAGTTACCTAAAAACTCAACAAAATTACTATCAGCATCCCAGATGACTTCTTTGTAGAAATTGTCAAGCCTATTATAAAATTCATATGAAATTGCAAAGGACTCAGAGTAGCCAGAGTAATAGTAATCTTGAGATAAAAGAGCAAAGTACGAGGACTCGCACTACCTGATTTTCAAACCAACTACAAAGCAGTGGTATTCAAGACCAGGTGGTACTGACATATATATAGACATATAGATAAATGGAATAGAATTGAGAGGCTACAAGTAAACACATGGTTTCTATGTAACTGATTTTCAACAGAGTGTCAAGACAATTCAGTGAAGGAAATAATAGTCTTTTCAACAAATGGTGCTAGGATAACTGAATACCAACATGCTAAACAATAAAATCATACCCTTATCTTGCACCATTCACAGAAAAAAAAAAACCCTCAAAATAGTTCAAAGACCTAAAAGTAAGGGGTAAGACTGTACAACTTTTAGATGAAAACATAGGACTAAATCTTCATGACTCCAGCTATGACAATGTTTTCTTGAATATGACACTAAAAGCACAAACAACAAGGTAAAATAAAGACTTTATCGAAATTAAAAAATTTTACACTGCAAATGATGCCATCAAGGACAACTAAAATAATGGGAGACAATAATTTCAAATCATTATGTGTCTTTCATCCAGAATATTTGTTACAATCCTGACAATTCAGTAGTAAGAGATAAATAACCCAATTAAAATTGGGCAAAGGATCTGAAAACACATTTCTCCAAAGAAGATATGCAGATGGCCTATATGTATGTGAAAATATGCTCAACATCATTAGCTATTAGGGAAGTGCACACCAAAACCACAATGAGATACCACTTTACACACAGTACGATGAACATAGTCATAATTATAGACAATAACAAGTATTGACAAGGATGTAAAGAAGTTGGAATCCCCCTGCATTTGGAAAACAATTTGGCAGTTACCACGTGACCCAGAAATTCTCTAGTTATATACCCAAGAGAATTAAAACAAGTATTTAAACAAAATCTTTGATTAGTGTTCATAGCAGCATTATTTGTGATAAAAAGTATTGGCTACGAGCCAAAGGTCAATCAGCAGAATGAAAAAAAATTCTGATATATTCTTACAACAGAGTATTCATTCATCATATAAAAATAATTATAGATACAGATTCTAACATGAATAAACCTTGAAAACATTATACTAACTGAATATGCCAATCACGTAAGACTACATATTACATGATTGCAACTGTATGAAATTCCAGCTATTGCCAGAGTAGGCAAATCTACAGAGACAGATAGTCAATTCGTTCTTGCTTAGGCATGGTGTTCTGGGTAAGTAGGGTGGTGATAGCTAAAGGGTATAATGTTTGTCTTGCAGTGATGAAAATGTTTTAGAATTGATGATGGTCATATTTGCATTCATCTATTAATATATTAAAAATCATTAAATTTTACACTCTAATGGGTGAGTTGTATAGTTATGTGACTTGTATCTCACTAAACAATGAAAAATAAAGAAAAAGGAAAAAGCGAATTCAATACTAGTAAATGCTACAATACAGGAAAATTGAAAACATTATAGTATTTAAAACAAGGCAGATAAAAAAGGCCACATATTGTATGATTTCATTTATAAGAAATGTCCAGAATTGGCAAATCTATAGAAATAAAGAAGTTGCTAGGAGCTGGGGAGAGGGGAAAATGGAGAATGGTTCCTAATAAATATATTTTTAAATTTTTCAGTGTCATGAAAATGTTCTGTAATGAGATAGTGTTGACAGTTGTATAATTTTGTAAATATACTAAACACTACTAATTATACACTTTATAATAATGAGCTTTATGATATATGAATTATATTACAATACAAAAAACGAAGGCAGGAAAGGAAGAACAGAGGAACAATAAAGATATAAAATAAGTAGAAAATGAGTATCAAAATTGAACACCTAAAATAAGCAAATCAACCACATTAAGTGTAAGTTAACTAACTACTCTAATGAAAAGATATTGCTTGTTTATAGTAGCACAATTCGCAATTGCAAAAATATGGAACCAGCCCAAATTCCCATTAATCAACTAGTGGATAAAGAAATTGTGGTGTATATATGTATGATGGAATACTACTCAGCCATAAAAAGGAACAAATTAATGGCATTTGCAGCGAACTGGATGGAACTGCAGACTATTTTCCTAAGTGAAGTAACTAAAAAATGGAAAACCAAACATTGTATGAGCGAAGCTATCAGGATGCAAAGGAATAAGAATGATACAATGGGCTTTGGAGACTCAGGGGAAAGGATAGGAGGCGGGTGAGGAATAAAAGACTACAAATTGGGTTCAGTGTATACTGTTTGGGTGATGGGTGCACCAAAATCTCACAAATTACCACTAAAGAACTTACTCATGTAACCAAATACCACCTGTTTCCAAAAACCTATGGAAATAAAAAATTTAAAAAATGAAAAATGTACTGTCAGATTAGATAAAAAGTTTTCATAAGAGAATCCCAATTCTAAGCTCCTCACATACAATATATTTTAATTACAAAAAACCTATAGCTAAAAATAAAAAATTAAAATATATATTACATGGAAATCATATGCATAAAATATTATAGTATGTATATTAATTTCAGACAACATTTATTTAATAATATGAATATTATTAAAGACAGAGATATTTTTAACCATAAATGGGTCAAAAGCAGAATGGTATAGTAATTAAAAATGTATATTTGCACCTACTAACAGAGCCCCAAAATACATGAAGCAAAAACTGACAGAATTGATGGAAAAAATAGATAAATTAATATATATAATTGGAGTTTTCAATACTAAACTCTAAGAAATTAATAGAATGAAGACAGAAAAGTAAAAAATATATAATAAACCTAAATAGTACTATGAACAAATTGAACGTAGTTAACATTTATACATTTTATACAATAGCAAGATACAATTCTATTCAAGTGTCGATGGCATTTTAATCAGGAAACACTGGAACATATGCTGGGATGCAAAACAATTCTAAAAAATTATGTTCTAAAAGGGATTGAAATCATATACCATCTGTTCCCTTATAACTGTGGAATTATGTCGGAAATTAATAACAAAAGATTCTGGAAATAGCCCCCATATTTTCAAGTGCAATTGGAACATTCTTCAAGAAATATCTTTGGTTTAGATATTTAAAGTATTAATAAAGTTAAAAGGATTGAAAAAATACAGTGTGTTGCAGACAAAAAGTATTTAAATGAGACATTAACACAAGATACTTGGGAAACTCCCATGTATTAGGAGTTTAAATGACACACTTTTCAGTGACTTATGGGTCAAAGAGGCAATCACAAGGGAAATTAGAAATTATCTGGAATTAAATAAAAGTCAAAAGATAATTTATCAGATTTATTGGAAGGTTGTAAAGCAGCTCAATGCAACCAAACACAATGTCGTATTCTGGATAAGATATAAAAACTAATAGTGGACATTAATGAAAAACTTTGTAAATTTTGAACAAAATTTATACTTTATAGTACTGTTTCACAATATTGATTTCCTATTATTGATAATTATACTACGGGTATACAATATGTTAACATTTAATGAAGCTGGATGAGAGATATAAAGGGACTCTGTACTATTTTATAACTCTAAGTAAGTCTAAAATTAGCTTTAAAAACTGTCACAAGAGACAAAGAAGATTATTATAAAATGATAAAGGGTTAATTTCATCAAAAGATTATAACAATGGTAAATATATATGCTCTCAACTCTGAAGCACAAATATATAAAGCAAGTATTACCAAAACTGATGGGAGAAATAGGAATACAATAATAGTATTAAATAGAAGACATCAGCACCCTACTTTCAACAGTGTATAGATCAACCAATAGAAAATCAATAAGGAAACAGTGGAATTGAAAAACACTAGAGACTAAATGCATCTAACAGAGAGATACAGAACTTTACATCCAACAATAACAGAATACACATTCTTCTCAAGTGCACATGGAACATTATCCAGGATAGAGCATTTGTTAGGTTGAAAAACAATTCTTAATGAATTTAAGAAGATTGAAATTGTATCAAATACATTTTCTGACCACAATGGTATGAAACTAAAAATTAATAACGGGAGGAAAATTTAAAAATTTACAAATATATAGAAATTAAACCACACACTCCCAAATAACCAATGGGTTAAAAAAGAAATAAAAAAGAAATTTAAAAAAATATTCAGATAAACAAAAATGGAAACACAACATACCAAAACTTATGAAATGCAGCAATAGTAGTAATAGTAGCAATAGTAGTTCTAATAGGAAGTAGAGAGTGATAAATGTCCACATTAATAAAAATAAAGACATCAAATAAATAACTCTACACCAAGGAACTAGAACAAAAAGAACAAACTAAGCTCAAAGTTAGTCAAAGAAAGGAAATAATAAAGATTAGAGCAGAAATAAATGAAATAAAGATGGGAAGACGGTTGAAAAGGTCAATGAAACAGTGTTGGATTTTTGAAAAGATAAATAAAATGGACAAACCTTTAGTTAGACTAACCAAGAGAAAGAGAGAGAAAGAACTCAAATAAATAAAATTATAAATGAAAGAGCAGACATTGCAAATGACACCACAAATATACAAAGGATCATAAAAGACTACTAGAACAATTACATGCCAACAAAGTAGATAACCTAGTAGAAATGGATACATTTCTTTAAAAACATACAACCTTTCAAGACTGAATCTTAAAGAAATAGGAAATCTGAATATACCAATAATGAGTTAGGAGATTAAACAGTAATCAGAAACCTCCCAACAAAGAGAAGCCCAAGACTACATGGTGTTACTGGTGAGTTCTGCCAAACATTTCATGAAGAACTAGCACCAAACCTTCTCAAACTTGTTCACAAAATTCAAGATGAAAGAACACTTCTAAGCTCATTTTACAAAGTCAGCATTACCCTCATATCAAAGCCAGATAACAACAAAACAAAAGAAGAAAATTGCAGGCCAATATCTTTGATGAGCATAGGTGCAAAAATCTCAAACAAACAAACAAACAAAATAGCATACTGAATTCAACAGCTCATCAAAAGTATCATACACCATGACCAAGTGTTATTTATCCCTTGGATGAAAGGATGGGTCAACATATGCAAATCAATAAATGTGATACATCACATTGACAGAATGAATGATAAAAATATGATCGATCTCAATAGATTCAGAAAAATAACATTTGACATAATTCAATATTCTTTTATGATGATAACTCTCAAGAAATTAGGTATCAAAGGAATATACCTCAATGTAATAAAGACTATATATGTCAAGCCCACAGCTAACATCATACTCAATGACAAAATGTGAAATTTTTCCTCTAAGATGAGGAACAAGACAAGGGTGCCCACTCGTGCCACTTCTATTCAACATAGAACTGGAAGTCTTAATCCAAGTAAGCAGGCAAAAAAAAAAAAAAAAAGAAAGAAAAAGAAAGAAAGAAAGAAAGAAATAACCGGCATCCAAATTGGAAAGGAAGAAGTAAAATTGTTTTTGTTTGCAGATGACATGATTTTATATAAGTAAAACCCTAAAGTATCTACTGTAAAGCTATTAAAATTAATAAATTCAGTAAAGTTTCAGGATACAAAATCAACATACAAAAATCAGTTGCATTTCTATACAGCAACAGTAAACTATCTGAAAAAATAAGTGAAGAAAAAATCCCATTCAAATTAGAATAAAAAAGAATAAAATATTTAGGAATAAATTTAACCGAGGAAGTGAAATAACTGTACACTGAAAACTATAAAACATTGACAAAAGACATTGGAGTCACAAATAAATGAAAAAAGATCCTGTGTTCACAAATTGGAAGATTTAATATTTTTAAAGTGTCAATACTACTCAAAGCAATATACAAATTTAATACAATCCCTATTAAAATTCCAGTGACATTATTCACCAAAATAAAAAAAAAAACTAATCCTACAATTTGTATGGAGCCACAAAAGACCCCAAATAGCCAGAATTAAGTGAAAAAAAAAAGTAAGAAGCAAGAGGAATCAAGATGGAGGCATCATATGTCTTTATTTCAAACTATATTATAGTAATCAAAATATTATGGTACTATTGTAAAAACAGACACATAGGCCAATGGAACAGAACAGAAAACCCAGAAATGAGTCCACATATATATAGTTAAATAGTCTTTGAGAGGGGCATAAAAAATACATAATGGGGACAGGGTTCTCTCTTCAATAAACGGTGGTGGGAAAACTGGCTATATAAATGCAGAAGAATGAAACTGTATCCTTATCATATTAACAAAACTCAAAATGAATTAAAGACTTAAATGTAAAAACTGAAACTGTAAAACTTTTGAAAAAAACATAGGGAAAACTCCTGGACATTGGTCTTGGCAATAATTTTTTAGATATAACACCAAAAGCACAGGTAACATAAATAAGCAAAAATAAACAACTGGGATGATATCAAACAGAAGTTTCTGTGCAGTAAAGAAAACAATCAACAAAATTAAAAGGCAACCTATGGCATGGAAAAAAATATTTGCAAACCATATGTTTGATAAGGAGGTGTTACATTCTGAATGTGTGTCCCACTCAAATTCACATGTTGGAATCCTAACTTCCAAAGTGATGGTATTAGGATATGGAGCCTTTGGGAAATGATTAGGCCATGAGGGCAGATCCCTCATGAATGAAATTAATGCCCTCGTAAAAGACCCCAGAGAAACCCTTACCTCTTCTACCATGTGAGGACACTGCAAGAGGGTGCAGACTATGAGAAAGTGGGCCCTTACCAGACACTGAAATCTGCCTGTACTTTGATCTTGGACTTCCTGGCTTATAGAACTATGAGAAAAAAATTTTACTTATCTATATGCTGTCCAGTTTATGATGTTTTGTTATAGCAGCCTGAACCCACAAATATAGGTATGAATATCCAAAATATAGAGGGAATTCATACAACTCACATTTTTTTTCCAGAGAAGACATACAAATGGCAGACAGGTATATGAAAAAGTGCTAAACCTTTCTAATCATTAGGAAAATGCAAATCAAAACCATAATGAGGCCGGGTGCGGTGGCTCACACCTGTAATCCCAGCACTTTGGGAGGCCGAGGTGGGCGAATCACCTGAGGTCAGGAGTTTGAGACCAGCCTGGCCAACATGTTGAAACTCTGTCTCTACTAAAAATACAAAAATTAGCCGGGCATGGTGGTGCACATCTATAATCCCAGCTACTCGGGAGGCTAAGGCAGGGGATTTGCTTGAAACAAGGAGATGGAGGTTGCAGTGAGCCGAGATCGTGCCATTGCACCCCTGTCTGGGTAACAGAACGAGACTTCGCCTCAAAAAAAAAAAATACAAAACCATATTGAGCTGTCACCTCATACCTGTTAGAATGGTTATTATTAAAAAGATGAAAGATAAAAAGTTTTGGTGAGGATGTGGAGAAAAGGAAACACTTGCACGCTTTTGATAGGAATGTAAATTAGTGTAACCATTATTGACAACAGTTTGAAGGTTCCTCAAAACTTAAAAACAGAACTACCATATGATCCAGCAATCCCACTACGGGATATATACCCAAAGAAAATAAAATCAATGTGTCAAAGAGATATTTGCACTCCCATGTTTATTGATGCACTATTTACAATAACCAAGGTATGGAATCAACCTAAGTGTCCAACAATGGATGAAGAGATAAAGAAAATATGACACACACACACACACACACAAGAGAATTATTCAGTCATTAAAAAGAAGAGAATTCTGTCATTTGTGACAACATGGATAAACCTGAGAGATATTATGGTAAATGAAATAGGTCAGACATAGGAAAAATACTGTATAATCTCACTTATTTGCGGAATCTAAGAAAGTGTAACTCACGGGAGCAGAGAGTAGAATGATGTATTTCTGGGGCTGGGGTTGGGGGTTGGGGAAATATTGGTCAAAATGTACAAATTTTTGTTATAAGATAAATCCATTCTGGGGTCTAACATACAGAATGGCAATTATAGTTAACACTTGTATACTTGAAATTTGCTAGGAGAGTAGATCTTAAGTGTTCTCATCACACATATACAAAAAAGGTAACTTTGTAAGGTGATAGACATTTTAAGTAGCTTGATTGTGGTAATCATTTCATGATCTATACATTTATCAAATCATCACAGTGTACACTTTAAATATATAAGTTTTTAAATTTGTTGCTTGCATCTTAAAGCTGGACAGAAAATAAAAAAAGAAACTCAGTGCCTTAAGAGTGAGGAATATTTTCTATCTGTAAGAAAAAACTAAAATAGTCTTTCTTCTAAACAAAGTCTGAGACAGTATTCAGGTGTTGTACTGATAAATTAACTTTTAATTAGAACAATATTTAGTACTCATGAGAAAAAGATAACATAATCAAGGGCTTTTCTAAAATAAAATCCATAATGCTGGGCATACAATTAAAAACTGTAAGATATGAAAAAACCCTAAAGCAACAACTGCTGATCAGAAGATGAAAAACTCAATAAAGGAGGCCCAGGAATGATGGACTCTTGAAAAACTGGTAAAATAAAAGAAAAATCAAAAGAAAACAAAACAAAAAACAGATAGGACAAGTGTAAAACAAATAGCAAAAGATTCGGTTTAAACCCAACCATATCAATAGTCACATTGTATAGAAAAGCTATAAATATGGGTGATAGAGATTATAAGATTGAGTAAATGAATAAGATTCAGTTATATTCTCTCTATAAGAAACCCACTTTGATTATGAAGACAAAAAGAGATTAAAGTAAAACATCATATCACTGGAGGTACACAAGTGGGAATAGTGGAATAAGGACATTGGAAAATACTCTTCTTCGTAAAAACAATGAGAACACTGGGAAATATTGCCAAAATCAACTTTTCCAAATAGTAGAAATTATTTATTCACTAATAAGAGAACCACAAAATACATGAAGCAAAACTAACATAATTGAAATGAGAAGTACACAGTTCCACAGTGATAGCTGGAGGCTTTAATACCCAGCTTTCAAGAACAGATTTAACAAACAGACAGAAAAGTAACAAAGAAATAGAAGACTTGAACAATACTATAAACCAACTAGACAGCAGAGTATACATTTTTCTCAAGTGCACCTGAAACATTTCCACATAGACCATATGTTAAGTCAAAACAATCCTCAATGATTTTAAAAGGATGAAATTATACAAAGCATGTTCTGCAACCACAATGGAAAAATAGTAGAAATCAACAACAGGAAATTTGGGAAATTTGCAATATGTGAGAATTAAGCAACACAATTCAAAATAATTAATGAGTCAGAGAAGAATCACGAGGGATTTTTGAAATATTTTGAGAAAAACAAAATAAAACCACAAGCAGAAGAAAACTTAGGGGATATAGTAAAAGCAGTGCTTAGAAGAAAAACTTGTAGCTGTAATGCCTATATTGAAAAAGAAGAAAGGTCTTTAATGAATAACCTTATCTCCCCCTTCAAAGAAAACTAGAAAATGAGCAAACTAAATCCAAAGTAAGCAAAAAGAAAGAAATAACAAAAATTAATCAGAGTGAATAAATTTGAGAATAGAAAACCAATAGAGGAAATCAATCAATAAAAGGTTTTTTGAAAGATCTTAACATTGATACCTTTAACTAGATTAGCTAGAATAAAGTGTGAAGTCACCAATTACTAATAATGTGAATAAATGGGAGGAGGAAGGGGAGCAGAAAAGATAACAATTGGGTACTGGGCTTTATATCTGGGTAATGAAATAATCTGTACAACAAACCCAAGCCCTAGTGACATGAGTTTACCTATGTAACAAACCTTCACATGTACCAATGAACCTAAAATAAAAGTTAAGGAAAAAAAAGAGGGGAAATGACAAATAAACTGTATTATAAGGGGATATTTTAAATAATTGCATGCCAAATAATTTGGAAATCTATATGAAATGGAAAAATTCCTAGAAACATGCAAGCCACCAAGACTGATTCACAAATACAAACAAAATATGAAAATACCTATAAGTAAAGAGGTTCAGTTTGTCATAAAAAAAAAAAAAAACTTTCCACTAAGTAAAGCCCAAGTTCAGATGGCACCTTTGGTGAAATTTATCGAATGTCTAAAGAAGAATTAACATCAATCATTCAAACATTCTTGCAAAAAACAGAAAAGAAGATAACATTCCTTGTCTCATTTTATGAGATCAATATTATCCTGATACAAAAAAAAAAACAGATGAAGATGTCACAAAAATCGTAAGCCACAGACAGAGTACTTTTATTGTTACTGGCACAAAAATAATCAATGAGAGAGAAAGGCCCAAGTACAATAAGAGTTAGAGACTTCAACACTCCACTTTCAGCATTGGATAGGTATTCCAGACAGAAAATCAATACAGAAACATAAGACTTAATCTGTTCTACAGACCAAATGGACCTAATAGATATTGACAGAACATTACATCCAAGAACTGCAGAATGCACATTCTTTTCCTCAGCACATAGCTCATTCTCAAGGACAGTGCATATTTTAGTTTACAAAACAAGTCTTAAAACATTCAAAAAACTAAAATAATATCAAGCATCTTTGACCACAATAGAATAAAACTAGAAATTAATAACAAGAAGAATTTTGGAAACTATACAAGTACATGAAAATTAAACAATATGCTCCTGAATGACCAGTGGGTCAATAAAAAAATTTAGAAGGAAATTGAAAAATTTCTTGAAACAAATGATAATGGAAATACAACATACCAAAACCTATGGGATACAGCAAAAACAGCAAAAAGAGGCACTTTATAGCTATAAGTACCTACATCAAAAAAGAGGAAAAACGTCAAATAAACAATCTAACAATGCATCTTAAAGAACTAAAAAAAGCAAGAGGAAACCAAACCAAACCAAACCCAAAATTAGCAGAAGAAATGAAATAATAAAGATCAGAGTAGAAATAAATGAAATTGAAATTAAAAAATAGTAAGATCAATGAAACAAAAGGTAGTTTTTTTGAAATGTTAGACAAAATTGACAAACCTTTAGCCAGACTAAGAAACAAAGAGAGGTGATCCAAATAAATAAAATCAAACATGAAAAAGAAGACATTACAACTGATAATGCAGCATTTCAAAGAATCATTAGTGGCTACTATGAGCAACTATTTGCCAATAAATTGGAAAATCTGGAAGAAATGGACAAATTCTTAGACATATGCAACCTACCAAGATTGAACCAGGAAGAAATCCAAAACCTGAACAAACCCATAAAAATAGCAAGATCAAAGCCATGATAAAAAAAAGTCTCCCAGTAAAGAAAACCCCAGGACTTGATGGCTTCACAGATAAATTCTACCAAACATTTAAAGAACTAATGCCAATCCTATTCAAACTATTCCAAAAAATAGAGGAGGGAGTACTGCCATACTCATTCTACAAGGCCAATATTATCCTGATACCAAAAAAAGACAGACACATCAAAACAATAAAACTGGCTGGGCGCGGTGGCTCACACCTGTAATCCTAGTCCTTTTGGAGGCCGAGGTGGGCAGATCCCTTAAGGTCAGGAGTTCAAGACCAGCCTGGCCAACATGGCAAAACCTCATCTCTGATACAAAAATTAGCCAGATGTGGTGGTGCATGCCTGTAGTCCAAGCTACTCAGGAGGCTGAGGCAGGAGAATCACTTAAACCTGGGAGGCAGAGGTTGCAATGAGCCAAGATCATGCCATTGCATTGCAGCCTGGGCAACAAGAGTTAAACCCCATCTCAAAAAAAATAATAATAATAATAAATAAAACTACAGGACAATAGCAAACAAAATTCAACAATACATTAGAAAGATCATTGATCATGACCAAATGGGATTCATCCCAGGATGCAAGGATGGTTCAACATATGCAAATCAATCAATGTGATACATCACATCAACAGAATGAAGAACAAAAACAATATGATCATTTGAATTGATGTTGAAATAGCATTTGATAAAATTCAGCATCACTTCATGATAAAAACCCTCAAAAACTGGGGATAGAAGGAACATACCTCAACATAATAAAAGCCATATATGACAGACCCACAGCTAATATCATACTGAATGGGGAAAAACTGAAAGTCTTTCCTCTAAGGTCTGGAACATAACAAGGATGCCCACTGTCACCACTGTTATTCAACTTAGTACTGAAAGTCCATGCTAGAGCAATCAGACAAGAGAAAGATATAAAGGACATCCAAATTGGAAAGAAATAAGTCAAATTATGCTTGTTTTCAGATGATATTATAGTATACGTGGAAAAACCTAAAGACTCCACAAGAGAACTATTAGAACTGATAAACAAATTTAGTAAAGTTGCAGAATATAAAATCAACATAGAAAAATTGGTAGCATTTCTATATGCCAACAGTGAACAATGTGAAAAAGAAATAAAAAGTAATCTCATTTAAAATAGCCACACATAGGCGATTCCTCAAAGATCTAGAACTAGAATTACCATTTGACCCAGCAATACCATTACTGGGTATATACCCAAAGGATTATAAATCATGCTACTATAAAGACACATGCACACATATGTTTATTGTGGCACTATTCACAAGAGCAAAGACTTGGAACCAACCCAAATGTCCATCAATGATAGACTGGATTAAGAAAATGTGGCACATATACACCATGGAATACTATGCAGCCATAAAAAAGGATGAGTTCACGTCCTTTGCAGGGACATGAATGAAGCTGGAAACCATCATTCTCAGCAAACTATCACAAGGACAGAAAACCAAACACCGCATGTTCTCATTCATAGGTGGGAATTGAACGATGAGATCACTTGGACAGAGGGCGGGGAACATCACTCACTGGGGCCTGTCAGGGGTTGGGGGGCTGGGGGAGGGATAGCATTAGGAGAAACACCTAATGTAAATGATGAGTTGATGGGTGCAGCAAACCAACATGGCACATGTATACCTATGTATCAAACCTGCACATTGTGCACATGTACCCTAGAATTTAAAGTATAATAAAAAAAAAATACAAAAAGTGATAACATCTGCTGAATGACAATCCAAGAAAAATGGTGCCCTCATGTATTGCTGGTGGGAATGCAAGTATCACAGCCTTTTTGGAAAGCTCTATGGCTAGAGATTTTAACTTTCCAAAATATACATACATTTTAACATGTATCATAAGATTTTGGACTGTCCCGAAGAAATAACAGCACCAGTAGATAAAGGCATATTTATGCATGAGGCATTGAATGCAAAGTTATTCCAGTGGCAAAAACCTGGAAACAAAGTGAACACCCTTTAGTAGGCAGATGGCAGGATCAATCATGGTAGCACATTCCTGCTGTGGGTTATTATTCAGCCATTAAAGACAACGAATCGGCAGTACCAGGTTAGCCTATGGATTTCTACTAGGGACAGCTGAATGGGGAGAAATGCTGTAAGGTAATATACAAGTCAATAGGAAACTGGAAAGGGACATCCACAATGTTTTTGACATGAGTCACCCTGGAAGCAAAAAGGAGGAGGGAGAGGAGAAGAAGGCAAGGAAGAAAGAAAAAAAGAAATTATTATCTAAAAATTATTTAAAATAAATAAGTTTTTCTTAAAAAATAGCCACACATAAAATATCTAAGAATTAACCAAAGAAGTGAAAAATCTCTATAATGAAAACTATAAAACACTGAAGAAAAAAACTGAAGGGGACACCAAAAAATGGAAAAATATTCCATGTTCATGGATTGGAAAAATCAATATTGTTAATATGTCCATACTACCAAAAGCAATCTACAGATTCAATTCAATCTCTATCAAAATACCAACGACATTCTTCCACAGAAATAGAAAAAAAAAATTCTAAAATTTAGATGGAACCAAAAAGACCTGGAATAGCCAAAGCTATCCTAAGCAAAAGAACTAAACTAGAGGAATCACATTGTCTGACTTCAAATTATACTACAGACCTAAGGTAAACAAAACAGCATGGTACTAGCATAAAAACAGACATACAGACCAAGGGAACAGAATACAGAGACCAGAAACGAATCTACACAGCTACAGTGAACTCATTCTTCACAAAGATACCAAGGATGTACAATGGGGAAAAGACAGTTTCTTCAATAACTGGTGCTGGGAAAACTAGATATCCATATGCAGAATAATAGAACTAGACCCCTGTCTATCACCATATTCAAAAATCAAATCAAATCGATTAAAGACTTAAATGTAAGACCTCAAAATATGAAACTATTGCAAGAAAACATTGGGGAAAATCTCCAGGACATTGGTCTGGGCAAAGATTTCTTAAGCAATGCCCAACAAGCACAAGCAACCAAAGCAAAAATGGACAAATAGGACCACATCAAGTTAAAAACCTTCCGCACAACAAAGGGTACAATCAACAAAGTGAAGAAACAACCCACAGAATGGGAGAAAATATTTGCAAACTACTCATCTGACAAGGCATTAATAAGCAGAATATATAAGGAACTGAAACAACTCTATAGGAAAAAGTCTAATAATCCAATCAAAAAATGGGCTAAATATTTGAATAGACACTTGCCAAAAGAAGACAAGCAAATGACAAACAAGCATACAAAAAAGTGCTCAACGTAATTGCTCATCAGAGAAATGGAAATCGAAAACTACAATGAGATGTCATTTCTCTCCAGTTAAAATGGCTTATATCCAAAAGTCAGGCAATAACAAATGCTGCTAAGGATGTGGAGAAAAGGGAACCCTCATAACACTGTTGGTGGGAATGTAAATTAGTACAACCACTATGGAGAATAGTTTGGAGGTTCCTCAAAAAACTAAAAATTGAGTTACCAAATGATCCAGCAATCCCACTGCCAGGTACATACCCAAAAGAAAGGAAATCAATATATCAAAGAGATATCTTCACTTCTATGTTTTTGCAGCATTGTTTTCAATATCTAAGATTTGGAAGCAACCTAAGTGTCCATCAACAGATGAATGGATAAAGAAAATGTGGTATATATACATAATGGAGTATTATTCAGCCACAAAAAAAGAATGAGATCTTGTCATTTGCAACAACATGGATGGAACTGGAGATCATTATGTGAAACGAAATAAGCCAGGCACAGAAAGACAAACATCACATGTTCTCACTTATCTGTGGGATCTAAAAATCAAAACAATTGAACCCATGGACATAGAGTAGAAAGATGGTTACCAGAGGGTGGGAAGAGTAGTTGGTGGTTGTGGGGGGAGAGATGGGGATGGTTAACGGGTACAAAAAAAAATAGAAAGAATGAATAAGGCCTACTATTGGATAGCACAATAGGGTGACTATAGTCAATAATAATTACATATTTTAAAATAACTTAAAGGGTGTAATTTGATTGTTTCTAACTCAAAGGATAAATGCTTGAGAAGACAGATATCCCAGTCCCCATTATGTGCTTATTTCACATCGCATGCCTGTTTCAAAGCATCTCATGTACCTACTGTGTACCTAAAAAAATTAAATATATATATATATAATTAAACCTTAGAAGCAAATATTACAGCTAAAAGTATAAAACTCTATGATAAAATATAGGAGAAAATCTTAGTGACCATAGGTTTGGCAAATATTTCTTAAATATGACTCAAAAGCATGAAGCATAAGAGAAAAATTCTTAATAATTTGAATTTCATGACAATTAAAAACTTTCTTCTTCCATAGAGACTATTAAGAAATTTAAGGTTAAGTCACTGACAATGAAAATATTTTAAAAAACGCACTGGGGCCAGGCGCAGTGGCTCACGCCTATAATCCCAGCACTTTGGGAGGCCGAGGAAGGCAGATCACCTGAGGTCAGGAGTTCGAGACCAGCCTGATCAATATGGTGAAATCCCGTCTCTACTAAAAACACAAAAGTTAGCCAGGCTGTTGTGGTGCATGCCTGTAATCCTAGCTACTCAGGAGGCTGAGGCAGGAGAATCGCTTGAATCTGGGAGGTGGAGGTTGCAGTAAGCTGAGACTGTACCACTGCATTCCAGCCTGGGCAACAGAGGGAGACCCTGTCTCAAAATAAATAAATAAATAAATACAATAAAAAATAAGAAATAAACACATCAAATAAAATTTTTACCAAGAATATACAAATAACAATTAAAACTCAATAATATGAAGTCAAACAATCTAATAAAAATGAGAAAAATAATCAACCAGACACTTTTACCCTAGATTATATAAAGATCAATATGCTCATAAAAAAATGCTCAATACCCTAAGTCACTGGGAAAATGCAAATTAAAACCACAAACGGTGATCTCTATACACCAACTGGAATAGCAAGAATTGTAAGCCTGACTATACCAAGAATTGGGGAGGTTGTGGAGAATCTGTAACTCTTACATACTGCTAGTGGGAATATTAAATGTTACAATCACTTTGGAAAATTATGGTAGTTTCTTAAAAAGCTAAATGTACACCTATTGTACAAGCCCTGCCATTCTACTCTTAAGTATTTATCCAAGAGAAATAAAAATATATGCCCACCTACAGAATTGTACATAAATTTCTATAACATCCAACAACTGGAAATAAACCACGTCTATAAAAAGTAGAATTTTTAGACAAATTGTATATCCATGAGTGGAATACTATGCTGCAATAAAAACAAACTATTGATACAAACAACATTGGTTAGCCTCAAATAATCATGTTAAGTGAAAGAAGCCATTTACAAAAGAGTATATCCTATATTTCATTAAATACAAACTAGAATATAGTGACAGAACACAAGTCAGCTATTGCCTAGGGACAGTGAAGTATTAGGGAGGGGAGTATTACAAATGTGCTTGAGGAAACTTTTGATGGGGATGGATGTTTTCATGATCCTGAGTCCATATAAGGGAATCCCCATTAGATTATCAGTGCATTTCTCAGCAGAAACCTTACAGGCGAGGAGAGAATGGAATGATATATTTAATGTGTTGAAAGCAAAAAAAAAAAAAAGAAAAAGAAAAAGAAAAAATAACCCCCAAAACAAAAAAGCAAACAAAACTGTCAGCCAAGCATACTCTATACAGCAATGCTGTCCTTCAGAAATGTAGAAATAAAGTCTTTCACAGACAAGCAAAAGCTGAGGGAATTTATTACCATGAAACCTGACTTACAAGAAATACTTAAGGGAGTTCTTCAAGTGGAAACAAAGGGACAGTAATTACCATCATGAATACATATGAAAGAAAGTACAAAACTCACTAGTAGAGGTAAATACAAAACTCACTGGTAGAGGTAAATACAAAACTCACTGGTAGAGGTAAATAGTCAAATCCAGGATACTTCAATACTGTATAAATTATACGCATTGCTAGTATGAAGATGAAAGTCACAATGGTCAAAAATAATGGAAGCTACACTAAGTTGTTAAGGAACTCACAATATAACAAGACAAAAGTTGTGACATCAAAAATGTAAATTGTGAGGAAGGAAGGTAAAAGCCTAGAGTGTTTGTATGTGTCAGAAGTTAAGTTGTTAGCTTAAAATAGTAGATTATAACTATATGATGTTTTATATAAGCCTCACGGTAGCCACAAAACAAAAATCTATGGCAGATATACCAATGCTAAAGAAAAAGCAATCAAATCTTAGCACTACAGAAAAGTATCAATTCATAAAGGTAAACTATAAAAGAGAAAGAAAGGAACAAAATAGCTACAAAATAACCAGAAAACAAACAAGAAAATGGCAGTAGCAAGTCCTTATCTGTCAATAATAACCTTGAATGTAAATGGATTAAATTCTCTTATCAAAAAACAGAGTGGCTGAGTGGAAAAAAAAAAAAAGAGCCAACTATGTTGCCTACAAGAAACTCACTTATGCTTTAAAGACATACACAGGCTGAAAGTGAAGGAATGGAAGACGATATTCCATGCAAATGTACCAAAAGAGGGAGCAGGTGGCTATACTTATATCTGGTAACGTAGACTTCAAGTTAAAAATTTTTGCAAGAGACAAAAAAGGACATTATTTAATGTTAAAAGAGCCAGTTCATCAGGAGGACATAACCATTGTAAATATTTATGCACCCAACATTGGAGCACATAAATACATACAAAAATTATTAATGGACATAAAAGAACAAAATGGATAGCAATACAATAATAGTAGGAGATTTTAATATCCCACTTATAACAATGAATAAAGCAACCAGATAACAAATAATAAGGAAATACTGGATTTCAATTGCACTTTTGACCAAATGGATCTAACAAACATACACAGAACTTTACATCCAACAGCAGCAGAATACACATTCCTCTCCAGTACACATGGAGCACTCTCCAGGATAGACCATATGTTAGGCTGCAAAATAAGTCTTAACAAATTTAAGAAGACTAAAATCATATCTAGTGTCATTTCAGATTACAATAACACGAAACGAGAAATCAATATTAGGAGGAATATTAGAAAATGCACAAACATGTGAAAAGCAAAGAACATGCTTCTGAACAACCAATGGGTCAAAAGGGAAACTAAAAAATATCTTGAGTCAAACAACAATAGAAACACAACATATCAAAGGGGAGTGCTCATACACTGTTGGTGGGGAGATGAAATAGTACTGCCACTATGGAAAACAGTATGGAGGTTCCTGAAAGAACTAAAAATAGAACTACCACATAATCCAGCATTCCCATTGCTGGGTACGTATCTCAAAGTAAGAAAATTAATATATATTGAAGAGATATCTGCACTCTCATGTTTATTGTAGCATTATTTATAATAGCCAACATATGAAATCTACCTAAGTGTCCATCAACAGATGAATGGAAAAAGAAAATGTGATATATACAACAATTGGAATATTATTCAGCCATAAGAAGAATGAAATCCTGTCATTTGCAGTAGCATGAGTAGACCTAGAGGTAATTATGTGAAATGAGATAAGCCAGGCATAGTAAGACAGGTTACCAGAAGCTTAGAAGGGTAGGGGAGTTGAGGGAGATGACGAGAAGTTGGTTAAGAAGTTCAAAGATACAGTTAGATAGATGGAATACATTCTAGTATTTGATAGTTCAGTTGGGAGACTATAGTTAACAATAACCTATTGTATATTTTAAAATAGCTAGATGAGAAGAATTGTAACGTCGCCAAAACAAATATAAATGTGAGGTGGTGGATATCCCAGTTACCCTGATTTGCTCATTACACATTCTACACAAGAATCAAAATGTCACAAGTATGTGACAAAATATGTACAACTATTATATATACATAAAGAAAAATATGTACAACTATTATATATACATAAAGAATTAATATTGTTAAAATGTTCATACTGCCCAAAGCAATATAGAGATTCAACACAACCCTTTTAAAAATCCCGATGCCTTCCTTATCAGAAATAGCAAAAGCAATAATAAAATTTGTATGGAATAATAAAAGACCCCAAATAGCCAAAATAATTCTGAGAACAAATGAAGTTGGAGGCATCATACTTCCTTTTTTAAGATAGTATTACAAAACTATAGTAATCAATATCGTATGGTCCAGGCAGAAATACAGACACACAGACCAGTAAAACAGAATAGAGAGCCCAGAGATAAATCCAAACACAAATTGTCAATTTGTTTTTGACAAGGGCATCAATAAAGCCCAATAGGAAAAGGATAATTTCTTAAATAAATGATGCTGTAAAAACTCTATTTCCATATGCAAAAGAATGAAATTTGACCCTTATCTGACATCATGCACAAAAATCAACTCAAAATGTATAAAAGGCCTACATACAACACTAGACACTGTAAATCTCTTAGAAGAGAACATAAAGGAAAAGCTCTTGTACATTAGGCTTGGAAATGAATTTTTGTATATCATGTCAAAAGTGCAGGCTACAAAAGCAAAAATAAATAAATGGGATTAAATCGAATTAAAAAGCTTCTAAACAGTGAAGGAAATAATCCACAAGATGAAATGGTTCCTATGAATTGAGAAAAAAATATTTGCAAACCATATATCTGTTAAAGGGTTAATATCCAAAATTTATCAATAACTTGTTCACACAATAATGGAAAAACAAATATCCTGTTTAAAAATTAGAAAAAAGACAAGAATAGACACTTCTCTGTGGAAGACATAAAAATCTCCAACAGGTATATGTAGAGGTGCGCAACATCAATTAATCATCAGGGATGCAAGTCAAAACCGTTATGAGATACCAGTTAGGATAGCTATTATAAAAAATCAAAATATAACCTGTGTTGGCAAATGCGTGGAGGAAAGGCAACACTTGTACACTGCTTGTGGGGATGTAGATTAGTACAGCCATCATGGAAAACAGTATGGAGGTTCTTCAAAATTAATATTTTAGAAATATTAGAAATAGAAATGAGATCGTCACATTGTAAAGATATGTGCTCTCCCATGCTCATTGCAGCATTATTCACAATAGCTAAGATATGGAAACAATCTAAGAATCCATGAATGAATGAATAAATAAATAAGCGGTGGCACATATGTATACACAATGGAATACTGTTCAGCCCTAAAACAGAATGAGATCATGCCATTTGCTACAACATGGATTAGCCTGGAAGACATGCTAAATGAAATAAGCCAGACACAGAAAGAAGCATTTTGTATGATCTCACTTCTATGTGGAAACTAAAGAAAAATTGAAATATACAGAGATAGAGAATAAAACAGTGGGAGTTGGGTGATGGGGAGACACAGGTCAGAGTACAAAGTAGTAGATATGTAGGCTGAACAAGTCTAGAGATCTAATGTACAACATGTGGACGATAGGTAATAAAATTATACTATGTATGGGATTCATGCTAAATGAGTGGATTGTAGCTGTTCTTGCCATACACACAAAAATAGGTAACTATATGAGATGATGAATATATTCATTTGCTTCACTATAGTAACCTTTTTACTATCTCTATGTATCTCATAACATCCTGTTGTATACCTTAAATATATATTTTTAAAGTATACGTATTGCATTTTAGAAAATGCAAGCTAGAGCATAGTGACAGAAAGCAGATCAGTGATTGTTCAGGGACAGTGAAGTATGATTGAGGGAGGGAAGTATTACAAGTGGGCATGAGGAAACTTGATGGGGATGGCTATCTTTATGATCTTGAGTGTGGTGATGTTTTCATGGGTTTATGCACATTGTAATATTTGTCAAATTATACATTTTAAAAAGTGCAGGTTATCTTACATCAAATTTACCTAAATGAATCTTTTTACAAAAGAAAGAATAATAAAGAAACAAAGAAAAAACTAACAAAAATTAATAGATGTAAACTAAAGTATATCGTTTAAGTGGTTTAAAAACTTCAACTAAAAATGAAATACTTTCAGATTATATTAAGAAATAACTATATGCTCTTTATAAGTGAATTATTTAAAAATATAAAGACAGAGCCTGTTTTAAAAATATAGAAAATGTTATGCTATGGAAACACTAACTGAAAGAAAGCTGATATATCATAAAAATTAGTTCTTAGGGCAAAAAGTATTAGGAGAGATAAAGAGGAATATTTCATAACTATAAAAGTGTCAATCCTATGGAAAGATATAATCTTATTTATTAAAGAAACCAAATAACATAACCTCAAAATTTATAGAACAAATGTTAAAAAAACTAAAAGGAGAGATAGACAAATCCATGATGATTGTCAGAGATTTTAACACAACTCTTGCAGTAACTAGAAAATACACATAGAAAAGTTACAAAACACACATTCTGTTACTACGTCTATCAACATCATAATATATATAGTCTTTTGAGGTAGACATAGAACATTTATCACTGTAAACCATATGCTGGCCAAAAGGCAATGACAATAAAAGTCAAATGATGGAAACATAAAGTGTATATACCCTGGCCACTGTGGCATTAATTACAACTCAATAAGAAAGATACCTTGAAAATTTCCTGAAGTCTGAAAATTAAACTACAAGTTTCCAAATAATCCATGGATTAAAAAAGGGAATTAGTAAATATTTTGAGCTGAAATTAAAATACACATCAACAGTTATGAGATACAGCTAAAGTAGAATTTAGAGAAAAATTTATGGATTTAAATGTGTATATTAGAAATCAAGTAAGGCCCAGAGTCACTGACTTAACTTTCTTCCTTAAGAAGTTAAAAAAGAGAAAATGAAACCCAAAGTAAGTAGAAAGAAGGAGGTAAAATTAGATGTCAATGACATAGAAAATGGACAAACAATGGAGAAAATTGATGACTCCAAAAGATAATTCTTGGAGAAGTTAAAAAAAAATTATAAACTCTTAGTAAACTAAACACAAAAAGAGAGAAAACAGAGATAACCATTCTCTGGGCGAAACAGGAAGTCACTACACATTATATAGACATTAAAAGGATGGTAATTACACCACTTGATGCCAATAAATTAGAAACCTTAGAAGAAATTCTTTGACAATTACAATTTACCAAAACTAACACACACAAAAGAAAATATTAATATTGCCATTCATGTTGAAGCAATTGAATCTATAATTAAGAACCTTTACACATATGTGCACATGCATGCACACGCACACACACACACACACACAGACACATACCACCCTGCAGGCTCAGATGGTGACAGTATCAAATGACTACATTCATTAATTCTTCCAAACATTTTAAAATAAAAAGATGCAAACTTTACACAAACATATAAGGTAGGTCAAAAGGGACAGCTTCAAACTCATTTTATGAGGCTTGCATACCCTGCTACCAAAACTAGACAAGGATACCACTAAAGAAAGTAAAATGACAAGGCAAAATCTCTCATTGGAATGGATTAAAACATCCTAACTAAAATATAAAAAATAATCCAATGATATAGAAAAAAAAAGCCCATTACAAAGTGGGATTTATTTCAAGAATGCAAGATATAATTCAAAAATGTATACAATTTACCATGCTAACAGAATAAAGGAAGAAATAAATCCTATAATCATCTCAGTGGATTCAGAAAAAAGGATTTGGAAAAGTTACACATATTTATGATAAAAAAGACACAGAAAATATAGAATAAAAGGGAATTTAATTTGATGAAAGACATTTTACAAAACTTACAAATATTATTCTTAATGTTGAAATACTGAGCAGTTTTCCACTAAAAAAAAAAGATGTCTACTACTTCCACTTGTATTAAACACTATTTTCTAAGTCCTACCAGTGCAATCAAGCAAGAACAATTAATTAAAAAAATTTTTAAGATAGAAGAAAAAGAAATACATCTGTCGTCATTCACAAGTGACACCACTAGGTACGCTGAAAATTCCAATGAATCTTTTAACAAACTCCAAGAAATGTTAAGTGAATTTAGATAGCTGGGTATAGAGTAAATGCAAAAATATCAAATGTATTTTATTTTTATATGCTAGCAGCAAGCAACTAGAAATATTTACAATAGCATCCTAGGAAATCAAGTACCTAACGATAAATCTAACAAAGATGTGCAAGACCTCTAAATTAAATAAAACATAACAGAGTATTAAAGAAGGCCTAAATAAATAGTAGATTATTTACATGTACATATGCATACGTACATGGATTGGAAGCCATAGTATTGTTAAGACAAATCCTCACTTAGCTGACTTATAGATTTAATGCAATACCAATTTTAAAACAATAGCATATTTTGTTTTGGGGGTTGACAAGCTAATTTTAGTTTTATATGAAAATGAAAAGGCCTTAGGCTAGCCCAGAAAATTTTGAAGAAGAACACAGCTGACAGACTTACTCAACTAGATTAGAAGACTTAGTATAAAGCTATAGTAATTAGGACATTGTAATACTAGTACAAGGACAGAATATTAGATCAATAGAACAGAACTTATAGCCCAGGAGAAACAACATATATAAGGTAACCTGACTTATGAGAATGACGCCATTGTAATTCGGTAGGCAAGAATAATCTTTCCAATAAATGATGCTGAGTCAACTGGATATTCACATAGGGAAAAAATTCAATCTCTAGCTCGCATCAGACGTATACATTAAGTTAAGATGGCTCCTGGACCTAAATGTGAAAGCTAAGATGATCAAACACTTAAGAAAGGAAGGAAATACAAAGACAGAGGAGGTTATCCTCTTGAATATCCTCTTGAACTCTGGATGAGAAAACTTTTCATAAACCGGATAAAAAATCACTGGCCATTAAAGAAAACGCTGACAAATTGAACTTTAAACGAGTGTAAGGTCATGCACAGATTGGGAAAAAATATTTTCACTATACATATCCGACAAAGAACTCTTATCTAGACTATACAAAAAAACACTAGAATTAAAAAATTGAAAATAGGCAAATGGTGTTAAAAATTCATCACAAAAGAGGACGTCGAAATGCTTAAAAACCATAACAAAAAGTGCCCAACATTATGAGTCAGTAGGGAATTAAAGATAAATACCAGGACTAGATGTCACTATATACTTGCCAGAACACAATTATTAGGACCAGGGTTTGGCAAACTATGGTTCATCGGCCAAATCTGGTCTGTAGTCTATTTTATATGGAACATGAGCTAAGAGTTTTTCTACAAGCTATAGATCTGCATATAATCCAGATAGAAATTAATAGAAATAATTATTCAAGAGTCATTGGTAGATAGATTTTAATTATTTCTGTGGATGATGCAAGCCAGGAAAAGTATATAAGCAATTGGAAGGAACAGAATCCTGGGGAAGAACGGGGATAAAGCAGAAAATGAAGAAAATGATTTGGAGCAGACAGAGAAATAGGAGAAAAGGAAACCAAATGAAAATTGTGTCATAGGTAGCAAAGAATCGGAGAATTATGAACAAAACATCATTGACTATATCAAATACCACAAAGGGAGCTAGCACCGGAAACTTAGTTTTTAAAGTGTGTTCCATGAACATTTATGTATCTCTGAAACCTTTTCAATAGTTTCATGAAGTCAAAAGTATTTCCATAGAAATATTAATATGTTATTTGCTATTTTCAATGTGTTTACAATTTTACTGATAATGCCAATGTAATGGTGGGTGAAACTGCTGGTGCCTTGGCATGAATCAAGCAGATGACACCAAACTGTACAAGAAGTTATTGTATTCTTTATCACTATGTACTTTTGGGGAAAGAAGCCACTATTACTTAAGAATATACTTTATGAAGTAGTAAAAAATATTAATTTTATTAAATCTCAACATGTGGGTACACATCTTCTTAACAACCTATGTAAGAAAATGAGAAGTACAGGAAGAGCGCATCTTCTGCATACTGATATAAGATGGTTGCTTTGATACCAGTACCATGCTGTTTTGGTTACTGTAGCCTTGTAGTATAGTTTGAAGTCAGGTAGTGTGATGCCTCCAGCTTTGTTCTTTTGGCTTAGGATTGACTTGGCGATGCGGGCTCTTTTTTGGTTCCATATGAACTTTAAAGTAGTTTTTTCCAATTCTGTGAAGAAAGGCATTGGTAGCTTGATGGGGATGGCATTGAATCTGTAAATTACCTTGGGCAGTATGGCCATTTTCACGATATTGATTCTTCCTACCCATGAGCATGGAATGTTCTTCCATTTGTTTGTATCCTCTTTTATTTCCTTGAGCAGTGGTTTGTAGTTCTCCTTGAAGAGGTCCTTCACATCCCTTGTAAGTTGGATTCCTAGGTATTTTATTCTCTTTGAAGCAATTGTGAATGGGAGTTCACTCATGATTTGTCTCTCTGTTTGTGTGTTGTTGGTGTATAAGAATGCTTGTGATTTTTGTACATTGATTTTGTATCCTGGACTTTGCTGAAGTTGCTTATCAGCTTAAGGAGATTTTGGGCTGAGACGATGGGGTTTTCTAGATATACAATCATGTCGTCTGCAAACAGGGACAATTTGACTTCCTCTTTTCCTAATTGAATACCCTTTATTTAAAATGTTCAATAATATGTATAGAACAGTCACTCTAACAGGACTGCCTACAGGACTGTAATTTACCTTCATCCTTTGTACCATGAAAAAGTTTCTCTTGTATGGAAAAAAATTATAAAGAATTTAAACATACCTGTTTGGAGAAAGAAAACTTAGACCTGATTTTCCAAAATATCTTCATGTTTAAAATATATGTACAGCTTTGGTAAAAAAAAAAAAAAAAAAAAAAAAAAAAAAAAAAAAAAAGATGGTTGCTTTGAGAAAAAGTACCTATGCAATTGTTAGAGTTGCAAGATTAACTAGCCATGTATTTTTTCATAGACTAACATCTTTACTTGACTGTTAGACACACTAGAGTTATTCAGACTTGGGTATTTGGCAGCTACTTTCTCAATAATGGATGACTTGAGCCTGTCAAGTTAAGCAAAAAATAGATGCTATTTGCTGCCAATGATAAAATCTGAGGTTTCAAGTGAATAATGTAATTTTTGGAAAATGTCTATTCATCTCTGGGAGATTGAACTTTCCCAATATCTTAAGATTTTTCCATTAAGGTTGATGAAGATTATCAACGTATATGATTTTTGACATTGTATAGTGAAATATACCAACATTGAGAAAATATGTGTAACTCGGTGAACCAATATTTTCTTAATGACCTATGCCTGATGTTACAATATAAATCATGGGTAAAATATCCATGTGAAGTACTGAAGTAAAGTATTCATTTGAAATATCCATTTCTAGATACATTAGTGGATTTTAATGTAACAGTATATAAAAAAGTCAGTGATTTGGTTTCTGATTGTACATTGCCACAGAACTTAAGAAACTACTACTTGCAGAGTTTTAGTGCACTGTCAAATAAGAATGACCGCAATTATCTGAACCACAGCAAATTGTTGCAATAAATTGGATGAAAAAAACAGAGATGAGAATCTAGCTATCTTCTATTAAGTCAGATGATTAAAGCACCTTGAAAAACTGTAAAACATTTCTCTAACGATTAGTGACATCGAACATTTTCTTCATATGCTTGTTAGCCATTTGTATGCCTTCTTTTGAAAAATGTTTGGTCATGTCTGTTCCCCAGTTTTTAATGGGGTTGTCTTTTGTTGTTGTTGAGTTGTTTGAGTTCCTTATAGACTCTGGATTTTAGTCCCTTGTTGGATGTATAGTTTGCAAATATTTTTTCCCATTCTGCAGGTTATCTGTTCACTCTGTGGATTATTTATTTTCTGCATAGAAGTTTTTTAGTTTAAATCCCATTTGTCTATTATTGTTTTCGTTGTTTGTGCTTTCAAGGTCTTAGTCACGAATTTTTGCCTAGGCCATTGTCCAGCAGAGTTTTTTCCTAGGTTTTCTTCTAGTGTTTTTGTAGTTTCAGATATTACATTTAAGGATTTCATCCATTTTGTGTTAATTTTTGTATATGGTGAGAGGGATGAGAAATTATTTAATGGGTACATTGTACGTTACCGAGTCATGGTTACACTAAAAGCCCAGGCTTCACCACTATACTCTATATTCATATATCAAAACTGCACTTGTACCCCCTAAATTTATAAAAGTCAAAAAAAGAAAAAACTAAAACAATGTCACTCTTCTTGTTGATTTTGTTTTGGAAAATATAGCTTTTTTTAATAGAGCTAATTATTTATGTTAACATGTAATGGATTTACTATTGTTATTTTAAATAAATGTAGACAAAAATAATTTAAAATTTCAATTTTAATTTCAAAGACATTAAATGCTGATGGATATAGCTCATATAAAGGCAAACTCTCTGGAATCCTTAATAATGTTTGAGTATACAGAGATCACTAGACCAAAAAGTTTGAAAATTCATAAATTAAACAATTAAGTAGTCACTAGTGAATGCATAGAAGACAGATTTGGTTTGTGGTAAAGCTAAAAAATTGATTCTTATGAGATACATTATAAATGTTGATAAGGAAGACATGAGAGTGACATATAGGTTTGGCAGTAAAGTTTGGAAGACAGAGTGGCCACCACCTAAATTAGTATACAGATTAGAGAAAGCATTTTTAAAATTCAGTTGTTCATTTTTTCTTAAATTAAATTATAAATTTAAGGAGATCCCTGTCAAAATATCCAGGCTTTTAGAATAGAACAAGGCAAGTTAATGTTAACGTTAATATGGAAAATTAAACTTTCAGTAATGTCTACACAAGCTCTAAAAAATGCCTAATGAATAGGGACTAACCATATCAGATAATAACATTTATGTAATAGCATTTATAATTAAAAGTGTGAAATTGGCATTTGATTAGACAGTGTAGTGGAATAAAATGTGAACTTCAGAAACATGTCCAGGCATATAAGAATATTTAATATACTATAAAGATGGCATCTCATATCACAGGACAGATGGACTTTTTAAATAAATAGCATGAGACAATGGAAGAATTAGTTTTAAGAGACTAAAATTGAATGTGTATGTCACAACGTACAAGAATAAACTCCAAATGTATCAGAGGTCTAAATGTAAAAATGAGAAAAATATGTGTGATTTATTGTCCAACCTGAGTTAGGGGAAAGAATTTGTTGCCATTACTCTCAACATAAAAAGGAAATCTGATTGACAAGATGAACTACATGAAAATAAAATAATTTTGTATGGCAAAATACCATAGCTATATCAAATAGCAAACAGAAAATATTTTCATTTATAACATGTTAAATGGTTAGTGTCTATAACTTATAAAGAGCTATTAAATTAAGAAATAAAAATGAAAAAAAATCAGAAAAAATGAGCAAAAGGACACTTAAAACTGATTTAGCAATGGCACTGAAGTGGTTTTCATACATTTAATCATATGAACTTCAGCCAAATAAAATAGATGCAAATTAAAATTACACTGAGGTAACATTTCTCACTTATGGGATTTGCAAAATCTAAAAAGTTTGAAAATAAACTTCATTAGCAAGGCTTTGGGGAAACAGAGGCTTTCTTGCATTGCTGGTGGGAATGCAAAATGGTTCAACTCCTAACTACATGTACCCTTTGATCAATCAACTCCTCCTCTAAGAATTTATTTAGAAGATAAATTCTGAATACATTTGAGCAAGAATTTATTTAAAAGTTAAACTTCCAATAATATGAAACACACACATGCACGCGCGCGCGCACACAAACACACAAGACAGACACACATGCACGCACGCACACACAAAGGACACACACACACACACACACACACACACAATTATTCTTAGTAGAATTATTGGCAACTTCCAAATGTTGGAAACAACTTACCTGATTATACACAGAAGATTGGTTAAATAAAGTATATCAACACAATCTATTATTAGTGAGTGTAAAAAATAATAGAATGAATTTAGCTTTTAATTGGAGTATTTAGGCCATTTACATGATAAAGTTGGGTGCATATCTATCATCTTACAAATTGATAGAGTGATTTCCAGGACATATTTCCAAGTAAAAGAACAAAGCAAAACAAAGTATTAATTTGTATGTAGCATTTTAACTTTTAATTTAAGAATGGAAAAATAACAATACGTGTATTTGTGTATAATCTTTTTTTTTTTTGCAAAAATAAATTCAAGAAGTATGCCCTAGAAACTAATGAATGGGTTAACCACGGAATAGAAGAGGAACTGACTCTTCTCTGAGTATTTTATTTGCCTAGTTTTGACTGTTGGAGCATCATATTAAAGTTTTACATATTAAAAAATAAAGTCAACAAGGTTGGGGAATACATGCAAAAACAAAACAAAATCCCTAAATGTGAACAATTGGTATCAGAACCACAGAGAAAAAAAATTCAAACTAATCCTAGCATTTTGAAGACAATGCTTTGACTATATGCCATTGGTGGAAAACATTCTAAAGATAAAATTGCAATGAAATTTTAAACATTGCATTTCATTTATTGGTAGTGGTATGGGTATAGAAATTCTGAAATTAATTTCTTGTATGGTAGGATATAGAAAATATAAATAATAAATATATCAATGGTTTGGGGACAAAGTTACTCACTGTGAGAAAAATGAGGAAAAATAAAGAATTGGAAAGTAGCAAGAGTCCTGTGTTCGTGAATTGGGATTAAAGGTATTGATATATAGGAGCAATGATATCCTATTAGCAATGAGCATACTGAGCTTCTGCATCCTGCTTTATAAAACCATTGCCCACTAAAAGGGTTTCTTGTAAGAAATGGCTAATTTCGGAACTGGGGCATGGAAAGTAAAAGGTGAGTCTGGCAAATGCTCAAAAGCTGATGGGATATATGAAAAGGAGTTCTTATTAGAAAAATATGAGACAATTTGAGCATCAAAATAATTAAGGGCAATAATGAATCATATATATTACACTGAATACAAAAGAATCCAGGAGTCTCCACCAACATGAACTAATAAATAACAAAGACTTGGAGGGAAAACACTTCCTTACAGTATAATACCAACAAATAAAGGCAGGAAGAATAATAAAATGAGAAAAATTATCATTGTATCACCTTAGTAATAGATAGCTTAGGGAAGAATCATCAATGGATTTGAAATCCATTAGGTCAAAGTTTATTGGGAAACAATTTCTTAATTTCCAAATATACGAAGGTTTTTCTACTATTTTGAAGTCATTTCTATTTCTTTTGAATTTCAGTCAAAGAATAAACAATTTATTCCAACCCTTTGGAATGTGTTGAGGAATTACTTTATGGTCAGTTTTGATAAATATTTCTTGTGCAATGATGGGAATATGTATTCTTCACTTGTCAGTGAGTTCAGGTTTGTTAATTGTTTTCATACAATCGCTGAGAAGGATGTGCTAAGATCTTATGCGATGATTGTAGACTTGTCTATCTGTCCCTGAAGTTCTGTCCTCTTTTACTTTATAATGTATATACTATGTATATTACATATGTATCTACATATAATTATGTACATACAAATTTATTACCTTATGTCTTCCAGATGTATTAAATCTTTCATAGTAAGTAATCTTCTTTCACTGGAGTATTTGTTTTTTGCCGAAAAGTCTATTTTGACAAATATTAATATAGCTATACAGTCTTTCTCTTGGATAGTGTTTAGATGGAGGAATTTTTTTGTTTGTTTTTATCCTTTTACTTTCTTTATGCTTTATATATGCCTCTTGTAACATATAGTTGTCTTATTTTTTTGAAAGCCTATATGACAGTCTTAGAATCCTTAGTAATTCATATAATTAGGGATATATTTGGTTTTAATTCTGCCATTCAGTATACGTTTTATATTTTTCTATCTTTTATTGACTCCTTTTGGATTTATCTTATTATTTCATTTTATCTTTTATTTGTAGAGACAAAGTGTTGCTTTCTCATCAAGGCTGAAGTGTCATAGCACGATCATAGCTCACTGCAACCTCAAGACACTTGAGTTCAAGTGATGCTCCTGCCTCAACCTTCTGAGTAGCTAGGGCTACAGGCACATGCCACCATACCCAGCTAATTTTTAATATTTTATAATAATCTTCTGTAAATTTGGAAATTCGCCATCTCTAATCTGCCACAGAGTTCTTAGGTTTTCATTTTTTAATTAATTAATTTTTTTTGTGTGTGTGACAGAGTCTCACTCTGTTGCCCAGGCTGGAGCGCAGTGGCATGATCTCAGCTCACTGCAGACTTGACCTCTGAGGGTCAAGTGATCCTCCCACCACAGCCTCCCAAGTAGCTGGGATTACAGGCGTGTGCTACCATACCTGGCTAATTTTTGTATTTTTAGTAGAGATGGGGTTTCATCATGTTGTCCAGGCTAGTCTTGAACTCCTGGCCACAAGTGATCCGCCTGCATCGGCCTCCCAAAGTGCTGGAATTACAGGTGTAAGACACTGCCTGGCCCTTAGTTTTTCATATTATGCTTAAGTTCCATATTTTCTAGGTGTTTCTCAAATCTTAATGTCATTTGTTATAGTTTGCAGTTTCTTGCTGAAGTGTTTAAGATCAGCATGTAATTTCCATGTGCACATTCCAAATGATTATTTAAAGTGTATGTCTGATAATTCAATTATCTGAAGTGTTTGTAAGTTTATTTCTGTTATCTCTTATTGTCCCATACCTGATTCATGTTGTATTGTCTCCTCATATATCTGCATATCATTGTATTTCAGTGACAGCATTTGAAAATTATTGAAAGAAATAAGTTGAAATCTAGGATTATGGGGTTTTTTTTGTTTGTTTATGCCCCAAAATTGGAAACCTGAATAATACGAAATCATCTTAATCCAATTTTAAGGCCCAAGATTTCTCTCATTTACATAGATGACTTGAACCAGGGCTGAATTCCATGTCTATGGTGATTTAATCCTGGTCGATCCTTATTCCTAGTGTCTGGTTTTTTTGTGATCCCAGAATTAAATTCAGGTTGGTTGGCCCTTGCCAGACTCTGTATTCCTACTCTAGTCCTCCATTGCTTGCGAGTCTGAAATGATCGTCTCCACCTGTCAGTCATATCTTCAGGTTTATAATGCATCATTGGCAAAAGTGAACTAGAAGTCATAATCATTTTTCTTGGGTTTTTGTCTTTTTCTGGATCTTAGCCAATAGCAATTTCTATTTCATTAGCTTCTTAGGGCTTTTAGTGTTTTATCCATGTGTTTATTTGCCTTTAGCACAAGAGTCATTGCAAATTACTCAGTCTTTCATTACTAGAAGCTGATGCAACAATATTCTGTCTGTGTATTTCCTTTGTAAGCACCATAAAAGCTGGCATCTTTTTAGATGAACTCTTTGTGATGGCTAGGGCAAAATCTGTGAACTCTTGAATTTGTAAGTCAAACTTACGTAAATTCATTTTTGTCTTTTGGGACAAGCTTCACGACTTTTTATTCAAAGGTGTCTATGCTATACACAGGCAGAACAATCTACAATAGAACAATCTTAAAACTTAAATGTATTTGATCAATAAACCCAGAGTCAAAATATTTAGATGATATTAGTGAAGATTAAATAGAAGTCTTGATCTTGTTGCACACTTTACCTCAATCTTTACAAAAACATAAATATGAAGAAAAATTATTTACACCAACTGGAAAAGGAAAAAAACATGAAAGTAAAACCCCTAAAGTCCAATTGTTTAAATTTCTTGGCTTTAATATTAGCACTGTTAAGGCATTTATGAATACCTCAAATATAAGCAATAAATGATCATTTCTTTCCCTTTAAACTGCTACAAATCTTTAAAGAAACAAATTTTTTTTTCTTTTTGTATACCCAGAATTCAAGAAGACAATTAAAACTGAGAGAAAATAGTACATTTTAGGTGTCATAGCAACAAAAATTTAGACATATTTACTTGATGATGATTTAGATTGCATTATTAATTTTTCTACTGAAAAGGATAGGAATTTAGAATAAAAATACTAAGGTTAATATTCTGGGATACATGTAACTTTTCAATATAAGATTGAAATGTTATATTTTTAAAATTTAGACTTTAATTAGACTTTATGTCTTTCTCATTTTCAAAGCATTTTAAATATTTCAAACATTTTGTATCTGTGTTGCAGAATTCATTGGCATACTAATGCATAAAATAATTTAGCAGCATAAATGGAAACTTTATATTTACATATTAATACACATTACATTCCTTTCATTATTGTTAACCTAAATATCAGATAAATAGGTTAAGAATAATTACTAAATAAAAGAACCCGATCAAACGCAAATGTTACCAGTCGACGTCTGTACGTTGTTCACAGTACATAATCCGAAAGTATTGAGCATAGCCGCTGCAATTCTTATGGCCAAAAAGTTTTATTTACCTATAGAAATTGCCCAAACAATAGCAATCTTCATGATGGCCTTAGTCCGCGAATTGAAACGGCTATGCTCAATAGGATTACGTATTGCTACATACCGATCCAGCGATATAGCGCAGAGGTGCATGATGGACGCTGTTGAAAATAAAACATCTAAAGAAATCCAGACGGGGCACAAATATCTAGGTAGTGGCCAGACATAATCTGAAAGAGAACAGAGAGAAGACAAGAACACGTCATCCAAATTGTACTGACTATAGTCTCAAATTTTAGTCTGCTTATATTTTCTCATAATCTAAACCTTTTAAAGAAAGTGAAATTTAGGAAGCATTATTTTCTATAGGGATGATGATGGTGATCATGATAATGATACCTTCAGCGTGACATATATTTTATTGAGGTAAAATTTACACAACATAAAATTAATCTCTTTAAAGTGTACAATCCAATGGCATCTAGTACATTCACAATATTGTGCAACTAGCATCTGTCTCTAGTTCAGAAACATTTCATCACTCCAAAAGGAAACTGCATACCGTTAAGCAGTTACTTCCCATTCTCCCATCAACCAGCTCCTGGCAATCTCTAATTTGCTTTTTATCTTTTTTTTTTAATTATTATTATACTTTAAGTTTTAGGGTACATGTGCACAATGTGCAGGTTAGTTACATATGTATACATGTGCTATGCTGGTGTGCTGCACCCATTAACTCGTCATTTAGCATTAGGTATATATCCTAATGCTACCCCTCCCCCCTCCCCCCACCCCACAACAGTCCCCAGAGTGTGATGTTCCCCTTCCTGTGTCCATGTGTTCTCATTGTTCAATTCCCACCTATGAGTGAGAACATGCAGTGTTTGGTTTTTTGTCCTTGCGATAGTTTACTGAGAATGATGATTTCCAATTTCATCCATGTCCCTACAAAGGACATGAACTCATCATTTTTTATGGCTGCATAGTATTCCATGGTGTATATGTGCCACATTTTCTTAATCCAGTCTATGGATTTAACTAATTTGGATATTTCATATAAATAGAATCATACAATTTGTGACTTTTTGGGTCTGGCTTCTTTCACCTAGCTAATGTTTTTGAGGTTTATCTATTTCGTAGCATGTATCAATACTTAATTCTTCTTTGTGGCTGATGCTGTTATCAATTGAGGTTTTTTTGGAAGCTGTTGTAAATAGAATTGTTTTCTTAAATTCTTTCATGGATTGTTCATCACTGTGTATAGAACTACAAATGTCCTGCAACTTTGCTGAATTCATTTATTAGAGCTATGTTTTGTGTTGACTCTTTGGGATTTTCCATATATAAGATCATGTCTTCTGCAAATAGAAATAATTTGATTTATTCTTTTCCAATTTTCCTCTGCCTTTTATTTCCTCTCTTTGCCTAATTTCTCTACATGGAATTTTCAGTACCATGATAAATAGAACTAATGAAGTTGGGCATTCTGCCTTTTTTCCCTGATCTTAGAGGAAAATCAGTCTTTCACTATTGACTGGGTTTTGTTTTTGTTTTTTATAAATGCCTGTCAAGGACATTTTCTTTTATTCCTAGTTTGTTGAACATTTTTTTATCATAAAAAAGTGATGGACTTTTGCAAATGCTTTTTCTGCATCAATTGACATAATCATGTGGTTTGCATACCTTCATTCTATTAATGTGATACATTACATTGATTAGTTTCTGTATGTTGAATCCCTCTTGCATCCCTGAGATAAATCCCATTTAGTAATGGGTATATAATATGGTGCTGAATTTAGTTTGCTAGTATTTTATTGAAGACTTTTGCATTTATATTAATAAACAATACTAATCTATAATTTTCTTGTAATGTCTTTAGCTGGCTTTGATATTAAGATAATGCCAGTCTAATAGAATATATTACAAAATGTTTCTTCATCTTCTATTTTTTAGAAGAGTTTGAGAAGAATTGGTGTTAATTTTTGAAATGTTCGGTGAAATTCAAAAGGAAAACTTCTTGTCTTGAGCTTTCATTGTTGAGAGGTATTTGATCACTGATTCAATGTAGTTACTTTTTATATGACTCTTCAGATTATTTCTCCTTGAGTCACTTTTGGTAGTATGTGTGTTTTTAGAAATTTTTACATTTCATCCAGGTTATTTAATTTACTGGTGTATAATTGTTCATTGTATTGTTTTATAATCCTTTTAATTTTTTTTGAGATAGGATCTTGCTCTGTTGTCTGGGCTAGTTTGCAGTGGTGTAATAATGGCTCACTGCAGTCTCAACCTCCTGGGCTCAAGCAATCTTCCTAACTAAGCCTCCTGAGTAGCTAGGGCCACAAACATGTGGCACCATACCTGTCTAATTTTTAAATTTTTTTTTGTAGAGATGGGTTTTCACCATGTTGCCTAGGCTGCTCTTGAACTCATAGGCTCAAGTAATCCTCCCACCTTGGCCTCCCAAGGTGCGAGGATTACAGGCATGAGATACCACACCAGGAGGATTGGCCAGCCAATCCTTTTAATTTCTGTAAGGTTAGTAGTAATACCCCCACTTTCATTTCTGATTTTTGTAATTTGTGTCTTCTCTTTTTTCCTTAGTCTGTCTATCTAAAGATTTGTCAACTTTTTTGATCTTTTCAAAAAAAGGAAAACGTTTGGTTTTATTAATTGTCCTTATATTTTTCCTATTCTTTATTTTTTATATTTCCACTAAACTTCATCATTTCAGTTATTTTGTGAGTTTGGGTTAAACTTGCTCTACTTTTCTAGTTTCTTATGGTATAAAGTTAGGTCATTAATTGAGTTCATTTTATTTTTAAATGTAGCCATTTACAGATATAAATTTCCCTCTGAGCGCAGCTTTTGATGCATCCCATAATTTTTTGGTATATTAAGTTTTTATTCTGCCATTCTCAAAATATTTTTGAATTTCATTTGTATTTTCTTCTTTCACTTATTGGTTGTTTAATATTGTTTAATTTTTGCATATTTGTAAATTTTTTAGTTTTCTTTCTGTTACTGATTTCTACTTTGAATAATAATATTTTAAATGTATTAGGATACTTTAAATAATAATAATATTTTAAATGTATTGACATTTGTTTTGTGGTAAAACTTATGGTCCATCCCAGAGAATGTTCCATGTGCACATGAGAAAAAATGTATTTATTGTTGTTATTAGATGGAATGTTCTGTATCTGTCTGTTAGAATTAGTTGTTTTATAGTGTTGTTCAAGTCCTCTATTTTCCTCATTGATTTTCTGTCTTGTTGTTCTGTCCATTATTGAAAATGGAGTATTGATATCTCCAAATATTATTATAGATCTACCTTTTTCTCCCATTAATTCTTTTATTTTTCACTTCGTATAATTGTTGGGCTCTGTTGTTAGGTACATATATGTTTATAATTGTTATATGTTCTTGATGGCTTGAAATCAATAGATGATGTTCTTCTTTTAGTTGATGTTGTTCACAACAACTATCTTTGTAAGTTCTATTTTGTCTGACAAGTTCAGCCACCTCAACTCTATTTTGGTTACTGTTTGTATGGAATATCTTTTTCCATCCTTTCACTTTCAACATACATGTGTCCTTATGTCTAAAGTGAGTCTCTTATTGAAAGCATATAATTGGATCATGTATTTTTATCCATTTTGCTAGTGTCTGCCTTTTAACTGGAAAATTTAATTCTTTCACATTTAAAGTAATTACAGTAAAGAAAAGACACTTGCACCATTTTATCTATAACATATACTATCATTTTTTTCTGTCACTGCCTTCACTTGTGATTAAGTGATTTTTTTGTGATTAACTGATTTTTTTGTAGGGATTCTCTTCTTGTCTCTTTCTCTTTGTATTATTTTAATTGTTTACTTTGGTTAACCTGGGGATTACAATTATAATCTTTCTTCCATAACAATCAAGTTTTAATTATAGATACTCAGTTTCAATACTATACAAAGATTTTGCTTCTTTACATCTTCATCCTTTTTTATGTTGCTATTGGTCATAAATTACATTTTTTATACATTTGGTGCTCATTAATATAGATTTATAATTATTGTTTTATGTATTTGCCTTTTAAAGGAAATAGAAAGTCAAAACAGGTGTAAGAAACCCATAGTACAATTCCACTGGATTTTATATTTGCTTTGTAGCTACTTTTGTTGTTTTTTATTTCTTTATATGCCTTCAAGGTACTTTTTGGCGTCCTTTCATTTCATCCTGAAGGACTCCCTTTAGCATTTTTTTTTAGGGTAGGTCCACTAGTAATTAACTCCTTCTGATTTTTTGTTTTTGTTTTTGCTCTTTTACCAGGAGTGTTTTAATTTCTCTATTTTTGAAGGATAGCTTTGCCAGATTTAGAGCATTTAGTTGACAATTTTTCTTTCAGCACTTTAAATATGTCATCTCACTGCTTCCGGCCTCCATGGTCTCTGTAGAGAAATTCACTGTTTATCTTGTTAAAGATACTTTGTATTTGATGAGATGCTTGTCTGTTGCAGCTTTTAAGATTCTCTCTTTGCCTTTCAAGAGTTTGATTATACTGCACCTTGGTTTGGATATTTTGGAGTAATTCTTGCTTAGAGTTCATTGAGCTTCCTGGATTTATAGTCATGTCTTTATTCAAAGTTGGAAAGTTTGTGGCCATTATTTCTTTAAATATTTTTTTCTGATCCTTTTAATCTCTCATGTCCCGGAAATCCCATTGTGCATATATTGGTAAACTTGATAGTGTCTCAAAGGTCCCTTAGGCATTGTTCATTTTTATTTATTATTTTCTCTTTATGCTCCTTGGACTGGATAATCACAATTGACCTGTTTTCATGTTCTCTGATTCTTTCTTCTGTCTGCTAAAGTCTGTTATTGATTCCCTCATGTGAATTTTTCATTTCAGTTATTATAATTTTTAGCTGCCATATTTCCATTGTTTTTTGTTTACAATTTTATCCCTTTAATTATATTCTCTATCCCTTGAGACATTGTTCTTCTGGTTTGCTTTAATTCTTACTCCATGGTTTCCTTCAGCTCTTTGAGTACATTTGAGACAGTTGATGTAAAGTCTTTGTCTATTAAGTCCAATGCTTGGGCTTCCTCATGATCAGTTTCTATTCTATTTTGTTTTCTGAAAATAGGTCATATTTCCTAGTTTATTTGCATGCTTTTTAATCTTGGTAAAACTTGGACATCTTAATATTACAATGTGGCAGATCTGTAAATCAGATTTTCTTCCCTTCCTGAAGTTGTTGCTACTTGTTTTGGACTGATTTTGTTTGACTGTTTAGTGATTTTTCAAAACTATTTTTATAAAGTCTGTTTTCTTTTTTCTTGGTCTTCTGTGGCAGCTAAAATCAGCATCCTGTTAGTTTGGTGGTTACCTAGCACTTTTACAGGGGTTTCTTAAATACCGGTAGGCAAAGAAAAAAAAGGAATGAATGCTTTCTTACTTTTTGCAGGTTGGGTCTGTTTGGGACCTTCCTTCAATGCTTAATGAGGTTGTTTATAACTCTGCCTCAGCCTCAACTTTATACTTCAGCAGAATCTCAGAGGCTGATGGACAGCCCGGTCACAGGTGGAAGAATAGTGTCTTTCCAGGCTTCTTCTGAGCATTCTGACATCCTTAGGCACGCCATGTGTAGCTTTTTCCATTCTCTGTTATATTTGAGTTCCTTAAAAATAAAGTTTTCTTTCCCAACGTATCTCCATTCCCAACCTCTTTCTTCCCAGGCCATTCAGCCTGTTTCTTGTTTGTGTGGTCTAGTGTTACTTGTCCTAGTCTGTTGCAAACAATGCTTGTGCCTTTTAATACTTTTGGCAAACTCCAACCAGAACATCATCTGAGCCCTGGAAATGCTCTGAGTCAGGCAAAACAAAGGAAGTTACTGTCCCAGTCCTTCAGGGGGCCATCAGAGAAGTCTAAAAAGACAAGCACATTTCTTTGAGGAAAAGATCTGTATTTCTTTGGCACTAGCAACTTGCATCAGGAGTGCAGGCTTTCATCCTCAAATTAGCTGCATATCTGGAAATGGGATATGGTAGCAGGCAGCTTAAAACCCTACAGTGCTCCCTTACTGCAAAGCAGTGGGTTTCTTCTTCATTTAGCATTACCTTGTTTGTTTTAAATTTTTGATTTGATGTTTGAGTTTCATAATAGTTGATTCTGACAACTATTTCCAGGTCATTTTCTTGCTCTTTTGGAGAGACAGAACAATAAAGTTCCTCCTCATATAAATTACTTTAACGTTACTTATTTATTCCTTAATTTACCCTATGTTAGCTATTTGTTTTCTATATGCCAAACATTTTGTTAGATACTAGAAGTAAAGATTAATAAGTGGCAGAAACTCTTGTTATTTTTACTTTTAACAGTTACCAGATGAATTACTGTTGCCATTTTCATGATAGTCTCTGGTGTGGCATTAAGTCTGACTTTGAGCTGGTGCCGAAATTAGCAGAACATTTCAAGTAAAATTTTTTTTTTTTTTTGAGACGGAGTCTCACTCTGTCACCCAGGCTGGAGTGCAGTGGCGCAATCTCCCCTCACTGCAAGCTCTGCCTTCCGGGTTCAAGCCATTCTCCTGCCTCGGCCTCCCAAGTAGCTGGGACTACAGGTGCCCACCATCGCTCCAGGCGAATTTTTTGTATTTTTAGTAGAGACAGGGTTTCACCTTGTTAGCCAGGATGGTCTCGATCTCCTGACCTCATGATCGGCCTGCCTCGGCTTCCCAAAGTGCTGGGACTACAAGCATGAGCCACTGCGCCCAGCCGCAAGTAAGTTGTTTTTAACATTGGTGTTCTTACTTGAAAACTTGAGATCTAAACTATTTTCAGTAGTGTTAAAGTTTCCATATTGGAGCATCATTAAAAGTTTAAAGTTTTTGTAATGACATTGGCATCTAGAATCTAGCAACTGAATCAGGCAAAAAACCAACTTGTAAATCTGCTGTTGGTGAATTGTTTTACGATGTGTCATATTCTAGTCTGCTGGAGTTGTTAGTGAGAATTATCTTAGATACTGGGCTCTTCTCCTATGCAACCTTAGTAGGCATGACTACCTTACAGGATAAATAAACAATTCAGAATCTTGTTTTCTTGGGGAAGTAAGGAAAAGTAAGGTGAAATGTGGCTGTTGAAATATTCTGGAAGGTTAACCAGCATCCTTCCTTTGGACATTTTTGGTTTCTTCCAGAATGGGCTGAAGGATATGTCAAGATACAGACTGATGAACTGGTGCTTCATTCTTGATAATAATGAAGCAGCGATCAAACCCCTCTACTTTTAATGTGAACATTATTGTCCATTAGTAAGAGATCTTGTATAACTCATTGTTCTTTTATAATACTCTTGTTTAGGTTGGCGACATGCTCAACCTTCACCAGTATATAACAAGTTCTTAGATGTCTATTAAAGGCAGTAAAATTGCCATTTTTTGTTTTTTCCATTATAAATGGTGCTGCTTCAATCTATATGAATTATTTATACATATTTGGATAGTAAAATTTTCTTAGATTAATCATCAGAATTTATACTTATGATGCTTGGTATTTGCTGAGCTTCATGAGTCTATAAACTTACGGCTTTCACCAAATTTGAAAATTTTTCAGTCCTTATTTTTTTGCAAATAGTTTTTGGTCCCATTTTCCCTCTCATTCTCTGGGTCTCAAATCACATGCATGTTAGAGCATTTGATATTGTTTCACAGATTCCTGAGAGTCCATTCTTTTTTTTCTCAATGTGTTTCGCTCTGATCTTAATTTCGGACGATTTCTATAGATCTATCTTCAAATGCACTGGCTTTTCTTGTCTGTCATCTCCATTATACTGTTAAACTCATCCAGGATAATTTTATATTTCATATATTATTTTTTAGCCCACAAATTGCCATTCAATTATTTTTGTTGTTTTTATTTATCTTCTGAGGTTTTCCATTTTCAATAATTATGAGCATATTTTCTTTGATGGTATTGATATAAATATAATAGCAGCAATAAAATCTTTCTCGGTGAATTTTAACATCTGGGTATTCTCAGGATAGGTCTCTTAAAAGTTGTGTGTGTGTATATATGTGTGTGTGTTAGTGTGTGTGTGAATGAGTTGTCTTTCCCTGTTTCTTCTTAAAGTAAAATATTTTAGATTGTAAACTAAACATTGTGAATGCCATGTCGTTGAGATGCTGGATTTGGTTCTTTTGCTCCAAAGAGTATTGGTGTTTTTGTTTTTGTTTTTGTTTTTCCAGCAATCAGCTTGGTTGGACTCAAACTGCAGTCTCTTTCATTTGGGCTACAGCTCAAATGTCAATTCAGTTCATTTATCATTTCTTAGGTTGCTTGTAGGATATCCCAGGCAAGCACGGTTTAAATGTCATCTAGAGATTTAGGCAGAGTTTATAGTTTCCCAGAGAAGAATTTGTGGTTCTCTCTATCTTTACCTTTTCCTAGGTGCTCCTTCACCTTCCAGTTGCAAATTCCTCAGGTTCTTCAGGCCATAAAAACTGAAGACTTTTTGTTTTGTTTTGTTTTGTTTTGTTTTGTTTTGTTTTTGAGACAGGATCTGGCTCTGTCACCCAGGCTGGTGTGCCGTGACACTATTTCAGCTCACTGCAATCTCCACCTCCCAGACTCAAACAATCGTCTTATCTCAGCCTCCTGAGTAGCTGGGACTACAGGCACCAGCCACCCTGCCTGGCTAATTTTTGTATTTTTTGTAGAGATGGGGTTTTGCCATGTTGCCCAGGTGGGTCTCTAACTCCTGGCCTCAAGTGATCCACCTGTCTTGGCTTCCCAAAGTGCTGGGATTACAGGCATAAGCCCCCACACCCAACCAAAAAAACTAAAGATTTTTTTATTGGAGTTTTAGCCACCTCTTCTGGCAGAAATTGCATCTTCCTCTTAAGCTATAAGTCTTGAAAGTTGGAAACTCAACCTCTGTTGTTTCTTTTTTCCAAGTGTTGTGATTGCCAATATCTCTGTTTTGGATTCCTGTCCAATACCTTAAGGTAGTTGTTCTTTGTGTTTTGTTCCAAGTTAGTAGCTTTTATTTGCCAAAAGGTTAACAATAGAAGTGCTTATATGGCCATACTAGAAATCAAACTACCAATTATTAGAATTCAACCAGTGCAATAAGGAAAGGAAATACATCATGAGAAGTTCTTCTAACCAAAAGTTCATTATTGTTCATCATTTTCCTATAACTCCCTCAGATTGTATCCACCATGGAAGTTGATCATGTGGAGGGTTTTTGTATTCTCCTTGACATGTTTCACTTGCAGAAATTATGTTTCCAATTGTGCTTCAAATGCACAAGTATATCCTGATTATCACTATGTGGAGAATTCTGTTGCCATAACCATTAGAACATAAGCTCCATTGGGTCAGTAATTATTGTTTATTTTTCCATTATCCATAGAGCATAGAACAATGTGTGGAATTATGTGAGCCAGCAATATTTTATACAATTAATATGTAAAAGGTTTGAAGGGAGTTGAATAGCCAAGAGGCTATAGCACACTTTCCATAGGGGAGGCCAATTCATAGTTGAGTGAAATGAAATCTTATTTTCAGGGGAAAAAATTGTGTATAGTGCTTCATAAGACATTTTTATATGTTTGTTCATTCATTCAAATGTTACATGATTTTTAATGACTCCAGCAATCACAGGTATCCCCACCAATAATAAAAAAAGGCAAAGACTGAATACAAGACATTAATCTTTCAGCTCTTCTGTTCAAAGAAAATACAAAAGGACTTTATTTTCATGAAGTAATGTAGACAATTTTTGCCTTTGAGAAAAGAATAAAAGTTCAGTATTCTGATAATTTAATTAAGATGTATGGGAATGTGGGGACAACTGTGAAGTAATCCCAAAGCTAGCACTTGGAAACAAAAAATTATAATCAATCTCTAAGTTAACATATATGAAAAGATGAATAGCCATGAAAGTTTAAAAATTCCTCAACACATTTTATAAAACAATACAGTGTCAATAGCAAAACTTGAAAAACACTAAAACAGGAGACTAGAGAAAATAGCATTCATTATTATAGATTCAAAGTTCAAAATAAAATATTAACAAATAAAGCCCAAAAAAGTACCAAAAGAATAACACATCAGAAAAAACAAGAGTTCTTCCAGGAATGCAAAGGCGATTTATCATCATGAAATCTACCAATATAATCCCTGATATTAGCATTTGTGAAGAAATTTTTGGTCTTTTAATAGATATTGAAGAGTAATTTGATTAAATACAGAAGCCATTCCTAATTAAAATTTTAATAATGAAGGGATAAAGGCAGTGCCCTTAATTTTGATAAAGATAACTTACTAAGAACCTACAACAAATATTATAAATAGCAATACAATAAATGTATTTCAATTACATTAAATTTAGAAATTGGACAAGATGCCAGTTTACCCCATTACTCATCATTATGTTATTAATTTTCACTATGATAAGAGTATAAACTAACTTGTATAACTTTGGAAAACAAGGTATAAAATGATCTCTTGTTTATCGGTGATTTTTTTTTTTTGACTGTAGGACTAGCGAATCTGAGACTCTTCTAAAAACTATGCTGGATTTACTGAGAGAATATAATAGTCTGGCTGGATACAAGATAAATATAAAATAATCTAGAGGTTTAACTAGTCCAAGAACAAGTGCCAGAGATAGAAAAAGGGAAAATAGTCTATTTGCAACAGTGACAAAATTCATTAAAAATCTTATTAAAACTTTAACAAGATAATTACAGGTCCTACATGAAAATACAATCACAAAACCTGCACACGTACTCTCTTAATTTAAAATTAGAAAGATTAAACAGCAACAACAAAATAACCACCAAATCTTATGGAAAAATATAAATCTACATCTAAAGAGATATTATATCATACTATATTCTTTGGATGGCACAATGTAGATCCAAATGTATTTACTTGTGATATCAACTATGTAAGAAAAAAATAACATCAACCATACACAGATTCTTTGAATAAATAAGGGGATTATTTCCCAACATACTTCATGAGGCCAGTATAACTTTGAAAATAAAGCTTGAAGATGTATCACAGTAAACAAATAAGGAGAAAATTATGTGAGTAAGTCAATGTAGGCACACATTTTTAAATATAACTCAACGTAGTTCAAGTTGAATAAATTTCAGCAAACTAAGATTCTAACTTTCTTAAACTAAAGTATGTCTCTCAAATATTTAATAATTAAATGTTGGAAAAAAACAAGAAAGTCTACCATCACAACATCCATTGTGCATTGTACTAGAGTTACTTATTACTGTGTTATGAAAGTAAAAATGTTCAGGACTTAAAAGGAAAAATGAAAACATGATTGTGTACATAAAAAAATTTACAGATAAATGTTGAGCATTAACGAGTTTAGAAAGGTTGTTGTATATAAAGTCAATATCTGAAAAAAATCAATCAATTTTGTTTTCATAAAACAACATACAATGATAAAATGACATGTTTTAAAAAGTTACCGAGGGGGAGGAGCCAAGATGGCCGAATAGGAACAGCTCTGGTCTACAGCTCCCAGCCTGAGCGATGCAGAAGACGGGTGATTTCTGCATTTCCATCTGAGGTACTGGGTTCATCTCACTAGGGAGTAACAGACAGTGGGCGCAGGTCAGTGGGTGCACGCACCGTGCACGAGCCGAAGCAGGGCGAGGCATTGCCTCACTTGGGAAGCGCAAGGGGTCAGGGAGTTCCCTTTCTGAGTCAAAGAAAGGGGTGACAGACACACCTGGAAAATCGGGTCACTCTCACCCGAATACTGCGCTTTTCCGACCGGCTTAAAAAACGGCGCACCACCAGATTATATCCCGCACCTGGTTTGGAGGGTCCTACGCCCACGGAGTCTCGCTGATTGCTAGCACAGCAGTCTGAGATCAAACTGCAAGGCGGCAGCGAGGCTGGGGGAGGGGCGCCCGCCATTGCCCAGGCTTGATTAGGTAAACAAAGCAGCCAGGAAGCTCGAACTGGGTGGAGCCCACCACAGCTCAAGGAGGCCTGCCTGCCTCTGTAGGCTCCACCTCCGGGGGCAGGGCACAGACAAACAAAAAGATAGCAGTAACCTCTGCAGACTTAAATGTCCCTGTCTGACAGCTTTGAAGAGAGCAGTGGTTCTCACAGCACGCAGCTGGAGATCTGAGAACGGGCAGACTGCCTCCTCAAGTGGGTCCCTGACCCCTGACCCCCGAGCAGCCTAACTGGGAGGCACCCCCCAGCAGGGGCACACTGACACCTCACACGGCAGGGTATTCCAACAGACCTGCAGCTGAGGGTCCTGTCTGTTAGAAGGAAAACTAACAGACAGAAAGGACATCCACACCAAAAACCCATCTGTACATCACCATCATCAAAGACCAAAAGTAGATAAAACCACAAAGATGGGGAAAAAACAGAACAGAAAAACTGGAAACTCTAAAAAGCAGAGCGCCTCTCCTCCTCAAAAGGAACGCAGTTCCTCACCAGCAATGGAACAAAGCTGGATAGAGAATGACTTTGATGAGCTGAGAGAAGAAGGCTTCAGACGATCAAATTACTCTGAGCTACGGGAGGACATTCAGACCAAAGGCAAACAAGTTGAAAACTTTGAAAAAAATTTAGAAGAATGTATAACTAGAATAACCAATACAGGGAAGTGCTTAAAGGAGCTGATGGAACTGAAAACCAAGGCTCGAGAACTACCTGAAGAATGCAGAAGCCTCAGGAGCCGATGCGATCAACTGGAAGAAAGGGTATCAGCAATGGAAGATGAAATGAATGAAATGAAGTGAGAAGGGAAGTTTAGAGAAAAAAGAATAAAAGGAAACCAAAAAAGCCTCCAAGAAATATGGGACTATGTGAAAAGACCAAATCTAGGTCTGATTGGTGTACCTGAAAGTGATGGGGAGAATGGAACCAAGTTGGAAAACACTCTGCAGGATATTATCCAGGAGAACTTCCCCAATCTAGCAAGGCAGGCCAACGTTCAGATTCAGGAAATACAGAGAATGCCACAAAGATACTCCTCGAGAAGAGCAACTCCAAGACACATAATTGTCAGATTCACCAAAGTTGAAATGAAGGAAAAAATGTTAAGGGCAGCCAGAGAGAAAGGTCGGGTTATCCTCAAAGGGAAGCCCATCAGACTAACAGCGGATCTCTCGGCAGAAACCCTACAAGCCAGAAGAGAGTGAGGGCCAATATTCAACATTCTTAAAGAAAAGAATTTTCAACCCAGAATTTCATATCCAGCCAAATTAAGCTTCATAAGTGAAGGAGAAATAAAATACTTTACAGACAAGCAAATGCTGAGAGATTTTGTCACCACCAGTCCTGCCCTAAAAGAGCTCCTGAAGGAAGCGCTAAACATGGAAAGGAACAACTGGTACCAGCCGCTGCAAAATCATGCCAAAATGTAAAGACCATCGAGACTAGGAAGAAACTGCATCAACTAACGAGCAAAATACCCAGCTAACATCATAATGACAGGATCAAATTCACACATAACAATATTAACTTTAAATGTAAATGGACTAAATGCTCCAATTAAAAGACACAGACTGGCAAATTGGATAAAGAGTCAAGACCCATCAGTGTGCTGTATTCAGGAAACCCATCTCACGTGCAGAGACACACATAGGCTCAAAATAAAAGGATGGAGGAAGATCTACCAAGCAAATGGAAAACAAAAAAAGAAAAGCAGGGGTTGCAATCCTAGTCTCTGATAAAACAGACTTTAAATCAACAAAGATCAGAAGAGACAAACAAGGCCATTACATAATGGTAAAGGGATCAATTTAACAAGAAGAGCTAACTATCCTAAATATATATGCACCCAATACAGGAGCACCCAGATTCATAAAGCAAGTCCTGAGTGACCTACAAAGAGACTTAGACTCCCACACATTAATAATGGGAGACTTTAACACCCCACTGTCAACATTAGACAGATCAACGAGACAGAAAGTCAACAAGGATACCCAGGAATTGAACTCAGCCTTGCATCAAGCGGACCTAATAGACATCTACAGAACTCTCCACCCCAAATCAACAGAATATACATTTTTTTCAGCACCACACCACACCTATTCCAAAATTGACCACATACTTGGAAGTAAAGCTCTCCTCAGCAAATGTAAAAGAACAGAGATTATAATAAACTATCTCTCAGACCACACTGCAATCAAACTAGAACTCAGGATTAAGAATCTCACTCAAAACCGCTCAACTACATGGAAACTGAACAACCTGCTCCTGAATGACTACTGGGTACATAACAAAATGAAGGCAGAAATAAAGATGTTCTTTGAAACCAACGAGAACAAAGACACAACATACCAGAATCTCTGGGATGCATTCAAAGCAGTATGTAGAGGGAAACTTATAGCACTAAATGCCCACAAGAGAAAGCAGGAAAGATCCAAAATTGACACCCTAACATCACAATTGAAAGAACTAGAAAAGCAAGAGCAAACACATTCAAAAGCTAGCAGAAGGCAAGAGATAACTAAAATAAGAGCAGAACTGAAGGAAATAGAGACACAAAAAACCCTTCAAAAAATTAATGAATCCAGGAGCTGGTTTTTTGAAAGGATCAACAAAATTGATAGACTGCTAGCAAGACTAATAAAGAAAAAAAGAGAGAAGAATCAAATAGACACAATAAAAAATGATAAAGGGGATATCACCACTAATCCCACCGAAATACAAACTACCATCAGAGAATACTACAAACACCTCTACGCAAATAAACTAGAAAATCTAGCAGAAATGGATAAATTCCTCGACACATACACTCTCACAAGACTAAACCAGGAAGAAGTTGAATCTCTGAACAGACCAATAACAGGATCTGAAATTGTGGCAATAATCAATAGTTTACCAACCAAAAAGAGTCCAGGACCAGATGGATTCACAGGCGAATTCTACCAGAGGTACAAGGAGGAACTGGTACCATTCCTTCTGAAATTATTCCAATCAATAGAAAAAGAGGGAATCCTCCCTAAGTCATTTTATGAGGCCAGCATCATTCTGATACCAAAGCCGGGTAGAGACACAACCAAAAAGGAGAATTTTAGACCAATATCCTTGATGAACATTGATGCAAAAATCCTCAATAAAATACTGGCAAAACGAATCCAGCAGCACATCAAAAAGCTTATCCACCATGATCAAGTGGGCTTCATCCCTGGGATGCAAGGCTGGTTCAATATATGCAAATCAATAATTGTAATCCAGCATATAAACAGAGCCAAAGACAAAAACCACATGATTATCTCAATAGATGCAGAAAAAGCCTTTGACAAAATTCAACAACCCTTCATGCTAAAAACTCTCAATAAATTAGGTATTGATGGGACGTATTTCAAAATAATAAGAGCTATCTATGACAAACCCACAGCCAATATCATACTGAATGGGCAAAAACTGGAAGCATTCCCTTTGAAAACTGGCACAAGACAGGGATGCCCTCTCTCACCACTCCTATTCAACATAGTGTTGGAAGTTCTGGCCAGGACAATTAGGCAGGAGAAAGAAATAAAGGGTATTCAATTAGGAAAAGAGGAAGTCAAATTGCCCCTGTTTGCAGACGACATGATTGTATATCTAGAAAACCCCATTGTCTCAGCCCAAAATCTCCTTAAGGTCATAAGCAACTTCAGCAAAGTCTCAGGATACAAAATCAATGTACAAAAATCACAAGCATTCTTATACACCAACAACAGACAAACAGAGAGACAAATCATGAGTGAACTCCCATTCACAATTGCTTCAAAGAGAATAAAATACCTAGGAATCCAACTTACAAGGGATGTGAAGGACCTCTTCAAGGAGAACTACAAACCACTGCTCAAGGAAATAAAAGAGGATACAAACAAATGGAAGAACATTCCATGCTCATGGGTAGGAAGAATCAATATCGTGAAAATGGCCATACTGCCCAAGGTAATTTACAGATTCAATGCCATACCCATCAAGCTACCAATGCCTTTCTTCACAGAATTGGAAAGAACTACTTTAAAGTTCATATGGAACCAAAAAAGAGCCCGCATCGCCAAGTCAATCCTAAGCCAAAAGAACAAAGCTGGAGGCATCACACTACCTGACTTCAAACTATACTACAAGGCTACAGTAACCAAAACAGCATGGTACTGGTACCAAAACAGAGATATAGATCAATGGAACAGAACAGAGCCCTCAGAAATAACGCCGCATATCTACAACTATCTGATCTTTGACAAACCTGACAAAAACAAGCAATGGGGAAAGGATTCCCTATTTAATAAATGGTGCTGGGAAAACTGGCTAGCCATATGTAGAAAGCTGAAACTGGATCCCTTCCTTACACCTTATACAAAAATCAATCCAAGATGGATTAAAGACTTAAACGTTAGACCTAAAACCATAAAAACCCTAGAAGAAAACCTAGGCATTACCATTCAGGACATAGGCATGGGCAAGGACTTCATGTCTAAAACATCAAAAGCAATGGCAACAAAAGCCAAAATTGACAAATGGGATCTAATTAAACTAAAGAGCTTCTGCACAGCAAAAGAAACTACCATCAGAGTGAACAAGCAACCTGCAAAATGGGAGAAAATTTTCGCAACCTACTCATCTGACAAAGGGCTAATATCCAGAATCTACAATAAACTCCAACAAATTTACAAGAAAAAAACAAACAACCCCATCAAAAAGTGGGCAAAGGACATGAACAGACACTTCTCAAAAGAAGACATTTATGCAGCCAAAAAACACATGAAAAAATGCTCATCATCACTGGCCATCAGAGAAATGCAAATCAAAACCACTAGGAGATACCATCTCACACCAGTTAGAATGGCAATCATTAAAAAGTCAGGAAACAACAGGTGCTGGAGAGAATGTGGAGAAATAGGAACACTTTTACACTGTTGGTGGGACTGTAAACTAGTTCAACCATTGTGGAAGTCAGTGTGGCGATTCCTCAGGGATCTAGAACTAGAAATACCATTTGACCCAGCCATCCCATTACTGGGTATATACCCAAAGAACTCTAAATCATGCTGCTATAAAGACACATGCACATGTATGTTTATTGCGGCATTATTCACAATAGCAAAGACTTGGAACCAACCCAAATGTCCAACAATGATAGACTGGATTAAGAAAATGTGGCACATATACACCATGGAATACTATGCAGCCATAAAAAATGATGAGTTCATGTCCTTTGTAGGGACATGGATGAAATTGGAAATTATCATTCTCAGTAAACTATCGCGAGAACAAAAAACCAAACACCGCATATTCTCACTCATAGGTGGGAATTGAACAATGAGATCACATGGACACAGGAAGGGGAATATCACACTCTGGGGACTGTTGTGGGGTGGGGGGGAGGGGGGAGGGATAGCATTGGGAGATATACCTAATGCTAGATGATGAGTTAGTGGGTGCAGCGCACCAGCATGGCACATGTATACATATGTAACTAACCTGCACAATGTGCACATGTACACTAAAACTTAAAGTATAATAATAAAAAAAACAAAAAACAGCACTCTCCATAAAAAAATAAAATAAAGTTTATCTCTTTAACTCTTAAAAAAAATAAAATAAAATATAAAGAAACTAAAAAAAATAAATAAATAAAAAAATAAAAAGTTACCAATTAAAAGTCTTTCAGGTCTGGCAAAACTGAAGTAAGCACATTTCATCCTATCTCTCCTATAGATTACAACTAAAACCTGTGCACATATACCCAAAACAAGTAACTGAGGTATGTGAAAAATAAATAACAGCAGACTAATTGGGCAAGACAATAAAAGTTAAACAATGACCAATAAAAGAATTATTTTCCTTTCCCTTCCCACTTCCCTTACCTCCTGGCTTAGATTTTAGTACGGCCCGAAATCTTCAAACTGTGTAGTGGATGTGCAGAAAGAAACCTCCAAGAAAAATACTGTCTTCCCAGGGGACAAGAGGACAGGCATAAAACAGAGAGATTTCTTTGCTTCACTTTTTCTATCCTGGCATAAAAGGAGGCAAGCATCGATCATTAAATTGCCCATCTATAGTGGCAACACCACTATACACCAGGAGCTCTGCAGGCAACTAAAATTTTGAAAGTTAGGCCATGTTCATGGATTGGAACATTTAATATTGTTAAAATGGCAATACTTTTCAAAGTGACCTACAGATTTAATGCAATCCCTATCAAAACCCTAATGTGTTTGTTGGCAGAAATGGAAATGCTAATCCTAAAATAAATATTTAATCTTAAGGGATCTCGAATAGCCAAAACAATCTTGAAAAGGAGAAAAAAATTTTAGGACTCAGAATTCCCAATTTCAAGATTCACTGGAAAGCTATTATAATCAAACAATGTGGTACAAGTATAAGGATAGACATAGATTAATAGAATAGGATTGAGAGGCCAGAAATAAACCTATTTATCTGCAGTCAGCTGAGTTTTACACTTGTGACAATACCTTCCAATGGAAAACAACAGTCCCTTCAACAAATAATGCTGGGAAAATTGCATGTAGATATCACGTGCAAAAGATTGAAGTTGAACCCTCACCTCACAACATACACAAAATTTAACTCAAAATGGTCCAAAGATCCAGATATAAAAACCAAAGGTACAAAACACTTAGAAAAGGACACAGGGGTAAATCTTAGTGACCTTGGATTTGGCAATGGTTTCTTAGATATGACACCAGTAGCATTAGCAGAAAAGATAGAAAAATTGGACATCATTAAATTAAAAATTTTTTCTGCATCAGAGTGCTATCAGAAGAGTGTAAAAACAGCCCACAGAATGCAAGAAAATATTTGCAAATAAAAAATGGGTAAGGAACTTGAATAGACATTTCTCCAAATGAGATATACAAATGGCCAACAAGCATATGAAAATATGCTCAGCATCATTAGTCATTAGAGAAATATAAATGAAAACCACCATGAGAAACCACTTCACTCCCACCAGGTTGACCGTAAACACAAAACCAAAAACAAAATGAGAAATGTCAAGTCTTGGTGAGGATGTGGAGAAAAAATTGGAAACCTCATACATTGTTGGTGATAAAGTGAAACGGTGCCGTCACTGTGGAAAACAGCTTGTTAGTTCCTTTAAAAGCCAAACACGGAATTACCATATGACCTAGCAATTCTATTTATAGATACTCAAGCAAGTATTTGACATGACTCTTTATAGTGGTACTTTTCACTATAGCCAAAAGGAGGAAACAACCCAAATATCTATCAACTGACAGATGAATAAACAGAATGTACTATATTCAGATAATGGAGTATTATTCAACCATAAAAAGAGTGAATTACAAATACATGGCACATTATGGTTGAACTTTGAAAGCATCATGCTAAGTGAAAGAAGCCAGATGCAAAAGATCACATATTGTATGACTTTATTTATACGAAATATTCAGAATAGGTAAATCCTTAAAGACAGATAGGAGACTAGTGTTTTCCAGAGGCTGAGGAATGGGGCAATGTAGAAAAGCTACTTAATGGATATGGAATTTTTTTGGAAGTAGTGATAAAATATCTTGGTACTGGATAGAGATGACGGTTGGACATCATTGTGAATGTACTAAATACCACAGAATTGTATACTTTTAAATGGTTAATTGTTAATTTTGTTATATGAATTTTATCTCAATAATAAAGGATCCAGATCTCAAGACATAATATTCAAAGTGTCAAAGATACAAAATGTTTTATCCAAATATACACAGAATTAGAAAAATCTCAAAAATTCTTAAGGAAAAAGAGAATCAAAGACAGCAACCCTTCGATAACGCAAATGTTGGAATTTGTAGACAAAGACTTCAAGGCAGCTACCCTAATCATGCTCAGTGAAGGAAGGCGGCCTCTCTTGAAATGAATAGAAAGGTAGGAGTTCTCAAATAATGAGTATAATTTATTAAAAAGAACCAACTGAAAGCTTGGAGCTCAAAAAATACAATATTTGAAAAAAGATCATTGAATGGACTCAATAGAAGAGTAGAGATGACAGATAAAGAGTCATGAAAACTAAAGTTAGATCCATATAAATTATATAATCTGAACAACAGTGTGAAAAAATTAAAAATAAATGAACATAGTGGGGATCTGTGGGACAATAACTATATGTTTAACATTTGTATCATTGGAATTTTATAAGGAGAGGAGAAAAATTGATGAAGAAATACTATTTGAAGAAATAATGGTCCAAAACATGCCGCATTTGGGGGGAAAAAATTTACAGATTTAAGAAGTTCTGTAAAACTCAAATGTTTAAACCAAAAAAAAAATCATACCTAGATCATCATAATCAAACTGGTCAAAATAAAAGATAAAGACAAAAACATTGAAAGTTGCATATCTTCAGATTTTGCATCAGAAACCATGAAAACCAGAAGGTAGTGTAACCACAAATTTAAAAGCCTGAAAGAAAGGAGCTATCAATTCAAAATTCCATATCCAGTGGAAATATATTTCACAAATGAATGTGAAATAAAGAGATTCTCAGGTGAAGGGAAACTAGGAACTCATTGCTCTAAAACAAGTCTCTCTAAACTAGGAGACTTGGTCTAAAAATGTTAAAGGATGTTTTTCAGGCAGAAGGAAATTACACTAAAGGAAAACACTAAAGGAAATTACACTAAAGGAAAATTACACTAAAGGAAAACATCAGGAACAAAGGAAGAACAACAGAAACGGTAAATATCTTAGAAAATATAATAATTTTTCTTAAGTCTTTAAAATACATATGATTCTCAGAAGCAAAAATTTTGTAACATTGTCTGATAAGGTTCTCAATGCATGTAGATGTAATCCATATTACAACTAAGACCAAAAAAAGGAGGATAAAGGAGCATATATGGTTTTATCTTTCACTTGATGTGATAAAATATTAAGGGTAAGAAACTTGGAAAAAATATGTATATATAGGTTGAATATTTCTAATCTGAAAACCTGAAATCCCAAATTCTCCAAAATCTAAACTTTTTGAGCACTGAGATAATGCTTAAGGGAAATACTCATTGGAGCAGTTTGGATTTTGGAATTTTGGATTAGGGATGCTGAACTGTTAACTATAATGAAAATATTCCAAAATCTAATAAAATTCAAAATCCAAAGCATTGTGGTCCCAAGAATTTTGGATAAGGGATACTTATAATATACAGGTATATTTTAATTCAGAGCATTGTCACTTAACAAACAAAAAAACTGTACAAAGAAATATAGTAAAAAAGCCAATAGATCAATAAAATTGAAATACTCAAATAAAAAGAAAAAAACATAATAAATCAGAATTAGGAAACAAAAGAATGTTTCCCATTCCTATAGGAAATAAAAGAGTGGAAAAGACAAGGGATAAATAGAAAACAAAACACGGTAGACATAAGTCCAAACAAATCAATAATTGCATTAAATCTAAATGGTATAAACACACCAATTCAAGGAAAGAGATAGCGATTTTGGATTAAAATTGAGAATAAAAATAAACAAGACACAATTATATGCTGTCTATAAGAAACTCTACAAATTTAAATTTAATAATATAGATAGTTGTACAAGCTGAGCATCCTTTATCTGAAATGCCTGGGATTAGAAGAGTCTCAGATTTTGGACATTTTGATATTTTGGAATATTTGCATATACATAATAAGACATGTTGGGGATGGAACTCAAGTCTACACGTGAAATTCATTTATTTTTTGGCCTGAAGTTAATTTTATGCAATATTGCAAATAATTTTGTGCATGAAACAAAGTTTTGATGGCATTTTGACTGTGACCAGTCACATGAGGTCAGCTGAGAAATTTTCTACTTGTGGCACCATATAGATGTTCAAAAAGCTTTGTATTTTGGCTGGTCATGGTGGCTCATGCCTGTAATCTCAGCACTTTGGGAGGCTGAGGTGGGAGGATCACTTGAACCCAGGAGACCAGCCTGGGAAACATAGGGAGATCCTGTCTCTACAAATACTTTAAAAACTTAGCCCGGCATCGTGGCATACACCTGTGGTCCCAGCTACTCAGGAGGCTGAGGCAGGAGGATCACCTGAGCCTAGGAGTTTGAGGCTGCATGATTGTGCCATGGCCCTCCAGACTGGGCAACAAAGAAAAACCCTGTCTCAAAAAAAAAAAAAAAGTTTTTGATTTTGGATTATTTCAGATTTCAGATTTTGGGACTAGAGATGCTCAACCTGTATAATAAAAGTATGGATAAAAGATATACTGTGCAAACACTAATTAAACAAATGCTAGAATTTTTATATTAATAACAGATAAAGTAAATTGCAGATCATCGGATATCACCAGAGGTAACACAGACCATTTTATAATGATAAAGGTGTCAATTCATCGAGGGAATATAACAGTCCTAAACGTTTATAATACATTTAAAATATAATAACATTTAAAATATAATAACAGGGCTTCAAAATTCATGAAGCACAACAATGGTAGAGCAGAAAGAAGAAATCAAAAGTAGAATTACAATTACACTTCAAGATTTCAACACCCCTTCCTCAGTTAATTGACAGAAAAGCATACAGAAAATTATCACTGAGGTAAAAGAACTGAACAGCATTACCAACAAACTTGACCTAATTGACATTGATAAAACATACCACCTGACAACAGGAAAGTACACATTCTTTTCAAGAACTATGGAAAATTGACCAGGAAAGACCATATTCTGGCTCATAAAATATACCTGAAGAAATTAAAATGGTTGCAATCAAACAACGTGTGTTGTCTGAGTATAACAGAATTAACCTGAAAACAAATAAAACAGATATCTTGAAAATGTTCAAATATTTGCAAATTAAATAACACAATTCTAAATAATTCATGTTTCAAAAGGAAAAGGCAAATGAAGTTAAAAAATAATTTGAAGTAAATTAAAATGAAAACAAAACGTACTAAAATTTGTCTGATGGTGCTAAAGTAGTACTCAAAGGGAATTTTCTAACGTTAATGGTTTATTTTAGAAAAGAAAACTCAAATCCATGATCTAAGCTTCCAAAATTAAAGTGCTAGGCAAAAAAGGAAAAATGAAATCCAAGTACCAGAAGAAATAAATAAATATAAAAGCAGAAATCAATAAAATTTAGGCAATACTATAATATTGAGAATTCAATGAAATAAAATGCTGCACTTTATTGGGAATAGATCAATAAAACTGATAAACCTCTCAACAGATCGACTAAGAATTAAAGGTAGAAGCCACACATTATCAATTATCAGTGATCAAAGAGGTGATATCTCTATAGACTCTACAGAAATTACATGGGTATTATACATAACAGTATGCTCATACATTTGCATGGAACTTTGGGGTCCTTGTATATGAAACCATACGTTTTTTGAACTATTCACTAAGCCCCTAATTCCAATGGAGAGTCTGTGCTGCTGAGGAAAATAAAGAGATATAAATGCTCTAAATCCCAAACCCTAAATCAGCCTGTTTTTCAGCCTAAGATTGGCCCACTTACCATCCACTGTGAAGAATGCCAAAGCCAGGATGGTTGACTAGAAACTCATCCCAGATTCGAATGCATAGCAAATCAACATTTTTTAGAACCCCAAAGTCTTTGGAGATGGCCTGTTTAACTTGACCCTAATTTAAAGTCAGTGGAAAACTCGATAGCATCCCAGGATACAACTCAAGTTTGTGCTGTTGACATAATTGATTCTCTGCCAGTAGCATCTCCTACAGATTAGTCATTTTCATATAAAGATCCATAGTGAAATTTCAGCAGTCTAAAGTGAAAATGGAAAATTATGTATAACAGCCAATTATTTATAAAGCTAAATATATTCCATTTAAATGGCTTATTTCTATTCTGAGATTATATCCTTCCTGTACCAATCCAGAAGTAGAAGGGCCGCTAGGATTGGCTGGATTTTGCATTACTTTTAATCCTGCCCTATGTTTTTAAGAGCTGGGCCCTGCTCTCGATATTTCCTATCACCTTGCTTTTGACAGAATTCCCTGGATATGATTGGATACTGCAGCTGACAGAAATTATATCTCTGAAATATTTGTAGGGACATGCCGCTAACTTTCTCCCTTTGCAATCACACCTACTTCCTTGTAACTTGATTCTTGCCTCAAAGTGTAATAGACTGTTTCTGCTCAATTTAGAATTGTTAGTTCTTCTCTGGAATACTCCTCCCAAATATCCTTCTTCTGACTTTGAGACATATTTTTTAATTTACTATCTTACCTTGACCCTCAGACTTGAAATTCTAGGCTGCTTTTCAGGATATAATCTTTGTTTTTTTCTATAATTAAGAATTAGATTCTCTCTACCTCTAGGTATTTGGCTCTGGCTAGCCTAAATAAATATGCCCAACTATTGAATCTCCCTAATTCGGTGTAGCTCTGAGAGTAGGTGGCACAATTCTGGAGGCATTATCTGTGTGGCCAGTGTTGTTGCTAATATGGTTTAATGCAGATCTACTGGCCCTGAGCTTAAAGATCCACTCACATACCCACTGCCTCTTATGAGCCAAGGTCATAGCAGTCAGTACTCTACCCTCCTCTAAATACATTTGTCAGAATGCCTTTCTAGTGATGCAGCTCTAGCATCTGTGTTTCCATGACACGCAGATTTTATTGTTCTTCAGTGAAGCAGAGTGGTGTTTCTGGTGTCTGTCATGACGAAGTGGGCTGGGAGATGGGACATCCTACATATGCAACCAGCCAGCCCCCTCTTATATGAAATAGGGATTTCCTGGCAGCACTATGCAGGATGTTCAACCTCCCGGCCCATGCGAAGATGAACTGCTGCACCATGAAGTTCCAGTTTCTGCTGAAAGGCTTGACATTGATTGATGCTTCTCTGTGTAAATGCTGTCATGAAAGCCTCTTCTGGCCTGGTGGTCTTTTCCTGATGAACTGGTTGTGATTACAAGTAGCCTAAATGATCCAAAAGCTTGTCAACCAATAACTCATCTCTTACTTGAACTTAAACCCCTTATCTCAAAAATATCATTTCCCACCAATTAAATAAAAGGAGAAAAATCTCCTGACACTTATAGGTACCAAGATATTTTCTGGGTTACAAACACTGCCCAGCTCCACTTCCAATTTAGTCAACCTGTATTACCTGCTTCTAAATCATATAAACAGACTTCTTACATGACAGTAGAGGAATTCTATGGCTGGAAGACCCCAGATGGGCTGCACACACTTTTTACCAAAGCTATCCCAGATGTATCACAATTTAGTTGCCAAAAACACAGGCCTAGAAGCATCATGAGATCCTAGGCTCTGCGGCTCTGCAATGTGACCACCACATTACAAAATAAAGAAACTTAGCTAAGGACAAATTCAATCAGCCCTGTTCATTTAGCTTAGCAAATTCTGCATTATGTACTTGCTCATCTCAAGTCTCTCAGCACCAAGAACTTTCCTATCTGCAAAATTTTGTGAGCCTACAATTTCATCAGGACCTGACACCTGAGAGGTTCAATACAATCTACAATATCTTCAAACAAACAAACAAACAAACCCTAGATTTTCTCTTCTGAGATAGTCTCACAACCCATCTTTCCTGGAATTTTTTATGTAATTTCCAATTGAGCTACCTCCTTTCAAGCTGATCTCAAAACTTTACCTATGAGTGCATGGAAAAGACTTCCATTTCTCTGTTGATATTTTCTTCAGAGTTGAATGGAAGACAACTTTATTAAATGATTCTCTATTTCTTCTATTGTATGGATCTTGAGTGGTGGAAAAGGGATAAGGACAAAGAAGCAATCATGAATTCTTGCCTAAGCAAGAATATAATAATGAGGACTTCTGCTGATTTGTACTATGTGACTCTATCCTCTCAGTAGTGGGGAAAAAGAAATGAGTAGGTAAGAGAATAAGATATAATTGTGGCTTTAACTTTATGACTCTAGATTTTCTGGTTTGGATTTTGGCTTTACTTTATCACATTAAGCATACCTTTAATCTGGTATTTTATTTACAAGAGAACAAAAGTAAAATCTCTTTGACTATGTCATTAATGTAGAGTGATTTCTAAGTCAATAGAAAAAAATATAATTTTTTAAAAGTATATTTAATCTTGCCAGGCATGTTGGCTCACGCCTATAATCCCAGCACTTTAGGAGGCCAAAGTGGGTGGATCACCTGAGGTCAGGAGTTCGAGACCAGCCTGGCCAACATGGCGAAACCCCATCTCTACTAAAAATACAAAAATTATCTAGGGGTGATGTTGCGTGCCTGTAAGCCCAGCTACTTGGGAGGCTGAGGTAGGAGTAAGCCAAAATCGTGCCACTGCACTCCAGCCTCAGAGACAGAGTGAGACTCCATCTCAAAAAAAAAAAAAAAAAAGGATATTTAGTCTTTATAATTTGTTTAGTCTTGATGACACTAGCAGGATTAACATTTGCTAACTCTCCTAGGTGCTTCAGTGATAAACAACATGGCCATGCTATCATTCTAATGTTCACTAAAAACTAAAGTAAACTGTAAAATATATTTTTGAATACTGCTTTTTATAGTAATCTTCTTAATAACTAATGACATATTCAGAAATATTAAAATGCAGATTTCTTTAAAATTAAATATACATCTAAATAATGTATGGCTTATTCATGGCCAAGTAATTAATCATTAAAAGTTGTAGGCCAGTGTTTCTAACTTTCGCTGTGACTCACTAATTTACCATGGAATTTGATGGGATACATTATTTTCTACAATATATTTTAAGCCAAAGATATAGGATATAACCTATAAAATCAATTTCCTTTTTATCTTAAAATTATATATTAATATGTACCAAACAATTATTAAAATCTAAATTTACAGCTACAGATACTAGTATGAACAATATGCTGTCAGGTACTAGGCAGATTTCTTAAAGCATCATGTAGCAATCATGCTTTTAGACCGCTCAAAGTAGCATTAGTTCAAAGAGACACCATCTACAGCTTTTAGTTAGATCACCTTACTAACTGCTGTTTGTGATCTGATAGTCTGTACGTACTCATATCTGCTTTCTCTAGTTAGTGAATTTCTTGTTTACTGTTAGTAATAATCCAAGGCTTGAAAAAACATCTCCAAGTGTACAACCAAGTGTTTGACTATGGATGCCCCCAGGATCTCCCTTCTTTCATATCATAGGTTGAAAATGATTCTTATTCACTACTTTTCATATGCCCAAGTTGCAAAACATCCCCACGTTTTACTGTGCTATGCTTTTAATTGATTCTCTATTCAAACAGTTCACTCTGCAGAATAATGATAATAGATTAAAAGTGACTGTGAAATTTTAATTAACAGAAAAGAGAAACTCCTGAGGGTTCTAAGGGGAACCAGAAAGTGATATTGATATACAACTTCACAGCTGTGTTAGGCCGTTTTCATGCTACTGCTAAAGACATACCCGAGACTGGGAAGTAAAAGAGGTTGAATTGGACTTATAGTTCCACATGGCTGGGGAGGCCTCAGAATCATGACAGGAGGCAAAAGGCCCTTCTTACATGGCAGCAGCAAGAGAAAATGAGGAAGAAGCAAAAGCGGAAACCCCTAATAAACTCATGAGATCTCATGAGACTTATTCACTATCACAAGAAAGACTGGGCCCCATGATTCAATTACCTCCCCCTGGGTCCCTCCCATAACACGTGGGAATTCTGGGAGATACAATTCAAGTTGAGATTTGGGTGGGGACACAGCCAAACCATATCAATAGCTAAACACTGTATATATAAAGCTGTGTTCTCTATATATCAGTCATGTATATATGACTGATAAATTGTGGTTTAAAATTAAATTATTGCCATTTTTTAAGATTTCCCTAAAAGTTTTTCAAATTTACTTTTTTAAACAAAGGACAGTGTGTTTCAGGGGTCCAATATTAAAGTAATGTAAACTAAAAAAAACTCCTACCCCCTTCTTCATGATGTGACTATTATACATTCCATTCCTGTATCAAAACATTTCATGTACCCCATAATATTTATTTATAATATTTTATAATATTTATATATCTACTATGTACCCCAAAGAAAACAAAGTTAAAAATTTTAAAATTTAAAAATAAAATCCTATGCCCCCCACTGAAAGAACAGACCCTCTCTTGGCAAAGGGGAACGCAGAAAATCCTTAAAACTGAGTTCCCAGCCATGACAGAATGGAAGGTCAGACACACCTTGTTACACCCCCTCCATTTTGTGGTTTGGACAGAACAACTGACCAGCATTAATGTTAAAATAGAGATTAAAAGGCTGACAGAACAGACTCTATGTGACAATAAGATATTAGATTATAAACATTATCTAAGGACATGCCAGGCAAAGGTTAAATCACACATTCCTGCACTTAAAGAATAAACTATGTTCTAACTGTCACAAGGATTTTCTTTTTCTCTAGCAGCTAAACAAGCACTGGTCTCAAAACAAGTGATATTAAAACAATTTTCAGTTCCACCAGCTGCTGACTAGGCTGATCCTCAGCCCGTGTTCCACAAGCTATAACTACAGCTCTGACTGGACAAGAGACTGATTTCATTAGCTTTCTCCAGATAAGACCACTGACTATGAACTGGTTCTGGCTGGCTTACGGAGATTGTGCACTTGTGCACCTTCATGTCCTGAAAAGACCTTTTGATATAGAGGGCCTAATTGTAATACATGTAAAAGTTAAGTCTTCATCCCAAAGTAAACATGGGTCATATGTTATATGCATGTGTATTCAATATGCATGTGTCACAACCCCTTTCATGAATATTCACAGATCATCCTGTAATCTGCTGAATATGTATGTTTAGCTAACCTGTTCATCATAAAGCACCTACCCCCACACCTCCTCCTTCCAAATGCTGTAACCCTTTATAAGAAATAAATTTTTTTCTCTCCTTTTCTAAATGTATGCATTTATTTCAGTTGACAGTAACTACTATATTTAATAACAGAAATGTCATTTTCAGAGTAGTAAATTATTCAACTTGCTAGTATGATTAGAACAATATTGAAATGGGTTTTAGGAGAACTGGAGTATTTAATAAATTTATTCTCTTTGTTATTCCAAAATAAATTTGAAGTATTTTACCCATGTAGCATTTATTTATGTATTTAATAAATATTTAGTTGTTAAAATCTACTGGGCAGAAGGAGATAATGATTCAGAAGGTAAAATTATACTTGTTCTCATGGTTTTATAATATAGTGAGGAGTATTATGTGGTCAAAATTAGTTAAATAATAAATTGGGCAAATAAATGCACATTGGAGTAGAAAAGGCATTTAAAAAATTGCAGCAATTAAGAGAAGAAAGCCAAAGCAAAATAAATAAATAAATACACACATAAAACAAAACTAACAAATAAAAACACTGCATCTTAGGCCAAACAACAGCAAACATTTTCTGTAAAGGGCCAAATAGTATCTATTTTAGTCTTTGTGGGCAATACAATCTTCATTGCAACTACTCAACTCTACTATTGCAGGATGAAATCAGCCATAGACAATCTTTAAAATAATGGATGTGGTTTTATTCTAGTATGCCTGTTTTTACCAAAGAGGCAGCCAGCAGGATTTGGCCCATGGGCTGTGGTTAGCTGACCTCTGACCTAGAGAGCTAGGAAGGGTGAAGCTGAGATGTGGTGGATGTATTGATTGATGGAGATGATTTATTCTTATGTTCAATGCTGTTGCTTGAAGTGATCAGGGATAGAGCAAATGCTATGTATATTAGGGTACAATTGAAAAAATAATCCAGGCACACAAAAGGTATCTGCTTTAGCTGCATAGAATAAGCATATTGATAAGGATAGTCATTAGCTTTCATGAAAGACATTACTATTTGAAAGAGAGAAGGCTTTAAAAAGCAATTCACTCAAACCACTAAGAAAATTTCATGAGGAACTTGAACACCTGAAGTTTAATTTCATTAGATACTGAGATCCTCTATTTTCAGTAGTAGTGAAGGTTCTCTAATCAAATAAACACAACAAACTCATATACGTGTGTCCTTCACTTTACACAAAGCCTCACTTTTCACAAAGCTCTTGATCAGGTTGTGGAAGTTCCCTTCTATTCCTAGTTTGTTGTTTTACCATGAAAGTGTATTGGATTTTCTCAAATGGTTTCTTTGGGTGTCCATTTAAGTAATCAGGTAGTTTATGTTTTTCACTCTATTAATATAGTGTATTATAATGATTTATTTTCATATGTTGAAACAACCTTGCATTTCTGAGATAACACCATTGTCACAGTGTTCAATCTTTCTTATATACTGCTGGATTCAGTTTGCTAGTAATTTGCTCAGGATTTGTTTCATCTATATTTGTAAGGGGTTTTGGTCTGTAGTTTTCTTGTGATGTCCTTGTTTGATTTTGGCATCAGGATAATATTGGCCTCATAAACAGAATTGGGAAATATTCTTCCCATTTTTGTTTTTTGGTAGTTTTTGAAGGATTGGTGTTAATGCTTCCAGGGAACTACCAGACAAGTCAAATAATGAAAATTCTCTGGAAATGAGGCTCTGAAGGAGCTGCAACCTCATTCTACCCCTTCCCTTCCCCCATCCAGTAGCTGCCAGGCTGCAGGTTTTCAACATGATTGTAGGATGTTGGTTTTTAAGGCTACCATGGCACTTGAAGGGGGAATGGGAATAGGACAAGTTAAAATGTCACGGAGATTGCTATTCTTAACAACATTCAGCCATTTTCTTAAACAAACACATTCTGGGTTGCTGCAAGCATTTAGTTAATTTTCAAAGTCCCGAAATAGTTGATTCAGAGAATTTCTGTAAATTTTCTTACTGCTTTTATGAAGGAGAGAATTTTGAAAGTACTTAGCCATTTTTGCTGATGCCTCCAATGTAAGTTTTGTGTTATGAACACATTTTATACTTCTATAATCTCACAGAGTTTAGAAATTGCATTTGTAGAAAATTCTGTACAATGAAAGCATATTACTAATTTAGAGTAATGTAGACAATGGTGGTTTTGAAAAGAATTATAAATGAGAATATGTAAATATTACATTTCTATTCATTTTCCAGTATATAGGAGGTGCATTATACACTGTCCTAAAAAAAACCTACAGACACATTTTATGATATAATATTCTAACTTATTAAAAATTGTCTCAAATATTTTATGCCAGTCTTTATCTTTTAATTTTGCTTATGTTTATGTTTGCTGCAATTATTTAATCCCAATCCACTTCACATTAACAAAAGTTATCATAGATAAACATTTTATATTTACATGCAAATCTGTCAGTCTTCTCATTTGTGTAATCATCTATTTTTTTTTAATCTTAGATGCTGGATAAATACATAGTTGGATAAATATTCTATTCTATTATTCTTGTTTTTCTTTGAATAGGTTTTAAATCGTCAACATTTTCATCTTCCCAGAATTTACTTTTATATGTGAGATGAGATGAGAAGCTGAATTTATCTAACATGTTTTCTTTTATCATTGATTTTGATGCTTCATTTATCACTCATAGTAGGACTTATTGCTGTAATTTTTTTATGCTTAATCTTCCTAATCCTATAGCCACACATTATTATAATTATACTGGTTGTTACTTTGTAATATAGTAAGGGATGGCCTTCCTATTTTCATATTTGAAATGTATTTATTATAAATATACATTGAAGTTTATTAAATGATTTTCAGCTTCTACCAGGATGAACTATAGTTTATGGTGTTTAACCTACTGCAGTACCATATTTATATATTTCATAATGTATTGAACAACCCCTAAAATCATGAGATGAATGAAACTAGCATGAGTTAACTATTTTTTTTTTCTGGGAAACTTTACATTATCTCGTTTACTCCTCACAACAACCTTATAAAGTAGTTACAGATTAAAACTAAAAAGAAACAAACAAACAAACTGAGATTTGGCAATATTAAATGCCCAAAGTGATGCGGTTGGTCATTTGGATTTGAATATCTATCTATCTATCTATCTATCTATCATCTATCTATCTACCTATCTATCTATCATCTCTCATCTTCAAAGTTATGATTCCATCCTGGTCATACAATTCGTATTATATTTCATTTGAATTTTTATATATTAGTAAGTAGGAATTTACTGTGTAGTAGAGAGACAGACATGCAAGCAAATTTCAGTACATCATTGTAAATTCTATGACAGAGGCAGTACACATGATGTTCTGGGAGTACTGTGTATGATATACTTAATTCTCTTCAAGCTTATGAGATAAGCTTTTTCAAAGCAGGCTGGAGAGGGAAGAGAGTGAAGTTTGGAGGAAGCAAGAGATTTGTCGAAAATGTCAAGGAGATCAGTAATGATGTCATAGAATGATATTTGTGAATAAAAGTGTTGAAAAGCTGGAAGGAAGAACTTTACATTGAGAAGCAGAAAACTGATCACAGAGGAGGGGCAATTCTTAATCTTTGGCAAATTCTAAGAGTAGCCATAAAAGTCATATAGTTTCTAAATTTGCCAGATGGTTTTGCTTTTAAAAATATTTATTGCTGCCTTATTTGACATACACTCTATCTATATACTATACTTTCTCCTCTGCCAATTTCTTAGGTTAATACAGATTTACAGATTTTCTCATCCTCCAGCTTCCTTAATTTATCAATAATTTAGGCACGATGGTTGGAGGTCATCAAGATATTCTTTTACCATGTCCTCATCCTGGCTTAGGAGGCAGAACTTTGGTACTGTTTCTAACTCTAGTTTCTTCAATGTAGTTTTTACAAATGCTTCAAAATTCTACCATGTATTCAGTGCTCATTAATTTCTGGTAGGACTTTAGATTTTTTTCTGTTTGGTTTTACAGGATTTGCACAAGATTTTAAGAACAGTCTCCACCACGTTTACATACTCTGTTACTTGAAGGTAATTCAAAAGAAGCAGTTTTAGTTGTGGCCTGGGGTTGGAGGAAAGGATCAAAAAGAAAGGTGTGCCTATTTGTTAGAAGTAGCAGTATCTCTTTCTAGTCATCATCCAAATAACACTTCAGCCCTTCTAAACATAATACATTGATTTTGAAAACCTATGATCAAATAGATTGAAATAAAGAGATGCTGACAAGTAAAAGCAGAGAAAAATGAAAGAGGTACAGAAAAGGCACTTTACTCAATATTCCTAGGAAAACCTGTTGAGGATGAGTAAAATTATATTTTAGCAGGGAAAAGAAATGCTTATAAAGCAGAATGCCATTTATTATATGATATACAATATACTATGTATAAAGTATTATATGTATATATACTATAATATATAATGTATTATATGTATATATACTATAATATATAATATAGTATATATGATATATGATATATACTATATGATATATACTATATAATATTATAATATATATTCTATAGTATATATCATATATACTATAGAGTATTATAATATATATTCTATAGTATATATGATATATACTATATGATATATACTATATGATATATACTATATAATATTATTATATATACTATAATATATATACTATATATTAGATGTTCTGTGAAACTTGATAGATGTTCTGTGAAACTTGGTAGATGAACACAGGTTTTCTTTCAGTAAATAATTTGAATAATGCATGGTTCCATTTTGGATCAGGACAATTTATGTTTCATTAATATTTTGATATTCTATTAATAATTCCATAACATTATAAATGTTGATTATCTAATATCACCCTATTTTCTTAGTAGTACTGAAGTCACATTTTGACTTGCTACTAACTTTCCAAACCTCCTTCCTGGTCTGATGCCCTACAAATTGTTAACACTGGATAGATGTATACAAATTATAGTTTTAGGTTCCATGACTTCACAGGAAAGTCCTTATGATGACAGCATTGCATTATTAAAGTAAATCTATAGGATTTTAATAGATTATGTTCTGTAGCTTTTAGGGAAATACAACATTGGTGATGACTTGTAAGTATTCTTACACAAATATTTCCTCATTTCATTAAGAATAAAACTTGACTAAAAAGGCATACTATATCATGAAGAATTAGGTTACTTTGAGGTCTGAGATATGCTTTCTACTCCAGCCTCATCTCCAGCTATTTTTTCCCTTTCATTTTTCTGTGCTTTTGTATACTTTTGTCTGTCTTGCCTAGAATGACATCTGTAATATACCCCTTTTTCAAACCTCCTTCCTGTACACACAGGCAAATGTCTACCCATAATTAAAGACCCAGCTGAGACAGTACTTTATCTGGGAAGCCCTTTCTAAACCTCCACACACAGAGTTAATTACTCCTTGCTATGTCTTCTCTCAGTACCTTACATATATCTGTATCCTAGCATATATATTGTATTGTAATTTTCTGTTTATATCTCCTGGTACACTGTAAACTTTATGACATTACAATCTGCCCTTGTACTCTGTAATGTACAACATAGCTTGGTTAATATAATAACATATATGTCAGTACTTACATGGTCTATGATATCACAATTCACCTGATTATTGACATAATCAGCCCCACCCAGACTCTCAACCAATGAGAGAAGACCTAGTAGTATATAAGAAGCTCTTCTCAAATGACTCTTGCCCTCTGTGGCCGGGCTGTTTAGCAGCTGGTCTCACTGCTTAGGTTCCTAAAGCCTAGCTGTTACAGCGTCCTTGCTACAGAAAGAGATCGTTGTCTGACCAGAGACAAAACTTACTTCTGTCTGGTAGCAGAGTACCTACATTTGGCTTTCCAGATCTCACCTCAGTTCCAGATTCCTCTACATTAAAATCTTCGCCTGGGTTACATCTTCTCTCAGGATTGAATATCAACACTATTGAAGACACCTCATGTGACATCACAAACAGCTTTCTTGGACTCTCCAGGTACTCCAATTTGGACTGTATCTTGGTACTTTAGACTTGTGAATTTGAATTCAACTGTCTGAGTGAGACTCCAAGATGGGAACAGGATTTGTGGTTCAACTATGTTATCCTACTCTGGAAGAAATTTATGAAGTTATTGATGGATCGCCCCCACTAAATTGTTATCAAAAATTTCCAAATCCTTATTTTTTAAGTCTGTTTTTGACATTATTTAATCATCAAGGGAAGACTTTTAAGTGTTATGCATTAATAAAGGACATTGTGAAATATATTTTGGTTGTATATAAGGATTTTATTGCGGGGGTAGATATTTATAAGTGGGGTGGCATGACTATTTTTATGAGTGCAAATAATTTAATTAGACAAAACTGTAAAGTCCTTTTCTACTTCATAAGTCTATGTTATATTTTTAAAAATTAATCGTAAATGTAAATATTAAAGGGCCACTTGTCTGGTAAATACATGCAAATGTTTATTATACTATTTTATATTTTTATTTTTACTTGACAAAATATCCACTATTTACCATAATAATTCAATTTATAAACTGGTATTACTCAGAGGAAAACTGAAAATTACTATCAGCTACTTCAATTCACTACCAGGTTATTTGGGTTTAACAAGATAGCCTTGTTTTTTTGTTTTTTTTTTTGTTTGTTTGTTTGTTTGTTTCTTTTGGGATGGAGTCTCACTCTGTCGCCCAGGCTGGAGTGCAGTGGCGCAATCTCGGGTCACTGTAACCTCCACCTCTTGGGTTCAAGCAATTCTCCTGCCTCAGCATCACAAGTAGCTGGGATTACAGGGCTCACCACCACGCCCGGCTAATTTTCGTAGTTTTAGTAGAGATGGGGTTTCACCATGTTGGCCAGGCTGGTCTCGAACTCCTGACCTCAAGTGATCCACCCACCTCGGCCTCCCAAAGTCCTGGGATTATAGGTGTAAGCCACCGAGCCCGGCCCAAGATAGCCTTTTCATTATTCTGCTTAAACATTCTTGCTCTGTCTGAACTACTGGAGGGTGTCTTCATGGAATATAGCCTGGTTTTCATAATGTTCGTTTGTTAAGTTTATAACCCATGTAGAGGGTGGGGAAAAAGTTGGGGGTAACCACAGAGTTTTGGGATGGCTGCCACTCTATATAATGCTTTCTTTCTACTGAAAAACAATTTAGGTAGGTAGATAATCACTCATAGAATAGTAAGGGAGCAGAAGAGAAGGTAGCAAGATTAAAAATGGGAGCTGAACAATAAGATTACATGGACACAGGGAGGGAAAAACACACACTGGGTCCTGTTGTGGGGGGTGGGTAGGGGGAGAGAGAGCTTTAGGAAAAATAGCTAAAACATGCTGGGCTTAATACCTAGGTGATGGGTTGATAGGTGCAGCAAACCACCATGGCAGATGTTTACCTATGTAACAAACCTGCACATCCTGCACATGTACCCCAGAACTTAAAAATAAAAATTTTAAAAAATCTCAAAAATTATGGCTGCATAGCACAGTAGGAAAAACGTGACACTAGGAAGAAACAGTTATTTTACCATGAGGAACCCTGAATGTTTAGGAGATGAACTGGTGGTTGTTAATGGATGACTAATGAAAGCACATGCTGGGAACAGATAGTAGCTCATCAGAAGGCAATAGTTTCCCACGAAGAATTTTCCTGCAATAACTTGCCCCCTATCTTCTTTTCAGACTATGCATTTAGATACACACTCACACAAAACATTTACTCTTGGTAGGCAAGCTGCAGATTTAATATGGTAACATGTTTATCAGCGAATTAAATCTTTGTAACGAGTGCATGCAATGGGAACATATTGGCTTGACCCCTGTCTTTTCACTAAGGCAGACATTGCCAGGAATAATAGAAGAAGAAATGCCATGTAAAGGTAACAGAGGGAATATGTAAGGGTTTCCCTGATAGGAATATTCCACATATGTGACATCTATATGTTCTTTGAACATTATACTGTATTACTATTGCCATTGGAGTATGTAGATCTCTTTTGTTATACGAAGACTTTACAGCATTCTATAAACATTAGCATGTTAATCTTCCAAAAAAACGTATTGGGTGGGGTCTGAGGGAAACCATGAAAAAAAAAAAAAGACTGGCCTTTGGGCCCTTTCTTTACTTCAAACCTCTTTCTCCCATTAATAGTGCTTATATTTTAATTAGGCACTTTGAATTAAAGTTAAATGACTATTATTGGGACTATAAAGAGTGACAGGTGATAGCAAGACATTTTGCCTGATGCGGGAAAGACAACTTTAGCAGTGCCCCCCAAATCACACCAGCTCAGAGGCTTTCTTGGAACTTCAAGAACTCCAAGCCTTCAAAGAACACAACTGGCCATTCAATGACATAATTAGCCTTACTATATCATTTTTGGCCATTTTATTGGTGTACATTTATGTAATGAAATATAAAATATATAAACTGGTTTTAAAAATCAGAAACTATACATTTTAGGTGGACTATCACTATCATTTAATCACTTTGGTGTGAGGGGTACAAATTTTTCTAAAGCTTTTTTATTTGCTTCAGGGAGGTGGAGCAAGATGGCTGAATAGAAGCCTCCAGCAATTGTCCCCCACTCACAGGAACACCAAATTGAACAACTATCCACACACAAAAAAAAGCACCTTCATACAAAGAAAAATCAGGTGAGCGATCACAGTACCTGGTTTTAACATTGTATTAAGGAAAGAGGCACTGGAGAGGGTAGGAAAGACAGTCTTGAATTGCCTACACCACCACCACTGCCCCATCCTCTGGCAGTGGTCACATGGTGCAGAGAAAGAATCTGTATGCTTGTTGGAGGGAGAATGCAGTGACTGTGGGACTTTGCATTGGAACTCAGTGCTGGTAAGCAACATGGGGCAGAAATCAGCCAGCGCCCACTGAGAGAGCATTTAGATGAGCCCTAGCTAGAGGCAAATTGTCCATCCCAGTGGTCAGAACCTGAGTTCTGTCTGGCAAGCCCCACCACCATGGGCAAAAGTGCCCCCCGGGTCCTAAATAAACTTGAAAGGCAGTCTAGGCTATGAGGCAAGTCCTGGTGCTGTGCTGGGCTTGGAGCCAGTGCACTTGGGGTGCATGAGACCTAGTGAGATATCAGCTGGCGTGGCCAAGGGAATGTTTGCATCACCCCTCCCCTAATCCCTGACACCATAGCTCACAGCTCTGGGAGAGACTCCTTCCCTCAGCTTGAGGAGAGAAAAGGGGAGAGGATTGAGGACTTTGTCCTGCAATCTGGATACCAGCTCCACCACAGTAGAATAGGATACCAGGCAGAGTCCTGATGCCCTCATTCCAGGTTTTAGTTTTGGATAACATTTCTTAACACACCTAGGCCAGAAGAGAACCCACTGCCTTGAAGGGCAGGACCAAGTCCTGGAAGAACTCATCACCTCCTGACTAAAGAACCTTTTGTCCCTGAATAATCAGCAGTGGTAGCCGAGCAGAATTTGCCATGGGCCTTGGGTGAGACTCAGAGCCCTGCTGGCTTCAGATGTGACCCAGCACATTCCCAGCTGTGATGGTCATGGAGAGAGACTCTTTCTGATTGAGGAAAGGAGAGGGAACAGTAAAGGGGATTTTGTCTTGTAGCTTGGGTAACAGCTTGGTGACAGTAGGGCAGAGCACCAAGTGGGCTCTTGGGGTCCCCGGTTCCAGGCCTTGGTTCTTGGACAGCATTTCTGGACCTTCCTTGAGCCAGAGTGGAGCCCACTGGCCTGAATGAAAAGGCACTGGATTGGGAGGCTGAGGTGGGCAGATCACCTGAGGTTAGGAGTTCGAGACCAGCCTGGCCAACACAGTGAAACCCTGTCTCTACTAAAAACACAAAAATTAGCCAGGCGTGGTGGCGGGCGCCTGTAAGCCCGGCTACTCGGGAGGCTGAGGCAGGAGAATCGCTTGAACCCAGGAGGCAGAGGTTGCAGTGACCCGAGATCGCGCCACTGCACTCCAGCCTGGGTGACAAGATCGAAACTCTGTCAAAAAAAAAACAACAAAAAAAAGGCACTGGACTGGCAGCATTTACCATAAGCTGACTGAAGAGCCCCATGGGCCTTGAGTGATTGCTAGGGGTAGCCAGGCAGTACTCGTCACGTGCATGGGGTGGTGGCGGCCATGGGAAGTGATTCCTCTGCTGGATGAAAGGGAAGGGAAGAATGGGAAGAACTTTGTCCCGTAGCTTGGGTGTCAGCTCAGCTGCAATAGACTAGAGCACCAGGTAGATTCCTAAGGTAACCGACTCCAGACCCTGGCTCCCAGACAGCAACTCCAGGCCTGCCCAGGGCCAAGGAAACTCACCACCCTGAAGGGAAGGACACAGGCCTGGCTGGATTTGTCATCAAATAATTGTGGAGCCCTTGGGCCTTGAGCAAACATAGACAGTAGCCAGGCAGTGGTCATTGCAGGACCTGGGCAGACCCATTTCTGTGTTGGCCTCAGGTCTGACCTAGTACAGTCCCAGTGGTGGTGGCCACAGGTTGGGAGAAAATATTTTCAAACTACCCATCTGACAAGGCATTAATAAGCAGAATGTATAAGGAGCTCAAAAAACTCTATAGGAAAAATCTAGTAAAATAATCGAACAATGCGCAAAAGATTTGAATAGATACTTCTCCAAAGAAGACACATGAATGGCAAACAGTCATACAAAAAGGGGCTCACTATCATTGATCATCAGAAAAATGCAAATCAAAACTACAGTAAGGTATCATCTCACCCCGGTTAAAATGCCTTACATCTAAAAGACAGGCAATAACAAACACTGGCGAGGATGTGGAGAAAACGGAAGCCTGGTACACTGTTGGTGGAAATGTAAATGAATATAACCACTATGGGAACAATTTGGAAGTTCCTCCAAAAGCTAAAAATTGAGCTACCATATGATCCAGCAATCCCACTGCTGAGTAGATACCCAAAATAAGGGAAATCAGTATATCGAAGAGATATCTGCACTCCCATATTTGTTGCAACACTGTTCACAACAGGTAAGACTTGGAAGTAACCTAAGTGTCAATCAGCAGATGAATGAAGAAAGAAAATGTACACATACACAATGGAGTATATTCAGCCATAAAAAAAAGAGATCCTGCCATTTGCAACAACATGGATGGAACTGGGGGTAATTGTGTTACGCAAAATAAGCCTTGCACAGAAAGACAAACTTCACATGTTCTCGCTTATAAATGGGAGCTAAAAAAATTAAAACAATTGAACTCATGGAGATAGGGTAAAATGACAGTTACCAGAGGCTGGGAAGGGTAGTGGGTTTGGGGGAGGGGAGAGAGAAGTGGGGATGTTTAATAGTTTCAATAATATAGTTAGGAAGAATGAGTAAGATCTAGTATTTGACAGCACAACAGGGTGACTATAGTCAACAATAATTTATATTGTACATTTAAAAATAACTAAGAATGGGGCGGGCGCGGTGGCTCACGCCTGTAATCCCAGCACTTTGGGAGGCCGAGGCGGGTGGATCATGAGGTCAAGAGATCGAGACCATCCTGGCCAACATGGTGAAACCCCGTCTCTACTAAAAATACAAAAATTAGCTGGGCGTGGTGGTATGCGCCTGTAGTCCCAGCTACTGGGGAGGCTGAGGCAGGAGAATCGCATGAACTCTGGAGGCAGAGGTTGCAGTGAGCCAAGATCGCACTACTGCACTCCAGCTTGGTGATAGAGTGAGACTCCGTCTCAAAAAAAAAAAATGAATAAATAAAAAATAACTAAGAATGTAATTGGATTGTTTGTAACACAAAGAAAGGATACATATTTAAGGTAATGGATACCCCATTTACCTAGATGTGATTATTAGCCATTGTATGTCTGTATCAAAATATCTTATGTACCATATATATATATGGTATATATATATATGGTGTATATATATGGTATATATATGATGTATATATATGGTATATATATATGGCGTATATATATGGTATATATATGGCGTATATATATGGTATAGATATGGCGTATATATATGGTATAGATATGGCGTATATATATGGTATAGATATATGGTGTATATATATGGTATAGATACATGGTGTATATATATGGTATAGATATATGGTGTATATACATGGTATATATATGGTGTATATATACATGGTATATATATGGTGTATATATACATGGTATATATATGGTGTATATATACATGGTATATATATGGTGTATATATATATGGTGTATATATACATGGTGTATATATGGGGTATATATATGGTGTATATATGGTATATATATGGTGTATATATGGTATATATATACATGGTGTATATATGGGGTATATATATGGTGTATATATGGTATATATATGGTGTATATATGGTATATATATGGTGTATATGGTATATATGGTATATATGTGATATATATGGTATATATATGTGGTATATATATGGTATATATGGTATATACATATGGTATATATGGTATATACATATGGTATATATATGGTATATACATATGGTGTGTGTATATATGGTATATATATGGTGTATATACATGGTATATATACGGTATATATATGGTGTATATATGTGGTGTATATATATACAGTATATATATGGTGTATATATATGGTATATATATGGTGTGTATATATATGGTGTGTATATATATGGTGTATATATATGGTGTGTATATATATGGTGTATATATCTATATGGTGTGTATATATGGTGTATATATGTGGTGTATATATAGTATATATAGTGTATATATATGGTATATATAGTGTATATATGGTATATATATGGTGTATATATGGTGTATATATGATATATATGATATATATGATATATATGATGTATATGGTATATATGGTATATATACGGTATATATATGGTGTATATATGTGGTGTATATATGGTGTATATATATGGTGTATATATATACAGTATATATATATGGTGTATATATATACAGTATATATATATGGTGTATATATATACAGTATATATATATGGTGTATATATATACAGTATATATATATGGTGTGTATATATACGGTATATATATGGTGTGTATATATATGGTGTATATATATGGTGTATATATGTAGTGTATATATATGGTGTGTATCTATATGGTGTGTATATATATGGTGTATATATGTGGTGTATATATATGGTATATATATGGTATATATATGGTATATAGAGTGTATATATATGGTATATATATGGTGTATATATAGGGTGTATATATGTATACATATGGTGTATATATAGGGTGTATATATGTATACATATGGTGCATATATGGTATATATGGTGTATATATGTGGTATATATATGGTGTATATATGGTGTATATATGGTATGCATATGGTATATATGGTATATATATGGTGTATAGATATGGTATATATAGTATATATATGGTGTATATATATGGTGTATATATATGGTATATATATGGTGTATATATATATGGTATATATATGGTGTATATATATATGGTATATATATGATGTATATATATGGTATACATATGGTGTATATATATGGTATATATATGGTATATATATGGTATATATGGTATATATATGGTATATATATGGTGTATATACATGGTATATATATGGTGTATATACATGGTATAGATATGGTGTATATATAGGTGTATATATGGTGTATATATGGTGTATATATGGTATATATATGGTATATATATGGTGTATATATATGGTATATATATGGTGTATATATATGGTATATATATGGTGTATATATATGGTATATATATGGTATATATATGATGTGTATATATATGGTATATATATGGTGTATATATATGGTGTGTATCTATATGGTGTGTATATATATACACCATATACCATATATATATGGTGCATATATATATCTACAAACCTACAATGTACCCACCAAAATTTAAAATTTAAAAGAAATAAAATCTTGCTTCACAATTAAAATTGAAGTCAGGAAATGGCAAAAAAAAAAAAAAAGGGGTGGAGACAGGTGCAGAGTTGTAATAATGGATTGACTTTGGCACTCTATCACAAGAGAAGGGCCTCAGTTCTGGTGAAGGAAGAAAAAAGGTTAGCCAAGGAATGAAGGTGTATGTCTACAGCCTGAGAAACAGATTGGTCATATGTCAAAGTTTGAGAATCAGGCACGCAGAAACAAAAGCAAAAAGGGCAAGAAAAAATGGCTACAGAGTAAAATAGAACAATCATGGCACCCCATGGGAAACACCAGCATAAACATAATAGCAAAAAAGCTTCATTTAATCCATTTGTACCTATGGCAGAGCCTAGTTTCTGTTCTGCTTCTTTCCTGCAGATTAAATGAACTATTTGGCTATATACCTAACTCTCAACTTTTATATTTCGTTCCCAGGACAATGACCGGTTTCCTTTTTCTTTGACATACTTTTTCACCAAAGATAAGCCTTCCTCTTGGCATAAAAAATCTTCATAACACTTGAAGGGAAAGTCTGGAAAAAGCCTGTGGCCTGGATTTTAGATCTAGGTGTCATCAACAAATGGTAGCATAAAAAATGAAAGTGGTTGTATTGCCTAGGGAAAGAATGTAGAGGAAGCAGACACCAGACCAAGGACTTCAATAGTTTTTGAATTGTTTTCTGCTTGAAATTTATGTCCCTGTAACAAGTCCCTGGAAATACTAGCTGAAGGTGTTAAATGGACCACTAACACAGGATGCTATGGGGCAAAAGACTAGCTTACTTGCCACTTAAGATCACTGATAATTGTTCAGCATTCTACAGTCTTCTGGTGTAAGCATTCATTTGAAATGTTTTTAATAATGTTGTTTAATCCTTCTTAAAAAGTAGATAACAGTATCTTACTCCAGAATCCATATACTAAAGCTGAAGGGTTTTTAATTTTTATTTTATTTCTTTTGATCACTTTAAAGTCTCTTGGCTATTGCAACATTTTGCAGAAACAAAGTAATCATATGCAATTTTAGCATTACATCATCTTGGAGAGAACTATTTCTTAATGATTTTCATTCTTGTCATCTCAACAACCTTATGAGAAATAGAAGCATATTATTATTAGATTAAGAAACTTATTGTTCAGCCACATTTAGCTGTTAGTTCGGCATTGTACAGCCTCTACTATAATGTGATACAGTGGAATAAGTGTGGACTTTGAGACTAGAAAAACCTAAGTTTGAGACAGAATATCAGTAGCTTAGGTGTAACCACCTCCACAAATCCTTTCTTGGAACTGTCCCCTCGTTCATGAGTTATTTTCCTTTTATATTCACAAGAAACTCTGGCATAGATCCAGCTTTACAATTATCCCACCTTCTATTAAAATGATTAGCTACCATGTCAGTTTCCTCAATTACAACTCCTTAAAACGAAGGAGCATTTGTTTACTATTATATCTCCAGCACTCAACACACAGCTCAGCACAATTTAGGTGTTCCTTTAAATATTTGAAAAGGCAGGTGAATAAGCAATATTTAAGTGGCTTGATTTATTTTTCTTAAAGGAAGAGTGAAAATAGAGGAATTATAATATTTTTTTCAGCTATGTGGACAAAAAGAATCTAAGCCATTCAGGACATAGGCATGGGCAAGGACTTCATGTCTAAAACACCAAAAGCAATGGAAACAAAAGACAAAATTGACAAATGGGATCTAATTAAACTGAAGAGCTTCTGCACAGCAAAAGAAACTACCATCAGAGTGAACAGGCAACCTACAGAATGGGAGAAAATTTTCACAACCTACTCATCTGACAAAGGGCTAATATCCAGAATCTACAATGAACTCAAACAAATTTACAAGAAAAAAACAAACAACCCCATCAAAAAGTGGGCAAAGGACATGAACAGACACTTCTCAAAAGAAGACCTTTATGCAGCCAAAAAACACATGAAAAAATGCTCACCATCACTGGCCATCAGAGAAATGCAAATCAAAACCACAATGAGATACCATTTCACACCAGTTAGAATGGCAATCATTAAAAAGTCAGGAAACAACAGGTGCTGGAGAGGATGTGGAGAAATAGGAACGCTTTTACACTGTTGGTGGAACTGTAAACTAGTTCAACCATTGTGGAAGTCAGTGTGGCGATTCCTCAGGGATCTAGAACTAGAAATGCCATTTGACCCAGCCATCCCATTACTGGGTATATACCCAAAGGACTATAAATCATGCTGCTATAAAGACACACGCACACGTATGTTTATTGCGGCATTATTCACAATAGCAAAGACTTGGGACCAACCCAAATGTCCAACAATGATAGACTGGATTAAGAAAATGTGGCACATATACGCCATGGAATACTATGCAGCCATAAAAAATGATGAGTTCATGTCCTTTGTAGGGACATGGATGAAATTGGAAATCATCATTCTCAGTAAACTATCACAAGAACAAAAAACCAAACACCGCATATTCTCACTCATAGGTGGGAATTGAACAATGAGAACACATGGACACAGGAAGGGGAACATCACACTCTGGGGACTGTTGTGGGGTGGGGGGAGGGGGGAGGGATAGCATTGGGAGATATACCTAATGCTAGATGACGAGTTAGTGGGTGCAACTCACCAGCATGGCACATGAATACATATGTAACTAACCTGCACATTGTGCACATGTACCCTAAAACTTAAAGTATAATAATAAGAAAGAAAGAAAGAAAGAAAGAAAGAAAGAAAGAAAGAAAGAAAGAAAGAAAGAATCTAAGCATAGCATGGCAATAAAATCAGGCCAGAAAATATAAAGCTAAAGGCATCATCATGAGCAAAATTTCATTAAGTCTTAATTATCATCATGGGCTTCATAACAGCTTGTGTTTGGTTGGGTTGTCAGAGGAGTTTCTAGCAATTAATTTAGCTCTCTGGAAATACTGAACCATATTTCTGAGAAAAAATTGTAAAACTCTGTGGCACATTCTAAGATGGCTACATTTTGGATTTAAGTAGTTTATAATTTTAATATGAGTGCCAGGAAATGGCACAGAAATTCAGTGCAAAAGCTCCTGCTCTCATCTATGATTTCCCATCATAGTATCTAACAGTATCATTAGATTGAACTTTGCAGCTAGCTTCCAGAGGCCCCTATCTGTTAAGTAAAAGAGATAGATAAGAAAGTTCATGATCTTGTATTTGGAACTTCATGCAATTAAAATCACATATGAATACACCATAGCCAGTGCTAAATGGCTCCCATAATTCTATTACAAAATCCCTGTTGCTGATTCCAAAATTACGGTGCCTCAATTTAAATTAATTTATTAGGCAGATCTCTTGAAAAAATGATGCAAGAAATTTCATAAATGGACCTTTTTGAAGTGGGGGAGAATTCTTTGTTGCCCCTGTATCTCATTGCACTACTACTTTCATCAGAGACTGTTTCTTTGTGGTTTTGAAAATGTAACCAAATTAATATTTAAATTAAATCATTCAAATTAAAATGATTTAATTAAACCATTTGATTAAAAGTTTGAATCAAATAAGATCTAGTATTTGATAGCACAGCAGGGTGACTACAGTCAATAATAATTTATCATACATTTTTAAATAACTAAAGGATTATAATTAGATTGTATCACAAAGAAAGCATAAATGCTTGAGGTGATGGATACCCCATTCACCCTGTTGTGATTATTATGCATTGTACTCTTGTATCAAAAGATCTCATGTACACCCCATAAACGAACACATCTACCATGTACCCACAAATATTAAAAATATTTTTTAAAGACTGAATCAATTAAAGTTATTCAATTGAATACCTTTATAATATGTGTATTCAAACCAGGCTTTCCTGACAAGGAAGTTATTTGATAGAATTTGTCAGATTGGTTACAGCTGTCCCCAAATGCTCAAATTCTATTAAGGAGCCAGTGTTTATTTTCTAAGATCTAACTCACAAAATTAAAAAAATCTATGTAAAGTACACCACGTTAATAGGCAGGCAGATACATCCCCAATAGTCAGAGTCATGCACGAAAATTACTCCTGATTGGAGTTTATTTTACCACATCAGGATACCACATCTATCTATAGCAACTAATGAATGATGTTGCATTTCTTTCTATCCTTAGATTCCAGGTAAATTAGTGCTTACATTTTCTTGGATACACTGATGATGGATGAACCTTGGGAGAACATGTACAATTCTGAGTGGAACCTCTTCCATGTGATCTAGACAAGTATTTTTAAATGCTTACGGGTTAATACTGTATGCTTAAGCAACATAGAAAAGCCAGAGGAAAAATATTAACATCAGAAATAACATTTGAGGAAAAAAATCCTGAATTAGGCCTTGGTAGCTATGTGAATATACAGGTCTGCTTCTCCCCACTCCCAATAAAGACGGCCAAATGCTCTCCATTTCCTATTAATGGGCTCTCTAAGTTCTTTCACTGCTGCCTTATATTCCCTACTGCTTCATAGACTGTCTTGAGTTCTTCTGACTAAGCATTATTGGCTGACACGCATGCGCAGAGAGACTATTGAGTCATATCTTATTGTGAAATGTGAGTTGCTTCTGTGAGAAGACAGCTAAATAAATTGCTAAAGAAACTTGTTCCTATGGGATAAGTCAGTATATATTATATGATCACCAATACTGTGAGTTGATTTCTAAGCCAGATTGGTCTTTGTCTTTATTGCAAAGGCGAGGACCACACTGTAAAGATTCTGCTAGTAATATCTATTTTTACGTAAATGTTGCAGTGACACATGGAGCTATTTCAGCTTATTACCAGCTACTGATGTCTGAGATGCTCTTTGGCATAATATATGAGAAAAATAAGGACAGCCAAGAAAAAATATATATGGCTAGCCAAAGAAGTGCCAATGAATTAAATGCTAATGCTTACATTCTCCATCAATCTGAAGTGTGGCCAAGGTCAGTCTGATGCCACGAGTTACTTCCGGGGCATAAATGTCCTTCAGATAGGATGATGATTTGAGAAGGCTTGAGAAAATGTATAAAAGATGGATGTGGGTAAAAGATAAATGCCTTCAGTCTTCCTCTACTTGAATCCAGTATTCCCACAAAATGTATTTTTCTAAAATAGAAATCATATTATTTCTGTTATAGCTTCAAAAAGTTTTAACAGGAAAAATATGGTGTTCTATGGTCCAAACAATAATCTCCAAATTTACTTTAATTTCAGTTGAAATTCAAAGCATATTATAATTTAACATCTACCCACCTTTTCCAGCTTCCTCTGACATTGACTCAAAGGGCTAGGTTCCCTGATGACATCACACTCTTACATTTTCATTAATTCCTATGTCATTCCCACTGTCTATAAAATCAAGCCTTATCTCCTCTTTTCTGCCTCTCAAAAACCCAGTTACATTTTAAGACCCTACTCAAAAGTCACCTTTTTTGGGAAACATCTAGAACAGTGCCTCACACATAGTGGGCCCTAAATGAATATCAGTTAAATTAATAAATGAACAAATTAATGAATCAGACTTCTGAACTGATATATTCCTCTTAGAAGTTTGTGTATACCTCTAGTTTAGCATTTATCAAATATTATCATAGTGGAATATGTACATATATATAAACATACAAATAAGACAAATTATATGATTTGTATACAAATAGACAAATTATAATTATATGATTCCTTGAAAACACTGACGTGGACTTATTCACTTTTATTTTCTAGAACCTAGAAAATTCTGTAATTCAAAGTAAGTGTCTTACTTAGTACTAACTTCTTGAATGAATACATCTACTGCTGAATTCAAGTCTATACTACTGGTTATTCCTTTTTAGTTAATGAATTATTTATAGTATATATTTAAGATATTGAAAAAGGCTTATTTTTCTGCCCATTGTGGTAAGAATGCATATGTACTAAAATTTTTGAAATATCCCTAAAAATACCTTTTTTTTGTAATTAAAGTAATTCTTTTTTTTTTCCAGAGAGGAGGGATTTCGAGTGACCTTTGGACTTATGGTTCATGCTAACTCTTTGTAACTCACAAGGGGTGAAACAAGTAATGATAACAAATGCCAAAGGGTTCACAATGCTGAGATTTATCTTACTGTTATTTTATAATTTTGAGCAGCATTTGGTTTTAGTGGGTTGTGGCAGAAATTGTTTCTCTACAGAATATTATCTTAAGAGAACATATTGAACATAAAGTTAAAAGTTTTCCATCCCTTGAAATTCACTAGTGGTAACTTTGAACTTCAAGAAAATGTCATTTGAGTTTGATAATGTCTCAATAAAGCCTCTCTCTGATGACTAATTCTTAGTCATCTCTCCCTTCTCTTACTTCATATGGCACTTATTATAGCTTTGTCACTTGATCTAGACTACTCTGCATTGCTTTTTATTTTTTTTTCTGGAAACATCAAGGTTAGGAATCATGTGTTATGGTTCTGTGTCACTCGTACCTGGGGCACCTAAGTGTACATATATATGTGTGTGTGTGCGCTCTGGGCTGTTTAACCTTATGGAAATAACTTTATCAAAATACTTTATTCAGTAATTAGCTACTTAATTAACAGGAGATGTTTCCTAATGTTTTAGGAGTCAAGGATTTAGACATATAAGGTAGATTTGTGTAGAATGAGAAAGCTTTTTATTCAGTGCTAAGATAATGTGTTGTCTTTACTATGACCTGCAATAACATATTATGGTTAAGTAGTATTTTTATGTGATAACTAACATAACATTTTTAACATTGCAGAGAAAACATAATGGGTTTTCACTTAACTAAATTTAAAGACTATGAGCCCTGTTTGAAATTTCTCTTTGTGTAGGCAACCTACTTCTGGCCTGAAACATCAGTCAAATCCCGTTAAGTTATGCAGCCTTCTGCTAACATCCACACTTTAAAAATTATTACATGCAACTGAACACTTTAGACATTAAAGCATGAATGTTTAAAGCATGCTAAAATACATACATCCTAGGGAAAATCAATAATTACATGATTTTCTGACATTAATACCCCAAACACTGTGAATTTATCAGATTAATAAGTTCTTGGCATAACCAAGGCCAGGTATTCTTGAGAAGCCCTAAGTGCCTAGGGTTCTCTTGATTGTAAAGGACTGTGGTCTGGTTCAGTGGACAAACCCTGGATATGGACTCCACTCCTGGCTTTCATAATACTTAGCTCTGTGTCATTAGAACAATCAATTCACCTCACTAAGCCTTGGTTTCCAGATCTGCAAAATGAAGGAACAGAGCGCTTTGAATTTTAAGGTCTCTTCTAGTTCTAAGACTCTGAGTATAAACTAGTAATTGTCTTCCTAATTATCTGAGGAATATAGAGCTGTCCAAATCATTCTTATAGGCTCAATGAGATTAACAGGGCAATGTTAATACTAATACTACTAATCTACAGCAAGATTTATATTTATACTTGTTTGAAACCACATGAAGTAAGCAAATGTTCTTACCAAAATTTGTGATTTCCGAAGACCTCTATTTTACCACATGCACGCCAGAACATCTGGTGTAGGTAATAACTACAAAATTAATTTTACTCTTGTTTCCCAGTCAGACATTGCCTGTTCCCTAATTGCTGATCGTTCAGTCCTCAAATCCCAGGAATTATTCTTTTTCATATATACTGTTCTTGGCTACAGCCAGGTACTCCATTTATGAGAACAGACTTCATTCCAGTCTGACTAAGGTTATTTCAGTCACCCACTGTCTGCCTTGGCAAACTTTTCTTTAGCTTGATTAAATACTTGTTGCCAACTTCCCAAGTGAGAACACTTATGGAACAATGTGCTCCTTTATAGACACTAACCCTATTTAACCCTGATTGCACAACAAGGAATTTTTCCTTTAATTACTTTAAGGCCAGGAAGTAAAATCTGAAGGCCACTTCTGTGCCCATGGATGTTTAGTTTATATACACTGTGGCATAGGTTAGAAATTCAAGACACAGTGTTGACCAATCAGTGAAACTGAACTCTTAATAATTAGAAAACCCTATATTAAATGGTATTCACAAGAATTTACCTCAGGACAAATACAGGTAGATTGGAGTAAAGAAATCCACAACTTGGCAGAAAGAATGTCTCTACAGGCATCAAAATTCAAGATATAGAGAGACAAAAATATTACCAAATAGATTTCAGGTGACAACATATTGGTCTTACCAGAACAGGATACTATTTTAAAAAAATGTTGCTTGACTAAAGGCTTATAAGATGCAAGAAGCTATGGCCAGGAAATAAGGTGATAATGAAAGTAAGCTAAAGGAAGTCAACTAACTTTGGCTTATGCATTAATAAGAATGTCTTCTTTCAAGACAAATTACTGCATCACAACCTTTTTCCAGCTGCAGATTTGCAAAAACAGATGTTTGGAGCCAATTTCAATGAAACTAACCTTACCAGCATGAATTATTTTAGGGATATCTCACATTTATCCAAGGAGTATTTCTCACGACAGTGGACATTCTCCTTAACAATTTAATTTATGCTGTTATTAGATGAGAGTCACATTTTCTTGGAATATGCATCTGCATGACCAGATACAACTAACTAAAGACTTATCCTCAGTGAGGTGACGGGGGCATTCTATCCTCAGATAACAGTAGCTTTTGCCCTTGTACGTGATCACTGGGTAGTGGAAAGTGAGGCACAGAAGGTACTGAGTCAAGAAGATCAGGTCTTAGGAAGACAAAGAGAAGAGAGATCTGTTGTCTGAATGGGAGCCCTTTGACATCACAAGGAGCCAAATGAAAGAAAACAATTGTATTTATATCTGAGAAATTTATTAGATGGCCCTGTGGTGTGGAGCATGTGGTGCCTGCTATTCATAACTAAATGCAGTTTGCCTCCTCTGCAGTTTATAGATGTTTTAGAAGGTGAGGTTCAGATAAGTTTAAGAACTGATTAAAGTAATATAGACATTAAGTAACAGGAATTAGGATCAGAATCCATGCATATCCATCTCCAAAGTGTCAAATGCAGATCCTTTCAGCGACCTCTGCTGCATTTAACAGCCTTACCTGTCCAAAACGGAATTCACACTGCCAGGTTATGTGCTACAGAGATTATACATGTAAAATACCCAATCCTGAGCTTCTGCAAATTTATTTTTAGTTTTTATTTGTCCTGAGTTGTTTGAATCAGACTTTACAGACACTTCTACAAATCCAAGAAGTTTTCTGCGGTTTTCCTATACCCAACACTTAATCTTTATGTGAATTAGAATTTCAAAAGTGGCAATAATTAGCAAATCACACCTCTAGCATTCATTGCATCTCTCAGATGTTTGCAGCTACTTAGGCCATTCCCGAAAATTCTCTCTTTGTAAATAAGTATCCTAAGATCTTGGCAGGAAGGTATCCAAGTTTATCTCTATATCTATATATGCTATATATCTTAAGAAGAAAACTCAAGGGAAAACAACAGCAACAACATTAGCTCTAAGGTATTATGTTCCTTCAATCCCAACACCCAGTATTCTTAGCTGAGAAACAACAGCTCTCTGTCAGCACAACAAATATGAGAAAAATCCTTCCAGTCTGGAACATAGATCTTTGATTTGTGGTGAGTTGGTCTGTTTGACGTAGATCCAGGATAGCCTCTTACATTTCAAAGAAATGTGGCTAAACTCACGCTACATGACTTCAAACTATACTACAAGGCTACAGTCACCAAAACAGCATGGTACTGGTACCAAAACAGAGATATAGACCAATGGAACAGAACAGAGCCCTCAGAAATAATGCCACATATTTACAACTATCTGATCTTTGATAAACCTGACAAAAACAAGAAATGGGGAAAGGATTCCTTATTTAATAAATGGTGCTGGGAAAACTGGCTAGCCATATGTAGAAAGCTGAAACTGGATCCCTTCCTTACACCTTATACAAAAATTAATTCAAGATAGATTAAAGACTTAAATGTTAGACCTAAAACCATAGAAACCCTAGAAGAAAACCTAGGTAATACCATTCAGGACATAGGCATGGGCAAGGACTTCATGTCTAAAACACCAAAAGCAATGGCAACAAAAGCCAAAATTGACAAATGGGATCTAATTAAACTAAAGAGCTTCTGCACAGCAAAAGAAACTACCATCAGAGTGAACAGGCAACCTACAGAATGGGAGAAAATTTTTGCAACCTGCTCATCTGACAAAGGGCTAATATCCAGAATCTACAAATTTACAAGAAAAAAACAAACAACCCCATCAAAAAGTGGGCAAAGGATATGAACAGACACTTCACAAAAGAAGACATTTATGCAGCCAAAAGACACATGAAAAAATGCTCATCATCACTGGCCATCAGAGAAATGCAAATCAAAACCACAATGAGATACCATTTCACACCAGTTAGAATGGCAATCATTAAAAAGTCAGGAAACAACAGGTGCTGGAGAGGATGTGGAGAAATAGGAACACTTTTACACTGTTGGTGGGACTGTAAACTAGTTCAACCATTGTGGAAGTCAGTGTGGCGATTCCTCAGGGATCCAGAACTAGAAATACCATTTGACCCAGCCATCCCATTACTGGGTATATACCCAAAGGACTATAAATCATGCTGCTATAAAGACACATGCACACGTTTGTTTATTGTGGCACTATTCACAATAGCAAAGACTTGGAACCAACCTAAATGTCCAACAATGATAGACTGGATTAAGAAAATGTGGCACATATACACCATGGAATACTATGCAGCCATAAAAAATGATGAGTTCATGTCCTTCGTAGGGACATGGATGAAACTGGAAACCATCATTCTGAGCAAAGTATTGCAAGGACAGAAAACCAAACACTGCATGTTCTCACTCATAGGTGGGAATTGAACAACGAGAACACATGGACACAGGAAGGAGAATATCACACACCAGGGACTGTTGTGGGGTGGGGGGAGGGGGGAGGGATAGCATTAGGAGATATACCTAATGCTAAATGATGAGTTAATGGGTGCAGCACAACAACATGGCACATGTATACATATGTAACTAACCTGCATGTTGTGCACATGTACCCTAAAACTTAAAGTATAATAATAATAAAATAAAAAAAGACATGTGGCTAAACTCAGCAGTAAATTGAAGAAGAACACATCCTTAGAATATTACCAGATTGTATTCTGCTGCTTAAAAGAGGTAGCCATAAATTAGCAAAAACAAGCATAATAGGTGTTTATTATTGCCTGCCTTTTACACAAGCAACAAAGAACACATCTAGAAATAAGGTGCAGGCATTTTGGTTATATAATTTTGGGGTTTGAAATATTAGTGAGTCTTCCTTAAGCTTTTGCTATTTTCATGTTATTTTCTGATTGAGGCAGGAAACAGTAAAGCATAGACTTTTAAAGTTGTCACAAACACTAATCAAATACTAAAATCACTGATCATGATCAAGTGATCTTGTACAGGCATCACTAACAAAACACTGTACATACTTCTCTCTCTCTCTCTGATACTCGCTATTCTCACCATTTTATTTTTTTTCATAGCACTCACTAACATCTAACTTACTCTATACTGACTCCTTTATTTTATTTATTGTCTCTCTTCTCCCATGAATATAAGCTTTATGTCTGTTTATATTCACCACTCTAGCTGCAATGATTAGAAGAGTGTATAATACAAAGTAGTAAGTGCTTAATATATATTGGCTGAATTAATGGATGGATGGATGGATGGATGAATAAATAAAAAAAAAAGCCTAAGGTGTTGTTTACTGATTTTTCTGTGTTTATGCATTATTCAATAATAGAGCCAGATCTAGATACCAGATCTCCTGACTTTCAATCCCGTACTCCCTATGAATGAAAGAGAAAGATAAGTATGAAAATCCATAATAATCTCCCATTAAAGGAGGGTGGGAATAGGATAATACAGCTAATAAATGTAATGAAAAGATTATTCTTTGAGGACTATTTGATTTGAAAACTATTTGAAGACTATTAATTGATCTAGGAACATTTCCTATGAAAAGTTAATTGTCCTATGTCCAAGAAACAAAAAGAAGACAGTGATGCATAGCTTCAAATAACTGAAAGTATAGAGATTAGATCAGTAACACGTCAATGTCCTCCAAGGAGCCTCACTCTTAAATAATTTTTTTTAAAGATGGTGCAAAATCTCACTCTGTCTTCTAGACTGGCTGAGATAAATATATTAATGTATGGGATCATGATGAAAACAATAACAAGATGATCTTTAGAAAAGTATTATATGTCTGTAGGCATGGGCAAAAATTTTATGATGAATTCACCAAAAGCAACTGCAACAAAAGCAAAAATTGAAAAATGGGATCCAATTAAACTAAAGAGCTCCTGCACAGCACACACACACAAATCCTATCATCAGACTGAACACGCCACCTACAGAATGGGAGAAAATTTCTGCAATCTACCCATCTGACATATGTCTAATATCTAGCATTTAAAAGGAACTTAAATGAACAAGTGAAAAACAAACAACCCCATCAAAAATGGGGCAAAGGATATGAACAGACACTTCTCAAAAGAAGATATTTATGCAGACAACAAACATATGAATAAAAGCTCAACATCACTGATCATTAGAGGAATGCAAATCAAAACCGCAATGAGATACCATCTCACACCAGTCAGAATAGTGATGATTAAAAAGTTAAGAAACAGTAGATGCTGGTGAGGTTGTGGAGAAATAGGAATGCTTTTACACTGTTGGTGGGAATGAAATTAGTTCAACCATTGTGGAAGATAGTGTGGCAATTCCTCAAGGATCTAGAACCAGAAATACCATTTGACCCAGCAATTCCACTACTGGGTATACCCAAGGGAATATAAATCATTCTATTATAAAAATACATGCACACGTATGTTTATTGCAGCACTATTCACAATACCAAAGACATGAGATCAACCCAAATGCCCATCAATGATTGAGTGGATAAAGAAAATGTGGTACATATATACCATGGAATACTATGCAGCCAAAAAAAGGAATGAGATCATGTCCTTTGCAGGGACATGGATGAAGCTGGAAGTCATCATCCTCAGCAAACTAACACAGGAACAGAAAACCAAACACCTCGTTTTCACTCATAAGTGGGAGCTGAACAACGAGAACACATGGCCACAGTGAAGGGAACAACACACACTAGGGTCTGTTGGTGTGGGTGAGGGGAGGGAGAACATCAGGACAAATAGCTGATGCATGTGGTGCTTAATACCTAGGTGACAGGTTGATAGGTGCAGCAAACTACCATGACACACATTTACCTATGTAACAAACTTGCACGTTCTGCACATGTATCCAGAACTTAAAGTAAAATAAAAAAATTAAAATAAAAATAAAACCAAAAATGGAAAAGTATTATTTGTCTGGACAATAATGGATAGACCTTGGGGCTTAGTAGTAGAATTTGTCTTTCTAAAAGAAAGATCACACGGAACAGTGAGTTTTGAATGCTGATCCAAAAATCAAGAAATTCTGATGCACATGGTCATGTTCTAAGAATTGTGACTACAATGAATGAAAATGGCCATCTAAAGATCACGCATCAAGTTTACGTATGGGAAATACGGACTAGTAAACTCAAATTTACCAAATTCCTTAGCCATTTTATAATTATTTAATTAAAACATTAGATAATAGTTCTTTTTGTGTGTGTGCGTGTGTGTGTGTGTGTCTGTGTGTTTATTGTCTGTGGTTCTCTACAAGATTTCAATTTCCTTTAAGGTAAGTACTATGCTTTTTGTTTATCACTGTAAACCCAGCACCTAGTATATATACTCAGTATCTGAATGAATGAATGAATGAATGAACTTCTGATCTCTAATTGGCAAATATTGAAGAAAATTTGGCTCAAGCTATTCCATTTTCCTGCTTATAGTTTTGAATTAAATAGTTATAAACTTGGGAGTGGGAGGAAATTTTCCAGTGTTTTCTGAGAAGAGAGGAAGAATTCACTTCTTTCTTCTACCCCATACCCTCCCTCTCCCTCATACCAATGCAATGGATTATCTCTTCTTAAAGTAATAATAGTTTCATTTCCTGTGGATTAAAGACCGACTAAGAAAATTTGCATAGACTGCTTTGTCAATTTTGATGTGTTGGTGTACATGTTTTATGTAAGTATGCATTCCTATACTCATTTATATGTTTGTATCTGAATATTCATAAGCACATTCAGATTAACGTACCAGAACATGATAAATGTGTTGGTCCATTTAATTTTTCTGCAAATCTTATGATCAATTCTATAATATGATTGAATTATTATTATGTATTATGTAAGCCCATTTATGGGTTTGGTTGATGCGCTCATGGCGCTATTAATTGGCATGGTCAGAAAGCCATATTTATTCAGAATTTAAAAGGATCTTGGCAATTTCTTTTCTTTGATACTGCTAGAAGAATATATGAAACATTTTGTTTGCTTTTCTTTTTTTTTTTTGGAGACAGGGTCTCCCCTGGCCGCCCAGGCTGGAATGCAGTGATGTGATTTCAGCTCATTGCAACCTCTCATTTGCTTATTTTAAAAATTCCAAATGTTCCAGTGATGAACTAAATAATCTTGAGCGTAAAGAATAGTTATATTTTTTCCATAATAAAACTTGTGAATAAGAAGAAATGGGCAAAATACTCTTTTTTGTGATTAAATCTTCATGTAATTCATTAAGTGCAGATGAAACAAAATGTCATAATCTATTTAATATATTGTTGGAAGTTAAGCAGTGCTATTTTCTAAATGAGAGAAAGAAAAGGGGTATTCATTTTCTACGCTATGCCTCTAATAGACATGTACATTGGTTTAAGTGCTTATTTTTAAACTTCTAAAATTAATTTTTACAAATAGAATGAAAGTCTATTTATCTATCAAACATCCTATTACAATGAATTCCCATAAAGTAGAAAATTATTTTTGCTGTAATGAGGTGGGTCAACTTCAATATTACCTAACCTAAGTGGTTAATTGGCTGGGATTAGGAATCTTTTTGATTTTGTAAAACATTTCACTGTAATGGTATTTTTAAACTTTATTTCCTTCAAACATATGCATATAACAGGGAAGAAATTGCATTTAAAACTCATTATAAATGCAATAAAATGAGTAGGAGTAAGGATTTGGAAGGACATAGAACTGAATATTCACATTTAAACTATTGTGGAACTTCTTGAATACCATAAGGTTTTTGATTATCCTGAAAAAGAAGAGTGGGATGGGATCTTGTCCCTAGAGATCTGTAAAAAGAGGACAGACATCTAACTCCATGTACCATACAGATATTTTTAGGTTCTAATATGACTGAATAACAAAAACAATGCAATAATATCTCTCACAAACTACTCAACCACTTATAGTCTATCTCAGAATAAACAATTTATTTTATGCAAAATGTAACCAAAATATAAACGCTTAGAAGTGCAAACCTAACTCAGCATATTGTTCAAAAGACACTTTAAGTACCTGCACATAAATATAAAAACTTGATAGGAAATAAAACAAAATTCTTAGAATGCTAAACATATTATTTTACAATAATAGTAGGCAATACTTACATGTTGCTTACTATGTGCCAGGCACTGTTACAGGTGCTTTGTCCTCATACACGATTCCTTATATCCCATACCTAAGGTGCCTTAGTCCGCATATCAAGTGAGGCACATACTATGATCATCCCCATTTTAAAGATGAGGAATCATGAGTTTATGAGAGTCCTTGGATAAGACACAAACTTCTTATCCTTCTTATCAATATTGACCTTAGTTGTGGGTATGCTAGCAATAATTCCTTTTGTGACCTCTATGGTCTCTATGTTCTAAGCTCAAAGCCCTTTTTTTTTAATTTTCAGAGGTCGTTAACATTTTTTTAAATCTTAACAATCAAGATCACTTCTAATTATTGTTAATTAGTTAATTATTTTCTTTCTTTCTGAGAAAGGCCTGGAACAGATCAGCCTCCCTGCAGGAATCAACTGAGAAAGAATTAATGACACTTTCGAAAGCTTTAAATTCCAATGAGAAATTGAAGCCCTGGGAATATCTGCCTCAACATTTTATAGGGTGTATGCCTGCAGTCAGTGAGAAGCACGAGGATATTCCGTTCCTTGTAAGTGTAAAGTATGATAAAACATTAATCTTAAATCTCTTACATAGTAACAAAACAAGACCTACACTAAAATATTTGGCATTCTGTGGCACAGCTAAAATCTCAAGTAGTCTTCTTTTTAAATTATCACAAAAGGGTAATTAAACTGTTGCAAATTCTTTCCTATAGAATTATCCCTGCGCCAAAAGTGTGAAGCAAATAATTTTCTTCTTGAGATAATGTCACTAAGGAGGAGGCCTCAGCTTTCTTGAGAACTGTAATTTTTCGAATAGTTCTTTCAGTTTACTTTGAAAAGACTGACATTAATAAAGTCATTTCATGCCAAACTTAAGTTAAAGTAGGAAGATGAAAATTTGAATATGAGATATATTGACAATATTTTCCAAAAATATCCCACTGGGCATGGTGCCTCATGCCTGTAATCCCAACACTTTGGGAGGCTGACACAGGCAGATTGCTTGACCCTGTGAGTTTGAGACCAGCCTGAGCAACATGGCAAAACCCCATCTCTACAAAAAATACAAAAATTAGCTCGGCATGGTGGCATATGCCTGTAGTCCCAGCTACCCAGGAGTCTGAGGTGGGAGGATCACTTGAACCCTGGGAAATTGAGGCTGCAGTGAGCCGTGATTATGCCATAGCACTCCATCTTGGACAACAGAGCAAGATACTGTCTGAAAAAAATGTCCCTGACTTTGCTTGTATCTATACCTCATTTCATCTGAATTGGGAAGATTATATTCATTAAGGGTAAAAATGTTATTAGAATCCATACTCATGGGGCCAGGTGAGGTGGCTCACCCCTGTAATCCCATCACTTTGGGAGGCCGAGGCAGGTGGATCACTTGAGGTCAGGAGTTCGAGACCAGCCTGGCCAACATAGTGAAATCCCATCTCGACTAAAAATACAAAAAATTTAGCTGGGCAGCTGATGGACACCTCTAATCCCAGCTACCTGGGAGGCTGAGGCAGGAGAATTGCTTGAACCCGGGAAGCAGAGGTTGCAGTGAGTCGAGAAGGCGCCATTGCACTCCAGCCTGGGCAACAAGGATGAAACTCCATCTCAAAAAATAAAAATAAAAAAGAATCCATACTCATGAACTCATGAAGGGTAAAAACGTTATTAGAACCCAAACTGTATATGGTTAGTCTAAATCTGTAGTTGGTCCGGAGATAGAAGAGAGGAAATGCAGGGGTAGGAACAGGAAATTACTTAGTTTTCTCTTAGTTTAATTAATACTATTGGGTAAAAAAACAACAACAGGACTTATCCCTGAACTTTAACAGGATTTTCTCATTCTTCAAACCCTTATCTGAACTCAAAATGTATCAAAAAATTAATTTCCCCATTATTCCAGGGAATTTTTTTAGGATTTCTTTTTTTTTTTTTTTTTTTGAGACAGAGTCTCGCTCTGTTGCCCAGGCTGGAGTGCAGTGGCACCATCTTGGCCCACTGCAAGCTCTGCCTCCCGGGTTCACGCCATTCTCTTGCCTCAGCCTCCCGAGTAGCTGGGACTACAGGCGCCTGCCACCACGCCTGGCTAATTTTTTGTATTTTTAGTAGAGATGGGGTTTCACCGTGTTAGCCAGGATGGTCTCGATCTCCTGACCTCGTGATCCGCCTGCCTCGGCCTCCCACAGTGCTGGGATTACAGGCGTGAGCCACCGCGCCTGGCCTATTTTGAAGACTTCTAATTTAGTTTTGATGTCTTTATTTCTGCATGAAAAGAAAACCCTGGCTTTCAACCATTAGAACCATTTAGGGCAAAACTGAATGGCCGTTTTATATTTTTCCTTTTCTAAGCTATTTAATTCAATCTCCTGTATTCAAGATGAGGTCTCTCGAGCATTTATAAACTTTCAGTTCATTTTTTCCATACCCAACAGATTTCTGACTTGTGAAATCATAAATATTTTCTGGAACCCAATTTTTCGTGACCTGCTTTTCATACTCCTCTGTGTTCTACTGCCTTCTTAAAACCTTAAAATACAGTTCTGGTAGATATTTTTCTGCATGAAAATTGATGCAATGTGTTATTGCATGCAAACTGATGCAATGTGTACTACAACAATTGGCTTCTGTAACATCTTGGAAGGCTCTTTCAATTTTATTGGTGGATTTGTGTTGTATATAGTCCTCTGGGGAACCAGGCCCAAGGACAGATGGCTCCTTCTTATTCAGGATATAATGCGGTCCAGAAAAAGATTCGTCTGGGTCTTTGAATTTGGAAAGACTCTCTGTTGCCCAAAAGTGGGTGACTAGTACAAATGCATGCCAAAGACTATATTTCTTGGCAGATGTCGAAAATTGTAATTGCTTTCACTTCAGTCGCCTGTGTTTTGTGCCACAGCCACTTAATAAAATGAAAACCAGGAGAAAGAATCAACCAGAATACTTAGCAATGATGGCTTTTAGGGGAAAAAAGCAAAAAACAAAACAAAACAAAACAAAAAACACCCAAAAACAAAAACAAAAAAACAAAAATCCCACCTTTTTTTAAACTAATAAAACACAACTTAGAAACTGAGACCCCTAAGGAGAAGTAGGCTGTTACACTGGACTATGTGATTTCAGGCCAATTGGGCTCAGAACTTTTAAACTATTAGTCTGAGTCATATCAAATTGCTAATATTCAACTCCCTAACCTTCAAAAATATCAATTTCATATACCTCAACCTAATTTTATTCCTTTCCACCCATAACAAATTCATGAGAGGCAGCAGAGTGTAATATAATAGCTAAAGGTTTGGTGTTAGATTGCTTGCAGCCACAATTAAGTGGTTACCTCTGTCACTTAATTATTGTGATTTGGGGTAAACATTTGCATTTCTTTGCACCTCAGCTTCTTCACCTGCACAATACTTGATTGTATTACTAAAGGCATAAATTTCAGTATTTTTTGCTGCTGCTTTTACAATGTAGAAGTTGTTTCAGCTTGGGATAATTACTAGCAATACTGCTACAAATAATTCTTTTATATGGATCTTGGTGCTCATGTGTAACCCTTTCTGTAGGCTATACACCTAAGCATGGAATTTCTGGATCATGGGGTTCACACTTTTCTACTGCTATATAATGCTAAATTGCTTTTTAGTATAGTTTGTATCAATTTACATTTCCACAAGAAGTATATAAGAGTTCCTATGGCTCCATATGCCTGCCAACATAAGTATTGTCACACTTTTAATTTTTGCCAGTCTGGTGACTACTAACTGGCATTTAATTGCGATTTTAATTTCCCTGATTACTAAGTTTGAGCATCTTTACAAATATTAATTGTCCACTTGCATTTCTTTTGTGAAGTGCCCCTTGAAATCCTTTGTCCTTTTCTCAAATTGCATTGTTTGCTATTTTCTTATTAATTTATCAATGTTTTTTATATGCTCTGGTTACTACTCTTATTCTGGGTACTTGTATTACAAATATGTTTGCCACCTCTGTGGCTTGTTTTTTGACCCTGCCAGGTGTCATACAGTTTTTGAATTTTCCCCATCTTTTATTGAAGTATAATTTCCATAAAAATTCACTGCAGGGTGTTTTCTGATGAACCAAAGTTCTGTATTTTAATGTAGTCAGATTTATTGCTTCTTTAAATTGCTGCTTTCTGAAATCCTTCATTTACTGCAAGATCATGTAAATATTCTCCTATATCATTTTCTGAAATCCTCATAGTTTTGTACTTTATATTTAGGTCTATAATGCAACTCTAATTTATTTGGGGTATAGTATGAGGGAGTGGCCTGATTTTTTTTCCATATTGATACCCTGTGTTTCCAGAGCCACTTATGGAAAAGTCCATTCTCTCCATATCAATCTGCAAATCTAATCTGTTAAAGCTGTAAATACACTAATTGATTTTCTAATGTTAAATCAACTTTGCATTCCTAAGATAAACCTAATGTGGTAATAATGTATTTTTCTTTTCATAAGTCGCTTCCTTCAATTTTCTAATTTTTTGAGACCAATTTTCTAATTCTTTAAGGATTTTTTGCATGTATGTTGATAACTGAGCTACTCTTGTATTTTTTTCTCACTAATATCAAGGTTATTCTATATTCATAAAATTGGGAGTGACATTTTGCTTTCATTTCTTTGTAATGCTTTATATAAGATTGGACATTTTTGGTTCCTTAATGTTTTGTGGAACTCTCCAGCCACATAAAGCCATCTACTTCTGGAATTGCCATAGTGGAAAGAAATTTGGTTCTTTTAATGATTATAAAAGCATTAACATTTTCTGTGACCCATTAAGTCAGTGTTCTCAGTTGAATAGTGTCCCTTCAAATTCATGTCCATCTAGAACCTCAAAATGTGACCTTATTGGTAAATACAGTCTTTGCAGATATAATTACTTAAGATAAGTCATATTGGATTATGTTGGGCTCAAAATCCAATATGACTAGTCTCCTTATAAGAAGAAGGTGGCCAGGCGTGGTGGCTCACGCCTGTAATCCCAGCACTTTGGGAGGCCGAGGCGGGCGGATCACGAGTTCAGGAGATCGAGATCATCCTGGCTAACGCGGTGAAACCCCGTCTCTACTAAAAATACAAAAAATTAGCCGGGCGCGGTGGCGGGCGCCTGTAGTCCCAGATACTCGGGAGGCTGAGGTAGGAGAATGGCGTGAACCCGGGAGGCGGAGCTTGCAGTGAGCTGAGATCGCGCCACTGCACTCCACCCTGGGCGACAGAGCGAGAAAAAAAAAAAGGAAGGCAACTTAAGCAAGCAGGAGATGTACAAGAAGAAGGCCATGTGAAGACGGAGGCAGAGACTGAAGTAATGCATCTGCAAGCCAAGGACCGTCAAGGATTGCCGGCAACTACCACAAGCTAGGATGATTTTTCCTTTAGACACTCCAGAAAGAACCAACCTAGATTTTGGACTTTTGGCCTCCAGACTGTGAGAGAATACATTTCTGTTGTTTTAAGCCACGAATGTGTGGTAATTTCCTTGGAAAGACCTCACAAGCTACGACTGCCAGTATTGTCAAGTTATGTTTGTCTAGATATTTGTACATATTTCTAACTTTTCAATTTTGGGCATAAAATCATTTATAATATCCTTTTGTTATGTTAATTTATGTAGCATTTTCAGTGATATCCTTTTGTTTCAATTCCTGATATTCACTGTTTTTGCCTTCTCTTTCTTTTTTTTTTCTCTATTAATCAATCTAGTCAGTGGTTTGTCTGTCTTTTTTTTTTTTTCAGAGAACCAATGTTTGGTTTGATTTGATACAGTTTTGTTTTTATTTAATTAATTTCTGCTCATGTCTTTATCATTGTCTCCATTCTATTTTCCTTAGGTTTAATTTAGTCTGCAATTCCTAATTTTTGAGGGTATGCTTTGCTCATTAATTTTCAGCCTTATTCTTGACAATGTATGCATTTAAGCCTGATAATTTTGCTTTAAACACTGCTTTAGATTCATCTGGCAAGTTTTGATATCTAGTATTTTGTTATAGTTCAGTTTTTTAAATTTTTCTAATTTTCAATATGATTTTTGATTCATGGATTATTTCAAAATGTTTAGTAATTTCCAAATACTTGCTAATTTTCTAGTTGTCATTTTATATATGATTTTAACTTATATGTTTACGGTCAGAGAACAGTGTTTGTATGAATTAAATTTCATTAATTTTATTGAAACTTTCTCAGTGGCCTAGTAAATAGTCAACTTTTGTCAATGTTCCCTGTATGCATGAAAATAATTTGTATTCTACATTTGGGTGCAGAATATTATATAGTCATTTCACTTTTGTCAGTCATGTTTTTCAAATATTTTATAAACTTAGATTTTTTTTCCAGCTTGTTCTATCAATTAGTGAAATTATCTATTTGTTTTCATATTCCTGTCAGTTTTTACTTTATATATTTGGTAATCATGCTATTGCATAAATACACGTTTCAAATTGCTGTATCTTCCTGATGAATAGAACTTTGTATAACTATGAAGTTAACAGCTACGTCTCCAGTAATGTTCTTTTACTCTCTTAGCTATTTTATCTATTTCAGTAGCTATACCATCTTTCTTTCAGTTACTAATTATATGGTGTATTTTGCTGTCTTTTTAATGTCAAAATTTCTGTATCCTATGCTTTAAACGTATTTATAATAGATGGTGTAGATTTAGATTTCATTTTTATTTTGTCTTATTTCATTTTGTCTTGTTATTATGTTTATTTTATTTTGTTATTTTAACCCAGTCTGAAAACTTTTTCCTGAAATTTTAGACCATTTACATTTAATGTAAATACTGATATCATTGGGTTTATAGCTACTCTTTTATTTAATGCAGTCTACTTATTCTGCTAATTTTTTGTTTCCTTTCCTTTCTTACCCTTTTTATATTAATCCTTTTTTAACATCTCAGTTTTTCTGTCTGCCTCTCTTTCAAAGTTGTACACATTTTTCCTTTTCTTTTACTGGTTATTTTATAAATTAAATTAATGTGTGTTTGTGTGTGTGTGTGTTTCATAAAGTCTGAAGTTAATAAGTGTCTTTCCTCTTGGACAATACAATGAATTTAGAACATTTAAATTCAACTTTGAATTATGTTATTCTTGCCTTGTATTTTATCTTCTTAAAATATGTACTCACTTACGACACTATTTTGACACCTTTTTTTTTTATACAGGGTCTCACTCTGTCACCCAAGCTGGAGTGCGTTGGTGCAATCACAGCTCACTACATCCTTGATCTTGTGGGGTCAAGCAATCCTCCCACATCAGCTTCCCAAGTAGTTGGGACCACAGGTGTGCATCACCATGCCCAGCTAATCTTTTAATTTTTTTGTGGAGACAGGGTCTTCCTATGTTGCCCAGGCTAGTCTCAAACTCTTGGGCTAAGGCATTCCTCCCACGTTGGCCTCCCAAAGTGTTGGGATTTCAGACATGAGCCACCATGCCCACCCAGAATATTATTAATTTTGTTTTATAAGTCAATATTTCATTAGAATTATTCACACATTCATCATTTACTTGGCTCTTCATTCTTTTTTGCTCCTCAGACCTTCTATCTAGATTCACTTTCCTTTTTACTGAAATACTTCCTTTTCAAATTCCTGAAACAGGAATTACTGGTTAGAAAGTTCCTCTGTTTTCATCTGTATTTATTTTACACCCATGCTTGTATAACTTCACTAAATACAGAATTTTAACTTGGCAGTTATTTTCATTTAACATATTGAATATATTATTTTGGCTTTTTTTTTTTTTTTTGGAGAAGTCAGCTATTAGTTTAATAGTTCCCTTTGAGTAATATGCATTTTTGTCAGACTGCTTTTGTGATTTAATTTTGTCTTTGGTTATCTGCAGTTCCACTGTGACATATCTAGGTGTAGATTTATTTTTATCTGTTTTGCTTGGGTAATCATTGGTCTTCTTAAGTCTTTGATGTCTTTGATTATCTCCAGAAAATTCTAACTATATTGTTTCCAAATACTGCCTCTAACCCAATCTCTTTCTCTGTTCCTATTCAATCCCAATTAGACATTTGGTTACTTCTCACTGTATGTTACTTTTTTTTTTTTTTAGACGGCGGGGTTGACTGGGATGTGGTGGCTCACGCTTGTAATCTCAGCACTTTCAGAGGCTGAGGCGGGAGGATCACTTGAGCTCAGGAGTTTAAGACCAGCCTGGGCAACATAGCGAGATACTATCTCTACAAAAAATTTAAAAATTAACTGGGTGTGGTGGTATACACTCATAGTCCCAGCTACTCAGGAGGCTGGGGCAGGAGGATTACTTGAGCCGAGGACATCAAGGCTGCAGTGGGCTGTGATCACGCCACTGCACTCCAAAGTGGGCGAAAGAGTGAGATTTTGTCTCAAAAAAAAAAGAGAGAGAGAGAGAGATTGGGGTCTTGCTCTGCCATCCAGGCTAGAGTGCAGAAATGCAATCAGAGCTCACTGTAACCTTGAACTCCTGGGCTGAACGGATCCTCCCACTTCAGCCTCTCAAGTAGGTAGGACTACAGGCACACACCACCACACCAGGCTAATTTTTTTATTTTTTAATTTTTTTGTAGAGTCAGCGTCTTGTTATGTTATCCGGGCTGGTCACAAAATCGTAGCCTCAAGTGATCCTCCCACCTCAGCCTTCCAACATGCTGAGAATACAAGTATGAGCCACTGAACCCAGCCTATGTTACATATTTCTTAACCTCTCTTATGTTTTCAACATCTCCCTCTCTTTTGCATTTTTGACACTTTCTTCTGATAATTTTCTGTTTATGAATTCTCTCTTCAGCTTTGCCTAAACTGCTCTTAATTTACTCTACAAATTACTATAAAAATGGCCTGGATTATCTGAAAAAGAACAAAGTGGATCTTCTAAAAATTAAAAGCAGAACAACAGATGTTGTTGTTCCCTGTAGAAATTTTTCATCTTATAGTTTTTTTCTTTATTGATAGCAATAATGTCTGATGATACAATGCCTGAAGTTTTTCAGGTATATTTATTATATTTGTTGTTTTTCTGCCTCTTACCAGTGGTACTTTGAACTTGTGCGTGCCTAATTGTTGCTGTTTCCCAAGGAGCTACTTATTCTCTTTGGAAAATTATTTTTAGAATGGGGTTGCTTTTCAGAGAATATTTGCATTTGCTTCTTTGAGACCTTTAGGGGCATACATTCCAAAATTATTATCAACAAAATTTATAGCTTGAGATTTCTGGACAACCCAGTTGATATGAATCTGGATGACAAATCACTGTGAGTTCTGGCTTGTGGTTTAAAATGATCAGGGACAGGTTTACTCCTCCCCTCAATTCTAAGGCACCTTTTCTTGCAGACCCTAAGGGTGAGGTTGTGGTTCATGTTTACCTCTGTTTTATCCTTATACTTATGGTATAGCTCTTTAGGGTGTCAGCTTAAAGGAGGATAACCTTCTATTTGAATCCTTGTCTGCATACTTAAAAATTCCCTTGTTAAGCAAATTTCCACAAGACAATAGCTGCTCAGTCCTGAGCTGCCCACATCTGGGTTCCATCCTTCATATAGATTTTACTCTCTAATTCCTTACTCTCATGTGAGCTCTTTGATACTTTCATACATGCATACATACCTATGTGTGTGAGTGTATATACATACACGCAGTTGTTTCCCGGTATTCATGAGGGATTGGTTCCAGGACACCCGTAGATACCAAAATCTGCAAATGCTTTAGTCCCTTACATAAAATAACATAATATTTGCATATAACTGATGCACGTCCTCTTGTATACTTTAAATCATCTCTAGATTACTTATAATACCTAATACAATGTAAATCTTATGTGAATACTTGTTATATTGTATTGTTTTTATTTGTATTATTTTTTATCATTGTTTTGTTAGTTTCGTTGTTTTTAAAATATTTTTGATCTATGGTTGGTTGAACTTCCAGATGCAAAAGGCTGACAGTATATACACACATATACACATATGCACACACACACACACACACATATACATATACATCCAATATACTTGTTTGATAGTGTTACCTCCAAAAACCTAGTCTATCATCTTACATAGAGCAGAATTCATTCATAAACTTACAAAGTATCTTCTTGTACCCAATGTCTCCAATCCTCCTACAAATAAGTTGACATGCAACAAAAGATAACAAGAATCTGAGCTGAAGAGATGTTGTAATCCAAGTATAGGCTTGTTGTTTGAGATAGCTGCTAGTACCTGACTACGAAAATATCCCTGTGGCCTTCCAGAGTACTGGCAATGTTGAGTCTGAATGTGCTCAAGACCCTAATGTCCATGTGAAAGAGTTACCCTGCTTGAGTTGGAAGGATTTTTACTTAGAATAAAAAGCTGCATTGGAGGTGCAGCTTTTGTCATTAAAAGTAACTGCAAAAACTGCAATGACTTTTGCACCAACCTATATGGAAAACATCAGTACTGTTAACAGGTACACTCTGAAAGACACAAGAGAAAACATATTCTGTGGTTGTAATGGTTGTAGGTAAGGGGGAAAGAAGTCTTCTTTTAGTACCTGTTCTGCCACATACTATCTGTAATTTCAAAATCTAGTTTTCCTGTCTAAAATTTGAGAAAATTGCCTATTTTATTCACTTTACAAGGTTGTTCAGAGATATATTCAAAAGATATTATGAATATGTCAAATATTTAAGATATCAGCTGCAGCCTCCCCCCAAGATGACAAACTTTAACTGCCTGCGCTTCCACTGTCCTGATATCTACTGTACTGAGCTAAATTCAGGTCTAGACAATTAAAGAAAATTAAAAAATGATGTTGCACCAAGTGGCAATTTGATGTTTTGCCAAATATCTTCTAAAATGGAATCCTGGGGAGCCTAGTCAGTCTATAATTAAGAACATAAGATTTATATACGGAACTTTTAATTCTGTTTAATCACTTGGCCCTATATATATTTATTCTTCATTTCTTTTGTTTATGAAGAGTTCAAAAAGATAGTAAAGAGAATTAAAATGGGAACTGGACTACTAGCCAGGAACTTAATGTTTTCTATTGCTGACTTGGAATAGCAAATTTTCCTGGCCCAATAGCACAGCCCTCCATCTGTGTCCTGAAGGTCAGACATTATCTCTTACAGATGAGGCTTTATCTAGATAGCTCTGTTTCTATAATATAATGGCAGACGTAAACTTTTTTTTTACATGAAAAATGGGAAATGAATTGTGTATAATCATTTCTGTCTTCACTAAGACATATATGTAGCATACAAAAACACTAATCCAATACTGTACTGTGGTCTGGAAGGCACTTCCATTTGTAAGCTGACTTATGTGATATTGCAGTTTTTGCCTGTTTTTTTTTGGAAAAGGCTGATTTTCTCCTTTTTTTCCTCATTGCTTTATCTCATCCTACTGTATTACCACTCAACTAGGACAGATTCTCAGAAGTTTCTACCATGTGAACTTCAATATAATTTGCCTGATCACTTCTAAAATAATGTTCTAATAAAATCAATTCCTAAGAATAATTTTGTTAATAATTAAAATATCACATGTACTAAAATCCAGATACTTTATGAGCTTAACCTCTAACCCTCAATACCATGCTATTTCCCTGCTAATGTGGGTGAGAAAATGTTTATTTAGAAATAAGAGGTCATTTAAAAAGGTGAGATTGTAGGGATTTAAACTTATGTTCATGTGATACCAAAACTCAAGTTCTACTTCACTACAACACCTCGGAAAATACCATTGAGTTAATGGTATTTTATGTTTATTGACAGATGAACTGACATGGCACTTCCAGTACATTCTACTTTCATTATTAAAAAATATCTTCAGAGAAAGAAAGATACTAACTCGTACAATGACAGCACTTTATTTTCTGCCAAACATTTTCTGTTATGTAAATATAGGCATTATGCATTTCTACAGGAATTCATTCTGTCTCTTAAAGAATGTAACAAAACCACTATTTGCCTCAGGATTTTCGTTGGAACTGAACATTTCAGCTTTCCATTAGCTACCATTAGTCAGAGTCACTGAATTTGGACAATACTAATTTAAAAACCTCTCCACCCTGTAATCCCAGCACTTTGGGAGGCCGAGGCAGGTGGATCACCTGAGGTCAGGAGTTTGACACCAGCCTGGCCAACACAGGGAAACCCTGTCTCTACTAAAAATACAAAAATTAGCCAGGTGTGGTGGTGCGTGCCTGTAATCCCAGCTACTCGGGAGGCTGCGGAAGGGGAATCGCTTGAACCCAGGAGGCGGAGTTTGCAGTGAGCCAAGATTGTGTCACTGCACTCCAGCCTGGGTGACAGAGCAAAACTCTGTCTTAATAAATGAATAAATAAATACCAATAGAAAATTCTCCACAAGTTATTCAAAGCTGATGTTGAAAATTAGATATTTTATCTAGTCACACCAAGTTAGAAAATTCTACACTATATAACCCTTTTAAATTATTTAAATATATTTCTAAAAGTGAAGCATTTTCTTGGAGGCTAGGGCCCTGGTACACATCTCTGTATTCCATAATGCCAAGTGCAATGCTTAACACAGAATGGGCATTCAATAATATTTGGTGGCCTGAAATTTTGACACATTATCCCAGAAAGTGCCTTCAAAGGTCATTTTCCTCTTAGACCTTATGAACTGTTCAGACTAAAGCATGTCTTAGAACATAAATATAAAACTAACTGGACTAGAAGTAGATGAAATATAAATGCAGAAAAGGGCAGTCAGGAAAATCTTCAGAAAAAGTATGGAAATAGATCAACTTTTTAGTACCTAATCACAATACTTCTTAATTGTCATTACTAAGTACTACAGGGAGCCCTTGTAAGGGCATTAGTACATTTATTGGTCATTTTATTCATTGTCATTTTACTTACGCTTTGGTGCTGTTTTAATTCAGCAGATGATAGTTGAGGTAATATGTTTGTCAGCATATCAGTGAGTTTTTAATCATAGTGTTTTTGACATCATTTTTTTGTTCCATAGTATTTGCTATGAAATTTTAAATTACATCTATTTTCCCTTTCAAGAAGTAAATATAGCTCATTGAATGCGCCCGCAGTTCTGGAGGTTTCTGTGTCTTTCTTTGTAGTCAGAGCCGGCCCTACACGCCAGCAACCATGTCGAAGGGACCTGCAGTTGGTATTGATCTTGACACTGCATACTCTTGTGTGGGTGTTTTCCAGCATGGAAAAGTAGAGATAATTACCAATGATCAGGGAAACTGAACCACTCCAAGCTATGTCACCTTTATGAACACTGAATGATTGATTGGTGATGCCGCAAAGAATCAAGCTGCAATGAACCCCACCAACACGGTTTTTGATGCCAAACATCTGATTGGATGCAGATTTGATGATGCTGTTGTCTAGTCTGATATGAAGCATTGGCCCTTCATGATGGTGAATGATACTGACAGGCCCAAGGTCCAAGTAGAATACAAGGGAGAGACCAAAATCTTCTATCCAGAGGAGGTGTCCTCTATGGTCCTGACAAAGATGAAGGAAATTGCAGAAGCCTACCTTGGGAAGACTGTTACCAATGCTGTGGTCACAGTGCCAGCTTACTTTAATAACTCTCAGCATCAGGCTACCAAAGATGCTGGAACTATTGCTGGTCTCAATGTACTTAGAATTATCAATGAGCCAAGTGCTGCTGATATTGCTTACGGCTTAGACAAAAAGGTTGGAGCTGAAAGAAATGTGTTTATCTTTGACCTGAGAGGTGGCACTTTTGATGTGTCAATCCTCATTATTCAGGATGGAATCTTTGAGGTCAAATCTGGAGACATCCACTTGGGTGAAGAAGACTTTGACAACCGAATTGTCAGCCATTTTATTGCTGAGTTCAAGCATAAGTATAAGAAAGACATCAGTGAGAAGAAGAGAGCTATAAGACGCCTCTGTACTGCTTGTGAACACACTAAGCATACTCTCTCTTCCAGGACCCAGGCCAGTATTGAGGTCGATTCTCTCTAAGAATGAATTGACTTCTGTACATCCATTGCCTGTGCCCAATTTAAAGAACTGAATGCTGACCTGTTCCATGGCACCCTTGGCCCTGTATAAAAAGCCATTCGAGATGTCAAACTAGACAAGTCACAGATTCATGATATTGTCTCTATTGGTGGTTATACTCATATCCCCAAGATTCAGAAGCTTCTCCAAGACATCTTCAATAGAAAAGAACTGAATAAGAGCATCAACCTTGATGAAGCTGTTGCTTATGGTGCAGCTGTCCAGGCAGCCATCCTATCTGGAGACAAATCTGAAAACGTTCAAGATTTGCTGCTCTTGGATGTCAATCCTCTTTCCTTTGGTATTGAACTTGCTGGTGGAGTCATGACTGTCCTCCTGTCCTCATCAAGCATAGTACTACCATTCCTACCAAGCAGACAGAGACCTTCTGACAGCCTATCTATTCTGACAACCAGCCTGGTGTGCTGATTCAGGTTTATGAAGGTGAGTGTGCTATGACCAAGGATGACAACCTGCTTGACAAGTTTGAACTCACAGGCATACCTTCTGCACCCCATGGTGTTCCTCAGATTGAAGTCACTTTTGACATTGATGCCAATGGCATCCTCAATGTCTCTGCTGTGGACAAGAGTGTAGGAAAAGAGAACACGATTACTACCACTAATGACAAGCACCGTTTGAGCAAGGAAGACATGAACATATGGTCCGGTAAGCTGAGAAGTACAAAGCTGAAGATAAGAGGCAGAGGGACAAAGTGTCATCCAAGAATTCACTTGAGTCCTATGCATTCCACATGAAAGCAACAGTCAAAGATGAGAAGCTTCAAGGTAAGATTAATGGTGAGGACAAACAGAAGATTCTGGACAAGTTTAATGAAGTTATCAAATGGCTGGATAAGAATCAGGCTGCTAAGAAGGAAGAATTTGAACATCAGCAGACAGAGCTGGAGAAAGTCTGCAATCTCATCATTAGCAAGCGGTACCAGAGTGCAGGAGGCATGCCTGGAGGAATGCCTGGGGGATTCCCTGGTGGTGGAGCTCCTCCCTCTAGTGGTGCTTCCTCAAGGCCCATCACTGAAGAGGTTGATTAAGCCAACATAAATATAGATGTAGCATTGTTCCACACATTTAAAACATTGAAGGACCTAAATTTGTAGCAAATTCTGTGGCAGTGTTTAAAAGTTCAGCTGCTGTAGTAAGTTACTAGGAATTCTCAATACTTGAATATGCAACATGTGCACAGGGGAGGGAAATAACATTGCACTTTATAAGCACTGTACTGTAAGTGGAAAATGCAATGTCTTAAATAAAACTATTTAAAATTGGCACAAAAATATATAGTTTAACACTGCGTTAAGAATATATCTCTAAAAGTTACAGAGATATAAGCACTTACATTTTGTATAAATTATTAGTAGCAAAATGCAATCCTGAAGGTGTAACTACAATAAAATTGGGTTTCTCTATTTCCCTTCAAAGTTGGGTTGACGTTATGACTATATATAATAAGTATGAAAACAATCGTCTATGTGGTAATTTGGGAGCTGGGAAAATATCCCATTTACTTTATTATAGTAATTTAAATTGCACCATTGTGAGCCCTATTCTTACCAATTGACTAGGGAGACATGTACCTCCTCTGAACTTCTTAACCACCTATTATTTATTTGATGCATTCCATCATTAGCACATAACCTCATGTTGTTCATTATTTTTTACATAAATTTCTGCCTCCAACCAACACACACAAACACACATATGCATACACATAATTATATTATAAACTCCCTCATAAGCAGGGATTGGGACTAATATATTATGACATCCCACTGTGTTTTGTTCAGTGCTGACAAAGAGCAGATACTCAATAAGTGTCTTTATATTGATTGTGGTTTGACCCACGGGTTATAATAATTTAACAATGACTTTTGTTTTCTTTGATCTTTGTTAGAACATCTCTATCCTAGTGGCTTCTGGGTTCATAATAACTGCTTAAAGTGTTAAAGATGATGGAGTTTGGACACAGGGTGGGATGGGATGGGAAGCCTCTGTGTAAAATAAAGATTTTAATTTCATTTAGATATCTGTTTCAGAAGGGGTTTAGAAACCAAAGCTAAGTGCACAAAGTGAAAGGCATTTTGGAAATTATGTGGTTTATTTAATCAGTTTCTAAAGGAACTTGTTTAATTCTAGTTCCTGAATAGATTCTGTGGTTGCAGTTGTTTTATTTGCTGACTAAAATATGTAATACAAAAAATATGCAATTGTAATTTTTGGAATAAATGCATCATATTGTTCAGCATAAGTGATCTCCAAAATATCTGCTCAATATCCCAAAGTGCACTGACAAACAACTGTTATTCTTGATAAAAGGTATGATTCCATGGTATCTGAAAAATTGTCTGTTTGTAGATTATTTAAGAGTCTGTATTCTAATTTAACCAAGATTACTTTAAAATTTAACTTTTGGAAAACTGACGCATAAAATGTATTTGGCTATTCCAAATCACAATACGCTATTTTGCTTTAACTCCCATAGTTATTTTTTCATATAGTTTCACTTATGAAACTGGCTCTTACTACAAAAATGAAGTATACCTTGTTGCAGTAATATTGCTTTATTTTGAGATTTGAGTGGGAGGAAAGGGTAATATTTCTATCTTATTAATACTGTGTTTACCAGTTTTTAATTCTGATTTAAGATTCTTTCCATAAAACAAGTTATAATGGGAAAGGGGGAAAGAAGTTCTTGTGTACCTGATTTTCAGGGTGAGGAAAGCAAAAATGTTAAGCTCAGTTACTAAAAACAGTTTTTACTTATTGCATATACCTGCTTAAGAAAGGTCTTAGAAAAATCATACTTTGGAGACAAAATCAAGTTTAGAGACATCTAACCCAGTCCTCTCATTTCACAAATCAAAGGAGGCTCAAAGAAGCCATGTGGCTGAACCTGGATCACACAGTTACTGGAAAAGCTGGAAATTGAAGCTAGGACTTCAGTACTCTACCATCCCGTAGTTTTAACCAACTGAAGGAAAATGTAAAAATGCAGAATGGTGAAATAGTTCACAAGAAAGAGTAATCCACCAAGAGTCTGGCATCCCAAAGTAAATCCAAGTTACATTATTGATGATTTGCTTAATAATATTATATCCCTACCAACTCTCCTCATTGACCTTGTCCCTTTCTAAATTTATTCTTTTCCCAGTTTCAGCTTTTGCTTCATCTCTTGGGCCCTAGGCTAACCTGGAATTACTAGCCTTTGTTGGACAAGACATGAATAGGGCTGTTTCTTAAGCCAGAAAGTATAGTGATTTCCCTTGATCCCATAAACATGTACAAGTCTCCCCAACAATTGAAGTACTTCTTTGACTTTTTGTCTCCCTCTGAAAAATGTTTCCTCTCCTAAAGGTCAGAATCAAGGCCCCCCCACCACGCCCCGCCCCGCCACCACACATACACAAAAATCTAGTTTCATAAAAAACAAATGCAAAATGTGAACCTTGTTGGAAACCTAATTTAAATAAAGCAACTCATTTATATCCTAATTTGAGTCATTTGTTAAAAGTGAATACAGATTAGGTAGTAGATGATATGAAATAATCATTTTAACTTTATGCAGTAAAATCATTTTATGCTATTATGTTTAAAATGTCATTATAATTCAAGGTGTATAAAGAAGTACTTATGAGAACAGAACTTACAGAATGGCAACCTTGGTGAATTCTTTCTCTCACAAAAGCTATAAAAATACTTGCAAAACTACAAAAATCAACTGTTTTAGAATCTTGGAAATTAACCAAAGGTATAGATTTGGCTTAAAAGATATTCATTTAAAAACAGTCTACTGAACTTCAGTTAGAACAGTGGGATCTATGTTGTTTTCACTTGGGGCTACTTTCATTCCCCTCTCACCACAGTAACAGAGCACAGTAACCAGCCAGTTGAGTGGGGACTGATTTGTTTTGGAGCTTCATGTAAAGCCCCATCCTTAGAACACTTTCAATATTTCAACAATATTTACAATAATTCCTTTGAAACACATTATTCCCAGGTAATTGGGCTATTTGTCCTGACTCTGAGTTCAGTTCTTCAGAAAAAGCTTTATCTCCAGAGTTTTGAAAACAATAACATGAGCTGGATTTAATAACATTGCAGTTGCCTAAGCCTGTGAACTCAGTTGTAACAAACAAGAAGTTGGCTAAAAATGTAAAAGGAATACATCGGTAATGGCAAAAGGACCAACATAAGGGATTCTAAAATGCTCCAGCATATTTCAGGAAATCTAAAAGGCTGCACAAATGTGTATGTCTGTACACATGCCCAAGAAAACTCAGAGAGGACCAACAACTCATCTCTAGCTACCTTTGATGCTGGACTCGAGCAGGAAGTAAAAGCTAATATTGACTTGTAAATTCTCTGAAATTTGAAGGTGTGACCTCCCACAAAAATCTCCTTGGAACAGGGTAAAAGAAAAACTGGCTCATAGCATTTAACAGAATATTCTGAACAATCATTAGCTGACTACAAACAATGCTGATTCAGGGGCAACTCTTAAGAAGGATTAAAAATAAAAACAAATATCAAAGAAAAATGCTACCAGAGAAAATAGCAGCCACATATTGCAAGGAATACAGAATCTATAGAAGTATTCTAGGAAAGTAACTGAGGCAAGCAGCAATGAGGACAAAATCTCATAAACAACAATAAACACTAGAGGTTGGAGTAGATCTGATTTCAAAGTTACTACAATATATTATTTAAAATGTCCGAGTTTCAACAAGAAATTGTAAGACATACAAATAAACAGGGAAGTATGCCAGGCATGGTGGTTCACGCCTGTAATCCCAGCACTTTGGGAGGCCAATGTGGGTGGATCACTTGAGGTCAGGAGTTCGAGACCAGCCTGACCAACATGGTGAAACCTCGTCTCTATTAAAAATACAAACAATAGCCGGGTGTCGTGGCAGGCACTTGTAATCTCAGCTGCTCAGTAGGCTGAGGCATGACAATCACTTGAACCTGGGAGGCGGAGGTTGCAGTGAGCTGAGGTCATGCCACTGCACTCCAGCCTGGGCAACAGAATGAGACCCTACCTCAAAAAAAAAAAAAAAAGGAAGAAAGAAAGAAAAGAGAAAAGAAACAGGAAAGTATGGCATAAAGGCAGGAATTAAAGAAGTCAATAGAAAGTGTACAGAGGGGGCCTAGATGTTGGACTTATCAGACAAGGAGTTTAAATCAGCTATATAAATATGTTTAAAGAACTAAAGAAGACTATCTTTAAAGAATTAAAGAAAACTATGATGATAATGCTCACTAAATAGAGAAAATCAGTAAAGATATACAAATTAATTTAATATTTAAAAGAACAAAAATTCCGAAGTTGAAAAGTACAATAACTGAAATGGTAAATTCATTAGATAGGCTTAATAGAACATTTCAGGAGGCAGAAGAAAGAAACAATAAACTTGAAGATAAACTTGAAGATAAGTCAAAAGAGATTATCCCATCTGAAGAACAGAGAGAATAAAGGAAAATGAACAGAGCCTCAAAGGCCTGTGAGACACCATCAAATTATGCATAATGGGAGTCCAGAAGGATAGGTTAGAAAGATACAGAAAAGATATTTGAAAAAACAATGGCTGAAATTTTCCCAAATTTGATAGAAGACACTAATTTACACATCAAAAAGCTCAATGAACACCAATTAGGATAAACTCAGGGATACAAACCTAGATACTTCATAGTCAAATAGTTGAAAGGCAATGACAAAGAGCAAATTCTGGAAGAAGCAAGAGATAAATGACTCAATATATACAAAGGGACCCAAATAAGATTAACAGTTGACTTCATCAGAAGCTGTGAGAGCCAGAAAGCATTGGGATGACATATTTGAAGGGCTGATAGAAAAATACTGTCTACCAAGAATTCTATTTCCAGTAAAACTATTTCTTAAAAAAATGAAAGAGAAAGATGTTTCAAAATAAAAAAATAGATAGAAGTTGTAGTCAGCATACCTAACCTATATCTACCAAAGGGAATCTTTCAACTGAAATGAAAAGGTAGATGGTAACTTGAATCCACATGAATGAAAACTCTTTTCTCTTTCCAAATGGTTTAAAAGACAACTCCATGAAAAAAAACACAAAACTATTTTGATGCATTATAATGTATAAAAATGTAATTTGCATGACAATGATATCACAAAGAAGGGGGAAGAAATGGAAGTATATTGGAGCAATATGTCTACATACTATTGAAGTTTAATGTTAATCTTAACAAGATTGTTTCAAATTAAGATGCATATTATATATGGAGTGACTGAAAATGGGATAATGAAATTCTACTGTAATTAAATAAAGTTGATGGTTGCCTAACATTGTGAATATGCTAAAAATCACTGAATTGTACACTTTAAAGGGTGAATTTTATGGTATAAGATTTATATCTCAATTTTAAAAAGGAATAAAAATTAAAAGATGTATATTGTAAGCCCCAGAGCAAACACTAATACTATTTTTAAGTAAATAAAATAAAATAAAAACATAGTGAAAAAAATCCAAAAAGGAATTTAATGAATAATAATAACTACCTTTCCTAATTTTGTTATGCTTAACTGCTTGGCATCTAGCTGGAATCCAATATACTGTACCTATATGTATTATTAGCCTTATTTTTGTTATTGTTATTGTATTCATAGCATAAAATCATTTCCTCAAGGCCACAGCTTTGCTGTAGTAGTCATTGAATAAATAATAGCAATAGGTAAGAAAGTAAGGTGAGTCTAGGTTTAACTTTGCTGTTTCACTACTTTTTTATTTACAATTTTATTTTTCCTATTAACTATCACCTTTGTGTACTGTTAAATTAACTGCTTTTTTTTCAAATAGTTTTAACACATGTCTGAAAAAAACTGCAAGGGAACATGAGGTAAAGCTAGAAGTGTCATATGATGGCACTTGCAATCTCTTGTAAGATCTTTTGTTTACTTCAAAGTGTAAATTGGACAGCTCTTAATTACATTGTTAGAATAGTTTACACCAGAATTAAGTACAGTCTTAGATTCACTGCAGTTGCCATCTTTTGTTTAGTCATTTACATAAGTAATTAAATAGAGCTTACAAATTATGTGTAAACAATATTATGAGTCACTGAAAATGAAACTTTTAGTTGAATAACCCAGAGTAAAAGCCAATTGAGTAACTTGTCATAGTAATACACGCTAAAAAGTTTATTTATGAAACACTGGTCTTCAAAAATTGCCTTAATATTTTTCAATGAAATAAGTTTGGGGAAATGGTCATTTAATTTTCATATTCCACTTAAATAACAAGAAGCTTACCTTACTCCATTGTATTTAAACTGAGAAAATATATATTTATGTTATGTTATATTATATTACATTATATTTGAACCAATATACTACTTCTAGAACATTTGTTTTGGTACACGTGAAAATACATAATTTACATTTTTATATGCATAATATCTTTTTGTTTGTAAATAGGGGTTTGGTTTAATGTAATACTAAAAATAATGATAACCTTAAAATTGTATAGTAAGTTAAAATTTACTAAATATTTTCACATTCAGCTTTTAATATTCACAAATACCTGTGAAGCAGATGCTAAGTGAGATACTGTAGGTTAAAATACTTATCAAGATAGATGCACAGTAAAAGTCATTTATAAAAGAGAATCTAGTTTGTAGAGATAACCAGTGACTTACCAAAATCAAAATACTAATATAACATTACTTAAGAGTCATTTGATCAAAAAGACTTAGTTAAAAAAGAGTATTTCTTAGCCAGAATTAATGCTAAAGGCTATAAACTATCAAATTTAAATATGTATATGATTAACTTATCAATGTTTAGCTTTTATGTAATTTTCTATTGAGCAATTTCCTTTTTATTAGTAACCAAACAAATTATACTATAATGTTTAGTGGAAATAATTTGTCATCTTTATTTTTTACTCCAGTTGCCCTTCAACAGAACACTGAGGTTGATTACAACGGTTTATATGTGCCACTCACTGGTGAAATTCATGTATACACAGAGTTTGTAATCAGGTTTATGAGGAATTCAAAATTAGACACTTCATTTTCTTCCATCACAAGAAACACTTCAAACAACAGGGAATTTACTTTTCATTATATATTTCATTTATTTATTTTATATATATTTTAAATATATTTGATTTATATATATATTTCATTATATATATTTTATATACCTTCTATTTTGAATATATTTTCATACAAAATTAAATACATAAAAGTTAGCTTCAGCTATTAGTTTAATAGAACATATTCAGCTTTGTCCTTTGTACTTGCTCTTAAAATAGTAAATCCAGAAACTTTTTCCTCCCTATCAATATAAAGGAGATATTAAGCTAAGATGGGGTTAAAGTAAAATATGGGGTATAAGATAGGGTTAAAGTAAAATAGAAAATGAATAAGTGCTTAATGAATATCAAATGCCTCTAAATTAATTCCCCTTTAAAGTTTTGTTCTACAGAATTTTGAGGAGAAAATAGGTTTTTTCTTAGCCAGTGCAAGCTTTTGGGTTCCAAGAATGAATATGATCTAGAATAAGGAAACCTCTTGCTCTGCAGAAGACAGCCTGTTCTAATTATCCCATGTATACTCTAAGTACGAACTCAGAATACTCTTTCTGCTTTATTCTAAATAGGGCAAAAAACCACATTTGTCATGATCTTATCAATTACATAAAAAACAGCAATATAAAATCTTCAGTGGCTTGGCTAATTTGCAATTGTACATGCTCCCATAAAAACTCTTATATATCCCATAACATGTTACTACAGAATAAAAACAGAAATAAACAGGATGAAAATAAAAATTCTGTCTCCAATATCTGTGTTACTAAATATTTCTCAGTAAAAAGAACTCCATTAGAAAATCAATTTCATTCAAACTTGATTGTCTTGTTGATGCTCTTCCTTTAAAAGAAACAATGGCATTGGGTCATGGGAAAACTTAATTCATTAAGTTTACTTTGGGGACTTAATGTTATATGAGCATTGAGTAAGCAGCTTGTCTTTACTACATTTTGAATGCAGAATAACTAGATGGCAAAGATTTTAGATTTTTGATAGGTTTTATTTGAAATACAAAACAAACTTCAGCACACAAGGAATATGGAAATTTGACTAAAGAGGAAAAGAAAGAAACTAACTTTTAATGATTAGCCCAATGATCCTTTTACTACACAGTTCAAGCACTCTGTTAGGAGTACATACAGAAAAATGCGAACAATTAAGATCCATAGTTGTAATATATTCTATTCAGCATATGAAAGACAACTTTCAAGATAGAGTTACTGCCCTTTAAGATAAAAGCTAAGTAGGCTATTCTTATTCATCGCATAATGTTTAAGAGTGAGGATTATGGATATATAGTCCATTCATTCTAAGCAAGTTTTCTTTTATGTTCACTTAGATGGCAACAAGGATAAAATGTCTTCTGAGTATTAAAATAATGTATAATTAATGACTAGGTTTTTCATCTATGATCTCTTGCTGGGACTAACCAAACTGATTATAAAGATCATAGGAACATAAAAGCACATATGAAATTAACACTATTGTATGAAATAGAAGTTCTTATTTTCATCTCCCTATCATTGACAAAAGCACTAAACTTCTAACTTCATAATGATACTTTCAGATTTTGAGTAACTTGTTCAAAGTGGCATAACTAGGTATCTTAATTATAGAATCTTAAGACATAAAAGACAACCTCAAAAAAAATCTAGTTCAAGCTCTTATTCCAGGCACAAATTCTTTGCATAACCACTAGTGATGGCTGGTGGTGTCCTCTCTTTGAAAGACAGAGCTTTTATTGAACCCTAAGCTGATTCTTTCCGTATCTTTTACCATTTATCTTGCTTTTGTCTTTGGAAGCGTATGAGTATGAAAATCCTTCAAGTCTTTGAAGATATATCATGACCCCTCCCATTTCTCCTTAATTCCATTTCTAATTGCATGATAGCAGAGGCATTGCAATCTGGGCCTTCAAACTGTCTTAGGCAGGTGTTAATAGAGTCTGAACTGAACTGAAATAAAATTATTTTGAGTAAAGCTATAGTTCTAAAACAGTGTGTATCAGCTAGGACCATGTACAGTACTAATAAGTACACAATAACTATTAACTATTAGTATTATGGTAGGGCTTGGAGAAATTACCCTTAAATATACAAAAGACTATTTCCTTAGTTATGTTACTCTGTGTCTCTAGAGCCATATCAAGACATCAAGCAAGAATCAATATTTGTTGTTGTTGTTGTTGTTGTTTTTCAGGAACATAGTATGTTCAACATTTCCATGGGTTGGTGGCAGAAATAGCACTCTGGCTAGCTGGGAGAATGGGACCTTTAATACCAGTGATGTGAGGATGGATATTAGCCTTTTGTGGCCCTAAAATGAGGTAAAATTGTATACCTCAATTTCCCTCATCTGTAAAGTGGGAAAAATACTTATATGTTGGTTGTGTGGATTGAATAAGATAAATGGACAGAGTAAGTGTTCAATTAAAGTTAGCTATTATAGTACTTGTTATAATAGCTTCCTTCACCACCATCATTCAACCCAGTTAAAAGGCTCTTGGCATAGACATACAGGCTTTGAGGGAAAAGTTCATGAAGTAAGGACTGAGAACTTAGCTCTCTAGGAATTGGCACATTAGCAGACAATATAAAAATCACTGAAAGTTTCCAAGGCTGGGCATGGTGGCTCATGATTGTATTCTCAGCATTTTGTTAACCTGAGGTGGGTAGATTGTTGTAGCCCAGGAGTTCACAACTAGCCTGGGTAACACAGTGAAACTCTGTCAAAAGAAAGGAAAGAAAAAAAAAGAAAGAAAGAAAAAAGAAAGAAAGAAAGAGAGAGAGAAGGACGGAAGGGATGAATGGAGGGAAGGAAGAAAGGAAGGAAGAAAGATAGAAGGAAGGAAGGAAGGAAGGAAGGAAAAGAAAGAAAGAAAGAAAGAAAGAAAGAAAGAAAGAAAGAAAGAAAGAAAGAAAGAAAGATTGATTCCATGAAGGAGTGAGATTTAAGAAGAAAAAGGAAAATGAGGAGAATCTTCAAATCACCAGAACTGGACACTACAGAGGGAATTCTAATCTTTCTTGAGAAGACAGAGGATGTCTCCTCTTAAGGAAGAAAACGTAGGAGGTGCGTCCCATTGTTGGCAGTAGAATACTGATAGCATTTAAACTTTTGGTGCATTGTTTTCTTTATGTATTAAATAGGGATAGTACATGTATAATACTTGGAACAATGTCTGGCCCTGAGCAAAAACTCAAGTGTTGGCCGTTGTTATTTAGCTTTGACAGTGCTGCCTATCTGCCTGTAGTGAAATTATTTTTGCAACCAGAACTGGAATGTTAACTACAATTACATTATTTATTTATTTTGTGCATTTATTGGGGAATTAAACCAGTAATTAATATGTAAAAGTTGTACATTTCTTTTACTTTTTTTTTTTTTTTTTTGAGATGGAGTTTCACTCTTGTTGCCCTCAGGCTGGAGTGCAATGGTGCGATCTCGGCTCATCGCAACCTCCACCTCCTGGGTTCAAGAGATTCTCCTGCCTCAGCCTCCTGAGTAGCTGGGATTACAGGCATGCGCCACCACACCCAGCTAGTTTTGTACTTTTAGTAAAGACAGGGTTTCTTCATGTTGGTCAGGCTGGTCTCGAACTCCCAACCTCAGGTGATCTGCCCGCCTCGGCCTCCCAAAGGGTTGGGGTTACAGGCATGAGCCACCGCACCCAGCCAAAGTTGTACATTTCTAAGGAGGATAGAAGAGAGAAACAGCAAAGGATAACCAGAGGTAGAAGACTCTAGATATAAGAACAAAAATCAGGACCTCTGGACTGTATTCTTCCACATATGTCATTATAATTTAAATATACTGATACCATTATTCTTTTTGTATTTAGAATGGAAACTTACCCGGTAAAGAAATTTTTTTCTCTAGGATAAAGATCCCGCAGTGAAGTGATTAAGGATATTGTTAAAGGGAAAAGTGATATTGGGAGAAGACATTTCAAACCCAAAGTAATGATTCACAGGTGAAGATATGTGGGCCTGGGAATTTCCAAGAATATCACCTCATGAACTGATTTGCAAAGAGGAAGGAGGCCTTCATCTATCCATTAAAAAGAAAAAGACCAGATATAGGAGTAGATGCTAGGTATATACAAGTACACAAGGCTGACAAGTTACCTGCTAAGCTTTTCAGAGGGATGTTTTTTGGGTGAATGCCTGAGGACAGGAATTAAGGCATCAGTGTATAGACTCAAGATCAGCCCTGTGGAATATGTAAGCCCTGTGGATGATAACCATAAGTAACAAAGAAAGATAAAACAGAGATAGCTGTTTTACAGAGGGACTTTGTGAAGGGGACAGGGACAAGTATTGCTTTTTCAATGTTTAGATAACAAAATGTGCCACAGTTATAAAGGGGCATTTTCCTAATTTATGCAAGGAACACAGCTAAGTACAATGAATACTGACGCAAATGCAGCACACCTGGTATCTTGAGGGTTTGTAGATTTGGCAGCCCCGGGTGACAGCACTCTGGAGAAGTAACCAGCATTCTCATGGAAGGCACCGGTGGCGAAATGGCAAAGCGTCAGCGGAGACCACAATGCCTGGTGGGAGACTGTGGATGCCCAACAGACATGGCGGTACTCAGCAGATGCCGAGCAAATGATGATGGATACCCAGTGGCAGATGATGGATGCCCAGTGGGAGATGATGAATGCCAAATGGGAGATGATGGATGCCCAGTGGTAGATGATGAATGCCCAGCAGATACTATGAATGATGACGGGTGATGGTGGATACATGTGTGCTCCATGAAAGCCCAGAATAATTGCAGCAGTGCATGATGAAAATTGATTTGCTCATGATCACACGAGAGAACCACTGGTGACTTCTAGAAGTACTTAGGGGAAAATGAGTGTACTTTTTCTAGAGGGCTAGAGGACCTTTGTTAGCACAGGGGTGAATGTGGAGTATCAACATGAAAGCTATTTCTTCTGTGCTCACAGCTGTGATGCCCATCACAAATGTAAACACTTTTAGGGACCAGGTAGGTAATATCAGTGGGTAGGACAGCTGGGTATAAGAAGATGGGGAGTGGTAGAAAAGATAGCAAAGTTGGAACTCACTCTTAAAATGTATTCAAATGATAAAGTTTAAAAATTGTTGGCTAGGCCAAAACAAAATTTATCTGCAGGCAAAATTCAGCCAAAGAGCCACTATAACAATATGTTCCAATACCCTAGGGCTTAATATGCCATCTATCTAGGGATATGGTACCACCTTTATACACACAAGAAAATTGTTTCACTTTGAGAATGACCTCTAGTTATACAAATTTTGGAGGTATTAATATATATGAGAAGATTGTCTTCTGCTATTCATTAACCAATTCGAAGAAATCAGGGAGATTTTATTTATTGCATGTTTATTTTCATAAACTGTATATGTTTTGAGAACATTTAGGACAACTTGGACTCCAGTGAGTAACTTTTGATGGAATCCTTGAAAATCCCCAGGGATGACAGTGGAAAATATGATGGATCTACACTTTCTAGATCCATTCCCAAACCCTCTTTCCCAAATATAGTTCTGGTCTAGGTTTGACAATATCTATCTTTTACAAAAAGGCATAAATCTCTAGCAAAAGGGGGTTTGGATTTAAGGCATTCTTCAAAATAAATGAAGACAAAATTACAAAATCCAGAAAGATTTATAAGCATATATTCCATTTTAATGGAATAATTAAATTTCAAAGATAATTCACTGTCATGCATATATATCTAGAAAACCATGTATATATACACATATATGTGTACAAATAGTATATATACTATATATATGTGTATATATAGTATATATACACGTATATATACACATATATGTATATATACACGTATATATACACATATATGTATATATACACGTATATATACACATATATGTATATATACACATATATATATATATAGAGAGAGAGAGATAGAGAGTAATCTTTTGGGGGGAGGGTGCCTTATTTATCAGTTCTATGTTTTAATGTAGTTATTCATTAAAGGAGCATTCTAAGTGACATATAACATGAAGCAATGACTACAAACAAGGACTTTGGAGTTTTATAGGCCTGTGCTTAATAATCAGTTGTGTTACTGAAAAGTTCTAAGGTCTTGGACACATTACTTATCTCTTCTATACATTACTTTCCTTTATTTAAAATATGAAAAAATAGATAATACACATTTCTTTGAAAGGGTTTGGAAGAGTTAAATGAGTTAACGCATGTGAAATTTTTTGCAGAATGCCTGGGGTTATAGTATATTCTCAGTTAATGATAATTATTTTTAATGTAAAGATGAAATGGGTTGATTGTTGTCTAGGGCTTTACAAAGTTACTAGTCAACAATTTTAGTTCTCTCCCTTCCAGTTCTCAAATCCTTCCAAATTCCAATTAACATACTTAACCGGTTGGTTAGTTCCTTTTTACATAGATAATCTTATATTTTGATAAAAAACAACCCTTTTATAACTTCCACAGGAATTTTAGCTACCAGACTTATTTCTGATCCACAGGTTTTTTGACTCAGGTGAACAGAAAACCAAGCCTAATACATTTGCATTCTCAAGGGATTCAAATTATTTAGGTAGTTATTACTACTAGCCCTAACTTAGAAAGATAAGCAAAAAACTATAAAGAATTTTAAATATCTTAAAATTATATTGATGTTTACTTGCTTTAGTTCATTAAAATGGCTGTAATTACATTATGTAATTTGCAATTTCTGAAAGCACTTCCTCTAATTAAGAAAAAAAATGCTACTAAAATGGAGAATGCATTTCCATAACAAAGTAACCTAAAATCTACTTCTGGCACAGATGTTTGATTGCATGGGTTGCATGCTAGTAATGAAGTGAGAAACCTATGTCTCCCACATCCTCTGTATGTCTAGTTTGGTTGAAGTGTTGCAAATGAATTATAAATATGTTGTTGTCTGAAAAGAAATCATGGCTGTTAGAAAGAGGATGTGGGCCAGATGTGGTAACTCATGCCTGTAATTCCAGCAGTTTGGGAGGCCGAGGTGGGAGGATTGCTTGAGCCCAGGACTTAGAGACCAGCCTGGGCAACAGAGTGAGACCCTATCTCTACAAATAAATAATAAAAAAAAATTAGCAGAGCATGGTGTCACATGCCTGTTGTCCCAACTACTTGGGAGGCTGAGGCAGGAGGATAGCCTGAGCCCAGGAGGTCAAGGCAGCAGTGAGCTGTGATTGTGCCACCACACTCTAGCCTGGGTGACAGAGTAAGAATCTGTCTCAAAAAAGAAAAAAATAAAAGATGTGGGGTTGTGTATTTCCATTGTGGTAAATTAAATAACACATATGAAAGCATCATGAGTGCTCCATAGCAGATATTTTATGATAATGTCTAGATAGAGAATCAGAAGTTCAAGAATTGACTCCGTGTACTTGTAAAAATTAATCCAATTGCTTTGAAAAAGAAATTACTTTCATCTGGTAGCCTCAAATATTGGTAGGCAAAAATTACCCAAAAAGAAGGCTATAGAAACTTTCTGGAGGACCCTTCCTTTGTGGAACAACCATTTCAAAACCATATAGAAATGTATAATAATAATAATAAATTGTAGTTTAATCCTGCAAAGCTACATAGATGGGCAAGTATGTGACTTAAATAGTTAACATTTCTTTTTGCCTCTTGCTTTTTGCTTATTACTGGAAAGGATATTTTCCCAGTTGCTTCCCTCTCCTTACTCCGAATATATCTGTGTCTTATGAATGACTGCCAATTTCCAAAGTGAGGGTGCCATCCAGATCTTTGTTACTGTCTTGCCTCTACTTTTCCAGCTAGATAGTAAACTCCTTGAAGGCATGTCTGTTTTCTGTTCCTGCTGTATCATATCATTTAATATGGCACCTAATCTATGAATCTGAGTTGATGGTAATGTGGTGGGTTGAGTAGAGCCATGGAGTGGGAATAAAGTGGTAATTTCCAATGTTCAGTAAGTGTATGGGGAAGTTGTTACTCCACGAAGTGTGAGAAAGAGAGATCAGACCCTAGAGCAAGCAAGGTACCAGAGAGCATGGCTCCATTCCACTCATCAATGAGTTTGTACAAAGCACTTAAAATCCAAAAAAACAACTCAAGGAGTTGAGATTGACGAATTGGGGCCCCGTGGAAAGTTAAAGATGATGTAAATATTTGGAAACTTGGTAAAGAAAATTGAGGACAAGGATTATTTTAAACTTACAAGGTCTATATTTAGGTTACATTTTTAAGCCAAATTTTCATTTAATATTTTTATAGATGCAATTTATATGCCAAAGCAGTTAAGTTTTAAACATATAACCTTAATATTTATATATACTCGTGTTTTAATTTTAAATAAGCCTGGGGTAGATTGAGTCTAAACCTTACAATGTGTTACTAGCAGAGCGACCACAAAATTAGAAGGAATAAATGAAGATCTAGTAAACTAGGCAGCCTGATGTCTCCTCTGAGCACAAAGATACTCATGATAGTAAGTTACCAGACCAATCAAATGGAAGCTGCTGAAAAGGAGGATGGTTGAGATGGAAGATACACTTATTTTTCAAGGAGAGGAAAAGATAGGAATCAAGACAGCTGATCTGAAAAGTTTGACATGCAACTAGAGAAGCCCTAGGAATATAAAAGAGGAAATTTAATTTGAACTGTAGGCATGAGGAAGCTGTGAGCTGATTTGTTCCAATTTAGTCATGGTAAATATATGTAAACCTGAACATGAGTATTTTTTATTCCTACTATTGAAAAATGCAGGGTGTAATTTATGTGAAAATAAATTCTTTTTGTGCAAGAACATGGGAGAAAACTGCCACTGTTATGTAAATGATAAAAAATTGTAATCTGGGTTCTTTAATAGGGTTCTGTACACCTAAGGTTAAAATATCTGTATCAGGCAAAACAAAAGTGGGGGGATATATTTCAAAAAGAAGATTTAATAATTATTTTGCACATTGTGATGGAATTTTTAACATGGGGGAATAACTCCAAATGTCTGTGCCTGGATGTAATTCTTACCTCTGTATCAGTACTGATTTTGATTTAAATGTGTTCTTTTTTCACCATTGGTGATTTGCTTGTTAATGAAGCATTAATTTGTTTAGTAATATTTGTGCTTCTTCTGTTTTGTTTAGGGTGGCTGGCATAGAAGTCTTATATAACTTGAAAACCTCAGAAAAAACCATATATTTTTGAAAGGCCTAATAGATAACAAAACATCTTTTCTTTTTTAGAGACAGGTTCTCATTCTGTTGCCCAGGCTGGAGTGCAGTGGCATGATCATAGGTCACTGCAGCCTGAATTCCCAGGCTCAACCCATCCTCCCACCTCAGCCTCCTAAGTAGCTGGGACTACTGGCATGCCACTATGCTTGGCTATTTTTTTGGTTTTTTTTGTAGAGATAGAGGTCTAACTATGTTGCCCAGGCTGTTCCCAAATTTTGGTCTCAAATGGTTCTCCTGTCTCGGCCTCCCAAACCTCTGAGATTGCAGGCATGAGCCACCATGCCCAGCCAGATAACAAACACCTTTAAGTTTGACATTCATCATTATTGTAAACTTTTATTTCCTTTTAAGACTTAAATATTGGTGTTTAAAAATGAAAATAAACTGAAATGACATATTGTCTTTTCCAATGAACAAAATAAATGTGATAATATTCAATTTGTACATTGATTTGAATAAACTGGTGTATAATTTCATGATGTGAGTGTGGTCATTATTAAAACTTAGAGTAGCAAATCTGCAGGAAAAAGAGGCATAGGATTACATGGTATGTGGCTGGGCAAAGGCTTATTATTTCTGTGTGTGTGTGTGTGTTTGTGTGTATGTGTGTTCATGTTTTTTAAGGTTTTATTCCTCCTAACCTTACAAGGTGGAGAACACACATCTACCTCTTTACAGGTATCTTAGCAGGCTGGCAAGAAGTAGAGAGGGCAAGGGCAATTGGTTTCCTAATATGCATTAATAGAAATATTTAGGCTAGGTATTGTTTTTGTTAAACAATAAAATGATGATTGCAAATTGAAATTGTAGAATATAACAATTCTGTTAGCAAAATTTGAACTAAACACATTTGAACTATTTAATACCTACATATTGGTGACTTTAAGCAGACGAGGAAAAAAATTATGTTGGTGAATACAAACCTTCAGAGATTTTAGTTTTTATTGGGTGGCTTTTTGGAGCACTATCACTATAGAATTTCAAGTTGAGTTCATAGGCACAGAGTGTCTAGTTTACCTGAACGATTTGGGTACTTGTTTGGCTGCAGTAGAATTTACAAAAGAAAGATAAAGACTTGGCCTTATACATTTTGGAGTTCTCCTGTTTTTGTTTGTTTGTTTTGTTTTGTTTTTGTTTGTTTGTTTCATTATGTTTTTGAAGATTATGAAGTTGTGGCTAAACTGGTGACAAAAAAATTACAATTCTATTGAAAATATGTGAGATGTGATTGAAATATAAATTTGGAGTTGGTGGTACTGTGACAGTCTATGGACTATTATTTAGAGAAAATAGGGTTTTCTTTTCACAATTTAATTGAAAACTGAGTTAATCCATAATAGAATGATGACAAGGACCATTAACTCCAGTTGTTTTTTAAATTTTTATAACCTTAGTTATAAACATTGTCCTCATTGAAGGATGTAATTTCTAAAATAGTAGCAATTTGTATATAGATATCTATTTTCTGCTGCCAACATTTAAATAATATATTACACATATATGTATTATTATACATTTTTATATTTTCTATGTATTATTCCTCACTAGAGAGATCAAGGTCTCCTGAGAGATGGAAGTTCCAGGTCTTAGTATGAAATGAGTCTGGATTGCTTCACAACTTATATATGCCTTATATATACATTTTTTAATTAAAATTTTTATTTAAAGATAAGTGTAGATTGACATGCAGTTAGTTGCAATAAATTATGCCGAGAGATCACATGTGCCCTTTTCTCAGTTTGCTGCAATGGTAACATCTTGCAAAATTATAATAAAATAGCACAACCAAGATATTGACATTGATATAGCCAAGATGGCAGAACATTAACATCACCATTTGGATTTATCCTGTTGGCCTTTTATAACCACACCCACTTTCCTTCTCTGCTCCCCATCCTTAAACCCTGAAAAGCATTAATCTGGTCTCTATTTCTATAATTTTGTCATAGAAATATTTATAAATGGAAGCATACAGCATGTCATGTTTTGGGATTGGCACTTTTCACTTAGCGTAATTCTCTGGAGAATCATCTTGATTGTTGCAAGAATCAATAGTTCATTCCTTTTTATTGCTGCGTGGTATTCCATGGTATGGAGGTACCACAGCTTGTTCACCTGTTAAATGTTGTTTCCAGTTTGGGGCTATTAAGAATCAAGTTGCTATAAACATCAGTGGACAGGTTTTTGTGTAAATATAAATCTTCATTTCTCTGGGATAAAAGCCCAGGAGTGCAACTGCTGGATTGCATGTTAGTTGTTTGTTTAGGTTTGTAATAAACTGCCAAAGTGTTTTCCAAAGCTACTGTCCCATTTTACATTCCCACCAGCAATGTATGAGTGATCCAGTTTCTCCACATCCTTGGCATTTAGTTTTGTCACTATTTTTTATTCTAGCCATTCTGATAGATATGGAGTAGTATCTCATTGTGATTTGGGGGGGGTTGTTTTGTATGGTTTTTTGAGATAAGGTCTTGCTCTGTTGCCCAGGTTGGAGTGTAGTGATTTGATCCCTTCACTGTAATCTTAAACTCGTGGACTCAAGCAATCCTCCTGCCTCAGCCTCCCAAGTAGTTGGGGCTACAGGCACACACCCCCACATTCAGCTATTTTTTTTTAAGTTTTGTAGACATAGGATCTTGCAATGTTGCCCAGGCTGTCCTCAAACTCCTGGTCTCATGCTATCCTCTTAAAGTTTTGGGATTTACAAAACTTCATTGTGGTTTAAATTTGCATTTCCTTAATGTCTAATAACTCATGTCAAACATCTTTTATATTCTGTACAATGAAATGTGTTTTTTGGTCTTTTGCTCATTATCTAAATAAAATTTAGTTTTTTCCTGTTGAAATTTGAGAATTATTTATATGTTCTATATACCAGTTGTAGTAGGGTGAAAAATGACCCCCCAAAAAATAGCCAAGTCCAAATGCCTGGAACCTTTGAATGTTACCTCATATGGCAATAAAAAGGAGTCTTTGCAGAGGTAGTTAAGGATCTTAAGATGAAGAGATTATTCTGGATGATGTAGGTGGGCCCTGAATACAAACACTTGTATCCTCAGAGAAGGGGAGCAGAGATAGATTTCAAAAAGATGAGAAGAAGGCAATGTGATTGCAGAGGCAGAGAAGGGAGTGATGTGGCCATAAGCCAAGGAATGCCAGTAGTCACCAGAATCTAAAACTCCCAAAGAAAGGATATTCTCCTAGAATCTCTGGAGGGAGGGAGCATGACCTTGCAGACAAGTTGATTTCAGTTTAATAGTACTGATTTCAGACTTTTGACCTCCAGGACTGGGAGACAATAAATTTCCGTGTTTTTTTTTTTTTTTTTTAGATGAAGTCTCGCTCTTGTCCCCCAGGCTGGAGTGCAATGGTGCGATCTCAGCTCACTGCAACCTCCACCTCCTGAATTCAAGCAATTCTCCTGCCTCAGCCTCCCAAGTAACTGGGATTACAGGCGCCTGCCACCACACCTGGCTGATTTTTGTATTTTTAGTAGAGACGGGGCTTCACCATGTTGGCCAGGCTGGACTCGAACTCCTGACCTCAGGTGATCCACCCGCCTTGGCCTCCCAAAGTGCAGGGATTATAGGCATGAGCCACCGTGCCCGGCCACTTCCGTGGTTTTAAGCCACCAAGTTTGTGGAATTTTTTTACAGCAGACATAGGAAACTAATACATTCTTCTTTTGTTGGATGTATCATTTACAAATATTTCTCTCACCCTGTAGATGGTTTTCCAATTCCTTTAAAGGGCTCTTTTGCAGAGCAAAAGTTTTTCATTTTGATAAAGTCCAATTTACACATTTTTACATTTTATGGATTGGGCTTTTGCTGTCAAATCTAAGAACTACCCCAAGCCCTAGATTCTGAAAATTTTGTGTTTTTTTTTTCTAAAAGTTTTATAGTTTTACATTGTACATTTAAGTCTATGGTCTGTTTTAATTTTTGTATAGGTATCAAGTTAGATCAAAGTTCATTTGTTTTTACCTATGGAGGACCATTTTCTTTGGCACCATTTGTTCCTCTATTGAATTACTTTTGCACCTTTGTCAAAAATCAATTGGACATATTTATGTGGGTATATTTCTGAATTCTTTGTTCTGTTCCATTGATCTATGTGTCCCTTCCTCTGCAAATATGATATTATCTTGATTACTGCAGCTGTCTTGTAATCCTTAATATCAGGTACAGTGATTCCTCTTAATGCATTCTTTTTCAAGGTTATTTTAGTTCTTCAAGGACCTACCTGTGTCTTTCTATATAAATTTTAAAACAAGCTTGATCATGTCTTAAAATCCTTTTTGGAGTTTTGGTAGGAATTGCATTAAATAAATTTGAGAAGTGTTGTGAGCTGAATTGTGTCCCCCTAAAATTCATATGTTGAAGTCCTAACCCCAGTACCTCAGAATGTGGCTGTAGTTAGAGGTAGTGCCTTTAGAGAGGTAATTAAGTTAAAATGAGGTTATTAGGGTGGGCCCTAATCCAATATGACTAGTATCCTTTAAGAAGAAGAAAAGTGGACACAGTACTGAGGGAAGACCATGTGTAAGTCACAAGAAGAACATGGCCATCTACAAAGCCAAGGAGAAAGACCTTAGAAGAAAGCAATCCTACCGACATTTTGACCTCTGACTTCTAGCCTCCAAAACTGTGATAAAATAACTCTGTTGTTTAAGCCACCCAGTAAGTGGTAGTTTGTTATGGCAGCTCTAACAAACTAATAGAGGAAGAACTGATATCTTTACTATGTTGACTCTTCCAATCCATGAACAGGGTATGCCTCTTGATTTATTTAGGTCTTTGATTTCATGCATCAACATTTTGTAATGTTAACTATAAATTCCGCACATATTTTATTATGTTTAGACCTGAGTATTTTAAGTGATAGTAAATAATATTGAATTTTATTTTGAGTTTCCATATGATCATTGTTAATATAAAAATGTCATTGACTTCTGTGCATTGATTTTATACCCTTGTGACTTTGTTGAACTCATTAATTCTAGGAGTTTCTTTGTAGGTTCTTTGAGATGTTCTACAAAAACAATTACATCATGTGCATATGGGAACTGTTTTACTTCTTTCTTTCTAATATATATGCCTCTTTTTGCCTTATTGCAATGGCTACTCAACAAAGGAAGACAAATGTATTAGTTTCCTATGACTGCTGTAAGAAATTACCACAAACTTGGTGACTTAAAACAACTTTCAGTCCTATGTTGTATAACAGTGGTGAACATTGATATCCTTGCCTTATTCTTAATCTTAGGGGGAATGCATTGTCTTGTGCCCAGGACTGTTTCCACTGCTATTGGGAGATGGGCCCACCCTGTCACTGGATATGAGTCTTTTTCTAAGTTCCTGCTTTGGTTTCTTTGGTTTTTGTCTACAACTGTTGGTGATCCTGAGTTACAGGCCTCTCCAGTACCCAGAGAGGGTACTGGAGATAAAAAAAAACCACAGGGAAGTCACTAGAGTGTCATTCTTCAAGTATTGAGTTCCCCAGCCAGTTCATCTTCTTTGCATTTTCAGAGTGTTTTTTATAAATGTCTATCAAATTATTTATAAGGGTATTTGGTTGTATTTAGAGGAGATCAGCAGGGAAAAGTGAGTCTACTCCATCTTGTCCTGAATCATGTATTTTTAATAGTTATCAAATATTACATAATAATACAAGTTTTTTTTTTAGATGAGCCTAGAAGATCTAATTGCTACTATGGAACTTAGAAATATTTTGAAACAATTTCTTGGGTTCCGAAAATTGACTGTGGATGAAGCCGACTAGCAATTCAACTGGGAGTGACAAAAAGAAGGGGTGCTAGGCTGGTAACAGAGGATGGGAACATCTGTGGTTGCGTTCTGTTGGGAGAGAAATAGGGTGATATTGTGACTTCAGTGGTAGCTAACTAAATGCAACATTATAATGCCCCTTGGGAATTTTGCCAATCTGTATGCAAAAATGGAGCTTTGTCAGCTACTCTGTGTTTATGTACAGAGCTATGTCAGCTACTCTTTGTTTATGATAGTCTTCGGTGAATTGCACTAATCAATTAGTTATTGATCATGAGCCTTAAAATTCTGGTACAGTGGACCAGAAGGCATGCGCTTTTCTTTTGAGAGAATCAAAAGGTACCTGGAGAACATTTACTAGGTGGCTTGGAAGGGGATCTGAAGATATTCTAAGAATAGCAAGAAAAAATAATAATGCTGTAAGTAAAAATGCAGCTTATTGCATAAGAGATACTGAGATTTTCACAAATTACATAATACATTTTCAAATATATTTGAATATTTTTCTGATTTGTGCATGCCTTTGTTGTACTAAAATAAACATGTGCTGTCTAAGGTATTAAATCCAAAAATTACTGATTTAAGTGCTTTATTTCATTCTAACTTATTCATTGTCTAAATATCTAAAGTCTGAGAGTTTCTGTATCATTATATTAAAAAGTGTCTGAACTTTAATAAATTTAATGGTGTATGCTCACTTGCATTAGCAATTTGAAGATGCTGTTATATATCTGATATGTCTGCTCCCAGGTATCAGTTTGCATCTCTTAAGTTTAACGGTCTTAGTCTTTTTGAAATTAGTTCCGTTTTATAGTTGTTATTTCCTTTTTGTTTTTGTTTTCTATTTTAATGAAAAGTAGAGCCCAGGTAAGAATCTTACCATAGCAGATCTTTCCAGAAATTTGGAGTGAGTAGGAATTTGAAGGGTGAAGAAAATTACAGCAAGAAAATATTTTCAAACTAGAGATCAGAGGTCATTGTGGAAATACATGACTGCAAAAAAGTTATATATTTATGGAAGCAAGAGTAATCATTTTGAAGCATACTGTGAACTAAGTACCTTAATGACACCCAAAGGCCTAATTATTTTTAAATAATCATTTTGAAGCATATTATGAAGTAAGTACTCAAATGACACCAAATGAACAGTTGAGGCACTGATCCAATTCACAAAATTACCTTCATTTCTGCCAATTTTGAAGCATTTCTTTAAACAGCATACTTACCTTCTTGGTATTCTAGGGAACAATTTGAGTTTTAATTTTCCTCTAATCAAGTTTACATGTCCCTCATTCTCCCCCAAAATCTTCTCCTGCCTTTTAAATGTAAACTATGAGTGTTGAAATGCTATAATGACAAATAAAAATATGTGTTATAATCAGCTAGATCTAGGTTCCAATTCTGACTTTGCTGTCTAGTAGTCTAATCATGTGACCCTGGGCAAGTTATTGCCTAAATGAGAAATAAGTAAGCTGCATGAAGGCAAAAATTTGTTTTGTGCACCAGACACAGAACCTAGATGTGTGCTTGGTATACTGTAGGTGCTCAATAAATAATTGCCAAATGAATGATCTTCACTTTTCATGTCTATAATGTTATGTTTTTGTGAGAATTTAAAATAACCTTGAGCCAGGAGTCTGAGACCAGCCTGGGCAACATAGCAAAACCCCATCTCCACAAAAATAAAAATAAAATAAAATACAATGATAACAACTGCTAAGCTCTTGACATGTTAATGCACTCAAATTCTAATGAAACCTTGCTCTTCAAAATTTAACCAGTCTCACCATCTCTGTGAAGTCTTCCTGAACTATCTTTACCCAACTCTAGTCCAATAATTTCATACATCTTCAGTCTCACTACCTCCCCCTTTTATGTGTATGAACTTACTATCTGATTAAAACTGGACACGTTGGTGTTTTTATTGTGTCTGCTACCTTTCTTTGTAGGTATTTACTTAGGTTTAGTTTCTTTGACAAAGAGGGAAATATCTTCTTTGTTATCTATTGCAGTGTTTAAAAACATTGGTTCAAAAGCCACAGAGCCTCAGTTTAAAATTCCTACTCTACAATATACGAATTATGTGTCCTTCTGTGAATTACCAAATAGACCTCTTCCTCTATTCTATTGTATGTAAACTACAGATGACAACAGAATCTAACTCATATGGTTTGCGAGAATTAAATGATGAAATACATGTAAAGTGCTTAAAACAGTGCCTGGCACGTAAGGAATAACAACTGTTAGCTATGATTATTGTCATTTCCTGCAAAGCTACATACGAATAATTATACACAACTTTCTTAAAGACTTGCCTCTAGACAGTGTTGACAGCTGAATAATATATCTTTATGTAACTGATTTATTTACAAAGATTAGAGATATATATCTAATTTCTTCAAAGTAATAGAAGACAGAACAGATTAAATGTGATACCTCAAATACACATACAATGACAGGATAACAGGATGGGAAAAGAAAGCCGGAAAAAAATTATTTGAACAATGACAGTTAGAGGTTCAGTGTTTTCAAGTAGAATTTAGCAGAAGCAAAACTCTTTATCATCTTTTTTTTCAAGAGTTCATTGTTAGTTGAAATGCAATGATGGGGTAGAATGATAATTCACGTTTCAGTGCCTCTGAAGGTACCGTTTAAGTTAGCCATTTCTTGAGGTAGTTGCACTTACACACAGATGCGTCAACTCAGACAAAAACATGCCAATCGGCCACAAGGAAAATGGGTGTGATCTGAGCTCCTAAACCAATAAGAATGTTTAAAAGTTCAAGTCTTCATGATCACCTAACTTCAGCCTTAAAGTCTGTTATCTGTATAGGAATTGAATGAGCTCATATTTATAACCTAGCTTTAATCTGCAAATAGCTCTACGAATGAAAACATATATATTGAAATATCATGTAATGGTAAGGGGCAATTTGAGGTTGCTTTCGGTTTATAATGAAAATAGATTTAGACTAGCAATGATTTTTTATTTTTTTCCTTAAAGATATATGATTACTATCCTTTTGGTTAATTACTACAAATGCTTTTTTTGTTTTTGTTTTTTTGTTGTTTTTGTTTTTTAACAGTGTCTTACTCTGTCACTCAGGTTGTAATGAGATTAATTCCTGCATATCTTTTAGATCCCCACTTAGATGTCACTTCCTCTGGGAAGCTTTCTGACACTAAATTGACCACCTTTTTTGATCCTACAATTCTCTTTCATCCTATTTGCCATATTTCAGGGTAACTGTCTGCTTTTGAGCCTCTCTACTGTAAGACTCCTAAGTACTGTTTTTTTTTTTCTTTTTTTTTTTTTTTTTTTTTTTGAGACATGGACTTGCTCTGTCAACCAGGCTGGAGTGCAGTGGTGTGACCTCGGCTCACTGCATCCTCAACTTCCTGGGCTCTGGACTCAAGCCATCCTCCCACCTCAGCCTCCAAGTAGCTGGGACTACAGGCACACACCACCATGCCCAGCTAATTTTGTATTTTTTATAGAGACAGGGTTTTGCCATGCTGCCCAGGCTGGTCTCAAACTCCTGGGCTCAAGCGATCCTCCTGCCTCCGCATTCCAAGGTGCTGGGATTGCAGGTGTGAGGCACCACACTCAGCAAGTGGTTTGTTGTTGTTGTTGTTTTGTGTGGTTTTTTTTTGACATTTTATTGTCTATTTATTTGATAGCTACATATCTTCCTTGGTGAAGTGTCTGTTCAAATAACTTCTTATTTTTAATTAGCCATTTTTCTTATTTTGAGTTTTGAGAGTTCTTTATCTATTCAGGATACAAATCGTTTACTGAATATGTTACTGCTGAATATTCTTTATCAATCTGTGGCTTTTCTTCATTGGCTCAATCCTGTTGTTCAAAGAGCAAAAGCTTTTAATTTTGATGAAGTCCAATTTACCCATTCTTTTTATGGCTTGTGGTTTTTGACATCATAGGTAAGAGCTCTTGGCCTAACCCAATATCATTAAAGATTTTCTTCTGTTTTCTTCCAGAAGTTTAGTAGTTTTGCATTTTAAATTTAGCTCTATATTCCATTTTGAGTTTATTTTTGTAGAAGGTGTAAAATATGAATTCAGGTTTTTTTTCTGAATGTGGATTTCCAACATTTGTTGAAAAGACTATTCTTTCTCCATTGAAATGCCTTTTAGTAAAAATATTAATTGATTATATTTGTTGATTTCTGGATCCTCTATTTATGTCCATTCATATATGCACTTTTCTTTCCAACAATACCATTCTTCTTGATTACTGTAGCTTGACAGTAAGTCCTAAATTCCAGTATTATGAGTTCTCCAATTGTGCTGTTTTTCAAAACTGTTTCAGCTATTGTAGTTCTTTTGCCTTTCTGCATAAATTTTAGGATCAGCTTTTTGATTAAAAAAACCTGCTGAGAGTTTTGGTTGCAATTGTGTTGAATCTACAGATCATTTGGGGGCAAACTGACATCTTAATAATATTGATTCTTCTTCTAATCCATAATCAGGATATATCTCTCCATTTATTTGGGTCTTTAATTTATTTCATCAGTATTTTGAAGTTTGCAGCATACAGCTCCTGCACATAATTTGGTAGATTTACATTTATAATTTTATGATTTTTTATGATATTATAAATGGTACTCTTTGAAACTTTGACTTCCAATTTCCACCACTACTATATAGAAACACAATTTATTTGTGCATATGGGCTTTGCATCCTAAGAGCTTGCTAAACTCACTTAATAATTATTTTAGTTATCTGTGAATGCATAGCAAATTATCCCCCAAATTAGTAGCTTATAAAAACATTCATTATTTCACAGTTTCTGTGAATCAGGCATTGGGTCACAGCATATCCTCTTCTTCAGCATGTTTCATAGGCTGCAATCAAGGTGTCAGCCAGGTTGCAGCCACCTTAAGGCTCATCTGGAGAAAAATCCACTTCTATGTTCACTCATGCAGCTCATATAATTTGCTGGCTTTTGGATTGAAGGCCTGGGACCCACATTGGATGTGGGAGGCTTCTCTCAATTCCTTGCCATGTGGGCCTCTCTATAGGACAGTTTACAACATGGCAGCTTGCTTCATCAGAACAAGAAAGTGAATGAGCAAGAGAGAATGCCAGCAAGAGAGAAAGTGCAAGCAAGATGGAAGTCACAGTCTTTTATAACGTAATCTCAGAAGTAGCATCCAATCACTTCTGCTCTATTCTCACACCAAAAGGGAGGGGATCATTGTGGCAGGGACTATTGGGGGCCATTTCAGAAGCAGGCTACTGTATTATTTCTAGGAGCGTCTTTGTAGATCCCTTGGGATTTTCTGTGTAGACAATTATGTCATCTTCAAACCAAAACAGTTCTGTTCTTTTCTTTCCAGTGTGCATTTCATTAATTTTTCTTATGTTACTACACTGGCTAGGACCTGCAGTATGATGTTGAATAAGAGTGGTGAAAGTGGATATCCTGATCTTATTCTTGAACTTCAGGTGAAGTCATTCAATCTTTCACCATAAAGTACAACGTCTGCTTAAGGATAATTGTAGATCCCCTTTATCAAGTTGAGGAACTTCCCTTCCATTCTGAGTTTTCTGGGTGAATTTTAATCTTTATTTTTTCTTTTTGAGACAGGGTCTCGTTCTGTCATCCAGGCTGAAGTGCAGTGGCACAATCATGGCTCACTACAGCCTCAACCTCCTTGGGTTCAGGTGATCCTTCCATCTCAGCCTCTGGATCAGATGGGGTTACAGGCACTCACCACCATGCCTGGCTAATTTTCTTTTTTTCTTTCTCTCTCTCTCTTTCTTTTTTTTTGAGACGGAGTCTCGCTCTGTCGCCCAGGCTGGAGTGCAGTGGCTCGATCTCGGCTCACTGCAAGCTCCCCCTCCCGGGTTCACACCATTCTCCTGCCTCAGCCTCCCAAGTAGCTGGGACTACAGGCGCCCGCCACCATGCCCGGCTAATTTTTTGTATTTTTAGTAGAGACGGAGTTTCACCGTGTTAGCCTGGATGGTCTCAATCTCCTCACCTCGTGATCCACCTGCCTCAGCCTCCCAACGTGCTGGGATTACAGGTGGGAGCCACCGTGCCCGGCCTCTCTTTTTTTTTTTAGAGTTGAGGTTTCCCCTGGTTGCCCAGGCTGGTCTCAAACTCCTGTGCTCAAGTGATCCTCCCACCTCAGCCTCCCAGATTGCTGGGATTACAGGCCTGAGCCACTGAGCCTAATTGATCGTTTTTATCTTGGAGTTCATTTTTGCCAAATGTCTTTTCTGTATCAACTAATCCAAAATTGAGATGATCATATGGTTATTATATTCTTTAGTCTATTGAGATGATCAATTAATCAACATTAATTGATTTTTTAATGTTGGGCCCGCTATATCAGAATGTATTATCCCTTTTATATATTGCTGAACTAAATTTGTTAATATATCTTGATTATTTTTGCATCTATATTAATGAAGCAATTGATCCCTAATTTTCTTGATTATAAGGTCTCCGGTTTTATTATCAGGGTAATCCTGGTCTCATAACATGATATAAATGTATTCTTTTGCTTCTATTTTCTGGGAGAGGTTGTATAGAATTCTTATTTTTTTCTTCCCGAAATGTACAGTAGAATTTGCCAGTGAAGCTATCCAGGCATGGAGATTTTTAGAAGCTTTTAAATTTTTTCTAATTTTTAATTTTTAATTGCTGTAGGTACATAGTGTGTATATATTTACAGGGTACCTGAGATGTTTAGATATAGGTATACAATGCATAATAATCACATCATGAAGAATGGGATATCTGTCCCCTCAAGCATTTATGCATTGACTTACAAACAATCCAATTATACTCTTTAAGTTATTTTAAAATGTACAATTAAGTTTTTATTGACTATAGTCACACTGTTGTGCTATCAAACACTAAGTCTTATCCATTCTTTCTAGCCATTTTTTGTTCTCATTAACCTTTCCCACTACCACCCATCCCCCCCCACTACCCTTCCCAGCTTCTGGTAACCGTCCTTCTACTCTCTATCTCAATGGGTTCAATTGTTTTGATTTTTAGATTTCACAAATAAGTGAGAACATCTGACGTTTGTCTTCCTGTGTCTGGATTATTTCACTTAACATAATGACCCCCAGTTCCATTCATGTTGTTGAAAATTACTGAATCTTCTCCTTTTTTATGGCTAAATAGTACTCCATTGTGTACAAGTACTACCTTTTCTTTATCCATTCATCTGTTGGTGGACATTTAGGTTGCTTCCAAACCTTGGCTATTGTGAACAGTGCTGCAGCAAACATGGGAGTACAGATAACTCTTTACATGCTGATTTCCTTTCTTTTGTGTATATTCCCAGCAGTGGGATTGCTAGATCATATAGCAGCTCAATTTTTAGTTTATCGAGGAACCTCCAAACTGTTCCCCATACTAATGGAGTTGTACTAATTTACATTCCCACCAACGGTATACAGGGGTTCCCTTTTCTCCACATCCTCACCAGCATTTGTTATTGCCTGTCTTTTGGACACAAGTCATTTTAACTGGGGCGAGATTGTAGTTTAATTTGTAGTTTTGATTTGCTTGTCTCTGATGATCAGTGATGTTGAGCACCTTCTCATATGCCTGTTTAATGTCTATTCAAATATTTAGCCCATTTTTTATTGGATTATTAGACTTTTTTCTATGGAGTTGTTTGAGCTCCTTATATATTCTGGCTATTAATGCCTTGTCAGATAGGTAGTTTGCAAACATTTTTCTCCCCTTCTGTGGGTCTTCTCTTCACTGAAGGCTTTTAACGAGAGTTAAGCTATTTAAACAGTTTAACCATTTTTTCATATGCAATCTTTGGGAGTTTATATGTTTAAGAGAATTGGTTCATTTCATATAAGTTGTTGAATTGATAGAAATAATTTTTTAATGTCTACAGGTTTTGCAGTGATTCTACTTCTTTAATAACTGATACTGGTAATTTGAGTTTTCTCTCTTTTTAAATTGATTGTCTTCCTGGCAGTTTGTCAATTTCATTACTTTTGTAAAAGAATGAGCTTTGGGGGGCTGAGTGCGGTGGCTCAAGCCTGTAATCCCAGCACTTTCGGAGGCTGAGGCGGGCGGATCACGAGGTCAGGAGATCGAGACCATCCTGGCTAACACGGTGAAACTCCGTCTCTACTAAAAATACAAAAAATTAGCCGGGCATTAGGGCCGGCGCCTGTAGTCCCGGCTACTCGGGAGGCTGAGGCAGAAGAATGGCGTGAACCTGGGAGGCAGAGCTTGCAGTGAGCCGAGATCAAGCCATTGCACTCCAGCCTGGGCGACAAAGCGTGACTCCGTCAAAAAAAAAAAAAAAAGAATGAGCTTTGGAACACACTGGTTTTCCTCTACAGTTCTCCTATTTTTAATCTTAATAATTTGTGCTCTGAACTTTCTTATTTTCTTTCTTCTGCTTGCACTGGGTTTAATTTGCTCTTCATTTCTAGTTTCTAAGAGTAGAGGTTTAGATTACTGATTTGAGACCGTCCTTACTTTCTAAAATAAGTAATTAATGCCATAAATCTTCCTCTAAGCACTACTTTAGCTACATCTTACAATTTTTAACAACAGCTTTACTGGATACAATTGACAAACATAAACTATATATATTTAAAATGTACAATGTGATGTTTTGACATATATATGTATATTTGTGAAATTATCACTACTATCTAGATAATCAACATATCCACTGCACCTCAACTTCTCTTCTTCCCATTTAATAACCCTTTTCATCTGCACCACCCCACTCATGATTGTCCCCAGCAATCACTGCTGTTCTTTCTGCCACTGTAGATTAGTTTGCAGTTTCTAAAATTCTATATAAATGGACACGTAGTATGTACTCTTTCTGTGTGGCTTCTTTAACTCAACTTAATTATTTTAGGATTCTTCCATGTCATTATGTGTATCAATAGTTCATTACTTTTTATTGCCAGTGTTGGCAATTTGATTATAATGTGTCTGGGCATGGTTTTCCTTGAGTTTATCCTGTTCGAGGTTTGCTGAATTTCTTGAATCTCTAAATTTTTCTTTCACCAAATTGGGGCAATCATTGCCCATTTTTGTTCAAATTTTCTTTCTGCACCAACCCGTCTTTTTCTCCTCTCCCTTTGGGACTCTAATGGCACAAATTTTCTGTAATTTGGCTGAATCCCACAGGTTCTTGAGGCATTGTTCATTTTTCCTCAGTGTTTCTATTCTTTGGTTTGAATAATTTCTATCGATTCATCTTCAAATTGACTCTTTCCTCTGTCATCTCTACTTTGTTATTAAGCCTATGCTATATATTTTTTAAATTTAGATATTGTATTTTTCTGTCCTAAAATTTTCAATTTTTAATAATTTATTTTTCCTTTGAGAGCATCCATATTTCCATTAATTTCTATTCATTACTACATAGAGTATTGTAACAGTAGCTGCTTTACAATGGTTGAACTAGTTTACAGTCCCACCAACAGGAAGTCAGTGTGGCGATTCCTCAGGGATCTAGAACTAGAAATACCATTTGACCCAGCCATCCCATTACTGGGTATATACCCAAAGGACTATAAATCATGCTGCTATAAAGACACATGCACACGTATGTTTATTGCGGCACTATTCACAATAGCAAAGACTTGGAACCAACCCAAATGTCCAACAATGATAGACTGGATTAAGAAAATGTGGCACATATACACCATGGAATACTATGCAGCCATAAAAAATGATGAGTTCATGTCCTTTGTAGGGACATGGATGAAATTGGAAACCATCATTCTCAGTAAACTATCGCAAGAACAAAAAACCAAACACCGCATATTCTCACTCATAGGTGGGAATTGAACAATGAGATCACATGGACACAGGAAGGGGAATATCACACTCTGGGGACTGTGGTGGGGTCGGGGGAGGGGGGAGGGATAGCATTGGGAGATATACCTAATGCTAGATGACACGTTAGTGGGTGCAGCGCACCAGCATGGCACATGTATACAAATGTAACTAACCTGCACAATGTGCACATGTACCCTAAAACTTAGAGTATAATAAAAAAAAAAAAAATTAAAAAAAAAAAAAACAGTAGCTGCTTTAGAAGCTTTGGCTGACAGTTGCAACATCTTGGTAATTTGAGGTTGGTATCTGTTAGTCTTTTTTCTGGATATATTTTATGTCAAGCAATTTTAAATTGTATCCTGGATATTCTGAGTTTTATATTTTGTAGATTTTAGATCTTGTTAAAATCTGCTTGAGAATGCTGATTTTGTTTACTTGTTTGATTTAGTAGGCATTGAAAACCCAGTTAAATTCAGACTTAGAGTTCAGTCTTGCCTCTGTGGTGAGTGGATTCAATGTATTTTGTTTTCATAACCTTGGCTACGCTGCTTTGAGTCTGTCCCACACACATGTCATTCAGGGCATGGTCTCTGACTTGGATGGATGTTTAAATACATTAAATTTTCTAAAGCTTTTCTATGCTTCTTGAAGTCTGTCCTGTTTACTTAAAGCTCAGCATTAAGACTGGCACTTTTTCAGGTTTAAACGCAGAATTAAGAAAACCTTTTACCAGCTGTCTACTCTATGGGGTTCCCTTTCATGCTTTCTGGTCCACAAAGTCCTCTTTTTCTGGTCTGCTGGCCAGAAAGAAAAGGTTTCTTCAAAATTTTAGTGCTCATACTATCAAAGCTCTCTGACTAGAGTCTTCTCCAGACAAAGCCAGGAGACAAAAAAGGGAGGGAAAACTGTATTTCCCCTACATTAGGGAGACCATAGAGACTCCTTTTGTCAGTTACTCTGGCTGGAAAGATTGGGTTTCCATAAGGATTAAACCACTCCTGGGCTACCACCATGCAGCTAAGTGACTGAGTCCTGCCTGGGGCAAAGCTACTAGAGAAAAGAGAGGAAAAAAAAAGGGAACCTCATTCCCATATAGGTTACTTCTCTAAGTTTTGATTTCCCTTTCAATCTGTTTTTGTTTATTTTTCTGAGTCCTCAGGTAGTTGCTTTTGAATTTTTTTACAGAGTTATTGATTGAATACAAAAGAAGAGATAGTTTTTAGTGGGCTTACTCTATTTTTGTTGTCATCAGAACTCTTATTTAAACTTAATGTTTGAATGTTCCCACATTTGGTCAGTGGGGGCTCTGTTAAGCTGGCTCCTGTGGGTTTTTTTTTTTTTTAATGTTTCCATTATTCTATGTTCACTTCCTTACTTTTCAGCTGAAAAGGTGTTCCAATCTCATATTTTTTTTTTTTTTTTTTTTTTTTTAGACGGAGTCGTCTTGCTCTGTCGCCCAAGCTGGAGTGCAGTGGTGCAATCTCAGCTCTTGGCTCACTGCAACCTCCGCCTCTCGGGTTCAAGCAATTCTGCCTCAGTCTCCTGAGTAGCTGGGACTACAGGCGTGTGTCACCACGCCTGGCTAATTTTTATATTTTTAATAGAGATGGGGTTTCACCATATTGGCCTGGCTGGTCTCTATCTCCTGACCTCGTGATCTGCCTGCTTCAGCCTCCCAAAGTGCTGGGATTACAGGCATGAGCCACCGTGCCCGGCCCTCCCAATCTCATGCTGTAATTTTTCTGTCCCATTCCTGAAATTGACTATTTCCCCAAGGAGTTTCTGTTTCTGTTTTCGCTCATTGCTACGCATGTGACACTGCTGCTAGGCCCTCTTAGTGGACAGACTAGGACATAATTCAAAGTATACATATAAATATTATGTTATCTCTCTAGCTAGCTAGCTAGCTAACTATCACCTACTACCACTATGAATTTACACGGATATCATGAATATTAGTCCAATGATGTAGAGTTCATTATTTCCTTCCCCCTTTCGAATTTTTAACTACCTTATGCAACAGTGAGAAATCTGGCTTCTATTGTCTTTGGTATACCTACACACTTATACAATCTCAGAGTACACTAACAATATTGGTGGTGTTATACAATCACTATTGCATAACACCAATAAAAAGCAAACCTACTATTTAGAGTTTATTTATATTTAGACAGAATGTATATTGTACAAATATTGTGTATTAAAGTTATTTGGGTCAGATTTTTTTGTACTTCAGTGTGGTTATGTTATTAGTTTCAAATAGAATTAAGTTATTTGGATTCTGTTTATAATCTGTATCAGGTAATAAAGAAATTCCTTATTTTAAAAAATAAATCCCATTTTGTGGATAGTCTGTAATATATTTAATTAATCTCTCTCTATATAGAACTTAGATTGTTTAGAATATTTTGCAATTACAAATAATGCTTATATGAATAATCTCACACATATATATGTTGCTATTAACACACGTTTATCATCCAGTGAACACTTTAGATGTTAGTTTTCTGAGTTAAAACATAATTACTTATGTAGTTTTTTTCAGTGTTGTCAGATTTTCCTCCAAAATGGTTTGTAGCAATTGACATTCCCACCAGCAATATACGAGAGTGCTGATGTCCCCATAGCCTTGCCACAGTGCAATTCAAGCTTGTCATATTTTGCCAATCTGATAGGTTAAAAAATGGTATCATGGTGTCATTTATTTTGCATTTTCCTTCTAATGATTGAGATTAAACATATTTTCATGTATTTAAGGACCATATATATATATATAAATGTGTATATATATAATTCAAATATTCACACATGTTTATATATATATTTAAAATATATATTTTTGAGAGAGAGAGAGAGGGTTTGGCTGTCACCCAGGCTGGAGTGTAGTGGCATGAAAATGGCTTACTGTAGCCTCAGCCTCCAGGGCTCAAGCCATCCTCCCATCTCAGCCTCCCAAGTAGCTGAGACTACAGGTGCCCGCCACCACCCTTGGCTAATTTTGTTGTTGTTGTTGGAGAGACTGGGGTTTCACTATGTTGCCCAGACTGTTCTCAAACTCCTGGGCTCAAGTGATCCACCTGCCTCAGCCTCCCAAAGTGCTGGGATTATAGGTGTGAGCTGCCGCACCTGGCCTATAAAATATATTTAAAAAATCCAAATTGCCTACTCACATCTTTAGTTCATTTCTTCTATTGAGTGCTGGATTTCTACTTCAGTTATAAAGAATTGTTTATGTATTAGAGATATTAGCCCTTTGCAATATATTTTGCAACTATTTTCTATGAGTTTGTTTTTGAAGTTTGCTTTTGGTGTTTGGCATGTATTATTGTTATTATTATTATTGTTGTTATGCCAATGATATCAATCATTTGTCTTTTAGGGGTGTTTTTAATTTTTCCTAACAATAGATTTTGCATATTTTCTCCTTAATGTATTCTCTTTTCCTTGCTATTTTAAATGGAGGTTTCTCCAACTGGTTATTTGGGTATATTAATTCTATAGACCTTTCCATGCTAATGTTACATCCTGCTATCTCACTGAATATCTTATTTTTTAATAGTTTTATCCTGATTTTCTTATGAAGTGTGAGATACACTGGAAAAAGAGATGGTTATACTTGTTCAGTTTTTATAACTCTAATTAATTTATCTTATCTAACTGCATTGACTAATATCTACAGCAAAATGTTAAGTGGAAATGGAAACATAAGGCATGCTCATATTTTTCCTGATCTTAGGACAAGTGCTTTTATTGTTTTCCTATGAACTAAGATGCCAGCTGTCTGACAAAGTTATTTATATTTTATCACAGTAAAAAAGTAATATCAATTTCTATATTCTTGAGGGATTTTTATCAAAAAAGCTATAAATTTTGGCAAATGTTTATTCACTCAGTATCTTTAGAGATAAATCATATACTTTTAAATTAATATTTTTATGTTAATGTTATAAATATAATAATGTATTAATATAATTATCAATATTCATTATATTTTAGCTTTAATTTTTAATATGTGCTTATTAGTAATAATGTTAATGTCATATGTTAATATATTTTAGGAAAATATTTCCCTATATTGAGCCAACATAGTGTTACTAGAATAATAGTGTGACCACCCAGTTGGTCATGGTGTGTGTATATATACATATATTTTCTACTTTAAGTTCTGGGATACATGCGAAGAATGTGCAGGTTTGTTACATAGGTATACATGTCCTGTGGTGGTTTCCTGCACCCATCAACCCATCATCCAGGTTTTAAGCCCTGCATGCATTAGGTTTTGTCTTAATGCTCTCCCTCCCATTGCCCCCTCTATGCCCCAACAGGCCCCGGTGTGTGATGTTCCCCTCCCTGTGTCCATGTGTTCTCATTGTTCAACTCCCACTTATGAGTGAGAACATGTGGTGTTTGGTTTTCTGTTCCTGTGTTACTAGTAACACAATGTTACTAGAATAGTAATAATAGTGTGACCACCCAGTTGGTCGTGGTGTATTCTTTTTTAATGTGGAGTTGGATTCTTTTTTATTTCAGTTTTCTTAAGTTATAATTGACAATTAAAATTAGTATACATTTATGGTGTATATTGTGATATTTTGACATATCTATGCGTTGTGAAATGATTAGATCAAGCTAATTAACATATCCACCACCTAACATACATTTTTTTGAGACTGGAACATTTAGGACCTACTGTTAACAATTTCAAGCATGCAATACAATATTATTAAGCATTGTCATTATACTGTACAATAATAGGTCTCCAGAATTTATTCACCATGTCTAACTGAAACTGTACTCTTTGACAACAATTCCTATCTCCCTTCCCCACCCCATATCACCCCAGCCTCTGGAAGACACTGTTCTACTCTCTGCTTCTACAACTTTGAGTTTTTTCAATTCACATGACATTGGATTCTGTGTGCTAAGATTTTATAAAGTATTTTTGCATTAATAGTCATAAGTGACATTGGTCTATAGCATCCTTTCTTCATACTGTCTTTACCTGGTTTATGTATCAAAGTTATTCTCACTTCATATAAACCTTAGGAAGTTTCACTTTGTTTTCAATGCTCTGAAACAATTTTTGAAGCATTATAACTAGAAGAGCCCAGTGAAACTATTTGAGTCCGGAGGGATTTTTGTGCAAGTTTCCTTGATAACTATTTCTTCTACTGAAATTGGTCTGTTTCCTTTTACATCTCATGGGGTCAATTTTGTTAACCTGGATTCCTCTGATAAATTATCTATTTTTTATGTTTTCCATTGATTTGCATGTAAATCTACAAGGTAATCTTGTGATTTACAAAATTTATTTTTTTCTATGATTATATGCCCTCTCATATTATATTTGATATATTTATGCTCTATTCCTTTTTCCTTGTTAAAACTAGCTAGCAATTTTCTATTTTGTGAAAAATCTTTTAAAAAGTCAGGAGTGCCCTGGCGCGCTGGCTCACGCCTGTAATCATAGCACTTTGGGAGACTGAGGCGGGCGGATCACTTGAGGTCAGGAGTGGCCTGGCCAACATTGTGAAACCCCGTCTCTACCAAAAACATAAAAAATTAGCCGAGTGTGGCGGTGCACGTGTGTAATCCCAGCTACGCAGGAGGCTGAGGTGGGAGAATCACTCGAACCCAGGAGGCGAAAGTTGCAGTGAGCCGAGATCGTACCACTGCACTCCAGCCTAGGTGACAGAGCGAGACCCCATCTCAAAAAAAAAAAAAAAGAAAAGAAAAGAAAAAAAAAGCCAGGAGTTTAATTTCTTGATTAGGTATACTGTCCTTTTATTCTCTACTGTTCTCTACCCAGTCAATTACTGCTCTTATCTTTATTATTTTTTTTTTCTGCTTTGTGCTTTCTTTTGTTCTCTTTTTTGGTCCTTTTTCAAGATTATTTAATGGAAATTTATTCATATACTTTGGTTTTTTACTAATAAATGTAATTGGAGTTGTGAATGTTCCTCTGTTCACTCCTTTATGTGTATCCTATAGATTTTGATAAAGCAGTGTTTATGCTATCATATTTTAAAATAAATTTGGTAATTTCTGTTTGCATTCTTCTTTTCACCCAAGAGCTGTTTAAAATTTATGGTTCCAAGATGATATTAAAGCTTTTGTTGTTAGTACTTTCTAGTATTATTACATTGTTATCAAAAAGAACTTTTTATAAAATTTCTACTTTAACCTTTTCTTGTGACCTAATATATGATTAAATTTTGCGTACTTCATGTGCACTTAAGAAGCTATACTTTCTACGATAAGAGTGTAAAGTTCAATATACATTCATAAGATATATATTCTTTGTTTTTGGTCCAGTCTTTCTTGTACTGAGTACAGTATATTAAAATCTCCCATATTAGAATGCACCCATAAATGTATTCTTCCACCGTTTTTAGATTTTCCTTTATAAAAGTCATTTCTGTGTTATTGGATGCAGAGATATTCTTAACTGCCATTTCTTTGTCTTTAATTGTGGCTTTCTTTTATCATTAATAAGCATCTTTCTTTTTTAGTCTTACCATTTTTTTACTTCAAATTTCTTTTGTCAGATATCAAGATCGCAATTTCTGCTTTATTGTTACCATTTGCTTGGTATACTTTCACCTACCCCTTTATTTTTAGCGCTTACTAATCCCTGGGTTGTAAGGGTTACTTTTGTATATGGAATATACTTGGGTCTTTCTTCATATGCCTAATTAAAAATCTTTTATGTTTAATAGAGTGATAGCTTCTTCATTCGAGTTTATGATTATTACTTACTGATATGTTTGATTTTAACTCTGTCATATTATATCATCATATAATGTTAAGTGCATTATGTTTTCTTTTCTCTTTTTTTTTTTTGAAATAGAGTCTCGCTCTGCCGCCCAGGCTGGAGTGCAGTGGCGCGATCTCGGCTCACTGCAAGCTCCGCCTCCCAGGTTCACACCGTTCTCCTGCCTCAACCTCCCGAGTAGCTGGGACCACAGGTGCCCACCACCACACCTGGCTATTTTTTTTGTATTTTTAGTAGAGACGGTGTTTCACCATGTTAACCAGGATGGTCTGGATCTCCTGACCTCGTGATCTGCCCACCTCGGCCTCCCAAAGTGCTGATTACAGGCGTGAGCCACCACGCCCAGCCTTATTTTCTTCTATTTCTTCCTCTATTTGACTGATTTTGGCTCTTCTACTAATTACATTTCCTTTGGTGTTTAAGAACGTGTGTATTTTTGTTCTAGTGGTTAACTTTATATTTATAACATGCTTAATGACCCTAGACCCATGTTTTCTTATTCTATTACTTTCTGATTTGCCAGTTTTTTATGGTTATAATTTAATTCTTATCATTCGTTTATAGAAGAATCAACGAAATGATTCTACTCTCCTCTTCCCCTTCCTCTTTCTCTTCCTAATTTTTGGTTGCATTGTTTCCAGATTGTTAGAACAGATAAAACATAATATATATTATATGACATGGTATTTTTCTGCTCTTAAAATACCATTTCTTTTATTTTAGCTCTAAAGTTAAATATATTAAATGTTTATCATCAGTCTTTTTGATGAAACTTTCCCAGTCATCCCTTTGTTAGATGAATCCCATCCACTATTTTATTTTGCTTTATTTTGTAATTTTATTTTATTCTATTTTATTTTATTTGAGATGGAATCTCCCTCTGTCGCCCAAGCTGGATTGCAGTGGCTCAATCTTGGCTAACTACAACCTCCGCCTCCTGGGTTCAAGCGATTCTCCTGCCTCAGTCTCCCAAGGAACTGAGATTACGGGCAGGCAGCACCATACCCAGATAATTTTTTTGTATTTTTAGTAGATACTGGGTCTCTACTAAAGAAATCCGGTTGGCCAGGCTGGTCTCGAACTCTTGACCACAAGTGATCCGCCCGCCTAGGCCTCCCAAAGTGCTGAGATTAAAGGCATGAGCCACCACACCTGACCTCCACTATTTTATTTTTTAAAAGGGCTTGTGGTACATAATTCCCTGAATTTTAAAAGACTTAAACTTTTTATAGCCTTAATGGACAACTTGTCTAGACATAGAATCATATTTCCAAACCATTTTGTGTATTTAAAAATATTTTTAAATTTATGGCATCTATTATATAGAGTAAAATTCACCTTTTTAAAACTGTATACTAGAATTTATAGCTCTTCAAATTTATATATATATATTTGTATAACCATCACCACAATCAAGATATAAAACAGTTTCATAATAACAAAATAAATGGCTTTTTGAAGTCATCTTCCCACTTTCAGCCATTGAAACTATTGATCTGTTTTCTGTCTGTATAGATTTGTCTTTCAAAGAATGTCCTATAAATGGTTGTGTTTTGATAGTATTGTTTCACTATTGCTTTGTTTTGTCTTTTTTTTTTTTTTTTTTTTTTTTTTTTACATGTAAGGCAGTCTAACACTCTTGCTCTTGTAAATTTTTCCCTCTTTTTGCTTTGGAAACCCCGAGGATTTTTTCTTTATATTGAAAAATCCAGTGTCTCAGATTTATCTCAGAGTTCATTGTTTCAGGTCAATTTTCTAGCACTGGGTTGAACCTATCAATATGTAGAGTCAGACTCTCTTTCATATCTGGAAGACATTATTGGATTATAGTTTTAAATATTAATTCTGTTTTCCTATTTGTTCCTTTTCAAGGGTTCTCATACATACATTTAATCATTTTTGCTGATATTCTATTTCAACCACACTCTAACATATTTTACTTCTTTCTTCGTCTCATCTTCATTCTCTTTGGTAATCTGTTTTTCTTCTATACTCCTTATTAAGCTTCATATGAATCAATTCTTCGTTGGGTGCTTTTTATGTTCATTCCTGATATGATGTATTTTTCTTCTATTTTATTTGTCCTGAATTCAGTTAATTTTCCTTCATGCTGTCCTATTTTTTTGACCATTTCTATTCTTAGTTATTAGATTACTACTTCAAAGTACATTTTTTAATACCTTAACATGCTTGTTTGCAGATTTTTTTTGAAGTGTTTTGCTAGCATATTCTTCGGCTTGATCATTCTTTATTGGAGGGAATGTTCATCAAATGCCTTCTTTCTATTCTCATATTCTGATTTTTTTCTATAGTAGCTTGGTATAGATGAAGATTGGTTGCATCTCAGAATTTCTATGAACATGACTGACAGTTTGTAGGTAGCTTCCAAAATTCCAAGCTCAAGAGCATCCTCTTTTCTTTGTGTATCAAAGTATGGTTTCTTTACTGGAGGGCCTTTGGGGGACAGTGGGAGACAGTAGAGGGAGGGGTGATGGGTCCTAATATTTTGACATTTTCTGTACTGTAAGATGATAAATTTCCCCCTCTTGCTTCTTTTTCCTTTCACTGTGCTTTTTTTTTTTCAAGTCACCTCTTGCTTCCTTTTTTACCTTTTTCCACCTCCAAAGAGTTAATTTTCCAAGGCTGCTTTCTTGAGTCTTATGCATACTTTTCAGTACCTTATCTGAAAGCTGACCTTCTAGAGAAACTTTTCAGTATTTTCGTACTTGGGGTAGACTTACTTGCTTGTGGTGGTTTTTTTTTTAAATTTTTTTATGGAGTATTGCTCTGTCGCCCAAGCTAGAGTGCAGTGTTGTGATCTCGAGTTGCTGCAACCTCTGCCTCCCAGGTTCAAGCAATTCTCCTGCCTCAGCCTCCCGAGTAGTTGGGATTACAGGCGCCCACCACCACGCCCGGCTAATTTTTTTGTATTTTCAGCAGAGACTGGGTTTCACCCTGTTAGCCAGGCTGGTTTCAAGCTCCTGACCTCAAGTGATCCGCCAGCCTGGGCCTCCCAAAGTGCTAGGATTACAGGCGTGAGTAACCGCGCCCGGCCACCTGTGGTGGTTTTAGATCAATCTTAGGCTTCCTAATAGCTTTCCTCTAGTTTATTTCATGCTATCTTTCCTGGACTACTCTTCTTCTACGCAACAGCATGGGGTAGAAGTCTAATAGATAGTTCAATGTTATTTCCCATTTGTTTTCCTACTTACAGGTAATTTGAAATTTGAATGTTCTCCACACTTAATGGTGGTATTGTGCAGTTTTATTTGTTTTTTATATTGTTCTTTGTTTATTTGGGCAGGGGAATAGATATGTTAAGAGACTTGGATTTATGCTAATATCATTATTTGGCCACTCACATTTTTTTAAAGGGAGAAGCTGGCGAAACAGACACCACAGAACACAGTATACCTTCTAAATCATAGTTTCACTTCATTCCAGTAATCTTTTCTTAATTTTGGAGCAATAGAGTGGTAAAATGCCCACTGAGCAGATAAAATACTAGTGCTTTAAGGCTAATGCATCATTGAAACTCGATGAAGAATATGAAAAGCATATATTCTGAGAACACTTTATAAAATGCCTATTAAGATAATCTACTGTTGCCATAGGTATAGAACAGGCTACTTAATTTTTACATTACATGAGAGATTATTTTCTAGATGCATTTATTTTCTTTTAGGATTCGACAACTAGATACACTTTCAATATTATTTCTTCTAGTCTAATTCCATTATACACTCCAGGCAACTGGAAGTCTATTTTACTCCTTTGTGAGATAAGCATATTAGCAATTAAATTCAAACTGGGCTCTCCAACTTCCTAGTAAAGATACTTTGTAGAGTTGTATAAACTATTTGATTGTTCATCATAAATATTAGCTAGAAACAAAACCTTAGGTTAAAATGAACAGAATGAAGGGATGGAAGAAAATCAAAAGAAAAATTAAAAACCTCTTTAAAATCAATATATTGAAACTTTCAATGCCTGAATTTTTAAAGTGATGATATGAACTTACACTTATATACTTAGTAATTAATTTTGCTATCTCTTGTCTCTTTGTAATAACACAAATTATAGACTCCATGAACAAGAAGAATAGCTATTATTGAGTGCCTGTTTTGTGTCAACCACTTAGTTTGGCAGCTTTAAAAAAGGATTTCTTAAAATATATTTATTAAAGAGGATGAGCCGGTTTTTCCTTCTTTGTATCAGAGATGGTAGTAGGTATGTGTACTGCCCAGAACACAGGGGTTGAAAGATGTTTCTGTTAATGTCTCATTCAGTACATTGTAAGGCAACTAACTGTTCATTCATTGTTTACAAAGACACTAAGCAAGAGAGCATCTATGTATGATTTTAATATATATAAAATGTATGTTTTGCTTTTGGAAGACTGTTACTGATTTGTTTAATAAATATGATACATACATCCAACTCCTTCTGTCACACGATTTGCTTTTTTCTTTTTCCAAATGTTACAAGTAAAATAATTAACTTTATGAGTGTTTACTATGACACAAATTTATGACATTATACGAGATTGAAAAGTGAATAAAATTGTACTTACCATAAAGGATTGCCAGGAGAGACAGGGGCATGACAAGTAGTCCCACTAGCATATCAGCAATGGCTAGGGACATTAAGAAGTAATTGGTGGCATTGTGCAGTTTCTTTTCCATGCTTACTGCCATGATCACAAGGATGTTGCCACCTATTGTCATGATTATTATGATGACGATTGAAAGTGCTGGCCAGTTTTGTACCCCGTCTGGGAATTTGAAGCGTCCACCATCGGAGGTATTGAAAATGTCAGTTACTATAGCTGCTACTGGGCTCACAGAAATATCAGATTGCCAAACCAATAGGCCAATTAGGTGCACACTGAAAATTAAGAAAAAAAAAAACAATCAGGTACATATTATATTACTTATACACAATACGTTGCTCATGCAAAACAACTGCTTCTTCATGGATCATTGTCATCATTATCATCATCAGCATCATTGTCATCATCATTATTTCTACTCTCTTAATTAATCTCAGTATTTCTTCTTTCTCTCCAAAAATCACCAACTTTTATTGAGTGATTATTATGAGTTAGGCACTTAGTTTGCTGAAACATATATGTATAATCTCATTTGATCTTATTAAACAACCTCATGATGTCAGTTCTAATTTATATCCATCACGTAGATGAGAAGACTGAGTAAAGTTCAGAAAGGGTAAGTAACTTTTTCAAGCCTAAACAGCCAGTAAGTGGCGGGGCCAGGGTCCATACTCAGGTCCCACTGATTTCAAAGTCTATGTTTTAAACTTTTACTGCGATCTGAAACCACAGTACTGCTTGATTTGCTGTAATAGTCTATTCTTTATATTTTTAAAATACTGATTCCTTTAGATATGTTCTGAGACAGCTGATAACAGAATGAAGGGGGATTTTCTTAAAGCATCCATGACCCTAACAAGGAAACTGGAAGTTGCATTCTATTGATCCAAGGCTAAGAAGGAATTAAGTTGCCATCAGATCAAATTCCGGCAAAGCGTCTGGAAGAGGTACAGTGGGTTTTGACAAGAATACCCTTTCATTTCTTTTCAGAAGTTTTTCTACCTTCTCACATTTGCAAAGTGCCATTATGCTGGTTCAATTGTTTCTTAACGTTTTGTGCTATAAACTTTCCTTCTACCTGCCACTCTCCACATTTCTGTCTTGTCTTATATTTTGTGGGCCTTGTTCTAGGCTAGATAATGATTTGTGGTGATGATTAATGCCTATGGATTTGTTACTTTTCATGCACTGGAACTAAATCTCTTAAGTCATTTAAGTACATTAGAAATGTACATTTCTCATGATGGTCCTTTGGTAGATTCTACCAGTAGGAATTTCAGGCCAGGTGGCAGGCTATTGCCAGAGATGGATGTGGTTGTCATTTGCACATTCTAAATTAATATCCCCCTATGGCGACATGAGATTTATTCGAGTTATGTACATAAGTATTCTCTCAAAGTGTAAGCTCCTAAAATGTCTAATAAAGCTACACATTTTTTCCTTCATAAAATAGACAAGACAGCCAAGCATGTTCAATATTTCCTGCTTAAAACTAAGAAATATTACCTGTGAATGAGTGATTTATGTTTATTCCATGTGTAGTAATAGTTATTTAATTAATGTTAAACAGCAACATGAGGATACATTTCCTATATGTAGTGGTTGTTCAACCTTGATATTATTTATAGAGGAGAAAATTGCCTCTGGTTGCACAATATATGCTACATAATTTTCTATGCAAGATAGTTGAAGGATGATTCTTTCTGAAATTAGGGAGATGGAACACATGACATAACATTCAGAGTCTATGTGTTCTCCATATTATGTATTTTTATGTCATTATCCCAGTCACTTGTTCTTTGAACTGAAGATAGTATCTCCAGGCAGGGATAATATATGTGTGATTTAATGGACTCATTGCTGACTACCATTATCAGAGAAATCGTAATTCTTATCAAATGATGAGAAGTAATCAGTAAATTCTTCCAAATGTATTATTTTCCCAAAACATAAAAAATAGGCAAAAATAATACAGGATTCCAAAATCTATGTCATAATTAATCTGTGATTAATATGAGTAAAAATTAGTGAAATAAAGGACCAAATAAACAGAAGCAAGTTATTCGCTCTCAGCTTTGATTACTCTGTCACTGTATTTATTGAATGTGGCATGTGGCCAATGTCCTGGCTATCTGACTTCAGTAATTTTTGACCAGTCACTTAACCTATCAGAACATCAACTTCATCTGTACAAGAACAATCTCCATCATATGGTTGTTGTGAAAATTAAATGATATATGTCAAACTTTAATACCTGTGTCATAAGAGGCCTTCAGTAAATGCTGGAGGTACCTTCTGTCTGCTTTGTAGTTAAACAAAAGCATTTTATGTTTGCTATATCCCAACTCATGTATTTCAAAATTTGCCAGGATAATTTAAGTCTTGATTTTATTTTGAGACGACGTCTATGTGTGAAGAACTGGACTCAAAAAAGTAATCTTAAATCCAGCACGTTTTCCAGAGTCCTTTCTGGCCTAGCTGATAAAAAACTTGTCCTGCTGGCATTTTAAAAAACAATGTTCTGTTTTAAATTAGCTGAAGATCATCTCAAGTAGTCCCACAAGAATTTATCTCAAATACTAAACTGCGTCTTCAGTTGTTGATTGCAGAATGACAAATACATTTATCCTTAAACCTATAGAATAAGGTCCTAGGGGAATATGCAGTCTGCCTCAAATGTTCTAAGTAAATTGTGAAAACATCGAAATTCATTCATATGTCTCTAAAAATGGTAGAGGGGTACAGGACAAATTATATATAACAGAAACATATACGAAGAAAATTATGTCAAATTATGAATTTTATAATTTGAGTATCTTTGAGTTTGGACTGTTTCAAGTAGTTATCTAGCCTATCCCTACTGGTCAGAAAATTTTTTTTTAATAAAAGAATCTGTAAGACAAATACTGAATTATTGAAGGAAGGAGTCTTGTCAGATGTAAACATATCTGTTGTGAATTACAAAATAAGGTAATGGTGTTAGGATAAATCTTGATAAAGTATTTACTTCACTTTCCTGGTTTCAATTAAATTCAGTTTAATAAATTTTTATTGAGCACTACTTATAGACAAGATTTTATGATTTTTATTAAAGTTTAATCCTTTATTCTTCAGTTTTGTAATGAAGAATTGTCTGTATTATAATTAAATCTAATTTTTAATACTTAACATGCTCAGTGAAATTATAAAGTCCTTTTACAAAAGAGGAGTAATTTAGGTCTTGCTCTTAAAGTTTATCCTAATTGTTTTTAAGCTCATAGGAATCTCATAAAATATGTATACAAAAGTCATAATTTCTCTCTGAAATGCATATAATTTACTCATTGCTACTAAAGTTTTAATGAAAACATAACTTTACATTCTTAGTATATAAACAAAATGATAATTTAATTTAAAAAGTTGAATATATTTAAAATCTACTGAGTTTTTCTATGACCTAGGACATTGTTAGAAGACAGGAATTCTTCCTTGTTTCTCTCAATAGAATTTAAAACAATTGTATATGAATTCTTTAATTAATTTCATAGCAGAATAATTTGGTGCCCTTTACGGCAGTCCTACACTTTGGTATATGGGCCAATGGCTATATACTAAGTTGGCACAGGCCCATGGAGCAGGAACACTTGTCCTTTCATTTTCCCATACCCAACTCTTCTTTTCCCTTCTTTATCACTGTCCTTCACTCTTTTCTTTCCCAGTTGTCTGCTCTAGTTCTCTTGGACTCTTCCATACTTGAAACTATCATCACAACAATGACACTCAAGATGGGCCACAGTGATGCACACTGCAGAGGATCCAATGTTGCTGAACTTTATATCTCCACCACATTGTAAACTTTTTCCTGGGTGAGCTCTTTTACAAGAATCATAAAGGAGACTACCTAGGAGCAAGGAGATTTGGGGTTTCTCAACTATACCAATCAGAGTTTACATTGCTTTGGATCATTTTTTTCTATGCTTCGTTCCTCAAAAAGCAGGTTCGGAAGAAACCAACATTTTTCTATGTAAAAAGAAGGTATACCTGGATTAGATCAAATTTAGAATTGCTTATTATTTGAATCTCCTGTATCTTTACCTACACCCTTTATGTTGTATATTATTGGCTGCAACTGGGTCACTGCATCAATACTTCTGAGGATGACATTGGTTTTTCCCATCCAGCTACATCGCCAAGCCCTATCCCCTAACTTCCAACCTTTTCTTTTCCTACCTCAACTATTCTTCACAAAACCAGAGGCATTTCATTCTCTTAACTGTTCAGTTCATGCAAGAAGGAAAAGGACAGAAATTTTTCCTTTCTAAGTTTTACCCATGGAAAAAGTAGCCATGAACATTGAGATTATTTGAATTTAGGGCATTATCACCATATTACTTGTTTAAGTATATGAGCTCAAGTGCTTAATTAGAGTCCAAATTTTTTTTTCCATTAATTATTTTTGAATAGGAAACACCCATAATATTAGTCTTTTGGGAAGCAAGCCATTTATGCAGATTTAGGCAAATATAGCTGATCATATAGAAGCATTTTTTTAACATGTTGAGCAAGCTACCAAGCAAAGTTATCTTTTTACTAAAATAATAAGTAGTAACATCCTTACAGGAATGAATGCACCGCATTCCTCAGGTTCACCATGATTGCTTCAGTCTTAAGCAACCAAAGTTTAAAATTGAGAAGACGAAATTAACAGGCTAGGTTCATCATATCATCCTTTCTGGGGAGAGAAAAAGAAGAAAGAGAAAATTAGTTAAACATCGAAATAACTTGCATAGTAACCAATTAAATAAACTTAAATGCACTTAATGGTGATAAGAAACAGTTATTAATTCAGCAAACAGGTAAGCATGTTATACTGTGTAAGTGATAAAATATGGCAAAGAGAGCAGATTTTTCAATTATTTATCATCGCAGTTTTTAAAAATTTTCTGTATATGTTTTATTTATACATGGTTTATACCAAATTTCCCCCTCTTGGAGTAGACATGGCTTCAAATCAATGTTTTGAAAAAGAAATTAAGAATATATTCTTCAAAAACTTCTCAAGATGGCCGAAGAGGAACAGCTCCGGTCTACAGCTCCCAGCGTGAGCGACGCAGAAGAAGGGTGATTTCTGCATTTCCACCTGAGATACCGGCTTCATCTCACTAGGGAGTGCCAGACAGTGGGCGCAGGTCAGTGGGTGCACGCACCGTGCGCGAGCCGAAGCAGGGCGAGGCATTGCCTCACTTGGGAAGTGCAAGGGGTCAGGGAGTTCCCTTTCCTAGTCAAACAAAGGGGTGACAGACGGCACCTGGAAAATCGGGTCACTCCCACCCCAATACTGCGCTTTTCCAACAGGCTTAAAAAACGGCGCACCAGGAGATTATATCCTGCACCTGGTTCCGAGGGTCCTATGCCCACGGAGTCTCACTGATTGCTAGCACAGCAGTCTGAGATCAAACTGCAAGGTGGCAGTGAGGCTGGGGGAGGGGCGCCCGCCATTGCCCAGGCTTGCTTAGGTAAACAAAGCAGCCCGGAAGCTCGAACTGGGTGGAACCCACCACAGCTCAAGGAGGCCTGCCTGCCTCTGTAGGCTCCACCTCTGGGGGCAGGGCACAGACAAACAAAAAGACAGCAGTAACCTCTGCAGACTTAAATGTCCCTGTCTGACAGCATTGAAGATAGCAGTGGTTCTCCCAGCATGCAGCTGGAGATCTGAGAACGGGCAGACTGCCTCCTCAAGTGGGTTCCTGACCCCTGACCCCTGAGCAGCCTAACTGGGAGGCACCCCCTAGCAGGGGCAGACTGACACCTCACACGGCCGGGTACTCCAAAAGACCTGCAGCTGAGGGTCCTGTCTGTTAGAAGGAAAACTAACAAACAGAAAGGACATCCACACCAAAAACCCATCTGTACATCACCATCATCAAAGACCAAAAGTAGATAAAACCACAAAGATGGGAAAAAACAGAGTAGAAAAACTGGAAACTCTAAAATGCAGAGCGCCTCTCCTCCTCCAAAGGAACGCAGTTCCTCACCAGCAATGGAAGAAAGCTGGATGGAGAATGACTTTGACGAGCTGAGAGAAGAAGGCTCCAGACGATCAAATTACTCTGAGCTACGGGAGGAAATTCAAACCAAAGGCAAAGAAGATGAAAACTTTGAAAAAAATTTAGAAGAATGTATAACTAGAATAACCAATACAGAGAAGTCCTTAAAGGAGCTGATGGAGCTGAAAGCCAAGGCTCAAGAACTACGTGAAGAATGCAGAAGCCTCAGGAGCCGATGCGATCAACTGGAAGAAAGGGTATCAGTGATGGAAGATGAAATGAATGAAATGAAGCGAGAAGGGAAGTTTAGAGAAAAAAGAATAAAAAGAAACCAACAAAGCCTCCAAGAAATATGGGACTATGTGAAAAGACCAAATCTACCTCTGATTGGTGTACCTGAAAGTGACAGGGAGAATGGAACCAAGTTGGAAAACACTCTGCAGGATATTATCCAGGAGAACTTCCCCAATCTAGCAAGGCAGGCCAACATTCAGATTCAGGAAATACAGAGAACGCCACAAAGATACTCCTCGAGAAGAGCAACTCTAAGACACACACTTGTCAGATTCACCAAAGTTGAAATGAAGGAAAAAATGTTAAAGGCAGCCAGAGAGAAAGGTCGGGTTACTCTCAAAGGGAAGCCCATCAAACTAACAGCTGATCTCTCGGCAGAAACTCCACAAGCCAGAAGAGAATGGGGACCAATATTCAACATTCTTAAAGAAAGGAATTTTCAACCCAGAATTTCATATCCAGCCAAATTAAGCTTCATAAGTGAAGGACAAATAAAATACTTTACAGGCAAGCAAATGCTGAGAGACTTTGTCACCATCAGGCCTGCCCTAAAAGAGCTCCTGAAGGAAGGGCTAAACATGGAAAGGAACAAGTGGTACCAGCCATTGCAAAATCATGCCAAATTGTAAAGACCATCAAGACTAGGAAGAAACTGCATCAACTAATGAGCAAAATAACCAGCTAACATCATAATGATGGGATCAAATTCACACATAACAATATTAACTTTAAATGTAAATGGACTAAATGCTCCAATTAAAAGACACAGACTGGCAAATTGGATAAAGAGTCAAGACCCATCAGTGTGTTGCATTCAGGAAACCCATCTCACGTGCAGAGACACACATAGGCTCAAAATAAAAGGATGGAGGAAGATCTACCAGGCAAATGGAAAACGAAAAAGGCAGGGGTTGCAATCCGAGTCTCTGATAAAACAGACTTTAAACCAACAAAGATCAAAAGAGACAAAGAAGGCCATTACTTAATGGTAAAGGGATCAATTCAACAAGAAGAGCTAACTATCCTAAATATATATGCACCCGATACAGGAGCACCCAGATTCATAAAGCAAGTCTTGAGTGACCTACAAAGAGACTTAGACTCCCACACAATAATAATGGAGGACTTTAACACCCCACTGTCAACATTAGACATATCAACGAGACAGAAAGTCAACAAGGATACCCAGGAATTGAACTCAGCTCTGCACCAAGAGGACCTAATAGACATCTACAGAACTCTCCACCCCAAATCAACAGAATATACATTTTTTTCAGCACCACACCACACCTATTCCAAAATTGACCACATACTTGGAAGTAAAGCTCTCCTCAGCAAATGTAAAAGAACAGAGATTATAACAAACTATCTCTCAGACCACAGTGCAATCAAACTAGAACTCAGGATTAAGAATCTCACTCAAAACCGCTCAACTACATGGAAACTGAACAACCTGCTCCTGAATGACTACTGGGTACATAAGGAAATGAAGGCAGACATAAAGATGTTCTTTGAAACCAATGAGAGCAAAGACACAACATACCAGAATCTCTGGGACGCATTCAAAGCAGTGTGTAGAGGGAAATTTATAGCACTAAGTGCCCACAAGAGAAAGCAGGAAAGATCCAAAATTGACACCCTAACATCACAATTAAAAGAACTAGAAAAGCAAGAGCAAACACATTCAAAAGCTAGCAGAAGGCAAGAAATAACTTAAATCAGAGCAGAACTGAAGGAAATAGAGACACAAAAAACCCTTCAAAAAATTATTGAATCCGGGAGCTGGTTTTTTGAAAGGATCAACAAAATTGATAGACCACTAGCAAGACTAATAAAGAAAAAAAGAGAGAAGAATCAAATAGACGCAATAAAAAATGACAAAGGGGATATTACCACTGATCCCACAGAAATACAAACTACCATCAGAGAATACTACAAACACCTCTATGCAAATAAACTAGAAAATCTAGAAGAAATGGATAAATTCCTCGACACATACACTCTCCCAAGACTAAACCAGGAAGAAGTTGAATCTCTGAATAGACCAATAACAGCCTCTGAAATTGTGGCAATAATCAATAGCTTACCAAGCAAAAAGAGTCCAGGACCAGATGGATTCACAGCCAAATTCTACCAGAGGTACAAGGAGGAACTGGTACCATTCCTTCTGAAACTATTCCAATCAATAGAAAAAGAGGGAATCCTCCCTAACTCATTTGATGAGGCCAGCATCATCCTGATACCAAAGCTGGGCAGAGACACAACCAAAAAAGAGAATTTTAGACCGATATCCTTGATGAACATTGATGCAAAAATCCTCAATAAAATACTGGCAAACCAAATCCAGCAGCACATCAAAAAGCTTATCCACCATGATCAAGTGGGCTTCATCCCTGGGATGCAAGGCTGGTTCAATATACACAAATCAATAAATGTAATCCAGCATATAAACAGAACCAAAGACAAAAACCACATGATTATCTCAATAGATGCAGAAAAGGCCTTTGACAAAATTCAACAATCCTTCATGCTAAAAACTCACAATAAATTAGGTATTGATGGGATGTATCTCAAAATAATAAGAGCTATCTATGACAAACCCACAGCCAATATCATACTGAATGGGCAAAAACTGGAAGCATTCCCTTTGAAAACTGGCACAAGACAGGGATGCCCTCTCTCACCACTCCTATTCAACATAGTGTTGGAAGTGCTGGCCAGGGCGATCAGGCAGGAGAAGGAAATAAAGGGTATTCAATTAGGAAAAGAGGACGTCAAATTGTCCCTGTTTGCAGATGACATGATTGTATATTTAGAAAACCCCATTGTCTCAGCCCCAAATCTCCTTAAGCTGATAAGCAACTTCAGCAAAGTCTCAGGATACAAAATCAATGTGCAAAAATCACAAGCATTCTTATACACCAATAACAGACAGAGAGCCAAATCATAAGTGAACTCCCATTCACAACTGCTTCAAAGAGAATAAAATACCTAGGAATCCAACTTACAAGGGATGTGAAGGACCTCTTCAAGGAGAACTACAAATCACTGCTCAAAGAAATAAAAGAGGATACAAACAAATGGAAGAACATTCTATGCTCATAGGTAGGAAGAATCAATATCGTGAAAATGGCCATACTGCCCAAGGTAATTTACAGATTCAATGCCATCCCCATCAAGCTACCAAGGACTTTCTTCACAATATTGGAAAAAAATACTTTAAAGTTCATATGGAACCAAAAAAGAGCCTGCATCGCCAAGTCAATCCTAAGCCAAAAGAACAAAGCTGGAGGCATCACACTACCTGACTTCAAACTATACTACAAGGCTACAGTAACCAAAACAGCATGGTACTGGTACCAAAACAGAGATATAGATCAATGGAACAGAACAGAGCCCTCAGAAATAACGCCGCATACCTACAACTATCTGATCTTTGACAAACCTGAGAAAAATAAGAAATGGGGAAAGGATTCCCTATTTAATAAACGGTGCTGGGAAAACTGGCTAGCCATATGTAGAAAGCTGAAACTGGATCCCTTCCTTACACCTTATACAAAAATCAATTCAAGATGGATTAAAGATTTAAACATTAGACCTAAAACCATAAAAACCCTAGAAGAAAACCTAGGCATTACCATTCAGCACATAGGCATGGGCAAGGACTTCATGTCCAAAACACCAAAAGCAATGGCAACAAAAGACAAAATTGACAAATGGGATCTAATTAAACTAAAGAGCTTCTGCACAGCAAAAGAAACTACCATCAGAGTGAACAGGCAACCTACAAAATGGGAGAAAATTTTCGCAACCTACTCATCTGACAAAGGGCTAATATCCAGAATCTACAATGAACTTAAACAAATTTACAAGAAAAAAACAAACAACCCCATCAAAAAGTGGGCGAAGGACATGAACAGACACTTCTCAAAAGAAGACATTTATGCAGCCAAAAAACACATGAAAAAATGCTCATCATCACTGGCCATCAGAGAAATGCAAATCAAAACCACAATGAGATACCATCTCACACCAGTTAGAATGGCAATCATTAAAAAGTCAGGAAACAACAGGTGCTGGAGAGGATGTGGAGAAATAGGAACACTTTTACACTGTTGGTGGGACTGTAAACTAGTTCAACCATTGTGGAAGTCAGTGTGGCGATTCCTCAGGGATCTAGAACTGGAAATACCATTTGACCCAGCCATCCCATTACTGGGTATATACCCAAATGACTATAAATCATGCTGCTATAAAGACACACGCACACGTATGTTTATTGCGGCATTATTCACAATAGCAAAGACTTGGAACCAACCCAAATGTCCAACAATGATAGACTGGACTAAGAAAATGTGGCACATATACACCATGGAATACTATGCAGCCATAAAAAATGATGAGTTCATGTCCTTTGTAGGGACATGGATGAAATTGGAAATCATCATTCTCAGTAAACTATCGCAAGAACAAAAAACCAAACACCGCATATTCTCACTCATAGGTGGGAATTGAACAATGAGATCACATGGACACAGGAAGGGGAATATCACACTCTGGGGACTGTGGTGGGGTCGGGGGAGGGGGGAGGGATAGCATTGGGAGATATACCTAATGCTCGATGACGAGTTAGTGGGTGCAGCACACCAGCATGGCACATGTATACATATGTAACTAACCTGCACAATGTGCACATGTACCCTAAAACTTAAAGTATAATTAAAAAAAAAAAGAAAAAGAAATATGATCCTGAAAATCTGTCTTGATAAGCTTTCTTTAGTGTGCTTCTAGCTCCTTCTAGAAATTTGGAAGTAAAATTTAACCAGAAGAAATCACATCTCCCTGTGTTTTCCATCTCATTTAATAGCACTATCCTTGTCACTCAAGATACATAGTTAATATTTTCTCCCTTCTTCATCCCTTAGCTCTCATTTATCAGTTCTATCAGTGCTACCTACACAAAAATCAATCTCCAAATCATCCCCTTACTACCGTAATACATAAAATATGGCCTTCCAATATCTAGGAACTCAAAATATTCTGTGTGAGAGAGAGAGAGCTATATCACCCTGACCATTAGTCAGGCCAATACTGTCCCATAAATTTTACCAGACAACACAGACATCTCTTTCTCTGGGAGGTCTGAAAATAAGTGACAGAAAAAATGGTAAGGGAAACCAAAAGGTCCCATCCTGCTTCTTAGCCCTCAATAAGTATCAAACTTTTTCCTTTTTCCTTATGCTAAAAGTATTAAAATGATTTTCAATATTTATTTTTATGTATCCAAATATTAGTATAATTTTTAAAGGTTCAAAGATAGAGTGAAATATGCTGTGCTCCAATAGAGTATAACAAAACAAGCTGATACAATAATCATCTCATGAAGCACTTTATTAGCCACATTTTTAGCTATGGATGAATTCCATTACTGTTACTCAAAATATTATATTCCTTTAAAAATTAGCCAGCTTCCTTATGCTTTTTTACATGTATATTCCTGAGAAATATAAGCAGAAAAATTAAACATCAAATATTTATTTTTCTAAGTTCCAATTTTATTGAGAAGAATGAGTAATAATCACAAAAAATATTATGTATATAGATTTCCAATTTATTAACAAAAATGACTTGTAGGCAAAATCATGTCTCCTCATGCTGTTAAAATTTGCATGAACACTGAGTAGACATGATAGAAAATACCTGTGAACTGGTGGTAAGAGTTTCGGAACATGGTGTGATGGGAATAAATTATATGAATTATGTAACATAAATTATGTTATCTTACATGTTTCCCCAAATGGCCAGGCCACTGTGATGATGATATTTTGCAATAAGAAATGTTCTGTGAGTAATTCTACTAAAAGGGAAGGTGATGCAAAACTTCTTGTCTTGGATAAGATCAATCAATAACAGAAACTGAAAAACATAGCGAAACAACTCTAATGAAACTTTCTGATATGCATATATGGAACTTTCTGATCTGTGTAATGGAACTTTTAAAGTTGCATGAACACAAAAGAATGCTTATAAATTCAAGTTTTCAAATTTGTGAAGGATTGTGTTTTGTAAAATTTTTTTAAAATCACTTGTGAGATAATTGACGGAATAATTGACTAATTTTTAATGAGATTTTATAATATTTGCCTTGAAAGTAGGTTTGATAATTTAATAAGTGTTATAATTTATAATTATAATTATATTATTAATATTATTATATTATTTTATTTATTTATTTTATATTATTATTATATATTATATTATTATATTATATATATTAAATATTAATATTAATATTAATATAATTTATATTATATTATATATATAATTATATAAAATTAATATAATTTATAATTACAACCAACTTATATAACATTTGTGTGTTTCTGTGTTACTTTGTGTAGTCATACATATTTATAATTTCGTGTCCAGAAAAAGATTGATTAACTTAAAACCAATTAGCTGTCTCAAGTATGAAGAGAAAATCACAGATTAAATCATAGAAATAAGATCAGGATCACTAGTCACTAAATACACACTCAGACCAATCTCTCAATCCTTTCTACAGTGTAAATCACAGATCTTTTCATGCCTTCTCTAAAGCACTGTAAAATCTTCAGACATCAATAACAGTAACTACAGTTGCTAAGACAAATGGGGGAGAAACATTAGTTTTCACATAATTTTCAATAGTACAATTTTACACAAGATATTGCAGAATAACCTCAACTAATGTGAAAATTTAATTAAGTATGAATCCATACCATGAGTATTATATTTAATTCATGCCTATGAAATCTATGCTTATATGGCTATATGCCATGTGTCATACAGCATATGTCATCCAAAATAGTGTGAACACTCCAAAACAACTGAACCAAAATCGAATCTCCACTGGAAATTTGGAAATAAATTGCAAACTATCAGAATCCGTATCACTCACAGAAATACTTAAAAGTCATCATCAATAATCACCTTGGAAGCAAAAATAATTTTAAAAAATAAGTTAAAAACTATGGGACAGAGCAAGACGCCATCTCTGCAAAAAAAATCAGCCCCATGTGATGGTGCGGGCCTGTAGTCCCAGCTACTGTGGGGTGGGCTTGGGGACTGAGGTGGGAGGATGGCTTGAGGTCAGCAGGTGGCAGCAGCAGTGAGCCGTGATCGCACCACTGCACTTCAGTCTGGGTGACACAGTGAGACCCTGTCTCAAAAAATATTAACAAAATCAAAGAAAACAAAAAACTGTGGGGTACAAAGGCTGGCACGAACAAGGCTTTTTAAAGGTGTTGTATTAATACTAAAGGCAAATTTTTGAGCAGAAGAGCCATATAGATGTACTTTCCATGTAACATCCACAATCCTTGGCCAAGTCCTGGGTACAAAGTAATTGGCTGATTGATGGGAAGGTAGGAGATTTAAGGTGTGAAGTCAAAAGATACTATCTAAGAATAAAGGAAGAGCTGTGGTTTTGCCCAAATTGTGCTTGGAGAGGATAGAAGCTTGCAACTTTATTGAAAACGCTTGCCTTGCAACTTCTAAAGCTAACCATTTATAATTCATTTTTACCATTACCTTTTCCACCCTTTGGCACTGAAGAAAGATTGGTCGTGTTTCAATCACGTTTTCTGCTCTCACACTACTTTTTATTCTTTTTTTCCCAGACCTGGTTGAAGATAATATTGATGAGTCTTAAAAAAAAATGCCAGCATTTCTACTCATGTTTTAACAAAAATTGGAGAGTCTAGATTCACCCATGAAAAGGTATAGTTTACACTAGATTTCTGGAAATTCCGTTAGCACATTATAATGATGCAGCATATTTTCTATCAAACTGAAAGACTAAATTTCACACTAAATTTTTTTAAATTGTAGAATAGACCATGTGCGATGGCTCACGCCTATAATCCCAGCACTTTGGGAGGCCGGAGTGGGTGGATTGCTTGAGCTCAGGAGTTCAAGACCAGCCTGGACAAAATGGCAAAACCCCATGTCTACAAAAAATACAAAAAATTAGCCAGATGTGGTGGCGTGTGCCTCTGGTCCTAGCTACTTGAGAGGCTGAGGTGGGAGGATCCCTTGAACTCAGGTGGTCGAGGCTGCAGTGAGCCCTGATCACATCATTCTACTCCAGCTAGGGCAACAGACCCTGTCTCAAAAAAAAAAGAAATTGTAGAATATAGTCAACTAGATCACTTCTGTCTCACTTTTTATAACAAAGCATTTAAAAATTGAATAAATAATAATACATATAGAAGTTTGATTTTTATCAATTTTCAGTGTTCAGAAATTATGACTCATAATTCAAATATTATCCCTCTAGTTATTATACCCAGTGAGCTTTTAGCAGATGTCTAAATCAAAAATGAATTAGCCATAAATGTTCAGATTAGTCCTGGGAAGATTATATTAATGTGGCACAGATTTACAATAATTTTGGGGGAGCTCATTTAATTCAAAAATTATCCTTAGGACTAATGAATATTGTAGGAAGTTTTCCTTTCAACTTCAAATGTACTCTAGCGATTTTCTAATAAATCATACATTTGTCATACTAAAAACTCACCTTTGCTAATTATAGTCAAATCAGATAATTTTTATTATTTTGATAGAAAGTTTTTCAGTTATTATCATCAATGAAATTAAAGACTACTCTTCCACCAGTGATTATTCAATTTGAATGCAAGTCTAGGCTCATTACTTTTATTCCCTCTCCTCCAAGATAATGTTAAGTGGTTATTTAAATAGATTTACCTGTTCCTCCTATGCTTGGAATTCAAATGGAAAAAAAAATTTTTTTCTCCTCATTTGTATTTACTAAATACCTCTGCTTGTGTTTGACATGTTCCATGAGCGTGATTATTGTTAAATTATGTGCGAATTCACACAACAGTTAACTCAAAATCTACAGCATATAAAATTATGTTTTTCACAGCTAGACCTATTCCATTTACATAAAATAATACTTTAAAAACATACACTTCCCAATTGATAGACTTAAAGTAGCTATTGCAAATCACTCTATGATGGTAGTAACAGACATGGAGAGAATTTGCCTTAGTGGGCAGAATGCCCAGCAATTTGAAACTGCTTTCTCCATAGGTGGTAGCAGAACTATCTGGGAATTATCTCAGTGTTAGTATGCACATAGCACAACAAACTGAAGGTTTTCAAAGAGCAGAGCTAATGGAGCAAACCATATGCTAAATATCTGTGTTGGAGACCAACTCCAACCGATCTGCAGGACCAAAAGCTGTATAATAGTAGTTTCATATATTCAAATATTTATCGATTGCTTATTACATGCCAGGCACTATGCCAGATGCTGGGCATGTAGTAGTAAACAAGGTAAACCAGGCCCCTGCTCCAATGGAGCTTACATTCTAGCTGGAGATACAGAAAATAAACATTTAAACAAAGATGTAGGATAATTTCAAATCGTGATAATTGCTATGAATAAAATGAAATTGCATCATGAGATAAAGAGTGATTGGGGTAAATACATTAGATGGATCCATGTACATAGCCATAGCTTGAGGTTAGATATCTTTTAAATATTGTAATATACAAATAATATTTGCCAGCATTTGCCAGCTACTCTCCATCACAGTATAAAATAGTTATTTTATACCGGTGAGTTAAGTACACGACAAGTGTCACTGATGGGAGCAGATCAAAATTTTCTGTTAATTTGATTTTAATTTTGCAAGCTAGAAAAACAAATCCTCTTTATCTTTTGTCAAGACACTTAAAAATCAATTTAGTTGCATACTAAAATACATTCCCACTTACATTTACAATGGTGTCTCTTCACCCACAAGCAATTCCTACTTCCCATTTCATTAGATTAAGAGATCACAAACTTTTCACTTTATAACAGGCTCTTCTGGTTGTGGAGGGTTCCAGCTGAGTCATGAAAAGTGAAAAGTTCAGTCAGTTGCCCAGATGTATTTATTGCCAAATAACACAGGGTACTTGGATACATCTGGACAGCCGAATGAACTCTTAACTCCTCGTCTCTCCAACAGCTCTTCCTTCTCGGCTTCAAGACATCCTATATAAAGGGGAAAGAAACAAACAAAAAGCTACTTCAAAGTTGAAGGGTCAGTTTCTGGTTTTGCTGTCTCATCTGGAAAAAAGAAGTGACTTCTGCTATTGTTTTATAACTTATTGATATAAAATGTATACAACTCATAAAATGTAGAAATAGCTAGAAGTACCAGATGAATCTTGTTAAATTCAAATATGTCATGAATACAGAAAACTGAGACAACAAAAATTAATTTGCATAATGAATAATTTATATAATGTATAATTCATTCTAGTATCATTCAACACCCTAGCCGTTAAATATGTGTGATTAGCATAAAGGACATTAGGCTGGGCAGTAGGAGACATGAGTTCTAGTCTTGACTCTTACCACTTCTTGATGTGTCACTCAAACTTTTTGAGCCTCACTGTTTTCATCCATGACACAGAAGTTGCAATAGAGGACCTCTATCCCTTTTTGCTCTGAAATGCTGTGAATTGGGTTTTCTTGCTAAATTGTTGACATTATTCTACGCTGTTTTACAAACAAGATACTTCTAAATAGCTGAGTTTGGTTACAATTAAATCTTACTTGTTATTGCTAATTAAATATAAAACATAGCATTCACCTGACAAAGCCTTTTGTTTGAAAGGAATGCGAAAGTGACTTTTAACTTGAGTATTCTCATAACTCAGTCTACACATCCCACAAATTAATATGTAGGTATTCTGTACCATGCCTTTATCTACTTCCTTAAATGAATCCTTAAATACATTTCTCATTCTTAAAGAGTTAGGAGACCACACAGACTCATAAAAATTTTAAACAAAATTGTTTATTGGTGATTTTATTTTAAAAAATCTTCTGCCTAGAATATTTTACAGAAAAGTGAAGTATAAGAAGTAATGGCCAGTTTTGTAGCTATCTAAAGCTTGGCTTCTACTTTAGTGGTTTAATTCTCAGGTAGAATCTGTTTATGGTTTTGTGTACTCTTCTACCATTTTGTTTATTTATGGAGAAAAATAGTACTTCAGTTTGACAACTTTGAAAATAGTGTTTCCTGTCCCAGTTCTACAAACGTTATATCAGATGGTGTCAATATTTAGCGAAACTGATATGCCTATTTTATAACTCCCCTCAGTGTAATTAAAGCTAAAATATCAGACCACAAATGACATGTAATATATTTTCACTTTTTAAATTTTCTAATTAGATTTGTGGAGAATTCTTCAACTTACCCTCTCAGAGTACCTCCTGTACAACTCAATTTATAAAATAAAACCTGTCAGAAAATTCGAACTAACAAATCTTCAAATCCTTTTGCTCATGACTCTGTGTGTGTATGTGTGTGTCTGTGTATACGTGTGTATGCATGTGTTTTGAGAGTGAGGAATGAAAAGAAAGGTGCTACAACTACACACATTTTATTATAACCACCATCCAAAGCACCATCATTTCATAATCATTTCATAATAATTCAAAGCCCTTTGAATGTTTGAATATTTTCCTTCACGTTTTTCAAGAGGGAGAAGTAACTTACCTAATATAAAAAATCTATGAACTATTGATCACTGAAATTTTGGATAAAATAACCCATTTATGAAACATCAGATGCTTCATACAACATCTGTTTTTACTTCTCACTGAAAGATTCTATATATAGAATTCAGTCACGATCATTCCACTCACTTGAGTGCCATGGAGACAGTTTCTATCACACAGACTTGTTCTATAATATAGACCAATTGTAGCAATTTTGCTAAAATATCAACATGTTGTTCTACAGTTTTATCCAGTCTTAAAGTACATTTTAAAAAGAAAAAAATGAGATGTTTCTGAGACTATAAATAAAATTTGAATATGGACTGGGGTATTAAATTAAGGAATTATTCCTAAAATTTTGGGGGGTGGTAATTGCATCATGGTTTTGCAGTAATATAGCCACAATTTTAGAAATAGATACTGAAGCAATGTGAAATGATTTTAAATAATTCAACGAAGAGAATGGGAAAGAGAAAGGGATAGATTGGTTGCAAAATTTTAATAATTATTGAATCTGGATGATGGTGTTATGGAGGATCACTGTACTGTTGTCTCTATGACTGTTTATGTTTGAAAGGTTTTTAAAATAATTTATAACTACAAATGAGATATGCTTTTAGATTACATAGCATGAAAAATATAAAGTTTTGTCAAAGATAGAAGACTTCATTATTTTATACTCAATCCAGTTTTTATTTTTAGCATTTTATACATCACCAGTCCAGTTTTTAAAAACAAACAAACAAAAACATTATTCTAATTATCTCCTAAAATAATGATGATGTCTTTTCCATAGCAAAAAATTAGTCTTTCTTGATCATATAAAATGGTACAGACATCTTTCGTCTTTGATGACTTTCTCTCCAGTGGATGTTATGATAATACATTTTGAGAACAATGGTCTTTGGGTAAACCACATTTCCAATAACAATTTATTAAAGTCTTTGGATCAGTACCATCCCTTCCACTTAACAACAGCTGACGACAACATGAGCTCTCTCATCTAAGCTCTCCCTGGGGAGGTGCAATGATGATGATTCACTAAATATAGGCCATACCTCTAATTTGGCAAAGGTCTTAAATATCTTTCAGGACAACAATATGATTATTCAGAGAAAGGCAACTGACTGTAAATAAAGTTTTCTGACAGCTGCAGATATAATACGCATATTATGGTATTTAAATTTGTTATGAGTTTCTCTGTAAATTCAAAATTAGTTCCATCCTTCATGACTGGGTATAATTTTTCAAGATCAGGGACTAAATAGGTTGAAAAGTTGCATTGATTAAAGTATTCATTTCTCATTGGAAATCTCTGTTTGCTCAGGAAATTTATGAAAGACAGTGTATTTGGTGCAAATCACCACTGAGGTATGGTGTGACACCTTTGCCTTTCAGGTAATTTTACAGACCTTTTATGTTATGCAGTGAAATATGTTAAAGAGAATATTTTATTCTTTTCTCTCATTCCAGGGATTCTATATTTCATGAGATCACAGAAATGACATCTAAATAATAATGCTTTACTTTTCAAAACTGCATATGATGCTGACTAAATTATGCATTTGCTTAAGAAAAAGAGATTATATGCATCATCATGAACATTTGTTCTTAAGTAGTAAATCATAGGCAGCGTTGCTTCTTCTATTGCTACATTTTAAAAACTGTCACAAAGAGCCATTATTTTCTTTTGTTAATAACAATTGATATGCTTCTTTTATTGATATAAAGAATTGATACAAATCTTCTTTTATAAATAACAATTTCTAGGTTAAAGTTATAGGACCCTATTTTCTTAAATGCAGGTATTGTGTTTATGAAACAAAATCCACAAACAGTTAATGTCCACCTACTTTGTTCCAGGCACAGTGATAAAAGTTAGTTTTACCTCATGTTAACAGAAATGCATATTACAGAAAAAGAAATAGTGAAGTTCAAAGAGGTTAAGCTATTTTTTCTGATAAATGGCAGGATTCAGATTCTGAAAGCATGCTTAAGTGATTTTTAAAAAACACATTTAGGAAGGCAGTATTAGCAAAGAGTTTATGTTTTCATCAAGGTATTGTTCACTTATTCAATGCATTTATTTAATGCCAAGTATGTGCTTGGTAATGTTCTATATACTAGGGATATATGAGTGAATAAGGCAAAGAGCTCTGCCCATGTAGAGGTTACATTCTTGTTCTCTCCATTAATTATCAATTTTTTCTTAAGTAAGAATTTATGGTAAAATAAATTAGTATAATGTCTAAATGTTTTCAAGATTTTATTCATCTGTTCTATAAGTAAAAGAATGAAAGATATGCGAGCTGCTTTTGGCAAACTATCTCAATCTTTAAGGTTACTGCCTAACATATTTGTGATTATATATTCATTACTATTCTCTATTCATACTTAATTTTTCTACAATCTGCTGATATTGGGGCACTGAAACAAAATCATTGTTATTGTATCATGAAAGATTCCTCAAGTTTTAAAGTCTTATTTTAAATTACTAAAATATTTTGGTCCAAATTAAAACCATCTGTATAGGCAAGCAACTAAGAAAATGAAAGCCAAAGATAGAAGAATTGGCAATATAATGCCTCCATAGATAATCTAGCCAATCATATTATATTGCCTATACTTTAGGTAGGTTTGAAAAATTCTACAGGTTTCATAAAACACTTGCTACTCAGAGAAAGCCAGAAATTTTTCTAAATGGTCTTTACAGGTAACTTGCCAAAAATTGGGAAGTTGCTCTCATGAATCAAGTATCCAGCTCATGCCAATATTTGTGGAAACGTAGTCATTAGCCTCCCACACACCTTTTGGCCTGATACCTTGCATTCTGGCAGTAGAGAAGCTATTAGCAGAGGACTTCATAAAGTTCATGTCACTAAATCTGTCATTGTGATATACCCTGGGAAGTACTACTGTCTAAGCCACCATCTGTTGCCCTAAGATAAATAGAAAAGGGAATAAAAAACTCCTCTCAGTTGAGTCATTCCTGTGGAAATGGCTCAACAAGAAAAACTATTAAAAACAGATACATAATAATTGTTTCCATTTGCTGATTTATTATTATACACCAAGTGATGTGAGAAACACTCTATTTTTCTCATTTAATCTTTACTATGAAAACAATGCAATGCCAGATTAAAAGATAAAATGAGATGTTGAATTACCACATAGAACTAATAAGTTACAGAGCAAGATTTAATTTTAGATGTGTTGCACTCCAATATCTACATTTTTTCACTCCTCATCACTATCTCTTATTGTGGTTCTTTTATTTTTATAAGAAACTATAAATTTTTCCACATTAAACATTGTACCTGTCAATCTCTATGTCTAATAAGCATACTCTCATGAGCAGTATTGAAAGAGGGTACTTGAAGACCATCCAAGTTTCTGTTGCTTTGTGTAGTTTTGTTGTTTAGAGACGGGGTTGCACTATGTTGCCTCGGTTGGTATGGAACTCCTGGGCTCAAGCTATTCTCCCATCTCAGCTTCCTGAGGAGCTGGGACCACAGGCACATGCCACCGTGCAAAGTTCTAACTTTCTGTTTTAATAGTTAAGGAATCTGATCCAGAAGAGATAAATGACTTATTCAACGTCCTAATGTTAATTTTTGTCAGTGCCAAGATAAGAAGCCAGTCTCCTGCTTCTTTTCCAGTCCTTTGATTCTGAGCCTTACTGATAGCAAAAAGCCCGAAGAGTCACGGATGATCAGTGTCTCACTAGTTTATGCATAACTGTTAGGACAATTGTCTCATTGCCTCTCTTTAAGTGAAAGAAAATGAAGGAAATGTCATAGACTACAAAATTAAATGCAGTAGAAAGCTACTTTGGAATGCATTTCTGAACACTTGGCTCTGCAAATATTCAAAGAAGGAACTCAGGCAGAAAGGCAGGCATGAAGAAAGGAACAAATGAAGGAGAAGAGGAATAAGAAAAGGAAGGAAGGAAGAAGAGAACAGAAGGAAGAAAGGCAAAGAAATCGTTGTCCTAAAATCTGTATTAATTCCTAGATGTCTGGAAGCCCTGCATGGTTATGTAATGTCTGCTGTTACAAGGACAAATTCTGGCAGGAATATGCTGGCAGGACTACTCTCAAACATAAGTTGTTTATGCAAAACTCTGTTAAATCTCACAGTTGCTTTCTTGATCATTTAATTTACTCACAACAATAGCAGTGGAACAAAGTGATTTTTAAATACAATTAACACTTCCATGACTAGAGGAAAAATTTAAAGATGGCAATTTTGTTCTGTAGAAAAACATACCAATTTTTTATTCAAACAAGTAGTACAGAGATAATCCCATCAACCAATATTCCTAGATCATTATTTTACTATAGTTTGTGAATTTCACATAATTTACAAAATTCTGGACAGAATAATAATCGACTAGGGAGGTTTCAAATAGCAATCTTGATATCTGACAAAATAAATTTGAAGTTAAAAAAATAAGAGTGAAAAAGAAAGACGCTTTTTAATGATAAAAGAAAGCCACAATTAACAACAAAGAAATAGCAGTTAAGAGTATCTCTGCATCCAATAACAGAAATGACTTTTATAAAGGAAAATCTAAAAAAGGTGGAAGAATACATTTATGGGTGCACCCTAATAATAGGAGATAGCTTTTAGCTGTGGCTTACTATGATCAACCTAAGTGATTCACAAGATAGCACTGCCTTTGATATTGCTATCACTGTTTAATTGTATTAGTTGTTTTGAAAGCAATGACTTTTTTGAAGCAATAATGTATTCAACTATCATTTAAGATTTGCCAAAGAATGCCTTTTCTCTCTAAGCCATATAGTTAAGTAACCAGAGAAAGTCTTTGGTCCATTAAATATGAAGCTGAATAATAATAAAACTTAAAAAAAATGTAGTATCTCCCTCTGTCACCCAAGCTGGAGTGCAGTGGCATGATCATAGCTCACTGTAACCTCGAATTCTTGGGCTCAAGCAATTCTCCCGCCTCAGCCTACCTAGTAGGTAGGACTAAAGGCATGAATCACTATTCCTGGTTGATTTAAAAAAAATTTTTTTTAGCTACAGAGTCTTGTTATGTTGCCTAGGCTGGTCTTGAACTCCTGGCCTCAAGCAAGCCTCCCATCTTGGCCTCCCAAAGTAGGGCTGAGATTTACAGGTATCACCCACCACACCAGGCCAATGCTAAAACTTTTGAGTCAGGAAACCAACTCTATGTCTCTAAACCTTCAGGTTAAAATGCATACAGTAATGGAATAAGTTGACTTTAATTGTCATTAATGGAAGACACATGTATGCTGCATTTGAAGGAGCATAGAACTTTGGGTTCCAAAGACAGAAAATTAAGTCCAACTTTCACTTCTTAGCTATGATATTTGGGTAACTTATTTAATCTTTCTGTGCCTTTGTTTAATCTGATATGTGGCCAAAAATTTGATAGTATGTGAAATTGCTCTTAAAAATCTAAATGATTAGCAAATGATAAAATAAAGGGGTATGTTGATTTCATGAGTAAGTGAATTTTATAAAATTAGCCAATAGAATTATGTGATTATTTTGAGATTATGTTCAGAGTGACATGATTGGTAATGAAAATAGTTAACATTGATTACTTTCCTAATATGCAACTCTGATAATATATGTTTTTAACAAAACAACTCTCAGCAAAAATTTATTTTAACTGGATTTTTTACTTTGGCTTCATTAAAGAGTGGGAGACAAACCAAGTTAAAACGGTTATAATACATTTTTCTAAATAGTATTACCTTGAAATACTATTACATAGTATTTAGGCAAAGTTTTTTTTGCCTATTTACTATTATATAGTAAATAGGCAAAGTTGAAATCAGAAGGACTGAATAGACTGTATTTGCACTGGACTAAAACTGAAATGGTAGAGTTTCCATGATATTCAAATGAGAAAGACTGACAATCACTCTGAGAATTTACAAGAACAGGGAAAGAAAAAAGTCACTTACTTAAGTCATAAATTGCAATATGGAATAAATGGCCTGTAAAAGGAGAAATTATTTCTTATAGTGAAGAAATAGTTGCAGGTTCAGCATAAGTACACTCTCTAGTCACCTTCATCTTTAAAAGAAGCTGAATTGTAGCACCATCCTCAGCTAAAATCTGCAGCTTTTGGCAAATCAGTCAAGAAAAAAGTAGGAAGGCTTTTAAAGTGATGTTTACATCTTTAGGTTTTATAGTCTCATTTAAATAATGAACTTGTAATACATATTTATAAACATGGTTTTTAAAATTGTTTTTATTTTATTTATTTATTTATTTATTTTTGAGAAAGGCTGGAGTGCCATGGCACCATCAAAGCTCTCTGCAGTCTTGATCTCCTGGGCTCAAGCCATCCTCTCACCTCTTTCTCTCAAGTAGCTGGGACTACAGGCATGTGTCACCATGCCCAGCCTGATTTAATCTAAGTGTCTGCAACGATATTTTGAATAGAAATGCCTTTAAGAAGTTCCTATCATTTTACCATTTTCTAAGCAGACAAATAGTATGCACTTAAATTAGTTCTTCAATTTTTTTACTTAAAGTTATAAGAATAATTTGTTTTTAGAATTTTGTTCTCAGTTGATGTTAAGATGGCTGGCTTGTAGTCATTGACAGATTATAATTGCTCTTTATATGCAATAGTAATTGAAATTTTTTGTTTTGGTTCATTATTTTTAATAAACTATAGGAAAAAATCTGGACAAACCTTACAATCTTAAATTTTCTTAAGTAATTTATCAAATTATTACCATGTAGTATTTTCACTTTATAAAATTATGTCATTTATATGTAATTGTTGGTTACTACTTTTTTCTTGACTGGATTACCAAAAGCAATAGATTTTAGCTCAACATGGTGCTATGATCCAACCCATTATAAAAAGAGAATGAAGCCAGCTGCAGATTGTATTTATGCAAATCTATTTTTATAGACCATACTTTTTTCATTCTTTTTTATTATTTTTATTTGATTATTATTATACTTTAAGTTTTAGGGTACATGTGTACAATGTGTAGGTTAGTTACATATGTATACATGTGCCATGCTGGTGTGCTGCACCCATTAACTCGTCATTTAGCATTAGGTATATCTACTAATGCTATCCCTCCCCCCTCCCCCCACCCCACCACAGTCCCCAGAGTGTGATGTTCCCCTTCCTGTGTCCATGTGTGTTCTCATTGTTCAATTCCCAACTATGAGTGAGAACATGCGGTGTTTGGTTTTTTTTCCTTGCAATAGTTTACCGAGAATGATGATTTCCAATTTCATCCATGTCCCTACAAAGGACATGAACTCATCATTTTTTATGGCTGCATAGTATTCCATGGTGTATATGTGCCACATTTTCTTAATCCAGTCTATCATTGTTGGACATTTGGGTTGGTTCCAAGTCTTTGCTATTGTGAATAGTGCTGCAATAAACATACGTGTGCATGTGTCTTTATAGCAGCATGATTTATAGTCCTTTGGGTATATACCCAGTAATGGGATGGCTGGGTCAAATGGTATTTCTAGTTCCAGATCCCTGAGGAATCGCCACACTGACTTCCACAATGGTTGAACTAGTTTACAGTCCCACCAACAGTGTAAAAGTGTTCCTATTTCTCCACATCCTCTCCAGCACCTGTTGTTTCCTGACTTTTTAATGATTGCCATTCTAACTGGTGTGAGATGGTATCTCATTGTGGTTTTGATTTGCATTTCTCTGATGGCCAGTGATGGTGAGCATTTTTTCATGTGTTTTTTGGCTGCATAAATGTCTTCTTTTGAGAAGTGTCTGTTCATGTCCTTCGCCCACTTTTTGATGGGGTTGTTTGTTTTTTCTTGTAAATTTGTTTGAGTTCATTGTAGATTCTGGATATTAGCCCTTTGTCAGATGAGTAGGTTGCGAACATTTTCTCCCATTCTGTAGGTTCCCTGTTCACTCTGATGGTAGTTTCTTTTGCTGTGCAGAAGCTCTTTAGTTTAATTAGATCCCATTTGTCAATTTTGTCTTTTGTTTCCATTGCTTTTGGTGTTTTAGACATGAAGTCCTTGCCCATGCCTATGTGCTGAATGGTAATGCCTAGGTTTTCTTCTAGGGTTTTTATGGTTTTAGGTCTAACCTTTAAGTCTTTAATCCATCTTGAATTAATTTTTGTATAAGGTGTAAGGAAGAGATCCAGTTTCAGCTTTCTACATATGGCTAGCCAGTTTTCCCAGCACCATTTATTAAATAGGGAATCCTTTCCCCATTGCTTGTTTTTCTCAGGTTTGTCAAAGATCAGATAGTTGTAGATATGAGGCGTTATTTCTGAGGGCTCTGTTCTGTTCCATTGATCTATATCTCTGTTTTGGTGCCAGTACCATGTTGTTTTGGTTACTGTAGCCTTGTAGTATAGTTTGAAGTCAGGTAGTGTGATGCCTCCAGCTTTGTTCTTTTGGTTTAGGATTGACTTGGCAATGCGGGCTCTTTTTTGGTTCCATATGAACTTTAAAGTATTTTTTTCCAATATTGTGAAGAAAGTCCTTGGTAGCTTGATGGGGATGGCATTGAATCTGTAAATTACCTTGGGCAGTATGGCCATTTTCACGATATTGATTCTTCCTACCCATGAGCATGGAATGTTCTTCCATTTGTTTGTATCCTCTTTTATTTCCTTGAGCAGTGGTTTGTAGTTCTCCTTGAAGAGGTCCTTCACATCCCTTATAAGTTGGATTCCTAGGTATTTTATTCTCTTTGAAGCAATTGTGAATGGGAGTTCACTCATGATTTGGCTCTCCGTTTGTCTGTTATTGGTGTATAAGAATGCTTGTGATTTTTGCACATTGATTTTGTATCCTGAGACTTTGCTGAAGTTGCTTATCAGCTTAAGGAGATTTGGGGCTGAGACAATGGGGTTTTCTAAATATACAATCATGTCATCTGCAAACAGGGACAATTTGACGTCCTCTTTTCCTAATTGAATACCCTTTATTTCCTTCTCCTGCCTGATTGCCTGGCCAGCACTTCCAACACTATGTTGAATAGGAGTGGAGAGAGAGGGCATCCCTGTCTTGTGCCAGTTTTCAAAGGGAATGCTTCCAGTTTTTGCCCATTCAGTATGATATTGGCTGTGGGTTTGTCATAGATAGCTCTTACTATTTTGAGATACATCCCATCAGTACTAATTTATTGAGAGTTTTTAGCATGAAGGTTGTTGAATTTTGTCAAAGGCCTTTTCTGCATCTATTGAGATAATCATGTGGTTTTTGACTTTGGTTCCGTTTATATGCTGGATTACATTTATTGATTTGTGTATATTGAACCAGCCTTGCATCCCAGGGATGAAGCCCACTTGATCATGGTGGATAAGCTTTTTGATGTGCTGCTGGATTCAGTTTGCCAGTATTTTATTGAGGATTTTTGCATCAATGTTCATCAAGGATATCGGTCTAAAATTCTCTTTTTTGGTTGTGTCTCTGCCCAGCTTTGGTATCAGGATGATGCTGGCGTCATCAAATGAGTTTGGGAGGATTCCCTCTTTTTCTATTGATTGGAATAGTTTCAGAATGAATGGTACCAGTTCCTCCTTGTACCTCCAGTAGAATTCAGCTGTGAATCCATCTGGTCCTGGACTCTTTTTGCTTGATAAGCTATTGATTATTGCCACAATTTCAGAGGCTGTTATTGGTCTATTCAGAGATTCAATTTCTTCCTGGTTTATTCTTGGGAGGGTGTATGTGTCGAGGAATTTATCCATTTCTTCTAGATTTTCTAGTTTATTTGCGTAGAGGTGTTTGTAGTATTCTCTGATGGTAGTTTGTATTTCTGTGGGATCAGTGGTGATATCCCCTTTATCATTTTTTATTGCGTCTATTTGATTCTTCTCTTTTCTTCTTTATTAGTCTTGCTAGCGGTCTATCAATTTTGTTGATCCTTTCAAAAAACCAGCTCCCGGATTCAATAATTTTTTGAAGGGTTTTTTGTGTCTCTATTTCCTTCAGTTCTGCTCTGATTTAAGTTATTTCTTGCCTTCTGCTAGCTTTTGAATGTGTTTGCTCTTGCTTTTCTAGTTCTTTTAATTGTGATGTTAGGGTGTCAAGTTTGGATCTTTCCTGCTTTCTCTTGTGGGCATTTAGTGCTATAAATTTCCTTCTACTCACTGCTTTGAAAGCGTCCCAGAGATTCTGGTATGTTGTGTCTTTGCTCTCATTGGTTTCAAAGAACATCTTTATGTCTGCCTTCATTTCCTTATGTACCCAGTAGTCATTCAGGAGCAGGTTGTTCAGTTTCCATGTAGTTGAGTGGTTTTGAGTGAGTTTCTTAATCCTGAGTTCTGGTTTGATTGCACTGTGGTCTGAGAGACAGTTTGTTATAATTTCTGTTCTTTTACATTTGCTGAGGAGAGCTTTACTTCCAAGTATGTGGTCAATTTTGGAATAGGTGTGGTGTGGTGCTGAAAAAAATGTATATTCTGTTGATTTGGGGTGGAGAGTTCTGTAGATGTCTATTAGGTCCTCTTGGTGCAGAGCTGAGTTCAATTCCTGGGTATCCTTGTTAACTTTCTGTCTTGTTGATCTGTCTAATGTTGACAGTGGGGTGTTAAAGTCTCCCATTATTATTGTGTGGGAGTCTAAGTCTCTTTGTAGGTCACTCAGGACTTGCTTTATGAATCCGGGTGCTCCTGTATTGGGTGCATATATATTTAGGATAGTTAGCTCTTCTTGTTGAACTGATCCCTTTACCGTTATGTAATGGCCTTCTTTGTCTCTTTTTATCTTTGTTGGTTTAAAGTCTGTTTTATCAGAGACTAGGATTGCAACCCCTGCCTCTTTGGTTTTCCATTTGCTTGGTAGATCTTCCTCCGTCCCTTTATTGTGAGCCTATGTGTGTCTCTGCACGTGAGATGGGTTTCCTGAATACAGCACACTGATGGGTCTTGACTCTTTATCCAATTTGCCAGTCTGTGTCTTTTAATTGGAGCATTTAGTCCATTTACATTTAAAGTTAATATTGTTATGTGTGAATTTGATCCCATCATTATGATGTTAGCTGGTTATTTTGCTCATTAGTTGATGCAGTTTCTTCCTAGCCTCGATGGTCTTTAGAATTTGGCATGATTTTGCAGCGGCTGGTACCGGTTGTTCCTTTCCATGTTTAGTGCTTCCTCCAGGAGCTCTTTTAGGGCAGGCCTGGTGGTGACAAAATCTCTCAGCATTTGCTTGTCTGTAAAAGATTTTATTTCTCCTTCACTTATGAAGCTTAGTTTGGCTGGATAGGAAATTCTGGGTTGAAAATTCTTTTCTTTAAGAATGTTGAATATTGGCCCCCACTCTCTTCTGGCTTGTAGAGTTTCTGCTGAGAGATCAGCTGTTAGTCTGATGGGCTTCCCTTTGTGGGTAACCCGACCTTTCTCTCTGGCTGCCCTTAACATTTTTTCCTTCATTTCAACTTTGGTGAATCTGACAATTATGTGTCTTGGAGTTGCTTTTCTCGAGGAGTATCTTTGTGGCATTCTCTGTATTTCCTGAATCTGAATGTTGGCCTGCCTTGCTAGATTGGGGAAGTTCTCCTGGATAATATCCTGCAGAGTGTTTTCCAACTTGGTTCCATTCTCCCCATCACTTTCAGGTACACCAATCAGACGTAGATTTGGTCTTTTCACATAGTCCCATATTTCTTGGAGGCTTTGTTCGTTTCTCTTTATTCTTTTTTCTCTAAACTTCCCTTCTCACTTCATTTCATTCATTTCATCTTCCATCACTGATACCCTTTCTTCCAGTTGATTGCATCGGCTCCTGAGGCTTCTGCATTCTTCACGTAGTTCTTGAGCCTTGGCTTTCAGCTCCATCAGCTCCTTTAAGGACTTCTCTGTATTGGTTATTCTAGTTATACATTCGTCTAAATTTTTTTCAAAGTTTTTAACTTCTTTGCTTTGGTTTGAATTTCCTCCTGTAGCTCGGAGTAGTTTGATCGTCTGAAGCCTTCTTCTCTCAACTCGTCAAGGTCATTCTCCGTCCAGCTTTGTTCCGTTGCTGGTGAGGAACTGCGTTCCTTTGGATGAGGAGAGGTGCTCTGCTTTTTAGAGTTTCCAGTTTTTCTGCTCTGTTTTTTCCCATCTTTGTGGTTTTATCTACTTTTGGTCTTTGATGATGGTGATGTACAGATGGGTTTTTGGTGTGGATGTCCTTTCTGTCTGTTAGTTTTCCTTCTAACAGACAGGACCCTCAGCTGCAGGTCTGTTGGAGTTTGCTGGAGGTCCACTCCAGACCCTGTTTGCCTGGTTATCAGCAGCAGTGGCTGCAGAACAGCAGGTTTTTGTGAACCGTGAATGCTGCTGTCTGATTGTTCCTCTGGAAGTTTTGTCTCAGAGGAGTACCCGGCCATGTGAGGTGTCAGTCTGCCCCTACTTGGGGGTGCCTCCCAGTTAGGCTGTTCGGGGGTCAGGTGTCAGGGACCCACTTGAGGAGGCAGTCTGCCCGTTCTCAGATCTCCAGCTGCGTGCTGGGAGAACCACTGCTCTCTCCAAAACTGTCAGACAGTGACATTTAAGTCTGCAGAGGTTACTGCTGTCTTTTTGTTTGTCTGTGCCCTGCCCCCAGGGGTGGAGCCTACAGAGTCAGGCAGGCCTCCTTGAGCTGTGGTGGGTTCCACCCAGTTCGAGCTTCCCGGCTGCTTTGTTTACCTAAGCAAGCCTGGGCAATGGCGGTCGCCCCTCCCCCAGCCTCGCTGCCACCTTGCAGTTTTATCTCAGACTGCTGTCCTAGCAATCAGCAAGACTCCGTGGGCGTAGGACCCTCCGAGCCAGGTGCGGGATATAATCTCCTGGTGCGCTGTTTTTTAAGCCCGTCGGAAAAGCGCAGTATTGGGGTGGGAGTGACCCGATTTTCCAGGTGCCGTCTGTCACCCCTTTCTTTGACTAGGAAAAGGAACTCCCTGACCCCTTGGGCTTCCCGAGTGAGGCAATGCCTCGCCGTGCTTCGGCTCGCGCACAGTGCGCTGCACCCACTGTCCTGCGCCCATTGTCTGGCACTCCCTAGTGAGATTAACCTGATACCTCAGATGGAAATGAGGAAATCACCTGTCTTCTGCGTTGCTCAGGCTGGGAGCTGTAGACTGGAGCTGTTCCTATTTGGCCATCTTGGTTGCCAGACCTTTTTTCATTCTTAAGTCTTGAAATGAACATAAAATAATCAAATACCTGGGTCATTTTTACTTTTAAGTTCAGAAAAATCAGGGAAGTAGATGTGGGTAAAATGAGCATGTCCAATTCATTTAAAGCCATTATATTGATTCAGATCCCATCAGCAAAACATCCTTGAGGCTTCTCTTTCTGCAGGGTAGTTATTATTCAATAAAATAACAATAATAAAATGAAGAGCCAGTGAATTAGGGAAGGTGCATTATCTCCATCAAACTTTAGAACATGATATAATGATTTTTTAATGGAGGTCATACATTTTGTAAGTTAAATTAATATTTTTATTAAGATAGGTGGAATTATGTGCCTTCACATCTATTCATAATGATTTTGAGTGGTATGTGAGCCCTATTTACAGTTAGGCATCATTCATATTCTACTTTAAGGGATAACTCAATGCTTCATTACACTAATTATGTTATTACAGAAGAAAAAGAACATGAATGAGTACAAAATCACCTGCCAATACAAACTGCTAGAATGAAATGAAGAGATCTATTTATTACGCTCATATTTTCTTTCAAATCTATACACTAATGCCATCCTTGCCAAAAATTTATAACTTAATCAAAAGAAATGCAATAGGCTAATATCTGTGGTAGCAACTTTTGATGTTAATGAGTAAACTGGCAGTCATATAAAATCATATGATCATAAGAAATACAGATGCAAGAAAGAACACATTGCCTAGCAGCTTGATATTTCTTCTCCTCTTCCATAAAAATTATAGCTATGGAAAGGTTTTTCAAAATCAACATTATCATTGTGAAGTTGTGGAGGTAGACTTTCAAAGTATAACTATGTGTGGTTGCTTTCCATTGAAGTGGCAGTAACATGAATGCCCATTAGCCATAGCACTCTCTGAGGAAAAGCTCACATGAACCTACAGGTTAGCAAGGTCTCTAACAAAATACACTTAATGAGGAATAAAGAAAATAATTCATGCTGATATTCATCATTAATTTATTGAATAAACCTTAACTGAGGGCCTTCCGTGTGTCAGGCATTGTGCTAGGTGCTGGTGACATGGTATTAGGCAAAATTGACACAATCCTTTTTGTATGAAGCATAAAGGCCTTATAGAAATAATTACACCAATTCCATATTGTTGGAGGTTATGATCAGTGCTAAGAAGGGAAGGGGCAGGAAGCTATGGAAAGTTTAATTTTGATTGGTTGGTCAAATGTGGTTTCTTCAAGAAGTTAACAATTAACTGGAACCTGAAAGATTCATGCTGTGCCAATTTTTCATTAGGCTACAGCGTTATTGGAAAAAAGAGCTGTGTTTCAGTCTCAAGTTTGGTAGATGCAAAGCTATAGTTGTGTGATGAGTATATTAAAAAGTCATAGCTTAAAGCAAAATATCTATAAAAATATTTCTAAAAGAAAATTTGGAGGACATTAAACAAACTATACCACATTAATATTTGTTTTATTGTTGAACAATCACAAGAATTGTGACTGGGGCAGAATTCTAATACTATATATAGAGACTCCCCTCTGTGGCCACTTTTAATTTCAGGCAACACAGATTTTAAAGCTGCCGTCGAGTGACTATCACAATAACTACTATTAGTGATCATTTATACTGGTGAACATTGTGGTGGGTTTTACACAGAATAAAATGCTCCTACCTGGATGGAAAAAGCTATGTGAGTACCAATTGAATTCCTAAGCCTCTTTTTTCGCATTGAAACTAAATTTAAGTGCACATGACAAAGACACTAATGTGAAAAGGAGAATGGGATGAATTAGTATTAAAAAGAACATATAACTCACTTCAGATGTTATCTTAATCCCAATTTTGATAGTTCAGTTTTGTAGAACATCAAAATTACAAATGGGTTTCCAAAAAGTGAAACAAAAGTGACTGCCTTTTCCAATCTGGTTAAAACAAAACAAAATGCATTAGTAGGTTTGGTCATAAATTTTTTAAGTTAAATTAATATTTTCCTTTAATGAAATACAAGACATTTGAAAATAACATTTATTGCACAAAGTAAAAATAAGTACTCTTTGGTGAAACATTTCTCTGTGTGTGTGCGTGTTTGTGTGTGTGTGTGTTTGTGTGTGTGTGTGTGTGTTTGTGCCTGTGTTCTGGATTGCACAGAACAACGCATTTCAATGCTATGGATAGCAGTCAAAAAAATTGAAGGGTACTGGAAGTCTTTCCATGATAACGGAACTTTTTCTACCATGCTAACCCAAGTTCTCTTACCTGTAAATATGAGATATCACTCCTGTGAGCATGTTGGCTTATATGGTGGCAAAAAGACTTATCCAAGTGGAGTTATTCTCATCCTATTAACATTTTAAAAGCAGATAATGTTCTCTGGCTTATAAGTGAAAGGGGTGTCCAAGTGAAGCATGAAAAAGCTTCTACATGCAGTCGCTGGCTTTGACCATGGAAAGGGCCTCGTTAGAAGAAATGTGGGTTGCCTGTAGGAGCAGAGCATGGCCCCTGGCTGATAGCCAGCAAGGAAGCAGGGACCTCAGTCCTACAACCCTAAAGAACTGAGTCCGCTATTGACTTGAATTAGCATGAAAGCAGATTTTTTCCAGAGCCTCTAGATAAGAGCTGGGCCCAGCTGGCACCTAGACTTCATCCTTGTGAGACATTAAACAGAGAACCCAGATGAGGTCCCTGGACTTCTGACTTACAGAACAGTGAGCTAACAAATGGGTATTGTTTTAAGCTACTAGGTTTTTTTGGCAATTTGTTACACAGCAGTAGAAAACTAATACTGTTAGTCAATACAGTTAATGTAAGAGGTACAAGAAGAAGTAATGAGGATGATAGCTTAAGCAAAAAGTACAGTCTCAGCCAAATGATTCGTAGAGAACAGGGGTGAAGAACAGAAGAATTGCAGGATGTAGCAGGTGAAAGCCTGGCCTTTTTGTTAGGTAAAACTGTTTCTTCCCTATCAAAGAGAATGGATTTGAGGAAATGTCTACATTTTATTTATTTTTTTCTCATATTCTCCTAAATAAATACGGAAGATTCAGGCTTAGAATTTTCTAAAGTTATGTTCTGAAGGACAAAGAAGTTTGGGAAAGAATCAGAAGTTGCACTTCACCACAATCCATCTTAATAGAAAAACTTTATTGGATTTGAACAAGTCTGAATAGAAATTGAATTAAATTTATGCCAAAAAAGCGGAAGATACTTTGTTTGGATTAATATGAACTAATAAGTCAAGTGATCAAATCAATGCATTGCTAGATTGGTGGCACAAGAGAAAAAGGAAACATTGGAAAGCTCTGCTTGCATAATATACACAATCAATCAAAACACTGATGGATCAAAAGCAGATAAATGGGAAATTTATTCCATAATGTACAGATTGAAATTCCTCTGAGACTTTGGCTAACAAATATTACCTACTTAAGGAAAGCTTCTCAGAAATTAAAACCCAGAGCTGTCAGATCATGGAAAGGAAATTTCTGAATAGGCTGTAATTGTTATTGAAACACTGAGGCAATTAAAATCTTAAATTCGAGAAAAGGCAAAGAGCTGATGGCTTCCCAGGAGAAAGCTATAAAACTTTAAGTATCTCCTGTGCTCTAAACTGTTCAAAGGACTGGCAGGATTATTATGTTTTTAAATCCTTTCCCTGCAGTGTAACCTCACAGAAATCCATTAATAAGCAACTACTATGAGCATTATTTTCTTTGCTTTAAGATTTATGCGATAAAGAGGTAAATGCTAGGCCCACAGAGAATTAATAATAGAAAAAAAATAGAAGAAAGATGAGCAATAAGTATCATTAACATCGTATAGTTTGATCAAAGATTATCAAATTCTTTTCCCTCCTGTTGCCCTGTAAATCCTTAATAGAGTCCAGCAAACAATGAAAATAAAACGACTTTCAACTCGATAAATGAAAAAAGAAAAAAAAAAACCTGTTATCTGTGTACTTTAATTCAGCTTTGCTCCTACTTCTATTACTGTCCATCTTTGTGGAGTTTTTTGACTGAAGAAAAACATTGTTTCTAGAGTTTCTAATCTTATTTTCTACACTCAAATATTACACGTAACTGCTACACTTAATTTCGTGATTTTAAGTAGCACATATAAGACTTCCCTTTGTTCTTCCACATATTCTTTTTCGTTTCTCGGTAAATTTGAAGCATCATCTCAGTACATGCTATTGATTATATACAGATTTTGTTTGCAAGTAGAGGTGGAAGGAAGAAGGTAAAACAGATATAGGCATAGCCTAAAAGTCACTATATTGCCAAAGATGAAGGGTGACGTGACTGTTGTAGTTAATAAAAGATACCAGTGAATCAAACTTTACTGCAGCCTTTGGAGGATAGATATAAGTTCATTTTTTCCTGGTATGCTTAATGTATGGTCTTGCTTGAAGTCAGAGAAAAGTACCGATGCCTATATAATGCTGTTCAATAATATATAAAGCATGCTCATTTATAGGACTTTGAGGAATTGACTAATATATTGAAAGCATGCTACTTGAACAAAACTGTCTCATTAGTGACATTCATTTGTTTCCTAGTGTGATTATGTGATTCCTGTTGTTAATGAAAAAGAAATCTTGCTAAATCCAATCTTAAATTATACTTAAATAGGGACAATGACATTAAGCCTCACTGCAACTCATCATCATTATTATAATTGTGCATTTATATAGCATTTCATATTTGCAATGTGCAGGATAAATGACCCCATAATAACTCTCCTACTGAGTTTGGAGGGTCAGGGTGAGCATATAACTGTATTGTTCAATTAACTGAGTGAAAAGCTCACAAAACCTCATAGGAATTATTTGCTCACTGTAGCTACTATTTGCACAGTGTTGGTGGTTCCCAGCTAGTGTTTACTACTGAATGGGAAAATATTTAAATTATTGTTTATAAAATTCTGCTATTAAAAAATTCATGGCTCTTCAAAAGATTTCAGTGAATAAATATCATGGTGCTAGGAATTATATAATACAATATGTTTAAATAATTTTTTTGTGTTTATTAAAATGAACTTGTAAGGATAAAGGAAGACAATCATGATGACATTGAAGATAAATTTGAAACAGAGCCTTATAACAGAGGGTCGATTATTTAGTAAAAGCAGATATTTAGCTTAAGAAAGCCAAAGAGCATTCTTCCTATTTGTTGTTTCTTGTCTCTACTCATGCACAACCAAACATATTTTAAACCTTCCAATCCTAGTCTTAGCTAAAAAGTCTGAATCTATAGTATCAAAAACAAAACAAGAAAACCCAACGCTATGTTTTTGTTCCCATATCATACAATCATTGGGATATCTTCTGTTTCGAGGTTCATTTTAGGGTCTCTAACAAAATGAAAGAATCATATCTATTTAAAATTTCTTCATCAAATAATACTTATTGTTCTTAAAAGCATACCAAATTTCTACAAGCCTTAATAAGTTAGGTAATCGGTTTGCGTGACAAATTTCCCTAAGGGGATGAGTCTGTAGTCACCACATTCTTATTTTTAAAAGGCCAGAAATTATAATCTTGCTTGTCATGAGAAAGCCTAAAGGGAGGCAAATTGTCAATAACTCTTGCCCCTTGATTTTAAAGTTTCAATGGTAAACTGTGAAAATAGCTGAAAATATTAAAATAAAAAATAAAGCTTTTCTACTTCTTTGCAACCCTCCAATATCAAAATATAGCAGTGATTTTTAGATTATTGGTTAGAAATACAGAGGACATTGTGCTACTAGTGAGGTTTGAAATAGATTGTTGTGCCCAGGCATGGTGGCTCACGCCTGTAATCCCAGCACTTTGGGAGGCTGAGGTGGGCCAGATCACCTGAGGTCAGGAGCTCGAGACCAGCCTGGCCAACATGACGAAGCCCCATCTCTACTAAAAATACAAAAATTAGCCCATCATGGTGGCGGGAGCCTGTAATCCCAGCTACTCTACTCAGGAGGCTGAGGCAGGAGAATCGTTTGAACCTGGAGGCGGAGGTTGCAGTAAGCCGAGATTGTACCTCTGCACTCCAGCCCGGGCAAAAAGAATGAGACTCTGTCTAAATCTGTGTGTGTATATATATATATATATATATATATATATATATATATATATATATATATATATATATATTTAGTTGAGGAATAGAATGAACAGAGTTTGGAATACATATAATCCATGGTTTCATAACGCACAAGTAGATGGAATGTATTTTGGGTGTTCGAAATATTAATTGTAATAACAAAATAAAAAAGAAATTCTATGTAAAATACCTGAATTTCACCATGTGAAAATTACTAATAAATGGAAGCCATGAAAAAATTTATGGAATAAAATTTATTCTTCCTCATGCTTTCAAGAGTGAAGGAAAATAAACAGTTTCATTAATTATCTTACTTTTTTCCTTTAGATGAGCAATATTATTTTCCCAGGGAAAAGCTAAGTGGGGCAATTCTAAAATCTGAGGCAGTTCCAAAGATATTAATTGTTTATACCTTAAAACTGTCAGGAAAAACATAGTAAAGTTTGATAATTACTATCATGTTTGACACTAAATGATACTTTTTCTAGAGTTTTGTTTGGTCATGCCATTATTTGTCTATTTTTTCATAGGTAGAGAGACTTCAGCCATAAGGCATTGCAAACTACCCAAAAGAACAATGTGCTTCCATTATGTTTTCTCTCTTCTCATTGTTCCATTTATTTTTCTACGTATCTCCACATTAGATCATAATCCCTGTTCTTCCCATGACGTTCATTTTGTGGCTATCATTTGTGTCGGGTGACTGTACTTTCTTTTCTAAACTTCTCCTTCACTACAACTGAAATATTTATGCTCTAGGTCAGTGGTTCTCAACCAGGGGTGATTTTATCCCTGAGGAGATATTTGAAGATGTCTGGAGTCATTAATGCCGTTCATAATTGGAAAATTGTGGCTACTGGCATCTAGTGGGTGAATGTCAGAAATGCTGCAAAACAACCTGCAGTGCACAGGACAACCCTCCACAACAAAGAAACATTTGGCCCAAAATGTCAATAGTGCCAAGGATGAGAAACCCTGGTCTAGCTATACCTTGTCCATGACTTAATCTCTTTTTATTTATCATAACTCTTTACTGAGGTGTCTATATCCAATTATGTAAGTTTCACATAGATCTTTGTAATCTACTTCCTATTATCTTTTAAAAGACAGGAAGTCCTGGGATGTTCTACACAGAGCTCTTATACTGGTCATCTGAAGCTATTTTATAATCCTTGATATGGAGTAATATGGAGACACTTCTTTTCTCTCCATACTTCCCTTATCCTTCTTCCGTATCTCTTTCCTCTGTCCATTCTTTGCATTTTCCTTTCTCTATCCCTTCCTTTATTGCTCTATCTTACCTAACAAACATAAAAAACTGAAACATGCTGTTTTTGTTTGACATATATATTGAAATATTTATATGCTTGATATTAAACAGTTACTTGAGGGAATATTGTATTATTTATCTGTAATAACATAAAAAAACTGGTTGCTATCTACTATGCTATCCTTGACAGAAAGAAGTCATCTCTCCTATCTCTGAACTCCTTTCAGCTGTTTCACGTGGTTTCATTCCCAAGCTTCTTTTCATACTCTTCCTTGTATTATACTGCTTTTATGCTCCAAAGTCCTCATACAGTGCTTTGTACATAGTAGGCACTCAAGAAATACTTGTTGAATAAACTTTCTGTGAGCCATTGGCTTTCAAAGAAAAAAAGCAAGCTGTGTATTTTGAGATGGAAATGGGCTAACGTTTGGTATGTTAATTCATTTTTTCAAATTTATCTTGTAGGCAGCATTTCTGCTGATTATCTTCTTTAGTCACAATACTTATTCTTATAATACCTATATTGCTGAGCACTTAAAAAGTTATTTTAACATGAGAGAAAAGTTTTACCAAAAGTTTATAGTATATTCAAATCACCCCATACAGTAATAGATCTCAAAAGTAGTGGCAAAAAAAAATGTAAAGAATATATATATTCAGATACTGACTTGGTTCATGATGCTGAAGTCACATGCCTCTAGTTAATAAATGTATACATAAAAAAGATCTTACAATGAATACTTAAATCTTCTAATTATATGTTATAAGGTAAAGCTACTTAATTACATAAAGCTATTTATTTTTTAAAAAAGAAAAAGTTAAGCATAAATATCCTCTTGGAAATGTTCACAAGAACTGGCATTGTCCATGTCGTTGACTGTAGAACTCACTAATTGTCTTATATTAGGCAATAAATTACTTGAAGTCTTATTATGAAATGAGTGGGCAGGAATAAGTATTTCTGAAATGCTTTACTTTCTTTTTGGCTGGAAAGTGATAATGTTCAGTAATGATATCTGGTGACTATTAAAATTATATTCTTCTTGAAGTAAAACATATAACCTGAAACATCACATTTTAGAGATGAGCAAAATGCTTTTTCTGGGATTGTCTAATAGTCAAACTAAATACTTCTGAAGTATAAAAATTCTTCTGAAGAGAAAAATTGATAGTCACTTCTCCTGAGAGGAATACTTTCTCTATGAAAATGAAGATAAAAATTTAGGAGAAATGTAATATTTATTTTTTAGGAAAGATTCAGAATCTTCCCTTAGCAGGAAAATAAAGCCTGAAAATAGTTTGGCTGTGGTATTTTCTCTCCTAAGGTTTCAAAAATTCCAAGCTAGTAGTAATTGTATCAAGAAGATATATAGACGTTATTTTTTTTCTAAGAAGCAGTGGCCATCTGGGATGAACACATTTTATGAAGAAATCTATTCATTTGTATAAATATACTTGTAATTTGTATTAAACATTCAAAGACACCAAATATAATTGATCAAGTGAATCCGAACTATGTCTCTAACTATCAGCGTAGATATTTGTCAGTAAATTCCCTAAGACAGGACCTGGCAAAAAGTAGGAGTTCAGTAAATATCTATTGAATGAAGAAACTATTGAGTAGTTAAGACATTGTAGAGAATATACACAGAATTAAGATAGCATGTATGGTAGAGAATATAATCAAAAAGAAAATTCAAATAATTGTTTAAAAACTTGCTTTGTCAAAGATAGAGAGTCAACAAAAAAGCAAGTGTTATATGATAAACAGGTAAACTTTGGTTTCATACAGAAATCCTTTCTAAATTGCATCTCTCATTAGTCTGTAACAGAGCAAAATAAGCTTGACTTCTATGATAAGTGGGCTTCATCACTAATATTGTTCTGTAACCTCTAACACTTAGCATCGGGCAGTTGATAATGTGATTTTCATTTTACCCTAGTCCTGTATATGCCCATTTCTAGCTCACAAACACTTGTTTGCCATTGACTTCTGTATAATTAGTATTTCACTACTAAGAAAAATTCTCAAGGGAACCAAAGAAGCAAGTAATCTAGTATTCATTTTAAAGAAAAGTCCTGTCTTTCTCACTGTATGACTTTGTTCTACAAGACACTCAATCATTTTTACCTTCAATTGCTTCTTCTATAAAATGGAATTAGTAAGAGTTGAGGATTTTTATAAGGATTGAGAATGATAAAAATTAAGATAATTATTATAATCAATATGATTGTGATGCTAAAGTAAAAGTATTGATATCCATGGAAGGAATATATGTTTAATGACCCAACTCTTTCTCATCCATAAATAGGATGCGATGCAGTGTCAAAAAAGGAATCAACCTAGGGTATAAGTCATATGTTTTCCATGACACGATAAATGTATTAAATCAGTCTCAAATTTTTTCTAGTATTGTCTTTAAATGAATCAAGCAAAACATTGCATGCTTATTGTTTTTAATCCGTATTGAGTTCTATTTTTATAACATTCATCTCAAGCTGATACTCAACTAATATAAAGGAGAGCACCTGCCCTATTATCCCAGAATCAATGATTTTCTATTTAGTTACTAATTTGCTCATTATGGTATAAAGAAATCCTTTATGGTTCATCTATTTTTTTGTGAGCTACTTCCTAAAATGCAGGCTTTCAGTTAAAATTTCTTCATTGTATTCTATTTTCTATGTACAATTTTATTGTTAGAGTTGAATGAAAAATGAGAGAAGAAAATGATACTGAAAAAGAAACATCTTGAAGGGTATAGAGGCAGATGAAAAACAGTCAAATATCAAAATAATGTAGTGTTAGTTTTAGTTTCTTTTCAAAAGTATTCTGGAGAAGAAAAGAAACAATAAAAGGAAAACTATCACATATTAAATGAAAGGTACTGTGCTAGGAAGAACTTCTGCATGTTAGCATATTTAATTCTTGCCCCCTACTTGGAGAGGAGGAAATGGCTGGGTTGCAAGCTGGAAGTTCTTAACCAGATATACATCTGCATCTCCCAAAAGTCAAGAACTGTCACTATCATCGTTATTGCTCTGAGGATAAAGGCTGACTTTCTGGGGTGCTGCTCAGATGTGTTGACCAAAATAATTCCTCACTCAGGAAACAGACTTTTCAAATTAGTGATAGACGTGACAGATGCTTTAGTTGGAGATGCTGCTGAAAGTTTCAGCATTGCTGTTCCTATTATTTGAATTGAAAAAATGAAGTGTGTCTCCAGAGCTGTCAAATTGATACCTTTTATAAATAATGAGTTCAAAAAAATGAGTTATGAATTATCTCACAAATGACAGCCAATGATCCCAGCAATAACTGCAAACTTAATTTCACTTTAAAAAGTACTGCATCACAAACCAAATTTAATCTACCATATTATAGTTCTACTTTAACTATTAAGTTACTGACTTAGGAACATTAAATGTTGTATTAAAATTATAATAAATGTTAGTTTATAGTTTACCATCTTTACATTGATTGGTTATAATGAGTCATTTCACTACTACAAATCCTATACTCACTTTCATTTGGAGGAAGTGATGCTGTCTTTGAAGTCACACAGAAATGGTTGTCTGGCATATGAAAAAAAATGCTTAACATCACCAATTATCAGGGAAATGCAAATCAAAACCACAATGCGATACCATCTTACTCTTGTAAGAATGGTCAGAGTTAAAACATAAAAAAAAAATAGATGTTGGTGTGGATGTGGTGAAAAGGGAACACTTTTACACTGTCAGTGGAAGTGTAAACTAGTACGACCACTATGGAAAACAGTACGGAGATTCCTTAAAGAACTGAAAGTAGAACTACTATTTGATCCAGCAATTCCACTACTGGGTATCTATGCAGAGGAAAATAAGTCATTATATGAATAAGACACTTGCACACACATGTTTATAGCAGCACAATTTGCAATTGCAAAAATATGGAAGCAGCCTAAATGCCCATCAAGCAATGAGTGGATAAAGAAAATGTGATATATATATATATATATATATACGCATACATACCATGGAATACTACTCAGCCATAAAAAGGAATGAAATAATGGCATTCACAGCAACCTAGATGAAGTTGGAGACCATTATTCTAAGTGAAGTAACTCAGGAATGGAAAACCAAACATTGTATGTTCTCACTTATAAGTGAGAGCTAAGGTATGAGGATGCAAAAGTCATAAGGATGATATAATGGACTCTGGGGACTCGAGGGGAAGGGTTACAGGGGCACGAGGAATAAAAGTCTACACATTGAGTGCAACATACACTGCTTGGGTGATGGGTGCATCAAAATCTCAGAAATCACCAGTAAAGAACTTATCTATGTAACTAAAAACCACCTGTACCCAGAAAATGTTGAAATAATAATAATAAAAGAAATGGTGGTCTGGAACACCACAGCTATGCAAATTTTCTCAGTTTTCTCTTTAATGCTAGGCCCTGGCCAGCCAAATTGTACTAACTCTGTTCAGTCTGATTTGTTAAACAAAACGCCTATTTACTTACTAGCTTATAGAAAGAAAATGTAAGCAGATGTACAGACTCAATTCGCATCTACATTTCTATGACTAGGAATAAAAATCTGTTAAAATTAGAATTCACCTTATCAACCATTAAGAAATGAATGATAAAATAGTTTTCTAATCCCAGGTAGCAAAAGTACTACATGTATAATTCAGCTGAACCAAGTGAACTACTTATTAAACCTGACAAATTATAAGACGATTTTTAAATTATGTCATGGTTGCTTATGTATGTTTATCATTAATAAAAATTCATTTTTCTACATAGTGGTGTGCGCTGTAGGACAATTGCTACAGCATTGGAGTAGCACTTGTTCCCAGATGCATGTGAATTTCTTTTCTTTTCTTTTCTTTTTTTTTTTTTTTGAGATGGAGTCTCATTCTGTCACCCAGGCTGGAGTGCAGTGGCATGATCTCGGCTCACTGCAACCCCTGCCTCCCAGGTTCAAGCGATTCTATTGCCTCAGCCTCGCTAGTAGCTGGGATTACAGGCAGGTGCCACCACACTCGGCTAATTTTTGTATTTTTAGTAGAGACAGGGTTTCACCATGTTGGCCAGACTGGTCTCAAACTCCTGACCTCAGGTGATCAACCTGCCTCAGCCTCCCAAAGTGCTAGGATTATAGGCATGAGCCACCGTGCTCGGCCGTGAATGTCAATTCCAGGTTTGTTTTTTGTCTTTAAAAAAGTGCCATGCTTTATGAAGCAAATGGAAATTCCTCTGAGACGTTGGATAACAAATATTACCTACTTAAGGAAAGTTTCAACATTTATGACCGTTTTAATATTTATAACCATTCTACAGAAAACTTTAATGAAGATCAGGAGCATAGTAGAAAAGGAAAACGCTTGAGACATTAAAAGTTGCCCAAGAATGGAGCTGATATTTATAAAAGAAGGCAGACAAAATAAATTGTGTATTAAGAGACCGTTGGTTAAGAGTCTCAACTGCACTTTACATTTATCTATGAATTACCTATCTCATTATTTATTTGATTAAAAAACAGTAATATTTTTAAAACTTACATTATTCAGAAATTATACTTGTAAACTTTATAGATCATATTAAGCTGGTCTCAAAATTAGACAAACAAGTCAACTGTTAATTTTTATTGCAATATAATCTTAATTAATCTTAATAACAATACAAAATTCATAATAAAATAAAAACAAATTTTAGGCATTTATCCGTTCTTTGATAAAAGAATTACAAATATTTTTAAAGACTAGATATGACACACGTGAAATTTTAAGCAATGTACCAGTAAACGATGGAGTACAGGATACCTTGAGATGATGTTGAAAGACTTTCAAATTCTCAAATCAATGAAAGTACATAAAATGTGTAAAACACGAATACATTTTTAAGTAATGCATAATGCACAGGATGTATTGTGAAAGTGCAAATATAACCAGCACTAGACCAAATTGTTTTCTAAACAGTGTAAACTTGTTTTTCATCTGTATTTCCCACTTCGTATCTTGCTACACATGCTAAGTAACTGTTCTGCATAGCATTTTCCAAAGCAAGTTTTAAAGCCTTATTGGAAGAAAATATAGCTGGGGTAAATGACAGGAATAATCTTTTAAATTTATAAAATCTCTTCTAAACGTCAGTGTAATTAAGTCAGTGTCATGAACTCAACTATTACTGTAATTTTCAAAATGATGTTCCCATCATTGACTTTACACACAAATTTTATTTAACCTAAGGAAAGCACTGGCTAAAGAAGCTACATTGAATATTAAAATAATTTAAAATTTTTCTCACTCTTCTTTCAAAATAGAAACAAATTGAAATTCATGAGTCTTTGTATTATTTAATTTATTTTGTTCTTATCTGAAACGTTATAAAATTTTGCTATTTTTATTTAAGGTGAGGATATGTAAAATAAAATTGCATAAAAGTTATATAATGTATTTTACAGTTATATCCATTGATGTGTGCCATAAGTATTTTGTAACCTGTTTTTAAATGTTATTTAAAAAAATTTTTTAAATAAAATATATAAATATACTGTGTGGAAGTAATATGGGTAAAATTTCCTTTCCTTTCTAGCCTTGCCTACTTTCTAAATTAAACAAAAGATTTAAAATTGTAGACTGTTTAAAGAGTTTACATTTTTAAATGATTCATAACATTTTATTTTGATTAAAAATAACAACCTTGCCCACCTTGATAGACCTAAGGCCCTCTCAGAAATAAGTCTCTAAAACATTCTAACATTGGACCTTCAGCCTCACTAAAGATGAATAATTCTAGCAATAAATTGTCAAAGTTACCACTAAAAGCAAGAGTAATAGTACTATCTGATAGGGGGAATAATAGTTCCAAAATGTGTATGTGCTCAGTAACATCAAATTGCATACATTCTTTGTGTCTCTATTTGTCTGTGAAGAAGAGCTCTGGGGGATGTTGACCCAGTGGGGAATTATTTCTGGAACATGCCATGAAGTGGGGTAGCTAAAAATTATTCCTTCAGCTGAAGAATTTTCATATTATAATCTGGTAAAAAGTTTTAGATAACAAAGTTATTTTTATAAAAGATTCATTTTAATCATGTCTGGGAACAATAAAATATTGAAAGTGGTGAATGCTAATAGGGAAGAGCTGTCATGAAAGTTACCCAAATGATCTCAATTTATATTGTTGCTTTGAAAAGGATTTGTTCTATATCAACTGCCCTTCAGAGTATGAGGTTGTAATTATGATCATAAGATGATCAGGCCAATTTCCCTAATGATGAAAGCTTCACTGAAAAAGGGGAAATTAAATATAATCATTTTCTATTATAATATCAGGTAGCAAAATCACTACCACTACCTGTGCACATCAGCTAATTTGAGTAATAACATTTTTAACACGGATAAAGTACTGGCTAGGTAGAAATAGTTAATCCAATCCTCATTTTTTGCCTCTGCAAAATAGAACAATTGGATTAGACTCTTTTTTGTTCTAAAGTGCTATGACTTTATGATAATCCACTGCTATGACTCTATGATAATCCACTGCTATAACCTGCTTTAGATAAACGTATGGCACCTGGCAGACATCTGACACTTAGGCAATCCAGAGATTGACAATCCCTCTGGTGGCGGGTTACTGTCTAATTTCAGGTTTATATGTTAGTCAAAGATTCAACTTTCTGAAAGGTGTATCAGCACATGTAAACATACACAGTAATAAAACACACTATGCCAGTTCCAGTTCCAGTAGGAAGTTAGCACTTCACTAATGAATTCAGAAGTCATCTAATCGGTCCAATGAAGTGTTAGCAATGAAAAGAGATAGTTTTACTGACAGTCTCCATACCACTGAAGGTGTGAAACAAGAATATTCTATTAATATCTTGCTTATAAGCTGTGTAGTCAAGATAATTAAGCATTGTTCTTGTGGAATGAGAAGATTTAATTAGTCTGGGACATTTAGAAACTATTAATAAAAGTCTAAATATTACTCAATCTTACAGCTGCTAACTGGTTCACTAATACATTATAGTGGAATTTATTAATGATATAAATTAATGGTGTTTATGGTATAAATGTTATAAATTAATAAAATATTTTTAAACATGATGATAACCTTTAGAAAACAAATATCCATCAAATTTGAAGGTCACTAAAATGTCATGACTGCAGTATACAAATTGTATTACTGCTCTTGTTTCCCTTTCAGTGCATCAAACTACATCTCATTATTAATTGAAAGATTTTAGCCTTTTGATCTATTGATGTATTTATATAAACTTCTTACCTGTCTAGACTTCAAGAAAAAGGCTTTTCATGGCAGAGATTTTTGATAAAAACAGCTATTATAAATTAAACTTTTAAAATAGTAAACCATTTATATCATGGTTATTTTTTAAGTATCTTGTTTTAGTCCTTTTCCTGTAAAGACCTATTTTTAATGTACTATAATGAGGAGAAATACAATCCTCCCACTACCATTCTCATTTTCTTAGATTTGGTATTTTTGCAAAAAAGCTGCAATACTTTATATGCCAAAAAAGTTTTTGCACTTATTCTTAGAGTGTTTGTAAAGAGTCTCATAAAAGTAGAAATTATCTGCCTATTTTTCCTTAGAAAAATATCTCCCCCTTTCAAGAAATAGTCAAGAGAACCAGGGTAACTACTAAATAAAAGTAACCTAAAAAATTTAAGGCTGTGAAATAAGAGAGGTATTTTTTATTATTACATACCTGGCTTCTAAGAAGAAAATAAAGCACATTCCAAAGCATACTTTTACTTTATGAAGAACATTTAATTTCAGAATAGGCAATGCCTCTTTTAAAATAAGTATAAGCTTTAGACTTTTTTCCAGCTATGTTTAACTCTTGGCCAAAAGTTCTAAGAGCAATATCTTTACTTGAGATTAGTTAATAATTTCTATTGAATTCTTTAGTCTCGGTCAGCTAACCATTTTAGAAAATGTGACAAGCAAACAAACATGATAGAAAACATAATAGGACACTTCAGGAAAGTTCTAAGATAAAACTGATGAAAAAATATAAAAATACTAAATTAATACATAATAACAACTGAGTAGCTTGTGAAATCTATTGATACAGTTTATCTCAAAGGGCTCTCAATATAAAGCTCTTCGCTTATGTTATTAAAATAGAATTTATGAATTTATATTAATTAAATATACTTTCACTGCTGGCAAGGGTCATTTTTTTTCAGGGAAAGATATGTGCCTTAGCAATTGTATGAACTTGTACAGAGAATATTTTTATTTCAAAAGATATTTCTCAAAACAAATTTTTAAGTGTAAAAAAGATAATTCTCAGAAGTCAAGCATTTTGAACAGAGAGTCATTCTTTTACTAGGTCGCATTGTCTGAAATTCCTAAATGATTCTTCTTTTTTTGTTTTGTTTTGTTTTTGCTTTTTTGAGATGGAATCTCACTCTGTCACATGGCTGGAGTGCAGTGGCACCATCTTGACTCACAGCAACCTCTGCCTCCAGGGTTCAAGCGATTCTTGTGCCTCAGCCTCCCAAGGAGCTGAGGTCCTGAGTAGCTGGGATCACAGGCCACCACACCTGGCTAATTTTTATGTTTTTAGTAGAGACAGGGTTTCACCATGTTGACCAGGCTGGTCTCAAACTCCTAAGCTCAAGTGATCCGCCCGCCTTGGCCTCCCAAAATGCTGGGATTACAGGTGTGAGCCACTGTGCCTGGCCAGCTTGTTCTTCTTTACCAATACCTAAGTTTTATGGATGATGAGTCCCTTTATCCCTCTCCCCCGATACCAGGATGAAACTTCAGCTTACATTTACTAGGGATAGAGAATGCAAGGAAAAAAAAAAAGATTTAAAAGTCTCAATATGGCATTCAGGTACATCTGTGTATGAATGTGTTTGTTTTGTATGACTAGATGATATAATGCTATAAATGAATAGCAGTTTCAGGATAAGTTATGTCTATCCTCAATCTATTATATTCATCATTTATTTTTCAACGAGTGTTGTAAAGAACCTCAAAGAGCAATCATTTATCTTTTGGGTATGTAACAACCACTGATGGATTAAAAATAGTTAAAAACAGTCTACGTTTCCAAAGCTTAAGTGTTTCATTAGGCTTCCAAGAGTGACACAGAGTTGTCATCTCCATCATGGTTGGTCTGATCATATTACGATCATAGTTACAACCTCATATTTTGGTATCTGATCAGTAAGATATGCTTGCCTGGTATTATCAATATGGGTACCTATTTTCCAATTTGGCAGAAAGGGAATCTTCTAGATACAGTTGAATAATGTTAAATTGATAGATATCTTCGAATGAAGTGAACAAAGGCAAATTGCTCCTTTTCAAGTAGTTATATGCATTACACTGTTCCACCTCTTAAAAGAAAAGCCTAAAGAGAAATGTAAGATGAAGCCTATTATATACCAGTATTTTATAGAGTTTCAGAATCACCAAGAAAAGGTATTAGGGATGGAGGGAAGGAAAGGCGGAGGGTGAGCAGGAGACAGACCTTATCTCTAAATGAACTACAGATTTCTTTCTCTTTTCCTGGGTAAACAAAAGAAATAAGATTTATTTCTATGAAGAATGTCAGGAGCCCTACTGTAAAACTTAAACAGCAGAAAGCTCATGAAATAGACTTTTAAAGAGAAAGAAAAATAAATTGTATTTCCAAGGCAATCTTATTTTTCTGAACTTTGAAATCCTAAAAAGAGCAGCATATTAAAAAATATAAAAAGCACATTTACATATGGAAATATGTAGAAATTTGAATTTTAATGTGTTGCCGCCCACCAATTATAGATAATAAGTAGTCCAGTTTTAGAAGATTCAGTTTCTAATGAAAATAGTATTACTCATTTTAAAATATATATAAAAAGTTATTGTTGTCAGAAGATGGCAAATTTTAATCACCAATTTAATCTCAATTGTAGCATTTTAAAGATATGCATTTATCTTTCTTCCATTAATGCTTTAAATATGTTTCTTTGTGGTTCTGGGTATTCCTTTCTTGTTCCATTTATTAAAAAAGAAAATTGTCAGCCTGTTAAAGAAATTTCCTAATGTTTAAATCCTTTTCTCTGAATGCAAGGTAATTATATCTTAATGGCATGTATACATTTTAAATAATTGAATTTTATAGGTGGCAAAACTTATTTAAAAATAAGTCTTAGTTTAAAATTGTTCAGCTACTCAAGATGAAAAATATCCTCCTGGAAATTAAAATAAGGAATCCATGTGTTCCTTATCTCATTTTTATTGAATGCATTTTATTTGTTTCTTCTTCTGTGACACTGCTGGCCATACAACTGTGTATCTGAAGGCTCATGTTTATGGAAAGGGGAACGTAGTTATTAGAAAGCACACAGGCAGAGAGGAACACGTTTTGACAATAGAAAACTCTAATATATTTCCTAACACATTACAAAAACACTAAGGTTAGTCTTTTTCAGCATAAGTTCACATCGTAGAAAGAAGAGGACTGACTACCAAGATTTGGTAATCTAGAGATTAGATTACCAGAATACCTGACATTTTGCAAAAGAGTGTTTTTCACATTAATCTGAGAGACAAAAGACAAACCAGAGAAAACATTATTGAAAGAGGAACATTATTTCATCTCTTTGGAGCTAGAGGTTAAAAAACCCAACTGCAAATTGTAACTTGAGTCTTCTTTATCCTTTTGTTTCTTGCAGTGTTACTCATTGCTAAAACTTGCTCTGCCACTAGTTGATCTAGGATAAGTCGTTCTCTTGAAGCATCAATTGTTTCATCTTTAAAATAGAGGTAACATCTATTTCAAAGAGTTGTGGGAAACATATAAAATACAGCAAGTAAAAGTACATAATACCTAGTAGGAACTCAAAAGATGTTAATTATAATAATTATTAAGCCTGGCAAAGATCAAGGAGGTGATTTAACAATGCTATATAAGTGTAAATAGTAATCTTACCCAGAATAAAATGACCAACTGTCCTCAATTTCCACTAAGGGAATGGAATATGGAAGAGGATAAAATTTGGGTACAATATATTTAACTTTGATATAAGAAAGGAAGATGCTGAAATGTATTAAATATTGAAATAAGATTCCGGATGAAGCATAAGGCTGGTAATCAGACAAAATGAGCTTTCCATGTTGCTGTCAACAATGTTAACAAGTATAATATGTTACATTCCCTTCCAGCATCTAAATTACTTAAATGTCTAATATGTGCACCATGTTCTGCATGGCAGTATTTTATCCCTAGAAGGCAATGACAGGCTTTTTCTGTGGAAAGTGTTAGGTTTGAAGTAGCAAAATTTTGAAACAAATAGGATAAAGGGACATATAATTTAAAAAAAATTAACATTAAATGTTGCTTTAAATAAAGTCTCTACACAAGCCTTTTTGTATTGAAGGAGTTAAGAATATGCCACCCTAAAATATGCCATTCTGGAATATTGACTATTCTGAGTTAAAGACACTTGAAGAAAAGCAGATACAAGAAGATCATCCAAACTTCATTCTGTTTCTTAGAAACAAGAGATGAAATCCCCATGTGAAAGATATCTTCCTTATACTAGAAGGAAAGTTTCATTCTTACCATCAAGGATGAGAAGGTGAGACCAAGAAAAATCTGTACAAACACACTATGTCAGACTAACCCTTATTTCCTGCCCACATCTCCACCCAAACAAGTCCCATAGCCCTAGAACTTTTGCCTTGTCACATTTTCACAGCTTATTACTTTTTGTCCAATTCAGCATATAGGTGTTCAGCTCTAATGATGTCTTTGGGTCTTCATTTTCTTAAGTCTCCTGTGTTATGTAGTTTGTATTAAATACACTTGTATGCTTTTCTCCTGTTGTTCTGTCTTATGTCAATTTAATTATCAGGCTCCGCCGGAAAAACACCCTAGAAGTGTAGAGGCTAAGTTTTTCCTTCTCTATGGTATACATTACTCACTTAATAAATTGCTTTTAATTGCCACAGAATTTAACCTACCAACTAATGTTTTGCATAATTTCATTTATTTTTCATTCTTGGCAAGATAACTAAGAAACTTCATGGGTATTAGAAGTGGCTTTAGGACCTGGTAATTAACTATTGTCTATTCAAAGATGAAACAATTTCCTTTCTGTTATTTTGGTCATCTAATTCTGTTTATTTTCTCTACAGTTCCAAATTTAAGTAAACAAATTGTAACAAAAAATGCCCAATAGTAAAATCAAGTGAAGTAGGTATAGTTTGTAATATGCAGATATAAATCAGTATAATCCAATTCAAAAGTTATGAATTTAGTATGAGTTACACATTAGTAACCAAGAAAACATTATTCTAGAACTTAAATTATACTGATTTGGAGAAGACATCATATCCTTCAGGAGGCTCAGTGTGGCATGATGGGAAAAGCACTGAGCTAGAAGTGAAGACCTAGATTCTATTTTTGTGAACCTGGGCAAGACTCTATCTTTTTAACATGTAATTTCCTCTTCTGTTTACATCTCTTATGTATTATTGCAAGCTATTAGGTTTAGTAATAGAGTTGTGAGTATGAAATGGCTTATTTCATGGAGTTTACATTCCAGTTGAGTGTGATTTTCTCACTGGATTATCTCCAAGGTCATCTTCGCTTTTAAAAATCTGTCACACTGGGCAAGGTGCAGTGGCTCACATTTGTAATTCCAGCACTTTGGGAGGCCGAGACGGGCAGATGACTTGAGTCCGGGAATTCAAGACCAGCCTGGCCAACATGGTGAAACCCCATCTCTACTAAAAATACAACAATTAGCCAGGCATGGTAGAGCGTGCCTGTGAGCCCAGCTACTTAGGAGGCTGAGGCGAGAGAATCACTTGAACCTGGGAGGTGGAGGTTTCAGTGAGCCGAAATCACACCACTGAACTCAGGACTGGGCAGCAGAGCAAGACTCTGTCTCTAATAATAATAATAAATAAATTTAAAAAATAAAAATCTGTGATATTAAGGTTCTTTAAGACTGCCAAGGATAAGCCAGCACTGTGTGTAGAAAAAGCAAAGTATATAACAACCCCCTATTAAGTATGGAATAAGAAAAATAGGAAAATAATCAGGCCCCTGCCCACAGGAGGGGCTTAATTCATAATTGTTCACATAATCATCTCTTAGACTCTTAAATTCTTAGAAACTAAAAATCTAGCTGTGTTTCCAAGGTGTGGCTTAGTAAGTTTGTGTTTCCAACATTTTACTTTTCTGCTTTGTATTTTTACTTTATTTATTTTTAACTTTTTTCTTGAGGAAACTCTTGAGGAAGCCCAGGAGGATGTCTTGTTTGTGGGGGAACAGAACCCTGTTAATTGTCTGATTACTGGGCAGCAAGAATATTTTATTAGTGAAATTCTTACCTTTTCTAACTATGTAGTTACATAATAAAAATGGAACTCTTAAGGCTAACAGTTTCAAAGCAATCCGTGAGAAACTGAATGGGGGGTGGGAGATGAAAATTCCTATATCTTCTGAAATGTTGTTACCTAGACCTAAATGTATAATGTCCTTAAAATCTATGATACTTTACAAAGCACTTTCACATTCATTATCTCATTTGAGCCTCACAAGATTATGATTACCAGAATGTGAAACAGGCAGGGAAGAGCAATGTAAACACTATCTTTCATGTTAAATAATTACTCATGAGGCTCTATTCATTCCCCAGAATGGTCTGCCTACTAATCGCCAATCTGCCACTGCATCACTAGAGCTTAGTTTTCTCTCTCTTATCTCGACCCTCACTGCCAAATCAACACCAGCATTGTGTAGTTTCGCCTATTACTTTTTTTCCAATTTCAATTAGGAACATGGAAGTAAGAATATAGGTGGGAAGGTTGACAGGATTTGAAGGGGGTTAGTTTGACCTTTTTAATTTAGGTCTGTTTCACATCAATCTTTCTAAACGTGTGTGTGTGTGTGTGTGTGTGTGTGTGTGTGTCAGACAGAGAGGGAAAGAGAAACACCAAATACACAGTCTCAAGATATTTTCTCATGCACATAACTGTCTGATCAATGTTTAATATTTACTACATGTGCAGAGAAAGAATCATTCTGCCCATACTTTATTCACACAGGATCTATTTACCTTGAATTATGCTGGGGTCCAAAAATAATTCAAAGCACAGGAAAGAGGAGAGAAGAATGGCCAGACCTTCTGATTCAAAAGTAATTTTATATTATAAAATGTCGTTGTTTCAAAGCAGTACTGAACGATCTTATCTATCACGAAAGCTCGAGAAAATAGAAAAAAAAAAGAGTGCTTTAGGACATCTATTCTTTTAGCCACGGCATTAGAGGATCATTTTGATGATCTGGTAAGCCATAGAAGGGAAAAGTGGTGACATTAAAAATGGACACAGTAATATTTCCTTTTTTCCTAACCTTGGGTACACGGGACTGAGCTCTCTTATGTTCTATTTGAGTAGGCAGAAAACAATTGCAAGAAGCTTAGTCTGTTTGTAATTATCATCCTTTCCTCCTTTATTGACAATACTCAAGATTGTTTACATACATTAAAGGCCAGTGTGATCTATTGTTAATGAGGAATTACCTTCTGAGCTTTTTAATTTTGAAAATTATCAAGTCTTATGTTGTTTCAAAATATAAGGCCTTATTTTGTCATTAAGAAACTGGTGACAAAAAATGGCATTTTTATTTTTGTTTAGTATACTGTTTCATTGTACCGTGGTTAAAATTCTAGTAAGTGCTTCATCATTTTATAGGGTTGAACATTTTCTTGTAGTTAACTGAGGTTTGTCCTCTAAAAAGAAGAAAAAAAAAACTAATATTTCATTGAGACATAGTTTTTCCAGATAATTTAAGAGTTGAATCATCAAACTGTCTGAATCTGTCTCTTCCTTTTATCTAGGCCCTCATCAACTTTCATCTAGATTATTCCAATAGTCTCGCCATATTTTTCCTTGCTTCCAGACTCTTACCCATTTCAGTTCTTCTCAAAATTGCCACCATAGTTTATTTCCCGTATGAGATAAAATCATGTTGTCAATCAGCTCAGGAAATCTATATTGACCACACAGTAAAACCCAAACTCTTTAGATCTTAAACAAAATTTCCACAACCTACTTCTCATTTCCCCCTTCAACACGGGCCCTGCAAGTACACAACAAGCACATATGCCAACACATCTAACACAAACCATATTATGTTTCTTGAACATGTTAAACACTTTTATGCCTCTATGCCTTTATTAATACAGAAAGGAAATCAAATACAATTGCTCAGGATTTGAATTCAATTAAGGAGTCCCATCACTGAACTGAAGGAGGATTTCAAGTAAGCAAATCTTGCTTTCCTTCTATCCCTTGAATTTCACACACACCCACTCAGGCCACCTGTTATCCGAATAGTTTTTGGCTCAATGCAAATAATTCCAGAGTGGTCTTTTGATGGTTTTCTAAAGATTTAACAAATTGTGCAGAGCATATTCATTCTGATCTAAAGGCAAAAAGCACAAAAACAAAAGAGTGTCATAGAGCAATAATAACAAATTATGTGAGCCTTTTTTTGACACATGATATCCCACATTCCAACTTAAACACTCTCATGAGTACTTCTGTCAATAATTAATAAATTCGTATGAAATAAAATATGTGTATTACAATTCAAAATGTGTTACTCTTGCAGATTACAATGAATTCTTCCTTTCCAAATGGATTTTTTAATGTGCATAAAAATGGAAACACTTTGCAGCTCAAATGATTGTTTTGTTTTCCTCTTCAAAAGTTAGTCCTTTTTTTTTTACCTCAGAAAGCTGAAGTGGAACACATTTCTGTTTTCAGCATGGAATAATGGTTATGGATAATTGAGGTAATTATATCACAAGATTAAAGATAATTCTGAATGTTGGAGAGGGAGTCTATTTGCTTAGGCATTTTGCTAGATTAGTCAATTTCATTTATTGTGGTTTTTTTCTATATGCATTAGGAAGCTACAGACAAAACTTATGATTGCAGGCAGATGATTTTCAGGGTTCTTATTTACCTACACAATATGAGATATGGTTATCAAAAAGTCTTAAAGGCTGAGCGCGGTGGCTCACACCTGTAATCCCAGCACTTTGGGAGGCCAAGGTGGGTGGATCACCTGAGGTCAGGAGTTCGAAACCAGCCTGGCCAACATGGTAAAACCTCGTCTCTACTAAAAATACAAAAATTAGCTGGTTGTGGTGGCAGGCGCCTATAATCCCAACTACTTGGGGGGCCGAGGCAGGAGAATCACTTGAACCCAGGAGGCGGAGGTTGCAGTGAGCCGACATCGTGCCATCTCACTCCAGCCTGGAGGACAAGAGCAAGATTTCGTCTCAAAAAAAAAAAGAAAAAAGAAAAAAGAAACGAAAAGTCTTAAAAACTTAGAAAATCTTTCAACATAATAATATTTTATGTTCTTTGGCAACTGCCATTACTTTGAATTTTTGTTTAATGAAACAAGATGTCAGGGCTTCAGCTATTTCTTTCTGGCACATTGGGAAGCTACAGCAACTATTTTAGGTCATCACATATTGTATGATGAGTCATTATTTCAGTGTACTACAACAAAGCTCCGGGAAATAAAAAGAGTAATGTAAATGCCAAAGGTGCCTAATTTGGAAATGTCAAGGCGAGAACATAAAATAAACTTTCAACAAGCTAATGTTAGATTAAGTACAACACATTAAGAAAAAATTAGACTCCACCATTCCAAAGTCCCTTTCTACCCTGTGGATATAGATTAGTAACTTCTTTGGTATCCCCTGGAATTCTTCCATAGATGAAAATGACAGATTAGATCATTGACTAAAAACCTGAATGGAAGACTTCTGCATTTTAGAAGGATGTACTACTATAAGAGTTGAAATTAAAAGTAAAAAGGGCTTAATCAAATCTCTTTTTGCCATGCTGTTCCAATTAACCAAGTTGGATTGTGTTGGGTTTTATTGTCTATTTTTATAAGAAGGAATATTTTTGCACTTCTACCATATGCATACCACCCTCTGACCTGGCTCATTGAAGATGTATTAAATAATGTAGAACATTTGCTGCTGAGTATGACAGTTGTCTTATAATTATGCCACTAGATTTTTAATAATACATCTATGTTGAAGAAAATGTTAATGTAATATTTACAGATATTTTAGTTTGCTTGTTTTGTAGACACAATGTAGAAGCAAAAGGTAGCAACTGGCCCAGTGCCTGAGACATTTAGCTCTAATCATATTAACTATACTTCCGTATTTCTTCGAAGTTTAGATAAATATGATTTTGGAATTGTGAACACATGATGTGAAACTATGAATTGAATTTAAGATTCATCAACTTCCTAGACCATAATAATGAATACAGTATCAAGAAAACTATCTGGAGACAGTATAGAGTTTAGAGGCAGAAAACATGGATTCTAAAACTGCCTCTGCTTTTAATACATCTTAGGGAAGACACTCAACCATAACTTACATACCCATCTATTGAGTGACTATAATACCTGTCTTATGTACTTGAAGGGATTATTGGGAGGCTTAAATGAAATAATAGATGTTATAATTTTTTAAGACACTATGCAATATAAAGTATCTCATCATGCTATGCATTTTGACTTAAGGGCATTGATTGGCCCTGATTACGTATCATAATTATAATGTTTCAAAGTTTCATATTTACAATTTGGGAGGATATGAGCAGAAATACAAAAATAAACATCTGAAGTAGAGAAGCAGATAGGAAAAGGGGCGCCAGAAGACACATTTCTCCTTTATATCCTGACTACTGCAGATTTAGAAAAAAAATAAATTCTTGAAAACAATTCACTCTTTCAAAGTCACTACTATAAGGTCAGAAGTTTCCCTAAAGTTTGTTGTTAACATAAGCAATGGTAGCTATAGAATGTTTCAAATCCTAACATTTAGCCTGTTAATTGTTGCTATAGAAACAGACCTTCAGACACTACATAGAATGAACCATATGTCATTCACTTTTTTTCCTAAAGATTTTCTCAGGAGAATATCCTAGAAAACTAGACTATGAAATAGGTGGAAAGATATGTCACGAAGCTCTCTGCTGGGCTGTGATTACTGAGTCTGGACGTTTAATCAACAAACACATTTGTTCATGAGTTAAAAGGTGCCCCTGCATTGCCTTGAGGCATGGTCTTTGGAAAAACACAACTGCTGAGAACACAGCCATTCTCTTCTCTACTCTCCATAACAAGCTATAAGTTCAAAGGTTCATCAAGCACAGCCTTGAAACAGACAGTGTCTGATGTGCTTTCTTATTAGAATATATTATGATATTATATATTATTAATGTATTTTCAGAAATTTACAGACTGAAGATTTTAGTTATAGAAGTAGAATTTTGAGTTTCAGTCTATAGCAAAAAAAGTTTCCACAATGTTTTAAAATATCACTTAATTGCATTGCTCATAAATAACATACATGTTCATTGTACAAAGTTTGAAAAATGAAAAAAAATAGTTTTAAAAAGTTCCAGGTGATGCTAACCCCCATATATAACTACTGTCAATCTCATACATATTTTCACATACCTGAAATCAAATACATAATTTTGTGTCCATGTTTTTCTACTTAGTCTTGAGGATTTTCATTTAAAATAAAACCTCATTACCATATGATGCCAGATCTACTGTAATAAGAACAGTAGGATTTAAGAATATCAAATGCCAAATAATATAAGCCTTTTTTCTTTTCTGATTTTATTGGAATCCCCTCCCTTGGAGATGAAGATCCCGAGAAGAGAGAGTAGCAAAGAGGGTTTTCTGAAAGTTTATAGGGAAGGAAAGGTTGAATCATAATGACCTTAGATTTCTTAATCTCTTACTGAAAATCTAGGTTAGTTTAGCTTAATATCATATACATCTAATTTATTAATTCACATTCTTACCATCAAATCCATTGAAGATAATCATAAAAAATGAATGTAATAACTTGGTGAAATAATTTGCTTCTTACTGGTTTTTGTTTCCTGGAATTAATTAAAGTTCATTCCAAACTAAAGTTAACTTTTAGATAATTCAGGTCCCAAAAGTGAGACAGAGTGTATTACTGCTTTCGGCCAACTATAATTGTTTGACAATCTTAAGAGTTATCATATAGCTTTCAAGTTTGTCTATTTGACAACTGAGAAGCAGCCTTTGCCCTGAAAAAAATTGGCTGATTAATGAAGAATCATAGAATGTTAAGGTCCAGCTACACATGGGGAAGATGAGATTTAACTAAATCCTGTTGATCTTGAGGGTGCAATTAGATGAGCCTCCAGATCCACATTAGTCTTAGTTATAGCTAAATTAAGATAACTGCACTTCATAGCTGTGCTGTTTTAACAATAAAAAAGTAGGAAACATTGACTAAACAACTCAGTTATGAACAGCATATTGTAACATAATCTAATAATCTCAATATCTGCATATTAACATATAAGTAAATATGGCTGCTGTATTTTCCAAAGTTATATTTGAAACTCTACAGAATGTATACATGCCTTAATTTGAAGTCTTAATTGGTTGTGTGCATGTGTACAAGTGAATATTTTTAATGGAGAATTAGCTATAGCTATTTTACAGCTAGGTATATAATTACACTATTCCATTTAACTCTCATATCAAAGGTAAGGAATACCCATTTTATAGGTAAAGAATATTCCATTTTACAGGGAAACTAAGTAAATTGCCCAAGTCTTATAGATAGCATACCCCTTTAAAAAATAATTTAGCTTAAGTAAATGTTTACATATGATTTTATTTAATCCAGGAGTGATATTGAAATATTTATATGATTTTATCTAAGTGGTGTGAAATACGATTTTTTTTTTGAGACTCAGTCTCATTGTCACCCAGGCTGGAGTGCAGGGGTGCGATCATAGCTCACTGCCACTTTTAACTCCTGGGCTCAAGCGACTCTTCTACCTCAGCCTCCAGAGTCACTGGGACTACAGGCATGTTTCACCATACCCATGTAATTTTTAATTTACCTTTTTAGCAGAGATGAGGTTAAAATATGATTATACACCACATTTCAGATAAACTTTAATTTTATAGTCCAAGTTACTCTACTTTTCAGATTTAGCACTTCTCTCTTATAAAGGCAAATGCTCAGGATCTGCTATTCTTCTTGTTTATATTTATTTGCTTGTATCTAGCAGAAGCCCAACGGTTTCTGATACATATTAATATAAATAGTAGTGACCTTTTTCATTTCCATGATTGAGAAAGAAGGAGAAGACAAATGTTTGGGTACTGTTATTATTCATTTTTCTATGAACAGGCTCTATGACAAGTGCATATTAGACTCATGCTCAAGTATGTTGCGAGTGAATACAACTATTGCTATTTTTAAAGAAAATATTATAAGGTATTTGAATATTTAATTTTACTTTCCAATGAACTTCTGACTATGAATAATGCTAATGCCTCAGCCTATTACTGTGAATACCAATTTCTTAAAAATAATAGTCCACATCAATAATGTGAATGATTACAGTATAATAATGCTAATGGTAAAAGAAATATTCTGCAAGTTTTATAGTATTTTAAAACATTTATACATTAAGGAACATTACATATTTTCGAAGCCATCACAGATCAACTTAACAATTGAAATAAACACCATGTTGTTATACAAGTCAATCTCAGTGGAAATGTAAAAATAATTGAATTAAACGTTAAAGCAAATGTCAAACCCAAATCTTGTAGCAACGTGTTACAAATCCAAATCTTGTGAGTTTTTCAATCTATTGATTAAAAACTGCAACTTATCAGTAACATAGCAAAATGCTCATTTCAATATTTGTCATTGAGATTAATAATAATTTTCACGTAATCTGGAGATCAGGCATCTGGGATCTGAAAACAAGGCATATAACTATATTTCTATTTAATTGCTTTTGCCATTTTAATTCAATATTCATTTAAATTTATCTAAAACTGCTGAAATTTATTTGTAAAGAGTCATCCATAATTTTGGTAGAAAAAACATTTTGGGATGTTTTCCTTCTGTTCTGTGTTTACCAATGGTCATACATGAAAATTTGAATGTTAATCTGTTTGATTTCTCCCTCAATGTGTTAAGAACTGTAAAGAAATTGTTTTACAAAATGGAAACACATTAGATATATATTAATTAAAATTATTGATCCAAAATGTTTCACAAATCAAATAAATGACATAAGTGTGATGATGAGTCCAGTTCATGATTTCCATGCCTATTCATAAAACCAAGAATAGATAATTCAGTGACAATAGCCAGTAACTTAAATACGAATGAACTTTAAGTCTATTCTTTATTCAGGTCTTTTCTTCAGCTAAACTCGTACATTAATTATAAAACACTACTATAGTTAAAATTAAAAAAAATTTGCTCTTGAATATTTTTTATTCGGGCAAACTGCCTAAAGGCAAACACATGGCTAACTCGTGATAATAGTCTATGGGTTTGCATATAGAGGATATTAATAATCTATCTGTCAAAAATTTATACATTTAATGATAAATTTAATATATTGCATAAATTTGAGTTTTGGTAAATACATCTTCATTATAAACATTGAACTTACACTATCAGATTAGCAAAACCATAAAAAGTGTGTTGCTACATGCTAGGCTTGCCTAAAAATATCAATTCATTTTTAATTGCTTATTTCAGGATAAGAATGCATTTTGCATTTGGCCAAATGTCAATATAATGGTTACATAGTTAATAAAGACCAAATACATAAAAGACGATTTTCTGAGGACAAAAATAGAAAACTTTATGCAGTAAATTGCTAAAGGAGTTGCCTCAGAATTGCTTTTTTTTTTTTTTTTTTTTTGAGACAGAGTATCACTCTGTTGCTCAAGCTGTAGTACAGTGGCGCGATCTAGGTTCATTGCAACCTCTGCCTCCCACGTTCAAGTAATTCTCCTGCCTCAGCCTCCCAAGTAGCTGGGATTACAGGCACCTGCCACCACACCCAGCTAATTTTTTTGTATTTTTAGTAGAGACGAGGTTTCACCATGTTGGCCAGGCTGATTTTGAACTCCTGACTTTGGATGATCCACCTGCCTCGGCCTCCCAAAGTGCTGGGATTACAGGCGTGAGCCACTGAGCCCGGCCAAGTAAGCCCTTGCCCAGCTAATTTCTGTATTTTTGTAGAGACAGGGTTTCACCATGTTGGCCAGGCTGGTCTCAAACTCCTCACTTCAAGTGAACCTCCCGCCTTGGCCTCCCAAAGTGCTAGGATTATAGAGGTGTGAACCACCACGTCTGGCAGCATTGCTACTTTTAAGCTGTGTGATCTGAGGCCAATTATTTAACTTCTCTATGATTGTTTTCTCATCTTTTAAATGAGGTTATGAACAAAACTTATTGTAAATAGTTGTTGTATGGAGACAGTGAAAAATGCATACAATACTCTTAGAATAATGCTGGATACATAATGTCTAATGAATGTTAGCTGTTGTAAGTATAAAACACCCCTAGTTTATTGTGTAAAAGTACTCTTTTAACTTAGTGCTTAAAAGATAGAAGTGAGAGACGGAGTCTCGCTGTGTCGCCAGGCTGGAGTGCAGTGGCGCGATCTCGGCTCACTGCAACCTCGGACTCCCTGGTCCAAGTGATTTTCCTGCCTCAGCCTCCTGAGTAGTTGGGATTACAGGCACGTGCCACCACTCTTAATGGTAATAAGCTTAATTTGTTCAACAACCTGGTTCACTGGCTTGCCTGATGATTATTATGCTCAATTAAATGATTCCCAATTCATATGATCATCACAATTCTAAGTAATAGACGAAGGGGGCTCAGTAAGAGTTTGGGTACTGTTATATAAATCAAAAGGGAATTAGGCTTTATGAAGTTTTTCTTCTCCAATGAAAAAGCTCTAATGTACCAATCTGCTCATCGAATTAAAGTAATACTTCACATTCTGAGAAAACTTTAACTTATTACCAGCGAATTATTGTGTGTATATGGTTCTTAGATTAATTGGTAAGATAAAAGCCAGCCTATGATTGCTATCCTTTTTTCAGTTTCTATGACATATTACTTACTACATGAACTTTAGAAAAGAACCTGTTGATAGAAAATGCAATGAAAAAGACTAATTAGTCCTATTCTCCCCTGTATAAAAAAAAAACTGACACAAGTGTAGAACATATATCATAGACAGTATTGTATAACACATGTACCTTTACTTTTGACCTCTGTAAATCATTTGAAAGAAAGTATCTATTCCTGCCTTGGTATGTCAACAGTGCCACCACCCTACAAAAGTCACTTATTTCAAAAATAATCTTAACTATATACACATGTTATATATATTACATTGTATATATTATATTATTTACATACGCACACATTTTAGTTGAAGTAGAAGTTAATTTTTGGCCCTAAGTATCTAACACTTACTTGAAATACCTAATAATCCCAAGGAAAAACTGTGGCTATATAATCTCTCTTCCATTTTGTGCTTTAGATCCTCCAAAGCAGGAGGGTTATGTAAGAGCATGTTTATGAAATATTACAGGTAAAAAAAATAATTCTTGGTTCCCATTTTGGTAACACCAGATTTAAAGAATATGCAAGAGGATAATATATGGAGTAGAGTTTACTTATTGGGGCACATACTGTAATACCTATTTTTACTTCCCCATCTATGCTTTTTCAGGTTCTACACCCACTTATCTTGAATTTATACCTAGCCATAAATACAATTTTAAAAATAATTATAGAATTTTGGAGCTTTGGAGGATGGCTTCCCTCACAGCATCTCTAAGAGCTAAATAAAAATTTTAAAACAAAAATGTGTGGGTGATGCACAAATGTAGATCAGAATATTTGTCCTATTGAATTGGGATGATTAGTCATTAATTTCAAATATTCTTAAGACATGTTCTTAAAGTGCCCTCAAGCCTATTGTGTAAAGCTCTTACTGAAATAGTTTCAAGCTAAAAGGAGAACAGATCAGGCATCTATGCTAGGAGGATAAACTCATAAATAGTCTCACTTTAGAAACAATATAGTCTACAAAGGAAGACGTGCTAAGAAAGAAAAAGTGGCAGGACTTGTCATTGAGAGTCTATTATACCCAAACACTTCCATTTTTTACTTGGCTTAGTAAATCAAAGGTATATTTGTGTTGTAGATACATACATATATTGTCCTTCAATATCAATGAAACAGATTTTTTTGTATGTACTTTCTCTTCCAAGACATGGGCAGATACAGGTGATAATTTTTACCATGTTTAGAGGAAAGTAATTTTTACCATACATAAGAAGAAAGTATGTAAGTGGATTTTGTTAAAATAACTTTAATGCAAGCATTAAATGAGTCTGTAGATTTCTAGAAATGTTTAAATAGTTAATAAATATATCATTGCCTTTCAGTAAAGGTCATGTTTCTGGCTCATAATCAGGACACACATTCTTACTTCTTCTATAACTGCCTTGGATTTGTGAAACACGTTTGGAAGAGGGTCTGTGCACAATCTGGGCTCACAGGAAAAACTAGTTGAGTACAATTTAGTTCCTTGGCTTCCTAGAAATCATTTTACATGTTACTTCAATGTCACCCAGTTCCACATCTTCCATTCTACCTTCCATAGCCTCAACATGTCATAAATCGCTTAAACATTCTCATACACTTCCAAAGTTCAGCAAATTAGTACTTTTGTCATTTATTTTAGGCTTCTCAAAATATAGTCAGTACATATTTTGTAAGACACTGGTAGCGAAGAGTAAGCTTTGAGTGTTGAGTTGATCAACAGCAAAGATACAATAAGCTAATGATAATTAAATTGTTTATGTCAGATTACAAGTACGTAATGTATCTAGTACCCAATACTAAAAAACAAACAAAAACACGTAACTATAGAAACCCTCTTTTCGAAAATTTATTTAAGTCCTGTTTTTGATGTCTCAGGGAAACAATAAGACAGAAACCAAGCATCCTGTTACAGAGAATAAAATTAGAGCTCTGCATAAATAATTAATTTTTATTGTTTTTCTCTAAGGTATTTTTTGTTAAAAAAACAACTGATACTATAAAAAATAGTTTTTAAGATTAGCCTATAATCTAGTACTTAAATTTGTTGCTTATAGGTTTGAATATAGTAAGGTCCTTAGAATGTGATATTATGTTTCCCTCATTTTGATAGTGCCCAGAGTTCCCTTAAAATTCAAGAAGCAAACAAATGATTAAGAGGTCAATGATTCTGATAATTCATAGACTACAGGATGTTAAAAAATATAGTAGAAAATGAATATAATGCAAGGTTGTTTGTAAGGCAGTTCTGTTACCTATGTCACTGCTACAGTTGCTAAGTAATTTTTTAACTAAAAATAAAATTAAAAGATTATTCAAGACAAGCATAGGGAAGTAACTTACAGTACATTTCCTGAGATTTCCCTATTGAATTTAAAGATCCAATATTGCTATTTATTGAATTTAAAATATTTTTAATTTTCAAAACATCTTAAAAGTGACTATACAATGGATTATACCTAAAAGAAAAAAGTCATATGTATGAATTAGGGAAGATCTAATATAAATGGCCTTAAAAATCAAGTCAAGAAAGAAAAAAAAGTGAGTGTTCAACTACTTACATAAATAACCAAACACAAAGCTCATTATCTTGAATCTTCTCAATGTTATTACAAAATCTAAAATGTAACTTTTGCTCAGAACTCAAGTTCTCTATTCATTGTACATAATATGGCACCTTGACAACATTAATATGACAAAATTAGATAATCATAAAGAAAAATAAGATAATTAAGTTTTAGAAAGAAAGGTTGTTCTCATAGTTTTTTAAAACTGTATCTTAAATACTCAGGTTGATTTTCAATTCAGTTTTTCTAGAAAATTATTTTTGTGACGATTGCACCTTATTATTTTTCACAACATTCCTCAAAACTATCCCTGAAGGTTGGTTAGCTGTATTTATTCCATTTCATACAGACAGTTGAAGCAAAGAAATCAAGCTCAGAACATAGTTGACTTCAAAATTTACAATTGTAGTTTATGTTTGCAATCTTTTTAGCAGCTAATATGTTGCTTTCTCTACTATCACTGTGGATCTTTCTTCAGCAGCACGAAGTGAGAAGGCACATCTTTTCATAAACAGGTTCTGGTTCTAGATATAATTTGGTTGCAAATGATAAAGATGGAAGAGAGGCAGTATCATATCAGAGAGATAAAAAATAAATTTTAAGAAGAAAAACCTCTCTTAAAGAGATAATAATGGAGAAAGTGGGCTTTAATTTCCTACAAGGGTATACCTGCGAAAAAGAAGACATATCAGCAACTAACCAAATACAGTTGATCCTTGAATAACATGGGTTTGAACTGCTCAAGTCCACTTATGCACAGATTTTGTTTCAGAAAAAGTTACACCAAGTGTTCCTGCCTCCCCTTCCACTTCCTCCACTGTTTCTACCTCTGCCACCCCTGAGACAGCGAGACCAACTCCTTCTCTTCCTCCTCCTCCTCAGCCCACTCAATGAAAAGATGATGAGAATGAAGACCTTTATGACGATCCACTTCCACTTAATGAATAGCAAATATATTTTCTTTTCCTTATGATTTTCTTAATAACATTTTCTTTTCCCTAGCTTACTTTATTGTAAGAATCCAGTACATAATACATATAACATAGAAAACATTTGTTAATCAACTGTTTATAATATCAGTAACTCTTCACAATAGGCTATTAGTAGTTAAGGTTTTGTGATGTCAAAAGTTATATGCAGATTTTCAACTGCACAGGGTTCATTACCCTGAACACCCACGTTGTTCAAGGGCCAACTGTATTTAAATTATAACTCTGTTAAACAAAAATTATGCCAGTCCATTGTTTTGGATTTAGCTACTACAGTTGGCCCTAAAGAGCAGATCGAACAAAAATGGAGGCAATCATGCCAAAGGCCAAATAATCAAATTGAAACTCTAAGGAAGCAGACAGATCCTGAAACAGATCAGTTTTTCCTGAAAACAGGATACTTCCAATCCTACCTGAGTCAGTGTAATAAGGAGGTCTCCTCTGCTTAAACCCTTACCAAAAAAAAGTAACCTGAAGCAAGCTGACGTTAACCAATCAGTTTTTTTTCTATTGTTCTGTTACCTTGTACCCCCTTATGAAACTCACTGTTCTGCCATTGCACAGTGGGAGTGCTTGTTCTATTTGCGATACATGAATGAGAAGGAAAGTCAATTAGATCTAGAACTAAATTAGTTATAATTCTGTCTTTTGATATCTCAAACAAGCTGTTAAAAAATTAACCAAAAATTTACATGAACATCAACAGTATGAAACTGAGTAATTTTGACATTGTCGAAAATTCCACCTTAAGTTACAGAACAGCTTGAAGCACTTGGATAAAGTGATTCTGCTGGTGGGAATGTTAATTAGTTCAGTCATTGTGGAAGACAGTGTGGCAATTCCTCAAAGGCCTAGGGACAGAAATCCCCTTTGGCCCAGCAATCCCATTACTGGGTATATACCCAAATGAATACAGATTGTTCTATTATAAAGACACATGCACACATATGTCTGCTGTAGCACTATCCATAATAGCAAAGACATGGAATCAACATAAATGCCCGTCAATGATAGACTAGATAAAGCAAATGTGGTACATAGACACCATGGAATACTATGAAGCCATAAAAAGGAATGAGATCATGTTCTTGGCAGGGACATGGATGGAGCTTGAAGCCGTTATCCTCAGCAAACTAATGCAGATACAGAAAACCAAAACACTGCATGTTCTCACTTATAAGTGGGAGCTGAAAGATGAGAACACATGGACACATGGGTGGAAACAACACACACTGGAGTCTGGAGGTGGGGAAGGAGGAGGGAAAGCATCAGGAAGAATAGCTAGTGCATGCTGGGCTTAATACCTAGGTGATGGGTTGATCTATGCGGCAAACCACCATAGCACATATTTGCATATGTAACAAACTTGCAAATCCTGCACATGTACCCTAGAGCTTAAAAATAAAAGTTGAAGAAAAAAACAATAAAATGAGGTGATTTTCACAACCAGTGGCAGCCATAGTGATTGTGGTAGGAGAATAAAAGCTTTACTGCTGAATCTTAAAACTTTGCACGGGTATATGTCAGATGGAAAAAGAGACACCTAGTATAGTCCTCACTGATACCATGATTTGCTGGGACTTTCACCAGATGCAAAGCACTGGTCTTTTCCAAATAATCTTCTGAGCCTTCACTCCTGTCAGTCTTCTTCACAAACTAAACTATTTAGTGGAAATGATCCTGTCAGTCTTCTTCACAAACTAAACTATTTAGTGGAAATGATCTAGTCAGAATTATTCCTGCTGGTTACTATTAACACATTACGAGATTGCCTGCACTGCCCTCACCCCCGCAGTCTAGTCTATTTCCTCTTCTTGCTGAGACAAAGATCCTACCTATACTTTCAGTTCAAGAGACAAAAATGCATAAAAGGTAAGTGGATTTACTACCTCTGGAGAAAGGGCAACCTGGTAAATAAATAATTAAAAGCAAACATAGAGTTGGAAATGCATTTCCCTCACTTAGTGGGGGCTAAATTTGGAAAACAGCCCTGCTGTTTCAGAGCTCTTAGCATCATATAAAATCAATCCACCAAAAACAAAAGTAAAACAAAAACCTTTATAGGGAGATAAAAATAATTTTTATCAAGTGTGTATTTGGTTTTTGTTTGTTTGAAAGCTTTTTAATTTTTTACTTTGCAAGAATAAATGCCAGTTAGTTATGATTTCCTTCTTGGCATATTTTTGCTCAAAGCTTCATAAGTCATGTGACTATAATCCTATATAGAGATTTTTAACATTTAAGTTTTAATATTTTAATTTATTTCATTTTTCATTTAAAAATCCAGGTCAATGCATATTTCCTATCATACCATCCTGCTTATTATCCCCTCTCCTCAATGAAACAGTGCTGAACATGTTGCTGGAACGAATACACTAAGTATTTCATTAGGTTCTATAGGCAATTGTTGACTACTGATTAAGAATCAGTACAGTTCTAGGTACTATGGGAGATACAAACAAACAAAAAAAAAGAGGTAATAGTTGATGAAGGAGAGCTTACAATCTAATTGGGAAGGTGAGACCTACGGCACTTCAAGAACTAAGTTGGGTTCTTTGGAATAGATTCCATCAAGCAAATCCATGATTAGCACGTTACTTATAAAAATACACCTGTTTACAATAATACACCTAAATACACCTATTTCTTTCTCTGTTATACAGCATTGAGTACTCTGTCAATGGATTTAGCCACTCTTCTAAAACTTGGGACATTTACATTAGACATCATGATTTTCTGTTACTTACACAAGTACTTTAAAATCAAGGGCAATACTATTGTATACATTTTATTTTAGGATTATTTTTCCCCTTACTCTATGTTTCCTCATTTATTTACAACATGAAATAGATATATTGTCTGATTCACTGATAATTTCAAAATGAATAAGAAGCCATCTCCTGGCAAGATTAGCATTGTTTATAACACTACATGAATTATTATCAGTGAAAGGAGAAGTTATTGGTCCCTTTAATGCATAATGGATTCTGCATGTGTCTGCACAGTCATTTAGAAAAAAAGTATATTTCATTGTATTGTAAAACCCTTGGGATATATTATATGTGCAAATACCTAGAGGATATTTTCAAATAATTTATTCATCTTAAGGCTTGATTATATTTCAAGTCCTAAATCAAGGGAACAATTTCTTTTTCTGTGTTTGTGATCTGCATCTTGGTGTGTGTGTGTTGGTAGGTAAACAGAGAAACACAACATACTGTAGAACTAAATTACTTCAAATAGATTTAAAGTTGTGAATGTATTTGCATATGAAAGAAATTAACTGAAGTTTAGAGGAGTTTACTGAATTTTATAGTTTCTTCCAGTAAAAGAAACACCATGTAATTTTATAATAATAATATCATTATAAAAAAATTAAGTGAAATATTCAGTAACCCTATACCTGTATAAACATTCTCTTATAAGTGTGAAATTAAGAAGTATTACATGAAGTACTTAAGCGATTGGTTATTTAAAAAAGGCAGCCTTTTCATTTTGTATTCCTACCGAATATTGAAAAACTCTGCCATTATTTTACTTCAGCATTTGTTTTAGCCCCAAATAAAAAGACAATTGCCAATAGAGAGCAATCAACGTAGAATGAAATAACATATTGACTGTGTAATACATACAAATGTATTGCACATGTTTAAAGACTTTGAAATGGCTAACCAGTTGGCAGCAAGATTCTATTTGAAAGGGCTAACAAGTAGAATAATATAGCTTTGGAAGTTAATTTGCAAATTAAACCTTAAAATAGTGGGACCTAGGAAACGTAAGACTTGCTTGTTATGTGTGTTTTCATGGCAGATTTAAATGAAAGTCAAGAACAAAACCACAGTTGGGTATTACACAGTAGTGGTCCCTGAAATGCTCAAGGATTTGAGATCTCTGGACGCCAAAAGGAGGTCAGAATGCAGATGGATAGGTGCCAAAATAATTATTTATAGATTTCCAGGCCAGGCACGGTGGCTCAGGGCTGTAATCCCAGCACTTTGGGAGGCTGACGCAGGTGGATCACTTGAGGTCAGGAGTTTGAGACCAGCCTGGCCAACATGGTGAAACCCCATCTCTACTAAAAATACGAAAATTAGCCAGGTGTCATTACTAGCTGACATTCTGGAGTAAAAATAAATTTTACCTCATAACATATATACAATCATTTCCCTTAAAACGTGTTCCTTTTTGGAATGGTTTATTGGATATTATAGTTTTTTTTTTTACAAATTCATTCATAGTGTTCAAACTAATTAGCAAAACAATTATTGTGTATTTACGTGGCCTCAGCCTCCCGAGTAGCTGGGACTAGAGGCGCCCACCACCACGGCGGTATTTTTAGTAGAGACGGGGTTTCACTGTGTTAGCCAGGATGGTCTCGATCTCCTGACCTTGTGATCCACCCTTCTCGGCCTCCCAAAGTGCTGGGATTACAGGCGTGGGCCACCGCGCCCGGCCAACTTTTCCACTCAAACCAGATAATGCATCACTCTACTTCCGAAGGCAAGAAACATACTTCCAGGGTCACTTTAAAAATAGATGCTTGCTTGGGCCTGTGGCCAAAGTTAGGGAGACATGAGTTAGCCTGGAAGCTTAGGGGAGGGGAATACTTATTTGACTATTAACTTCTAATAACTAACAAGATCCATCCTAAATGAACCATATTTGCAGAGATATCTCAATCAATACATGAGTGTATAAATAATCTTAAATAGAATACACAACTTTGGGGTTTACAAAATTATCTAAAAGAGACTTGCTACCGGTTTAGAGGCCACAAACGTTCAAAATATAATATAGCACCATTCACTATAATTTGGTAACATTAATGACTTCTTAAGGTATTAAGTATTTGACAGTATACCTTATTCACTGATACATGTAATTTCAAACACATAGAAATCCTAAAAAGGGCATTGTACTTCAAATCTATTATAAGGATTCTCAGTGTGCAATATTAAAGGTTAAGTTTAAAATAAAGTAAAATGTAGTAATAGTAATTTAAAAATCATGTGCAATTTTATGCACAAAATGAATTAGTAAAATATGGATTGGAAAGTCACAAAGAAATACAACTCAATGGAAATAATACCATTTAGAGATAATCGTGTAAACGCAAATTTTCTATGGATGCAAATGGTTGTGTTGTGTTCTAATTAGCAATTTTGGAGAAGTAAAAATGAAAACAGATAATGGACTTGTAATAAAGTCAATAAACAGTCCATGGTGGAGTAGAATACATTTATTGCTGGATGCATAGGAAAGACTTTTTCAAGATTCTTGTTTCTCCTAATAATGAATTGACAGGGAAATAAAAATGTTTTATGTTTGGAAGACAGGAATGAGTAAGAGAATCTGTAAGTTAAAAATTCCAGAGTTACAAACTCAGCCTTGATTTGCTTTAAACAAATCATGAATAATAATTTGAATCTTAGAAGATAAAACTATATGTTCCTATTCTTCAAGCTGACATACTGGTTATTATGATCTCACTGTATATCTGTGGCGTTAAAGATACCGACATGTGGTTAAAAAGTCCATTAAATAGATACACCGATTTTACTACATGTGTAAATTCACTTCTTATCTATATAACATCCAAATTCATCATATCACTTGATAAAGCCTGTGTCATGGAAGGTGCAGACAGTATTTCTGCCTTTTTGTTTGTTTGCTTATTTACTTCTTATTTTAAAATAATTTTGGACTTAGAGAAAAATTGTAAAAATGGTGGAGAGTACCTGTACACTCTTCACTCAGTTCCCCAAGTATCTTATATAATCATAAACAAATGATCAAAATGAGGAAATTATCATTGGAAGATAACTATCAACTAAACTATAAACCTCACTTGAATTTCATCAGTTTTTTTTCTAGTCCAGTATTCATTCCAGGATCCTATATTATATTTCTAGTCAATATATTACAATATATTGACTATATTGTATTTAGTTGTTGTTTCTCCTGAATGTTGACTATATTGTATATAGCTGTCCTATATTGTAGTTAGTTGTTGTTTCTCCTTAATCTCTTCCAACGTTTGACAGTTTGGCAGCCTTACCTTGTATTTCATAACCTTGATTTTTTAATGAGTACTGGCCAATTATTTTGTATAATGTTTCAGTTTGGGTTTGTCTGATGATTAGACTGAAGTTATTCTTTTTTGCAGGGGCAAGAATACTACAGAAGTGATGCTGTGTTCTTCTCAATGCATTATATGATGGTGAGGAGATGGGATGAGCATAAAAACTGTCACTGTTATAACCTTGATTACTTGGTTAAAGTGAAGTCTGCTGATTATTCTTCTATGATGCTACATTAGCCTCTTTGTAATTGATATGGTTTGTCTGTATCCCTACCCAAATCTCATCTTGAATTGTAGTTCCCATAATCCCTGTGTTGTGGGAGGGATCCGGTGGGAGGTAACTGAATCATAGGGGTAGTTACCCCCATGTTGCTGTTCTCGTGATAGTGAGTGAGTTCTCACAAGATCTGATAGTTTTTTAAGGGGCTTTTCCCCTTTTCGCTCTGCACTTCTCTCTCCTGCCAGCACGTGAAGAAGGACATGTTTGCTTCCCTTTCCACCATGATTGTAAGTTTCCTGAGGCCTCCCCAGCCATGTGGAACTGAGTCAATTAAACCTCTCTCCTTTATAAATTACCCAGTCTTGGGTTTGTCTTTATTAGCAGCATGAGAACAAACTAATACAGTAACCAAATAGATAACTTGAGGGAGATATTTTGAAACTATGTTAATACCCTGTTTATCCTAAAACTTTTGCCCCCCTTATTTTAGCACATATTAGTGGACTTGGCCTGAAACAACAATGGTTACTGTGTGTTTGCCTGATGATGATTTTGTATTTCCCTAATTGTGTCCACATTTATAAACTGGAATTTTTCTGTATGGCAGAGTTATCCCTCCTCTCCCCCCTTTATCTGCTGATTCAATTATTTATATTTCTGTAGAGTTGTGGATATTTCCACTTCAAGATTTCATAGCTTATCATATTTACTATGGGAGAGTACAAGGTAGACATTTTCATACCTTAATGCTTCACCATTTATGCCATACCACAAGAGATAAAATAGAAACCCTCCAATATTCCTGATAATCTTCATCGATCCACCCACCATTCCATGAGCACATACTAAAATTCTACTTTGGCTATCTGGTGATAGAGACAGAACTCAGCAATTTCCTGTATATTTCCAAACTAAAAGATAAAAACAATTTTAGTTTGGATTTCATACTTCTATATATTCTCTTGACTTGTTCCTTTAGCATTTTATATTTCACAGGTTAATTAATTGTATCAGTCATTTAGGATTAGAAACTGTCATTGCTATCCTTGTTAGAAGGGAATATGATAATTCATAAATATTCAAGATGAAAGATTATCTTTTGCAATAATAAAAGTGATCAATTCTGGAATTTTATTTGTTGTACTTGTTTAAAAGTATTTATTAACAAGAGCAAATGTAGATAAAAATTAAAATAAGTTAAATTAAATGTAAAATCTAATGCAAGGATCATGGAGAAACCAAAACAAACAAACAAACAAAAAAAAATTGTTTTACTCTTCCTCTAAAAATAAAATTACTATTTACAGAAATGCTATTATATTGTAACAAAGAAATTTTAAGCCTGGGCATCTTGTTTTTTTATTCTAGATAGATTAGGTCTTCATGACATGACTGACTGCCTCCCAAACCATAAATTAATTGACCGAGATTAATAGTTTTACAGAAGACACAGAAAAACAACAACAACAAAATATTGGCTTGTTCTTCAGGAGTTATAGTTACTAATAATCTATTTCCATCATGGAAGTTGTGAACCTTAAAAAAATGAGAATAATACATATGTAACTAACCTGCACGTTGTGCACAAGTACCCTAAAACTTAAAGCATAATAAAAAATATATATAAAAAAATGAGAATAAAAAGATAATTACCTCTCTTGAAGAATTTGATTAGGTGGGCCATGAAGTATAGGAACAAATTCACAGCTGCCCTAGACAAACTGTATCTTAAGGGAGGTAGACTTACCACATTAAAACAGATTTCTTCTATTCATTGCAATCGGTTACTTCTTAATAACACTAAATGTTTTCCATATTACACGCAGGTGATAAATATTTACTTTTCAGGGTGTATTGTTGAATTTGCATGAATTATTTATAAAGAGGAAAATTTTCATACATATTATTATTGTGGGTTCCATGTATGCAACCAAATAGAAAAGTAGTCACCTTCTGAAGGCAATTCAAGCAATTAAAAATATTAAGTAGTTAAGATAAATACCCTAAAATATCAATGACCTTTAAAAACATAAAATGTCACATGTCTAAATATTTGCTGGGAGACAATTTTTTCTTGTTCCATTTCATCATTATTTTGGAAAGAAAGAGCAATCGGGTTATGGAAAATGTATGAAAATATTTATATTTTACACTAATATCATGAAAATCAAGAAATGTGTCAAGATAAAGCAACTAGCTAAATTATGTTGAAGTGGCATGCTTTTACATTTCATTGAGCTGCACTTCTTTATTTGCAAGATTGTTTTATAATCACAACTAGAAAAGTTGTTTTTGAAGATAAGACTGCTTCCCACTGTAAACATTATTTATTACTCTGTTATATAATATTTATTTCTAAGATAAATTATACATTTGCTTTGCCAAGTTAGACATGATGCAAGCATATTTAATATTTTTAGTTTTTTTTTCACATATGTCCTTTTCTAGGTCAATATGTCTTTTGGCTAAGATTGAAGTGAAATGAAATCTTCAGTGTTAACATTCATGTTATAGGATCTGATACAAATTGGCTACATTTAAAAGTGATTTCAGAAAAATTCATTCATCTTCCATGAGAAGGTTTCTGTGTAAAGTCTATGATAATCGATGGCAAATTCAGACATAAACTACTTTTATATTTGACAATTTTTGCACAAAATAAAACCTATTCCAGAAAAAAAAATTACCTGAGACTTGAGTTTACCTTAGTAAGCTCTTTCTAAGCAATACTGCATTTAAAAAGACTCTCTGTCTCTCTGGATTAAAAACTCTCTATTTCTGTTTCTCACTCCATTTCTCCTTCCTTTTTAGACTATAGAGAGTTATAGGTAAAGCAAAAGCAGAACCTGACTCCTTGAAAGCAGGACTTTTATTGCATTAAGAAACAAATTGATATATTCATTCATTTGTAACCAACTTTGTGTGAAGTATTGTACTGAGAGTTAAAAAATAAATTAAAAATTGGATGGATGGGTGATTAAATGAGCATTCTTTTTCTTCATGTTGAAGCAATACTCTAAGAAAAATATAAGTGCAGACAGCACAAAAAGAAGTTGGAAGATTACATTAATCTTTCCATCTCTAATTTCCCTAGTTATATAATTAGTAGTGAGACAATAAATCATCTAAGCCAACAAAGTGAACACAATAAAATGATAGGTGATTCTGTGATACAAGAAGTTCAGAAAAGGTAATAGAGGTCAGAAAGAAATCTGTGAGCCATCAATTAATTGACAATGGTCCCCAGTTTTACAGAAGGCACCAAAAGAAAAGAACAAACTATTGGCTTGTATATACAGTAGCAGAAATCAATCCAGTGGATGAAACAATAAGATAATTAATTTTCTTGTACAAACTGACCTAAATGAAGGTAAGTTGGCTGAAATTACCATGCAAGCAAAAATTAAATGCATATTTGAAATGATAATGGAAATATGAAGAAAGCCAGGATGGGAATAATCAAAATAAATGTGCCATGATTCAGCAAGTCATTCTTGTAAACTTAATTAACAGGTAAAATCAGAAGGGTAGAGTTTTACACAAAACTCAAGAAGGTATAATATGTTCCGAAGGAATCCAATCAAGCCAATGGAATTTAAGAGGTAGAAAAGAATTCTACAGTGTGTAGCCCCACCAGCCCCTAAAAGGCAGATATAGATATATCTCATCCAGAGTTGTAGGAAGACAAGTCATTTACTAACATTTTGGGCTGATACATGAGGTAGCTGTAAAATTATTTTCATAAAATATAGTAAAAAAATACACTTAAATGGCATGTGCCAAAAATACACAAGAACTTGAGGAACAACAAAAAGTAATTGACAACTTTAAAATGAACATATCTAGCAAAAGAATATTAACATAGTGCATTAGCCATACTCCAATATGGGCTGAAAACACATTGTAGGAGTATTATTAGGAATAGATAATAAGGTAATCACTACAACATATCAGCACATTTTGACTAATAGATTAGACAGGTGGTTTACCAGACCATTTAAAACAGAAATAGTGCCATGGTAACTTGGTCTGATCCCAGTTTCTCAGTTCTATGAACAACCTAAAGCACACAACTCAAATTAACTGTCATGTTTGTTACTTAACCTAAATACATCACCCTCTTAGAAAAATCTTCAGCATTGTCACCTAAATTCCATTCAGCCTTCTGATTCTTAGTCTCCAGGAAGTCTACTAGTAAGCATCTGATTCCTAATCATACCTTATTCTTTACTTGGCAGGTTTGTGAAAACTGCCTCTTCATTCTTGGTATGGCTTTTTTTTTTTTTCTTTTCTACCCCACCTCTAGTCCTGGTAATGTGTTTTGTAGTTTCATTTAGTACTAAACATTAAGTAGCCAGTATAACCAAATGATAAATTTTTACTGTATATCTCACTTAGATACTAAATGTTTAAATAATTTGCATTTCAACCTCCTTGGGAAGGACATGTATAGGCAGGAGAAATACAATACTGACATCACCTCCTCTAGGAAGCTTTCCCTGACTGACTCCTCTACCTTCTAGCTGGGTTCGGAGAACTTTCATGTGTTCACAATGTATCCTGAGCTCATTCTTGCTATAGCACTTCAACACAGTATATTAATTGTCTGCTCTATTGCCTACTTCTCCCAATAAAATGTTATCTCTTTGAAGGGAGGGATTGTGTCTTATTCATTGCTGTATCTGCAGCTCCTAGTACAGAACCAAGTATTAGGGTACAACTTTAGTTAATGAATAAAAGAACAATGTGGGGTAAAGTTTCAGTGCCAGTAAAAAAAAAAGAAAAACAGCCAACCAATAAAAAATTATTCTACAATTATGGCAATTGAAAGGACACTGGTGATGGTTACGTAAGCTTTAACTCTTCAAAATATATCATTAAATATGCATACCAAAGCTTTTGATTTGAATTTGTTTTTAGAAATTTCATGAATTACACACTTCTAACTGATGATAATAATCACCATTACTAGGTAGGTACCATGAGTTTTTAGCGAAAAAATTATATATATGATATATATGTTATATATATATGAGTATATATACATATATACACATATACACACATACATCTATTATTTTATTGTTTTTTAAGTTAAGGGGTTTTGGAATCTCATGAGGAATTAGTTACAGTAACTAATAAGCAAAGAGCAGAAAACAGTATAATTTTCATAAATCAATTTTTAAAAATTTTATTCACATCTTCATTTATCATAAGTTGGATCAATAGACTTTCTAATCCATTTTACTGTCTTCAGATAGACAAGATATTATTAGTCTCGTATTATATCTAAAGGCTCAGGAAGGTTAATTCACTGGCTCAAGATTACACACCTAATAAGTGCTGAAGGAGTATGAGACAGACAAGGTTCTGCAGCGTAGTAGCAGAAATATTGCAAAAGAGTGAATAAAATAAAAGCTGACCACATTTTATTTTAGTATGCACTATGTACATTCAGAAGTCAGATTAATCTTCCTATACTGATTTTCTTAGATTAGTATATTTAAATGGGCTGACTTTTCCAAAGCGGGTGGCTATTACTTTATTCAGCAAACATTTATATGGATTCCAATTCAACCCTATAGAAAGTGTTTGTAGCTAGATATAGAATGGTGAACAAAGCCTGCATAATCCTTGTACACTTAATAAAGAAGAAAGATGAACAAGGAGAAACAGGAGGGAGAGGAGGGAAAATAGGAGGAGAATGCACATAATAAGGTTCTGTCTGATAAATGGCAAAGTCAGTAAGAAGCAAGTTGCATGAAAAGGGGATGAGAAAACTAGCTTAGAGTCAAAGTGATCTGCATATCACTTACAAGACAGGCATAAATATTTTGGGTGGGACAATCAGTTTGCTTTTCTCCTAACACTCTCCCTAACCTGATGAAATTAACTTTTCCTGATACCAACTACTCCTCACAAAGATGTCCTAGGAGGAAATAGAAAGAAATATGCTAAGATCTTTGATCTTCTCAGGAAGAAAAAGGTTAAAAATAAATAAACTATTATTTGACATATTTAATAGGAATTTTTAAATTAGACATAACTGAAGTTATTTTCATTATTTAAATTAATTTTTAATAACTTAGGCTAGAAATTTAACCCAAAGAATAAAATGATGGGCAGAGTAATTACTGAAACATTTTGGATACGCTGCCTATAAATTATATAACGTAGTAAAGAAAAAAAAAGCTAAGTGACAAAGAGGCTTGCAGGAACCTAGACTATTTCATATTATATCAATGTAATGTGCAAATGAAGTTAAGAATGGATGATTATAACAAGATTTATTGATGATATAATTCTTGTTTTAGTTTATTGACTGTCTTATAATAATGATTTAATAATATTTATATATTCGCTCAAATTTCTACAATAAATACTTTTGTGCACTTGATTCTTACTAAATCCCAAGCTCAAGTCCTCTTTTCTCCCCAAAAGTTTCCCAGATGAGAAATAATCTGGCCTTCCTCTAACCTTTTCCAATTCTTTAATTCTTATCACAGACTTTCAGATATGGCGATCACTTGTGCATTCTCCTTATATTTCTTCTCTCCCATACTAGATCATAAGGTCTGTCTGGGTCGTAGGATTGTATCCTCCACATAACAGGTGCTCAAATAAGACTTGTTGGTTTATTTATTCTTTCAACAAATACTTATTGAGGACCTGCTATATGCCAGGCATGGAGAAACACAATGTGTTGAATATGTTATGATATTTTCTTTAAAACTATTAGACCATAATTTTCAGTTTGATAATATTTCAGAAAATGCCGCAATATTTCTAATCAGCATGTATTAAAATGTTTCTTTCTATATAAATCCATTTCCCACCTCTATTCCATTTATATTCTCACTTAAGTGAACTTCTGTTATTTTTCTTCCACTTATAACATTTCTTATTCATGTTTTGGACTAGGCCTCTTAACAAGTACTTCTAAATATTTGGCTATTAGGTGACTAAGTTTAGTTTTGGTTCCTGATACAAGCAAGGAGACGCAAAAAATAAAAATAAATTTTCTAATTATAAGGAATATAGTCAGGACTGCATCAAGTACATTTTATACTTGGAATTATATGCAGAGATCACGCAGCTTTCCAACCAAACAAAATCATTCTAACAGTCTAGGAAATTTTTTTTCCTATTTCAAATCAAAGACATATGATCTACTTAGAATTGTTGAAGTAACAGATTCTCATTATAAAAGAAAACACCTGGAAATTATGTGAAATTTTAAATAAATGGGTTAAAGAAACATCCAGTTAGCTGATCACAAGATGATATGTTCACTGATATCATCATGAGGTAAAATTATACTATGGAGATTTCAATTATCATCTGTAAATAGCATCTGATGTGTCATCAAAAGAAATTTCAACATGATGAAAGATCATAATAATGTTCTTCCAAATGTATTTTTATAGTTCTATTAAAAGAATGCTTCTAACTGCTACTGAAAGCTAACTTTGACTATTCATGTGAAATTTCAGTAAATTTTTAATGTAAATAAAAGAGGAATAAAAAATGTATTATAATAGAAGCAACATGCAAATTTAAGTTGTGAGTTTAAAATTTCAGTTGTGGAATAGAATTTGGAAGCATAGTTAGTAAACAGCTGAAAATGGAGAGTTAAAAAAATCTACATGAAGTACAAAATTACTCTTTAAGAATTCATGTTTTACCCTTCTGGCTGTCTTTCAATCTCTATTATGTTCACACTGCATGCTCTGGGTATTGAATAATACTATACACAGCCCATGCAATGAGCACATCCTAGAGCCAAGTCCAGTTGTGATAGAAGGCTCAAAGGGTGGTATCATTTGATCAAATTTTAAATGTTAAGTAAATTTGAAATGATTAATTTTGAAAGTCAAAAACTTAGCCAAAAGATTATAGGATTTTAAAGCTTGAAGAGACAATATCTAAGTAGTCTCTTACCCTCTAGCCATACCCTCTACCCTCTTCCAAACCATACCAGACAGATGAATATCTATTCAAAAGGAATTCCAAATTTATCTGGGAACAACTGGGATAACTTATCAGAATTTATAATCCCTAATATTAAACATCTTTGTTCATCACATCCAAATTAAATTATTTGCTTTGAAGACTAAACCAAAAGTAGTGTCATGGAAAAAATATTGGCCTTAGAACTGAGAAAACATAAATAATAACTTATAACTATCTGTCTTTGAACAAGTCAGTTAAATTCCCCTAGCCTCCGTTTCTATGCCTGTAAAACAGGGATAATCATAAATGTAGATATCATGTAAAATACTAACGGAGTTCATACATGCAAAAGTGTTCTGTAAACTGCAAGAAGTGAGCAAATATAATGGATTATTATTCTGGGGTAGTTAATACTGCAACCCATGTCACCATTTTCTCCTCTTCATAGGTTTTATTTTCTAATCTTTTCATCATCTTACTGTGTCTTTGAAATCTTTCCAAGAGCCTCTACCTCACTGTTCAATTCGACAGCCCTGACTAGATTTAAGATTCAATAGAGCAGCTGGATGGTAGCTATTTTGATTACTTATTATTCTTACTTCAATAGAAAGCAAACTGAACAAGACAGATGAGGAACTGTCTACAAGGGAGTTTACAATATGGGGCAGAAAGAGGGAGATAATAAAGAAGAGAACAAATAAAGAAGAAAATTGTATACAGTAATAATGCTGTGAAAGATAAAACAGATCAACACAAGAAATGGGAGTGAGTAGTTTGGATGGCATGATCAGGATGGAACTCTTCCAAGCAGTCACATATGACATGAGACTTGAAGAATGAGGATGATCTAGTCATTTGAAGAAATGGAAAACTAGTGTTCCAGAGAGAACACCAAGTACAAATGACTTTAAGGTGAGTGTGAACCACTGTGACAAAATGATTTCTAAAGACTGAGATTAGGGAGAAAACCCTAGGACCATATTATTAACATGTTGTATGCAATGATAAGGAGTTTAGATAGAAAGGCATTGAACAGTCTTAAGCATGGAATGATGTGTTAAAATCAACTAAACAACTAATATTCAGAATGATTTCTGAATCCTCTTAATACATTAAACTGGGGCCTCTTTTACCATCTATATGATCTGCAAATTGGACTTGGGAATTTTCCTTTCATCTGTTTAGTAAACATTAATTTTCATTCATATGGTACTTTGCAATAAAGTAATGACTTAGACATTAAATGTAGTCAAATTAGAGATTTATGCTATCCACTTTGTGTTCATTCTCCAGATCTGTCAAAATAGACAGAAACGTCAAGCTCATGCTATTTCTGTTTCATAGGAAGTCAGGCAAAATTCTGTATACGGATGAAACTATGTTTCCTACTCCTCACCTGTTGTTCAGTTAGAAATGACTGAATGGTGATGCTACACAAATCTTCAAAACCAGAGAAAAGGCCGGGCACGGTGGCTCACACCTGTAATTCCAGCACTTTCGGAGGCCAAGGCAGGCGGATCACTTGAGGTCAGGAGTTCGTTACCAGCCTGGCCAACATGGTGAAACCCCATCTCTACTAAAAATACAAAATTAGCCAGTCGTGGTGATGCGTGCCTGTAATCCCAGCTACTCAGGAGTCTGAGCCAGGAGAATTGCTTGAACCTGGGAGGCAGAGGTTGCAGAGAGCCGAGATCACGCCACTTCACTCCAGCCTGGGCGACAGAGCAAGACTCCATCAAAAAATTAAAAAACAAACAAACAACAACAACAAAAATAAATAAAAATAAAAATAACACAGAAAAGATGAAAGATTACCTTTGCTCTGTGACCACAAGAATTTCTTATGTTCCTATGGCTAAAAGCCTTGCTGGTGTCCCCCAATTCAGAAGACACAAAGCATTCTTCAGAGAAAACTGCATTAACAGTGTTTACAGTAGGATAAACACTGTGTTTCTTTGTACTGAAAGAAAGCCTGCTGTACCATATTGTATTGGGAATTATCAAAATAATTAATCATCAAGAAAAAAGCACAAAAATAAAAACTACTGTTTGTATTAACAGCCAAGAGGCAAATGTAACAAAATCTGCTCCCAACTATTAATATCTTCTGAATAACATTTAAATAGTATTGAGAAAAGCTGAATTTGACAAATAAAAATATAGAATCCTCCCAAGTGCTTGAAAAGTGTATTAGACACTATAGATTTAGTACTATAATTGTCATGATCATATGTGGAAAATACTTAAAACATGAAATAATTGGGGGCAAAAGGGAGAAAATAAAGCCTGAATCTAAATTTATGTACTGCTGTTCTCTTGGAGCCAAGATCTGTTGACGTTAAAGTATCCGTATGTAGCGTACAGTAGGCAATCAATAAATTATCACAAAAGTAAACTTTTGGTACATGTTAGTTTCCATACTCCAATACAGAAAAGGGGGATTTTGAAATATTTGTTAAGGGACAGACTTCTAAAATTTTCCTGAGCTAATATAGCACTCATGTCTCTGAACATTTGCCTAAAGCTAAAAATGACATATATTGAGATATACGGGAGTAAACTATTTAAAGTACTAGAGCCTAACACAGACTAAGCAATAATGATGATGACACCAACAATCTGTCAATTTGCATAACTTTCTTTTTTGAGACAAGGTCTCACTCTGTTGCCAGGTTGGAGCGCAGTGGCACAATCATGGCTCACTGCGGCCTCAACCTGTTGGGCTCAAGCAGTCCTCCTACCTCAGCTTCCTGAGTAGCTGGGATTAAAGGGACATGCCACCATGCCTGGCTAATTTTTGTATTGTTTGTGGAGATGGGGTTTCATTATGTTGCCTAGGCTGGTCTTAAACACCTGGGCTCAAGCAATCTTCCCTCCTCGGCCTCCCAAAGTGCTGGGATTACAGAGGTGAGTCACGGTGCCTGGACCTGTATAACTTTTAATGGAAAAAGGAAGTTTCTAGAAGACCGTAGTAGTACAATAATGATGGAGACCAGGACGTGTTATTCCAAAACATGGCACCTTGACATTTAAGAAAACAGCAGAAGCAGGAAGGTCATTCTCACTTTCCCCTCACCCTTCTCCTCTGAAGCAAGTCATAAGATCTTCATTTGAGAACTGCACTCCCTATACCCAAAAGAAAGGAACATTCTTACCTCTGAAAATACAGAGTCACAGAGGGGAATCTGAACAAATAGGCCTTGTTAAGTTCCCTCAAGTTTTATTACATTAGATCATACTTTTTTATCCAATCATACTTCTCCACTACTATCCACTTTTGCACCAAACCTAGCACTAAAAATAAAAAGGTTTACTTATTTATTTGGGTCTTCGTTTCTTTATGATGTTTCCCATGTTATTTTAAACTTATATTAAATAAATTTGTATGCTTTTCTCTTATTAATCTGTCTTTTCTTACAGGGAGTACAGCCATTAACACAGGATGGGTGATGATATTTCTGCTCCCCTATAATAGCAATAGCAAAATACAGACTGTACTGTTTCCACACATCTCTGTTTTGGCACATGCTATGTCCTCTGCCTGCAATGTCTCTGACCTCTTTTTATGCTTGGCCATCTCATAGTCATTACACAGAGTCCTGCTAGATATCATGCTCTCTGTGAAGCCTGCACTGATAGTGCCAACCATTTCTTCCTCTAGCTTACTTGTATACCTCATGCTTATTTCTAACATTACATTCATACGATTTTGTTTTAATTATTTGTCTGCACATCTCTCTCCTCTACAAGGCTAGGAGCAATTAATTAACAAATATTACAACATTCTTTTTTGGGTTCCTAACACCTGCCACAGTGTCTGGCCCACAGTAGGCATATAGTAAACAGAGAAGTGAACAGTGCTAAGCAAACTACCTATACATATTTGAAGTTGAGGAAAATTAAAAGGGTGATTTTAAAATTGGATGTAAAGACCATTTTTCATGCTGGAAAATGTAAATCAAAGCATGTTGTCAAATTATTTTTTAAGTTTTATTTTTAATTGACAAATAATAATTGTATGCATTTATGGGATACAATGTGATGTTTTGATACTTGTATACATTGTGGAATGATCATATCAGGCTAATTAGTATAGCCAGAACCTCAAATACTTATCATTTTTTTGTAGGGAGAACATTTAAAATCCATTCTTTTAGCTATTTTGAAATATACATTACATTATTATTAACTATAGTCCTCATGCTGTGCAATAAGATTCTTAGAACCCATTCCTCCTAGGTGAAACTTTTTACTCTTCGACCAACAACTGTTCTTTCCCCGTTCACCTTCCTCCCCACTCAGGCCTCTGGGAACCACCATTATACTCTCTATTTCTATGAGTTTGACTTGTTCAGGTTCCACATATAAGTGAGATCATGCAGTAATGAAATGGGCAAATGACCTGTATAGATAGTTCTCAAAAGAAGACATATGAATGGCCAACAGATATATGAAAAAAAATGTTCATCATCTCTAATCACCAGAGAAATGCGAATTAATGTGTAATGAAATTATACCCTTATCTTTCACATCAAATACAAAAATCAACTTAAAGGCGATTAAAGACTTGCATGTAAGACTTGAAACTGTAAAACTACTGGAAGAAAACATATGGGAAAAGTCTCAGCAATGATTTTTTAGATATGACCCCAAAAGCACAGGCAACAAAAGCAAAAATAGACAAATGAGATTGCATCAAACTAAAAAGTTTCTGCACATTAACAGAGTGAAGAGACACCCCACAGAGTGGGAGAAAATATTTGCATAGACATTTCTCAAAAGAAGAAATACAAATGGCCAAAAGGGTTATGAAAAAATGTTCCTCACGAATCATCAAGGAAATGCAATTAAAAGCAGAGTGAAATATTACCTCACAACTGTTAGCAACATATATATCTTAGAAAATTTGTACTTCTGGATAAAAAGACAGAGGTATTTTCCTTTTAAGGAAAAATAATGTTGTGATTTTTAACAATTTAAAATTTATTCTATGGATTAGGAAAAAATTGTAAGGTTAATTTATATTTATCATAGGTCTGAACCTAAAATTAAAGACAATTTAGCCTTTATTAACAGATCTGTGGTATGCACTAAAAATAGAATGATCAGCCATATGGTCAAATCACAGATGTCTCTAAGAATATCACAAAAATCTAAATATGCTTTAAATAATTTTAATAACCTAGATGATTTTACCTAATTTCAAATGATATTTGTCAATAAATTAAACCTTTAAAGTATTTATCTGAATTGATATAAAACTTTAATTAATCTACTCAATATTTACTCCCATAATGGTTTTAAGATATACTGTAGCTAATCTGAAAACATAAATAATGTGCATAAATTCTTTTAAGTTCAAGTACAAAAATCCTTAGACCTTTTGATTGCACATAGAAAAGAGGCAATCTCATCTCTTATGGTGCATAATATTCACAAATCTAATTTTCTCTTTTCCGGTTTTCCATTTTATTCATAATCATCCATCAACCTTCCTAGATTTCTTATATTTTAACAACTTTTTAATGCTTGTTTCAGAATAATGATCCTATCTAATGATTGATAAAGATCATTCAGAAAAGGTCCATATCTTATCTTTTTTCATAAAAATGTCTTTTTCTTATTTATTGCCCTGAACTTGCATAAATCACCACAATCTTTTGCATTTTTATCAACTTGCCTTTTGCATTCTTATACTAAACACACAGTGCATGTACCTACTTTCAATTATGTTGCTCATAGTTGCCTGATTTTAATTAATTATCCAAGATTCCCCTTAAACTCTAAATTCTTAAATTCTCCCTTTAACTTTATCCTTTATGCTTCTGGAAATCAGTTTTCAACTGGGGCAGTTTGCTTCCCTAATTTTTTGTCATTTACTCATTTTTTTTATTATTACGTTCTCCCTCTCTCTCCTTCTTCCACTTCCCCCATCAATCACTCCCTCCTCTACCCAGGGAAACTGATGTCTGTGTTTCAGGCATGTCCACTACATTTTCTCATATTCCTTAATTCCTCCTGCATAAATCTATCTTTTCATGCTGTTTTCTTGAGGCACTTTTTTTTCCTTATGTGAGCCTTAATATAGCAATTTTCTTCTATATTTTACATTCCTGTCACAACTTGATACTTATACATCTTTTTCAATGTTACGTATTTTTTTTAGCTTCCTTATACTTCATTCTCTCTCTTTTGTAGCTAAGTGGCTTTATAGTACTCAGTAGAATAGGGATTACTGCCATCAGCTCAGAAATTCTGTCTGCCCCCTGCCCTCAAACAATAGAGGTATGAAATGCTGCCTTTTCTTGTGTTTTGGATTGTTTTCATGTGTCTTTTCCTTCCAGTTGCCCATAATCCCTTCCTGAAAAATGTTATATTCCTTTCTCTCCACCTGCTTTTTATAGAGAATGCACTTTGGTGATTTTTTGAGCCCTCATTCTCTGTTGACTCATCTTTTCATTGTATGTCTGGGCAATACCCTGACATCCTCAGCCACTTACATCATGACATGGACAAACCATAATTAAGAAACTCAGCATTAAGAACTAAGAACTTAATTACTATGCTCTCACTTTTCATTTATTTTCCACAGTATGATACCACCAATCATTAATACTTTCAATTTTGAGAAAATAATTACCTCAAAATAATTGCCTCTAGCAGTACTTAGTTTATTAGCAGAGGCATGTAATACTCAACAGAGGCTCAAGCACCAAAACGTTCAGATCCCATAAGTAGGTGATATGCCAACTCGATAAACCATAAAGAGGTAAGACCAATCTAATTTTTAAGAATAAGATTATAATTTTATTTAAGTATGAGGAGAAAAAATTAAAAGGGAACAATGCAATGGTTCTAGTAATCCCATGATGTGAACCTCCGAGGCTCATAAAGCTCATTAAATAATTTCCCATGCACTTACAATATGACTAAAAAAAGTATAGTTACATAGAACTTCTCAGAAATATATATATATATATATATATATATATATATATATATATATATATTTATTTATTTATTTATTTTAGATGGAGTCTCCCTTACTCTGCCACCCAGGCTGCAGTGGAGCAATCTCTACTCATTGCAACCTCCACCTCCCCAGCTCAAGCGATTCTCCTGCCTCAGCCTCCTGAGTAGCTAGGATTACAGGTGTGCGCCACCATGCCAGACTAATTTTGTTTGTATTTTTAGTAGAAATGGGGTTTCACCATGTTGGCCAGGCTGGTCTCGAACTCCTGACCTCAAGTGACCCGCCTGCCTCCGCCTCCCAAAGAGCTGGGATTACAAGCATGAGCCACCGTGCGCAGCCCTTCTCAGAAATGTATCTAATCCTAAAACAAGGCAAACTCACACTTATCTACCAGTAGCTACATCAATCTTTGAACACTCTATTTACTTAGGCAAACACACAAGTTCCCAAATTGTTCCACTAACTGCACTTAGAATTCACATTTATAGTGAAGGGAATAAAATGACCAAAAACACTGGCTGAAGAACTTAAATCTAAAATATGTCTTCTTTATACCTTATACAGCAGTTATTTCGCAGTTGGTAGTTTGAGGGATTGTTTTTTCTCTACAAGACTAAAAACTAAGAGAAACTTTTTGTTTCTACTACTTTCAGCAGTAAATTGCCTGAAATTAAGCCAGCCCAAGAACATGTAATTAATAACTGTCAGCCCATGCAAGGAGCTCTGTGTTCTAATTAACTTGTGCTTTGATAATTTCCTAGCAAAGTACTTTCACACTGAGAGCTTAATCCTGTTAAAACGGATTAATTTGGATTTTCCAGACAGGACACAAAGTCAAAGCTCAAAGACTCTTTCCCACCCTGTTACTATCCCCATACTGCCCAGGTTAAATCATCCAATTTAACTGTGGTTCATATTTTCACTTGAAAAAAAGCCAACATAGTCATAAATAGTATGTGAAGGCTGATAAAGCTTTATGGCAATAAGAAGTTTGCATTAAAAACACTAACATATATATTAAAGAAGACAAAATAAAGATTACAAAGTAATCAATATTGCTACTCCCATTTCCCCTAAGACACAAATCAATAACCTAGATTTCATGGCTCTTGCAAACAATAAGACATATATTATGTTGGTGCAAAAAAAAAAAGTAATGGCAAAGACAGCAATTACTTTTGCACCAACCTAATATATTTTGAATGCTCTGTAATCTGCAAAGACTCATTTATCTAGGAACTTCACTTACATAGAATGAAAGTGTGAACCCCCAAAACAGCAAAAATAATCTGATATCACAAAGTTCACATTTAATTCACTAATAATACCATTGTTTCTCCTTTTTAAAAATCATGTCTCCTATTTTCAAGTTATTTTTGTAGAAAATTGATTCTATTGTGCAAAATTCATTGTTGAATTTTTTTCTTGATTTACTCATCAATAACACCAATATGCAAAATGTTGGAAGATAATTATAAAATCATTGGGGGCTAAAGCTTATTGTTAACAAGAAAACAATTATGTGTGTCAGTTGTAAACTGAAAATTCATAATCAGTCCAAGAAATCTTTCTATAAAAAAACTAATTTGTTAAAAACTAATTTCTATAAAAAATTACAATCCACTGCCCTAAATTACAAGATCACACATTTTTCTAAACAAACTCAGAAGCTAGAAAAATGTTATCATTCAGGTACAGCAGCCCTACAAACAAAACAAAAGCCAAGCAACAACACCTAAAGCCTAAGTAAATACATCAAAAAATGAATAAAAACATAAATAAATGTCTCACTTATTAATCTGACTGGCATCTACCCGTGTTACATATAAGATACTAACTTGTATATTCCTAAGCTTCAAAATAAAATATTTGCTTAAGTTTTTTAAACTTTCTATATGATGGTATCACATAGTATTAATTAAACACTCAAAGTTTTAATTTATGGCAATTCCCTCCTCTTAGATTGCATATTTTTTCATATAAGGCACAGTAATAGGAATTAAGCTATGAAGATGTAGCCTTGATATTTCCAAAAATGTATAAAAATTAATGTACTTTATTTTATTACTGCCTGAATGAAGACCACATCCTGATAAAATGGCATAACAAAATACCATTTGATCTAGCAATCCCATTATTGGGTATATACCCAAAGAAATATAAATCATTCTGTTATCAAGATACATGCTTACGTATGTTCACTGTAGCATTATTCACAATAGCAAAGACATGGAATCAACCCAAATGCCCATCAATGATAGACTGGATAAAGAAAATGTGGTACATATACACCATGGAATACTGTGCAGCCATAAAAAGGAACAAGATCATGTTCTTTGCAGAGGCATGGATGGAGCTGGAAGCCATTATCTTCAGCAAAGTAACACGGGAACAGAAAATGAAACACCACATGTTCTCGCTTGTAAGTGGGAGCTGAACAGTGAGAAAACGTGGACACAGGGAGGGGAACAACACACACTGGGGCTTTTTGCCGGGGAGTGGGGGTAAGGGGAGGGAGAGCATCAAGATGAAATGCTAATGCGTGCTGGGCTTAATACCTAGGTGATGGGGTGATAGGTGCAGCAAAACACCATGGCACACGTGTACCTATGTAACAAACCTGCACATCCTGCACGTGTACCCTGGAACTTAAAATAAAATAAAATGGCATAACATCTTTTCTCGATGATATTTTTCATTATTATCTGTTGGGAAATGTAGTCATACTTCTCTGCTCTTGAGAGCAATTTGAATTTTAATGAGGAAAAAAGTAAAATGTTGAAAGCAAGTGTTGAAAGAAAATCAACTTATCCCTTGTTGATCTTATATGGATGACCACTTGAACCTAGCCAAGTCTGGAAAGACATAGATTTTTTTTTTACTTTGAAAACTAATCAAATCATAAAAGAAAACCCTCACTATGAGAGCTAGTCAGAAATCCATGTTCAGTATTTCACAGAACTGTTTCTCCACTTTTAAATGAGAATATACTAATCAATGTCACCATATCAGAAGAGCTTCTAACAGAGTACAGGGGTAAATGATTTCATGTTCTAAAATATAAGGACTATGCAAAAGCAGAAAACAGTTTTAAGAGAAAATATATGCATCTATTCGTGAATTTTATATGTCAACAGAATCCAGTGGCATCTGCTAAAGCAGAAAATCTACTACGAATAAACATTTTATTCAAGTTTAAGAAACAAGGAGAAGCAGGAGGATGGCTTGAGACAGGGAGTTCGAGGTTATAGTGAGCTGCGATTGTGCTACTACACTTCAGCCTGGTGTAGACACTGATGAAATACACAGATGAAAGAAAGAAAAGAAAAGAAAAGAAAAGAAAAAAAGAAAGAAAGAAAGAAAGAAAGGAAGAAAGAAAGAAAGGAGAAGGAAAGAGAGAAAGAAAGAAGGAAAGAAAGAAAAAAGAAAGAAAAAGGGAGGGAGGGAAAGAAAGAAAGAAGGAGGGAGGGGGAGGGAAAGAATGAAGGAAGGAAGGACAGGAAGGAAGGAAGGAAAAGAAAGAAAGAAAGAAAGAGAACGAAACAAGGAGAAACAGCGCAATAAAATAGATGTTGTATCACAAATCCATAAGATAGAAAGGTCCTACTTTTGAAATAAGGTCAAGAAATCTCTATTCCCCAGACTGTAAGCTACTTGAATGCACAGAATCTGCTTTTGTCTTCATTACACTTAGCATAGTGCCCTGTATTTAGTAAGTCTTCAAAAGATGTTTGTGCCATTGCAAAAATGAATGTCAATAATTTTAAAAATATGCCCAATTTGTTACCAAAAGAGCCAACCATTAAACATTTACTGTCAAGCTTCATTGTGGTATGTCATAGCTTGAAAACACTCTGTAACACACACCTTTTGTGTACTATGAGATTTGAGTCTTATAAGATCAAAATGTGGATAAATCTCTACCTGCAGTGTGGCAAATGATAAGATGTGATTGGCAAAGTCTTTAATGTTCAACTTCCCAATGGCCCAGCCGTGTACTTTATTCTAACTAGCATTCCGTGTCATATAAGAAGCCTCCCTTATTTCTAATCATTAATCACTCTTAAAGATATATGTGTTTCATTGTTTTCATTTAAAGTGAATGTAAAATACATTTAAGTAGAGATGTAGAGACTGACAATATCCAATTCTACTTTTTATGGTTCGAGGATTCGTTATCATCAGTCAATTGAAGAAAATACTACTTCCAGTATTAGACTGCTAAAATGATTATCATTAAAGATAAATAGATTATGAATGGAAAATACCTTTCATATATTAAGTATTATATAAATATGTGTCGAACAAAAAATGTATGAAAATTTATATTTCAATGATGATTATATTTACTTTGTAATTACTATTATTTCACTATTATAGTATAGCACAATTTCTTCAAATGTCAATTTTGAAAGTTATAAAGTTCTATAAAGCAATCTTACTTCCTGGCTTAACCTTAACCTGTAATATACTTCAAACTCAAGGACAGAAAGATTGTAAAATACAGTAATAATATATTAATCTTCTTACATCTATTCATACTTTTACAAAAATTTTCCAGGCAGCATTACACAAGGTTAAATACAAAGTTAAAAATCAAGAATCTCAGTCCCTTTACCGCTGTTTATTTTTGCCAATGGAGTATATATTTTATCACTGCAACATTATAATCTGTGAACAACACATGGCTTAAACATTATGTTGTGTTGTTTAGAAGAAATGGCCTGAGAAAAGTAGCTTGCATTTCAAAATCTTTAAATTTCAAAACATTACCACTGTGTTCTACCTTGAGGAGTTTAAAATTTCACAGTCCCACTGATCTGAGAGTCCTCAATGCATTGATTACAACCAGCGGGTCCATCTTCTATCCCAACGAAATTAATCATGGTAACAGTTGCCACTATGGCCTCCTCCCTGCATTTTCCAAGCATGGAGGAGGACAAGTGAGCACCTGCCTCCTAGATTTTAGATTGAAAATATCACCCGAACACACCAGGATTCTTTATACTATGGCAGAGTATAACCTTCTGAAAAAGGCCAAGAGTCTCCTAATGAGCACATCCATACATTGATCATGATGTTTTCCTTTAAAAACCAAGTTCCTCCAAGAATTTGTAAATGGAATTTAGCAATATTTACAATTTACTCATCAATAAATGGCATTTGAAATATTTATTTCACATTGTTTTGTCACATAGTTTAAAAATTTGATCAAAATATTTATAGAACTACTTTTTGTAATAGGAGAAGCCCTTTTTCTTTTAATAATAAAAATAATGTGCCAAGTAAAATATTCATTTATGAAACTGCTCAAGCAAAAGTAAAACCAGAAATATTCGAGATCATTAAGGTTATCCATTCTTCTTGTAGAATATTACTGAAACCTACAAAAGTATTACAAGACACATGCACATGTATGTTTATTGCGGCATTATTCACAATAACAGACTTGGAACCAATCCAAATGTCCAACAATGATAGACTGGATTAAGAAAATGTGGCACATATACACCATGGAATACTATGCAGCCATAAAAAATGATGAGTTCATGTCCTTTGTAGGGACATGGATGAAATTGGAAATCATCATTCTCAGTAAACTATCACAAGAACAAAAAACCAAACACTGCATGTTCTCACTCATAGGTGGGAATTGAACAATGAGAACACATGGACACAGGAAGGGGAATATCACACTCTGGGGACTGTGGTGGGGTGGGGGGAGGGGGGAGGGATAGCATTGGGAGATATACCTAATGCTAGATGACGAGCTAGTGGGTGCAGTGCACCAGCATGTCACATGTATACATATGTAACTAACCTGCACAATGTGCACATGTACCCTAAAACTTAAAGTATAATAATAAAAGAAAAAAATAATAAATAAATAAATAAATAAACGTATTACATAATGGTCAAAAACATATTACAAATTATCACTTTAAGAAGGTTTAAAATTGTACAAGGATTCCATTTACAACATATTTGATCTATATGCTTGCTAACCTAAAGATCTTGGTTATATAACATCTCATACCTCTGCATTTCAAAGATGGACAGTGACAGACATTGTTAAATTCCTGTTTGAAGGTATTAAAAATGACAGACTTTGTTTCTAAATTATGAATTTCCACATTATATTGAACTCTCGGGCTATTTTGTTGCTCGCTCTCAATTTGTGTTTACTACATTGTTTGGGGCATGAGTAGGTTTTCACTAGCTCATCTGAGAGGAAACTCCCTGTTTCTGAAATTCTTTAAGTAGGTTTGTTTGGAAAAATCAGCGAAGCATTCTGTTTAACCTGAGTCATTTCTTTCTACATTAAGCAAAGTTGCCTAGTAGTTAGGCAAAGAGCCCAGTCAGTTACCCTGAACCACAATGGATGCAGATCTATTTTCTTATTATTTCTGTCCCTGAAAAGTTTCATAGCTCCTCAGGGAAAAAAGACATACCCACCATCTTGTAGGTCTCAATTAAGCTTCCTTTCTTTTAGGTTTACACTCACTCTCCCTTAGCGAATTTTGCTTTTTTTTCAATTGCAAAAAACGAAGCCTTCCCATTGCCTGTTTAAAACCCAGTTTGCCTTGCTCAATGTCATGGCTTTTCAGGTTTTCTAAGACTGGTTACTCACTCTGCACGTCAGTGTGAGTTTGCATTTTAATTTTCCTTCCTGCACCTGATCCTTTACAATGACTCTGTAAGGTGTCAATAATCTCTGAAAGTTCTGGGATGAGGCACAGAATTTGGATCATGCTCTTATTTTGCCACAGTGGTAATTAAACACTAACACATACCGACACACATACACGATGAGTAGAGGTTTACGTTGTGTTTGCTTCTAGACCCTGAAATAATTGAGCTCATTTTCAAAATAAATAATCTACTTTCAAATTTGGTCTTTATTTTACACATACACTTAGTCAGAGATGTCTGCAGCTTAATATTTCAGCACATTGTCAAGCAATTCCATATGCTTTTTTCTTTTCCTCTTCCTACTTCTCCTTGTTTAGTCAGAAGTTTTCAAAGTTTTGAGTGCTTTATAGATTGAGGGTGTAGAATATTCTAATATGACTGGCAGAATAAAACAAAGACTGATTTATATTTCTCATGCAGTATATTTGAAAAGACAGATTCCCAACCATTTGCTTACAACTCTATTTCCAGCTCCTATTGGTTAGTTTTCAGTTGTTCATATCTCTGATTTAACACTTTTAAAAGTGCCTCTGTATATTTACAGGCTTAAACCTACAAGATTATGTATTTCTGAAAAAAAAATACACTTAAAAAATGTCAACAGATCTATGTGGAAAGCTAGTAGAAATTTCTTAACACTTAAAATTCACTTATTTTTTTAAAAAATTAGTAAACGGTACTGACTATGAATATTTTCCTGAAAGGACTTCAGTTTCCCTGCCAATCCCTAACCACACCAAAAGTGAGAGGAAACCCCTGGTAACAACGTTTACAACGTGTTCTGTGTGTAAAAGTGCAATCTGGAGAAAATAAATACCCTCACGATTATTTGCTTTCCTTGTAGCACTCATTTATGATCAAACATTTATTATAACTCCTATTTTTTCCTACTTTTAGTTTTCATTCAACTTGTCTTGATAAAGTCTTGAGTTCTCTCCATTTAATTCCCTACTGCTAGCTTCATGACCATCAATATCAATGTGAAAATCATACATTAGTCAGAGGTAGACTCCACCTGGCTTTAACTATATCCTGTAGAGGCACACACAATATCTGTCTCTGACTTCTGACAAGTGACAAAGATAAAAGAATGAGCTATCAACTTAAACATGATCTGCATTTGATCTTGTATTTTGCATATACTATATATTAAGAAGGCTCCAGAGTTAATTATGGATAAATATACAGCTACATTTATCATGCCACAATTTTCAAGTACAGAATGAATATTTGAGAAGTAAAAATAATTTTCTCTTGCTCATCAGATTCCTTTTAGGCTAGATCTATCCTCAACTTATCCAGTTAGTGGAAGGGAGCATCAGTGTGTATTATCAAAAGTGATGTATAATCCATACTGATGTTTTAGGGTTACTTTTCCAACTCCCTTCAAAATAGGAAAACCTGCACTGGGAAGTGGGCCTGTAGCCTTGAATCAGCTGGATTCACAGAAGACAACTCAGCTTCTTTGAGTTGCTAGAGTTCCTTGCTGTTCAGTACCATAACTCCACTCCAGGGAGCATGACCTTTCCTGTTAGGTGATTAGCACTGGGAATAAGAGCAAGATTCTTTAGATCGGGGAGGTAGGGCAAATGGGAAACTGGTTTCATTTGCAAGCAGGGACAAAAAAAAAAAAAAAAACCATTGCACAGCATTCATGCTTCCCAGCTGAGTTGGCTGCAGCCTCAGTTACCTGTTAACATAACAGCTATATTCACAGTCTGAAAATACACAAAGCCAGCTTTTCCTGGCAGTCACTTATCACTCTAGGGTTGCATTACCATCACAGGGAATGAAAACATGGTTCTAATCCAATTAGGAAACAAAGGGTACTTGCAAGAAAAAAGTTTCAATTCAACTTAATGCAACAAATATTTGTTGGTTTGGGAACATTTACCTGCAAGAAATATTCTTCTTTGACATAGAAGCACGTGATTCTAAACTGGCTACAACAATATCATTGGAGGTATTGGTGACAAAAGTGATTACCATAAAAATTAAAGCAGGAAAGGAACTTGAAAAATCATTTACATAGTCCTTAGTGGAGTGTCTTGCACAAAGTAATCTCATCATAAAAAAACTGATGAATGGATGAATCCAGTTCAATCCCTCATTTTACAAATCAAGAAACTAAAGTCAAAATGAAGAAGTAATTTTCTCAATGATACAAAGTTAGCCAGTGGAAGAGCAGGACAAGAGACCAGAATTTCTGAGTCCTTACCTATTATTCTTATTAACATACTCTTCTTTATATTCAGTCATTTCCACTGTTGATTGATCCGCTGTAGACCATATTCGTCTTCATCCCCATAACTATGTGACTTCATGCCCACAATGTCTTTTAGTACAGCAACTCCATTAAACTAGCCTTAACCATTCTAATCCATATCCTTATATCTCTTCTCTGAATTTTTAGTGTTTACTGGCTATACCAAAAATTGAAGCTTTTAATAAAAAACACATTTGGCAAGAATTTTATGTATATATCTTGCATCATTAATAAGTTTTGTATGCTTCTTCAGGTAAGGGACATTTGTTTATAGTTCTTTATATATATCAGCATGTAACACGCAGGTTTACCTTGGTGCATCAGAATGAGTATATAATTTAGCATCCAGATTGGACACTTTTGAGAGTTAAAAATTATATTTAATACATGTGCAATAAGCATAAACTGTGACTGTCCTAGGAAAAGTAGAATATATAGTCACCCTAATAGTTGTTGATTTGTTCAACATTTGTTAAATTAGAATTGATCATTGCTGATTGTACAGTTGTCCAACTATGGGATATTGTTTCAATTTACAGATTACACTGAATGAAATTATTTCTAAAGCAGTAATCACTGAAAAATAATGATAAGTTGCAGAATTCTATTTAGTTACTGATTTTTTTTTTAAGATGGGGTCTCACTCTGTCACTCAGGCTGGAATGCAGTAATGTGATCTCGGCTCACCGCAACCTCTACCTCATCGGGCTCAAGGGATCCTCCCACCTCAGCCTCCCTAGTAGTTGGGACAACAGGCATGTGCCACCGTGCCCTTCTAATTTTTTGTAGTTTTGGTAGAGACAAGGTTTTGCCATATTGCCCAGGCTGGTCTCAAACTCCTGAGCTCAAGTGATCTGCCCACCTCGGCCTCCTGAAGTGCTGGGATTACAGGTGTAAGCCACCATGGCTGGCCACAATTTACAGACCACAGTGAATGAAATAATTTCTAAAGTAATAATCACTGAAAAATCATGATAAGTTGCAGAATTCTATTTACTGAATTCTTATATGTAAGTATAATTTGTTTAAAAGTTATTAATATTTCTGCAAATTTTCACTTATTGTCTTGTTTTTTAAAGCTGTAAGGATAAAGTTAACTGAAAAATGTTTGTTGCTCCAGTTTTAATCATTTTAGCATTGAAAATATGGTGGAGAGTAAAAAAATTAGCCTTGTTTCTAATTCCTTCCTGATGGTAAAATATGAAGTATGATGGCTTTCTACATGGGGTGAGGGGGGCATGCTGTTAGAACGTATAGATAAAAAGGCCCACATTTGTAATTTAAAAGTAGATTTAAATTTAAACTCTCTATTTAAGAGTATGAAGACACACATCAAGATTATTTAAATTTCTATTGAGATAAGTAATGGAGGAAGTAGTAAGGGAAACAAGTACCTTCTATTATAGATTCATACACAACTAATAAATTTATAGAACTAATGACTAATAGCTAAAATTTTATAGCATTTACCTACCATCTCTCTCTCTCTCTCTATATATATATATATACACATGCATATATATTTAACGTACTTTTTTACTACCTCTCCAAAATGTAAGATCACTAGGTGTTTAAAACAATAGTTTTATCTGCTTAGAATACATACATGCACACACACACACATATATATGTGTACATTCACACATATATGTGTATATATATATAGAGAGAGAGAATGATGCCTTTGAACATATTAATAAAACACATCTTTACATTGATTTCTGTTAAGAAATAATCAAATAAATTTTGATACAATTTTCATGATATCAAAAGAATATATATTTTTATGTTCAGATATTTAACAAATGTTCAGACATCCCAGACAGAATAGTCCATAGATACAATTTATTAATATTGCTAAATTAGAGGTTTAATGATAAAAATACCCAGCAGCAGAATGAATTTGAAGCATTTGAACAATGGCAGTTACACCATCTGCTCCAGATAGAAATTTGCTATCTTGACAGTAACAAAGAACAAATAGGCAGTGCAGATACATCAAGCTGGCAAGAGGGTAAATGCAGCAAGGAAAGAAGCATTTTTTAGACAAATTGCTTTTCCTGTTGAATACTACATTCTATCCTAAATAATACTTCATTCAACTACAGGCAGATGTTTGTGTCAAAGAGAATTCATAGTCTTTATCACAAAAAGTGTTTTATATTATTAGAAAATCTAAATAATCATAATTTTCCATCCTCAAATTTCCAAATAAAATTAAAGTACACTAGCAGGAAAAAGAAGCAAAAATAATTACAAGGGAAACAAAATAGCATGCTTCCCTTAGGAAAAATGCTGAGAAAAAGACATAATGTTGACAGATTCTGACCTATCCACATGGACCTCTAAGATGAGCCCCAAGACTATATTATTTGAAGAAATTAAGTTTTAAAAATCAATTTAAAAGACTTCCTTCTCACATCTTATTATCAGTGGGATATTTGTGTTTATGGGTAAGGGATGAAGATATATTGAAATAGCATTCATTCTGTGTTAAAATAATAAAGAGAAAATAATAAAACTATCATTATAGACATTCATTTGCAAGGTTATTAGGTCACGTGAGCACCCTACCTTGACATGTTTCTAAGAAAGAAGGTATTTATTTTTCTAAATAATAATATTTATTAGAATTTAATAAATTCTAAGGAGGCCTCCTCTAAGGAGGCCAGTCTCTGGAACATCAAGACAAGGAGGTTTATATAAAGGCACGGGCCAATTTCTACTCCCATTCCATATCACCCACATACTTGATGTTCACATTCCTTTTATTCTTGGTTCAATAGCATTGATAAAGATTATAGTTGAAAGAATTATAATGTTTAAAATATATACCAAACTATGGCATAAAGAACTCATTATATTAATCCTTGCCAATTGTCAGGAAAGATGTGTCATCTTTTTTACTGGGTTTTACATATCAATCAGTAAGTATTTATTGAGATATATATTTTTAACTGATACATTTTGTCTCAATTGTCTGAAAATAGTAAGATTGTAAATGAAATGCAGATTGTGTACATTCTTTTGCTACCTGATCTGATCTGATTTATGATCAGAACATAAATATGACCTTGGGTTAATGAGGGCCATGTCCTTTTTGTGGGAGTCCCCCCTCAATACATTTCCTAGGAAGGCAAGTTTACCATCCATAATTTTAACACAAGAATAGTATGAGGTGAGGTCTTCCTTCAAAATAATTATTTTTTACTTACCTTATCCTGGATTCAAACTAATCTTTTCTAAATTTTAAATGAGTTTTCATCCTGTATTTTATCACGTAAAACAGTACCTTGTTTTATACAGTGCTAAAACTATGACATTCAATCTTCTAAAGCTTGCCTCCAGTTTTGGTTACAAAAATTGATGGCTGACTTCATAGATAACTTACATTAATTTATCCAGCAATAGTTATTTATTTAGCTTCTACTTTATGAAAGGCACTGGGATAGGTGCTGCAGTAAGTACTAAGATTTATGAGAAGATAGACCTTTCAAAGGGTTTACCAATTAGTTAATAAGCTAACAAGGTGAATGAACAGAATAAATGAAAAATTGATCATCGTCAAATTATGTGGTAGAGAGAGAGAGATTAGTGGGGACTTGAGTATTTGAAGGTGTCATGATGGACAAAAAGGGGGCCAGGAATGAGCCTTGAATGTAGTTCTAACTTATAAGAAAGAACTGGAAAGGGAATTCTATCAGCACTAGGTCTAAGCTGACTGTTTATATACAGAGAATGAAGAGGCTGGGGAAGCCTAGCTTGTCAGGAAGCTAGTAGAAATGTGGGGCAAATACATGGGTGCCATCATCTATAAGATAATTATAATCTCATTTTCATCACATCAAAAGGAGAAAACCACTTATCTCTCTGTCTTACTAACACTTAATGAGCAAATTGCCCAGAAATTTAAATGGATTTATCTTGTCATGTAATCACCATGACAATCGTAGATCATTCCAGTAGTGTCAACCTTATTTTATGGACTAGGACACTGAGTCTAAGAGGGGTTAATGTAAATTGCTAAAAGCTTCACAGCTAGTAATGATTATGATAATGTAATAGCGAGGATAATATTTACTGAGTATCTTCTATTAACCTGGTACGGACATAGTCACTTTTTTTTTTTTTTTTCTTTGAGACGGAGTCTCGCTCTGTCACCAGGCTGGGGCAGTGGCGCGATCTCGGCTCACTGCAACCTCCACCTCCCAGGTTCAAGGGATTCTCTGGCCTCAGCCTCCCGAGTAGCTGGGACTACATGTGTGCGCCACCATGCCCAGCTGATTTTTTTTGTATTTTTAGTAGAGACGGGTTTCGCCACGTTGGCCAGCATGGCCTTGATCTCTTGACCTTGTGATCTGCCTGCCTCGGCCTCCCAAAGTGCTGGGATTACAGGAGTGAGCCACCGCGCCCGGCCAGACATAGTCACGCTTTTCTAGTAATAGCAGTTACTGAGCTGCCTGGATCTGTCTCTCCACTCTCTCACTTTTTTTAGGCAGGTCATAGGACCCAGGAGATATGTACCCAGCTGCATGCAGGAGTAGCCCACGGTGTGACTCTCCCAGCTTTGAGAGGGATTTGCTTTTGCACCGCTTGATGCCCAGTTGGTCAAGATGGAGCCCAATGGGTCACTTGGCAGTGCTGTAGACAGCAGAGCTGGGGTTGGGGCCCCATGCTCTGTATAGAAGAACAAGCTTAAAGGAGGGAGTGGGTAGGTGACCAGAAACATCTCAGAACCCATTGCTTCATTCACTCAACATGGTGACTGCAAACGTAGGTCAACTTCCAGTGAAGAAAATGTGAGTTTAGAATCAGGCAGATCTGGGCTCAGAATCCCAGCACTGTCACTGACTAGCTGTGGGACTTTGGTAAACTCACTCAAGTTCTTGTAGCCTCTGTTTTCATATATATTAAATGGAATCAGTAATAACTACTTCATTGACTGCTGTGAGAATTGGAAGAAATAACTTGCAAAGAGTCTAGTCCACTACCTGACATTAGTTGTTAAACATTTAATAATTAATAGCTATTGTCATAACTAAAAATCTCCCCACTCACCAATACCAACTCTCTTTTTTATTTTTTCAAATTACCATTTGTGCGGGATCTGGTAAAAAAATGTTGGAATTTTTTTTAGTTAATAATTCTACAATTTTCTATTCTTCTTATAATTTCCCCTTACAAAAGAAAAGTTGCTTTAGATCCAACTATTTTATGTTGGCATATATGTTGAATGACTATTTTAAATTGCCTAATATTTCCTGACAACAAATTTGTAGATCACTATCCTTGAATTGTTTGAAGGACAATGATACATCTTTCCTGTGCCTCTGGAAGGAACTCACATTCTCTCAAATGTACAAAACAGAAAACTATCCATTTGATGTACCTCTTTTTTTTTTCTCTTGGTTATCGCTGAAAATCTGCCACCTCAAGCAGCCATTGGCAAATAATCGTTACCTTTTTCTTCATTGTTTGCTTCATTAAGTCAGCAAATATTCATAGATAAAATTTTATGAACCAAGCACTACTCTAATTAATAGTGTTCCCACCAAAACAAGTGCCTTTCTCTATACCCCCTTGACTTTTGTCCTAGCCTGGTATGCTGCCTTACCAAATGATGCTGCTTAGGTGCTCAGCCATCCTTGAATTCTAGGAATAATCTGGCCTCTAGTGCACAGAACTGGATTAATTATAACCCTTGGTGTATGAATCACCATTGTCATGTCTCCACATATGGCTCTATAGATATAATTAATTAATTAAAAATTAAAACAAAACATCATATACAGATTGTGAATGTTCGATTTTAAGAGATAATGCCAACTTTTTCCAAGTAATTTTACAAATTTATATTTCTGCTAGCAATGTGTAAGAGATCCAGTTGGTTCACGTTCCCACAAATGCTTGGTTCTTACAATAGGTATAAAATGTCCCATTACTTTCTTGCCTGTCCTCCCTGTATGGGGAAGTTTCATGTACAAAGTTGAGGTTTGGAACTTTTCTCAGACATTTGAAGTAGAATGGAATCAAATACCAGAAACTTCTCAGCAAAATGAGAACTACAAGTGATATCCTAGTCCCTTCTTGGCTAACGGCTTTTAAAAAATGAAGAGGAGGAAAACAATTTAAAAGTAAGCATTACCCACTTTAGGAGTCGGGGAAGAAAGTGTACTCCAGATATTAAAGGGCACAGGCTTTTCTGTGACTCATAAATGGGCATATTTTCTCCCCTAAAATTCTAGAATAATAGCAAATTGAAGGGAAAGATACAAATTAACCCGTTTCTGTTTTTCCAATGGAGACCCGTTTCTAAACTGTTGGGTAACCAGAGTATAGATACTCTCTTAAATGCACAGATCATTTCACAGATATAAATATAAAAAGATGGAAAAATAACATGTGACTAGTTGTTTATTAATTGTGGGTTTTAATAGTTTACATTGGGCCATTCACTTATGAAGGTGTGGTTCCATCTAATTCATCATTCCGAAAAATACATGTTCATTATTTGACAGTTTTGAAAAGCAGTTGTAGTACCCAAAATAATTGTTTTATATGTAAGTATGATATCAACAGCCTTAATCCTAAATTCTTATATTGCTCTCAGTGTGCATACACGTCAAAATGCATCTTTGTAGTACAGATAATTCACCTACAGAAATTCCGCCAAAGTTTTTATTTTATTGGTGGCTGTTATTCTATCACTACCTTTGGTGATGTGCTACTGTTCTAATTATGCCTAACCATGTTCCAATAAAATTACGTACTTGCCAACTACTAGTTGCAACAAATACTGGTCAATGTGTTTGTTTATTTGGAGGACTGAAATTTAAGAGGAGCATTTCTAAACAAATAAGAGTTCCTTAATATAAGGATATTGGCCAGGCGCGGTGGCTCACGCCTGTAATCCCAGCACTTTGGGAGGCTGAGGTGGGCAGATCACCTGAGGTCAGGAGTTCAAGACCAGCCTGGCCAACATGGCGAAACCCTGTCTCTACCAAAAATGCAAAAAAAAAAAAAAAAAAAAAAAAATTAGCCTGGCATGGTGGTGCACGCCTGTAGTCCCAGCTACTCGGGAGCCTGAGGCACAAGAATCACTTGAACCCGGGCAGCAGAAGTTGCAGTGAGCCAAGATCGTGCCACTGCACTCCAGCCTGGGCGACAGAGTGAGACTCCATCTCAATTAAAAGATAGATAGATAGATAGATACAGATATCAAGATAAAAGACTCCTGCCTTTGTTAGGCATAAAATAGATACTATTTAAATACTGCTTTTAAAAAAGAGAGCAAATTCACATTACTTAAATATTTCCATCAAATTTTACATATACCAAGCATTAGAGAAACATTTCTGCTGAAAAGTTAACTACTAGCTACATGCAATCTTGATATTATAGGTCATGTCTAATTGATTCAGACTAGTGAACTAAAATTGTTTTCAGGATCCACTAGGCATTCCAGTTTTGGTCTTCATTCTTCAAGCCTGTGAGGATGAGCTACTGGGCACTGCACTCTTTAGAAAGCAGATTTATAAGCTTTACTTTCTGATCCTATGATCTAATGATAAGGTACTCTATCATGGTCAATGCAGATTTTTTTCTCAAGATAACTATTCAACAGAAAAACAAAATGTCTCTCTTTTGCTTGCTTTTACTATATCCTTGTGAAAAAATTATTTGATCCAGCAGCAAATATTTATGGAGCACCTACCATGTGCAAGGGCCTGCATGGGGCATAAAAAGGAGACTGTGCAATGATATGAAAGAGATAATGACAGAAAATGATTATACAATTCATCCCAGTTGATAAGAGCACTTCCTTAAGGATCTTCTGCTGAAATGCAGGCTTCATTAATTCCTCACCTCTTTGTACATGTATAAACCTTATTGCTTAGAGCACACTGTTCTTTTTCTTTATTTTATGTTAATTAATCTTATCGCACCAATAAGATTTTAAGTGAAGGTCAGATATCTTGGCCAATACTTTTCTGCAACCCCAGTAATTCCTGGCATAGTGCTGATCACATAATAGTTCTCCATCATTACCTTAGTTAATTAATCTAATATTTAAGAATATATTTTCCAGATACCTTAGTCCACTCATTCTTTATTATAACCCTCATAGGCACAAGTAGAAGAAGGGGAAAAAGATGAAATTCATTGTATCAACATCAACTACTAGTTCTGGACTCTTCTATCAGTCTATGGTTTACAGCAAATTATGTGAAAACTTATGAATAATTTAGGGCAATGAACAACATTCTTTCCTTGTGACAAGAGTATTTTGATATGTTAATTGAAGTGTTTTGCCTTTTAAAAACTAGCTTACATCTTTTTTGGTTCTAATGCCCACTTAATGCATTACCTATTAATATGAAGAGTCAAAAAAAAATCTTGGATTTATATAATTTTCCCAAAAAATAAATTTAGAACGTTATGTTCTGTAGGCCATGATATCATAACGTTTAATGAAGTCAGAGACACTGAATCTGTATTCTGCCAACTACTACTATTCAAATTGCCTCTGACCTTCCACTTAAGGCTTTATAGAGGCTTGCTATCCTTCTCTTGCTCTAATTCAGTGAACATCTCTTCTCACAGCTATAACTCTGCCATAAGGAATCTCAATCAGTGAATTATGGAACACGAATAAAAATTATTTTTAAATGACAGAATTCACTAGAAACTGAAAACAAATCATATGAATTCCTTCTATTTCATTTGCTTTAGTGCCCCCTTTAGGAATATAAATCAATTCTCTAAACCTATGAATATTGAGAAGGGATGAACTCAAGTCAACTTTTCCTAAAAGGTTGTCTAGATAGTAGATAGAACATTAAATAGATTATCAGTTTTTAAAGTTGTGAGTTGGAAAAGCTTTCACTACATTGGAGTCTTAAGCTCTTGAAAACATGGCATAACTCTGTAGCCACCTGGTGGCAAGGGATGTTTGTTACAGGTATAATAATTAGCACAAAGCATCAAAACTATGAGACAAAGATGAGAGTTCCAGTTCCATATTTCTTTCTTTTTTTCTTTTTTTTTTTTTGTGACAGGGTCTCCTTCTGTTGCCCAGGCTAGAGTACAGTGGCCCAATCACAACCCACTGCAGCCTCAACCTCCTGGGCTCAAGCAATCCTCCCACCTCAGCCACCTGAGTAGCTGGGACTACAGACATGTGCCACCATGCCTGGCTAATTTTTTATTATTTTTTTTTTTTTTTGCAGAGATGGGGTTTTGACATGTTGCCTAGGCTGGCCAGTCCCATATGTCTAAGCACTTAACAGGAGTTTCTCTTTAGAAGAGCTACCGTAAATATCAAAACCACCAAATCGGCATCTGCCTCTTACCATATCCTTGGTTATCCATTTTTGGTTCTAATGCACACTTAATGCCTATTAATATGAAGAATCAAAAATAATGATCTTGGATTTACATAACATTCCCCCAAAATAAACTTAGAACTTTATGTTCTCTGGTTCATGATATCATAACATTTAATGAAGGTAGAGCTGCTGGAAGTTGCTGTCACTTACCTATTCCAGCTGATCTCCTATTACTGAGTACAACCCAGTAAGGCCACAGACCATCAGCCCTGCCTCATTCAACACTCATTGGTTTCCAAGCTTTTCATGAAACTCCCCTACTCCAACACACACTTTGAGATACTCTTTCTCTTTCCCCCTTCAAATTCTAAATTCTATTCTGTCTTCAATGTTGAGCTCAAAAGCCACTTCTCACTTTCTGTCTTAATCCATTTGTGTTGTTATAAAGGAATATCTGAGGCTGGGTGATTTATTTTAAAAAGGGGTTCATTTGGCTTACAGTTCTGCAGGCTGTATAAGAAGCATGGTGCCAGCATCTGTATCTGGTGAAGGCCTCGGGCTGCTTCCACTCATGGTGGAAGGTGAAGGGGAGCTGGCATGTGCAAAGATCACATGGTGAGAGAGGAAGCAAAAGAGAGAGGGAGAAAGATGCCAGGATCTTTTTAATAACCAGCTCTCATGGTGTCTAACAGAGCAAGAGCTCACTCATTACCATGAAGACAGCACCAAGCCATTCATGAGGGATTTTACCTCATGACCCAACTCCTCCCATTAGGCCCCATTCTCAACATTGGGGATTAAATTTCAACATGAGATTTGGAGGGTCAAACACCCAAACTATAAGTAGAGAATATTTTAGAAAAGCCCAGGCTGTACAAGAAGCATAGTGCCAGCATCTGCTTCTGGTGAGGGCCTCAGGGTGCTTCCAATCATGGCAGAATACTAAGGGGAGCTGGTTTGTGCAAAAGAGAAGGTGCGGGGAGGGAGGTGACAGGCTCTTTTGAACAACCAGCTGTCATGGAAATTAACAGAGCAGGAACTCATTTATTATGGTGAAGGTGGCACCAACTATTGAAATTTGGAGGTTTTATGTAAACTATATCCAAATATCTTTTTAAATATCCAGGGGCATGCCACTAAATAGCTGAAATTATCAATATGCACTGTTTTATAGAGCCTTATTTAGCACCCTCCATTACAATGCATGCTAATCTTGCCCTTTCTTCATTTTTTTTCCCCTAATTTGACATCAGGGCTTTCTTTCCCCGAGCTAGCTTTTCAATTATAAGCTCTCAAATAAACATTTTCCCAAAGAATTACTCTTTTTAATAATATACATTCTAGCTGTGCCTTTATTTGACAAATTTGGAGAAGACTCTAAACTATCAGGAGTTCTTTCTTAACATGCTAGAGATGCTTGGTCATTTTTTTTTCCTTTTGGAATCAGAGGTTGCTGTTAGTCAATAACATAAAGATCAGGTTGTAAACTGAAATTTTATCTTATGCTTTAAAGGCACAAGGAGTGCCAGAAATCATCAAAATGAATTTTAAATGAAGAGAAGCATTATGAAGGAAACAATATAAGGAAGCTGAGCTGCATTTAAATGTTAGCACATCAAGTAGCAAAATCAATTTCAAATATAATTTTAACTTGTAAAGTGTAATAAAGATTAATTCATTTGTGCTTTTATATCTAGGAGAATATGATGTGTTTTGTCAAAATGAATTTGCAGAGATAAGTACATATCCAATTTTAGGGAAGCATTCTTTGTGGAAATCTAAAGATATAAAAATAATAAGTAATAATGGAAAGAGTTGTTCATTTACTCTTTCATCTGATATTTATTTAACACATTTATTGAGCGCTTATGCTCTACCAGTAAACATTGCTTCAACTATTAAAAGACAACTTTTGGGGCTGGGTGGGGTAGGTCACGCCCATAATCCTAGCACTTTGGGAGGCTGAGGCGGGCGGATCACATGAGTCCAGGAGTTCAAGACCAGCCTACCCTGTCTCTACTGAAAATACAAAAAACTTAGCCAGGTGTGGTGGTGCATGCTTGTCATCCCAGCTACTCAGGAGGCTGAGGCACGAGAATCGCTTGAACCTGGGAGGCAGAGGTTGCAGTGACCTGAGATCATGCCACTGTACTCCAGCCTGGGCAACAGAGCAAGACTCTGTCTCAAAAAAAAAAAAAAAAAAAACAACAACAAAAAAAGAGACAACTTGTAGACTAAGACACCAATGGTTTAGACTATTTCAATTGCATTATAAATAATACTATTTTGCTAAATACACAAACAGTATAAAATATCTATTTAAGTTCTTAGGGAGACAAATTATAGGAAGAGAGGAAAAGGAAATAGCATATGAAATAGAAAAAACTAAGAAACTTTGATGTGTATGCTGAATATTTCAGCCATAAACTCTCTTAACCTCCTGATCACAGGCACTTGAAAAAAGTCATTTTCTAGTCAAACATTGTTTTCTGAAGATAAACATCAAGTTCATTATCCAGGGGCATGCCACTAAATAGCTGAAAGCATCAATATACACTGTCTTATATAGCCTCATCTAAAAATAAAAAACATCCTTCAAGAGAAAATTTATACGGTTTTAACATTGACTAAGTGGCTTCTGTATGCCAGAAACTTTAAGTGGGCTGTTTCATTTAATCATTCTGGCAAACTTATTTTGTGTTGACTTTCATGTTATGGTTAAGGTAAGTAAGGCTTGGAGGAGTTAAGTAAACGTCAGTTATAATAATGACAATACTAGCAAGAAAACAATAGTTAACATTTGTTTAACATCTGGTATGTGTTAGGTACTTAATATTACCAGATTGACACAATAGAAACCTATAGGACTCAGGGGACTGTGGATAACTCGCTTAAGCCCCTAGGCCTCATATGTTAAATATAGGTAATAATAACCAGTCATTGGAATGTTGTGAAAATTAAAGGACATAGTTTGTACACTGTCCAATAGTGCCTGGCATGGAGCAGATGCTCAATACATGATAGTTTATAACCATATTTAATATCTCTCTTGTTTGGTGGGAAACCTGATCACAGGTCCTTTGAATTTTTTTTTAAACCCTATTAAGTTTACTATGTCTATATTTGCTACCCTTTCTAACTTCTATTAATAAAACCTTACTGCCTTTCCTCTCATGGTTAGCCAGTATTTAAAAATTACCTAAAATGCTGTGACCAAAACTTGTAGGTAATTGTTTCTGATTTGAACAAAGCCAAAGACAAATCTTTCCTGTACGTCTGGAAGATGGAAGATTAACTAGCATTCCCTTATTGTGGAAAAGCGGAAATTCTCCCTTTGCTCTGCTTCCCACTTTTTACCAGGGGTTATAGGTAAGCCACATCTACTGGCAGATGTATTGCCTATTTTGGAGGAGATCTGGATAAATAAAGTAGGCTTCCAAGCCTCTCTTTCCTCATCTGTTAAATGGTAGTAAAATTCAGCATTTATTGGATGATGAGATTTTTTATTAGTCATGCTTTTTGTAGAGTAGTTACTCAGCAAATCTTAACTCCACTATTCCAATGAAACATACCTCCAAAACAACTGGACAGCATCCTGTGGGGAAATGGGTGAGAACGAGATGGGAAATAGAAAAATAATTGGGAGAAGAGAGTTTCCAAAAGCACTGGATTTTGTTAATTTTCTACTTGATATCCCATTTTTCATAATTTCCAGCTCTGGTTTTTTTTTGTAGTATTTCATTATCTCACTTCACTGCCACCTCCAGAGAACTAATAGAAACATCTTTTATAAAACCCATATGCTCATTTTACCCCTCAGCGTGTATTCCTACTCTGTAGCTTATCAGCAAAGTCAGTCAGACACTGAGGCATCTGGGGAGACCATTTTTCAAATCTTCAATCCTCAGTTCTTAGCTTCCCTTTTTAATCTGCTGTGTGCTCTGTAGCAATGGAAAAATGGCTTGACAGGCTTGCTCTGTCCGGCTATGTGATACATATTTCCCATTTCATCAATAAATTTGCAAGCCCTGATCATTTGTATAAAGCATCCACAAAGCTTTCATTTGAGAACATTTTGTAGTCACTTTCAAAGAGCCTTGGCCTTTCAAGTGCAGTTTTTCCTGGTTTCCTCAGTCATTTCTATACTTTCTCCCTCCCAGTAGTCCAGTTCTCTCTTGACTTGAAGTTCTAAGATGTAGAACTTAATAGCATCCCCCACTGCTCATTCTGGATGCTCACCTGACATCACTACTCATTAAGGTTTAAAACTATTTAGACATGCATTTAAGGGACCCCCCTTTCATTGAGCCTTCTCAACCTAGACGGGCTTGTTCTTCTCAGGCCACAATCCATTGCTTTCAGTTCAGAGAACATACTAATGCTGTTGCTGGCTTACATCTTTGTCTTTCACTTTCTCCTACTTGTCTGTCCAGGAAAAGCCTTCCTTCTTCAAGTCCTAGCTCAACTGTAATCCTTTCTACAAAGCCTATCCTGTCACACTCTACCTCCCCTCCAGCCTCTACAACAGTTATCGATCGGCATCTTATACCATAGCAGGGTGGTTGGCAACAACAGACTGTTTTTGTATGGCCTACAAGCTAAGAATGATGTATTTGTTTTTATACGATTGAAAAAATACAAAAAGATAAATAATATGTCATGATATGGGAAAATTGTAGGAAATTCAAATTTCAGTGTTCATAAAATTTCATTGGAACCCAGCCCCACTCACTCATTCATATGTTGTCTGTGGCTGACTTCAAGCTACAATGGCAGAGCTGAGTAGTTGCAACAGAGCCTACATGGTTCCCATATCCAAAATATTTATCATCTAGCTCTTTTCAAAAGTTTCTCATCCCCTGATTCATTACCTTGTGACTCCAAGTGTAGTCCATGGAAATCTGGGAGCTGGTTAGAAATGCAGACTCTCAGGCCGGGTGCCATAGCTCATGCCTGTAATTCCAACACTTTGGAAGGCTGAGACAGGTGGAACACTTGAGGTCCGGAGTTTGAGACCATCCTTGCCAACATGGTGAAACCTCGTCTCTACTAAAAATACAAAAATTAGCCAGGCATGGTGGCGCACGCCTGTAGTCCCAGCTACATGGGAGGTTGAGGCAGGAGAATCACCTGAACCCGGGAGACAGAGTTTGCAGTGAGGCCAAGATCGTGCCACTGCACTCCAACCTGGGCTACAGAGCAAGACTCCTCTGCCAAAAAAAGAAAAAAAAAATGCAGAACTCAGATTCCTCCCCAGACTGACTGCACTAGTCTAGCACTCATCATGCTGTCTTAAAATCATCAATCTTTTAGCAGATGAAAAACAGGAAACATGACCAGGATAATAAAATGTATGAATTATGGTAGATATATGGAATTTAATGCAAATTTGGGTCATTGCAAAATAGCCGAGTGCAATTCCGTGTAATACATATAAAGTATAATGTAATATTACAGCAGAAATAAGAAAGCTTAGCCAGGAAAGTATATGAACTAAGCATTATATCACTTAGCAAGGTATTCATTTAGTAACACCATATTTCAATTATGTTCATATATATTCAATATATATATTCCATATAGTCATATATTCAGGCAATATATTCATACTGTATTACATGTATGCATAAATATATAGTGTGAAATGTAAGCCGTATTGGCAATAATCTTAAAACTTTATAAATTATGCTATAACTCATTTGACATACATTTGAGTTTGCTTATTTAATAAAGCATAGCAGTGATATGATTTGATTATCTGCTATCTTAAAATGTGAATGTGAACCTCGTGCTGCATGAAACAGGGCAAGTGAAACTTATTCAAAATTTTTGCTGGACTGTTCAATAATGCAAATATGGTGTTAGGCATATATAAGTTTCACCTGCTTGTATAGATAACATTACATTTAAAATCATAGCAGTACTTTTACTGCTGTCAGTTATGAGTTGACAGCTCACATATACAACCCTTTGTTGAGGTCTTAGTTACTGAGACTTCTCATTTTTCACCAGGCTGCAATATTTACAGCTGCCACTTGGGGGAAGGTAGAAAAATATCCTCTGCAATCGAACAGTCACAGACCAACCATCACCAAAAATTATATAAATGACTTTTTCATAAATAATACCTATTTGTTTATTCAGTTATCCAGTCAACAAATATTTATTAAATCATTGGTATATCCTTAGCAGTGTGTTAGATGCTAAGAATACAATATTGAGCGAAAGCAAATACTGTTCCTGATCTCATGGAGTTAATTAACATCTAGTGGAGGAGACAGGAATCCTCAAGGAATCACAAAAACAAATGTATAATTATCAACTGTAATAATTGCTATGATGAAGGTACATGATGTTATCTATTAGGGTATATAACAGAATTCTCACCTTGTGTTAGGGGGTATGGTGGGCAGGAAGTCTTCCCTGATCCCAGAAAAAAAAATGCCTTTAAGCTCGTGTTTTGATGGCTTATATAGGAGTTAAATGGTGTACTGGTGATGTAAGTATTAGGAGAGATGGGGAATGCAAGGTAGTATTCACAACAGAAGGCACAATTTCTGGCAAGGCCCTGTGATCAGAGAGAGCATGTGCTCAAGGAACTGAAAGTAGATCAGTGGGGCCCAACTATTCATGAGGGGGGTGAGGGAATATATGATGCTGAAGAGGAACCAGATCAGGTTGTCTTTTATAAACCATGATAAAGATTTTGGTATTTTCCTAGGAGCAATAAGAATTGGGAGAACGGATTTGGGAGTGCAAATGCGTAATTGGGAGAACTAGTTAGAAGGTTATTCTAGTACTAAAGAGATGATGGAAATCCAAACTGGTATGATGTTTGTAGAAATGGAGTGAAGATATTTAGGAATTAAAACCGACTGGAGTTGACTGGAGTTAGTAATAAATTCATTACGGGGGATAAGGGAGAGTAAGCCATTCAAGGATGACGCAGTTTCTTGTTAATCCAGTTATCTGAATAACAGTGCAATTCCCCGTGATGCTAAGAAACTTGCAACACATTGAGAGTATTTTCTTACACAATTAAAACCCTAGGAAGTCACTGAGAATACTTTATGGAAGCAAAAATAAATATATAGAGATTAATTTATGTATACATCTAATGGATATACCACACATATATGATTTGGTTTTCATATTTTAATAGTATCTTCATTATTACTTTAGTATTAGTTTATTAGCATCTCTAAAGGCTTGTTATGAGAGAACTAAGTGGACAACTGTACTTAGATCTACACAGTGGCAATCTCTGAAAGGAATTGTTAGAAATTTTATGTGCACAATGTACTACTTGTCTGGGCCATATGTTTAATTTGCTGGAGGAAAAAATCATTTTTAAATAAGAGCAAAATGCAATTGAAACATGATGTAATATGCAAATAGTCACTTCACACAGCATATAAAAGCTTCCACACAATTAAAATGTCTGTATTTTATTTGAAAGAACTATGTTACGTTTAGAGTCATATGTACTAAAGGCTAAGACTAATACACATTTTCAAATAGCGAAATAAAAATCAATATTCTTGTGTCATAAACTCTTTAAGCATAATATCCTCTTATAAGACATGTATTAATTTACTTGGTACAGTTACTTAAGTTATACCTATATTTTATATTTAAGAAGATATTAATGTTTTGAAAATGTATAATTTAAAAAGTCAATCCGATTTTTGAAAGACATATGTTGAAAACCAGAAAACATACATATAAAATTATTTTACTGTTATTATCTAATATGGATGAACATGTAACTTTGAAACCACCTTGATAACCATTTGGCTACTTTCCTTTCCAAAACGAGGTAACTTTCACTTATTTCACAAAAGTTGCAGTATCTTAGAAAGGATGCATGCTAAACTATGTTGTTAGTCTTGTTGAATTTTGGCACAGACTATTGAGTGAAAAATATGTGTGGCAGATAGTTTTAACAGTTATCAGTTGGCTAAGTTAGATTATTAATTACGATAATCAGTTCTTTAAGTACTTAGTTAATTCCATGTGTTTTGACTTCAACTGATAATTATAAAGGATCATTTAAATTTTTGATTAACAAAAGCAAAAACTGCACAGAATGTGGAAATATCTTATAAAGTTCAGGTTTTCCTGTGCTTTAAATGTGTATGTTCATTTACTAAAATGCATTCCTGATTGAGTACCTCTCTTCTAGAAATGCTGTTATTTTGTCATAATATTGATAGTTATTATTAAACTAATTATTGAATATATTATTGAATGTATATTATGTGCAAGACTTCATGTTAGTTCCTGTAAGTGATATAAAATACATGTGCTATATATAGAACAAATTATTGTTACTTAACACACTCAATTCTCTGCTCCTTTCATAAATTATTTTTTAATTTTTAGTTTTTGTGGGTACATAGCAGGTGTATATATTTACAGAATATGTTTGACTTGTTGATACAGGCATTTGATTATATATTATTTACATCAATCAAATGAAGAGCTAGTGAGTAGTAAAATATATTTCATTTTTAAATCAAAGATGTGAAATTAAAATATTTGTGAATAAAACAGATAACTACAACAAACTGCAAAGTGAAATGATGGAATTGTCTATCAATGTAAGCAACATTTGCTATTTGTTATGGTCTATTTCTGTATTTCTGTTTTTCTTTCTTTTTTTTCTTTTTGAGACAGGATCTTGCTTTGTCACCCAAGGTGGAATGTAGTGGTGTGATCACAGCTCACTGCAGCCTTGACTTCCTGGGCTCAAGCAATTCTCCCACTTCAGCCTCCTGAATAGCTAGAACTACAGGTTTGCACCATCATGCCTGGCTAATTTTTAAATTTTTTGTAGAGATGGGAGTCTCACTATATTGCCCAGACTGGTCATGAACTCCTGGGCTCAAGTGATCCTCTCACCTTGACTTTTCAAACTGCTGGGATTACAGGCATGAGCCACCATGCCCAGCCTATTTATGTTTTTCTTGAAGTAATTTGGTAACCTAGAGTAAAGAACTTTGCAATAGATAACTCAGTTCTGTATCAGAGAACTCATATTGAAAACAGATTCTGTTAATTGAACTTGCATTTATTTATAGTAACACAAGACCACATAATTGAAAGATAAAAATTCCTAAATTGTTAATATAAGTGTCAAGAGAGTGACGATTATAAATCATGTTTTGACAATGTAGAACCAATGTATGCATACTATTTCCTCATTACATTAACCTTTTCTGTGAATAACTTGAAATGTTGATGCGGTTTTACAGAAAAAAATAATGTTTACCTTTGATACTTACTGATATCACAAACCTTATACAACTCAGGAGGAGCACAGTTGTCCAACTGATTATTTTCACAGGAGACATTGAATACATTACCTAAATTGTTACTTTGACTGTGATATAAATATATACATACATCTATAGCACAGTAGAATAGGTAGCATAAGTAAGGCTTTACGGAAGGTATTACTAAGTTCAAATGATAGTGGAGACAAATTTCTTTTTAAGATTTATTGAATTATATAGCTTAAAATGCTGGGCGCGGTGGCTTATGCCTGTAATTCCAACAATTTGGGAGGCCGAGGCTGTTGGATCACTTGAGGTCAGGAGATCAAGACCAGCCTGACCAACATGGTGAAACCCTGTCTCTACTAAAAATACAAAAATTAGGTGGGTGTGGTGGTGGGCACCTGTAATCCCAGCTACCCAAGAGGCTGAGGCAGGAGAATTGCTTGAACCCGGCAGGCAGAGGTTGCAGTGAGTCAAGATCATGCCACTGCACTCCAGCCTGGGCAACAGAGCGAGACTTCATCTCAAAAATGAATAAATAAATAAAAATAAAAATAAAATAGCCATAGAAATCACCAAGGACCCAGAGATTAAAAAAAAAACAACCCAAAGAATATCAGGCTGTAGATGTATACACATTACAATAAAACTCTTGGTACTCTTCTATTTACAGTAAGAATTAATATATTTAACAACACCAACATTATTTACCATAAATAATCAAGCTCCAACCTTCTATAATAAATATATTGTACATATCTTTTTCATGTCACTGATATACCCTGACAAAGGCAGCCTTACAGAGAAGTGAAGTAGGCAAAGGCCTTACATACCTACATGATGAGATTTGAGGCATATTTTCCCCTTCAGCTCATCAAGGGATTCAGTTATAGGAACCACATGTTAAACCATGCCTCCCTCTAGATGGGGTAGGACTTGTAAGATATTGCCACATTATGATGAATTTGTATATCAAATCTTCTCTAATTAATACCTAGATAAGAGCAAAGTGTCAACAGGTGTGTGTACAAAGAGGGGTGCACAGGCCTGGGAGAGAAGCAAGGAGTACTCACTATGGAGTTGTGAATATTTGGCACATAGAGGTCGAAAAACAACATGGTAAGGACAGAATAGCATTGAAAGGAAGACAGTAAAGATGAAATTGGCGAACTTCACATTCTAGTAAGGCTGACCTTGGTCTTTACTACCAGGCGAGGCTTACCATGCCAATGATATATGTGAGATAGTCTTGTGTGAACATTGTTTGAAGCCTGAGAGTAGAAACTTACCTGCATGTCCAGGTTAACCTATTTCACCAACGCATTGAAAACATCTGCAAGCAAACTTGAATCTTCACAAACAGAATGAGTGATTTCCTGTGTGCTTTCAGGACTGCTGTGGGGGTTCTTCAAAATTTTACATTTTATACTTTTTGAACGTCCCTTATGAAATTTTTTTTTATTTTTTCCCCTCTGGAAAGCTGTTGATAGCATCAAGAACTCTTTTCAATATGTATTAAAGAAAGTTACCTTTGCCATCATCTTAAATGGTGAGTAGTTGAATAAAACAGAACAATTGGCTATTCTGAAAAAGGGTACATTTTAATGCAGCCATTTTGATGCAACTGTCTTGATGTCAAATCACTGTTTTCTTATTTCTTTTATTTTTGATCATTATTAACATGTGCAGCAGACATTCCCAACCTTATTCCATCCCTATCCTCTTTCGAATTTTGATAGACTTCGACTTTTCACTTCTTTAATCTAATGCGTATATATTAATGTTATACTAAAAATTTCTGTTAAAATTTTACTGTCAAAAATGATTTAGTCTATACCATCGTATCAGTTCTTCCTCCAAAACTATCATTCTAAAAACATTTTGTGGTATTAAATATTTGTATGATTATGAGAACAATCAGAAATTTAATTGAGAATTCCCCATGCAGTCTGGAGTCGAAAATAAGGAATCCAATTTAAATTCACCTTGTTTAACTTGTAATATATTTACCCAATCAAATAATCATGCTCTAGACATCTATAGAATGTAGAGTGTTCCATTATCTGGATCTGCGTTTTTCAGCATTTATAAATGATACTCCCTTTTGAGAAACAAAATTCTCCTCTCCCTGCCTCTCCTGCTGAGATTTTTAAGTGCATCCATTGAGAGTATTTTGAAGAGCTAGCTATGTTTTCTAAAATTTATCATAGAAAACAACAGCTAGATTTCCTACACCCCAATCATGGATATAAGAGTTTGTTACTGAAAGCAGGCTGGGCTAGGTGGTTCACGCCTGTAATCCCAGCACTTTGGGAGGTCGAGGTGGGCGGATCACCTGAGGTCAGGAGTTCGAGACCAGCTTGGCCAACATGGTGAAACCCTGTCTCTACTAAAAATACAAAAATTAGCCTGGTGTGGTGGCATGCACCTGTAATCCTAGCTACCCAGAGGCTGAGGCAGGAGAATCACTTGACCCCAGGAGGCGGAGGTTGCAGTGAGCCAAGATTGCACCACTGCACTCCAGCCTGGGCAACAGAATGAGACTCCATCTCAAGAAAACAAAACAAAACAAAAAAACAAAAAAAAAACAAGAGTTTGTCATTGAAGAAGAAAATTGAACTTCGCTAACCTAATTGTCCCAATTTATACTATCATACTTTATACTTATTTACTATAAATCTGCGGTGGTGGTTAACAGTTCGGTAAGGGGTCTGCATCACACATTACTTAGTAATAAAATAAGCCGAGTTTTTTTTTTTCAGGTTGCATTAAAATGCTGTTTACCAATTACATAATATTCTTTTTCAAACATGTTAGGCCCTTAATGGCATATGTTTTACTAGTTCAGGGGTAGGTCTACACTAGCAAAATAATAGGAATCACCTTGATATAATAGTTGAATATTATTTCAAAATAAGAGTCTTGAGGCACGCTTATGTGTATACTTACAGTTGTTTTTGAAGGATGGCGTCAGTTGGCCTATGTTATAGATGCTCGCGGGTGTTAGCTGATAACCCTAAAAGCAAACATTGAGAAAAATGCAGTAAGAACTCCATAAGTAAGGTGCCACACAGAGTAGGTATACCATTCACATATAATGAATGGCTGAAAAGTAGTAAGGCTGATACCTATAAGCTTCAGAAGAAAGAAGTCTCATTTATATAAAATGAATTTAAAACAGCAAAATATTAGTACAGCAGGTATGTAAGAGGCGTTTGAACCAGAGCAACTCCATCGTGAATAGAGGCTGGGTAAAATGAGGCTGAGACCTATTGGGCTGCATTCCCAGACAGTTGAGGCATTCTAAGTCACAGGATGAGATAGGAGGTCAGCACAAGATACAGATCATGAAGACCTTGTTAATAAAACAGGTTGCAGTACAGAACCCAGCTAAAACCCACCAAAACCAAGATGGCCATGAGAGTGACCTCTGGTCGTCCTCACTGCTACACTCTCACCAGCGCCATGACAGTTTACAAATGCCATGGCAACATCAGGAAGTAACCTTACATGGTCTAAAAAGGGGAAGCATGAATAATCCACCCCTTGTTTTACATATCATCAGTAAATAACCATAAAAATGGGCAACCAGGGCAGGGCGCAGTGGCTCATGCCTGTAATCCCAGCACTTTGGGAGGCCGAGGTGGGCGGATCACTTGAGGTCAGGGGTTCAAGACGAGCCTGGCCAACATGATCAAACCCCGTCTCTACTAAAAAATACAAAAATTAGCCTGGCATGATGGTGGGCACCTGTAATTCCAGCTGCTCAGGAGGCTGAGGCAGGGAGAATTGCTTGAACCCGGGAGGCGGAAGTTGCAGTGAGCCGAGATCGGCCGCTGCACTCCAGCCTGGGTGACAGAGCAAGACTCTGTCTCAAAAAAAAAATAAAATAAAATAAAATAAAATAAAAAACAATCAGCAGCCCTCAGGGCTGCTCTATGAAGTAGCCATTCTTTTATTCCTTTACTTTCCTGATAACCTTGCTTTCACTTTACAGACTTGCCCTGAATTATTTCTTGTGCAAGATCCAAGAACCCTCTCTTGGGGTCTGGATCCGGACCCCATTCCTATAGCAGGTAAGTCAGTGTTCGTCCTTCTGCTAAAGAGGAAATTAAATATTAGTTAAGAATTCTAAATGAATCAGCAAAATTCTAAGTCAAATGTCAAGTTGAAACATTTCACATAGAACAATTACAGAGCAAGAGTAAATAGTATTTCATCCACAGATACTAAAACAATATTAGACGCTGGAAGAGGAAACAACATTTGAAAATCACCATTTCTGTATCAATTATTGTAAGAGCATCAGTTGCCAATATTTATTCTGGAATGCAAAAACAAGACTGAAATAAATATTAGCCAGCTATATTTTTGCAGTAGGACAAATAAATTTGGTGCAAGGACATTAATATTTGACATGTTTTAAACATCAAAAATTTCCCCAAACACATAAAGCATGATCAAAAAAAGTTTTAAATGCAGGGATTATTTTTAAAAATATAAAGCTAACTCTTGCACTCAGCCTAGTAAGTAAAATTGAGTGATGTAAAGATCATCAAAGTTATGAGAAATACATAGGAAATGTTAATTATTATATTGAGGACAAGATCTTTTGTTAGCTCATAAATTTATCAACATAAATTAACATATTTGAAGTATAATATAAAATATTCAATAAATGTTATAGCCGCATTTAAATAATTTAATGTGACTACCCCTTACATCATGCAAGATACAATGTACTACACCAACAAATTATATTTTTCATTCCTTATGAAAGTAAAAAATAGTTCTAACTTCAAATGAGTGAAAAATAACTTGGATTAAAACTTTGGGCCAGGCACGGTGGCTCACACCTGTAATCCCAGCACTTTGGGAGGCCAAGGCAGGAGGATCACGAGGTCAGGAGATCGAGACCATCCTGGCTAACACGGTGAAACCCAGTCTCTACTAAAAATACAAAAAAATAGCCGGGCGTGGTGGCGGGCGCCTATAGTCTCAGCTACTCGGGAGGCTGAGGCAGGAGAATGACGTGAACCCGGGAGGCGGAGTTTGCAGTGAGCCGAGATCGCGCCACTGCACTCCAGCCTGGGCGACAGAGCGAGACTCCGTCTCAAAAAAAGAAAAAAACTAAAAAAAACCACAACTTTGCTGTTTTAATCTACACTTCAGAAAATACATTTAGTATTTATAAATTTGAACCAACATTTTTTGTCTCTTTTACAGCACAGATTTATTGAAATGACTATGCAAGAACACATGATCACATTAACCTTCAATTTTCATGAAAAAGTAGGAGACTTATAGTAAATAAAAATAATTTCCTGGGAAAAAGGAAGATAAAATGATTCTACGTAATACGTACAAAATTAATAGCAATCTTGGAGCAATGATGAGACTCCATGCTTGGTGAAGAAGCTGGTGGCCAAGTTATTATTCTATACAACAAGAATTATACATCGCATCGCAGAAACGCATGAGATCATCTCAATACACATTAATGACCTGTTATGCCCGTCGAAGCTCCCACTTAACTTCACCTAACTGTTCAAGTACCCTGGGAGGGAATGAAAATGTTGTGGACCAAGAACTGCTAAGAACAGAATTACAGCCCCCTAGTGGCGAATTGTGACTATTGCAGACAGAACAATGTGTGCTATGATTGTAATTATGCCATTTATTCACGAAGAATTTATTTTTGCGTTTTTTTTCCCCCTTAGGGGAAGATTGAGATATTTAACACTAAAACATTACTGCTCCGTCATTAAAAATTATCCAATCAGATATTCTTTAAAAAAATTTCTCCAAGACCTATCAACTGAGAGTGTTTTCTGAGGTCTCTAACGTTTTAGTGTCGATTTCTAAAATTTTAATTAATTTTGCAAAAATATGAAGTACTTTGAGTGAAGTCAAATTTTTTTCTCTTGAGGCTCACTTGCTTCTTCCCTTCCTCCTGATCACGACATTCTTTATATTAACATTTTGCATCTATCATACACTCTCCTTTCCAATTTTTTTCCTCTCAGCTAATTATACATAAATTTGAGATACATTTTATGATTAACGCTCTGTCATTTCAAGTTTCTCTCCATCCTACCAAAGTATTATTTTTTAAATTTCCACAGTGACTGATTTTTTTCCCTTTGTAGGCGAGTGACTCTAGATAGAAAACATAGATGTGCCTGACCATAACCTTGCCGTACATATTAATCCAAACACCATGCCATTCCATTCTACAAAAATTGTGCACAGAATATTTTTAAATTTCGCATGTGCAATTCTATTACCTCTGACACTATTTATAACTGATTTATGAGGTGACATTAAGTGTGATTTTGTGATTATTCAAGACAGACTTTAACCTACTTTTCCTACAAAAATTATTGCTATTTTGTTTTCAGCCCACCCTGAGAAAAGATAATATAAAATAGTAGCTTCAATTCAAAATGATGCTTTAAAAGTCATAAGAACCCTGTGAAGATTTAATAGATAAGGTTGCTGCCTTATTTCTCCTTCAGTTGAAATAATATGGAAAAAGTAGGCATTTAAAGTGGAATGTCTATCAAAGAAATGCCCACATTACCGTGCATTAAAATGCCAGTAGTCAGTCCTGAGCAGGATGAGGAAATGCAGTCATTACAAAGAGCTTAATGCACTCTTTTCGATATTCATGGATATTCATGCTCATTTAAAAAGAAGGAGGTTGTCTTCCATTCAGTATTAAAGCAGGACCACAGAGGGACTGAATGGTACCCTTTACTGCCTACTTTGACTTTTTAAGGAATCCACCTTAATGAGTATAATTTACATATACTAATATGTGCATATTTTAAATGTAGAGTTTGACCACTTTTGATGAATGTTTACACCCGTGTAATTGCCACTGTGATGAAAACATAAAACAATTCCATCCTCCTGCTTCTTTGTAGTCACCACCTTCCAAGCTCCAGGCAACTACTTTTTGACTTCTATCACTGTAGATTATTTTTGCCAGTTCTGGAAGTTTATGTAAATGGAACCATACAGTATGCTCTGCTCGTTTTCTATATCTTCCACCCTTTCTTTGTTCAAAACGATATTTTCATCTTTCACTGAGTCTTATTTATAGACTATTTAAAGCATACATACATATCCCCTTGCCTCATCCTCTTTATTTATTTAAATTTTCTTAACTTTCCCTTCAAGTTATCATGTATTATTTAAAACTTCAATCTTTGTCTAACACGATACTGTCCTTTAAACTCACTGTGTCATGTCAAATAGAGTAATGGAGTGGATGCTTGGAACAATGGTCAGAAGTCCAACCGAACGTGGTCAACCAAAAGAGTAATTACAACAGAAAAAAACCATAGGAGAAATCTTTTAAATACAAAATGGTGCATCGCCCATCACTTCACATTTAGCACAATGCAGATAACGAAAACGATTATATTCTAGTGTGTAAAGAGCATATATATTTCAGAAAAATATTAAAATATGTATTTGAGGATGTAATTAATAGGATCTATTTTCTTATTTTATTAGGTATTATGAAATGTATTGTTTAATGGGAAGTATATTAAATAATACATATCAGATTTATTGTTTTAATGGGAAGCATATTAAATACTAATAAAAAAATCAGATTTTATGTAGAAAGCCCCAGTTTCTATATTCCGATTTTATTTACTGTTTTTTTATTAGTGATGTTAGTGGCCAAAATACATACCAACCAAAGTTCCTACTAATGTGTTATGCCACACCACTGTTGCAAGAGAAGTATTCAGAGCTAATTAGAATGACAGGCAATTTTATTTCATAAAAATCCTCTGAATAAGTGTAATTTTAAAGACGTGTCTTGCATATTAGAGATTTAGAAAAGAAACAGATGGCACACTTCAATCAATTGCTTCTTATGACATTCAACTGCAAATACCACGTACACAAAAGTTTTTTTGAGGTAAATGCCTCTTCTCTGGAAAGGATAGTTTTGTTTGACAAATCTTGATTGGACAGAATGGAAAAAAAATGAAAGAAATGGACTAGAAATTTAACCTTCCTGAGTTTGAAACTTAGTTTTTCTGAATCAATTTATTGTTAAGAGGAGTACTTGGAGGATGACTTCCTTTTTATTTATTTTGCCATACTAAAATAAAATTGAATAGCAAAAGTAAGGATGACAGAAGCTCAGAGACAAAATTTTATTACTTTCATTTCAGAAGTGTGAAAAAATTAAGAACTTAGCCAAATAAATCAAGACCCTATTGCCTAAATCTAACAACAAATTTTATTTTGTTTGCCAACCCTTCTTAATCTCAAACAACTTCTCTGACATTCCCAGCAAGTACATCCCTTAAAAGTTTGCAGGTTCTCAGAATAAGCAAATCTACAGAGATAAAAAGGATTACTGGTTGCCTAGTGCTGGGGGTTGAAGAAGTATGTGGAGTGATTGTAAATGGGTATAGGATTACTTTGGGGGGTGATGGAAATATTCTAAATTGTGATGATGATTATACAACTCTGAGTATACTAAAAACCACTGAATTCTACACATTAAAATAGGCAAATTGGATAGTATGTGAATTACAGGTCAATAAAACTGTTAAAAGTGATTCGGAGTTAAAGCCATTACTTCGAAGGAAAAAGCAGATCTTAAAAATATAGATTTTTAAATGTGAGAACACAGGATCAAATTAAACCTCAATTTTAATGAAACAGTAGGGGAGTTATGAAAAAGTCCCCTTTGCAAGAGGGACTGACTGTATTGTTATAAAATCCATTGGGGGAATACATTACTTTTACATAATAAAAGTGTAAACATTTTATACATGTAAGATTCATGAAAGGCTAGATTTTGTTTTTTTTGAGGTGGAGTTTCTTTCTGTTGCCCAGGTTGGAGTGCAGTGGTATCATCTTGGCTCATTGCAGCCTCCACCTCCCGGTTCCAGCAATTCTCCTGCCTCAGCCTCCTGAGTAGCTGGGATTACAGGCACGCACCACCATGCCCAGCTAATTTATTTTTAGTAGAAATGGGGTTTCACCAAGTTGGCCAGGCTGGTCTTGAACTCCTGATCTCAGGTGATCCACCCACCTTGGCCTCCCAAAGGGCTGGGATTATAGATGTGAGCCACTGCACCTGGCCTCAGATTTTAATTTAAAAATAATCCTAAAACCTGATGCTCTGCATGTGTATGAAAAATGTATTAACATTTTATAGTGATATGGAAGGGTGGAGCAGGACATCAAAAAAAATTAAAGATATGACAAATGTGCCAAACAACTGAAGCACTATGAAATATTAAAAAATTGAATAAGATACATTCAAAGATCAATTTTTATCTTGACCCTTTCTCACATCAGCAAATAATCAATGCTTGTGTATAATCAGAATGATGCATACTCTTCCATTGAGGATGACTCTTTTTCATCATTGATCTTAACGTTGTACCATAGGTCCTAGTGACTTCTTTGGTGAGGAAAATGTCAAGTCTTTAAGTATCCAATAAATGGCCAAGAAGAAGAAACTCCACACCTTCTTTATCATGGTCAAACATTGTGTTTGATATTTCATTTTAACTTCTCTACTCACAGTTGATATTAATTAAAAGTTGTCAGGCCTCTGAGCCCAAGCCAAGCCATTGCATCCCCTGTGACTTGCACGTATATGCCCAGATGGCCTGAAGTAACTGAAGAATCACAAAAGAAGTGAATATGCCCTGCCCCACCTTAACTGATGACATTCCACCACAAAAGAAGTGTAAATGGCCGGTCCTTGCCTTAAGTGATAACATTACCTTGTGAAAGTCCTTTTCCTGGATCATCCTGGCTCAAAAGCACCCCCACTGAGCACCTTGCGACCCCCACTCCTGCCCGCCAGAGAACAAACCCCCTTTGACTGTAATTTTCCTTTACCTACCCAAATCCTATAAAACGGCCCCACCCTCATCTCCCTTCACTGACTCTCTTTTCGGACTCAGCCCACTTGCACCCAGGTGAAATAACAGCCATGTTGCTCACACGAAGCCTGTTTAGTGGTCTCTTCACACGGACACACATGAAATTTGGTGCTGTGACTTGGATCGGGGTACCTCCCTTGGGAGATCAATCCCCTGTCCTCCTGCTCTTTGCTCCGTGAGAAAGATCCACCTATGACCTCATGTCCTCAGACCGACCAGCCCAAGGAACATCTCACCAATTTTAAATCAGGTAAACGGCCTCTTCTTACTCTCTTCTCCAACCTCTCTCACTGTCCATCAACCACTTTCTCCTTTCCACTCTTCAATCTCTCCCTTCTCTTAATTTCAATTCCTTTCATTTTCTGGGAGAGACAAAGGAGACATGTTTTATCCGTGGACCCAAAACTCCGGCGCCGGTCACGGACTGGGAAGGCAGCCTTCCCTTGGTGTTTAATCGTTGCAGGGACGCCTCTCTGATTATACACCCACGTTTCAAGGGTGTCAGACCACGCAGGGACGCCTGCCTTGATCCTTCACCTTAAGCGGCAAGTCCCGCTTTTCTGGGGAAGGGGCAAGTAGCTCAACCCCTTCTCTCCTTGTCTCTACCCCTTCTCTGCTTTTCTGGGAGAGGGGCAAGTACCCCTCAAGCCCTTCTCCTTCACCCTTAGCGGCAAGTCCCGCTTTTCTGGGAGAGGGTTAAGTACCCCAACCCCTTCTCCTTCACCCTTAGTGGCAAGTCCCGCTTTTCTATGGGGCAAGAACCCCCAATCCCTTACTTCCATGCCCCAACCTCTTATCTCTGCACCCCAATCCCTTATTTCTGTGCCCCAACCTCTTATCTCTGTGCCCCAATCCCTTATTTCTGCACCCTGACCTCTTATCACTGTGCCCCAATCCCTTATTTCTGCACCCCAACCTCGTATCTCTGTGCCCCAGTCCCTTATTTCCGTGCCCCAACCTCTTATTTCTCTGCGCCCCAATCCCTTATTTCTGCCCCCCAACCTCTTATCTCTGTGCCCCAACCCCTTTTCCCACTTTTCTGGAAGGTAAGAACCCCTGAACCCCTTTCCTCCATTTCTCTACTCTCTTTTCTCTAGGCTTGCTTCCTTCACTATGGGCAACCTTCCACCCTCCATTCCTCCTTCTACTCCCTTGGCCTGTGTTCTCAAAAACTTAAAACCTCTTCAACTCACACCTGACCTAAAACCTAAATGCCTTATTTTCTTCTGCAATGCCGCTTCACCCCAATACCAACTCGACAGTAGTTCCAAATAGCCAGAAAATGGCACTTTGAATTTTTCCATCCTGCAAAATCTAAATAATTCTTGTCATAAAATAGGCAAATGGTCTGAGGTGCCTGACGTCCAGGCATTCTTTTACACGTCAGTCCCTTCCTAGTCTCTGTGCCCAGTGCAACTCGTCCCAAATCTTCCTTCTTTCCCTCCCGCCTGTCCCCTCAGTACCAACCCCAAGCATTGCTGAGTCTGTCTAATCTTCCTTTTCTACAGACCCATCTGACCTCTCCCTTCCTCCCCAGGCTGCTCCTCGCCATGCCGAGCTAGGTCCCAATTCTTCCTCAGCCTCTGCTCCTCCACCCTATAATCTTTTTATCACCTCCCCTCCTCACACCTGGTCCGGCTTACAGTTTCGTTCCATGACTAGCCCTCCCCCTCCTGCCCAGCAATTTACTCTTAAAAAGGTGGCTGGAGCTAAAGGCATAGTCAAGGTTAATGCTCCTTTTTCTTTATCCCAAATCAGATAGCGTTTAGGCTCTTTTTCATCAAATATAAAAATCCAGCCCAGTTCATGACTTGTTTGGCAGCAACCCTGAGACGCTTTACAGCCCTAGACCCTAAAAGGTCAAAAGGCCATCTTATTCTCAAAGTACATTTTATTACCCAATCTGCTCCTGACATTAAATAAAACTCCAAAAATTAAATTCCGGCCCTCAAACCCCACAACAGGATTTAATTAACCTCGCCTTCAAGGTGTACAATAATAGAAAAAAGTTGCAATTCCTTGCCTCCACTCTGAGACAAACCCCAGCCACATCTCCAGCACACAAGAACTTCCAAACGCCTGAACCGCAGCGGCCAGGCATTCCTCCAGAACCTCCTCCCACAGGAGCTTGCTACACGTGCCAGAAATCTGACCACCAGGCCAAGGAATGCCCGCAGCCCAGGATTCCTCCTAAGCCGTGTCCCATCTGTGTGGGACCCCACTGAAAATCGGACTGTTTAACTCACCTGGCAGCCATTCCCAGAGCCCCTGGAACTCTGGCCCAAGGCTCTCTGACTGACTCCTTCCCAGATCTTCTCGGATTAGCGGCTGAAGACTGACACTGCCCGATCGCCTCGGAAGCCCCCTAGACCATCACAGATGCCGAGCTTCGGGTAACTCTCACAGTGGAAGGTAAGTGATTACCTTCTTAATCAATACGGAGGCTACCCACTCCACATTACCTTCTTTTCAAGGGCCTGTTTCCCTTGCCTCCATAACTGTTGTGGGTATTGACGGCCAGGCTTCTAAACCTCTTAAAACTCCCCAACTCTGGTGCCAACTTAGACAATACCCTTTTAAACACTCCTTTTTAGTTATCCCCACCTGCCCAGTTCCCTTATTAGGCTGAGACACTTTAACTAAATTACCTGCTTCCCTGACTATTCCTGGACTACAGCTAAATCTCATTGCCGCCCTTCTTCCCAATCCAAAGCCTCCTTTGCGTCCTCCTCTTGTATCCCCCCACCTTAACCCACAAGTATAAGATACCTCTACTCCCTCCTTGGCGACCGATCATGCACCCCTTACCATCTCATTAAAACCTAATCACTCTTACCCCACTCAACGCCAATATCCCATCCCGCAGCACGCCTTAAAAAGATTAAAGCCTGTTATCACTCGCCTGCTACAGCATGGCCTTTTAAAGCCTATAAACTCTCCTTACAATTCCCCCATTTTACCTGTCCTAAAACCAGACAAGCCTTACAAGTTAGTTCAGGATCTGCGCCTTATCAACCAAATTGTTTTGCCTATCCACCCCTTGGTGCCAAACCCATATACTCTCCTATCTTCAATACCTGCCTCTACAACCCATTATTCTGTTCTGGATCTCAAACATGCTTTCTTTACTATTCCTTTGCACCCTTCATCCCAGCCTCTCTTCACTTTCACTTAGACTGACTCTGACACCCATCAAGCTCAGCAAATTACCTAGGCTGTACTGCCGCAAAGCTTCACAGACAGCCCCCATTACTTCAATCAAGCCCAAATTTCTTCCTCATCTGTTACCTATCTCGGCATAATTCTCATAAAAACACACGTGCTCCCTCTGCCAATCGTGTCCGAATGATCTCTCAAACCCCAGCACCTTCTACAAAACAACAACTCCTTTCCTTCCTAGGCATGGTTCGAGTGGTCAGAATTCTTACACAAGAGCCAGGACCACACCCTGTAGCCTTTCTGTCCAAACAACTTGACCTTACTGTTTTAGCCTAGCCCTCATGTCTGCATGCAGCGGCTGCTGCTGCTGCTTTAATACTTTTAGAGGCCCTCAAAATCACAAACTATGTCAAATCTCTCTCTACAGTTCTCATAACTTCCAAAATCTATTTTCTTCCTCATACCTGACGCATATACTTTCTGCTTCCCGGCTCCTTCAGCTATACTCACTCTTTGTTGAGTCTCCCACAATTACCATTGTTCCTGGCCCAGACTTCAATCCGGCCTCCCACATTATTCCTGATACCACACCTGACCCCCATGACTGTATCTCTCTGATCCACCTGACATTCACCCCATTTCCCCAAATTTCCTTCTTTCCTGTTCCTCACCCTGATCACGCTTGATTTATTGATGGCGGTTCCACCAGGCCTAATCGCCACACACCAGCAAAGGCAGGTTATGCTATAGTACAAGCCACTAGCCCGCCTCTTAGAACCTCTCATTTCCTTTCCATCGAGGAAATCTATCCTCAAGGAAATAACTTCTCAGTGTTCCATCTGCTATTCTACTACTCCTCAGGGATTATTCAGGCCCCCTGCCTTCCCTACACATCAAGCTCGAGGATTTGCCCCACCCAGGACTGGCAAATTAGCTTTACTCAACAAGCCCTGAGTCAGATAACTAAAATACCTCTTAGTCTAGGTAGATACTTTCACTGAATAAGTAAAGGCCTTTCCTACAGGGTCTGGGAAGGCCACCACAGTCATTTCTTCCCTTCTGTCAGACATAATTCCTCAGTTTAGCTTTCCCACCTCAATACAGTCTGATAACAGATGAGTTTTATTAGTCAAATCAGCCAAGCAGTTTTTCGGGCTCTTAGTATTCAGTGAAACCTTTATATCCCTTATGGTCCTCCGTCTTCAAGAAAAGTAGAATGGACTAAAGGTCTTTTAAAAACACACCTCACCAAGCTCAGCCACCAACTTAAAAAGGACTGGACAATACTTTTACCACTTTCCCTTCTCAGAATTCAGGCCTGTCCTCGGAATGCTACAGGGTACAGCCCATTTAAGCTCCTGTATAGACGCTCCTTTTTATTAGGCCCCAGTCTCATTCCAGACACCAGACCAACTTAGACTGTGCCCCCCCAAAAAAAAACTTGTCATCCCTACTATCTTCTGTCTAGTCATACTCCTATTCACCGTTCTCAACTACTCATACATGCCCTGCTCTTGTTTACACTGCCGGTTTACACTGTTTCTCGAAGCCATCACAGCTGATATCTCCTGGTGCTATCCCCAAACTGCCACTCTTAACTCTTGAAGTAAATAAATAATCTTTGCTGGCAGGACTATGCCAAATCTCCTTAAGCACTCTCTAATCAGATATCCTGAGTTGTCCCAATTCTTAGACCTTTTATACCTGTTTTTCTCCTTCTGTTATTCCATTTAGTTTTTCAATTCATCCAAAACCATATCCAGGCCATCACCAATCATTCTATACGACAAATGTTTCTTCTAACATCCCCACAATATCACCCCTTACCACAAGACCTCCCTTCAGCTTAATCCCTCCCACTCTAGGTTCCCACGCCGCCCCTAATCCTGCTTGAAGCAGCCCTGAGAAACATCGCCCATTCTCTCTCTCCATACCACCCCCCCAAAATTTTCGCCGCCCCAACACTTCAACACTATTTTGTTTTATTTTTCTTATTAATATAAGAAGGCAGGAATGTCAGGCCTCTGAGCCCAAGCCAAGCCATCGCATCCCCTGTGACTTGCATGTATACATCCAGATGGCCTGAAGTAACTGAAGAATCACAAAAGAAGTGAAAATGCCCTACCCCACCTTAACTGATGACATTCCACCACAAAAGAAGTGTAAACGGCCGGTCCTTGCCTTAAGTGATAACATTACCTTGTGAAAGTCCTTTTCCTGGCTCATCCTGGCTCAAAAAGCACCCCCACTGAGCACCTTGCGACCCCCACTCCTGCCCGCCAGAGAACAAACCCCCTTTGACTGTAATTTTCCTTTACCTACCCAAATCCTATAAAACAGCCCCACCCTCATCTCCCTTCACTGACTCTCTTTTCGGACTCAGCCCACCTGCACCCAGGTGAAATAAACAGCCATGTTGCTCACACAAAGCCTGTTTGGTGGTCTCTTCACAGGGACGCACATGAAAAAAGTTATCTGGGGCAATTCTGTACCTTGATTTGCAAGCCTATCTCTTCCTCTCAACTGTCTTCTTGCTTAAATTGTACCAGCATATAGACCACTGGTGATTTTCCTAAAAAAAAAGAAAGAGTTTAAAAGCTAATGAATTCAGAAATGAGTAAAAAACTAGTGACAGTTTCTGGATATTCTATAGGTTTTGCTCTGAATAGTATTTGGAAACTGATTCTTAAAATACTCTTAGATAGCAGGTAGATGTGTTTGGTATGCTTTATTTTTATTTAAAAATCAAGTCATAATATTTACTAAACTTGAAATGACAAGTTTCACTGTAAAAATTAAAGAAAACAATTCAATACAAAATATATTGTCGATCTGAAGTTGTATGATGGAAGAAAACATTTTAAAGAATACATAAAATGGATCTTTAAAATTGGATCTTACATATACTTTGCATTTAAAATGCAAGTGCCATGTTTAGATTTGAACTCGTTAAATTATGAAAATATATTACTATTATATATGAAATTAGATTAAAATAGAATCACTTATTATGCTACAAAAGTATAAAGACAGTAGTAATTTCATGGAATATGCAGTCAAAATGTTTCCTGTGTTATTATAACTGCCTTTTATTTCCCAGTAAATGTGATTCTTAAGGTGATATTTTAAAATATTTTTAATATTTTTTAAATATTGTGATTCACCTTTTATTTTCCTATTTCATTACCAATTATTATTATTAGATAGCATTTTGCATACTTTTTCCATCTTTATTACTATTAGTAAATAGCTATCCTTCACCTCTAAAAACAAACTGAGATATTTGAAAATACACACATTCCTGATTTGTAGAAGGCGATATATGATTGATGTCTCCTGACTTGTCTTCCATTTAGTTCCTTGAAAACATTGTAAATGAAAAATGATTAAGTAAATGTTATACTGAGAGCATGTTGTTGTGCATGAGTATTTGGCATATTTTTAAACCTTAAGGCTGTTAATCAAGGTACTATGGAAAAAGAGCACACAACCTTTGTAATTAGACAGATATGGGTTTGAATCTTGGCTCAACGCCTTATTAGCTGTGTGTTTGGGCACATGACTTAACCTGTCTCTGTTTCCATTTCCTTTTTCTTACAGTTGTTGTGAGAATGACATGAGATAATATATGTACTTTGCAACACGCACTGAGTAGGATATGGTTAGGGCTCAATATTTGTTGATTCCTTTCCCTTTCTCTTTCCTTTTCATTAGAAGTGTCCGTGATTTCTTTCTTGGACTTCCTCCTATCTCCGAGATTCTGCTCTATATTTACTAGATGGAATGGTATATATAAATAACAACTTCAGTAATACTATAGTTTAAACATTACTGACATAAGTTTGAGTAAATAGAAAATTCAAACTACCTATCAAAATATACATTCAGGATTGCTGTGGGCTATGTACTTTCCTTCTCATCACCATTCCTTTGTGCACACCTCAGTGAAAGTTAACTATTTAAAATGTGATTGTAACATATGTGAATGTTTCAATTTAATTTCAAATCAATACAATATATGCAAGGCACACATGCAAATGAATCATGGAAAAATAATCACAGAGGTAAGCAGATTTCAATCTATGAAATGCATGTTTTTTTTATCTTTTAGATCATGCCATTGAGCTTGTTTGATTGTTCATGTTATGATTTCATCTTTCACATAGTCTGTAGTTCACAGAGACATTGTCCTTAAAAACCACATGAAGGTCACTGGTTTCCTTATAAAAATGACATAATGTATTAAAGCTGGAATTCTGTAGCTAGTGACTCATGCTTGCATTTGTACATTTTAAGAGATGTAATTTATAGAAAGGAAGCATCCAGTCTTGAGCTCTTTCAGACTTCGATTGCTCAAATAAATTAAGAAATAAAGGCTATCATAAATAAGAGCACATGGCCTGTTAACTGGTCAGTCATCTAATTTAAACTTCAAAAAATACTCTTATTTGTCTTTACATGTTTCTCTCTCATTGTGAAACATACGGATATTATATAACACACACACATATACATCTTCTACCTATATGTTAGTAAGAACAAGTCATAATTTTGAAAGTATTCACATACTTGTATTAACTTTCTAATTTTTGAAGCCAAAAATGCAAATGTACTTCCTGTTCATTTTGAATTTATTAAGCATGACATGATTCTCAAGGACAGTATGATGTAGTCAAATTTTTAAAGGCTTTCATTTAATATGCTACATAGGCTTCAAGAGGCAGTGAACCATGGTGGAAAAGAACCTGATTTCAGAGTTAGGAAATTTAAGTTCTCTCTGCAGTTTTGCCAATAATTAGCTGTATGACCTGAAGCAAATCAAGAACCCTCTCTAAGTCTTAATTTGTTCATCTTTAATAATATATAATCATTTAATAATAACAGGCAATATTGAGTCACTTACAAATGTGATCAGTATGCTTTAGTTCTACTTGCTTTATTAGAGTGCTCAGTATTTAATGTGTTATTATTTTCATAACGTTATCCATGCATTTAGGAATTATAAAGTACTTTGCTGGTATTCCTAAAAATAATCTCATAAAATGGATGACTTTTTGGCATTGAGAACTAACAGTCATATGGTATTTGGACTATTAATTTTAACTGAAAGTCTATCTACAGCTCATTACTTACTTGTAACTTAAACCAAGGTATAATTCAGGTTTCTAAGGGCTTGCTGATAGCAAGTAATTCATATGACTCCTAACTATATAAGGGACCTTACATATTTCTATTGGCATCATTCAAATAATCTAATACATTGCTAAACACACAAAAGGCACTCAACTCCTGTTTGCTGATTTACTTATCTTTATTAAGTTAAGGGAATAAAAGCAACAGGACTGAATATGAATGACTCCAGACTCATGGAGGCTTTTTCTGTTGTTAAACAAAAGTCTTATCCATCCGAAAATCTCTGTGAGTCAGTCAAAAAGAGGTTTGGCCACTCTATGTTTAGGTGATAGTGAAAATGGCACCCAAAAGGGTTGATCCAAATTTACACTTCCTCTCTGGGCTTTGGGGTAAAGAGGTTTTTGTATCAATATTTTCATCCCATGCAATCTCTTTTCTATCTACTGTGCTCTTACAATCTTCTCTGAATTTAACAGTAACCTTTGCTGCCAAATCCTTTGTGTAGAGCTCATATATTTGATCTCCAGCTACTGACTAGACTTCAAACTACTAAAGATCAGAATTAAGTATTGTTTCCTCTTCTGGGAAGCCCTGAAGTACTCAGTCAAATGTCTTGCCCAGAGCAGAATCTTAACAATTATTGAATGTAACAATGTCTAAAGTTGGGGAAAACCTGAGAAAAGTTTCATCATTAATATTCCCAGGTAAATATCAATCTTAAATATTACCCAAAACTTTAAATAATAAATGCTTTATTTTTGGACTTCCATTCTTTTCTTTTCTCTCTACAACCTTCTCTTTTTTGTACAATTTTGAAATTTAGCTAAACTAGTGTAGCATGGATTGTTCGAAATTCTATCTCCAGAGATCCAGTATCACATTTTCATTTCTCCAGAGAACATCTGATGGTGCATGTCTCACCACTGTTTTAAACATATTCAGATTAGAGGTGACTCTCACCCCCACTAACTAGTTCCTAATTTACCTCTTCTCATACCGTGAAACATGAATATCCTATGGCCCTTTGGAATATTGTCCTTCTGTGTCAATTCAAACCCTACTTGTCCTCAAGCTCCAATTCATTTCCTCTCTATGCCAATAAAATTCCTTTAGTTGTTTCTTTTCCTTCATTTTTATGTGGTACACAATTTAGTCCTTCACTATATAATGTCTTCATTTTTGTTGCATGCCAATACAGTTTATCTTCCCAAATAGAAGATAAATTTCTCAATGGTAGGAACCGTAAAATGTTTGCTAAATCCTCCCTTGACAGTTTTGTGACTCTAAGAACAAGTGTTATATTCTCTAACATGTGTTTTTTACAATGTCGGGTATAATTTAGCTTCAAAAAATATTGCTTTGCTTTTTTTTTTTTTTTTTTTTTTGGAGATGAAATCTTGCTCTGTCACCCAGGCTGGAGTGCAATGGCACGATCTCGGCTCACTGCAACCTCTGCCTTCTGGGTTCAAGTGATTCTCCTGCCTCAGCCTCCCAAATAGCTGGGATTACAGGCACACACAACCACGCCGGGATAATTTTTGTATTTTTAGTAAAGATGGGGTTTCGCCATGTAGGCCAGGCTGGTCTCGAACTCCTGGCCTCATGTGATCTGCCCACCTTGGCCTCCCAAAGTGCTGGAATTACAGGAGTGAGCCACCATGGCCGACACAAAAAATATTTCTTAAATGATGATGATGATGTGATAGAAATCTACACGATTACTCAGACAGATCAAGAGCAGGCTGGAGTACCACAAGTTAAGATCTGACTGAGGACAAAAGTTTGAATAATTCTTTTGAAATTATTTTATAGCAACACAAATTGTACAGCTTTAGATTCATTAAAGATAGTGATAAGGTATCTAGATATATTTTCCAGGGGAAAGTAATTGGAAATCAAAATGGAACACTGATAAAAGTCATGAACAAGCTATAAATAACTTTTCTTTTTCTTCTTCCTGCCATTTGGGATCACCCCCCAAAGACTCAAAGGAGTTCTGAATACAAATAGAGGAAACTGAATACTCCTCAAAAAATAAATGTTCTAGTACAGGGGCAAAATGATCATATGAAATATAATTAAAGGCATCTAGATGAATGTTTGTCCAGAATTTGTTTTCTTTTGTAACCCTTTATAAGGTAATAGCCTATATCCAATTCAATCTAAAAATATAATAAAGGAATAAGACAATTTCTAATCATGAAGCTAAACCATAAACTCAGCATTTACGTTATTGATATTCAGCAAGATATTAATGAACTCCCATTTAAAATTCTCCACTGAAAGCTAACTTTGGGATAATATTATTCAATTATTTCATCAATTTTTATACTAATTAAAATTTTCTCTTAAAAATTGTTTTTCTAATACTTGTATTTAAAGCAAACATTGCTACCTTATCCACATGCACAGTATATTTTAAATGTTTAAATCCAGGGTATGCAATGTTAAATTGTTTATCAGTGCTTCTGTATTTTAAAAATATGCCATGTGTGTGGGTAAGGTAGAAATGTTTTCTTTAAATACAAGTATTGGAAAATGATTATTTTTAAATGCAGAAGGTACCCTCTGTTATCTGGGTTCTGGCTATTACAGGAAATGTGAAAGGGATAGGGCTAATAGTCATGAAAGTAAGAGAGAAGTCATAATAAGTTGAAGCACTCTTTTGAAAAATTTGAAGCAGAACTCAATCAAGGCTTGATTTATTTTAAGGAAACTTTGTTTGGCTAAAGTGCAACCAGATAGCTAGACTTCCAATATATTCTGCAGAAAATGATTTGGGATTTTTTTTTTGTGTTTTAATCTGTCATATTGCTCATTAGTCAGTCTATTGTTATTTAAATCTTGACCACATGCAAATGAATGTCTGATTCTTTGTAGAAAACCAAGTATTTATCATGCTTTTTAAACATCTGGGAGTAACATGACTCTCTCTATATATATATACAAATATACATACACATATCTATATCTATAACTTCCTAATTGTATCATTTATTTCTAAGCATCTGAAGTTCTCTGGAACTAAATATCCATGACATGAAGAGAGGGGAAAGTACTGGAAATAGAATGAAATTTTAGGGCCGAGCATGGTGGTTCGTGCTTGCAATCCCAGCACTTTGGGAGGCAGAGGCGGGATGATTGAGACCAGGAGTGCGAGACCAGCCTGGGCAACATAACAAGACCCTCATTTCTACAAAACAACAACAACAACAACAACAACCTGGGCACGGTGACACACACCTACAGTTCCAGCTACTCGAGAGGCTGAGGTGAGAGAATCGCTTGAGCCCAGGAGTTCGGGGTTGCAGTGAGCTATGATCGCATGACTGCACTCCAGCCTGAGTGACAGAGTGAGACCCTGTCTCAAAAAAATAAAAAGAATGGAATTCTGAATAAGAACTCATGGGTTTGTTTGAATCTGGCTGTAGAATTAATTGTGTGACTTTACATAAGTAATTTAACCTTTCTTACCCTTCGTTTTCTCATTTGTGTAATCAATGTAGTAATACTGGCCCTAACTAAGTCGAAGTTATGTTGAAAATCAAATGAAGGGATATATGAGAAAAATATATACAATCTCTAAAATATCTACAAAGAAAATTTGTATTATGGTGTAAAAAGTAGATATATTAATAATAAGGATATTCTGTGACTGTATTATTAAACCCTTTCAGCTATATGTTGCCTTCGTTAGAAAATAAGATAAAAAATTAGGGAGGAGAAAACAGGAAACAGAATATAAGAATTGCTCTTAGGCTGAAAAAATTTACAATAGGAAATGAAGAAAATTTTAAAAATACTTGATAGAAAATATAAAAAGAGTTAAGAGAGAATGGAAAGTAGATATTGGGATGAATCTCAAAAAAACATATCTGCATTAGCGAATCTGTAGTAAGATCAAGAAATTTGGAGTTGTCTACATGTTATTTGTAATCTCTCTTTCTGAAGCCTTTAGAGCTATAGGAATTAAAATAATGAAAACTTTTGAACTAGAAAGTATAAGTATCTCCAATGTTCTTTACTATGGGTAAAAGAATTATCTATGTTCAAAGGTTGACAATATGAATAACTGGAATTGTTTACATTTGTGAATTGCTTACATGTCAAAATGCCTTTTGCCAAAGCATTTTGATCCATTTAACCTTTACTTCTTTTTCAATTTCTATATATGTATTAAACATTTTAATATTGAAAACTGTTTTACACCCATCTCTCTTCTCCCCAAAAGTAAAATATCTATTATGGTATGATTCACCGTTCAAGATGTCTAGAAATCTTCTAGAAACCCTATTGAGAAAAAAACAATGCTAATTATTTTTAGTAACATTTCTAAATCCTAAGGAAGTTCATTTTTTTATATATTAGATTAACTATAAGATATGGCTTAATCGTTTCTGAAAATGCAGGAGAGTGTTATCTGTCCTATCAAATAGTTAAGTAACTTCTTTTGTGTAGAGTTTGTAGCTGCACAGTTTAATTTATTATAAATCACCTAAAATGAATGTTACTTATTATTAATAGCCAAAGATATCTTAAATTTACTTTAAATAACAAAAGACAAAAAGAAGACATGTCTTCAATCACTCAGAAATCTTTAAGACATGAATCATTTCAAATGTAGGGCACTGGAGTGAATGGAAAATGACAAGTTAGAGACCTGAAGTGAATATTGACTTGAGATTTTATAAGAATTACTTAAGTAGCTGAAGAGTCATAACCATTAATCTTCTGGGGCATAAAATCAACTACCTGAGTATTATTATTTGAAGTGGATTTTCAGAATTAGAAACTGTTGATATTTTCTTAAAGTTGTAGCATTTGAAATTATCTCAGTAACCATCCAGTCTGATTTTCTCTTTTGGCGGAGGAGGACATAGAGGCTTATAACAGACTAGAACTTAGGTTCTAGTTAACTCCAAATTTGCACTATAAATACCTTTCCCACAGTGCTTGTGTCTTTTTGTATATTAATTATTCAGCAAATATATGTTGAGAGAAGCCACAATATGTAATGATATATGCAAACGGTAGCTGGGGAGTATAAACATGAATAAATTATAATCTTTGTTCCATGTGAATTTATAATCCAGTAGGAAAGATAAGACTCAAATTTAAAAGTGACGTGATGCATGTAAAACCTTTAACACCAGGCCTGCCTCTAAAGTATAAGTTAAAAACCAAGTAATAAAAATAAAATGCGATAGAAGCCAGGTGCAGTGGCATGCACCTGTGGTCCCAGCTAATCAGGAGGCTGAGGCAGTAGGTTCGCTTGAGCCCAGGAGTTCAAGGTCAGCTTTGGCAACATAGCAAGACTCCATATCTAAGGAAAAAACAATGTAATACAATGTGCTAAGTGCCATGTAAGAGGTGCAAACAATTATGTCTATTTTCTTAAAATTTAAAATGGAAATTCTGGTGTTCTTAAGTATGTGAGTGTAACCTAGATGACTTTTTAAAATATGGCCAGTAGTCTTTTTACACTGCACACACAAAATTATAACACATTTGCATTCTAAGCATTGCTTCTTGGCTTTATAGTCTGTATGATATCCTTCTTCCTCACCCCCTCCAATCAAACCGTACATCTTTCTCTGAATTAAGCATGAGGATTTGTCTGCAGTCATTTCCTAATGTTCCCTGTTAGCTGAAGCTCATCACTTCATAACCCACTTTAGAGTCCCTGGGTTTCATTCTGATATTCAGCAGCTACTTTGGTAGCTGACAACTTTTAGCCTTATCTATGCTCTGCCCAGGAATTGGGTAGCATTATTTGGTGCCATTGTAAAGAGAGTGGGAGATGTGCAGAGTTCAAACATGAGATAGGGAGTTGTCTGAAATGAGCTTTCAATTACTAACCCTAAGAGTCTATAATCACAATGGAATTTAAAAGGTGGCACATTTGAACAACATTTTTCAGAAATAATTCTGAAGCTGTATTAATGGACTGAAATGGGGAATAATTAAGAAAAGTTATCCACGAATGAATCCAAGGTAGGAAGGACAAGCATTATTTCAATTATCATAAGAAATTAAAGAAATCTGGGAGAAGGGATAGAGTGTTTTTTTAATAATTTCTCACTCTATAAGTGTTGTGATAAATGTATTCTGTATTATACTAGAGAAACAAATGAACTTTTATTTGATCTTGTTGCTTCATTCTCAATCAAGAGACTCAGAATATCCACTATGTTTGTACAAATTTGGCTGCCTTTCTGAAAATGGCACTTACCCAAAGTAAAGTATAAATCTATGGTAAAAATTCAAATTACTTTATAACAATGTATTATCTTCTCAGCATTCAAATGTTTTTCACTTTTAAATTCTGAATTAGGTTGGTGCAAAAGTAATTGCGGTGAAAACCACAATGGTGAAAACTACAATTACTTTTGAACCAACCTAATAAAATTTGTGGGAGTTTTCTCCATGTTCTCTTCCCCATTTTATATATTATACAATTTGTGACTCTATATTTGTAACCTTAGGGAAGTCAGTCATATAACCTCAGTGGTTTCTGTATTCTGTATCTGTTTATAACAAAGAGGTTAGTTTGAAGGATCCTTACAGAAAGATTACCTAGTATAAGGCTCTCATTTTGGAGTTGTGGAAACTGAGGCCTGAGTTAAGCAAATGACTGGACCATTTTTTTCTTCATTCATCCTGAGTGAGAGAGTAGGAAAGAGAGAAATCAATGTTGCCTATACCATAAATTGCAAAACTACATTATTACATTGAATTGCCTTTACTGTCTAACAGTACTTATTTGTTTCCTTAGGGAAGTATTGTAGAATATGTTTTTCACCTCATTAGCATCCAACAAAGTGTTAAATGTACATTAAGCCCTCAACTGAAATTCTCTTGCTGAATTTCAACTAAGCCATTGCTGAAATTCCATAATTCTTACAGGCTTTTCTTTATTCATCTTCATCTTACAGTTCACTAATTTGGCAGATAAATATGGACAGTGAATTTTATAGATTTACTTACGTGAAATTTAGGAAATTGGCTGAGGTTTGGTAGTAGAAGCAGGAAAATTTGACACAGACAGTTACCCAGTGAGAGGTGGGTAATAATCCTCCAAACTAAAGAATCTGCCCTTGCTAACTTAAATAATACTTTGGAGAGCAAGTCATTGTATCAATGAATAGTCATTTGGGCGCATAATTCTACCATACAAGTTCTTTTCCATTTACATAGTGATTTTAAAAATAGATATAGAGGTATGATGAAATGACTAAATAAATAAATCTATTGAGAAACCAGCTCATTTCTGCTTTTTCAAAATGAAGTTTCAAAAAATATTTGTTGGAGAGACACCAGATCTTCCTTGTTTTACTTCCTTCAAGAATGAAGTAATCAACTTCTTTCTGAATCTATTTTAGACTAACATTACATTTAAAACTAAAAGATACAGGCCTATTAGACCTCTGGGAGTCATTGACCAACCAAAAATGCTAGAACAATCTACCCACAAGCCACAAAGCATTAAATTAACTGTTTAATTAAGATAAAAAAAACTAATAGATTCATGACGTGATCACTCAGAGCAATTCATTAATACTAATGTCTGATTTCCTTTAACAGTATAAAAAGGAAGGAAATAAAGCTCTTATTTACAAGTTTATTTGCTGCAAAGGCATTTAGGAATTGCTATTTTAAAAAGAAAACTTGCGCTTCTTTCTGAGCCATCAACCCATACCGCAAAATGGGTGCAGAACTCAGTTTGCTAATAAAAAGAGAATTCTATAGCCATGCATGTGGTCAATGAAATGGTCTCTCTCTCATATATGTATATATAATGGTGTATTTCACTGTGAAATGGAAAATAAAACAGTGTGGTAGGGCTAAGCTTTAGCTAAACTAATTTAAGAAGATTTATAATATTTTTATTGCCCTAAAATATGTTCAGAGAAATTACCTGAAATCATTTCAGGGGAAACTGTTATTCTGTTAGATGCCTTGAATTCTTGAATATTATTGTGCAGATGTGCTAAAAATTCTATTTTAGCTCTTCCTTCATCTTCTTTCACCTTTACTTTAACCATTGGAATACAATACAATCAATCAAGATATGTTAACTGATTACCTACTATGGGCAAGGCACTTATCATATATGTGGGCTAGTCAACAAAAGCTTCCTGCAAGAGGTGGGGCTTGAAACGGACCTTGAAGATCAGACAGAATATAGATACATTTGGGAGAGAAAGCTACATACCACAGTACTGGACTTCTCCAATCTTTCTAGCAATAAATTCTTTTTTAATCACGGATCAGGTTTTTTGTCAATTTAAAATGGAAGTAAGAAATGGAAGTAATTGGTTTGGTTTTTGAATTTTTAAAAACCTACTTTTAAAAAGACTTTAATCATATTTAGAATTTTTCCAAGTATGGTCTTTCTACCCTGAAATAACTTTAGTCTAAGTATTGTACTCAGATATGGTTTTTCTACCTGGGCTCAGATCAGTAAACTAAAAAACTGGCAGTTACTTTTTATAGCACCTATTTTCCAAGTCATAGCTATCAAATTACTTTTCCTGACTCTAGTATGAAAAGGAAATACATGGCAAATGGGATCAGACAAGACTTGAAACCTTCCTGATATATGATAAATAATTTTTAACACAAACTCAAGATTTTATTGTCTTCATAATAAAACAAAAGATGACACTTAGAAATGGATCACTTGGACCTTTCTCTTCTTATCTCTTCCCAGTTCAAAATGCTTGCATCTTTTAATGGCAGCATTCTCTTAGATTTGCAGTTGGGATCAGTGCACTCAAGCCTTAGCACAATATTCTTTGTAGTTTTAGCTTTTTTCCGAAAAATTGGCTTAGTCTGCCCACCATATTCACTGCGCTGCCTGTCATAATGCTGCTTTCCCTGGGCATACAGAGAATCTTTGCCCTTCTTGTACTGTGTCGTTTTGTGGGGTTGGTGCTAGCCACACTTCTTTAAGTCTTGTGAGTTTTAGGAACATTCACCATGTTTTCGGGAGCACTATCGGTACGGAAAGAGATAAACGATTTTTACTGATCCTTCTGTCAGTCGGTCTTAGACCTTCAGAGCTTCTATTTTACTGCTTGAATTTCAAGTAGGCAATATTATATAAATGACAAATATGAATGGCCTTTGTTGTGGTGTTACATGTAGTAGAAACCTGTGGGTCCAACTCACAGTAGTAACATCTGCCTGTCCAGTCATCTCTACATACAATAGCATTATTTCCCTGACTTCATTTCTGTCTTTGTATTATCTCTGTAACTCCCCTGAGCTTCACTCAGCTTCTTGTCCCTCAGTCTCTCAGCATTAACAGTACATTCTCATTTGCTCTACTTCTTTATTGGTAGGTGAATCTCTAGATGAAATGTTGCATGTCTGTCTCATTGCCTTGCCAAGCAGCATATCGAGGATTAATGGACATTGTCCATTAATATCCTCACATTTACATGCAAATTTGTTCTGTTAAAAGACTAGTTGTTACAGTATGAAAGAAAAATTAGCCAATTTCTAAACAGAGGCAATAGTTTGTTGTTTAACACCACGGCCTCTGGAATAAAACTGCCTGGTTTCAAGCTTGGTTTTGTTCATTCAGTTTGAACAGATTAACCTCTTTGTATGCCTCAGTTTCCCTAACTGCAAACTGGATAATAGTAGTACCTTCTCATGGGGTAGTCATCAGGCTTGTATGGTTATATACCTGTAAACCTCTTAGAACTGTGTAGTGCATGGTAAATGTCAATAAATAGTGGCCACTGTTACCATCTTTTATACCTCTCCTCTTAAGAATAATTACTTGCTAATTTGGGCAAGTCTTACTACTTTGATTACAGGAAGCTATAATTGAAGAGTATTCAGTGAGTCTTGATTACTGAGATAAAATGGGAGATACGTAAGTTTAAAATACACTTGCAAAAGATTTGAACACTGACATTTATTCGTAAGCGTTTACTGATTAGTTTAAAGAAGACATCATGTTTTATGAAAAAGTAAAGGAAATCCTAGCCAATTCATTCATTGCTATCCTTGTCTAGATATTAGTTGACATTATCTTTGGTTTCAGTGGTGTTCAGTTTTCACTTTTTATTTTTACATTGAGCTCAACCCCACACCTTGCCATTAACGCTAATTCAACTCTGAATTTAAATACCCATATATGGTGGCTGTTGCACTGGACAATGCAGTTCTAAAGGCTTTCTAATAGCTTTCAATAAATTTATGCATAGTTCTTAATAGGTAATAATAACAGTATGTTACCCAAAGGTGTACTTGTATTTAAAGGAGACAGTGACTAAGATGAAAGAGGGAAATTCCTGAATGTAGAATTTCAAGTTATATGGAAAACCATGAAGGCTACTAATTTAGGGACCAGAAGGCCTTTCGAGTGCTTCTCAAATTAGACCATGTAAGTGGTCATCTATGCATAAGGTTAACCATAATTAAGAAGAATGACTGTTTCAAATGCCAGCTATATGTACAATGCTATAATACGCAACTATTTTAGGAAACTGCAGATGACACTGTCTTAGCCACAGCTGAGAAGAGGAATGAATAGCGAGGTTGAAGTAGAGATGCCAGGTAGGAGACAAAAACAGAATTAAAATTCCATCTTGTGTATATCTTATTTGAAATCCTGATTTCACTATGTCGTTTGTGCATTAAAATGTCAGAAGTGATTAGCAAAGAGTTGTTGCAGGTGAGCATTAGTATTAAATCTGCTAATGACTTGCCAAATGATGATGCAGCTTAACCACTTGGTTGTTTTCAATGTTGTTTGTCTAGAATGGAGATGACTAGACTGTCTTGCAGCAATGTTCTCAGTATATGAAAAAGCCTTCTTAAAATGTCTTGAAGAATGGCAGTGTTGGAGAGATCCATAACTTGAGCACACATTAGACTGGAGATTGATGATTTCTTTTTGAGGTTCAACAGTACAATATGTAGATGAAATGACATAGGTAGCCTAGAATGCTAACAAATAAATAATAAATGTTGCTTAGTGCAATAATTTAAAATTTTCAAAGTGCTTAATACCCATCTGTTTCACAACAATCAGGTGGGGTTATATATGATACTGACATAAAATATCACAATAATATATTATTAACTTCAATTTATGATGAAGTTTTCCTAGTTTGCTCATGGCTACCAGGCAGCTAGAGGAACATAATTTAGCAGTTCTTCCACTAGACAATACTAAGCTGTATCAGATGCTTTACTAAAATAATCTCAGTACACGTACATCATCCTTTTGTGAGGTATTCCATTGCTATGAAAGTGAGGTGGTAAGATGCTCCTTAATAATACTGGACAAATAGTCTGGAGCTTCAGGAGCCATTAAAACCTGGGAATTAATTTATCTTTCAGCAGGCTCAGCAAACTGCAACCTCCTTCAATCTCAGGCCTTGAACAATTTAATAAGAATAGCTGAGGATATTTAATGTTGGTTACTATAATCTCTCCCCCAAATTTTGTTTTAATTTTTGTGTTTCCCTTAGCTGGAGAGGGATGACGTTTCCTTGAAGGAAATACATGGAACAGTAAAATTATTGAGGCTTGACTCAATTATAATGTTGGATGAATCTATTAGAATGTTAGGCTTTTTAGATTTTACTTTTATTGCTCTTCCCAAGTAGACTTGGAAGCACAAATAAATATTTCTTATTCTCTTGCCTTAAATTAACTTTTGAGAATACCTTGAAAAATTGAGGGGAAAAATCTAATGGCACCGATAAAATGGAGGATAATAATATCTCCGTCATTCATAGACTTGCTATGAAGACTATATGAAATAATATATATTTTATGTATATATATGTAATAGTCCTGGATCCACGTCTGGCATCCAGGAGGTTCCCAGAAATATCAGTTCTCACCTCTTTTCTGATGAATTCATACTGCACAAAAGCCTGTTACATTATCTGAAAAAGTCATCACTGTCATCCATGACACCTCTAGATGGAGATAAACCCCTCAAGAAAGCATAGAAAGGGTTAATAACCCTCTCTAGATAATGCAGATAGAAAAACACCGTCATTTTTGCTAAAGCACCCCAAATCCTACCTTGACATTGCAATCAACAAGCCTTATCCACCTTCCGAATTTCAGGACTTGCGTTGGGCTTGTTGCTGTAGATGATAGACGCTATTAGGAAAGAAATCATGTTGATGAAACAAATATTTTCTTCCCTCCCCAGGAGGATCAGGAGAATTTATTTAAGGAATGAAAAATATAATTAAATATTCTATAACCTACCTCCCCAAAATATGGACAAAATTATTTATTTCCCCCCACCTGTGGGGTGGAATGGGGGGGCATTGTAGATGATTCCCAAACAGCCAGGTGCTAAGGAGATTATACTCTTCAGAACAGACAATATTCAGTATGATTTCAGTACTGCAAAAGAGATGCAATGATCACGGTAGATATCATTTTCTGTGGGGCATGTCAGTTGGCCTTTGTCATTGTCTCTACACATATGTAGCCAACTACACAGTAACACCTTGTTTCTATTGCACTCATATTTTGATTGTCAGAATGGCTGATATGTACGTAAACTTCTTCATGAAAAATTTAAACTCTGGAGCCCAGATATCTTTTTTCATTACCGTGTATGTGAGGTCGCAATTGTCTGCAAACTGGGGAGCTCAGAGGTTACTCAGTGCGCCGCATTTCCTCACCCCCCGCCCCCCAAATCATCTTAGCTCAACCATATATGAGCGTCCCTCGGTTAGCCTGCCTAAAAGGTATGAGGTAAGGGGCATATGCACTTAGTGGCTCAGCAATCAGAGGCTTCCTTGGATGGGACTTATACTGGTAATATTAATGAAGAAGCTGCGCGGTACTGGCAGTGATTCCAGACCAAATCTTTTAACTGCCGAATGTCACTCGCTGAATTATGAGTTGGGGAGCTCTGTTGCTTAAAATACAGGGTTCTCAAACACAATGCAAGTGTTTGTCACCTCAAGTCGCATACTACCCAACAGGAAGCAAAAGGCAAAGGGCATGGCGCAGAAAAGAAACAGACACACAGACACGTTTTGCAATGACGAACTTTATGTGACATCAGGAACGGCAACCTGTTCTCATGTTTAGCAATTCCGAGGAACGCTGTAAAGACTGCTTGTCAGGTAAAACTGAGTACAGGAATAAGAGGCAGCGCTGGAGACTTTTTCGCAATCCTTTTCAAAATATAGAACAGTAACCAAATGACTTAGATAAGCTAATTAATTATTTAAAAAAAGGTTCACTGGATGCCTTTATCCTCTCCTCTTAAGCTTACGTGATCACCAGCAGCGCTGTTCAAATTCAGCTAACAGCTGTTAGACCAAACACAGATCCGCAGTGTGTTATCTCCCCAGAGTTACGGATGTTCGCTGAGACCCGCCAGAAAAATTAGGGTCGCTTTTCAATGAGAACATAATAAAGGATCCTTGGTTCCCCCTCTGCACACACTGTCCCAAACCTTGCGCCCCCTCCCACTTGCCTGCTGTCGGATTTCTTAAAATTGTAGTCGGTCCTGCAACTCAGTTGCATCTTCCGCAGCCCGACCCTCTACTCAGCGACATTGCGTTCAGTTTCCCTCCTTTCTCTCCTCCCACTCCTCACTTCTTGAGACCCCACCCCCGCCTTCCGTTTCTGTCTCGGCTTCCCCCGCGCCAGGTTCTCTAGACCCCCGCCTCCGCCCAGCGTCTTCATCTCGAGCCCCCGCTCCCAATCCCCTTAGAGACTTCTATGCTCCTTCCGTGGAACCTAAGCTCCTCTCTTCTTCCAGAGACTCAGTCTCCTCGCGATTTGCGCGTTCAGAGTCCCTCCCCCCAACCTCCGCTAGGGCCAGTGCGGTCCTGCAGGCTGCAGCCATCCGGGACCTGTCCCCGCTCCCCACCCCATCCCCCGCCTAAATCGTTGGGGTCTCGGCTAGCAATGCCGCCCGGGGCTCCAACTTACCACTAGCGTCCGGGAGGAAGACCAGGCAGCGGTCGCCGCGGCGGCAGCTAGACGAGAAACGGACTCGGCTGCAATCGCCCAGCGGAGCCCGCGGCAGTCGGTGCGCTGAGCTGCGCTGCGCTGCGCGCCGCAACCTCGCGCCTCGGCGGAGGGAGAGGAATGGAGGGAGCTCGGCGCGATAGGAAGCGCCGGCGAGTCGACCTCCTTTGGGTGACCGTGCGCCCCCCGGCTAGGTTTGGCTCTTTTCGCTCCGCTATCTTACTCTAGCTTAGTAACTGACCACCTCCAGCATCTCTGCACTAATCGCGTCTTCTTTCTTCTTCGTTGGCCCCTAACTAACTACACTACTCTAAACGGACGAAGGCCATCACACGAGCGCCACGACGATCGCGACGACTCCGACGACAACGATGTACAGACAGAAGAAGAGTTCATATGCAATCGGCAGGTAAGGGGCAAGGCAGGCCAATGGAGCAGCCAAGGCTAGCAATCTAGCCGCTCCAAAGGCAGTATCGGGAAGATCGGTGCATCTGAGGAAGGAAGCGTCCTCGGCAAGCACCAGAGCGCCTACCTCGCGCGGGTGAATCTGCACCACGCTCTTGGGCCAAAAGCGGGATGAGGGGAGGAGCCAAGAGCAGCCAATCAGCACTCAGCATTACGTGGCCCCCGGGCCTGTTTGGACCGGTCTCTTAGTGCATCTGGAGCCTGCTGGCAGGGGGCGCGAGACCCCATGGTGGAGATGGGGGTGGGGGTGATGATTAATCTGATTCACAAGGCCTAGAGAGTAGGGGGAACCAGGATCAGCCATGGCACCGGATAGAGAGAGAGGGAAGGCTTTCTCAAGAATGTACCCTCAAAGATTCATAGCATACCCCTCCCCAAACACACACACACACACACACACACACCCCTGTACATTTCATTTCAACAAACAGCATTCTCAAGTCTTGCAAATTTCATCAAGCTTTGAAACTCCCTTCAAGGGTCTCTGTTCCGACTCTTGCCCATTCCTCCAACAGTAGCAACTGAGGCACTCACAGGGTCAAACATTTGGTGAGTGCGCAAAGGCCACAATCCTGTTATAAGGCCCACTTCCCCATCCTTGTCTCCCCATCCTTTCCCTAACCCCAAAGGAGAAAGAAAAGCTCTTGGCCTTCGAGCCCCGGGAAGGCACAGTTTAGTTCCTTTCTTGACCCCACAGGCCTCATTAGAAAGACACCTTGAGGGCAGCTCTTACGGGTTTCCAAGGGGGTGAACATATCTCTCTGGCACAGGGCCTTGGGCCCACAGCCAGTCGGTTGCCCAGTCGTTGTGGGGGAGGGAGGGGTGCTGTCAATGCAAGGTCAAGGCAGCAAGAGGTGAACCACAAAGGCTCTCTTTTGGCAACTGCTGGGATGCCGAGCTGCAACCGGTCAGGCAGAGCTCTAACCGGTCAGGCAGAGCTCTTTTTCACAGGCTCCCAGGCGCAACCGGGCAGGTGCCTGCGGTGTCCTGGCGGCAGCGCAGAGAAGGGTGAACGGGGCCCCCTTGGCTCAGAGGCACCAAAACCAAGCTGAGTAATGGAGATGATCCCACGGAGAATGGGGACAGAAGCAGATCTCTCCTAAGAGGGAACGAAGGGGCGAGCGGGGGTGGTGGTCTCGGGTCGCGGCCGAGGTTTCTCGGCCCTGTACCGAGGACCGGGGTGGGAAAAGTGGAGATTGGCTCCCCGCCTGTCGGAGGTAGCTGGACCGAAGCAAAAGATCGAGCCTCCGGTTTGGCTACTTAGGACCGGACGGCAGCGCAGCGAGTGTATAGAAGAGGCTACAGAGAGGCCGTACAGAGAGAGGCTTGGAGGACCTAACCCGGCAGAACGCAAAAGGGGTGGGAGCTGCCGGCTATTCTGAAGGCCGAAGTTTGCCTCAGTAGCCCCAAAAGTTAGAGATGGAGAAGGAAGTGGAAGCAATGATAAGGGTCAGGCCCCTTCCTTATTCTGGATGCCCTAGGAACAGTCATTTCTCTCTGTGCCTCTGTTTCCATATTTGTGAAAGGAGCTGTCCAGTCTATTCCAAAAGGGGCATTTTGGGAATCCTCTGATTCCCTCCATCGCCACTGAATTCAGGCTTTGAAATTTAATTTGGCAGTGAACATACTGTCGGCACCCAAGTTCTGTTTCGAAAAGCAAAAACCCATCGCAGTTTTCTTGAAGCATCTGTTGAATGCTGCTGTATGATGCCGCACAGGTGGCTGCGACAGCGCTGCCAAGTCCACCGACTGCACAACGCTCGCATCTTTAGAAATGCTTTGGTAGCGAACAGTAATTTATAAATATGGAAGAGAAAACGTATGTCTTCTCTTTAAATAATTAAGCACTCATCTTTAAAAACTCCCCAAGTGTCCCCTTACTCTATGAATGTGGAATGCTTAGTCTTGCCTTTTCTGGCGGGACTCGTATTTATTTTGTCAGAGGCTGAGACATTTATATTACTTCAAAAAATGTAAATATAAATCCCTGTGATATTTTTGCTAAGCCAAAATGGATCTGCCGAGCAGCGAGTGGAAGTTAGCATCCGCCAAAACCTGTTCTCGCTCCCCGGCTCCCGGGGGAACCGGCTTGGAGAAATTGACCATGATAATAGCAATTATGAGGATGAGGATGATGGTAATAATAGTTTTTATTATTATATATTTCGCTCTAAAGGCTGTTCTCTCCTTCTCCTTGTGAAAGGCAAAAGTGCCGAGAGCGACCAGGGGTGAAACCCACGTGGTCGTTGGGAAGGTTCCCGCAGCAGCAGAGAGAAAGTTTGCTAGCCACGCGGCTTGCTGAAGCACGTCTGGGCTTCGGAGGTCGGGTAGAAACAAGCAGGCACGTTAGCCTTTGAGCGGCGCTCGCCGAGCGGCCCAGAGCCTGTAAGACTGAGCCGGAGCGGTCCGCGGCGAGGCTCGGGGTACCGGGTTCCGCCGGGACCGAAGGCTCTGCTTTCTTGGCATTTGCGGCGCGTACTGCCTCTTCAGGTTCTCTAGGCTGCGGCTCGGCAGAGCGCTGCAAGGTCCGACGGACTTTGGAGATTTTGGCAACACCAGACCAGAGAATTTAGTGTAAGGAGAAATTTAGGGCGCACTTTAGGACTGGGGAAGCAAACTCAAAACAAGCACATGCTGGCGCTTTCTGTCGCTCTGTCATTGCCAGAGAGGTTTTCTGGAACCCCTGCCTAACGAGGCCTGGGGAGTCAGCCCAGGGTTTTCACTGCTTTCCTTTCCGTTCCTCAGGTGTATGGAAATTGTCCCTGGAAAGAGGAGTTATTTACAGTGAATTCCTCAGGTTTGATTAAAATCCCCAGTGCCCCCCGGAACACGGTTTCCAAATATTTCCCGGTTTCTAAGGCTGTGGACTTGTTTTTACAACTTTCGAACCGGGGCGATTTCCTCCTACTACAAATACATATGTTTCCAAAACTACTGATTTAGAAATTCGGGAAAGAATTAAAGAAGATTGTTACTACGTAGGAAAAAGTTCCTCATCATTTGAAACTTTGGGAACTTTTTAAAAAAATAAACTGACTAGAAAGTTTACTTCTCTACTCATTATTATTTCCCCCTCTTGACCAGAGAGCCCTATTTTAACACACCTAAAGGATGACAGACAGGTTTAAAAAATGAGTGACAGGATTCTAGCAAAATTCTCGAAGGCAGGTATTTTCACAGATCAAAAGAAGCTACACAAGAATTCTACCGGGAGTTTTTTTTTTTTTCTTATTTACCACCGGACATAAATGCAAGGAATTTTGATAATACTTCTACCCATATTTTTTCAGTTTTAAAGCAAATTATCATAGCCAGATATGTTTTTGGTAGTAATACAATTGTATCAAATTATATTTTCAGCATTCGCTATTACTACTTAATCGTAAAAACCCAGCATCAGATCCATAATGTCCATCGTTGAGGCATGCCACACCTAGAAATAAACTTTTATGACATCGAACACAATTGACTTTTCCCTTACTGTGCCTCAAACATGGTCATAGACTTAGAAAAAAATCTTAGACATAGATAGCTTATTATACACAGTCTTTTTAAAGTTGGTAGGATTATTTTTAATAAAAAAATAACGCAGTAGAACTCTGTGTGCTGTGTAGGAAGGCAGGGGGCAGTCTCTGATCGTGTCAGTCTCTGTAAGTGAAACTTCTGTTTGGAAAGATCTTCTGTTTTAGAGAAAAACAACAATCAACACTGGTTCTCTGACGCTCTCATTGAAGAGAAGAGAAAAATACTGGAAGCCTTTTGGGAGGGGGAGTTGGAAGTTCCCATTGAAGGGAAGAGAAAAAGACTGGAAGCCTTTTGGGAGGGGGAGTTGGAAGTTCCCATCACATATTTCTGCCACGTCTAAGGAAAAAAAAAGGTATATCACAATTAAAAATCTGTGCTTATTTCTTTTATGCAAAAAACCGTATTTAATTAATTTTATCTAACATCCTTCTAGTAATACAATATGTATTTTGTGTAGTTTCCAGTAACCAAGTATATGTTTGAAAAAATAGCAACATGCATGCAAGTTTGAATAGGGATTGGGAATGGAATCTTGTAGCCTCAAAAAGGAGAAAGAGCTAGGAGCTACTTTGACATCAGTTCTGTAGGGAAATATGTGTTGTCTTGGAGCGCATTCGTGTTATGACGAATGCATTTTGTATTATAGGCATGCATTTCACTCTTCCAGTTTAGGATAACAAAGATGGCAATTAGGACCTTTTATTTAAATTAAACTGAGATTGAAAGTCCAGGACTACAGTGATTTCTTGTTCATTCTTAGCTCAAGACTACTGGTCGCTGAAGCCCAGTAGTCTTGCTACCCATATATCTTACTCTGACTCTTTCAGACCATTATGATTTCTACTTCCCATTTCTGTAATAATTAGAGCTATAACCATGCAACCAAACATTTCCTTGTTTCGGAGTTATGTCTAAAGTAAAGTAATGGGCTTGGTTTCTCTGGTCTGTAAATCAATATCATTACATTATTTCAAATGAGTCGCAACATCACTCATTGCTACCGAATCCCTTCTTTTCTTTTTGTAAGAACTATTCCCTCAACCAAATTATAAGGATCTCAGGAGGAAGCATTTAACCATAAGCTTCTCTTCTCCTTTTTTCCACAACTATCCTAATACTTCGCACAAAGAATATAAGCAACAATGATAACTACCATTGTTGTTATGCAAGAGGTTAAGATGAATGGTCAAGAAGGGCTGGACTTCTAAAACTCGAATTTTTCAATGACCTGAATACAAATGTAAAAGATGTTTTACCAAATTGGCCCTTCATGCAAAAAGATCATGACAGTTTGAACCGACCAAGATGAAACTTAATAGTAATAAATAGTAATAAATGTGAGATGCTCAATTTGAGTATCAAACTTCTCTGCACAAATTTAGGTCACCGAAGCTGGGAACATTTGGTGAAAAAATACTTATTGATTTTAGTTGACATCAAGATCAACAAGCCTTCAGTGTGATCTGGTTGCTGGGAAACATAATTTTATATTGAGCTTTTGCAACTTTCATAAAAAGAGTCAAAATGCAGTTGGGCTATATACGGTATTTTCAGGCACATACTTTAAGAATGAAGATTGGAATTCATTTATCAGAATGATGGGAATTCATTCACAAGAATGTTCAGATCAGTAGAGTGCTGGAATCATGTTAGATGGGTTTGTATCATCTGGAAGACATGACTCTTGGGTTACATGCTAGCTGACTTCAAATATTCAAGGGATTTTCTTAAGGAAAGTGGATTTAATTTATTTCCCAAGTTTGTTATTCATGTCTTATTTGTATCTGTTACCTCAGTGTCTTGCACAATGTCTGACACAAACTAAGCATTCAATAAATATTTGTGAACTGAATGAAACTATAAACATTAAACTCTGAAGAGAATAAAACTGAATTTAATGAATCCACAGTTTCTGGCTCTAGAGGAGGATTTTATAGCATTCAGAACTATCCAAAGATGGCATAAGTTGTTTCAGGAGGTAGTTAGTTCTCCACTCTTGAGATGTTCAATGCTACAGAGGTTAATCTCTTGGTGGGGATGTTACAAAGGAGAACTATGTGTGAGGAAAGAGAAGAACACGTGGCTAATGAATGACATTTAAAGCTCTTTCCAATCCAAAATCTTGCACAATGAATAAATGCTATCTTAATCTAATTTTATGACATAAATAGATATTGAACTTTCTTAAAAACAGAGACAAAAAAAGTTATGTACTGCAGACTGGCCATATAGATTCAGCTTTGTCATAAGAAAGAAGCAGCCTCCTACCAAGTCACAAGACACTTTTGTTGAGCCTGTTGCACTTGATAGCTACTGACTTCGGTGGAAAATAATCTCTGGGAAGCTTATTATCATGTTAGTATACTATCACTCTTTACAAGTCTAGAATGCTACAGATGGTCCCCGACTTACGAAGATTAGACTTACAGTTTTCTGACATTAAGATGATGCGAAAGTGATACGTATTCAGTATGCTTCTTAACAATTTTCCTTTTTCCTCACCAACAAATTTGAAGGCCAAGTCTCTACACATTTCAAAGGCTGAAACAACAAAAGTTCATTTAAGATGATGTTTTAAAAACAAGTGATAGCAAATTCCCTGTCATCAAAAACTAAAGAAAAATAATATGGTAAATAAACATTTTCTTACCATATATACACATTTTATTTATAGACAAGTATAGAAATCTTTCATTTTCTCCAAGTGGAGCTTAATTTGAAGCAAAAGCCAATATAGTAATGACTAGATGCCTATTGTCATCTAATGGCAGCCCTGCAGTAGAAGTACCTGAGTAAAAGTTTATTTTCTGGCCTTTTGATTTTTGAATCAAAATTATTTTTACTGTTTATGCATCTTCTAGTCATTAGTAGGAAAATGATAGTAAACTTTTAATAGGTGATCTTGTAAGGGAGAGTAATGAATTCTTACTTGGTGATAGAGCAAAGCTGTGGGGCAAGATTTGCCAGAGAACACAACTTTGTTGGTCTTCCAATTTGACCAGCATTCTTCATCTACCAAGATAAGATTCAAAAATAAGCCTTTATCCTTTAGAGTGTCATACTCAATAATCAAGAAAAGCACTGATAAATCAGGGACTAGATAGTTTAGTCTATCATTGTTAATTTTGTCTATGCATTTTTTATTTCATTATGACCTCAAAAAAACCTTATTGTCAATATAACTTGGCTGAACTTCCAAAGATACAAGGACAGAGGTGAAAAAATGTAGAGAAGTACCTCTCATATTCTTTCAAGCCAAGCCACACAGTGGGAGCAGTATTACTATCGTCTGGTTTGATTACAAAGTATAATGGTTGAGTTATATCAGTAGTCCTGATATTTTGAGAGTTTTTAATTTTTTTAAAGTCTGTGATATCAAGTAATGTGGTATTCAGAACATTACAGTAAAACATACATCTAAAAATGGTTTGCCTTTCAAAGACTAGACATTTCAGTGACGCTATGATTCGTCAAAATATTTCTTAACATCTCTTTTGAAATTGCCTTCAGAATATGCCACATTGTTTTCAATTTTTGGCAAAAGTCTATGTCATTGAGAATTGTGTCTGGTGATTAACATTTTATGATCCGAATATTTTGTTGAATCAAGTGAAAGCACATGACCTTAAAACCCTCTGGAGGAACAACCAAAACAAAAACCAGTGTCTTGCTTATGTCATTCTTGACAGTGACAATTTACCCTGGAGTAGGTGAGAGTTTTCTTCCATTTGTTCTATCCTCTTATGTGTCTGCTCTAGTAGAAACTCAAAATGTAAGTTTGCCTGGAAGCTTGTGCACAACAAAGATAATATTTAAGGCAATATTTCAAAAACTGAAGCGAGAAAAATAGTATTTCCATGGAAGTACATGTCACCAATCTGGCTATTAACTGTATTAATATAGTAAAAGTAGAATGAGTATAGTCTCCCTCACTCTCTTCCAGAAGAATGGAAGGATTAATGATCTAAGTTAGAACTTCTGAACTCAGCATTCAATTACATGCTGTGTAATCTGTATTATTTATAACTTCACAGTGTAACCATGGCTAGAAATCTTTTAAATTTGAAGGTTCAAAAAATTATGTTGGTGCATATGGTTTGGAAATTTGTAGAAGAACCAATAATATGTATATAATCTTTCACAAAGCTGATCAATAAATTTATTTAAGAAAGCTTTGCTCTAGGAAGAAATGAACACCAGGTGATTTAGCGACCAAATTCCAAATTAGTACACAAATTAACCTATGGTTTTGATCTTGAATATGTCGGTTCATCTGTTGGCTGCATTTAGAACAGAAAAGAGGCTTAAAGTACGATATTGGATTTATTAAAGAGGCATTTTGTCTGAAAAAGTGACCTCTATGTTATTGCAGATAGTGTGCCGCAATTCAATCATCTCTATCCTTAAGATTTTTTAAGTGCGTGACTTCTTACTTTGCTGCAATCTAAACTCTGACTGCTTATCTAAGAAAGCTAAAATATACACCATGTGGTACAAAAAATGATGACTACAGAGACAGTTTGATCAGATACCAGATTAAAATGCAAATCAAAGTAGACCAACCCCTGTTGTAGATGAAATGCAACCCATTACTTTTTTAAAGAACCATGAATTTTAAAAGTTATTAAAATTAAGAATACTACATTATCAAATAACTTTTCCTTATGTTTTCTGACAATTGTACTGATGACTACTAGTGTAGACCTTAGCTTTCCTGGCTTCGTAATGTTTCTTGCTAAACTAGGAATTGAATTGTGAAATATTTCAGAAGTGCAATAATTCTTGGTAATAAAAAATATTTACTAGAGTCCTCTCATCATTTAATAAAAGAAAGTTTTATGACATTTTATTTTTTAAAAAAGAGCTTTATTGAGTTATGATACATATACATTAACCTGCATATATTTAATGTATACAAGCCGATCAATTTGGACATCTGCATACACCTGTGAAATCATCACCACAATCAAGGTAATAGACATCTCTATCACCTCCAACAGTTTCCTTGTTTCCCTTTGTTTGTTTTTCTTTTGTGTGTGTGTGGGGGGGAGTGGGGGGGTAAGAACACTTAACATGAGATCTACCTTCTTAACAAATTTTAAGTGCATATGCAGTACTGTTGACTGTACACACTATGCTGTACAGCAGATCTCTAGGACTAATTTATTTCGCATAACAGAAACTTTATACCATTAAACAACTCCCCACTTGTTCTAATCTCTCTTTCAATGAGTTTGACTATTTTAGATATGTCATGTAGGTGAAATCATGCAGACTTTGTTCTTCTATAACTTAATTATTTCACTTAATATAATGTCCTTCAGGTTCATCCTTGTTGCTGCAAATGGCAGGATTTCCTTCTTCTTTTTTAAGGCAGAGTAATACTTCATTGTATGAATACTTTATCTATTCATCTGTCTATGGACATTTGGGTTGTTTCCATAACTTGGCTATCATGAATAGTACTACAGTGAACATGGTAATGCAGATATCTCTTTGACATACCTATTTCAATTCCTTTGGATACGTTTACCAAAGTAAAACTGCTGGATTATATGGCAGTTCTAGTTTTATGTTTTTGAGGAACTTACATACTGTTTTCTATAGTAGTTGCACCATTTTTACATTCTCAACAATGTAGAAGGGTTGCAGTTTCTCCACATCCTCAATAACACATCTTTTTTATTATAGTAGCCATTCTAACTGATGTGAGATGATACCTCATTGTTATTTTGATTTACATTTCCCTGATGATTAGCAATGTTGAATATATTTTCATAGATTTTTTGGCCACTTGTGTGTCTTCTTTGGAAAAATGCCTATTCAAGTTTTGTTGCCTGTTTTTATATTGAGTTGGTTTCTTTTTTCTATTGACTTATAGGAGTTCCTAAATATTTTGGATGTTAATAAAGACATCTTTCCATTTATGTTTAAAAATAAACATATGTTTATTTTTACATATGTTTCCCCTTTATGTAGGTTGCCTTTTCATTCTATTGATTGTTTCCTTTGCTGTGCATGAGCTGTTTAGTTTGATGTAATCCCACTTATCTATTTTGGCTTTTGTCGTTTGTGCCTTTGGTGTTGTATCCAAGAAATCAATGCCAAGACAGGTGTCAAGAAGCTTTTCCTTTATGTTTTCCTCTAGAAGTTCTAGTTTCTGGACTGACATTTAAGTCTTTATTCCATTTTGAGTTTATTTTTGTATATGGTATAAGATAAGGGTCCAATTTCATTCTTCTTCATGCAGATATACAATTTTACCAACACCATTTGCTGAAGAGGCTATCTTTTCCCTGTTGTGTACTTTTCGAACCTTTGTCAAAGGCAGTTGACCATATGTGTGTGAATTTCATTCTGGGCTTTGTATTCTATTCCATTGGTCTATATGTGTCTTTATGCCTGTGCCATACTGTTTTAATTACCATGACTTTGTAATCTATTTTCAAACCAGGAAATGTGATACCTCCAACTATGTTTTTCCTTCTCGAGATTGCTTTGGCTATTGCTCTTTTGTCATTGCATCTGAATTTTAGGATGGTGTTTTCTATTTCTGTAAAACATACTTTGGGGATTTGGATTGGAATAACAATCTGTAGATTGTTTGTGGTAGTATAGCTATTTTAATAATGTTAAGCCTTCTAATCCATGAACACAAGATATCTTTCCATTTATGTTTATCTTCTTTAATTTCTTTCAGCAAAGTTTTGTGATTTTCAGTGTATGTCTTTCATCACTTTAGTTATGTTAATTTATAAGAATTTTATTCCTTTTTATTTCATTTACTGTAAATGAAATTGTCTTCTTAATCTCCTTTTCAGATAGATAGTTTATTGCTAGTGTGTAGAAACACAACTGATTTTTCTATGTTGATTTTGTATACTGTGATGTTACTGAATTTGTTTTTTTAGTTTTTCTGTGGAGTCTTTAGAATTTTCTACATAAAATGTTATTTGCAAACAGATAATTTTACTTCTGCCTTTCCGATTTAAATACGCTTTTAACCTTTTTCTTGGCTAATCCCTCTAAGATTTCCAGTACTATGTTGAATAGAAGTGCTGAGAGTGAACATCCTTATCTAGTTTCTATCATAGAGGAAAAGCTTTCAGTTTTTCACAGTTGAGTATGATGCTAGCTATGGGCTTTTCATTTATGGCCTTTATTAAATTCCTTCTATACCTACTTGTTTTTGAGAGTTTTTATCAGTAAAGCATGTTCAGTTTTGTCAAATGCTTTTTCTTAATCTATTGAGATGATCATGTGATTTTTATCCTTCATTTTGTTAGTGTGATATAACACATGGATAACTTCATGTATATTGAATTATCCTTGCATCCAAGGAATAAATCCCACTTGGTTGTGATGTATCATCCTTTTAATGTGCTGTTTAATTTGGGTTGCTAGTATTTTGTTCATAATTTTTGCATCTGTTTTCATCAGGGTCTTTGGCCTGTGGTTTTCTTTTTTTTATTAGTGTCTTTACCTGATGTTTGCATCAGGGTAGTCCTGGCCTCATAAAATTGGTTTGAAATTGTTTCCCATTTTTCAATATTTTAGAAGAGTTTAAGAAAGATTGGTGTTAATTCTTCCTTAAATATTTGGTAGAATTCACCAGTGAAAGCATCAGTTCCTGGGCATTTCTTTGTTGGGAGAGTTTTTGATTTCTGATTCAGTCTCCTAATTTTTTTTTTTCTTTGAGACAGAGTTTCACTCTTGTTGCCCAGGCTGGAGTGCAATGGCGCGACCTCAGCTCACCACAACCTCCACCCCCCAGGTTCAAGCGATTCTCCTGCCTCAGCCTCCCGAATAGCTGGGATTACAGGCATGCACCACCACGCCCAGCTAATTTTGTATTTTTAGTAGAGACAGGGTTTCTCCATGTTGGTCAGGCTGGTCTTGAACTCCCGACCTCAGGTGATCCACCCGCCTTGGCCTCCCAAAGTGTTGGGATTACAGGCGTGATTGTTTTGCTTTTGAGACATGGTTTCACGCCAGTTGCTCAGGCTGGAATGCAATGGCATGATCTCAGCTCACTGCAACCTCCGCATGCCAGGCTCAAATGATTCTCCCACTTCAGCTTCATAAGTAGCTGAGACTCCAGGTGCATGCCACCATGGCCAGCTAATTTTTGCACTTTTTGTAGATACCGAGTTTCACCATATTGCCCAGGCTGGGCTAGAACTCCTGAACTCAAGTCATCCGCCAGCCTCCGCCTCCTAAAGTGTTGGGATTACAGGTGTGAGCCACTGTGCCTGGCCCCAGACTCCTAATTTGTTATTATCTGTTCAAGTTTTCTGTTTTTTCATGATTCAGTTTTAGTAGATTGGGTGTTTATAGGAATTTATCAATTTCTTCTAGGTTTTCAGATTTGTTGGTGTGTAATTGTTCATAATTGTCTCTTATGATCCTTTTTATTTCTATATCATCAGTTGTAGTTTTTCCTCTTTAATATCTGATTTTATTGGTATGGATTCTCTATCTCTGTAAGTCTAGTTCAGAGTTTGCCAATTTTATCTTTTTTAAAAAAAACGTAGTTTAGTTGACTTTTTTTCTACTGTCTCTTTTGTTTATCTTCTCTAATTTTTGTTAATTCTTCCTTTTTCTAACTTTGGATTTAAAAACTTTGTTTTTCTAGCTATTTGAGGTATAAAGTTAAGTTGTTTGAAATTTTTTATTATAGTCATTAATTACTATAAACTTCCATCTTACTACTGACTTTGCTACATCTCATAGGTTTTGATAGTTTATATTTGTTTTTGTTTGTTTGAAGTATTTTCTTTCCTTTTTTCTTTCTTTTTTTTTTTTTTAAATGTAGAGACAAGTCAGGCTGTCTTGACGTTGGCCTGGCTGGCCTTGAACTCCTGGCCTCAAGTGATCTGCCCGCCTTGGCCTCCCAAAGTCCTGGGATTACAGGTGTGAGCCACTGTGCCCAGCCCCAGTTTCAAAGTATTTTCTAATTTTCCTTTTGATTCCTTCTTTGACACAATGGTGGTTCAAGAGTGTTTTAATTTCCGCCTATTTTTACATTTTCCAAGTTTTGTTTTTTCTTTTTGAAGATGATTTAACTTTCAAGTTGGGGCTATTAGACTTGACAACTTTCTCTTGAGCAGAGTCTATTAATTGATGTGTAAGTGTCTTGTTTACTCTTCATCTACAGCTATTTATAGAGTTATAGGTCCCTCTATCTTTTGAAATCAACATTACATGAGTAACAGCAACAATTTCTCATTTGTGTTCCAACCACTAGTGCATAAAACGTACAATTACTTTTCCAAAATGTAATATTGGACCCTATTGGAAAAAAGTACTTTTAATACATTGCAGTCAACCCGGATGACAACTTAAGCTTCCATTATGTTTTTATTCAAAGAGGCTAATAAATTCTGGCACAGTGGGAGGACTGAATTTAATTAGGGCCTTTCTTAGATGAATTTGAAATTCATTAAGTTTCTTGTTTTCCTTAACATGGATAACACCTATAAGACTTAGTGAGAGTTCTCAGCTACAGAATATTTACCAGAAAATAATTATAGAACATGTATACGGAAGTTTTCCCAACAAAGACTCTAAAAACTTGGTATTCTTGATATCTCCCATGATAAATCCTCTATCTAGTAACCAGGCCAGAAGTCAAAAGCTAATCAGATTTGAAGGTAAATCAACCACATGTTAAGCATAAGAAACTTCAGATGATTCACTCTAGTAATTTAAGAGAAGAAAAGGCTGAATTTCCATATCTACATAATGCTAATTGCATTTAAACACTTCTAAGAAGGCGTAGAAAACTTCAATACTTTTGCCATATTTTCAAGTTAGAAAATGTAGGACTGTTAATATATCCTTAATTTTAGATTGATTCCAGGATGTGTAAATTGCAATTTAAATTTGAAATGGCTTCTCTTGATGTGGTCTTCAATTTATCATTCCCTACTTTCTTTTTTAGACTTTATGGCCTCTACTCTTAAACTTAATGGCCCCTACTTCTACATTGTCCTTTGAAAGTGATTTATGCATATTGTGTTTGTTTGTTTGTTTTTTCTAGCTTCAGATTTGAACTTAGAAAGAAGAAGATAAGCAATAAAAGCTCTGTAGACCATCTTGGGCAATGTTAATTGATTCTTTGTTAATAAAACTTTGACTCATTATAGTTGGTCATTTCCTCCTATTTCTCCTCTCCTCTGCAATCCCCATGCCTTCCAAATGATGACAGAAAAGTAAGGCCAGGCGAAACAGCTGGTGTTTTTGTTTTATATAATTTGTTAGATACTAACAATTAGACCTAGATCATTTGTAATTCAGCTAGATTTTACTTAAGATGAATGTCAGTGTGGAAAATATATTTAATATGCTTGAAAGATTTGTTGAAATTATCCTATATCTTTAAATTTACAAAACACAGGTGACAAATTTTTTCTCTCAGGGTACTCAAATGAGATTTTTTTCTATGACTCTCAAAGCTGACTTCCATTTTTTTTTTTTTTTTTTTTTTTGAAACAGGGTCTCACTGTGACACCCAGACTGGAGTGCAGTGGCACAATCACAGTGCACTACAGCCTGGACTTCCATGGCTCAAGTGATCCTCCTGCCTCAACCCCCCAAGTAGCTGGGACCACAGGCACGTGCCACCATGCCCAGCTATTTTTAAAATGTTTTATAGAGATAGGGTCTCAGTATGTTACCCAGGCTGATCTTGAACTCCTGAGCTCAAGCAATCCACCTGCCTTGGCCTCCCACAGTGCTGGGATTACAGGCATGAGTCACTGTGCCACAGCCCTTTGATTTTTTTTTTTTTTTTTTTTTTGAGACGGAGTCTCACTCTGTCGCCCAGGCTGGAGTGCAGTGGCGCAATCTCTGCTCACTGCAACCTCCGTCTCCTGGGTTCAAGAGATTCTCCTGCCTCAGCCTCCTGAATAACTGGGACTACAGGCATGCACCACCACACCCGACTAATTTTTGTATTTTTAGTATAGACAGGGTTTCACCATGTTGGCCAGGCTGGTCTCAAACTCCTGACCTCCTGTGATCCACCCTCCTCAGCTTCCCAAAGTGTTGAGTTTACAGGCATGAGCCACTGCGACCGGCCAGGCCTTTAGTTTTCAGTTTCAGCTTTATTGAAATATTATTCACAAATCATAAAATCCACCCCCTTTAAAGTGTATAATTCAGTGGTTTTTAACATATTTGCAGAGTTGTACAACTATCACCACCATCCAATTTTCGTTTCTTTTTTTTTTTTTTTTTTTTTGAGACGGAGTCTTACTCTGTCACCCAGGCTGTAATGCAGTGGCATGATCTCAGCTCACTGCAGCCACCGCCTCCCAGGTTCCAGTGATTCTCCTGCCTCAGCCTCCTGAGTAGCTGGGATTATAGGCACGTGCCACCACGCCTGGCTAATTTTTGTATTTTTAGTAGAGACCGGGTTTCACTATGTTGGCTAGGCTGGTTTTGAACTCCTGACCTCAGGTGATCTGCCTGCTTTGGCCTCCCAAAGTACTAGGATTATAAGTGTGAGCCACTGCGCCCGGCCTCCAATTTTGGTTTCTAAATTTTAAAATGCAACTTATATTAATTACTTTGTGGCAATCATTTCACAATGTATGCATATATCAAAATATCATGTTGTACCCCTTGAATATATATGGTTTTTATTTGCTAATTGTACCTCAATAAAGCTGAAAAATTTAATTTAACTTTAAATTTGAACTAAATTAAAAATTCAAGATAAACAACTAAAATGTAATACATCTTATAGGAGACATGAATTTTAGAAGCTTTCATAAAGATAACAGCTTATTTTAGTAATAGTTACCTCTTTGTTTTACTCATGGTCATCTTAAAATATTGAGCAATAATTAACAACATCATATTTCTTAAATTAACTATCAAACCTAGAGAGACAGATTAAGGTTCTAGATTAAAATTTAGTTCAACCTTTAAGAATATTTAATTATTGCAGAACTTATCCTTTGGTGCATAGAAATATAATGTGTATTGGATAATGAATAGGAATTTGGCATATTCAGTAGCTTTAATGCTCTGTCAAATATAGTTTTTGATGATCTGTTGCTTTAATCAATAGCTGTATATAGTCCTACCCTATCTGTTGTCATCTCTGTTTCCTCTGGAATAACGCTGAGCTAATTTCATCATAACAGCTTGGTAGGTAGAACAGAAGCAGTAGACTTAAGATGCCAATCTTTAACGTGTCACAGATTTTAAGGGCAGTTTGAAAAGGGGTTCAAAGATGCTGTTAGTCATTACTCCTTTCATAATAGTACATGTTGTGAGCTATGGTAGTTTGCTCTCTCCTTTTTGTTTTCTTTTTGTGAGACAGGGTCTCGCTCTGTCACCCAGGCTGCCAGGCTGGATTACAGTGAAACAATTTAAGCTCACCCCCATCCTAGGCTCAAGCGATCCTCCCACCGCAGCTTCCTGAGTAGCTGAGACTTCAGGTACACACCACCATCTCCAGCTAATTTTTAAGTTTTTTATGGAGACGGGGTTTCACCACGTTGCCCAGGCTGGCCTCGAACTCCTATCCTCAAGCGATCCACCCACCTTGGCTTCCCAAAGTGCTGGGATTACAGGAGTGAGCCACTGCACCTCGCCTTGGTCACTTCCAAGAGTGATTTAGAATTCAAAAGTCTTTTTCTTAGTTGACATGCAGAAGATTCTCTGAAGGAAAGAATATTGGCAGATGCACATGGATGTGCTACTAAAACATTGCATTAGTAGTGAGATATTTGTATATGGGTTGGTGTGGGAGTACTTCAGATGTGTGATCATGTACTCAAGAATACTGCAGTCAGAAAGGAACAGTGGAAAATGTAGTACCAAATAAGCAACAAAACTAAGCCACTTAGGAGACTGTAGGCTTTATGAAATACAATGAAGCTATAATAATTATTATAATAATTTAGTATTATGTGCTAGGCATTTTGCATGCATTATAACATTTAGATATCACATGACTCTACAAGGTAGACATTGGTATTCTCCTTTTATGGATGAGGAAACCAAAGATTAGAGTTCGTGACCCAACTAAGATCACCAAGGCAGTACGTTGGATTATAAACCCAGGTCTATCATACTCAAGTATCATACTCCAGTATTGGCATTCTTAGATACATTTAAGCAATTTACTTGATAGAGGACATTCAGTAAAGTCATGTAATAATCTAGAGGTATTTGCCATGGTCATGTGTTTCTTTGTTGTTGTTGTTTTGGCTTTGTTTATGTGCCCCTCTACTTCCCATATCCCACATACTTAGGAGATAATAAGTTTATATAGCAAATAAGTTCATCCATGTAATATTTTTTATATTTGTAGTATATGTATTTGTCTTCCATGTGGCCTTTTGTTTGATGGGGCATTTTCAAAAGAAACATTTTTCCTTCATTCACTACTGTATGGCCTATTTGCAACACCATAAACATCACTAAAATTTAAAAATAAACAATACTACAACGTTTGAAATGGGTCAGCCATAAGATTTACGTTCCTTGTATATTCCCTTTGGACTTTTTAAGTAGGTAAGAGGTTGGAAGTGGCCAACTTTAGTGAACAATGACCGTAGTGCTGTATTTTCTTAGGAAAAAACACTGCTGGATAGGTTTAGAAGATGGGAAATATTTTTACTCAAACTCAATTAGTCAGGGTCAGCAAGAGGGAATAAATGACATCAAAGTCAAGAAATTATTTTTCTTCTTCATTGCTATCTTCCTTTATTACCCATCCTTGAAATTAGTGGATGTTAGGATAAGTAAGCACAAGTAGAGATGGCTTTCAGGACTGCAAAAATCTATCATATTTACCCTTTGGAATTGTGTAAAATGATTATAACTTATTAATATTTTATTTAGAATGCACATAAACTAGCATAAATACATTTTATAGATGAATACAATACTGTAGATTCTAAAGACTGTGGTTGGCTAATAGAGCAATGAGGAATGTAAATAGTGATTTATTTTCATTTTTTATGGCAACACATTATATATAAGATCTGTATGTGTACAAATTACTTTCAGATAGTTTGTCCAAAAATATTATGCTTAACCACTTTGTGATTCGTAGAATATAAATTCTATGACAGTGCTTTGAGACATAAATTGTTGAAAATTATTTTTTGTTGTTGTTGAGATGGAGTTTCTCTGTCTGTCGCCCAGGCTGGAGTGCAGTGGCACAATCTCAGCTCACTGCAGCCTCTGCCTCCCAGGTTTCAGCAATTCTCCTGCCTCCGCCTCTGGAGTAGCTGGGATTTCAGGTGCCCACCAACATGTCTGGCTAATTTTTTGTATTTTTAGTAAAGAACAGGTTTCACCATGTTGGCCAGGCTGGTCTCGAACTCCTAACCTCAAGTGATCTGGCCTCTTTGGCCTTCAAAAGTGCTGGGATCACAGGCATGAACTATCCCACCTGGCCAAAAATTCTTTAAACTCTTTTATCACACTTCCATGCAATTGCAGAAATATAATGATGAATCTAGTTTATATTTTCCTGCTTTAAATTCATAAATATTTCCAAGCTCATAATTCAGTTAATATCTAAACTCTACATTCAACAACTTTAAATTTGCTAATTTTTCCATTAGCATTAGACAGCAGTTCTCAATTTCCACTAAGATAAGGTCAGAAAGAAGGAACTACACTTACAGCATGAAAGATATAGGCTGAGGTTAGCCAAACCTTCCTATCAGTTTAGGGAGATGCTAGGACATGTTCTCAAGGGAGTTGTTCGTCATCTATCCCAGAGATTTTAATGAAAGCAATTGTGTTTCTGGGAATGCATTAGGTGAAATTTTCAATTCAAAACAAAAAGAAGATTATGATAATTTCTAAAGTTTTTTTAAGCACTGTAATTCTACGCACATTTTATTATAATAAATATCTTGCTTAATTGTAGTATGTCATCATCAGAAGTAGGAGATGTATTTCAGGACAGCAAATGCATTAAACTGTACAGCTATTTGAAGATACCAATGCCGGGTAATTAAAAAGCCACTTTGAGGAAGGAATGTTAAACTCTAGGTCTATAATTCCAACTTCCTACTGAACACTTCTACTAAAATATATGCATGTTTTACAGGTACCTCAAAACCACAAAAAGTATTTCAAAAGCAAAATTATGTATAATATTCTCAAATTGGTTGTTCATCTTTAGTTGATGCTTCTTCCACCTACTCAATTGCCTAAGAGAGAAAGATGAATCATACATGGCATCATCGCATCATGCTTTTCCACATTCTCATCCGAAATTTCAATTGTTTTATAATTTTTTTTTTTTTTTTGAGACAGAGTCTTTCTGTTGCCCAGATTGGAGTGCAGTGGTGCGATCTTGGCTCACTGCTACCTTCACCTCCCGTGTTCAAGCAATTCTCCTGCCTCAGCCTCCCGAGCAGCTGGGATTACAGGCACCCGCCACCACGCCCGGCTAATTTTTGTATTTTTAGTAGAGACAGGGTTTCACCATGTTGGCCAGGCTGGTCTTGAACTCTTGACCTCAAGTAATCCACCTGCCTTGGCCTCCCAAAGTGCTGGGATTACAGGCATGAGCTACCGCACCTTTATCTCAGAACCTGATCAAATAAATCCCTTTCTCTTCATCTCCAATGCTGTTGCTCTACTTCAGCTACATGTTCTCCTTCACCTGGCATATTACATCTTTAGTGTCCAAGCACTTCTTCTTGCTTCCAGTCCCACCTCTTCAAGTTACTTCTCCACATTGCTTCTAAAGTGACCTTTCAAATGGTTACTGCTTAAAATCTGACTGTGTGTCGGTTAAGTTTTGAATGTGTTTCCCAAAGTACATGTGCTGGAAACTTAATCTCCAATGCAACAGTATTGAGACATGAGACCTTTAAGAGGTGATTAGATCATGAGTACTCGGCCTTCATAAATGGATGAATGTCATTACTGTTGAAGTGAGTTTGTTTTGGAGAGATTGGGTTTGTTATAAAAGTGAGTTTGGCCCTCTCTTGCCTATATGATGTTTTCTACCATATTATGACCAACAAGAAGGCTGTCATCAGAGGCAGCCCCTCAGTCTTGGACTTCCTAGCCTCTAGAATTGTAAGCCAAATAAGTTTTTGTTCATTAGAAATTACCCAGTGTCAGATATTCTGTTACAGCAGCACAAAACAGATTAAGTCAAGGTCCCACTTACATGTGTAGGGTAAAGTTTAAAATCCTAATTATGAGTTTTTTAAAAATCTTTTTTTTGAAGTCTTTTATTTATTTAATTTAACATTTAAATAAGTTCAGGGGTAAATGTGCAGGTTTGTTATATAGGTAAACTTGTGTCATGGGGTTTGTTGTACATATTATTTCATCACCCAGGTATTAATCCTATTACTCATTAGTTATTTTTCCTGATCCTCTCCCTCATCCCACCCTCCACCCTGTGATAGGCCCCAGTGTGTGTTGTTTCCCTCTATGTGCCCACGTGTTCTCATCATTTAGCTCCCACTTTAAGTGAGAACATGCTGGTATTTGATTTTCTGTTGTAAATTTGTTGTAACTTGTTGTAATGAGGCTGTTTGTTTTTCTGTGTAAATTTAAGTTCCTTGTAGATGCTGGATATTAGACCTATGTCAGATGCATAGTTTGCAAATATTTTCTCCCATTCTGTAGGTTGTCTGTTGACTCTGTTGATAGTTTCCTTTGCTGTGCAGAAGCTCTTTAGTTTAATTAGACCTCATTCGTCCATTTTTGCTTTTGTTGCAACTGCTTTTGGCATCTTTGTCATGAAATCTGTGCCCGTTCCTATGTCCAGAATGGTATTGCCTAGGTTGTCTTCCAGGGTTTTTATAGTTTTAGGTTCTACATTTAAGTCTTTAATCCATCTTGAGTTGATTTTTGTTTATGGTATAAGCTAAGGCTCCAGTTTCAAACTTCTGCATATGGCTAGCCAGTTATCCCAGCACTGTTTATTTAATCGGGAATCCTTTCCCTATTGCTTGAAAAAATCTCTTATTGATCTGACCTTTGACTATATCTCTTGCCTCATCTACTGCTTCTCCATATGTACTCTCCAAATTCACTTACACTGTAAAAACAACTCATGTTCTTTCACGTGTTGTGATTGTTTGTAACCTGTTTCTTCTGTCTGAAACTGTCTTCTCTTTCTGTGTACCTAATTATCTTCAAGTATAACCTCTGTTGTAACACCTTTCCTTCTTTCTTTCTTTCTTTCTTTCTTTCTTTTTTTTTTTTTTTTTTTTTTTAGACAGAGTCTCCCTCTGTCGCCCAGGCTGGAGTGCAGTGGCGCGATCTCTGCTCACTGCAAGCTCCGCCTCCCGGGTTCACGTCATTCTCCTGCCTCAGCCTCCGGAGTAGCTGGGACTACAGGCGCCGCCACCACGCCCGGCTAATTTTTTGTATTTTTAGTAGAGACAGGGTTACTACTAAAAGTAGCAGTAGTACTAAAAGTAGAGACCGTGTTAGCCAGGATGGTCTTGATCTCCTGACCTCGTGATCTGCCCGCCTTAGCCTCCAAAAGTGCTGGGATTGCAGGCTTGAGCCACCGCGCCCGGCCTGTAACACCTTTCTTCACTCTTGTTTTCTATGCTCATACAGTCCCTTGGTAACTGCCTCTGTTGTAGAACATACTGCATAACATTGCTATCATCACTTGTCTTTCTCACTACACTGAGCTGCATGGGTGCATAGTGATGTCAATGGTTATTTTTGTATCTTCAGCGTCTGCAAAGATCTAGAACATAGTTGGGGTTAAATATGTTCATTAACATTATTATTGATCAAGTAGAATTTGTCTAAGAGTTGGAGGGGGCTGAGCTTCATGTCCTCTGGGATTCATATGATTCCTTGGCTTTCTTTCAGTTTCATGTTAATATTTACCTCTTTAAAATGGTCACCTTAAAGAATAAATTGACTGAATTGTAGCAATAATGATAGACATAAAGCTGTAAATCAGGCTAAATTCTCCCAGGCAGTACTTGGCTCTGGTTTTATCCATGAATAACTGAAGACTACTCAGTCTCCAGCAAACTGAGCACTGGATTTTCCTGAAAGAACTTGTCAAAAATTACTAAATTAAAAACATTTTTGGGATATTTGAAGACAGAAAATTAAAGTTTCTTAAGTCTATGCAGATGAGTACATTCTTCACTTCAGAAGTCAATGTTTAAATCTAAGCTTAATGTAATTAAATGTCATTCATCTGTTGACCAATGGCTCAAAAAGAAATTAATCTGTAAAAGTCAAATTTTACCAAGTAAGAATAATGATCAAATTGCCAAGTGATTCATGTCATGTAGTAATTTTGCAAGCTACTTATGCTCACTTTCATGAAATACATTTGTTTTCCATTTTTATGTGGTAAAATACACATAAAGGAAAATTCACCATCTTACCCATTTTTAAGTGTACATTCCAATGGTATTAAATATTAATACATTCATAACGTTATGCAACCATCCCCAATATTCATCTCCATAACTTTTTTCATCTTGTAAAACTGAAATCCTTACCCATTAAACAGTAACTTCCTATCCCCGCCTCCTCCTAGCCTCTGGCAACCACCATTCTGCTTTCCGTCTTTATGATTTTGGCTACCCTACTACCTCATATATGTGGAATTATATAATATTTATCTTTTTGTGATTGGCTTGTTTCCTGTAGCGTAATGTCCTCAAGATTCATCCATGTTGTGGTATATGTTAGAATTTCCTTCCCTTTTCAGGCTATGCAATATTCCATTTTATATATACCCAACATTTGCTTATCCATTTATCTGATGATGGATGCTTAGGTCGCTTTCATGTTTTAGCTTTTGTGAACAAGGCTGCTATAAACCTGAGGGTACAGATATCACTTTCAGACTCTGCTTTCAATTCTTTTGGGTATATACCCAGAAGTGGAATTGCTAGATCATATGGTAATTTTTTTAAATCATTGGGGAATTGTCATACTGTTTTCCACAGCAGTTGTCTGCAGTTGGGTAGAGCATTCTGTAAATGTTTACGAGATCTAGTTGAGTTATTGTGCTTTTTAAGTCCTCTGTTTCCTTACTCATTTTTAATTGATTTATTCATTATTGAGAGTAAGTTATTCAAATTTCCAACCATTACTGTAGAACTATTTCTTTTTTCAATTCTGTCATTTTATTAGTTTATATATTTTGATGGTCTTTTATTAGGTGTGTAAATGTTTATAATTGCTATACCTTCTTGCTGTATTGAACCTTTTATTAATACATAATATTCTTCTTTGTCTGTTGTAAGCTTTTTAAATTTAAAACCTACTTGGTATGATATTAATATAGTAACCCTGCTTTCTCTTGATTATTGTTTTTATGGACTACATTTTTCCATTCTTTCACAACTGAAGTTGTGAAATTTTCACGATTTGAGTCTATTTGTGTCTTTGGATCTAAAGTGAATCTCTTATAGATCATATATAGTTGGATTATGATTTTTGATTTTTTGTCCATTCTGCCATCTCTGTCTTTTGATTGGAGAGTTTAATTCATTTACACTTAAAGTAACTACTGATAAGAATGTAGTTGCTTTTGACCTTTTCCTATTTTTTTCTACATGCTTTCTAGCTTTACTGTTCCTGATTTTTTGCATTACTGTCCTCTTTTGTGTTTAGTTGAGTTTTTGCAGTATTTAAATATCTTTCTCATTTCCTTTTGTGTACATTATATAGGTATTTTTATTTGTGATTACCATGGGGCTTTCACTTAACATCCTAGAGTTGTAACAGACTAATTTTAATTTATGCTACCTTAATTTCAACAACATACAAAAACTCTGCTTCTTTACAGTTCTGTCTCCACCTCTTTCAGTAGTTGAAGTTAAGAATTATATATCTATACATGTGTGCTCCCCAAACATGAACTAATAATTAATTTAAATGCATTGTTTCATTAAATTATATAGAAAATAAATTGTGAAGTTACAAACCAAAGTTACAATGATTTTAACTTTTCAACTAATTGTTTTTAATGTATAATCTCTTAAATCATGTAGAAAACAAAAGGTGAAGTGACAAACCACTGTTATAACAACACTAGCTTTTATAGTTGCTCATGTATTTTACTTTATTGAGATCTTTGTTTATACATCTTTGAGCTACTCTTTCGTGGTTTTTTTTGTTTTGTTTTGTTTTGTTTTGTTTTTTCATTTCACCCTGTAGGACTCCCTCTCAAGCATTACTTTCAGGACAGGTCTAGTGGTAGCAAACTTGCTCATTTTTTATCTGGGAATGCCTTAATTTTTCCCTCGCTCTTCAAAGACAGTTTTGCCTCGTGTAGGATTCTTTGCTGACAATTTTTTGTTTTGTTTTGCTTTGCTTTTAGTAATTTGATTATATCAACTAATTGCCTTCTGGACTCCAAAGTTTCTGATGAAAATCTGCTAATAATTTTATTAAGGATCCCTTGTATATGATGAATTACTTTTTTCATGGGCTACTTTCAAATTTTTCTCTGTCTTTCAAAAGTTTGATTATAATATGTCTCAGTGCAAGTCTCTTCGAGTCATTTTACTTGGAGTTTTTTTTTGTTTTTTTTGAGACGGAGTCTCACTCTTTAGCCCAGGCCGGACTGCAGTGGCGCTATCTCGGCTCACTGCAGGCTGTGCCTCCCGGGTTCACACCATTCTCCTGCCTCAGCCTCCCAAGTAGCCGGGACTACAGGCACCCGCCACCACGCCTGGCTAATTTTTTGTATTTTTAGTAGAGACTGGGTTTCACCATGTTAGCCAGGATGGTCTCGATCTCCTGACCTCGTGATCTGCCCGCCTCGGCCTCCCAAAGTGCTGGGATTACAGGTGTGAGCCACCCCGCCCGGCCTTACTTGGAGTTTTTTGAGCTTCTTGGATGTTTATCTGTATGTCTTTCATCATATTTGGGAAGTTTTCCACCATTATATCTTCAAATACTATCTTTTCCCATTTCTCTCTCTCTTCTTCTGAGATTCCTATGATAAGTTGGTCTGCTTGATGGTATCCCACTGGTTCCTTAGACTCTGTTCACTTTTCTTCAATCTTTTTTCTTTCAGTTCCTCAGTCTTTATAATTTTTATTGTCCTATCATCAAGTGTGCTGAATCTTTTTTTCTGCCTGCTGAATACCATCTTTGAATTCATCTAGCAAATTTTTCATTTCAGTAATGCATTTTTCAGCTCCAGAATTCCTTTTTGACTTCTTTTTAGGTTTTCTCTTTTTTTTTTTAATACTTTAAGTTTTAGGGTACATGTGCACAATGTGCAGGTTAGTTACATATGTATACATGTGCCATGCTGGTGTGCTGCACCCACTAACTCATCATCTAGCATTAGGTATATCTCCCAATGCTATCCCTCCCCCCTCCCCCCCACCCCACAACAGTCCCCAGAGTGTGATGTTCCCCTTCCTGTGTCCATGTGTTCTCATTGTTCAATTCCCACCTATGAGTGAGAATATGCGGTGTTTGGTTTTTTGTTCTTGTGATAGTTTACTGAGAATGACAAATTTACAAGAAAAAAACAAACAACCCCATCAAAAAGTGGGTGAAGGACATGAACAGACACTTCTCAAAAGAAGACATTTATGCAGCCAAAAAACACATGAAAAAATGCTCACCATCACTGGCCATCAGAGAAATGCAAATCAAAACCACAATGAGATACCATCTCACACCAGTTAGAATGGTGATCATTAAAAAGTCAGGAAACAACAGGTGCTGGAGAGGATGTGGAGAAATAGGAACACTTTTACACTGTTGGTGGGACTGTAAACTAGTTCAACCATTGTGGAAGTCAGTGTGGCGATTCCTCAGGGATCTGGAACTAGAAATACCATTTGACCCAGCCATCCCATTACTGGGTATATACCCAAAGGACTATAAATCATGCTGCTATAAAGACACATGCACAAGTATGTTTATTGCAGCACTATTCACAATAGCAAAGACTTGGAACCAACCCAAATGTCCAACAATGATAGACTGGATTAAGAAAATGTGGCACATACACACCATGGAATACTATGCAGCCATAAAAAATGATGAGTTCATGTCCTTTGTAGGGACATGGATGAAATTGGAAGGTTTTCTATCTCTTTATTGACATTTCCGTTTTGTTCATACATAATTTCCTTGAATTTCTTCACACCTTATTTTAGTTCTCTGAACATCTTTAGGATAGTTGTTTTAAAGTGTTTGTCTAGTAAATCTGTCATCAGGTCTTTTTCAGGGACAGTTTTTGTTGATTGATTGATTTTTTCCTCTGAAAGGGCCATACTTTTCTGCTTCTTTGTATGCCTTGTGATTGTTTGCTGAAAACTGGACATTTGAATATAATAATATAGTAACTCTGGAAATCATATTGTCTCCCTCCCTTGAGTTTTCTGTTTTTGTTATTGTTTTTATTGTCTTTTTAATCATTGTAGGCTGTGTTGGTGTCAAGGATCAGCTTGATGTGTAAATTTCAGGTCTTCTTAGATCTATTCTGAGTCTCACTCTTTCCCTGAACATGCACAGTCACTTTCTAATTTTCCCTGCATATGCAATGTTTTATTGTCTGCCTCCCAAAAGGGAAAAAAGATTAAAATGAAGGGAGTCAAAAAAGATTACTGGCCCTTTAAATACTCTGGAAGTCACTTCAGCCAGAGAGGGAGGGGCTTGCAACAATGGGGAAAGGGCAACAATGGCTCCTCTCCTCTTTGTACCTATTTGATCAAAAGCAGCAATCAGCGGTCAGAGCCCAGATCCATGATATGTGGAGGACAGGGTCCTTTTTCCACATCCAGGTTCCTACAAGACAGGTTGTTTCAGGAACATGTGCACAGCCGCCTCCCATGGGGTTGGAGGCAGGGGATATGTAGCTAAACCACTCTGTAAAGAGCTGAAATTGACCAAAATTACCCACAGTTTAGCATCCAAGCCTTCCTTTCAAGTTGCAATCCTATGATAGACTCTACAGTTTCAAAATAGTTACATTAGATTCTGCCAGTGCAATTGTGTAGGTGGAGACAGATTGCTGCTGCTTCCTGCACCATCATCTTCCCAGAATCACCCTCCTCATAAAGTGCATTTTTATTTTGACACTGGGAAGGGATTGCAAAATTTCTATAATTTAATAAACCATATGGGATTATTTGGGCCTTTTCATAGCAATCCTGTAGGTAGTCCTATAAACTTTCCTTTTTCAAAACAGCAATCAAGTGATATTACTCTTACTGAATCATTGCATCTCTGATGCATTGGCTTTCAGTCTCTGCTAGTCACGGCCACTGTTGAATTACTGGTTATTTCAGAGAGCAGTCTGTTCGTTGGTTTATACTTTTGATGTTTAAAGGATGTTTCTCACACTGAGCTGACATTTATTTTGGATTCATCCTCTAGAGCTTCACAGAGTCAGTACATTCCTTTTCCTATATGGTAGTTGAGTTACTGGAAAACGGATATCAAGTGTATCCTAAGTTTCTTTTCCTCAGCTTAAACATTGTGGGGTGCCCAGCTACCTCACAGTGTTTGTTGCCTGCCTCTGGAAATACCTGTTTTTAAAATATGGTGCCGAGAATTGCATGTCATACTGCAGATGTGGTCTATCTTGTGGTGGGACTATTGCGACTCATAATCATATTTTATGTATGTGACCAAAGCCTAATTCCAGATTAATAGTTGGTAATTATGTGAATTTCTCAGAAGCAATATCTGAATGCAACTTGATTTATGTATGGAAATGTAGGTCACTTTCACTCAGTTTCTATTTCAAGCTCTTTTACACTTTCTTATAGAAGTTTTCCTTAAATCTGAAACTAATTAATTTCCACTGTTGCAAGTTCTGACTGCTTTAATCTGCTTCATTTTAGATGAACCTTCCCTCCCCACTTTACCAGTGTTTAACATATTTTAAAATAGTTTTTGAAGTTTTCCTGCTGAGTTAGCACCTTGTAGAAACTTTACCATTATGGTATCAACAACCTGTAAAGCAGTAAAGAAGTAAAGAAGCTTAAGATAAGAAGAAAAGGATTTAAATGTCCAGTAACAGCTAGCAAATAGCTGCCACATAAAAAGCATTATCAGGAGAAGAGAATTTTGCTTTCTTAATTAAGAATAGAGCAAAAGGAGACTCTTAGTTAGAAAAAAATTGTATTGAAGCAGTTTGTTAGGTAGAAATATGTTCTTAATTGAATAATTAATTTTTGAAAATGTAATGCCTATGTTTGCATCCAGTACAGAAAGTATGCTATGAATCTCTGTACTCCCTATATTATTTCAATTTTAACAATAAAGTTTCTGGCAAAATTCTATCCATGAAACATGTCCTACTGGTTAACAGGGATATTGTTTGATATGAAAATCTGAACTGATTAGAAAAAAAGTAGCCCGATGTTTTATGCTTTACACACACAAAAAAACTTATTACATACTTTTTCTTCGTTTTTTTAAAGTGCAAAATAAAAAAGATAAGCTACTACACTTTTAGTTGCATATTCATTACCCAAAGCAAGGAAAACCAGCATGAGATTTCTATTCATTCAAGAAAAATCTGTTTATATTGACTTTTTTAAAAGCTCCATTTAGACTCTGGATAAATTTTTCTAAATCCCAAGGATATGGAAGACAGAAAAGGCAGATTTGCTGCTGATTGAACATATCTTTGTAAAAATTTCAGTAATGCAAATATTTAAAAAGTAATATCTACTTTTTATTGAAGTATGTTATTAAAAATGTCTTGCCCTATGTGTAACTTGCCTTGTGCCTTTTATATTGTACTTTGAATTTTTCAAGTTCATTAACACATCAGTGAGAAACTTAATTTAAAGACTACATTTTTCACACAGCACTTTTCATTATTTTCCTGGCAGTTTTGAAGTGAAACATGAACTTTAGTAATGCTAAAATATAAAAACATGGCACTTTTTTTCCAGGACATTATTGGAGGAGTTTTATCCTTCTTTTTCTTTAATTGACATGTGACAGATATGTTTATCACAGGCATTTTATACTACATTGGAAAATTGAACCTGTGGGAGTGACAGATCATTTTGAGAATGTGTAACTTTAATTGTTACTTCTTTTGCCTCTAGGTGTGAAGACCTCATTAGATAATGGTGGTGCTTTTTGTGACATTTCAATCTTCTGTCAATGTTTCTATGATAATCTCGCATTAAATAATTCAGGTTTATTAACTGCAGACATTTAGTGTAAGTTAAAGCTTCTCATAAAAGAAAGCTCTTGAAATTACATTTCACCTCATTGAAAATGGGGTTTCATTGTGTTGATCTTTCCCCAAAATGTTTATGAGGTTTACTTCACCTATTCGCAAGAATAAAACATTTTCTGTTAAATTCCTCTGTAACAATAAATGTGGTCCTGATTTTCTTATTGTTTTATAAGATTGTGGGTACCTTGCTTATCATTAAATGAAGACTAGTAAATTAAGACTACATATACAAGCCAAAAAAAAAAACCCTTTAGGCACACAGATTGGAAATGGATGTTGTTTATTTTTTTTTCAGTCACTCCATTTTCTTTTTACCACTTCTCTGAATTCTCCATCCCTCCATAAAACACACACATTAAAATGTCTGTGTTTATGGCGATTCTCAAATCTGGAAAATCTGGAAGTGTTTTCATTTCTAGATTCTACTTTCTCTAGGTAATGAGCATTTTTCATAGAACAGATGAATATACTGCTAATAATTTTTAAATGTTTAAATGGTCCAGCTCAATTTTTAAAGGGGACTGTTAAACACAAACAATTATTAGTACTAAGTAATTTTCATACAGTAAAATATAATAATTTTAGAGAAGTAGATTCTGGATAGCTAAGAGAATAATTTTTGTTTTAACAAAACTTAACACAAATTAATAGTAAATTAAACTGAATTTTCTGTTCTCTTTCAGAAGAAGGAATTTAAATAAAGGAAAAGATCTACTGAATATTTTGGGGTTAATTAATATTCAATTGAACATTAACATCAATTCTAAACTCAGCTTTTACCTACAAAGTCAGAGCAGAGAGCTAGATCTTACACTGAATGATTTCTGAATGTTTGGTGTAATGAGATAGTAGGTGTGGGCTGAGATTCTTTATAGAGATCAGAGAAGCCTAAAGAGGCAACCTGAAAAATGGGTATTAGTTTCCAGCAGATAGAGAAGGGAGGCATTCCAATGTGGTATAGTGGTATAAACAGGGGCTAACTGACAAAGACACAAAGATACAAGTAGAATATGGGTTTGGCGGGAGCAAAGGAATAGAGCAAGGAGCAGCTAGCTATTTAGGCACTAAAATCAGATTGTGCTCCAGAAAAATTAATCTCGTAGCACTGTATATGATGATCTAGGGGTGAAGAGTGAATAGAGATGAATCAGCCCAATTTGAATACTCTCTATTTCTTCTGGCAACACGTGACAATGTCCAGGAATTCAGTTATTAGAAGCAATGGCAATTTAGGGCCAGGCATAGTGGCTCATGCCTATAATTCTAGCACTTTGGGAGGCCGAGGCGGGAGGATCGCTTGTCATCAGTAGTTTGAAACCAGCCTGGCCAACATGGTGAAACCCCATCTCTACTAAAAATACAAAAATTAGCTGGGCGTGGTGGCAGACGCCTGTAATCCCAGCTACTTGGGAGGCTGAGGCAGGAGAACTGCTTGAACCCGGGAGGCAGGGGTTGCAGTGAGCTGAGATCATGCCACTGCACTGCGGCCTGGGCAACAAAGCAAGATTCCATCAAAAAAAACCCAAAAAAACAAAAAAACTAGAAGCAATGGAAATGTAAAGGATGGCATGGTATTATGACTTGAAAACTGGTTCTAGAAACCAAGGGAGAAAAACAAAGACAGGCAGTATTTGAAATCTGAGTTACTGTGTACGATGCTTTTGAGAGGTTGCATGATATAGTTTAGCTGTCTGAGTTCAACCTCTTCCTGCTTCAGCATCCTCAACTGTAAAGTGCAGTTTATGGTAGAGTCTGCCTTATGAAGTCCTTGTGAAGATTAATTGAGTTAATATGTATTATGTTTCTGGAAGGCAATCTTGGTGTAGAAGGTGTGAACGGCAAAATTAATGAATCACTGACAGAAATCAAAAAGTCTTGCAAGACCCTCTACTCTGTGTCTGATAAGTGGGAATGTAAACCAGCATATTTCAGAAAGCCTCACAGCTATAAGAACCACATGAAAAATGTTTTATTCAGTTGCCTATTAATCACAAATTAATTCAGAAGGCCCTATTTTCTTAGCATTCCAATAAAATTAAGTTACTTGACTTGATCCATAAATCATATTTCTGTTACATCATCAGACTGAGGAGTAGCTGTATGTGTACCTGCAGCTAACCTTTATGAGTGAAGGACACCTAGAAAAAAACAATTCCAAGGCAATGTGCCATGTTCTGAATCAGGCTTGGCATATATGACTCTAGGAAGGCAATTTTCTTCAGTTTATGTGAGGCCTGTTGATATTATTGCAGTTTATTTGCCTGTAGAGTAAATTTACATTGCCAAAAGATAAGTTTGACACTTTCATTTGTACCGACACAGCCAGTGAATATATAATTTTTTTGTTCTGCATCACCTAGTCTCCTTGATGCAAAGTCGCTCAGAAAAGGAGATTTTTTTTCTCAATCAATTTTATATCTGAAAACAAACATCCACTGTGCCAGTGGGAGTTTTCCTCACTCACAACAGATTTATACCCGCTAGGTTTTCACAATGTGGCATGTTTTGCAAGGAAGTTGGTATAAATTAAGAAAAAATTCGGGGCTGCCCAAATAGCCATGTCTTCCAGTCTGGATAACTGAATGACTGTTGCTGAAGATTTTGATCCTTCCACACGTCAACAATTCATTGCACACATAAAGACAAAAAAGTACATAGAATAACTTTTTATGAAAAATTTGGATTGAGACCAGTTTTCTATAGTAGTGTTACAACTTGAAATTTTTGCTTTCTCCTCTCCTGCTTCCATATGTTAAAAGGAGTTTTGGAAAATACTGGGTCCAAGATAGGCTTTCAAAACCGGAATCATTTAGAAAAAACTGAGCTACATATGAATGTACAATATGGTGAAGGCAATAAGAGGAACCAACAGTGTCTCCTGAATTATATAATCCTCAGTACTCCAGCTATTTCATGTAAAGCTTTGTCCTATATACATTTTACTCTCTTATCACATCAGGGAGTCTTTTTCAGTATTTTATGATGGATAAATGTCAATCGAAAGTGTATTAGAAAGCTCAACATATCCATCCAAAAGCATACACATATTACTTGCCAAGCTCTGAGTAATAAGTAGTGACAGCCATCGTGGTGAATTAAATGTATTCTAGGAGACTACTACTTGGGATAGGACACTCCCTGAAAGGCCAAGACGTGCTAGTTTTTCCATTTCAGACTACATCCTCCCTCAACTTTGCTTTATTTATGAAAGCAATTATGCAGGCTACTGCATTAAATAAAACCCAATGTATTCCTATAGATATAGGGGTTTTGTGGTGGTGTTAATTACTGCCATCATAAAGAAACATTTTACTTACAATTTTAATGTATTCAATTTTTATAGGAAAGCTATTTAATTAATGGGAGTGCTTTAGAAATGCTCTATTATATATTACCGGTTTGCTAAGATGACTTAAAAGGAACTTCTTTTAAGGCACTCTGACAACTTCCATTACAGCATCCATGCCGTTCTATCTCTACCATCCATACAGCAGTCATGGTAGAGACAGAATGACTGACTATGGGACATCACCATGTAACTATGCACATGGAGCTTCCCGTCATTAAAAAATGATAGCTGATCCACCAAGACATGAAATTAGTTATGTGCTCCAGTCCTCCATCATCAAATAAAAGTGAAATATGTAGGATCACTCTCAAATTAGCCCTTTAGTCACAAATAATTTGCAAGAACATGTTGCTTACATCCCAATAGCACGTACTCCTCTTAGCTGCCACTTCTTCTTCAGCGTACTTCTATAGCTTCATGAGGAGATCACCATGATCATTTGGCTTAGGAGAAGAAAATCCAAGTTTGATTTACGCAAGGTTCTGCACAGTATGCTATCACAAGGCAGATGTGAACAATTTTCACATGACAACTTTACTCAGGGAGAATGGGAAAGGAAGTCCTTCAAGAGGGCAGAACTCTAAGCATGTATCTGGAGGTCCAGTTTGCCTGGAGGGCAAATGGCCTGAAGAATGTAACCACACTAATTCGTGGACAACAGGTATTGTCCATGCTCAGGGACTTGACAGGAACAAGTTTCAAGGACTAAAGACAAGACATTTGAGGAAGAGAAATTTGAATGGAACTCTTAGAATGGTATTAAATGTGCAGATATTTGTTCTTGTGTGAATTCTCACCAAAAGGCATTTACTGCAGAGGAGGCTTTCAATAATCAGGTAAACAATATGACCCATGTAGTGGATGTTGGTCAGTTTCTAACCCCAGTCACTCTATGGGTTATTTAAAATGCCTCATGAGAAAAATGATCTTAGTAGCAGAGATGGAGTTTATGGATGTGCTCAGTTACGTAGACTTTCACTTTCCAACACAATTTTGCTTATCATCACCGTTGAGTCCCAAGGCAACCAATAGCAGTGACTAATCCTGAGCCCCCTCCACATCTTGGAGACTCTGTCAGCTATTTATCATCATGGTGGGGAGGGGTTGTGGACGAGAGTTGTCTTCATTGGAATAGAAACATAATTCAGATGTGGATTTTCCTTCATTGCTTGCTATGCTTCTGCCAGCATCACTTTCTATGAATTTATGCATAACTTAGTCACTACCATGATTTACCATACAGCATTGCTTCTGAATGAGGAATGAATTTATGGTAAAGACATGTATACCAATGGGCTGACAGTCCCAGGATCCCTTCTTTATATTCTGTCCCTCAGAAGATTATTCTCAAATCTCTGTTTTTGGTCTCCACTAAGAATTTTCACACCCACTTTGCAATTTCTTATCTTCATGTTTTGGTTCGTGCAGTTCCATCTGCCTTTATTGTCTTTATTTCTTGTCAAAGTTCCTGTATCTTCTGAGGCTAACTCCAAGCACCAAACTTGCTCCTTTGAGCCTCTTTGGAACTTTGTCCCTGTCTCTCTATTGGTACTTAATTTAATCAACATTTTGTTGTAGTCATTTGCATACTTGTCTTATTACCTTACTATTAAGGTTGGTGCAAAAGTCATTGCGGTTTTTGCCATTACTTTTTTTTTTTTTTTTGAGACGGAGTCTCGCTCTGTCTCCCAGGCTGGTGCAGTGGCCTGATCTCGGCTCACTGCAAGCTCCGCCTCCCGGGTTCACGCCATTCTCCCGCCTCAGCCTCCTGAGTAGGTGGGACTACAGGCGCCCACCACCACACCCGGCTAATTTTGTTTTTGTATTTTTAGTAGAGACGGGCTTTCACCGTGTTAGTCAGAATGATCTCGATCTCCTGACCTCGTGATCTGCCCTCCTCGGCCTCCCAAAGTGCTGGGATTACAGGCATGAGCCACCGCGCCCAGCTGCCATTACTTTCAATGGCTAAAACCGCAATGACTTTTGCACTAGCCTAATAGATTGAGAGTATCACATAGGCAGGAGCTACATCTTACTTTTTCTTAGAGCTACGGTGAATCCTTGTACACAGTAGTTCTCAATGAATGCTTATTAAACTGAATTATGTTTAACAACATATAGCTTTGTGGCTGGGCACGGTGGCTCATGTCTGTTATCCCAACACTTTGATAGGCCGAGGCAGGCGGATCGCTTGAGGTCAGGAGTTTGAAATCAGCCTGGCCAACATGGCGAAACCCTGTCTTTACTAAAAATACAAAAATTAACCAGGGATGGTGGAGGGCGCCTGTAATCCCAGCTACTAGGGAAACTGAAACATGAGAATCGCTTGAACTCAGGAGGAGATTGCAGTGAGCCAAGATGGAGCCACTGCACTCCAGCCTGGGTGACAGAGCGAGACTCTTGTCTCAAACAAAACAAAATACAAATAGCTTTGTAGTAATTCGTAGATAAGGAAGAAGTAACAAAAACAACAAGATATTACCTTAGTGTAAAATTCATCTCGACCATGTTTATTGTATATATATAAAATAATATGGAAAAGAAGTAGTCATCCTTTCTTGATTTTGTCAACCAAAAGTTATGGAAAGGCCTGAAAAAGTGGTAAAAGAAGCCTTTCTCTTCTAAAGTGACTAAGATTCCCTATATGAAGGAGAAAATATGTGCAGAAGTCATTTGAGAACAAATAGTTTCAAACTACAGAGAATGCTATGGAGTTGAAAGGACAAATTTTATTTTAAAATTTGGGTCAAAATTTCTGATGTGTGGATATCCAGAAAACATATTTCTATTCCGTTGTTCATGTGAGAGGTTTGTTACTGTAGTTGAATAGGTTCTGTACAAGGTCTATTTTTCAGCAATATTAGAGAAAGGAGTATTTTTATTTGTGTTCTTATTCTCTACAGGCAGAAAATGAGGATGTGATAGAGAATAAATGAACTCTCTTACTGTCCTGGCCATTGATTTCTGCTATCTTAATCACTTATTTTTGTGAACCACCATGGTTTAAGTGAAAATAAATAACATTTTAAAATGTTTTATTCTTGAATAGAATGCAAGCATAAAGTAGAAAGCTTTGAATATCAGAACTTGGTCAACAAAACCACTTAAGCTGGTACATACACACCATGGAGTACTATGCAGCTATAAAAAGGAATGAGACCACGTGCTTTGCAGTGACATGGATGGAGTTGGAAGCCATTATCCTCAGCAAACTAACACAGGAACAGAAAACCAAACACCACATGTTCTCACTTATAAGTGGGAGCTGAATGATGAGAACACATAAACATGGGGAAGGGAACAACACACACTGGGGCCTGTCGGGGGGAAGGGAGAGAAAGAGCATCAGGATAAACAGCTAATGCATGTGGAGCTTAATAGCTAGGTGATGGGTTTATAGGTGCAGCAAACCACCATGGCACATATTTACCTATGTAACAAACCTGCTTGTCCTGCACGTGTATCCAGGAGCTTAAAATTAAATTTAAAAAAACACTTAAGCTGTCTACACAGTATACTCATGAGTAGTATGCATTGCAGTAGTGCCTTTCTTCAAATATATCAAAACTCACTAGTGATACTTTGCTTTCTAGAATAACTGTAAGCAAATTGATTCAGTCACATTGAACTTCCCCCAAGCAAGATACAGCTTTAGCTTAGTAGAAGGTGGATCCTCTCTAAAAATATAAGCAAGAATATTGGATATTATCTTTTGAATGGGACAAAATGAATGGTATTCAATTTTATCATAAACTCATTTTAGCTGAATGGCCTGTGGAAGAACATGCATAAAGTTAAGAAGTTCAAGGAGTTGGTGAGGCATTAGATTTGCTTAATGAAGTCCACTGTTTCCATGAGAATTATAAAACAGAAAACCAAGATCTAAGGGTGATCACCCATATTTAAGATTTATATTATTTTCTCAATCGAGAATTTTATTTGGGCAGGAGGTCAGAAAAGTAATTATTCAATGTAAATTTGCTACCCAGCTGCAAAGAGAGGCACAGTTTTAAGGCAGGAATTCAACTTTTTTGGCCCCTCAGCCAGGTTGGTTAGTGGATGATTTGCACTGCTCCTACTATTCATAGATTGACTGGCACAAATGCACATTTCATTAGCTGGGATTATCCATTAATACCTATTGAATTAACTGGTAAATAATTGCTGCTATTTATTGGTTAAGGTAAAGGTATTCTTCTGGAAAATTTGTATGTGTCTTTTTGGATATCAAATTAGGACATATAACTTTGAACCAGGTACTCATTTGAGAGATACTGTAGAGCAAGCTGAGATTTAAATCACTACCCTAAAAGTTATCTTGGAATTTACCATTAATTTTTTATAAGACTTACTTCTTTTGGCCATAATGCTTCATCTTTATCATGAATGCCTAGGGTGAACTTTTCTCATGCATATGGTGCAATGAATGGAATGAAGATTTAAACCAATTATTTGGATGACGCATGACTACAAAATATGTTTTAAGGAAAAATAGGGTGTGCAGAAATATCTGTATTTATTATCCATATTATTGGCCTAGACAACTTGTATATCCTGAGATAGTGGCTTGGGTTTCCACATTGACAGGTCATAAAATTATCTGTAGCTATTCAACTTACTGTTTATATCATAGGACTAATAAAATGTCATCAAGGTTTTGATTTCTACATAGTCTCTAGCATTATTCCTCATCACCATCATCAAATGTTGATTAAAGCCTTATAACTAGGTTTGAAGATACTAGGTAAAATACATAGTCTTCATCCTTTAGCAACATAGTTATGGAGAAAAGATATATGCATAAAACTGTAACAACCATTAGCAGTATAAAAAATTGCCAATCAAGTGATGTAAATAAGAGCTATTGTAGTCCTAGACTCCAGGTTCACTTGAAACTCTGGCCACCTCCCTTAAAAGGAAGTAACAAAGACAATTGAGCAAAAGATTTTGGAGATAAATACAAATATTTTGCTGCTTTTAGAAAAGAGTTGAAAGGGTGTGCACAGTGAGCCACTAGTGTTTTCTTTGTATCTTAGTATCTGAAAGAAATATTATTAGGTGGCATCATGGAATGTGCAACTTCTCTTTATTAAATTCCTCAACTTTAAAAATAAACTGCACTTTGTCATTTATTCTTTATTCTAATCTTTTAAAAAGTGTATTTTCTTCCCTTCATCTGTTTTCATTGTGATTGATTTTTATGCTTCTGGTGCTTTATATAGTTTCCTTGATAAGTTTGATACAAAGCTTCATGATTTGTTTTCACAGTTTGTCCTCATTTTCTTGCAATTGCTTGACACTTAAAACGCTGTTGGACTGCTTCACTGTAAATTTTGTCACCTTATGCTTTAAACTTTTCTCAATGTTTTAGAAATTACAATCCACATTTTCTGGAGAAGACATGCAACCTCATCTTTGGAGCTTCTGGGGAAAGCAGAACCTGAGTCCCTTGTCACAGGTTCTTCTGTAAAGGACCTAGATCAACCCAAGTCCCTTGAGCTTTTCACTGCCTTTCCCCGCTTTGTAGCTTAGAATGTAAATTGGCTTTTCTTGTCCACATCTCCAAACTCCCCTCAGTCTCTGCCCGTCCCTCCCTCTGTCAGAGATTCCCAGATACATATTTGATTTTTACTGACACTTTGTGATTGATTCCATGAAAATTTAATGACTTTTCATGCCCAGAGTGCTTGTTAGATTATTTCTCCATTAGGATATGATGTCTCTGACATAGAAACATGTCACTAGAACAGAGTGAATTTAGACAAAATGTTACAGTAGTAAAATAAAAAATAAGTTAAAATTTTGAAGTGACTTCTCAACACCCAAATTGGTTGTTAGTTTGACACCAAAATGGCATATTTACTCCCAATAAGAGATCTAGTTCACATTTTGGGTTGTTATAGTTCAACAAATGTTTGTGTGTTTGTCAAAAAAGCATTGATTCTAAAACAAACAAACAAACAAACAAACAAAAACATATGCACTATCAACTCACTAGGTGCACGGAGCCAATTAAAATGACTTTTACAAGTAGTTGTAATATGCATGCCTATTATTTTTACACGTGAGTAGAAGAATGAGAATATGAAATTTTAGCTAAGTTGAAACAGGACTTATGGATGGAAAAATAGTGGTGGTTTGAGAATGAGTTGGGAAAGGAGTTAAAGTAGCGTATGGTTATTGGGTAATCAGAATTAAACTTTTTAATCAAAGCTATTTCATCAGAATTAAAACTTATGATTAAATACTTCTTAGATATTTTTGAAGTGTTCCATCATTGCCTCAGATAAAAAGAATAAGGAGTCGAGTAGCGTATTCAAAATTTTATCAGAATTTAGTAAATAATAATACGAAGCTAGCAGCATCAGTGGCAGGGGTAGCAGCAAATATTTTGTTACCTGACATCCATGCTGTGTGCTGAGACTCTCATTCTTAACATTAGCTACAATTTTTGCCTGGGATACCCTTGATGACACTAATGACAAAGTAGCTGTTTAAAAAGTAACATGGCTCTAGTACTTCTGAAATCATAAATTTAAAATAATTCCTCTAAATAATATTATAATTATCTCTGCTAAATTGTCATGTTCTAACTATGAAGGTATAAAGGCAATAGTGGTGACGTGATGGGGGAGATGCATAGAACCAAGCAAAAATGAGGATGAATAAGCAAAATAAATTTTATAGAAACGGGAGGAAAAATGCATTATTAATCCTATAACTGTATATCTTAGAAATTTTATCTAAATTTTTAGAACATGTAAATATATTTAAACTCTTTAGTAGTCTGTGTATGATACAGATCAGAAAGATTTTAATGATTTTAAGGTACTCTACATGTTTCTCAGCATTTATTCTTTCTTGATTCTGTCCATTTTGTCTATTCCATTCTGTCCTTGGACAGTGTTTTTATTTCTCCTTTAAAAAATAGCTTTACTAAGATATAATTCTCATACCATGTAATTCATCTTTTAAAATTATACAATTCCGTGTGTGTGTGTTTTTATTTTAATGAAACGGAAGATACTACCTCTGATGCCACAGAAACACAAAAGATCATTCAGGGCTACTATGAATACCTTTACACTCACAAACTAGAAAACCCAGAGGAGATGGATAAATTCCTGGAAATATACAACCCTCCTAGATTAAACCAAAAAGAAATAAAAACTCAGAACAGACCAATAACAAGCAGCAATATTGAAATGGTAATTTTAAAAATTGCCAACAGGAAAAAGTCCAGGACCAGAATGATTCACAGCTGAATGCTAGCAGACATTCAAAGAAGAATTGGTACCAATCCTACGGAAATTATGCCAAAAGATAGAGAAGAAGGAAACCCTCCCTAAATCATTCTGTGAAGCCAGTGCCACCCTAATACCAAAACCAGGAAAAGACATAATGATAAAAGAAAACTATAGACTAATATCCCTGATGAAAATAGCTGCCGAAATCCTCAACAAAATACTAGCTAACCGAGTTCAACAGCATATCAAAAACATAATCCACCATGATCAATTACATTTCATACCAGGGATGCAGGGTTGGTTTAACATGTGCAAGTCAATAAATGTGATATGTCACGTAAACAGAATTAAAAACAAAAATCATATGATCATCTCAATAGACACAGAAAAAGCATTTGACAAAATCCAACATCCCTTTTTGATTAAAACCCTCAGCAAAAACAGCAAAGAAGAGATATACCTTAAGGAAATAAAAGCCATCTATGACAAAACCATAGCCAACATTATACTGAATGGGGAAAAATTGAAAGCATTCCCCCTAATAACTGGAACAAGAAAAGGATGCCCACTTTCACCACTTCTATTCAACATACTACTGGAAGTTTAAGCCTGAGTAGTCAGACAAGAGAAAGAAATGAAGGGCACCCACATTCTAACTGGTGTGAGATGGTATCTCATTGTGGTTTTGATTTGCATTTCTCTGATGGCCAGTGATGATGAGCATTTTTTCATGTGTTTTTTGGCTGCATAAATGTCTTCTTTTGAGAAGTGTCTGTTCATATCCTTCGCCCACTTTTTGATGGGGTTGTTCGTGGGTGGTCTGTTAATTCTGCTGATTATTTCTTTTGCTGTGCAGAAGATTTTTAGTTTAATTAAGTCCTGTCTATCTACATTTGTTTTTGTTGCATTTGTTTTTGGGTTCTTGGTCATGAACTCTTTGCCTAAGCCAATGTCTAGAAGAGTTTTTCCAATGTCATCTTCTAGAGTTTATATGGTTTAAGGTCTTAGATTTAAGTCTTTGATCCATCTTGAGTTGATTTTTGTATAAGGTGAGAGATGAGGATCCAGTTTCATTCTTCTACATGTGGCTTTCCAATTATCCCAGCACCATTTTTTGAATAGGGTGTCATTTCCTCACTTTATGTTTTTGTTTGCTTTGTCGAAGAACTGTTGGCTGGAAGTATTTGGCTTTATTTCTGGGTTCTCTATTCAGTTCCATTGGTCTATATGTCTACTTTTATACTAGTACCCTGCTGTTTTGGTGACTATACCCTTGTAGTATAGTTTGAAGTTGGGTAATGTGATGCCCCCAGACTTGTTCTTTTTGCTTAGTCTTCCTTTGGCTATGTGGACTCTTTTTTGGTTCCATAGAATGGCGATAATTAAAAAGTCAGGAAACAACAGGTGCTGGAGAGGATGTGGAGAAATAGGAACACTTTTACACTGTTGGTGGGACTGTAAACTAGTTCAACCATTGTGGAAGTCGGTGTGGTGATTCCTCAGGGATCTAGAACTAGAAATACCATTTGACCCAGCCATCCCATTACTGGGTATATACCCAAAGGATTATAAATCATGCTGCTATAAAGACACATGCACACGTCTGTTTACTGCGACACTATTCACAATAGCAAAGACTTGGAACCAACCCAAATGTCCAACAACGATAGACTGGATTAAGAAAATGTGGCACATATACACCATGGAATACTATGCAGCCATAAAAATGATGAGTTCATGTCCTTTGTAGGGATATGGATGAAGCTGGAAACCATCATTCTCAGCAAACTATCGCAAGAACAAAAAACCAAACACTGCATGTTCTCACTCATAGGTGGGAACTGAACAATGAGAACACATGGACACAGGAAGGGGAACATCACACACCAGGGACTGTTGTGGGGTGGGGGGAGGGGGGAGGGATAGCATTAGGAGATATACCTAATGCTAAATGACGAGTTAATGGGTGCAGCACACCAACATGGCACATGTATACATATGTAACAAACCTGCACATTGTGCACATGTACCCTGAAACTTAAAGTATAATAATAATAAAATTAAAAAAAATAAAAAATAATAGATGTTGGCATGGATGTGGTGAAAAGGAAACACTTTTTCACTGCTGGTGGGAATGTAAACTAGTACAACAACTATGGAAAACAGTGTGGAGATTCCTTAAAGAACTAAAAGTAGATCTACCATTTGATCCAGCAATCCCACTACTGGGTATCTACCCAAAGAAAAAGAAGTCATTATATGAAAAAGACACTTGCACACGAATGTTTATAGCAGCACAATTTGCAATTGCAAAAATATAGAACCAGTCCAAATGCCCATCGATTAACAAGTGGATAAAGAAAATGTTATATATATATATATATATATATATATATATATATATATATATACCATGAAATTCTACTCAGCCATAGAAAGGAGTGAAATAATGCCATTTGCAGTAACCTGGAAGGAGTTAGAGACCATTACTCTAAGTGAAGTAACTTGGGAATGGAAAACTAAACATTGTATTGACTCACTTGTAAGTGGGAGCTAAGCTATGAGGAGGCAAAGACATAAGAGTGATACGATGGACTTTGGGGACTCAAGGGAGAAGGGTGGGAGGGGGATGAGGGATAAAAGACTACACACTGGGTACAGTGTACACTGTTTGGGTGATGGGTGCACCAAAATATCAAAAATCACCACTATAGAACTTATCCATGTAACCAACCACCATCTGTTCCTTAAAAACCTATTGAAATAAAAAATTAAAAATAAACGTTGTTGTCAGATTAAAAAGAAACAATGTTGCTTTTTAAAACATATTCAGAGTCGTGCAATCATCAGTACAATTGGTTTTAGAATCTTTTCATTACTGCAAATAGGATCCCCCATATCTTTCAGTTATCACCCCTCATTTCCCTCATTCCCCTTCCCAGACAACAATTAATATAGTTTCTGTCTATATTTGACTATTCTGGACATTTCCTATAAATGGAAATGTATAATATGTTGTCATTTGTGATGTTTTCTTTTACTTAATATACTGTTTTTCAAGTGTATCCATGTTGTAGCATGTATCAGGACACCATTCCTTCTTATGACCAAATAAAATTGATTGTGTGAATATACTATATTTTGTTTATTCGTTCAACATTTGATGGACTTTTTGGGGGGTACTTTTTGGCTATTATGAATAATGTTGCTATGAGCATTTGTATACAAGTTTATGTATGAAAATATGTTTTCATTTCCCTTGGGTATATACCTAGGAGTGGAATTGTTGGGATATGTCATAACTTTGTTTAATCTTTTGAAGAATGGCCAGACTGTTTTCTAAAGTGGAAGCATCTTCCACTTCTCGTTAGCGGCATATTAACTTTTTAATTTTTCCACGTTCTCTCCAATACTCGTTATTTTTTGTTTTTAAAAATTATCGCTATCTTGGTATGCGGGAAGGGTATCTCATTGTGGTTTTGGTTTGCATTACCCTAATTAATAATAATGAGCATCTTTTCATGTGCTTATTAGCCTTTGGATGACCTTATATGACCTTTGGATAAATGTCTATTAAGTTTCTTGGCCCTTTTTAAATTTGATTACTTGTCTTTTAATTGTTGAATTGAAATAATTATCCATATATTCTGGATACTAGACACTTATGAGACAAATGATTTTTATTCCTTATTCCATTCAGTGGGTGATGTTTCACTTTCTTGATGGTATTCTTTGAAGCACAGATGTTTTTAATTTGGATAATGTTCAATTCTTCTATTTTTTATTGTGTTGCTTGTGCTTTTAATGTCATAACTAAGAAAACACTTCCTAATTTAAGGTGATTTACACCTAAGTATGTAAATTATAGGTAAAACTGTAAATCGTTGGTAAAATTGGTAAAATCAATTTTACCAATTTTGATTTTACCAATTTTACCATAGGTGTAAATCATTGGTAAAACACCTATGTAAAATAATTACATAGTATTTGGCCAGGTGCAGTGGCTCACGCCTGTAATCCCAGCACTTTGGGAGGCCGAGGCAGGTGGATAACCTGAGATCAGGAGCTCGACAACGGCCTGGCCAACATGGTGAAACCCTGTCTCTACTAAAAATATAAAAAAATTAGCCAGGCGTGGTGGCGCATGTCTGTAATCCAAGCTACTGGGGAGGCCGAGGCAGGAGAATTGCTTGAACTGGGGAGCAGAAGTTGTAGTGAGCCGAGATCATGCCACTGCACTTGAGCCTGGGCGACAGTATGAGATGCTATCTCAAAAAAAAAAAAATTACATAGTATTTATGTAACTACACCTGACTTACACCACTAAGGATTTGAATCATTGGTAAAATCATTACCAATGATTTTCACCTATGATTTCTTCTAAGATATTTATGATTTTAGCCCTTACACTTTGGTCTTTGATTTATTTTGAGTTTACCTTTTTTTTTTTTTTTTTTGAGAGGGAGAGGATCTGGCTCTGTGGCTCAGGCTGGCAAGCAGTGGCGCAATCTCTGCTCACTGCAACCTCCACCTCCTGGGCTCATGCAACCCTCCCGCCTCAGTCTCCTGGGTAGCTGGAATTACAGGCACACCCCACCATACCCGGCTAATTTTCATATTTTTCTTTTGGTAGAGACAGCGTTTTGCCATGTTGCCCAGGCCAGTATCTTTATCCTTAGTAACATTTTAAATTTTATTTTGACTGATTATTAATATCAGTTACTGCAGCTTCCTTATGGCTAATATTTGAATGATTTATCTTTTTTCCCTCCTTATTTTCAAACTATTTATGTTTTTGAAAATAAAGTATATCTTCTCTAGACAGAATATTTTTGCATTTCCTTTTAATCCAGTCTGGCAGTCTCTGCCTTTTAATTGAATTGTTTAATATATTCACATTAAATGTTATTAATGATGTAATTGGATTTTTTTACCTTTTATTTTACATTTTACTTTTTGTTTTTTATATGCCTTATGATTTTTCTCTCTTCTTCTTTTATTTACATTAAGTGAATATATTCTAATGTAATATTTTAATTATTTTAATCATGTTAAATATGTATTTTTGAGATAGTTGCTTAGTGGTTGCCCTAGGGCTTATGATACAACCTTAAAATAATCTACTTCAGAATCATACAAACTTAATTACAGTGAGATAGAGACTTTACTGTATCTAGCTGTCTTTTTTGTATTATTATTAATACACATATGTAACTATGTTATAAACTGAATATAATCTTGTCATTATCACTTTATATGATGATTTTACATCCTTTAAGAAAGCCGAGAAGAAGTAATAAATATATATTTATGGATTGTTATATAAATTTTTTGTTTAGAGATGGGTTCTTGCTATGTTGCCTGGGTTTAACTCAAAATCCTGGGCTCAAGCAATCCTTCTACTTCAGCCTCCCAAGTAGCTGGGAATACAGTTGCATACCACTGCACCCAACTTAATATTTTATTGTAAATATATCACATCTTTAATATTATATGGCCAAAAGTATACTTATATGCATATTTAACACAATTGCTTTTATAGTAATTAAGAAAAGAAAGGACAAGGAATGTACAATTATAAAGTCATTTATACTTCTCTGTTTTTTTTGTAAGGACTTAAATTACATTCTGAGATCTCTTGCTTTCAGCTTGAATAATGTACTTTAGTATTTCTTGTAGGACAGGTCAAATAGTAACAAATTCAGTTTTTGTTTTTCTGGTAATAGCTTTATTTCTCTTCATATTTGAAAGATACTTTTTATTGAAAGCCTTTGTCTGTTAAATCCTAAATTCAAGCCCTGATATAGGATGTTTCCTGCTTTTTTTTTTTCCTTTGTATGGGTCTTACATTCTTGTCTCTTTGCATGTCTTGTAATTTTTTTGTTGACAACTGGCTATTTGAGGTAATGTAGTATGCCAAATATGGATTCTGATTCTCCTCCCTCCTTTCAGGGAATTATTTTTGCTGTTGTTTGCTTGTTTTTTAATTTAATTACTTGAATAGATTATTGTAATGGTGCCTATTGCCTTTTTATATGAAGTCTTTGTTATCACTCCTCAGAGGGCAGACCCTTTGGCATGCACACAGTCATCATGGTATGACTGGTTTTAGCCCTGTTTCTTTCACTGATTTTTATTTTCCACAGTCGGCCTTGTTTGGTATCACACACAGCTGTTAGCTTGCACTAATTCCCAGCAAATTTCTCTATTGTTGTTCACGTTGTCCTGTGGTATACATTTTTCTACAGTCTGATCACATTAACGTTAGGCAGAAGTAGTTTTGGCAGTTTGTTCTGACATCAGAGGGGCTCTTTCTAGTTGTCTCTTTCCATATCTTTCTCTGGTGAACTAGCCGGCCTATAGTTTAGCTTGTTGCTTTTAACTAAAAGGAGCTATTATTTTTTTTTTAGAATGCCCTAAGGCCTCAACTTCCCCACACTCTTTTCAAATAGTCAGCTCTTTGCGGGAGAGTTTTGGAGTTCTCCTCTTATTGATTCTTCTTCTTCTGCACAAAATCGCTGAGCCACTTATCCAGTTACTGTCTAGAGTGGTAGTCTCTTGTTTTCTTGACTTTCTTCAGTTACTGTAAAACCTCTGTCCTTCTAGCAAGATGGCAATTGGGAAACCAAAATTTCTTAGTCTTGTTTCTGGAAGCTGGGGAGAAAGGGAGACCCAGATCTCTTGGCTTCACTCTGTAGGAATTTAGCCTCTGCAACATAGATTTGGAGAGGGTGAGAAATGTTAGTAACCAGCCCCTCCTGATGAGGTACCCTATTCTTTAACTGGAACTGAAGAGAGAAACAAGACCATCTTCTTAGTCACACAAGCCCAGATTTGAACTTCTGTTAAGCTGAGGTAATGATGGGAGAGGGAGCAGTTCACAATTCAAATGCAACACACTCTTACTGTTATTACCAAGTTTTAGGGGATTTTCCTGAATAACCGTTTCTTTATTTGCTGTACGCCCTTGGGACAATTTCCAGAGACTTTAAATGGTTGTGTGTGTGTTTAATAGATTTTACCAGTTACGCTTGTTTCACTGAGGAATGGATCTGTAGTACTCCTTACACTGCCGTATCAGAAATTTATAATCTCATTTGATTATAAATTTATCTTAAAGAATCTGTCATCTGGTTGTCATATATCTAAAACTGCACACTTATATGTCTAATATTTATCACTATAGAAAAGATACATGGATATAGAAAGTCTGTTATAACTGTTTTTTATATCATAAGCATTTTACATTTGACATTAGCAACATGGTCTTATTTTTCACAGAATTTTTGTTGCCTAGCATTATTCTTTTTCCTTTAACTTTTAGATTGTTATTGTGTCATATTTTGATTTGCCAATCACATTCATCAATTAGGAAAAAATTTGTATAGAAGCACAAGAAATTAATAATATGCCAAAGTCAGTTTTACCAATTATCTCAGTGGAAGAGATTAAAATAATATGTATAGTTCTAAGGCATGGCAAATATAATGTTTTAACTTATTAATATAATTAAATGCATTATTTAGCTAATGAAACAGAAAAAAGATCCCCTACATTCTGTAAAACAGGTAAAATAGCAATTGGGCTGAGGGCATTTGCACAAAGCTTTTTTAAAAAAAGTATTTAAACTTCTATAATCTACAATCCAGACTTTTTGTGATACAGGCTGAACTTCCAGGGAGCGCATACTTAAATTCCAGCTCTTTCACTTACTTATTGAATACTCTTGGGTTTTCTCACCTCTCTGTGCCATGGTTTCCTCAGCTGCTAATGAGAATAAATAATAACTGTCCTTCCTTATAAGGTTGTTGCAGGGGCATGATGAAATAATGCAAATGAAACCTCTTATAAAGTGATATGCAAATATTAGGGACCATTGCAATATTTCTGTGTGGAATATCATAGTGACTTAGACTATGTCCCTATACAAAAAGTACTTTATTATATAAACTCTGCACAGAACAAAATACATGGTATTATGTTTCAATACAGAATAGCTCTTATAATATAAATCTAATTTTGTTTTAAAAATTTACAAAAACTTAAGTCAGTAGCGTGAAGGCACAAAAAAATGGCAGGTTACTTTAATTATAGCAGTTATTGGTTACAGACTGCCCGAGAGAGAGAGAGAGGGAGAGAAGCAAATTAAAATGTTTAATATGTCTGGTCCACCACAGATATTTTTCTCTTTACCCTCTGCTTAAAAAAATTCTAAGGAAAGCAAGAGTATTGTTCTCACTCTTTTTCTTTTATATTTCTAATTTTGGACTTCTAAGTTTTCTGACTAGCCATAGGATATAATCTTTCAATATTTGTAATTTACGTTTAAGCAATGTTACATTTATTACCCATAAATTAGTTTCTGATTTTTATTAACACAAATATTTTTAAAAAGGAAAAAAGCCTATTTAAGAACTTCATTTGTCCCTTCAACTGAAAAACGAACATCTATTCTTTGCCTTTAAGACTCTTGTATATTTTATATGTTTTTCATATACAGTAGAAAATAAGCTTATAAGAAACTAAACATAAATTAAAATATACCAATGTACATTAGAAATAAAAATAAAGTTAGTATTTATTTATGTGAAATTAAACTTTCTTTTATCCAAGGCTTAGAAATGAATGTCTTAAACTTGAAATTCGGCAAGATACCAATGTTGACAGGATTTTATTGACACATTAAAAACAGTGTTAAAATTATAATCTAGAGTAGTCTGATTTTACTAATAAGCTATAATACCACTCTCTGTTTCTCTTCATTATTTTCTTTTATAAACTAAACTGAACTTCCACAAGTTTTTATGTAGACTCCAGCGTTTGTTATAAGTTATCGCAGAGATTTCTCAGAAGATTACAATATAAACAATACACATACATACACGTGTATATTGATAGCTGTTGTGGTGGTGATAGGGGGGTGTTTAATATCCTATTTTCCATCTCACCTAGGTTTGAAAATGACACAGTATTAACTCCTTCCTTACAATATGCTTTTATCTAGAAATAAAAATATATGTTGTATGGAATTTAAGAGGATGAGAAATTGTTATTTAATCAAAGTTTTCAACAAGGAAGCCAAGAAAAGGGATGTAAACCATTTGATGAAGAGAAAAAAGCCTAATAAAAAGGCAGAAATTATTTTTACAGTAAAATGATTGAACTGGATCCTCAGAATAAGGTAAATCAAATAAAGAGATCCTTAGAAATCTGTTGGTTTCAGAATATAAAGATGCAATTGCCTACATTAAGCTTAAATTTAAGTCATACACGACTAAAATATCTTGTGATATTTGAGATACTTGATACATTTTCCTGAAGTAGTTTATATTGGTATAAAAAGGAACTTAGGTTTGAATTTATCTTTTAAAAATTGCTAACAATGTGGCCTTGTGCAAAAGAGTTAACCACTCTGATATATAATTTCATTATCTTTAAAATGGGAATAACAAAACCTACATCAAGGATTGTTGGGAAGAATCAAAGGAATGATAAAACTGTTTTGTAAACTGTTGGCTGCTATTCAAATGTTATTTTATGTAATAATTTTCAAACTATGGGGAGATTATAATAATGGCAACATTTTGTGACATATTCTAGGACAATATATATTGTGGCAAAGTCCTTTTAATAATAGTATGCCTATTTTGTGTTTGCTATTAGACAGGCAACATCAAAAATGAAGATTAAACAATATGTGTCTTAGCTAAAATCAGGCAAAATAGCATAATTGAGTCAATATGCAGACAAGACATGAGTTACTTATTAAGGATGAGCTGTGTATGTCAGGAAGGATTTTATATGGGATTTACCTGTATTCTTTGGCCACTTTTTTAGGAGTACTTTATAATATCAGTGAAATTATAACGTAAGTAATGTACAGAAAGGACCCTAATAGAGATTTACTGCTTTGGACACATTATAAATGGGCATCAGAAATAAACTATTTGCAGAGATAAAAAAGAATAAGGTCCAGTTAAATAATGCATGTATTAATAGAGTTAATGCTTGGCAAAAATGATAAGCCTCTCTGCATGGTAAGTCTACTTGGAACTTGGAATATTAAAGTTATTACTCCAGATGTCAACAGAAACAAAACTGAGAAATTTTTTTTAATATTAAGTAGTGGGTTTTTTTTTTGTTTGTTGAAATGAAAAAAAAAAGACAGTGTATATTAGTATTGTGTAAAAGAAAACTAATCCATATGTAATTAGTTTAAGTCCTGTAAAATTTGCTCATCAAAGGATCTTTGTATAGTTAGCGAAGTAGGAAGGGAAAAGTAAAGCCTGGGAAGGTGAGGTACTTGCTCAAGATCATACAGCTACCTTGTGCCAGGTCTGGAAGTAGGACTTTCCAGGCACTTTCCTTCTGGTCCACTATCCTTTTCATTATTGTATAGTATCTTAATTATCTAGATAAAATAAAAGAAAAACACATAATGTATCAGTTATTGTAAGTGTCTGTAATATATACATGCCCTTTCAAATGTTTTATTAGGAAATGAAGAGTTGCTTTATTCATTTGTTTCTGAAATAATGAATCTCGTGATCCTTAGATCCTCATCCAATTTGATAGCCACTAGGTACATGTAGCTATTAAAATGATAATTGAAATTAACTAAAAATTATAAATTTCTCAATGGCACTGGCTGTATTTCAAGTGCTTAATAGTAACATGTAGCTCATGGTTGTTGTATTGGGCAGCACAGACATAGAACATTCCACATAGAACATTCCAATCATTGCAGAAAGTTCTATTGGACAGTGTGGCTGTAGATGCTCTGTCAGGGGGATAGAGAAGGGGCCAGCAAGGCTGGCTTGATCCAAGTGATCACTGCTACTGCTACCACTACCATTATTGTATTATAGTTCTTAAAAACCACTATATATCATTATTTCCAATTCTTTTAAAAATTTGTAATGCTTATCTATTGATAACATATAAATATATTTTAAAGTTGAGAACAATTAAACAACCGTTTAGTGTAAAACAGCTATCATAAAGCTAAAATTCAAATGCAGGTGTCTATCTGGTCAGATGTTTCAAAGTCTTGGTTTCCTTATGTTTAAATTGGAATAATAATATTACTATCTCATGCAAATGTGGTGAGGATTAAATAGATTTAATGTAATAATGTAAGTCTTGTGCTTGGTATCAAAATGAGTAGTTAATAATGGCAGCAATGGCTAATGACTTGTAATAGTAAGATGTAACCCCTTTTCTAGGATTTTAAACTATGAGTTAAAATGCCTTAACCCAAAATAATAATTATAACATAGCCAAATTTTTGTTGCATTTTACTCTTTGCATGAAAATAATTACATAAGATATTGTCTTTTAATTCTAACAACAGATAAGGAAATTTAGTGTTTAGAGAGATTACATAATTTGCATGTGACTCAGGAGTTGTAAATATGAACCTAAATCCAGTTCTTGTGAAGCCTAGTTATACTTTCATAATACTGTGCTAATGGTAGGATTTTAGGCAGTATTTAAAGCAACTAAAGAAATAAAGGTTGGTGCAAACTTAATGGTGGCCCTTGCCATTAAAAGTAATGGCAAAATGTCATTAAATTAGTTTTAATGGCAAAGACCGTCATTACGTTTGCATCAACCTAATAGTTTTGTTCTGAATGTGTAAGGCTAAACTTTGAATCAGCCACTGTTTGCTTATGTTATGTGGTTTGGATACGCATAGAAAAATGGAATCTGTCAAGTTCAGGACTCCTGATGCTCAATTGTGATAAGAAAACCAGATTCAAATTCTTATATAATAAATGTTTAATTTTTACTTTTTCTCCAACAAAATAAATGCTTTCCAGAAATACCTTCTATGTAAAGGAGAAGCATAATTTATTCACTATTATTATTTGAAAGGTCATTTTATACATGCAAAATCCCAAGTTGTTCTTTGCCACCTGACACATTTTGATTCTCCATAGATTTATCCCTGTCTTCATTTACTAAATTAAAAAAGACAAACCCACGGTTTATGTAACATTTCAAATATGATCAGAGGAAATTGTCGGCCTTGTTTGTAGCAACCAATGCAGTCATATCAACTTAACTAAGAAGGATTATTTCTGATTAGAGGCCTAAAAGAGAATATTTAATGTCATAGCTCAAACTAGCTAAAAAAAAAAAAAAGAAAGGATATACTGCTTTGTTAAAAGCCATAACAGGCCTTTGAGAACTACAAATGAAACTCCTTTCATAAATCACCCACTGCAGTTGGTGCCAGCACTTAGCTCAGTATTTGACTTCCTTTTCTTGTGAGTCACAAGCCTGTATTATCAACTTCTAAACATATACAGGGGAACACTGATGAGAGTTACTCCCAGGATTACCATCACATACAAGGGGATTCTGATAACTTTAATTAAAAGATATTGAACTTCTTTCAAACTTTTATATCAATGAATAGCATGAAGTAATTGCAGACTGATATTGAAAACTATGTGAAGGTATTGGAAGGTTCTGTAATACTAAGCTTCGAACATAAGTTAAGGCTGACTGTAAACACAATTTACTTGGCAGCATTTCATTGAAAGATAATTTGGATCTGTGGCTGCCAACCCACACTGAGGGATTCCGGAGACAAAACAGAACACTCATACATACACACACACACACACACTCTCTCTCTCTCACACACACACACACACACACACACACAAACACACATACACATTCTCTCTCTCCCCCCCCACACACAGACAACACACACACACACACACACACACACACACACACTTCACAGACACCTTGTCAGAAACAGTGCCAAAGCTGTTTCAAACAAATGGAAATATAGAGCTTGGGAAAAATGGAAAAATGAAAACTGTGGTTAGAAAACTAGAGTTGCTTTTAAAAATATATCTACATATTATACTTCTACCAGCTAATTTTTAGTAAGAACAACAGCAATCCCTGAATCTATATTGATTTTGAGCTGTCTATATTAATTATTCATAAGGCTAGTTTTCCATTTCTCCTCCCTGCCTATAACTCTGGCTTGAGTTGCTATGACTTCTTTGGGTGACTGTTTTTTTCCTGCCTGCCAATATTTTGCTATCTGAATCAAGCTATATATTTCAAAACATTAGTGACAAGTTCAGAGGGAACACTCCAGGACATTTCTGTTTTCAATATATCTCTTCTCATTTTCACCTATGTTGGCCTTAAGTATAATAATCCCAAGTACGATTTAAAAAATCAAGATTCTCTGAGCTCAGTTGATAATATTTGCAACAAGGGTTAATCCACAATTACCAGAATCTGAATTTATATGATTTTTTTTCCAACATAAAGTCAACATTTCCTAACAAAATTGTTTTATCTGGGCAATCTAATTTTCTCATTATTGTTTCTTCACATGGGGAAAAAACAAAATATTTCAGAACATAAGCATGACTTGGCCTATTGACAATCATACCAGGTAAAATTTTTGAGACATTTCTCTTAAAATAGCGTACATTTTATGAAATAATATCCACATTTACAGGTTGATTATCAAAATCTCTTTAAAACTGTAAATATTTCCTCCAAAATAATTCTTTGCCATCATACAGGTCTGATGCTTTTGAAATTACAGTCAGGGCATGGTCTAAAATAACTATGACACACTTAACAATTTAGAAACAGTACAGTTTAGATTTTTCTTGCAGTGGTATTGGATTCAGATAATATGCTACCCCTAGATAAAGTAAAGCCTTAGACAATCTGATTTACGAACGGTAGTTATTTTTGTTCACTGGAAGGGAAATTGTTATCTACCATAAGCATTCATTCATGTGAGCCACCAAAAGTAAGCAATTCCATAGAAATCACATTTGGATAACATACTTGGAAAGTGTAACATGTAAGATACCAGCATCCTATGGGATCAAACTTACATATACTTGAAATATTAAGGAAAAATATGATTACCTTGTATTTCATGGTAATGTATACTATATAATATGAACTAATTTTCTAAACTGATTTTTAAAAAACCCAAGAACTTTGGTTTAGTTTTCCATTACCAAAGAAAAATAGTAAATGACTTGAAACAGAATTATAAATTCATAAATATTCCACATATATATCGGAATTATAAAATTCATTCTTTTAAGTTATTGGTCCATGAGTGTGATCAAGAGTAATGAGAGTCTGTGTGTGTTCATATGCATGTGTGTGTGTGTGTGTGACAGAGAGAGACAGAGAGAGAAGTAAAAAGAGAGACAGAGTGAGATGGAGATGGAGAAAAGAGAGAAAAGAGAGAGCCTGCTGCTGTTCTTTTTCTTTAACAGTAAAACATTCGTGTACTCTGGCTATTTTATGTAGCCAACTTTTCCACATATATAAGAAAATGAAAACACAATCTGTTCAGTTCCTAGGACCAATTTTTCCCAGACCTTTGACTTTTTTTCTCAGACTTTTGGTAATTACTGTAACCATTCGGTTCATAACCACGTGTAAAATGGAAACAGCAATGAGGTGTATGACACTGAAATTAAAAACAAACAGACAAACAGAAAACCTTTAAAAGTATCCCTTAAATGCAAATAAGTAACTGCTTAAAAATAATGATGATTTTGGCAGTATCCATGGCACTGTTTTCTTTTGCATATTTCAAAATGAGTCACAGGTAGCTTAAATTCATTATTCTACAAAGTGTAATTTAGACCACACAATATATGCAAGCAAAAGAAAAGTTTTTCTCCTTTAAATTAATTTTGTTTGTAGCATATGTTTTTATTTTGTGCCAGGCTAGAAATGAATAGAGACACAATTTGTTCTGCTACCACAAAATCTTGGACATGGTTATGTCAAAATCAATCTAATTGTGGGATCCACTAAATTTTGATGCTATTTTATCTAGCATATTAAGTGAAAGAGTTAGATAAATGCCATGCCAATGAGTTCCTAAAATCAACAATCTAATTTCAAAGCACTATTTTGCAGGAAATCTCTCTTTGCTATTAAATTCTGGTTTATTAGAAATGAATGAACATGTCCATCATTATCCAATTGACATTTCCAATTGCAAGGTTGTATCTATTCAGTTACACTAAGACTCTTCTGAGAACTTCTGGCCCCTAGAGCAGTCACGTGTATGCATCTGTTAGGCTTTCTTCCTTCTCCAATTATAGTATTCTATCAGTGAAATTACCATCAATACTATGCACAACACGGGTGTTTGTGAGAACATATCCTCCACCCCCGCCCCAGTAAGAAGGTCCAGGAGAAGGTGTACTGAAGGTCAACTACTAGTCATAGGCTGCTATTATCAATAGAACAAAAAAAAAAAAGCCCAATTTTAAAAGGCTGCAATTGGGAACACCTGGGAATATTGAATTCTCTGTACTGTTTGCCTAGCGGGGCGTGGTAGTGCTCTCTGCCAATTTATATAATTATTTAAAAAATTGGCATTACCTTTTTCTTCCTTAGCCAAAAATGCTGTTAAATACATTCCATTTGAATAATTTTGGCCCTCTCACAGCTAGTCAACCTTGCTGCCTGCTTTTCCTGTGAGTGGTACTGTTAATTGACTTTCTTAACCTTCTATTATCCAAAATGAAGTGTAGGACTGACCTGTTAGCATTTCAAAAATCAGCATGGGTGGTACACAGCCTTTCCTATAGGAAGAATTTGTGGTTTGCCAATTAATCAACATAAACTCACAATTCAATCTGCAAAAATGTTTAAAGCACAGACAAAATGGAGTTCCTTGGGTTTGTACAAACTCTCCCCCACTAATTTCTATAGATTAATTTTTAATGCTTTCTGATTAATCATATTTCAAGCTTATACAATTCAATCAATATGCCTTGAATCTTTGTAGTAAATGACATATGCATCTTTTTGAAAGAAGTAATTATACTTTCAGAAAATAGTTTCCATTATTCTTCCATTGCCAGGCAATATACTGCTATCATTAATAACAATTACTCAAGCAAATGGGCTATACTTGTAACTTTTTGACAGCAATGCAAGTATCAAAAATCTGTAGGAATCTAGGAATCAACAGACTTAACTCACTGGCTACATACTTTGGTCACATAAATTGGTGGCTGCATACTTTGGTCACATAAATTGGTGGCTGCATACTTTGGGCACATAAATCGATGTCAGTGGGCTTCAGCTTCCCCAATTGTCTAACTCGGACTGTTATCAATAACAAATGCTGTATGTTAACTTTTTTAAAACTTCACCATGGATCGACAAAATGTTAATTCATACACTAGCATTTGAGAATAACTATAATTTCAAAGGTCTTGCTATAGGTACAATTATATCTTATTATATTATATTAGAATAAGTTAGATCCAGTTAGATATAAAAACATACATAAACTAAAAAGTCAACATCTACTTGCATATTCATTAGTTGAGTGTAGAATTGTCTTATGATCTAATCTTGTTTCTTTTCTTTCTATTTCTCTTGTCTAATCTCTTCTTGTACTTTAACTTTCCTCATTGGAACCTGACTAAAATAGTCACAAAAAATTTTAACCATATATATGAGTTACTATTATAATTCATTCAAGGATAAGAAATGTATTTAGCTCTATAAGAGATACAAATTCAGAAATTCAGAGAATCATCCAAAGGTGAATTTTTCCTAATGGACATGAAGTAGTTATCTCAATCAATACTCAACTCTATTTTTTTACTTACTTCTTTGATACAGGCTCACCTTGTTTAGAGCATTTCCAAAAAAATCATTTCCAACTGAATAGGACAATGTGATATAATGTCAGAAGTTAAGGATCTTAGAGATTGGAATAAATTAACAGCAAAGTCAATGAAATGCCTATTATTTCAAACCATTACAGCCAAAACCAAATAAATTGAGATTTAAGTGGAAAAGAGGGAGAAAATTCTTTAATCTTATATTCTCAGGAAATGAATTTACCAGGACTAACCATGTTTGGGATTTAGCATTTAAAACCATTTTAATAAACTGGAGTTTTCAATTAAGAGCAATGGAGATTCCAGATTCCAAAGATATAAATTCCACTTAGTGAAGCCAAAAATGTTTTAAGCATCTCTTGGGAAGTAATAATCCTCTTTCACATGTGGCAATAACAAGATGCTTTTGCAGATTATCTCCTAAAATCTTGAAGGCATAAATTCAGATTGACGGGTGAATTAGACTCTAAAATATGCTATGGTTAGAAAAATGATTACTTTGATCACAGTTTAGGGGTTACAATTTTTTTAAATTAAAAAATTAATTTACAACCAACCCAGAGATATTCAAACACTCTTTTAAATGAGTAGAAAAACTCCGCAAATCTCTTTGATGGGCTTTAATATACTGTAGGTGTTCAATAAAAAAATTTTGGCAATAACTCTTTAGGCCTTAGGATGGTTTAATAAGTGACATCTGCTTTTTTTTCTATTGTGGTAAAAAAAAAAAACCACACAGCATGAGCTCTACCCTCAACAAATGTTTAAGTGTGCAGTACAGTATTGTTAACTGTCAGCACAGTATTGTACAGCAGACCACTAAAACGTTTTTGTTTTCTATGACTAAAATTCTATACCATTAAACAGCAGTTTTCCATTTCTCCCTTCCCCTAGTCCCTGGAAGGCCATTCTACTTTCTGTTTTTGTTGTTTTATGGTTTTTTTTTTTTTTTTTTTTTTTTTTTTGCTTCTATGAGTTTGATTAAATTAGATGCCTCATAAAAGTGGAATCGTGGTATTTGTCCTTCTGTGATTGGTTTATTTCATGTAGGATGATGTCTTCAAGGTCCATCCATGTTGCAGCATGTAACAGAGCTTCCTTCTTTTTAAAGGCTGAATAATATTTCATTGTATGTATATGCCACATTGACTTTTTTTTTTTTGTCTTTTTGAGATGGAGTTTTACTCTCGTTGCTCAGGCTGGAGTGCAATGGTGCGATCTCAGCTCACTGCAACCTCCGCCTACCAGGTTCAAGCGATTCTCCTGTCTCAGCCTCCCAAGTAGCTGGGATTACAGGCATGTGCCACCACGCCAGGCTAATTTTGTATTTTTAGTAGAGACGGGGTTTCTCCATGTTGGTCAGGCTGGTCTCGAACTCTTGACGTCAGGTGATCCGTCCGCCTTGGCCTCCCAAAGTGCTGGGATTTACAGTCGTGAGCCACTGTGCCCAGCCCACATTGGCTTTATACATTCATTGATGAACATAAGATGCTTCCATATCTTAGCTATTGTAACTAGCGCTACAAAGAACATGAAAGTGCAAATATTTCTTCAAGATACTAATGTTAATTCTTTTGGATCTATATGCAAAAGTGCAATCACTGGAATATATAGAAGTTCTATTTTCAGTATTTTGAAGAACCTTTATGCTGTTTGCCATATAAGCTGCACAATTTTACATTCTCATCACTAGGGTTTCAATTTTCTCCACACTCTCACTAGCACTTGTTATTTTCTGTTGTTTTGATAGTGGTCATCCTAGCAAGTGCGAGGTGTTACATCATTGTGGCTTTGATTTGTGTATCTCTGATGATAAATGATGTTCAGCATCTTTTCATATACCTGTTGGCCATTACATATGTCTTCTTTTGAGAAATGTCTGTTAAAGTCCTTTGCCCATTTTAACACTAGGCTGTTTTATTGCTATTAAGTTGTAGGAGTTCCTTATATAATTTGGATATTAACCCCTTACTAGATACACGCTTTGCAAATATTTTCTTCCATTTCATAGGTTGTCTTTTCACTCTTTTAATTATACCCTTGGCTATCAAGAAGCTTTTTAGTTTGATGTAGTCCCAACTTACCTATTTTTGCTTTTGTTGCTTGTGATTCTGGGGTCACATCCAAGAAATCATTGCCAAGACCAGTGCTGTGGAGCTTTTCCTCTATGTTTTCTTATTTTATTTTTATTTTTGAGACAGAGTGTCACTCTGTCTCCCAGACTGAAGTGCAGTGGCACGATCACAGCTCAATGCAGCCTTGACCTCTCCAGACTCAGGTGATCTCCCACCTCAACCTCCCAAGTAGCTGAGACTATAGCCATGCACCACCATGCCCAGCTAATTTTTTCTATATATATATATTTTTTTTTTTAAATTGAGGCAGGATTTTGCCATGTTGCCCAAGCTGGTCTCAATCTCCTGGGCTCAAGCAACCTGCCCACCTCAGCCTTTCAAATTGTTGAGATTACAGGCATGAGTCAGTTCACCATTTTACTGTGCTTGGCCATCCCGTATGTTTTCTTCTAGGAGTTTTACAGTTTCAGGTCTTACATGTAATTCTGTTTTTTTTAAGTTCTGGGGTACATATGCAGGATGTGCAAGTTTGTTACATAGGTAAACGCGTGCCATGGTGATTTGTGGCACCTACCAACCCATCACCTAGGTATTAAGCCCAATATGCATTAGCTCTTTTCCCTAATGCTCTCCTCTCCCCCACCCTCCCCAACAGGCCCCAGTAAGTATTGTTCCCCTCCCTGTGTGCATGTGTTCTCATTGTTCAGCTCCCGCTTAAAAGTGAGAACAAGGGGTCTTTGGTTTTCTGTTCCTGTGTTAGTTTGCTGAGGATAATGGCTTCCAGCTTCATCTATGTCCCTGCAAAGGACGTGATCTCGTTCCTTCTTATGGATGCATAGTATTCCATGGTGTCTATGTACCACCTTTTCTTTATCTAGTCTATCATTGATGGGCATTTCGGTTGATTACATGTCTTTGCGATTGTGAATAGTGCTGCAATGAACATACACATGCATGTATCTTTATAATAGAATGATTTATATTCCTTTGCGTATATACCCAGTAGTGGGATTGCTGGGTCAAATGGTATTTCCAGTTCTAAATCTTTGAGGAATTGCCACATTGTCTTCCACAATGGTTGAAGTAATTTACATTCCCACCAACAGTGTACAAGCATTCCTATTTCTCTGCAACCTCATCAGCATGTGTTTTTTCTTGACTTTTTAATAATCGTCATTCTGACTGGCGTGAGATGGTATCTCTTTGTGGTTTATTATTATTATTATTATTATTTTATTATTATTATACTTTAAGTGTTAGGGTACATGTGCACAACATGCAGATTTGTTACATATGCATACATGTGCCATGTTTGTTTGCTGCACCCATTAACTTGCCATTTAGCATTAGGTATATCTCCTAATGCTATCCCTCCCCCCTCCCCCCACCCCACAACAGAACAGTGTGTTATGTTCCCCTTCCTGTGTCCATGTGTTCTCATTGTTCAATTCCCACCTATGAGTGAGAACATGTGGTGTTTGGTTTTTTGTCCTTGCAATAGTTTGCTGAGAATGATGGTTTCCAGCTTCATCCATGTCCCTACAAGGGACATGAACTCATCATTTTTTATGGCTGCATAGTATTCCATGGTGTATATGTGCCACATTTTCTTAATGCAGTCTATCATTGTTGGATATTTGGGTTGGTTCCAAGTCCTTCCTATTGTGAATAGTGCCACAATAAACATATGCATGCATGTGTCTTTATAGCAGCATGATTTATAGTCCTTTGGGTATATACCCAGTAATGGGATGGCTGGGTCAAATGGTATTTCTAGTTCTACATCCCTAAGGAATCACCACACCGACTTCCACAATGGTTGAACTAGTTTACAGTCCCACCAACAGTGTAAAAGTGTTCCTATTTCTCCACATCCTCTCCAGCACCTGTTTTTTCCTGACTTTTTAATGATCACCATTCTAACTGGTGTGAGATGGTATCTCGTTGTGGTTTTGATTTGCATTTCTCTGATGGCCAGTGATGATGAGCATTTTTTCATGTGTTTTTTGGCTGCATAAATGTCTTCTTTTGAGAAGTGTCTGTTCATGTCCTTCGCCCACTTTTTGATGGGGTTGTTTGTTTTTTTCTTGTAAATTTGTTTGAGTTCATTGTAGATTCTGGATATTAGCCCTTTGTCAGATGAGTAGGTTGCAAAAATGTTCTCCCATTCTGTAGGTTGCCTGTTCACTCTGATGGTAGTTTCTTTTGCTGTGCAGAAGCTCTTTAGTTTAATTAGATCCCATTTGTCAATTTTGGCTTTTGTTGCCATTGATTTTGGTGTTTTAGACATGAAGTACTTGCCCATGCCTATGTCCTGAATGGCATTGCCTAGGTTTTCTTCTAGGGTTTTTATGGTTTTAGGTCTAACAAGTAAGTCTTTAATCCATCTTGAATTAATTTTTCTATAAGGTGTAAGGAAGGGATCCAGTTTCAGCTTTCTGCATATGGCTAGCCAGTTTTCCCAGCACCATTTATTAAATAGGGAATCCTTTCCCCATTGCTTGTTTTTCTCACGTTTGTCAAAGATCAGATGGTTGTAGATATGCGGCATTATTTCTGAGGGCTCTGTTCTGTTCCATTGATCTATATCTCTGTTTTGGTACCAGTACCATGCTGTTTTGGTTACTGTAGCCTTGTAGTATAGTTTGAAGTCAGGTAGCATGATGCCTCCAGCTTTGTTCTTTGGCTTAGGATTGACTTGGCAACGCAGGCTCTTTTTTGGTTCCATATGAACTTTAAAGTAGTTTTTTCCAATTCTGTGAAGAAAGTCATTGGTAGCTTGATGGGGATGGCATTGAATCTATAAATTACCTTGGACAGTATGGCCATTTTCACGATATTAATTCTTCCTACCCATGAGCATGGAATGTCCTTCCATTTGTTTGTATCCTCTTTTATTTCATTGAGCAGTGGTTTGTAGTTCTCCTTGAAGAGGTCCTTCAATCCCTTGTAAGTTGCATCCCTAGGTATTTTATTCTCTTTGAAGCAATTGTGAATGGGAGTTCACTCATGATTTGGCTCTCTGTTTGTCTATTATTGGTGTATAAGAATGCTTGTGATTTTTGCACATCAATTTTGTATCCTGACACTTTGCGGAAGTTGCTTATCAGCCTGAGGAGATTTTGGGCTGAGACAGTGGGGTTTTCTAGATATACAATCATGTCATCTGCAAACAGGGACAATTTGACTTCCTCTTTTCCTAATTTAATGCCCTTTATTTCCTTCTCCTGCCTGATTGCCCTGGCCAGAACTTCCAACACTAAGTTGAATAGGAGTGATGAGAGAGGGCATCCCTGTCTTGTGCCAGTTTTCAAAGGGAATGCTTCCAGTTTTTGTCCATTCAGTATGATATTGGCTGTGGGTTTGTCATAGATAGCTCTTATTATTTTGAGATACGTCCCATCAATACCTAATTTATTGGGAGTTTTTAGCATGAAGGGTTGTTGAATTTTGTCAAAGGCCTTTTCTGCATCTATTGAGATAATCATGTGGTTTTTGTCTTTGGTTCCGTTTATATGCTGGATTACATTTATTGATTTTCGTGTGTTGAGCCAGCCTTGCATCCCAGGGATGAAGCCCACTTGATCATGGTGGATAAGCTTTTTGATGTGCTGCTGGATTCGGTTTGCCAGTATTTTATTGAGGATTTTTGCATCAATGTTCATCAAGGGTATTGGTCTAAAATTCTCTTTTTTTGTTTTGTCTCTGCCCGGCTTTGGTATCAGGATGATGCTGGCCTCATAAAATGAGTTAGGGAGGATTCCCTCTTTTTCTATTGATTGGAATAGTTTCAGAAGGAATGGTACCAGCTCCTCCTTGTACCTCTGGTAGAATTCGACTGTGAATACATCTGGTCCTGGACTTTTTTTGGTTGGTAAGCTATTAATTATTGCCTCAATTTCAGAGCCTGTTATTGGTCTATTCAGAGATTCAACTTCTTCCTGGTTTAGTCTTGGGAGAGTTTATGTGTTGAGGAATTTATCCATTTCTTCTAGATTTTCTAGTTTATTTGCATAGAGGTGTTTGTAGTATTCTCTGATGGTAGTCTGTATTTCTGTGGGATCGGTGGTGATAGCCCCTTTGTCATTTTTTATTGCGTCTATTTGATTCTTCTCTCTTTTCTTCATTAGTCTTGCTAGCGGTCTATCAATTTTGTTGATCTTTTCAAAAAACCAGCTCCTGGATTCATTGATTTTTTGAAGGGATTTTTGTGTCTCTATTTCCTTCAGTTCTGCTCTGATCTTAGTTATTCCTTGCCTTCTGCTAGCTTTTGAATGTGTTTGCTCTTGCTTCTCTAGTTCTTTTAATTGTGATGTTAGGGTGTCCATTTTAGATCTTTCCTGCTTTCTCTTGTGGGCATTTAGTGCTATAAATTTCCCTCTACACACTGCTTGAATGTGTCCCAGAGATTCTGGTATGTTGTGTCTTTGTTCTCATTGGTTTCAAAGAACATCTTTATTTCTGCCTTCATTTCCTTATGTACCCAGTAGTCATTCAGGAGCAGGTTGTTCAGTTTCCATGTAGTTGAGCGGTTTTGAGTGAGTTTCTTAATCCTGAGTTCTAGTTTGATCGCACTGTGGTCTGAGAGACGAGACAGTTTGTTATAATTTCTGTTCTTTTACATTTGCTGAGGAGAGCTTTACTTCCAACTATGTTGTCAATTTTGGAATAAGTGTGGTGTGGTGCTGAAAAGAATGTATATTCTGTTGATTTGGGGTGGAGAGTTCTGTAGATGTCTATTAGGTCCGCTTGGTGCAGAGCTGAGTTCAATTCCTGGATATCCTTGTTAACTTTCCGTCTCATTGATCTGTCTAATGTTGACAGTGGGGTGTTAAAATCTCCCATCATTATTGTGTGGAAGTCTACGTCTCTTTGTAGGTCACCAATCTGGGTGCTCCTGTATTGGGTGCTTATATATTTAGGATAGTTAGCTCTTCTTGTTGAATTGATCCCTTTACCATTATGTAATGGCCTTCTTTGTCTCTTTTGATCTTTGTTGGTTTAAAGTCTGTTTTATCAGAGACTAGGATTGCAACCCCTACCTTTTTATGTTTTCCATTTGCTTGGCAGATCTTCCTCCATCCCTTTATTTTGAGCCTATGTGTGTCTCTGCACGTGAGGTGGGTTTCCTGAATACAGCACACTGATGGGTCTTGACTCTTTATCCAATTTGCGAGTCTGTGTCTTTTAATTGGAGCATTTAGCCCATTTAAAAGATTAACTTCTTTAGATTCTACATATGAGTGAGATTATGCAGTATTTGTCTTCCTGTGCCTATCTCTCCCTTTAGATCTTTCATTATTTGCTTTATATATTTAGAAGCTCTGATATTGGGTACATACACATTTACAATTGTTATATCCCCTTGATGAATTGACCTCTTTATCATTATGTAATTACTTTCTTTGTCTCTGTTTGCATTTTTTCACTTAAAGTCTATTTTGTCTGGTATAAGTATAGCTACCTCTGCTCTCTCTAGATTTCTATTTGTATGGAATATCTTTCTCTTTCCCTTCATATTTAGTATATATGTGTCATTGAAAGTGAAATGAATCTCTTGTAGGCAGTATAGACTTGGGTGTTAGTTTTTTTAAATCTTTTCAGCTACTTCATGTCTTTTGACTGAAGAATATAATCCATTTACATTCAAGTTAATTATTGATAGGTAAGGACTTACTTCTGGCATTTAATTCTTTTCTGGCTATTTTGTAGATTCTTGTTTCTTCCTCTCTTGCTGTCTTCCTTTGCGGTTTTACGATTTTCTGTAGTAGTATATTTTTATTCCTTTCTTTCCATCTTTTGTGTATCTACAATAGGTCCTTGCTTTGTGATAACCATGAAACTTACATAAAACATTTTTTTTTACTCAAAGCAGGCTATTTTAAGCTTATAACAACTAACTTTGATTGCATAAAAACTACATTGTTACTCCCCTTTCATCATTTTATGTTTTTGCTGCCACACTTTAAGTCATTGTATAAAGTGTATTCCTTAATAAATTATTGTACTTATAGTTGCTTTTAATAGATTTGTCTTTTCACCTCCATACTGGAGATACAATTGATTGGTAGAGCATAATAATAGTACTAGAATATTCTAAGTTTTGCTATGTGCTTACTTTTGGCAGTGATTTTTACACTTTTATGTTACTAATTAGCATACTTTTCTTTCAACTTAAAAAGCTACCTATAGCATTTTTTCTAAGACAGATCTAGTGGTGATGAACTCCCTCAGCTTTTGTTTGTCTTGGAAAGTCGTTATTTCACTTTTATTTTTGAATGGCAGCTTTTCCAGGTAAAGTACACTTGGTTGTCAGTTTTTTTCTTTTTCTTTCAGCACTTTAAGTAAATCATCCCAGTCTCTTCTGGCCTGCCAGATTTCTGCTGAGAAATCTGCTGATAGCCATATTGAGTCTCCCTTGTATGTAGTATGCTTCTTTTCTCTTGCTTCTTTGAATTATTTGTCTTTAACATTTGTTAATTTCATAATAATTTGTGTTGGTAAACTCTTCTTTGTTCTGAATTTGATTGGAGACCTCCAAACTTTGTGTACCTGAATGTATCTTTTCTTAGATTTAAGAAGGTTTCAACCATTGTTTCTTTAAATAATTTTTCTATTCTTTTCTTTTTGTCTTCTGCTTCTATAATTCCTAGTATGCGAAAATTGGCTCTCTTTATGTTGTTCCATAGATCTCATGGGCTTTCTTCATTCTTTTTTATTTTTTTCTTCTATGAATGATTTCAAATGAAGTTCACTAATCCTTTTTCTACTTGATCTAGTCTCCTGTTGAAGCTTGCTGTTGCATTTTTTTAAGTTTAGTCATTGTATTCTTCAGCCTCAAAACTTTTATTTTGTAATTTTTTCAATCTCTGTTTAGCTTTTTATTTTTTTCTTTTATTGTTTTTCTGACTACATTACTTTTTTAATCTGTATTATCTTATAATTTTCTAAACTTCTTTAGAATAATTATTTTGAATTCTTTGTCAGGCAATTTGTGTATTCCCAAATCTTTAGAATCAGTTACTAAAAGTTTATTGTGCTTTTTGGTGGTGTCATGTTTTCCTGATTCTTCATGATCCTTGTATTTTTATGCAAATGTCTGTGAATATGAAGAAGCAGTCGCTTCTTCCAGACTTTGTGGACTGACTCTGGTTAGGAAAGACCTTCACCTGAGAAGTAGTGGAGGAGAGACATACTGGGGAATGCTGTGGTACTGTTTCTACTTGTGTGAGGCACCAAGTATGGGTGTGCACAGTGGCTCCAGTTCTGGGGGTGGGGCACTGAGTTTTGTCAACTTCAGCAACTGGGGTCTCTGATGTTAGTACCTGCATGGACCTTGGTCGTAGGAGCTGTGGGAGGGCTGCAGAGGTTGGGAGGTTTGTTAGGGGGGTTATCAGCTATGTTTCTTTGCCTAGTGATAGGGGCCAGGTCTAGTTACAGTGGAAGCCAGAGCCAGTTGCGTGCACATGCTTCACTCCAGTAGTCATCTGTAGGCACATACATAGCAGCAGAAGCCAGCTATAGGCTCGCATATGGTGATGAAGACTGAGGTCAAAGGCAGGGGTTGGGCCTGACTATGGGTGCAAATATGACATCGGGGGCTGTCAGCTTGCACGTACACCATTACAGAGGCCATCTGGGCTGGTGACAGGGGTTAGGCTGTTTGCATGCGTATGGGCAGCTCCAGAGTTAAACTAAAAGTGTGTGTGCACGTACAGTTGTGGGAGCCAGGGCTGGAAGCATACAGTAGCCTTTATGGAGATTCTCTTAGGTTCTGGAATATATGTTTATGTCTTTTGTTAAATTTGGGAGGTTCTCAGCTTTTACTGATTTTTTTTTCAGTTCTCACCCTTTATCTTCTTCTTACTTGATACTATTGACACAATCTCAAATATCAGTGATAATGACACATAATGTAGCATCTTTTTAAGCCTCCGTATATACCACACAGTTAACTGGAAAATGCCTTGAGGGAAACATTTACTAAGAATGCATGGATCGCCTTAATGTGTTTTTATTCTCTCTAGAATGTTACCCCTCAAGTTTTAGCTTTTTATGTTTCTCTGAGGCCTGAACATAGCTGTTTATATTTTTATGCCTCCCTCATAGTGCCTCTTGGTTAGTACGATATTAGCTACTCTAACAAGAAGAAGCCACTTCAAATGGATTAAGAAAAATAATGTTCTGGGAACTTCTAAAAGTCCTTTGTTTAGTTGTTTGGCTTGTTCTTGTTTGAGTAGCTTAAAAAGCTGGTGGCAAAAAGATTAAATGAAGCAACCATTTTATTTACCATGAAAGATATATAGGACAGGGGGATATGCTTTACTCATTCCTGTATCACAAACATAATTTTTTCCATAGATTGTGGCTTAATGAATATTTGTGGCATCAATGCATGAATAAATGAGAAAACTGGCAAGTATTTTCATTTACTAAGTAGCCTGAGGGAAATCAGGCTGAGAGTTGTTAATGGAATAATATGTATCCTGAAATTTTCATGAATTCTAAATTAGTTAACTGCTAAATATTTTGTAATGGAAAATGATGTAACTAAATGAGCCCTAGACTGGGAGCCAGATATCTCGGATTTTTTCTCCGTAACCTTAGAAAGATTACTTGACCTTTTTTGAAGGAAGGTATTGGACAGCAAAACCTCAAAACTCTAACTTTCTATTATATTATGGGTCTCATTACAGTAATGAGAAGGGAATTACCATTACTGAAGAGCCATGGTGACAATAGGTATATAAATATAAGGGTAGGGACTTTTTATTCTTTTTGTTCATTCTCAAGGATGATATAGGATGAGGTGAGTAGTGATTATAAGGCATACCTGTCATATAGAGATAGACATTGTATATATGCAATTTTAACCCAATAACTACTCTGAATATCCACAGTGTGTTCTAGTTTGCAGGAAATATATAGTATTTATGGTTAAGGATTGAAGAACTCAGTTTTAAGGGAAAAAATGAAGAAAAGGGAATATTGCATTTTAACAATATTTTATTTACCTTTGGGCTATTTGCTTTACCTGGGGACTGAAAGAAAGATACGTACCTAGGATTGGAGGTAGAACGGAGAATAACGTGTCCCAGGGCACCAGGTGGGAATGATATTTAACATTAGTAGGGAGGAAGAGTCAAAGTTATGCTTTACTAGTTTCTAAATTTTAGCAATAAGTGGGTCCATTAGTGGAGCATATATTTGGTGATAAATGAGCTAAACTTTTTTTTAATAATTACAACAGCAGTTCTGGATGCACTAAAATATAAACCACTCTTGTTCCAGTCTGAAACATAAATAGGGCCAAGGTACCTCTAAACTAGTGGGACATATTCTTTCAACATGGAGGAAACTTTCTTAACTCTTCAGTATTCCTAGTGATGTGCTGCTTCTGAGACAACCAAGATATGGTTCTATCGCTTTGGCCCAAAGTATATCATCAATTTGAAATGTAATTGAATTTCTGTCATGCTGTTCTATCTGTGAGGATTAGATAGTTTAAAACATAAAAATCAATGTGCTGTAACTGAAGTTAGGAAAACGTGACACCATCAGCAGTAAGACACAAAGATAGGATTTAGTAAATACCTGCCTGTCCTTGATTTCTCCCAGGAATGGCAGAGCCTAAACTTTGGCAAATATACCAGGAATTTTAATGGAATCACCTTTGTTGAAGTTATGTTTTATCAAGCAGATATAATCTGCATCTTGGGCTTTGGTGCTGGGCGTGTACTAGAGAGTTCTTGACTGCCTAAGAAATTTTACTCAACAGGTTAAGTCAGCTTAGTACAAAAGCCTTCTTTTTTATTTTATTCTTGTCCTGGGCCTGGTTGTTTAATTCCTTTAAGCAACAGCACTGAAGAGGAAAATGTCAAGCATTTCATTTTTCTGTTCATTTGTGAGCGCTAGCAAAAACATAATCAATATGAAACAAAATATGGTTTACTATTTTTTTAGATAAAGAGAAGAAAATTAAGTTTTTCTTTAATGAACACAAATAAACAAAGCTGCATTAAAAATAGTAAAACTTTTCTGTGCCTTCCAATCTTCCTGTACCCAGGGCCCCAGTATTTGCAAATTTGATTTTATTCCTTTTCTAGGTGCTCACAAAATTGGTATTTACTTATTCAAATTTGCAACCTTTGAACTGCTTAAGTTGACAATTTATTTTCTTATGTTAGTCCTTAGGACAAAGAAAATTATCTCTGCTTTGTGTTATTCTCTTACATGGACTTACCCACTTTAAAACAAAAAAAAAAAAAGAAAAGAAAAGAAAAAAATAAGAAAAAGCCAAAGAAAACAAAAAACTGTTATTCTCACTGTGCCAAGACTAGTTACAGAGATTTGTCTTATTTTTTCTTAAACTTCTGAGCCTTGGTTTAAACTATTACAAGCCCAATCCTGTATTTTTTGTCGATTCCTGTGTAATAAATTATCCCAAAGCTTAGAACTTAAAACAGTGAATGTTTATTAGATTGCTTTCTGTGGGCCAGGAATCTGAGCGTAGCTTAGCTGGGCACCTTTGGCTCAGTGTCTCTTGGAAGGCTGTAATCCAGGTGTTGGCCAGGCTGCAGTCATCTCATGGCTCAACTGAGAGCAGATCTGCTTCAAGTTCACTTCTGTAGCTGTTAGCAGGCTTTAGGGACTCACTGAGTATTGTCTGCAGATATAAGTTTCTTGCTGTGTGGGCCTTCTCACAATAAAAAGGTAACTTTTCCTAGAGCAAGGTTTTTGAAAGAGAGAGACAGAGAAGCAAGAGTGGGCATCTCCAGGGTGGAAACCACAGTGGTTCTGCAGCCTAATCTTGGAAGTGATATACCATCACATCTGCCATATTCTATTAAATAGAAGCAAGCCAATAAGTCCTGCCCACACTTAAGGGGAAGGTATAACATGACAGCATGAGTACCAGAAGGTGGGGATCGGTGAGGGCCATGTTAGAGAATGCTTGTCACAATTACCCTCCATCAAAATCACTCACCTTTCTATCCATGGCCTTTACAAATGCTACAATGCTCATCTTGGACTTCTCTTTCTCTTTGAAGCCTTCTTCAGCTTTATGGAGTATTATTTTTATCTCCTCAGAGTGCTAATAGAACACATGCTTAGTATTTATCTAGATATTAAGCATGTATTACTGGAATTACAGATATTCTCTCAGATATCGCTGCCTCATCATCTTACTCAGAGTATACATTCCTGGCAAGGAGACCACATCTCAAGTTCATCTTGGATCACTCTACCTCAATGTTTGGATCAATGCTTTTCACTTAGCTGACATTCAGTGAGTACCTGTTTCTGTGGCTAAGTCCTTTAAAAAATGCCACAGGTACCTGAGAAGAACACTGAACTGGAATTGAACCATTTCTAAAGTGTTACTAATGTAGCACTCCGGAACTCTTCCAATAAATCCATAGAGCAGTGAGTACTCATCTCAGTACAATGAACACCATCTATGCTAGAGGAGCCAGCAATTTTAAAGAAGATATCTGAGCTTCTCAGAAACCGCTCTGTAATATCTGTCACTTAAAATTCTGGGCACTTTAACAGTTCTAAGTTCTGGCAAAACAGCACAGAGGAGATGTAGAAGATGTATTTTTTCTCAAAAAGAGGCTCCGACCTAAATTCAGACCATCCTGACTGTAAGCTTGTGAGCTTCCAAACACTTAGAGACATTCAAGGTTTAGAGCATTCACTCTTGAAAGTTAGGGTGTTCACACAAGTCAAAAATGAAAACCACTAAAGTGGCTTCTTCTGGAAGATTCTGATCTTTCAATGTCTGTGCTTTGTAGCATCAAATGGCTTTGGGGTCCTGAAATTAATATCCATTCTTTATAGATAACCACCTCTCTCCAAATCCTTTTGTTTCCTTTTGTGCTGAATGTACTGCTTTTTCATCCAAATAAACTTGTTCAGAATTTTGAAGTTGGACGGTTTGAAAAACAGACGTAAGGTTATGGAGTTAGCTGGAAGGAAAGAGGTGATCCAAGAAGGCCTCTACCTCACCTACACACACTTATACACATACACTTATAGCAAACATTGTTGGCATCTGAGAAAATGACATTTTTCATATTCTCCTACAAAAACCTTTGACTTAGCAACCAGAGTAAAGAAAGCAATATTAATTCACTTTTAGACTATAAAATAATAGAGGTTGGAAACCCAGAGGGGTGAGAGGGTGGGGAGGCAGTAGGGGATGAGAAATTACTTAATAGGTACAATGTACACTATTCAGGTAATGGTTTCACTAAAAACCCAGGCTTCACCACTACGCAATATATCCATATAACAAAACTGCATGTCTACCCCTTAAATTTACATTAAAAAAAAACAGAAAAAAATCAAACTATCACATGTACCCTTAAATATATACAATAATTATGGATCAATAAAAAATAAATAAAAAGAGTAGGGTAAAAGTGAACATGCCTTAGGATAGGCTCATTCCTAGTGAATAGTATAGAATGATATTTCTCCAAAAGGTCTGTGGGAATAGGAATAATGGGAAGAGAGAAGATCTCCTTGACATCTAGGTCTGATAGACTCCAAGACAAAGTGTAATTAATCATGTGTAGAATATTGCTTAAACTTCAGTCAAATGGTTGCTTTCCTCTAATATCTTGGGTGGCCTGCTTCACTTCTGGTGAAGACTTTTTTTTCTATGCTAGGAGGCAGAAGGACCAGGAATCCTAGGTTACAAAGTTCTTCAAAAAAATCTCTGCAACTAGGTATTGATTAAACTAAGAGGGCTAACAAATTTAAAAATATGAACAACTGTAAATCATTTTCAACTACACACCTGACTAAGTAACACTCCACGTGACAATGTAGAAAGACAATTTTTGTGATAGAAAATAGATCATTATACATTGTTTCTATAAAGCATTTCTGCTTTTCAAGTTGCATTCATGTATTTATCTCATTTTACCCATGAAATTTTTGTTGTTGAAAGAATAAATGGAAAAAATTCAGGTTTATTTATATAATAATGAATGTATGTATCTCAAGCAGAGTTCATTTTAAGTAATATGGAGAAATATATACAAATAAAGAATAATTGAGTATGCTCTGTAGGGAAGATGAGTTAAAATCTGCAGAGCAAAACCTGCTGCTTTTTATAAAAAAATAACTAATCTCCTTGCCTCCAGTTTCTTACCATTGTAATAATTTCAGTACACTAAACTGCACCTGCAGGGTAGGCCTCAGTTTCCCACCACTCATCTTCTATTTACCCAGTTCCCTCTACCTTCTCCATTTTTTGCCAGATATAAAAACTTTCAAGATCCAGTTCAAATACCTTTTTCATAAAGTTCTTAACCACCTTACTAGTTGAAAGCAATGACTTCCTTGTATTTCCAAAGCATTTTATTTCTACTTGTCTCATGATATTTATCATTTATTCTGTACTAGAAATGCATTACATATGTATATATGCATATGTATATCTGTATTATATATGTGCATACATATATATTCCTCTACTATATTCTGCTAAGTAATCTTCTCTGAAGGGTCTTCTTTTTCCTCTATAATGTATGCAATTATGCAGTAGACTTTTAAGAAGGATTTTCAGATTAGAATGTTCAAGCATACAGATGATACAAATGATAGTGCCTTATATTTTTTTAAAAGTTGTATTTTCTTAGAATTACCAGATCACATACTGTCAAAACATAATATTCTCAAATTTATAGAGTGTTAGGGTTTGGAGATCAAGCTCTCTTATTTCCCAAATGTAGAACCTCGAGTCTTGAAAGGAGAGGTCATTGGCTTAGGGTCACAAAACTAGTTGGTAAAAACCCCAGGGTAGAACTCTGGGATGCTGACGCTGAAGTCAGTGCTATCACATCAGCCTGCACTGCCTCTCTCAGAAGTTGAGATGGATCTCAGGTGACTCTTCCAACAGACTCTATTAAATTATATTCATGTACTACTTACCTTTTTCATTTTTATTCAGTTCTTTGACAGAGTCACAGTTGATGCAAGAAAAGGCTTCGTAGCAAAATTGTAGTATTGATATTCACTGCTACTAAAAGCTACAGACTGTAATATCTATTACTGGAGAAATTAATCAAATGGGAATGGATGATGTGCTGAAGAAATTTGTACCTTAATCCATGGATTAACTTTTGTCATGTTTATGTAGATGATTTTAAACAAGTCTAAAATCTATGAAATCTTTTTTTAACTATTGCACACTAGAGTAAAAGGGGTTATACAGGATCTGAAGTACAACAAACAGATATATTGATTGATCAGATTTTTTTGCTTTGATAATGTTGCACGGGATGAATTGGATGTCACAAAACTTATTGCCCTATGCAGAGGAGGACTTTACCAAATTATGCAATTTTGACTATGGTAATGGGTTTATAAGAACCCACAGATACCTGAATCCATTGCAGAATTGCCCAATGTGCCCAAGTACTGAAAACTCATTAAATGGATGTACATCTGCTCAGAACCAAAACACATTGTTGCTAAGTATCGTTCAAACTTTTATTTTTATAATTTAATAAGTCTTTTACACTACATTACACAATTGGGGAATGGCAGGAGAACATTGAACAGAGATGGCAAAAACACATTGAAAGAATATGAATAATTAGAAATAAGTGAATTATCAAGATTGGCTTCTTGAGAGCCTTCAAAATGTGTCATATGTATAAGCCAACATTATCTTTTGAAAGAAAGAGATATACATACTTTACTCCATATCTTCTTTATTGATCTTTTGTGATTTCATTTCACAAACTCAGTGTCTTTTTTTTTTTAATCTTTTCTACAAGTAATCAGCTAAGTTCTGAAATTAGCCATGATTCTTTAGCTAACTCTCTCCAGATTTCATTAACAATATGGATTTCTTTACCCTAGTAGAGATCACTAACTATTCCTGGGTCCACCTTTTACTTGGGAAACACCAAGACCTTTTACCCTTTATATTCTGTGTTTGCCCTTTTTGGGCTTTTCTTCATAGAATCTGTGTCCAGTTTTTTGACATTCTTTGGCACTTATTCCTAAATCTCTGGCTAAGTTGGTGTTTTTCAGAATATATAATATTTGGAATACTTCATTCATCATTGTACCACAATGCAGAGAATTTCTAGAAATTAAATTATCTATGGAAATATGACTAGAGTGTCTCAAAATTTTCAGAATTTCCAACCATTCTGGAGGAATCACTAACCCCAAATGCAGAGATCATGTTGTCTTATTAAAGCAATAGAGGATTCCGGCTGGGTGTGGTGGCTCATGCCTGTGATCCCAGCACTTTGGGAGGCCGAGGAGGGCAGATAACTTGAGCTCAGGATTTCGAGATCAGCCTGGGCAACATGGCGAAATCCTGTCTCTACCAAAAATACAAAAAATTAGCCGGGTGTGGTGGCTCACGCCTGTGGTCCCAACTACTCGAGAGGCTGAGGTTGGAGAGTTGCTTTAGTCCCAAGAAGCAGAGGTTACAGTGAGCCAAGATTGCACCACTGCACTCCAGCCTGGGTAACAGAATGAGACTCCTTGAACAAAAAAAAAAAAAAAAAAAAAAAAAAAAAAAGAGAGAGGATTCACATCTCGATAAATGTTCTTAGCAAAGTGCACAAACTTCATTAAGATAAAATTATGCATTTCTCTACTTTAGTATTTGAAATAGGATTCAGTTGAATTTGGCTCTGGAATGAAAATGTCACATTGGCATTTTCACTATGAGTAACCTTTTATTGCCTTATTCCCCCTATATTGTTCGTAGGTTTACCTCCTTAGAATAGCTAATTTAGCTAACCCTCTCAGTGTGATGGGGTGGCAGATTTCCTGAGCCTCTGAAAAAGAATAAGATCTGAGTGATTCAGAGTGGCTTAAACCTGGGACCCTACATAATCTTAGCAACATAGAGACTGTGCTTTCAAGGCAGTGTGCTCTTTAAGGAATAAGTTCCAGTGTAGCTTATTTTGTTGTGAATTTAATATTAAACTAATTATGAAGTTTATGAATAGACATAATCATTTGTTCTTTATTATGATGAATGCAGAAAGATGGCTAGAATTTTGCTAATTGGAGACTTGGTAGGAAGGATGATACAAGAGGTTGGGAAAACAAGTTATGCAGAGTTGGAACTGATATGGTATATACAAGAAACAGGGAGGAGATTGCACTTTACAAGGAACATTCTTCTAAAATTTTTTTTTTGTCTAGTTTGTTCTTGATTTTGCACAAGACTCATTGGCTGTACAATAAAGCCTAATAAATGATTAATTTTAAAACCCTCTGGATTTTAGAAATCAAATGTTTTGCTTAGTTCATTAAAACTGTGTCTTTTTATTATGGAAAAGTTTAACCAAACACAGAAATAGAATAATTTATTAATCCCTCAGGTACTCATTGTACTGACTGAGCAATCATTAGCTCATGGTACACCTTGTTTCTTCTCTCACCCGTTCCCTACCATCTCATATTCTGAAGCAAATCATAGATATTATATCTTTATATCAATAAATGTTTCAGCATGGATCCCTAAAGATAAAAGCTTTTTTAATCATCAAAAGAAGGCAATTATCACAATTAAACATTTTAAATAACCCCTTAATATAATCAAATGTCTAATCGGTGTTCGAATTGTCACATGCCACTGACATAAATTTATTTTTGTTTTAGAGTTTGTTTGAATCCATGTGCAAATAAAGCTCACAAAATGGTATTGAAAAAATGTCTCTTAAGACTTAAAAAAATTATGTATTTTATTTTGAGGTAATTGGTAGATACATGTGGTTTCTACAATTCAGAGAGATCCTGTGTATCCTTTATCCAGTTTTTTCCACTAGTAATATCTTACAAAGTGCTAGTATAATATCACAGCCAGAATATTGACATTAATACAATTAAGATACGGAACGTTTCCATCACCACAGGATCCCACTTGTTGTACTTTTATAGCCACACCCACTTACTCTCTCACCTCCAACTCCTAATTAACCCTGACAACTACAAATCTGTCCTACATTTATATAGTTTTGTCCTTTCAAGAATGCATGCTATAAAAATTGAATCACACAGTGAGTAAGCGTTTGGGATTGGCTCTTTTGTTTACTCAGCGAAAATTTTTTGAGATTCATCCAAGATGCTGACTGTATCAATAGTTCATTCATTTCTATTATTCTGTAGTATGTATTCCAAAATGTGGATGTAAAAGAGTTTGTTTATTCATTCACCAATTGAAAGACATCTGAGTTATTTCCAGTTTTTGGCTATTGTGAATAAAACTACTATAAATATTTATAAATACAGATTTCTGTGTGAACATAAGTTTTCATTTCTCTGGGATAAATGCCCAGGAGTGCATTTTCTGGGTCATATAGTAGTTGCATGTTTTGTTTTTTGAGAAACTGTCAAACTATTTTCCAGAGTAGCTGTACCATTTTACATTCCTACCAACAGATGGGTCCAATTTTTTCACATCCTCACCAGCATTTGGTATTTTCACTATTTTTATTTTAGCTATTCTGATAGCCATGTAGTGCTATCTCATGGTGGTCTCAATTTGCACTTTCCTAATGGCTATATTGATGTTCATGTGCTTATGTACCATCTGTATATACTTTCTGGAAAAATGTATGTACATCTTTTATCCTTTTCCTTACTGTATATTTTTTAAACTATTGAATTTTCAGACATTTTATATGTTTGAAATACTAGTCTTTTGTTGGCTATGTCATTTACGAATGTTTTTTATTTCCAATTTTTTAGTTTTTTTCATCTTTACATCTTTTTAAAAACAAACATTTTGAATCTTCATGAAATGTAATTTATCAAGCTTCCCTTTGATGGATCATACATTTGGTGTCAAGTCCAAGAAATTTATGCGTGGTCCTCAGTCCTCAGTATTTTCATATATATATATATATATATATGAATATGTATATACACACATATATATATAATTTTATAGTTTCTATTTTACCTTTTAGTCTGTGATCAATTTTTAGTTAATTTTTGTATAAAGAGTGAATGGTAGGCCAAAGTTAACATTATTTGTTCTGTTTATTATGACTTTATTATTTTTGTCTAAGATATATTTATTTCTTGAAACTTTCATGTTCTAAAATAATTTTGAGTGTCTTCTTTCGTGGTATATTTATTGAGATATAATTCACACACTATAAAATTCACCCTTTTAAAGTGAACAATACAGTAGCTTTTAGTAAACTGACAAAAATGTTCTACCATGACCACTATTAATTCCAGAAAATTTTCATCATTCCAAAAAAAAAAACCCACCCTGTCCCTTTTAGTAGTCATTTCTATTCATCCTTCCTCCCAGCCTCTGGAAATAACTAATCTTCTTTAAGTCTCTGCTTATTTGCCTATTTTAGATACTTCATATTAATAGATACTTACAATGTATGACCTTTTGTGTATGACTCCTTACAATTAGCATAATGTTTTCAAGGTTTAACCAAATTGTATAAGTATAAGCACTTCTTCATTCCTTTGTATGATGGAATAATATTCGGTTTTGTGGCTATAGTACATTTTGTTTATACTTTCATCAGTTGATGGACATTTGAGTCGTTTTAACTTGTTGACTATTATGAATAATGCTGCTATGAATATTTATGTACCAGTTTTTGTATAGACATACATTTTTAATTCTTTTGTGTTTATAACAGAGTGGAACTCCATGTTTAACTTACTGAGGAAGTGTCAAACTATTTTCTAAAGCATCTGCATCATTCTACGTCCCCACTACCACTACAGGAAGGGTCTATTTTCTCCATATTCTCTCTAATGCTTGCTGATTTCTTTATTTTGGGGGGATGTGAAGTAGTATTTCATTGCGGTTTTGATTTGTATTTCCCTAGGGAATCAAGTCCTTATTAACCACTTGTGTATGTTTTTTGAAGAGATGTTTATTCGCATCCTTTGTCCTTTTTTTTTTTTTTTCTGAGACGGAGTCTCTCTGTCGCCCAGGTTGGAGTGCAGTGGCAGAATCTCAGCTCACTGCAAGCTCCGCCTTCCGGGTCATGCCATTCTCCAACCTCAGCCTCCTGAGTAGCTGGGACTACAAGCGCCCGCCACCAAGCCTGGCTAATTTTTTGTATTTTTAGTAGAGACGGGGTTTCACTGTGTTCGCCAGGATGGTCTCGATCTCCTGACCTCGTGATCCGCCCGCCTTGGCCTCCCAAAGTGCTGGATTACAGGTGTGAGCCACCGTGCCCGGCCCATCCTTTGTCCATTTTTAAGTTGCATTAGTTATATATTAATTTTGGGGTTATAAGTTATTCGTATATTCTGCATATGAATTCTTTATAATAAATATGATTTGCAAATATTCTTTCCCATTCTGTTGGTAGTCTTTTCCATTTATTGATAATGTCCTTTGAAGCACAGAAATGTTTAATTTTGATGAAACCTTATGTATGTTTTATTTTGTTGCTTATATTTTTGATGTCATTTCTAAGATATCATTTACTAATTGAAGATTACAAAGGTTTATGCCTATATTTTTTATGAGAGTTTGATGGTTTTAGCCTTACATTAAGGTCTTTGATTTTATAGTTTCCATTTTTGTTAACATTTTGTGATAATTTTTGTATATGGTGTGAAGTTGGGGACCAATTTAATTTATTTGCCCGTTGATATGCAGTTATTCCAGCACCACTTGTTGAAAACACCATTTTTCCCTGTTGAATAGTTTTGACATCTTTGTCAAGAATCAATTGACCATAAATGTCAGATTTTATTTCCTAACTTTCAACTCTAATCCATTGATATATATGCCTATTTTAATGCCAGCACCAGAGTCTTGATTGCTGTAGCTTTGTAGAAAGTTCTGAAATCCAAAAGCATGTAAAAGAACACTGTTCTTTTACAAGATTATTTTGACTATTTGGGGTCATTTACATTTCCATATGAATTTTAAGATAACCTTATCAATTTCTGCAATTAAGACAGCTAGAATTTTGACAGGGATTGCATTGAATCTGTAGTTCAATTTGAGTGATATTGCTATCTTAACAATATTAAGATTTCCAAGCTATGGACAAAACTATGGACAGCAGATATCTACTTTTTAACAGCTTTATTGAGGTGAATTGTTATACAAAGTTGTACATATTTAATGTATACAATTTGACAGGTTTGTACATATCTATACACCCATGAAACCATCCCCACAATCACAGTAATAAATGTATCCATCATCTACAAAAGTTTACTTTTGCTCCCATCCCCTTTTTGGTAGTAAGAACACAACTTGAAATCTACCCTCTTAGTAAATTTTAAGTGTGCAATAAATACAGGCATTATGTTGTACAGCAGATATCTAGAACTCATTCATCTTGAATAATTGAAACTTTATACCCTTTGAACTACAACTCCCTGTTTTCCCCTCCCCCTGACCCTGATAACCATCATTATTCTCATGCACGTATGAATTTGACTATTTCTGATACCTCTTATGAGTGGGATCATGCAGTATTTGTCCGTGTGACTGACTTATTTCACCTAGTATAATGTTCTTCAGGTTCATCCATATTGTTGCATAAGGTAGGATTTCCTTTTGTAAGACTGACTGACAAATACTCCATTGTGCGTATGTATGTATATATATTATATATACATATATATCTCATTTATTGTTTATCTGTTTATCCATCAGTATACATTTAGTTCGTATGCATATTTTGGCTAATGTGAATAATATTTCACAGTGGTTTCAATTTTTCATTTCCTGATCATCAGTGATGTTGAGCTTCTTTTCATGTACCAGTTGGCCATTTGTATGTCTTCTTTGGAAAAATGTCTTTTCAAATTTTTTGCCCATTTTAATGAGGGTTATTTGTTGTTTTTTTTTTCTCTTTTTTTGCTATTGAGTTGTAAAAGTTCCTTTTTTTTTTATATTAGCCCCTTATCAGATATATGCTTTGCAGATATTTTCTCCCATTGCATAGGTTGTCTTTTCAACTCTGATGATTTTTTTTTTTTTGGCTATATAGAAACTTTTTAGTTTGATGTAGTCCCAAGTGTCTATTTTTGCTACTATTGCCTATCCTTTTGGTGTCATATCCAAGAAATCATTGCCAAGACCAATGTCAAGATATCGTTCTCCTACCTTTTCTTTTGAGACTTTTATAATTTCAGGTCTTAAGTTTAAGTTTTTAATATATTTTAACCACATTTTGTGTATATTGTAAGATAAAGGTTCAATTTCATTCTTTTGCAGTTATGCAGTTATATATCTAGTTTTTCCAGCATGATTTGTTGAAGACATTATCCTTTTCACATTGTGTATTCATGGAATTCTTGTTGACTATCAGTTGACTGTATATGCATGGACTCATTTCTGGGCTCTTTATTCTCTTCCATTGGTGTAACTGTCTGTGTTTACGCTGTTCCCACAATTTTTCAACTACTGTGGCTTTGTAATATATTTTCAAATCAGGAAGTGTGATGACTCCAGCTTTGCTCTTCTTTCTCAATATTGTTATGGCTATTCAGGGTCCTTTGTTGTTCTTTATGTATTTTAGGATTGTTTTTACCATTTTTGTAAAATATCCAGTTGGAGTTTTGATGGGGATGGCATTGAATCTGTAGATCACTTTGGGTAGTGTGGACCTTTTAACAATATTAGCTCTTCCAGTTTATGAATACAGGATGTTTTTCCAGTTATTTGTGTCTTTAAGTTTTTTCAGAAATGATTTGTAATTTTCAGTGTACAAGTCTTTCCCTTTTTGGTTAAGTTTATTCTTAAGTATTTTATTCTTTTTGACATTATGGTTAATAAGATTGTCTTTTTAATTTCCTTTTCTGAGAATTCTTTGTTGGTTTATAAAAATGGAACTGATTTTTATATGTTTATTTTATACCCTGCAACTTTACCGAATATGTTTATTAGTTCAACAGTTTTATTGCAGAGGTTTTAGAGTTTTCTACACATAAGAACATATAATCTGTAAAACAGAGATAACTTTACTTCTTCTTTCCTGATTTGGGTGCTTTTTATTTCCTTTTCTTGGCCAATTACTTTGGCTAGGAATGTCAGTACTATGTTGTATAGAAGTGGCCATTCTTGTCTAGTTTCTGATCTTAGAGAAAAACCATTCAGTTTTTCACCACTGAATACAATGTTAGTTGTGGGCTTTTCATATATTATTTCATATATTATTTCCATATTAGCTGTGGGCCTTTGATAGGTTGAGATAAATTCTTTCCGTGCATAGTTTGTTGGGAGTTTTTATTATAAAGTGGTGCTGAATTTTGTCAAATGCCTTTCTTGAATCTGTCAAGATGATCATGTGGCTTTTATTCTTCATTCTGTTAATGTAATGTGTTGTGTTGATTGATTTGCCTGTGTTGAGCCATCCTTGCATCCCAGGGATAAGTCACATTGGATTACAGTGTATGATTCTTTACAGGTATTGTTGAATTTGGTTTTCTAGTATTTTGTTGAGGATTTTTGTACCAATGTTCATCAGGGATTTGGGCCTGTAATTTTCTCTTCTTGTAGTGTCCTTGTCCAATTTTGGTATTGAGGTAATGCTGGCCTCTTAAAATGAGTTTGAAAGTGTTTTCTCCTCTTCAGTTTTTTGGAGGAGTTCAAAAAGGACTGACATTAATTCTTTAAATGTTTGGTAGAATTCACTAGTGAGGCCGTCTGATCCAGGCCTTTTCTTTTAGAGAGGTTTCTGATTACTGATTCAGTTTCTTTACTTATTATTGATCTGTTCAGATTTTTCATTTCTTTAAAATTCAATCTTGGTAGGTTGTATGTTTCTAGGAAGTATCCACTTATTCTAAGTTTTCTAATTTGTGTATAGTTCACAGTAATTTCTTATTATCCTTTTTATTTCTGTGATATCAATTGTAATGCCTCCTCTTTTATTTTCAATTTTATTTATTTGAATCATATCACTTTTTTAGTCTTATTAAAGGTTTGTCATTTTTTTCATCTGTTCAAAAAACCAACTTTTAGTTTAATCAATTTTTTTCCTAGCTTTTCTATTCTCTATTTTATTTATTTCTGCTCTAATCTTTTTTTCCCTCTTATTCTGCTAATTTTAGATTTAGTTTTCTTTCCTCTAGTTTCTTGAGGTATAAAGTTAGATTGTTAATTTGAGGTCTATTTTTTTTTTCAGTTTAGGCCTTAATCAGTATAAACTTCCCTCTTAGCTCTGCTTTTGCTGCATCCCGTAAGTGTTGATATGTTGTGTTTTCATTTTCGTACGTCTCAAGATATTTTCTGATTTCCCTTTTATTTGTTCTTCAACCCACTGGTTTCTCAAGAGTGTGTTGTTTAGTTTCCATATATTTGTGAATTTTCCCTTTTTTCTAGGGGAGATTCAGCTGGTTTTTCTTTTGTTTTTTTTATATATATAGTTTTTGAATTTTAAACTATCACAACACCTTCTGATCTTATGAAGGACACTTTGCCTTTATAACGTATGTGAATAAGAGTGCACAAAAATCCCTCCCAATTTTAATGCCTGTTTTCAAATTTTCCCATCATACTTTCTAGTGAGAACCTATAAAGTTTGGGAGTTCTGCTTTCAGGTCTGTCATATGCTCTTTTGCTTGCCTCTACATTTTTCTGCAGTGATACCATGTGGGCCTTGCAGCTGTTGGTAGTCTGTTTCTAGCAACTCATTTTTAGGTATTTACTGAAAAGTTTTTCACCTAATTTTGTGGTGGACAGTATTCATGAGTTTTAAGTTTTTTCATCCTATTTGCTTTGGCACCGACACTATTTTCATATATTTCCAGAGATTAAGGTTTAATGCTTTTACCTGTACTTTACTATAGCTCTACTGGATTACATTGTTTCTTCTTCTCTTGCAGATTTTTTTTTTTCTTGATTGACTCTTGCAAAGAAATTGTTGTTATGACAGTAGAAAAATGGATTCCTTGTTTACATGTTTTTTAAAGTTTATATTCTAGAATATTGGGTGTCAAAATGTTTTGACTTTTACTGAATATCACATATACATATATGGGGTATGTGTGTACGTGTGTGTGAAACAAAAAAAATTCATGCTGGTGATGACACAAAAACACATAATTGATCAAGATTTATAATTTGGAAACTTTTTTAGAAAGTATGCTAAAGGAAAATGTGGAAAAGAATGTAAATCTTGCTAAACTTCTTGTGGAGAGATGACTTTTCTATGTGGATTAGTTAATTAAGCAGTAAAAACCTAGTAGTGATATCTTATTGGAAGAGAAAGAACCAAATCCCCGGAGTGGGGAAAATGATCCCTTATTAGAAAAAACAATAATAATCATCATATGGAAAGTGAACCACAGCTATCTCACCACTGGATTTTGGTAAGCTATAAGAAGCAAAAGACAGTTTCTACATTGGGTAAATAAACAAAGGATAATTACTTTTTCCCCCCAACTTTATTGAAGTATTATTGACAAACAAAAATTTTATATATTCAAAGTGTACAGCATTTGTTGTATGCATACATTGTTTACTGATTACTACACTGCATTAATTAACACATCCATCACCACACACTTACTGTGTGTGTGTTTGTGTGTGTGTGTGTGTGTTTAGGACATTTAAGATTATACCCGCTTAGTAGATTTCAAGAAAACTATACAGTACTATTAACTATAGTCACCATGCTGTACATTAGAGGAGAGTTACTTAAATATAAGAAAAGAGTTAAGCTCCAGTTAGCAGAAGAGAAAGCCTATGGTAGACAAAGACTTCTGTGAAGAGCAGAAGAAATATATGCTTTCAATAATTCAAAAAGATGCAATAAGGTATGCAGAAGTAGAGTTTTGTCATAGAAAAGTCAGTGTGAAATCAAGATGTCTTCTTCGCTAGTTTAGAAATAGGGCTAGTGTTACATTTAAGCAGTAAATGCTGGCAATTAAAATATTTTGGAAATGTGACTTCTGCATATATATTTGCTTTTCTTTTAAAATACTCGAAATCCTTATCTATCAAATTGGACAAATTAAGAAACATGTAAGTAACCAACAAAAGAACAATTAAATTGCTTATCATTGGTGAGCAAGAATCTGTTACTTTTTATTATAAGCCCTTTATTTGTGAGCAAATTTATTAAGTACTTTGAGAAAATATTTTTAAAATAAAAATACAATTAATTATTAAAACTGTATACCATTTTCTAGCATAAAATTATTAGAGTTTAATTTATTATTAGGCTTCAGTTAATATAGCCCTATTTCAATAAAAAATGAGACTCTGGAAAGATATAATTTCTTTGATTTGTTACCTACCACTTGAAATTTTCTATGTAAGCCATATGATTACTGCCACCCACATGCCATCTGGTGGCACTTATCCAGATGGCACAGAGGAAGTAATAAGCCTCTAAAATTTTGCCCTATAAATCCAAAGCAAGAATGTCCTAATAAACAGCTTCAGGTTGTTGAATAACGATGCTGTCTTTTAAAAGCATTTTAATCATAGCTAATTAAACAACAACAAAAACCTTCACTTCTACTTAGTATTGTTAGATTAAAATTTTGGGTCTTATAGCAAAACGACTAGATTACATGCAGACGAGATTCACTCTGTCAACATCAATTCCTATTTTTGGTGGGTCTCCAACACATAAGACAATATTGTTATGTCGTATCTTGTTAGTCATAAAGTTGCTGCAGAAACTTGACTCTGTTTTATGTAAACTCTTAGAACAGTAGTTCTGAGCTTTGGTTGTATAATAGAACACCTGAGGTGCTATGAAAAATCCTGATGACAGACTCCACTTTGAATGAATTATATAAAACTCTCTAGGGGTGTGACTAAGGCATCTGAATTTTTAAGGCTTTCCAGATGTTGACAATGTTCAGCTAAGTTTGAAAAACACTGTCCAAGAAGATTGTGTTTATTTAACCTAAAAATGTATACCTGTGGTGATAAAGTACTTTGAAGAATTTTAAGTATATGAAAGACATATTGGAAATAACTAAGTCGTAATTTTGAGAATTGAAACAAAGAAAGATGATAAGGCTTATATACTTTGGCGCTGTATTGAGATATAAAGCAAGGTTAAAACCAAACATTTTATGTGGGTTAGATCTAATCATATTTTTAAAACAATATTAGCTATCCAGTCCTAAAATCCAATATATAGCCAAAAGGATATAAATGATATTAGCTATTTAATACAAATGGGAGAAATGAACCTCTCTTATAGAAAGAATGACTTTCCTAAGGACATAATAGAAGTTCTTAAATTGAGGCCGGGCAGGGTGGCTCATGCCTGTAATCCCAGCACTTTGGGAGGCCGAGGTGGGTGGATCACCTGAGGTCAGGGGTTCGAGACCAGCCTGGTCAACATGGTGAAACCCTGTCTCTACTAAAAATACAAAAATTAGCCAAGTGTGGTGGTGGGCGCCTGTAATCACAGCTGCTCAGGAGGCTGAGACAGGAGAATCGCTTGAACCCGGGAGGCAGAGGTTGCAGTGAGCAGAGATCGTGCTATTGCACTCTGGGCTGGGCAATAAGAGCGAAATTCTGTCTCAAAAAAAAATAAATAAATAAAAATAAAAAAGCTCTTAAATTGAGTGCAAGAAGACTTTTTTTTAACACACAGGAAAATAAACATCGTAGGGGAAAAAACAGATTATACATATATTGTGTTTTCTCCAAGCACATACTATAGTGTTAATCCATCCAGTTATCTTTTTCACAATGTTTTGCCCATATATCTCTTTGTGTGTAACTTTCGGTTTGAAACTTACATAATTTCAAATAATTTTATCTAATGTTGTTTTTGTTATTTTATATTTACATGTACTTTTCTAATACAGGCACAACTCAGTTTATTGCACTTCGCTTTATTGTGCTTTGCAGATCCGGAGTTTTTACAAATTGAAGGTTTGTGCCAACTCTGTGTCAAGCAAGTCTATTCGTGCTATTTTTCCAGCAGCATGTGCTCTCTTCATGTCTCTGTGTCACATTTTGGTAATTCCAACAATATTTCAAACTTTTTCATGATGATTATACCTGTTTTGGTGATCTGTGATCATTGATCTTTGATGTTACTATTCTAATTCTTTTGGGGTGCTACAAACCATGCCTAAATAAGACAACAGACTTAATAAATGTTGTGTGTGTTCTGACCACCCCACCGACTGGCTATCCCCTTTCTCTGCCTGTCCTCAGGCCTTCCTATTTCCTGAGACACAACAATATTGAAATTAGGCTGATTAATAACCCCACAATAGCCTCTAAGTTTTCAAGTGAAAGGAGGAGTGCATATCTCTTACTTTAAATCAGAAGCTAGAAACTACTAAGCTTAGTGAGGAAGGCCCAAAGCTAGGCCCCTTGCACCAGTCACTCAAGTTGTAAATGCAAACAAAAATTTCCTGAAGGAAATTAAAAGTACCATTCTGGTGAACACATGAATGATGAGAAAGTGAAACAGCTTTATTGCTGATCTGGAGAAAGTGTGAGTGGTCTGGATAGAAGATCAAATCAGCCACGACATTCCATTAAGGCAAAGCCTAATTCAGAGCAAGACCCAAACTCCCTTCAATTCTACGAAGGCTGAGAGAGGTGAGGAAGCTGCAGAAGAAAAATGTGAAGCTAGCAGAGTTTGGTTCATGTGACTTAGAAAAGAAGCCGTCTCCATAACATAAAAATCCAAGGTGAAGTAGCGAGTGCTGATGTAGAAGCTGTAGCAAGTTATCCAGAAGATTTAGCTATGATACTTGATGAAAGTGGCTACACTAAACAACCTATTTTCAGTGTAGACAAAACAACCTTCTGTTGGAAGGAGATGCCATCTAGGACTTCCACAGCTATAGAGGAGAAGTCAATGCCCAGCATCAAAGCTTCAAAGGACAGGCTGACTCTCATTAGGGGTTAATGTAGCCAGTGACTCTAAGTCGAAGCCAATGCTCATTTATCATTCTGAAAATCTTAGGGTACTTAGGAAGGATGCAAAATCTACTCTGTTTGTGGTCTATAAATGGAACAAGAAAGTCTGGATGACAGTTTATCTTTTCACAACATTGTTTACTGAATAATTTAAGCTCATTGTTGAGATCTTCTGCTCAGAAAACGATTTCTTTCAAAATATTACTGCTCATTCACAATACACCTGGACACCTAAGAGCTGTGATGGAGATGCGCTTTTTTAATGCTATTTTCATGCCTGTGAACACAGCATCCATTCTGAAGCCCATAAATCAGGAGTCATTTTGAATTTTAAGTCTTACTATTTAAGAAATACGTTTGGTAAGGCTATTGCTGCCATAGATAGTGATTTATCTGATACATCTGGACAAAGTAAATTGAAAATCTTCTGGAAATGAATCACTATTCTAGATGCCATTAAGAACAGGATGACAGGATTTAATTCTATTTTATGGCTGAACAATATTCCATGTGTATATGTACCACATTTTTTTAGCCATTCATTCCTTGATGAAAACTTGGGTTGATTCTATATCTTGTCTAATGTGAATAATGCTGCAATAAACGTAGGAGTGCAGGGCTGGGTGCTGTGGCTCACACCTGTAATTCCAGCACTCTGGGAGGCTTAGGCAGGTGGATCGCTTCAGCCCAGGAGTTTGAGACCAGCCTGAGCAATGTGGTGAAACCCCATCTCTACTCAAAGCACAAAAATTAGCCAGGCATGAAGGTGCACACCTGTGGTCCCAGCTACTTGAGAGGCGGAGGCAGCAGAATCACCTGAGTCCAGGAAGTTGAGGCTGCAGTGAGCTGTGATCGTGCCACTGCACTCTAGCCTGGGTGACCGAGTGAGACCCTGTCTCAAAAACAGAACAAACGAACAAACAAACAAACAAACAAACAAAACCATGGGAGTGCAGATATCCCTTCCATGTACTGATTTTTTTCTTTTGGATATACTTCCAGCAGGGGATTACTGGATGATAAGGTAGCTCTATTTTTATCTTTTTGAGAAACCTCCAAACTGTTCTCCATAGTGGTTATACTAATTTACATTCCCACCAACATTGTACAAGAGTTCCCCTTTCTCCACATCCCTGCCAGCATTGATTATTGCTTGTCTTTTGGATAAAAGCCATTTTGACTGGGGTCAGATAACATGTCTCTTATCTGTTAACTGAGGTCAGATAACATGTCTGTTATTTTTAATTTGCATCTCTCTGATGATTTGTGATGTTGAGTATTTTTTTCATACATATGGCTTACTGGTCATTCATATGTCTTCAATAAAGTATTTTTAAATTAAGGTATGCACATTGCTTTTTTAGGCATAATGCTATTGCACACTTAATAGACTCCAGTATAATGTAAACATAACATTTATATGCATTAGGAAACCAAAAAAATTGTGTGACTCACTTTTTTGCAGTTATCTGGAACCAAACCTGCAATATCTTCAAGGTATACCTGTATATCATTTTCCAGTCTAATATGAAGTTTGGTATAAAAAGAACATTGTGTTGATTACAACAACAATTTTTGAAAAAACCCACAAACTTTAAAAAATATTTTTAAACTTACCTCTATGTCATCTCATTATCTCTTTTTAGGATCCTACAGTCTAAGCAGAAAATAACACCACTTATGTTTCAATTTATGCTGCAAGCTTCACACCTGTTATATATTTATATCATTTATATGTAATTTCATTTGAAATTAAAATGTTATTCACTCAGTAAAGATTATAAGATGCTTTCTACGATACTATCACCTAGGAAAACCTTTCTTTAACACCAAGTTTAATAGCAGTTCAAAAATCAAAACTTAATTTTAAGTATCAAGCCAAGAGTCATATTCATGTAAAACATTCCAATGAATTTACATATTTATATAGTGATTTATATAGTGCTCTCTTAAAATAATTATATGTATGTGTGTGTGTGTATGTGTAATGGGATTGGTATTACCAAATATATAAATAGAAATATCAAATATATATATACATGAAATACATTTATTTGGCAATATTGATATAATACTATATATATGTGTGTGTGTGTGTATACATTTAATAATATCAATCCCCATGCTATCTAGAAAGGAGGTTAATTAAAAGTTTTAATTTTTTTAGTCCCACATAATCTTCCAATTGTATTCTTTGCTACACCTTGAAAAGTACCACAACTATAAACTAACATCACCATTCCTGAGTTGGACTTGCATTTTTCTATTTAATTGTCTTGAAACCATCCACCTTTCACTTGAAGTTTAAAAGACACACAGACCAATTTGGGAAAAAAAGTATGTGAATGTAAATGCAACCAAAATGTGGCATGTCCATACAATGGAATATTTTCCAGCAATAAAAAGAACGAGGCACTGATACATACTCCAGCACATATGAACATTGAAAATATTGTGCTAAGTGAAAGAAGCCAGTCACAAGAGATCCCATATTGAATGACTGAATTTTATATGAAATATCCAGAAAGGGCAGGCCTGTATATAAAGTGGATTAATGGTTGCCTAGGCCTGGGGAATCATTGGGGAAAATGGAGAGGGACTGTTAATTGGTACAGATGGAGTTTCTTTTTGTGGTAATGAAAATATTCCCAAATTAGATTATGGTACAGTTGCACAGCTCTGAAAATACACTAAAAACCAGTGAATTGTACACTTCAAATGGATGAGTTTTTCCTATGTAAATTATACTACAAAACTGGATTTTTTAAAAGATGAATTCTGGATGATGCTAAAAGGCTAATTTGAGGCTAATTCTTCTTATGAGATAACTTATTTGGATAGAATGTGATAGACCCACCTTATATCAATAATGTTGATGTGAATAATGTGGGCAAAAAATATGAGCTTTCTACTAAAAGTCAGACAAAATGCTGACGGGGTACTGTTGTGATGTGAGATGGAGCACCCACATATGTGAAAAAGCAGATGTAAAGCATCTTGCACAGTGCCTGATACATGAATAATGTGCTTAATGAATGGCAGTTATTTGTATCATCATCATTATAATACTCTTCAACATCATCATCATCACAAAGTTTGTAACAGAAAAACGTATCGACATGCAGGCTTCGTCCCCACTCCTGATATTATCTTCAACTGAGTGGAAATGTTTTATTGGTCCTTGTATTTTCTGGTATCAGCTACCACAATTATAGATCATGTGATTCTGGAAAATTAGTAATTTCTATTGGGCCCACCTCCAAAATTCAATCCGATTAAGTAAGAGAAATCTCACTCTACTTGCTCAGGGCTGAGAAAATTTACATTTCTTTAAAAAATATAGAAATTAGGTTCATAATCATGGAAACAAACATCAATGGAGCTTTCTCTTTCAAAGCTAGATTTTGATAAAGCTTTAAGAGAACTACTGTGACACAGAGAGAAATTTTATTTTTTTATTTATTTTATTATTATTATTATTTTTTTTTTGAGACGGCGTCTCGCTCTGTCGCCCAGGCTGTAGTGCAATGGCGTGATCTCGGCTCACTGCAACCTCCGCCTCCCAGGTTCAAGCTATTCTCCTGCCTCAGCCTCCCGAGTAGCTGGGACTACAGGCACCCGCCACCACGCCCAGCTAATTTTTATACTTCTTAATAGAGACGGGGTTTCACCATGTTAACCAGGATGGGCTCGATCTCTTGACCTTGTGATCTGCCCGCCTCGGCCTCCCAAAGTGCTGGGATTACAGGCGTGAGCCACTTGCCCGGCCCACGGATAGAAATTTTAAATCATACAGGTAAATTTTTTATTTGGAGCAGCAGTAGTCTGGAACTTTGCAACATTATTTTAACAAGTACTCCAAATTCTATGCTGCATTTATATGGGAATTGTTTAAAGATTTGGTTTGGATATTTTGACCCCTCCAAATCACATGTTGAAATGTGATCTCCAGTGCTGGAGGTGGGCCTAGTGGGAGGTTTTGGGTTATGAGGGTGGATACTTCATGAATGGCTTGGTGCTGTCCTTGTGATAATGAGTGAGTTCTCACTCTATGAGTTTACATGGGATCTGGTTGTTTAAAAGAGCACCTCCTCCTTCTCTCTCTTGCTCCCTCTCTCACCATGTGACATGCTGGCTGTCTTTCACCTTTCACCACGACTGTAAGCTTCCTGAGGCCCTCACTGGAAGCAGATGCCGGCACTGTGCTTCATGTACAGCCTGTAGAACTGTGAGCCAAATAGACTTCTTTTCTTTATAAATTACCCAATCTCACGTATTCCATTATGGCAATGCAGAGTAACACATAAAGCCATCTCTAGTTATGCTAAGAAATAGAACTTAATGGACCACATTGTTGTGGAGGATGAAAATAAATTGCAAGATTAATCAAAAGTAAAGTAACTTTGTCTTATAGGCGGCCACAGTTTGATTTAATTCAAAGGCTCAATATATTCCCCACAAGTCATGAAATTTTGAAAATATTTTCCTAGTACTTTCAATGGACTACTTGCCTACTCTGGGCTTTTGTGAGCACAAAGCTTTGTAGATGCATTAATCATAGTACTGAAAAAGAAATTAAAAGGTCATTTAGCTTTTACTTGCCATCTGTCAATATTGAATATTCATATGAGTATGAAATATTTGGAATATTAAATATCCTAAATAGTCCATCAATAGCTAATAGCTTATATGAAAAGTCATTCTGTGAGATATTTTATTATTTATTTATTTTTTTTTTAAATTTTTAAATTTTTTTTATTATTATTATACTTTAAGTTTTAGGGTACGTGTGCACAATGTACAGGTTAGTTACATATGTATACATGTGCCATGCTGGTGTGCTGCACCCATTAACTCGTCATTTAGCATTAGGTATATCTCCTAATGCTATCCCTCCCCTGTCCCCCCACCCCACAACAGTCCCCACAGTGTGATGTTCCCCTTCCTGTGTCCATGTGTTCTCATTGTTCAATTCCCATCTATGAATGAGAACATGTGGTGTTTGGTTTTTTGTCCTTGTGATAGTTTACTGAGAATGATGATTTCCAATTTCATCCATGTCCCTACAAAGGACATGAACTCATCATTTTTTATGGCTGCATAGTATTCCATGGTGTATATGTGCCACATTTTCTTAATCCAGTCTATCATTGTTGGATATTTGGGTTGGTTCCAAGTCTTTGCTATTGTGAATAGTGCCGCAATAAACATACGTGTGCATGTGTCTTTATAGCAGCATGATTTATAGTCCTTTGGGTATATACCCAGTAATGGGATGGCTGGGTCAAATGGTATTTCTAGTTCTAGATCCCTGAGGAATCACCACACTGACTTCCACAATGGTTGAACTAGTTTACAGTCCCACCAACAGTGTAAAAGTGTTCCTATTTCTCCACATCCTCTCCAGCACCTGTTGTTTCCTGACTTTTTAATGATTGCCATTCTAACTGGCGTGAGATGGTATCTCATTGTGGTTTTGATTTGCATTTCTCTGATGGCCAGTGATGATGAGCATTTTTTCATGTGTCTTTTGGCTGCATAAATGTCTTCTTTTGAGAAGTGTCTGTTCATGTCCTTCACCCACTTTTTGATGGGGTTGTTTGTTTTTTTCTTGTAAATTTGTTTGAGTTCATTGTAGATTCTGGATATTAGCCCTTTGTCAGATGAGTAGGTCACGAAAATTTTCTCCCATTAATTCAAGATGGATTAAAGACTTAAACGTTAGACCTAAAACCATAAAAACCCTAGAAGAAAACCTAGGCATTACCATTCAGGACATAGGCATGGGCAAGGACTTCATGTCTAAAACACCAAAAGCAATGGCAACAAAAGCCAAAATTGACAAATGGGAGCTAATTAAACTAAAGAGCTTCTGCACAGCAAAAGAAACTACCATCAGAGTGAACAGGCAACCTACAAAATGGGAGAAATTTTTCTGTGAGATATTTTAATGTTGAGAGCTCCTTCATCCTCTTTCAGCAGCCTTTCCAGTATTTACTTGCCTCGGCCAAAGTTATTTTCTTTTTTTTTGTTTTATTATTATTATTATTTGTTTGTTTGTTTTCAGACAGAGTCTTGCTCTGTTGCCCAGGCTGGAGTGCAATGGTGTGATCTTGGATCACTGCAACCTCTACCTCCTGGGTTCAAGTGATTCTCTTGTCTCAGCCTCCCAAGTAATGGGGGTTACAGGCACCTGCCACCATGCCCGGCTAATTTGTTGTATTTTTAGAAGAGATCGGGTTTCATCATGTTGGCCAGATTAGTCTCGAACTCTTGACCTCAGGTGATCCACCACCTTAGCCTCCCAAAGTGCTGGGATTACAGGCATGAGCCACCACACCTGGCCTGGCCAGTTATTTTCTACCTGTCAGCATTTATGTAAGTAATTTGTATGCCCTGTAAGCCAGGGTGATTTTTGTAATTCTTAACTTTTGTTCCAAGTCTGATATCTGCCTCCTAAGATTGTTAAGGGAGTTTTTCAGGACAACCATGACACTCTTCTGACCCTTCCACACACCACCCCCCACCAACCTTTTTCTTTTCTAAAGGTATACCTATTCCAATGTGACTCAAAACCAAAACCAAAAAGCCTTTTTATGACTTAAAACCAATAAGCCTTTTATGGCTTAACCATGGATGCAAAAGAAGTCCTCAAAAAGTGTGTAAAAGATGTACTCCCATGACTCAAAGTCACTCCAAAAAGAAAGAAAGCTAAGATTCCCATTGCCACAGGTAATATGAATGGTGTTTGTGATCCAGTCTTCCATGAAAGTCAGATGCCTCTTATCATGGACCTGCTAATCTGTGATACTGGGCAGGCAACACTGAAATGGGACTTTCCCAGCACTAATAAGACAATGAGGAAAGAGATTACCAGGGCCCCTTATGCACCATATCTTTTAGTTAGACAAACTCCTCCTGAGAGCTGGCACAATTAGTAGGCACATGTCTTGGGCCCCTAGCCTGATGTCTGGCCACCTGTACACGCAGACCTCACAACCTATACCCCTGGCAGGCAGAAAATCAGAGCGAGAGAGAGAAAGATTTTACTGGATCTAAGTCTAGCTCTAAGGACATAAAACCAGACAGAAGGAGAATCTCATTTATTTATTAATTAGAGACCCACAGTGTCCAAATGGACACTGGCCCAGTAAGAACCATAAACTCACCAGTCTTATGAGGCCAGTTTGAACAATAGGCTTTTAGGGCCCATGCCTATGTTCTGCCATGTAATTCTCCTTCTTATGACAAATGGCACAAAGTGTATAGACAAAGGAAAATTATGGCTACCCCTGGGAGGGAATGGGTCAATAACCAATGAGTACTCAAAACAAAATTCACGAGAGTCACCATACCCAAAGAACTTTTACGAATGTTTTCTCCTGTTAGTATACATTTGGAAAGGAAACATGCTCTGCTACTAGGGCCTATAAATTAAACTGACAAAAGACAGATTAACAGAAGAAAAGGCATACAAATTTTATTTAATGTTAATATTTTAATTTTTACACACATAGAGGCTTTCATGGAAAAGAAATGAAGACCCAAAGAAGTGGTTAGACCCACGAGCTTATATATCATTTTAACAAGGGGTGATAAATTGTAGAGAAGTGACAAAATAAAGGAAAAGAGATTTGAACGTCTAGGGGTGGGAAATTGTGGGAAGGTAAATATATGGGGGAAACTAATGGAAAATAAGAATTATTTTAATAAGGTTTATTCATGTGGACTCATCTCAGTGCTGGATTTCTGCCTCCCATGATAAAGGTCATTCCCCTACTTGCATTGGAGAAGGAAGGAAGAACATCTTCACAAAGGGAAATTTATCATCTGCTTTTAGGCAGATGAGAGAGGTCAAGGGGCTCTGTGTTTGTTGCTTCTTAATTGCTTTCAGCTCAAAATAATCCTTATGTCAAAGTGACATATTTTGGGGTGGCATATTATTATTCTCTTCATAGATTTGGCTACTTAATAATTGGATACTAAAGTCACAGCAATATTTATTGTAACAGGGATAAACAGCTCATAATCTGATGAAAATCCCCTGATGGGAAGTGGTTGTTATCAGAGACCTTTTTGAAGTCCTTATTTCTCAGCATCACCATCTAGCAGCAAAAATCTCAAAAAGAACACAGAGCCTTCCCAGGATCTTAAATTTAACAGGATGTGTGCAAAGTACCACAAATACCACGGCATTATTTAAACCCTAAGATACATTTTTGTCTGAATAAAGTTATCTAAGAGAAATAATTTTTATGCTTGTATTAAGAAAAAGGATTTATACTCTCATTATAGATTGTACTATATGAGAGATTTTATCATTTTAAGAAACATTTAGACCCATAAATATAGCCTGTGTGTTTACATTTGCATGTATACAATAGTCATATTTTGACTGTTTGATAAATGTTATTAATTTACTCCTTTGAAGGTTGGCCCCATCATCCCCAGAAGTTTTTTTTTTTTTTTAAATACATGATGCTCAACAACCGTAATTGGTATCTGTGTCTGTATCTTTATTCTCTCCTCTCTACTATTAGAAGTTCAGAGTAGAAACTCTACTCTTTCTCAAGGTGAAACTGCCACCGTATTGAATGGATCCACTATCTGGGCCCATCAAATATCACTCTTAGGATTTGGACTTTTTCCTATGCAAAGATTTGTTTGTTACTTTGTTTGTTTTCCTCAGCTTACATCTACAATCTCCTGCTTTAAAAATCCATGCCTTGACTTTCCTACCCTCTAATTGTATAGATACTTTTGGAGCAAACTTCTAGGAATACTAAAATGCACTCAATGCTTTTATTTCCTTGCCTTGAAAACATTTCTTCAACCTTTACAATCTGGCCTCTGGCTCTATCATTCTATGGAAATCACTTTCTGAAAGATCACCAATGATCTGGCCAAATTCAACAGCTTATTCTTAATCCTATCCCTTATATCAAAATCTCATAATTTACACTTCATTTCACAAATATGAATGGGTTATATATTATGCATGCTTTGTATATACAAAAAGGCATAAAGAATAACATAATGAGCATCTGAGTTCCAACTAAGTGACTTAAAATATAATGCAGTGTACTTCCACGTTTGTTGCCACTCTGGTCACAAGAGGCAAGATTGGAAGTGTCCATCAACAGATGAATGGGTAAAGAAAATGTAGTACATATACACAGTGGAGCGATTGAACCATAAAAATGAATGAGATCCAGTCATTTGCAACAGCATGGATGAAATGGGAGATCATTAGGTTAAGTGAAATAAGCCAGGCACAGAAAGACAGACATCACATGTTCTCACTTATATGTTGGATCTAAAAATCAAAACAATTGAACTCATAGACATAGAGAGAAGAAGGATGGTTACCAGAGTCTGGGATGGGTGGTTGGGGTGTTAAGACAAGGTGGTGATGGTTAATGGGTACAAAAAAATAGTTAGAATGATTAAGACTTAGTATTTGATAGCACAACAGGGTGATATAGTCAATAATTAGTTTAATTGTACACTTTAAAATAACTAAAATTAGAGTATAATTGGATTGCTTGTAGCACAAAGGATAAATTACTTGAGCAGATGAATACCCCATTGTACACATTGCATGCCTGTATCAACCCATCTCATGTACTTCATAAATATATACACCTATATGAACCCATAAAAATTAAAAATTAAAAAAATTTAAAAATATATAATACAGTACAAATACTGTTGAACCACTTGTGTACCCTCCACTCTCTAGTCACATTCCCCTTTATCCCCCTCAATTGCCCCTCTGTCCTCCAGAAAACTATCATGAATTTTGTATTTATTTTTAATATTTATTTTTATACTTTTACTACATATATATGTGTCTCCAAATAATGTTACTCCAAATGTTTTAAAACTTAGTTTAAATGGATTTATTCCATATGCGCTTTTATGCAATTTGCTTTTTTCTGTTTTTGGCATTTGTATTTATGGGTATAATTGTGTAATATTTACATTGCTACATAGTATTCCATTGCATGAATAAAATCATAACTTATGTCTTCTCCTATTGATGGACATTTAAGTGTTTTTTTGTAGATTTTAAAATTTAGAGCAATTTTTTTATGAACACTCTTGCACATGTCTTTATTCCAAAATTGACAATACTGAATTGTGAAGTCCATTCATAATGGTATAAGAAAACTTGTCTCTCTACCATGAAGAACCTGACTGTAACTGGGGTAATTTTGCATTTCCTAAATTACCTGTTTGTTTTTAAGAGCCAGTTCTTCTGAAATCTGTGTTATTTTGTAAAATTCTATAGTAAACTAATTTTTTAAAAAATTTCAATATCGTAAAAATGGCCATACTTCCCAAAGCAATTTATAGATTCAACGCTAACCTCATTAAACTACCATTGACATTCTTCACAGAATTAGAAAAAAGTATTTAAAAAATTATATGGAACCAGAAAAGAGCCCGAATAGCCAAGACAATCTTAAGCAAAAAGAACAAAGCTGGAGGCATCATGCTACCTGACTTCAAACTATTATATACTACAAGGCTACCATAACCAAAACAACATGGTACTGGGACAAGAAGAGACACATAGACCAATGGAATAGAATACACAACCCAGAAATAAGATTGCACACCTACAACCATCTGATCTTCCACAAACCTGACAAAAACAAGCAGTGGGAAAGGATTTCCTATTTAACATATGGTCCTGGGAGAACTGGCTAGCCATATGCAGAAAATGAAACTGGACCCCTTCCTTACACCATATACAAAAATCAACTCAGGTTGGATTGAAGATTTAAATGTAAAACCCCAAACTATAAAAACCCTAAAAGATGGTATTTCTAGTTCAAGATCCCTGAGGAATTGCCACACTGACTTCCACAATGGTTGAATTAGTTTACAGTCCCACCAACAGTGTAAAAGTGTTCCTATTTCTCCACATCCTCTCCACCACCTGTTGTTTCCTGACTTTTTAATGATCGCCATTCTAACTGGTATGTGATGGTATCTCACTGTGGTTTTGATTTGCATTTCTCTGATGGCCAGTGATGATGAGCATTTTTTCATGTGTCTTTTGGCTGCATAAATGCCTTCTTTTGAGAAGTGTCTGTTCATATCCTTCGTCCACTTTTTGATGGGGCTGTTTGTTTTTTTCTTGTACAATAGCAAAGACTTGGAACCAAGCCAAATGTCCAACAATGATAGACTGAATTAAGAAAATGTGGCACATATACACCATGGAATACTATGCAGCCATAAAAAATGATGAGTTCATGTCCTTTGTAGGGACATGGATGAAGCTGGAAACCATCATTCTCAGCAAACTATCACAAGGACAAAAAACCAAACACCACATGTTCTCACTCATAGGTGGGAATTGAACAATGAGAACACATGGACACAGGAAGGGGAACATCACACACCGGGGACTGTTGTGGGGTAGGGGGAGAGGGGAGGGATAGCATTAGGAGATATACCTAATGTTAAATGACGAGTTGATGGGTGCAGCACACCAACATGGCACATGTATACATATGTAACTAACCTGCACATTGTGCACATGTACCCTAAAACTTAAAGTATAAAAAAAAACCCTAAAAGAAAATCTGGGCAATACCATTCAGGACATAAGTATGGGCAAGATTTCATAATGAAGACACCAAAAACAATTGCAACAAAAGCAAAAATTGACAAATGGGATCTAATTAAACTAAAGAGCTTCTGCACAGCAAAATAAACTATCATCAGAGTGAACAGACAACCTACAGAATGGGAGAAAAATTTTGCAATCTATGCATCTGACAAAGGTCTAATATCCAGTATCTACAAGGAGCTTAAACAAATTTACAAGAAAAAAACAACCCCATTAAAAAGTGGGCACATGACATGAACAGACATTCCTCAGAAAAATACATGCGGCCAACAAACATGAAAAAAAGCTCAACATCACTGATCATTAGAGAAATGCAAATCAAAACCACAATGAGATACTATCTCACAATAATCAGAATGGCTATTACTAAAAAATCAAAAAACTATGGATGCTGGCAAGGGTGTGGAGGAAAAGGAATGCTATTACAATGTTGGTGGGAGTGTAAATTAGTTTGACCATTATGGAAGACAGTATGGCGATTCCTCAAAGACCTAGAGGCAGAAATACCATTTGATCAGCAATTTCATTACTGGGCATAGACACAAAGGAATATATAAATCATTCTATTATAAAGATACATTCACATATATGTTTGTTTCAACACTATTCGCAATAGCAAAACATGGAATCAACAACTTAAATGCCCATGGATAATAAGACTGGATAAAGAAAATGTGTTACATACACACCATGGAATATTATGCAGCCATAAAAAGGAATGAGATCATGTCCTTTGCAGGGACATGGATGGAGCTGGAAGCCATTATCCTCAGCAAACTAACACAGGAACAGAAAACCAAATACCACATGTTCTCACTCATAAATGGGAGCTGAATGATGAGAACACATGGATACGTGGGTGGTGGTGGGGGAACAACACACAATGGGGCCTGTCGGAGGGTGGGCGGGGTGAGGAGGGAGAGCATCAGAGCTAATGGATGCTGGGCTTAATACATAGGCAATGGGATGACCTGTGCAGCAAACCACCATGGCACGCATTTACCTATGTAACAAACCTGCACATCCTGCACATGTACAACTGAACTTAAAATAAAAGTTGGAAATAAAATAAAAAGAAATATTTAACTAACAAATAAAAATGTATATATCCAAGGTATACAATGTGATGATTTATATGTGTATACATTGTGTACTGATTATCACAGTCAAATTAATTAGCACATCCATTATTGTTGATAGGTGTGTGTGTGTATGTGTATGTGTGCTGTGTACGTGGCCACTAAAACTGCCTTATTAGTAAATTTCAAGTAAACAATACAGTATTATTAACTATAGTCACCATACTGTATATTTGTTTTTTAGAGCTCACTCATTTTATAACTGAGAGCTTGTTTTATTTGACTAACATCTCCCCATTTTTCCCACTCCCTAAAATCTTTTCGTTTGCAGTGTACCTTTCACATTTCCTTTGATTTCTGCTTTGCCAAGATCTATCATATTCCTGTTAAATGAATTATATCAGATGAGTTTTCTCCTAATCATAAAGATATTTTTCTTTAATGTGGTCATGTGGTGGGTGTATTATTGTCTAATGTCATTTATTATTATTCCTAGAATTAAGTTCACACATAATATGTAGACACACAAATATACATATAAAAATAAAGCTGTATTCATCTTATTAATATTTTATTTAGGATAGTTTTATCTTTATTTGGTGTGATTAACCTGTAATTTCTCTCTTCTATGCAGTCCCTGTATTTTGGTTTCAGTATGAAGTTATATTAACCTTGTAAAATGAGTTGAGAAGAAGGTTTTTTTTCTCTTATCTGGAATAATGTGTATAAATTTTAATCTTCTCTCTTGGTGTTAAAGGTAGAGCTCTATGTAAAGCTATCTAGACCTAGTGTATGCATTTATGGGGAAAATGATTTTAAACTGCTGGTTTAGGTTATTTAATGGGTATAGGTATCCATTAAACTTTCTTTTTTTTTTTCTTTTTTTTTTTTTTTTTTTTTGAGACGGGGTCTTGCTCTGTCACCCAAGCTGGAGTGCAGTGATGCGATTTCAGCTCACTACAACCTCTGTTTCTCAGGTTCAAGCAATTCTCCTGCCTCAGCCTCCCGAGTAGCTGGGACTACAGGAGCGCACCATCATGCCCGGCTAATTTTTGTATTTTTAGGAGAGACATGGTTTCGCTATGTTGGCCAAGTTGGTCTGGAACTCCTGACCTCAAATGATCAGCCTGCATCGGCCTCCCAAAGTGCTGGGATTACAGGCATGAGCCACCGCACCCGGCCAGATCTGTTAAACTTCCTATTTTAAGTCTATTTTTAAGTGTTGTAGTTTCTAATAATCATTCATACTTTCCTTCCAGTTAAGTAACAGAACTCCAATATACAAAATACACACAATACCACCTTGAACAAAGGACATTTTCTCATTCTTCCTTGTAGCCAAATGACTAGATTTTGGCCAATTAATTGCAAATCAGAGTGCAGTATGGGACTTTCAGGATGACTCCTTTAAGAAAGCTAGTTTAGGAGACAGAAGACCTTTCTTTGGCTTCTTCTGCTTTTTCTCCATCTGCTGGCCTGAAACTCAGACCAGATGACTTGAACTCCATTTTCAACGATGAGCTGACCCTGAAGACGGCAGCCATATACTAGGATGTTAGAATAAAGGATATAGCCCTGCATCTCTGATAATGCCTCTGAGCTGCCTCTCTAGTTCTGACCTGATTATTTCTGCACTTACTGTAAAAGAAAAAAACTATATTTAAATAAACATTAGCTTTTTGTTTTACATTGTATGTCATTTAACTAAAATGTTAATATTTTTAAAATGCATTTATTTAGAAACTTGCCCATTTTATCTAAATTTTCAAATTAATTGACGTATTTTCTATAGCATTATATTCATATTTTAAATCTCTACCTTACATGTAGAAGGATCCCTTTTATTTCACTAGACTGATCTTGTTGGAGGTTCATCTACTTCATTATGCTTTTTCATGAACAATTTTTTGGTTGTGTTAATTCTTTTGATTGTGTCCTTTTTGTTTTCTATTTCTCTAATGTCTGCTCTTATCTTCATTATCTTCTACTAGTACTTTCGTGCTTATTCAATTTTCTTGTCCCAACTTCTAACTGTCTAGTTCATTAGTTTTAGCCTTTCTCTTTTCCTCATGAAAGTATTTGAAGTTGTGCATTTATGTATATGTAATCTTTGTTGCATCCAGTGAGTTTTATCTTTCATTATTTTTCATATTTGAGTTTTGCACATTTTAAAAATTCTCATGATAATTTCTTCTCTTATTCATGGATTAGTTAGAAATATGCTATTGTTGCTGTCATTAAATATCCCCAAAATATGGGGACATTTTAGCAGTGGTATTTAAATTGCATTGTAGTTAATGAGATGGTTTATGATATGGATTATGATATGGATGACTAATTTTTGAATGTGTTCAATGTGTGTGACAGAATAATAATGATAGCTAAATTTGATCAAGCATTCACTACATTACACACTATACTGTAAGTGCTTATATATTAATTCAATGAAACCTTTCAAAAGAACCTTCTAAGATCCAATTTTTTATTATTTGTGCTTCCAATATGAGAATATTTAGGCACAGAGAGATTAACCTGACTGCATTGAGTTTCCTTCAGACGTATTTTTCTGGTACATCTTTTCCCATTCGTTAAATTTGGTTTTTCTATGTCCTTATGTTTTAAGCATGTTAGTTGACAATAACATATAGCTACATTTTTACAAAGTCCAACCTAAGAATGTGTGCTTTTTAAAAGTTGGTTTGTTCATTTCAATTCTATTTGTTGTGATTACTGTCATCATAGGATTTTATAGGTAGTGAAAACTGGTCTTTTCTATTTAGCATACATTTCTATGCTTATTTTGGTCTCCTTCCGTGCCTTGTTCAAGCTATTTTGTTTGTTTGCTCAGTTAATTTTTCCTCTTTATTGTTTTAGCAGTTATATATTCTGTTTCTTTATAATAGTTTTTAATTAAAATTTTAACATGAAACACATATCAAAATCTAATGTCTCTCTTCTCCAGAATTACACAAAAATTCTAGAAAATTTTAAGGAATTTCACTTCTCAAATCTTTGGTGTTATTATTGTGAGCTTCTTTTTTAGTTTTATCTTGTTTTGTTATCCACCAAAGTAGGCATAATTATCAATATTTGTCTACATTTTCTCATATGGCTACCAATTTCTTTGCAAATCATTGCTTTTGTATCTCAGAACTAAATTTGGGGAGCATTAACATTCTCTACAAGTTCCTCTAGTAAACATTTCTTGGTAATAACTGGTGTTGTGCATGAGCTGGTGTGTATCAGTTAACAAGAGCCAACTACTAGATTTTCAGCAATTTTGCAAGCTGGTTGTAAAACACAGCCATTCGAGTTAGGTACGCTTGCAACTAAATCAATTGTATTTAAAAGAAAGGTCATAAATATTTAAAACTTAATCTTCTGAATTATTTTACTAGATTTTTCTATGATCTATGGTCTTGAGATTGTTTATATCTATTTTATCTGCATGTTGGAAATATTATAAAATGTCGTATTAATGCAAATCTCTTCCCAAATCTGTGTTCAGTGACCTTCATATTGGTAACACCTCCCTTCTCCACAGGCAGTGGCTAAAATTTTACCAGCACATTACTATGAATAATATATGTCACTTTTTCTTTGTTTGAAAATCTATTTGAGGGTCATTTTTAAGAGTAGTTTATCAGAGTATAAATCCTTGGTTGATAATTAAGTCCAAGATTAAGGTACCAGCAGGCTTGGTTCCCTCTGAGGGCTGTGAGAAAGAATCTGTTCCAAGCCTTTCGCCTAGCTTCTTATGGTTTTCTGGAAATCTTGAGTATTTTTTGGCTTGTAGAGGCATCACCTCAATCTGAGCCTTCACCTTCACATGGTGTTCTCCCTGTGTGTCTCTCCAAATTTCCAAACCTTCCCTCTTTATAAGGACACCAGTCATATTGGATTAGGGATTCATGCTACTCCACTATGACCTCATCTAACTAATTACATCTGCAGCAACCTTAATTCCAAATAAGAGCTCATTCTGATAGATACTGGGCGCTAAGACTTCGAGATATGAATTTTGAGGGAATACAACTCAACCTGTAACACCAACGTAAAGTTTGCAATCAACATTTCAACAAAAGAGTATAGCAGCCATTTATGGTTATTGCCCCTATCCATTATTTCATTAGGTATTGCAAAATAGTGATTTTTTAGTTCTATTATTTCTTCCGAATTCATTAGCTGGAATTCATCTGTAAAGAAAAACTTTCCCTCATCAATGATTTCAATCTTTTGAAATTGTTAACATGTGAAAGGCAGGCTAAATGCTTCTTTCCTTTTTGCCAATTTTCAAAATAATGAGTTGGTGACAACAATCTCCTGAAGTGATCAATGATCATTTTTAAAAGTGTAAGTATGAATGCATGGACTTTTATTTATTTGCTGTATTTTAACTAATTGTCATTATCCCTTGTGATAAACTAATTGTCTCATCTCAGGGTAGTGTCTTTTTGAAACAACACCAGTAATCTTTCAAAATTTCCTGACTTTCAAGGCCAAGCACAGTGGCTCATGCCTGTAATCTCAGCACTTTGGGAGGCCAAGGGGGCTGGATCAACTGAGGTCAGGAGTTTGAGATCAGCCAACATGGTGAAACCCTGTCTCTCCTAAAAATACAAAAATTAGCCGGGCATGGTGGTACACACCTGTAGTCCCAGCTACTGGGGAGGCTGAGGTGAGAGAATTGCTTGAACCCGGGAGGCAGAGGTTGCAGTGAGCCGAGATTCTAGCCTGGGCAACAGAGCAAAACTCTCTTAAATAAATAAATAAATAAATAAATAAATAAATAAATAAAATAAAAATTCCTAACTTTCTAACTGGAGAAGTCATTTGGTCTTTTGTGCATATTTTATTCCTCAGATCTGGAAACACAATTTCTTCAAGGAACTCTTTTAATAAAAGATGGTCTTTGAATACCACAATCTGGGATCTAGGGGTGTTCATTGCTACAGCACTGCCATTTCTTCTGGTCCCTTTCATTGAAAAGAGCTAGACAGTATATATGTATGTATGTGTGTGTGTATATATATATGTATGTGTGTGTGTGTGTGTGTGTGTGTGTATTTATTTATTTATTTTTCTGAGACAGAATCTCACTCTATCACCCAGGTTGGAGTGCAGTGACATGATCTCGGCTCACTGCAACCTCCGTCTCCTGGGTTCAAGCGATTCTTGTGCCTCGGCCTCCTGAGTAGCTGGGATTGCAGGCGTGTCACCACGCCCTGCTAATTTTCATATTTCTAGTAGAGATGGGGTTTTGCCATGTTACTCAGGCTGGTCTCAGACTCCAGGCCTCAAGTGATCTGCCCTACTTGGCCTCCAAAAGTGCTGGGATTACAGGTGTGAACCACTGCACCTGGCCCAGAAAGTATATATTTTTAAAATAAGAAAGAGAAAAACAAATCATGAGCTCATACTGATATTTCCTATTCAAATGTAATATTGCAAGGCTTCTGCTTAACTGGTCTGATTTCTATCTCTTCTCTTATGATGAAAAATCAGTATTCGCAACATTAGCAGTATTGCTTATTTGCTTTATCCTACAATGTACAAGAGATTCAAAACAGCAATACTAACATAATCATCAACAATAAGACAGCTAAAAACAGTTGAAGATTTTTTATTATTTTCCCTTCATATATCTTCATATATAGGGATCTACATTCAAAATACTGTTTTGTAAGGTTGCTTGAAATTATTTTTCCCTGTGTAGGTGAAGACATCCATTTGGTATATTATTAGGTTCATTGTTTTAGTTTGTTTTTGACTTATAAGAATTTCTTCTTTTAACTTTTTATTTAGTTATTTCTTCAATTATGAAAAAGAATTAAATGATTTCAAAGTCAAAACTCTAAATAAGGGTACATTCTGAGATATTTAACTTTCATATCTGATCCCCTCTTATTGTCTTCTCCAGTCCCTCTACGTAATCTTTTTCAAAAATAAATTTAATTTTTTTAGTATTTCTGTATCATTGAACTTCCATTAATCTAATCCTAATGCATCGATTACCTATATCCACTGTCCCCTTTCTCAAATGTAGCATATCATATCAGTGTCTCCTCCCCTTCCTTTCTCCCTTCCTTTCTTTCCTCCTTTCCTTCCTCTTTTCCTTCTTCCTTCCTCTCTCCCTCCATCTATTTATTCTTTTCCTCTTTTTCTTTCTGTGTTTCTCTTAATATTATATCACTGGGATCACTCCTTAGTAGAAAAGAAATCTTCATTTCAATTTCAAACTCTGCATAGCACTCCATTGTGTGTATGTATTACACTTTATTCAGTTGATTACTTATTAATGGAATTTGAGTTGCAACCAGTTCATTGATATTACAAATAATGTTGAAATGAATAGCCTTGCGCATGACTTTTCATATATTTGGCAGTGTATTCTGGGGCTGTCTCTTACAAGTGGCATTCTTGGTTCAATAGGAAAATGCATATATGAAATTTTGCTAGATATTGTCAAACTCTTCTTCACCTAGTTTATAGTATTACGACTCAATATCAGTAATATGTGAGTGATTATAGTACCAATAGACTTTGTTGTAGAAGTTTTGGTGTTTTACCAATCAGTAAAGTGAAAAATGATACGTAATATCACTTTGCTCACTTTGATATTTCTTTTAATATAGGCAAAGTTGATCATCTTTTCATGCTTTAGGGCTTTCTATATTTATATTTCTGTGTAACTACTATTCCTATCTTTGCTATTAATTAAAATTTTTTCTCAATTTCCAAAAGCTTTTAACATAATAGGGATATTAACTCATTGTTAGGTATGTTGAGAATACATTTCCCTATCTGTCATGTATTTTGAAAAATTCTGCTTATTTTTTTGTACACATTTTTATTTTAATATTTTTCAGTATTTTATTGCTTTTGGATTTTTATTAATAGTAAAGAGTTTCTGACTGTCAGGTTATACTGAAATTTGCCAATGTTTCCTTCTCATACTCAAATGTTTTCATTTTTCAATTTTTTAATGTTTAATTTTTTTTTAGAGACAGCGTCTAGCTTGGTTACCACGCTGGAGTGCAGTGGCCTGAAATAGCTCACTGCATCCTCAAACTCCTGGGCTCAAGTGACCCACCCGCCTTGGCCTTCCAAGTAGCTGGGACTACAGGTACATGGCACCATGCCTGGATAATTTTTAAAATTTTTTGTAGAAAGAGGCTCTTGCTATGGTGACCGGTCTGTTCTTGAACTCCTGGCCTCAAACTATCCTCTCCCATCGGTCTCCCAAAGTACTGGAATTTCAGCATGTAATTCCAATGAAATCCTGTCATTTGCAACAAAATATCATTTGGTTGCAACAAAATGGTTGCAACAAAATGTCATTTGCAAGGAAATGGTTGCAAATGACAGGATTTCATTCTTTTTATGGCTGAAAATTTTCCATTGTGTATATGTGCCACATTTTCTTTATCAATTCACCCATTGATGGACATGTAGTTTGATTTTATATCTTGGCCTTTGTGAATAGGACTGCAATAAACATGAAAGTGAAGATATCTCTTCGATATACTGATTTTCTTTCTTTTGGATACACACCTAGCAGAACATACATTGGGGAAAGGACATGTATGAGCCACTGAGCCTGAGTAATTTTTAATAAATAGATATCAGATCTATTTGGAATTTATCCTGGTCTAATGTGTGAAGAAAATGGATCCAGTTCCATCATTTTTTATATTACCAAGTGGCCCAAACATCACTTATTAAAAATTCTTCTCTTTCTCACTGATTTGAGAAACTAGCCTCAGCATATACTACATTGGATAGTAGGTATTTGGGTCTCCTTCAGAATGTTCTCTATTGCATAGTCTCTCTGTTTTTGGTAGAAAGGTATTATACCATATTTTATATTTTGGTATGGCTGGCCACTTTCTGCCCCACTCCGTCCAGTTCTTCCTTTTAGCAAATTTTCTGGACATCTGTGCTTATTTATTTTTCTAAATGAACTGTACGAATAACTTGTCTAGCACACAAAACACCTGATAGTAATTTTATAAGTTAACTTGGGAATAATTTACATGTTTATAATGTAAAGTCATCAGCTTGTTCAAGTTTACTTGTTTGTTTTCAGGCGTATTTTATACACTTCCTCATAAATTAAGAAACCCTATGCTTTATGTACAACCTGTCAAGTTCATATGAATATTTTATGAGTGTTGTAAATATGGTCTGTTTTTCCTATACATCTTCTAACTGATTGGTTTTATATATGAGGCCTGTTTTGGTCAATGTGTTAACTTTACTATACATTGCTACTTTACTAATTTCTTTTAATATTTATAATATTTTGCATTGTTTCTTTTTGGGTTTTCAGCTATAGGATCATATCATCTGAAAGTAGAGATACCCATAATTTTATCTCTTCTAGACTTATATTTTCAATTGCCCTTTTTATTTTTAAAATTTATTTAAAATTTTAATTTCTAATTATTATGGGCACATGATAGCTGTATATATTTATGGGGCATATATGATGTTTTGATACAGGCATACAACGTGTGATGATCGGGGTATTTGGGGTATCCATTATGTTAAGCAGTTATCATTTCTTTGTGTTAGGAATATTCTAATTCTACTATTTTAGTTATTTCTAAATATACAATAAATTATTAACTATAGCATCCTTATTTTGCTACTGAATACAAGATCTTATTTATTCTATCTAACTGTGTTTTTATACTCATTGACCATCCCCATTCTATTTTTCCCTCCCCATTACCCTTCCCAGTCTCTGGTAATGATCATTCTAGTTTCTGTCTCCATAAGTTCCGTTTTCTTTTTCTTTCTTTTCTTTTTCCCACATATGAGTGAGAACATGAGATATTTGTCTCTCTGTGCCTGGCTTATTTCACTTAATATAATGTCCTCCAACTCCATCTATATTGTTGCAAATGACAGGTTTCATTCTTTTTATGGCTGAATAATTTTCCATTACGTATATGTACCACATTTTCTTTATCCATTCATCCATTGATGGGTACATAGGTTGATTTTACATCTTGGCCTTTGTGAATAGCACTGCAATAAACATGGGAATGCAGATATCTCTTTAATATAATGATTTTCTTTCTTTTGGATATACATCTAACAGAACATACACTGGGGAAAGGACAATCTCTTCAATAAATAGTGCTGGGAAAACTGGATATCCAGATGCAGAAGAGTGAAACCTGACCCCTATCTTTTGCCACACCACACAAAAATTAAACTAAAATGGATTAAACACTTAAATCTAAGACCTCAAACTATGAAATTACTAGAAGAAAACATTGGGTAAACACTTCTGGACATTGGTCTGGGCAAAGATTTCTTGAGTAAGACCTCAAAAGAATAGGCGACCAAATCAAAATGGATAAATAGGATCACATCAAGCTAAAAAGTTTCTGCACAGCAAAGGAAACTATCAACAAAATGAAGCGACAACTAACAGAGGGAAGAAAATATTTGCAAACTACCCATCTGACAAGGGATTAATAATCAAAATATATAAGGAGCTCAAACAACTCAACAGGAAAAAACCAATCTGATTAAAATCTGGGCAAAATATCTGAATAGACATTTTTCAAAAGAAGACATACAAATAGCCAAGTATGTGGGAAAAATGCTCAACATCACTACTCACCAGAGAAATTCAAATCAAAACTACAATGAGATATCATCTCACCCCAGTTAAGAGGGCTTTTATCCAAAAGATTAGCAGCAACAAATGTTGGTGAGGATGTGAAGAAAGAGTTATCCTAATATACTGTTGACAGGAATTTAAATTAGTGCAACCACTATGGAGAACAGTACGGAGGTTCCTCAAAAAACAAAAAAAACAAAACAAAAAAAAAAAACAAAACCAAAAAGCTACTATATGATTCAGATATCCCAATTGCTTTCTCTTTTACAACTACACTGGCTAATGCATCTAATGCAAATTGAGTAGTGCTGCAGATAGTGAATGTACTTTAACGGGGGAAGTCTCCGATGTTTACCAACTGAGAAATATACTGGTTTGGGGGCTGATGCCATGTGTATTAAAGTATCCATTGATTTCTACTTAATTTAATATTTTTAAAAATTGGCTGGGCACGGTGGCTTATGCCTGTAATCCCAGCATTTTAGGAGGCCAAGGCAGGTGGATCATTTCAGGTCATGAGTTCGAGACCAGCCTGGCCAACAAAGCAAAACCCCGTCTCTACTAAAAATACGACAACTAGCCAGGTGTGGTGGCACGCACCTGTAATCCCAGCTACTCTGGAGGCTGAAGCACGAGAATTGCTTGAACCTGGGAGGCAGAGGTTGCAGTGAGCTGAGATTGCGCCACTGCACTCCAGCCTTGGTGATGGAGTGAGAATGTGTCTCAAAAAAAAAAAAAATTAAATTAATGGTTGCTGAATTTAGTGATATAGATTTAGGTTTCTTATAAAGATGATAATGCTTTTTTCTTTCTAGTTCTATTAATATGATAATTGTGTAAATTTTCTCTTAATGTTGAACCACCACTACATTCCTAAATAAACCCCAGTTAGTTACATAATCCCAAATAATGTGTTACTTTTCAATGTGTTTCTGGATTCTGTTTGCTAATGTTTTATTTAAGAATTTTGCATCAAATATTTATAAGTGATACCAGACTATAGTTTTCATTTGGATATTAATATTATATTTGCTACATAAAGTGAATTTGGATTTTTTTTCTTTTTACATGCTCTTTAATAGTTTTGGAAGCGTTAAGATGGGCAGATCTTTAAAAGGTCTTGTAGAACTCCCCTGGGAAGCCATATAGGTCTAGTGCTTTTTTGCAGGTGAATTCTTTACAACTGTCTCTATTTGTCTATGAAAAATGGTCTGTATCGTATTTTTATTTTGACTTAAATTTGGTAAACTATATTTTCAAGGAATTATTTATTTTTCTAGATTTTAAAATGGAATTGCATAGATATATGCAAAATAGTCTCACGTAAAATAATTGATAGTTATTTTCCACTTGTCACTTCTACTTATCTGCACTTGTGGCTCCTTTCTCTGCTTTATTAGGTTACTTAATGATTTATCAATCTTTTGCACTTTTTCCCAATGAACTAGCTTGCTTGCTTGCCTTTTTATGTATGATTTCTACAGTTTTCTATCTTCTAACTCATTAACATCTGATTTTATTATTATTTTCTTAATTATTTTTTCTTTTGGTTTATTTTTCATTTTTTCTCTGGTCTTTTAACATGAGTAATTTATTTATTTTTTTTTCAGTTCTGTTTATATAGGTATTGAATTGCATATTTTTCTTCTGATAATGGCTTTTGCTGTATTTCATTATTGATATTTACAAGAAATTCTCCAATTATGTTTTATATTTCTACTTTGACCTAAGAGTTGTTTGCTAGCACGTTTTTAAATATATTTAGGTAAAAATTTGTTTAAATATATATTTTCTTGTTTTATGACAATAGAGAATTCCAACTATAACATTTTGATTTTTTAGAATTATTGACATTTTTACAGCACCCTTATATGTAGTCAGTTTTCAGAAATATTTTATAAGCACTCCAAAAACTTCTCTATAATTCAGGGCACAAGGGATAATATTTTTCCATATGATATTGATTATGCTGTTTGTACCTTCTTTATAGTTTCTAAATTTGTGTCCATTTCATGTGAATTGGATATTGGCATACTAATATATCCCATTACTAGTGTGTCTATGTTTATTTATCTTCATACCAACTATAGTTCCTATTTATAGAAAATTTTGTTTTTATATTATATGCAGAAATATTAATGCCTCATCATTCTGAATCGTAAACTTACTGATTTAAAGTGTTTATTTGTCTCTTACTTTTTAGTCTGAATTCTACCTTGTTAGCTATCAAGTTCTTGACTGTTACTCTCTTTTCATTTACTTTTGTTTGGTAGGAAAACTGGCATCTTTTATTTTTAACCTTTTGAATTTCTTTATGTTAGATGTGTCTTTGTATAAAGTGTAGGTTTGATTTTACTTTTTTAGTCAATCTAAAACATATTGTTCCTTTAATTTGTGAGTCATGATTTTTTGTATTTATTAATAACTGTGATATATTTAGTCTCGATTCTGTTCTTCATCAAGCTCTAAAATTTTTCTCTAGACGGTTTTTTGTACCCTCCACCCTCCTTTCTCTCCCTCTCTCTCCTTCTCTTAGGTATTAATGTTGGTATTTAGGAAGATTTTACTTTTTGTTCTAATAATTGCCATTATGTTATTCCCTTATATAGTATCTCTTCTTTCAAGATACTTTCTTCTATTCATTTCTTACAATAAGCACTATTAAAAATAGCTAAAACTCTTTTCTTTTCTTCTCCTCTCTTTCCCCAAATTCCAACTATATCCCTAAACTCTCAACATTGAATCTACTTCTTCTCCCCACCATTTTAAATAGTTGTAATATATCATAGTTGGAAGAGCCAACATCATTTACATATACCCATTTGTCCTTATCACCATTATTTAACCTTCGTCATGTAACTGAATATACTTAATGCTCACAGCCATTTTAATATTGTTTTTGGTAGTGTGAAGCTTATTCTTCAGTAGATTATCGAGGAAAAACTTGTAGGTGTAGTATTTCCTGAATTCTTGCATATTCACAACAATTTGTATTGTGTTTCACAAATTCTTTGAATTTCTTAAATTGCTTTAGGAATTTCTGGTTTAAAGCATTGTAGTCAACAAGTCTAATGGTAATCTAATTTTTAAAACCCTTTTGTTTGATACTTTTACTTGTATTCCCAAAAGATGTTTTATTTTCAGTAGATGAGACTTTTGCTAGAATATACCTTTACATTGGTCATTCAGGGTTGATTGTCTCAAGTAACTTGTAACTTCAAATCTTCTTTAATTTCAGGAAAGTACTCTTGGTTATGGTTTTTAATATTTGTAGTTTTCTCTTTGGTCTTATGCTTCTAACACTCTTTTCGCATATATGTTGCATTTTCTTCGTCTATTGTAAGTATTTATTTTCATGCGCGTACGTGTGAAGAGACCACCAAACAGGCTTTGTGTGAGCAACATGGCTGTTTATTTCACCTGGGTGCAGGTGGGCTGAGTCCAAAAAGAGAGTCAGTGAAGGGAGATAAGGGTGTGGCCGTTTTATAGGATTTGGGTAGGTAAAGGAAAATTACAGTCAAAGGGGGTTTGTTCTCTGGCGGGCAGGAGTGGGGGTCGCAAGGTGCTCAGTGGGGGTGCTTTTTGAGCCAGGATGAGCCAGGAAAAGGACTTTCACAAGGTAATGTCATCAGTTAAGGCAAGGACCGGCCATTTACCAGTGGAATAAATAAATACCGGCCATTTTGTGGTGGAATGTCATCAGTTAAGGTGGGGCAGGGCATATTCACTTCTTTTGTGATTCTTCAGTTACTTCAGGCCATCTGGATGTATACATGCAAGTCACAGGGGATGCGATGGCTTGGCTTGGGCTCAGAGGCCTGACATTCCTGCCTTCTTATATTAATAAGAAAAATAAAACAAAATAGTGTTGAAGTGTTGGGGCGGTGAAAATTTTTGGGGGGTGGTATGGAGAGAGAATGGGTGATGTTTCTCAGGGCTGCTTCAAGCGGGATTAGGGGCGGTGTGGGAACCTAGAGTGGGAGAGATTAAGCTGAAGGGAGGTCTTGTGGTAAGGGGTGATATTGTGGGGATGTTAGAAGAAACATTTGTCATATAGAATGATTGGTGATGGCCTGGATACGGTTTTGGATGAATTGAAAAACTAAATGGAATAACAGAAGGAGAAAAACAGGTATAAAAGGTCTAAGAATTGGGAGGACCTAGGACATCTAATTAGAGAGTGCTTAAGGAGATTCGGCATAGTCCTGCCAGCAAAGATTGTTTATTTACTCCAAGAGTTAAGAGTGGCAGTTTGGGGATAGCACCAGGAGATATCAGCTGTGATGGCTTGGAAAAACAGTGTAAACCAGCAGTGTAAACAAGAGCAGGGCATGTATGAGTAGTTGAGAACGGTGAATAGGAGTATGACTAGACAGAAGATAGTAGGGATGACAAGTTTTTTTGGGGCACAGTCTAAGTTGGTCTGGTGTCTGGAATGAGACTGGGCCTAATAAAAAGGAGCGTCTATACAGGAGCTTAAATGGGCTGTACCCTGTAGCATTCCGAGGACAGGCCTGAATTCTGAGAAGGGAAAGTGGTAAAAGTATTGCCCGGTTCTTTTTAAGTTGGTGGCTGAGCTTGGTGAGGTGTGTTTTTAAAAGACCTTTAGTCCATTCTACTTTTCTTGAAGACGGAGGACCATAAGGGATATAAAGGTTTCACTGAATACTAAGAGGCTGAAAAACTGCTTGGCTGATTTGACTAATAAAGGCTCATCTGTTATCAGACTGTATTGAGGTGGGAAAGCTAAACTGAGGAATTATGTCTGACAGAAGGGAAGAAATGACTGTGGTGGCCTTCCCAGACCCTGTAGGAAAGGCCTCTACCTATCCAGTGAAAGTATCTACCTAGACTAAGAGGTATTTTAGTTATCTGACTCAGGGCTTGTTGAGTAAAGCTAATTTGCCAGTCCTGGGTGGGGCAAATCCTCGAGCTTGATGTGTAGGGAAGGCAGGGGGCCTGAATAATCCCTGAGGAGTAGTAGAATAGCAGATGGAACACTGAGAAGTTATTCCCATGAGGATAGATTTCCTCGATGGAAAGGAAATGAGAGGTTCTAAGAGGCGGGCTAGTGGCTTGTACTATAGCATAACCTGCCTTTGCTGGTGTGTGGCGATTAGGCCTGGTGGAACCGCCATCAATAAATCAAGCGTGATCAGGGTGAGGAACAGGAAAGAAGGAAATTTGGGGAAATGGGGTGAATGTCAGGTGGATCAGAGAGATACAGTCATGGGGGTCAGGTGCGGTATCAGGAATAATGTGGGAGGCCGGATTGAAGTCCAGGCCAGGAACAATGGTAATTGTGGGAGACTCAACAAAGAGTGAGTATAGCTGAAGGAGCCGGGAAGCAGAAAGTATATGCGTCAGGTATGAGGAAGAAAACAGATTTTGGAAGTTATGAGAACTGTAGAGAGTGATTTGAACATAGTTTGTGATTTTGAGGGCCTCTAAAAGTATTAAAGCAGTGGCAGCCACTGCACACAGACATGAGGGCTAGGCTAAAACAGTAAGGTCAAGTTGTTTGGACAGAAAGGCTACAGGGTGTGGTCCTGGCTCTTGTGTAAGAATTCTGACCGCGCTAACCATGCCTAGGAGGAAAGGAGTTGTTGTTTTGTAGAAGGTGCTGGGGTTTGAGAGATCAGTCGGACACAATTGGCAGGGAGAGCACGTGTGTTTTTATGAGAATTATGCCGAGATAGGTAACAGATGAGGAAGAAATTTGGGCTTGATTGAAGTAATGGGGGCTGTCTGTGAAGCTTTGCGGCAGTACAGCCTAGGTAATTTGCTGAGCTTGATGGGTGTCAGGGTCAGTCCAAGTGAAAGCGAAGAGAGGCTGGGATGAAGGGTGCAAAGGAATAGTAAAGAAAGCATGTTTGAGATCTAGAACAGAATAATGGATTATAGAGGCAGGTATTGAGGACAGGAGAGTATATGGGTTTGGCACCATGGGGTGGATAGGCAAAACAATTTGGTTGATAAGGCCAGGATCCTGAACTAACTTGTAAGGCTTGTCTGGTTTTAGGACAGGTAAAATGGGGGAATTGTAAGGAGAGTTTATAGGCTTTAAAAGGCCATGCTGTAGCAGGCGAGTGATAACAGGCTTTAATCTTTTTAAAGCGTGCCGCAGGATGGGATACTGGTGTTGAGTGGGGTAAGGGTGATTAGGTTTTAATGAGACGTTAAGGGGTGCATGATCGGTCACCAAGGAGGGAGTAGAGGTATCTTATACTTGTGGGTTAAGGTGGGGGGATACAAGAGGAGGACGCAAAGGAGGCTTTGGATTGGGAAGAAGGGCGGCAATGAGATTTAGCTGTAGTCCAGGAATAGTCAGGGAAGCAGATAATTTAAAGTGTCTCAGCCTAATAAGGGAACTGGGCAGGTGGGGATAACTAAAAAGGAGTGCTTAAAAGAGTATTGTCTAAGTTGGCACCAGAGTTGGGGAGTTTTAAGAGGTTTAGAAGCCTGGCCATCAATACCCACAGCAGTTATGGAGGCAAGGGAAACAGGCCCTTGAAAAGAAGGTAAGGTGGAGTGCGTAGCCTCCGTATTGATTAAGAAGGTAATCACTTACCTTCCACTGTGAGAGTTACCCGAAGCTCGGCATCTGTGATGGTCTAGGGGGCTTCCGAGGCGATCGGGCAGCGTCAGTCTTCAGCCGCTAATCCGAGAAGATCTGGGAAGGAGTCAGTCAGAGAGCCTTGGGCCAGAGTTCCAGGGGCTCTGGGAGTGGCTGCCAGGTGAGTTGAACAGTCTGATTTTCAGTGGGGTCCCACACAGATGGGACGCGGCTTAGGAGGAATCCCGGGCTGCGGGCATTCCTTGGCCCAGTGGCCAGATTTCCGGCACGTGTAGCAAGCTCCTGTGGGAGGAGGTTCTGGAGGAATGCCTGGCCGCTGCGGTTCAGGCGTTTGGAAGTTCTTGTGTGCTGGAGATGTGGCTGGGGTTTGTCTCAGAGTGGAGGCAAGGAATTGCAACTTTTTTCTGTTATTGTACACCTTGAAGGTGAGGTTAATTAAGTCCTGTTGTGGGGTTTGAGGGCCAGATTCCAATTTTTGGAGTTTTATTTAATGTCGGGAGCAGATTGGGTAATAAAATGTACTTTGAGAATAAGATGGCCTTTTGACGTTTTAGGGTCTAGGGCTGTAAAGTGTCTCAGGGTTGCTGCCAAACAAGTCATGAACTGGGCTGGGTTTTTATATTTGATGAAAAAGAGCCTAAACGCTATGTGATTTGGGATAAAGAAAAAGGAGCATTAACCTTGACTATGCCTTTAGCTCCAGCCACCTTTTTAAGAGTAAATTGCTGGGCAGGAGGGGGAGGGCTAGTCACAGAATGAAAGTGTAAGCCAGACCTGGTGTGAGGAGGGGAGGTGATAAAAAGATTATAGGGTGGAGGAGCAGAGGCTGAAGAAGAATTGGGACCTATCTCCGCCTGGCGAGGAGCAGCCTGGGGAGGAAGGGAGAGGTCAGATGGGTCTGTAGAAAAGGAAGATTAGAAAGACTCAGCAATGCTTGGGGTTGGTACTGAGGGGACAGGCGGGAGGGAAAGAAGGAAGATTTGGGATGAGTTGCACTGGGCACAGAGACTAGGAAGGGACTGATGTGTAAAAGAATGCCTGGACGTCAGGCACCTCAGACTGTTTACCTATTTTACGACAAGAATTATTTAGATTTTGCAGGATGGAAAAATTCAAAGTGCCATTTTCTGGCTATTTGGAACTACTGTCGAGTTGGTATTGGGGTGAAGCGGCATTGCAGAAGGAAATAAGGCATTTAGGTTTTAGGTCAGGTGTGAGTTGAAGAGGTTTTAAGTTTTTGAGAACACAGGCCAAGGGAGTAGAAGGAGGAATGGAGGGTGGAAGGTTGCCCATAGTGAAGGAAGCAAGCCTAGAGAAAAGAGAGAGTAGAGAAACAGAGGGAAGGGGTTCGGGGGTTCTTACCTTCCAGAAAAGTGGGAAAAGGGGTTGGGGCGCAGAGATAAGAGGTTGGGGCATGGAAATAAGGGATGGGGTGCAGAAATAAGGGGTCGGGGCACGGAAATAAGAGGTCGGGGTGTGGAAATAAGGGATTGGGGCACAGAGATATAAGAGGTTGGCGGCGGAAATAAGGGATTGGGGCACAGAGATATGAGGTTGGGGTGCAGAAATAAGGGATTGGGGCGCAGAGATATAAGAGGCTGGGGTGCAGAAATAAGGGATTGGGGCACAGAGATACGAGGTTGGGGTACTTGCCCCTCCTCTAGAAAAGTGGGACTTGCCGCTAAGAGTGAAGGAGAAGGGGTTGAGGGATATTTGCCCCTCCCCCAGAAAAGTGGGACTTGCCGCTAAGGGTGAAGGACCAAGGCAGGCATCCCTGCGTGGTCTGACACCTCTGAAACCTGGGTGAATAATCAGAGAGGTGTCCCTGCCATGGTTAAACACCAAGGGAAGGCTGCCTTCCCAGTCCGTGACTGGCACCGGAGTTTTGGGTCCACGGATAAAACGTGTCTCCTTTGTCTCTCCCAGAAAATGAAAGGAATTGAAATTAAGAGAAGGGAGAGATTGAAGAGTGGAAAGGAGAAAGTGGTTGAGGGACAGTGAGAGAGGTTGGAGAAGAGAGTAAGAAGAGGCCGCTTACCCGATTTAAAATTGGTGAGATGTTCCTTGGGCTGGTCGGTCTGAGGACCTGAGGTCATAGGTGGATCTTTCTCACAGAGCAAAGAACAGGAGTACAGGGGATTGATCTCCCAAGGGAGGTACCCCGATCCAAGTCACGGCACCAAATTTCATGTGTGTCCATGTGAAGAGACCACCAAACAGGCTTTGTGTGAGCAACGTGGCTGTTTATTTCACCTGGGTGCAGGCGGGCTGAGTCCAAAAAGAGAGTCAGCGAAGGGAGATAAGGGTAGGGCCGTTTTATAGGATTTGGGTAGGTAAAGGAAAATTACAGTCAAAGGGGGTTTGTTCTCTGGCGGGCAGGAGTGGGGGTTGCAAGGTGCTCAGTGGGGGTGCTTTTGAGCCAGGATGATCCAGGAAAAGGACTTTCACAAGGTAATGTCATCAGTTAAGGCAAGGACCGGCCATTTACACTTCTTTTGTGGTGGAATGTCATCAGTTAAGGTGGGGCAGGGCATATTCACTTCTTTTGTGATTCTTCATTTACTTCAGGCCATCTGGGCGTATACGTGCAAGTCACAGGGGATGCGATGGCTTGGCTTGGGCTCAGAGGCCTGACATTTATCACTTTCAAAAATAAAGAAAAAATATTTCTTCATATATGTTTAATTTATCTTTGCTTTTGCTTTCTACTCTCTAGTTCACTTATTGTACTTTCAGCCCATCCATCCTCTTTTGTGTCCCTTGTGGTCTTTCTTAATTTTTATTTCTTTGTAAAATTCTTAACTGAGCTTTGTCAGCTACAGCAGCCTGGCTACTACCTCCTTTATTAAATTTTCTAATTATGATGTGTATTGTTCTGTTCTAATATTTTTTTGTAATTACATTTAGCTTGAAATAATAGGTTCATCAGCTTTGTCCCAAATTTATGTATTTTTTTCTCATGTGTCATCATTTTCTTACTGTGATTTGTGGATCATTATCCTTTTCTTACCATATCTTGATATGGGGTTCAATCACCCTCCTTTTTTTCTTGCCCATGCTTAAGTGACATGGGGTTTCTTAACACTTTCACACCGCAGCCTCTTGGGATGCGCCAGAATAGCTTCCCTAGCTTCATTGCCCTAGGACTTCCTCTTCTGTTATATTGTAAAGTAATAAAAATATACCCTCTCACTGCATGTATATCTTCAGTAGTATGCATCACCAGTTCTTCTCCTCCTTTTTTTTCACTGTTATCTGAATGCTGTGTATCCATGTCTAACTCCTCTCATGCAATACTTCTGTCTTCTACTCCCAGCAGTTTCTTTTTGTATAGGGTTACAGTCTTCTGGGAGAGTTCTTTCATTGGGCATTTCCAAAGCCTTAAGAGCTCATGACACCCTAGCACCTTTCAGTTTTCTTGCATTCATTACATTGGAACCTGCAAGTCCCCTCTCAGTTTCAACTGCTGTTGCCACAGCTGCCTTCAGAGTGCTCCAGTTTGAATACAGAGACATTCTTCTGAGAGTGAGCATTTTTTGGTGATTTCTGTGTTTTCCAGATCTTGAGATTGCCAAATGTTGCCTTTAATGTCTCTCACACAACTGCTACTCCTTCATGGGTTTTACTGCTAAATGATTTGGCCCCACTCATTCATATTCTAGATTTTGAGGTGATACCTTATCACCTGGATTTATTGTCTATGGATTACTGTTGTTATGAGCCTCGTTGCTGTGTGCGTGTGTGTGTGTGTGTGTGTGTGTATGAGGAAATTTATTCAGAAGCAAAAATCATGCTGCTGTTACTGCCTCAACCACTGCCACTGTCTTTGAGGTGTATAATATGTATGATAATTTTGGATTACGAATGTATGATCAATTGTGACTTTGTGGAATCCTGGAAATCCTGGTATAGGGTCCATACCTCCATAAATGTGTGCTTGATTCTGACAGATACCCCAGTGTACTACCAACCAAGGATTGAGCTAAATTAATTTCTCAGTTTATGTTTTCCTAGAGCATGCAGCTATTATAAATTAAAACCCTAAAACTAGATATAGTTAGTCCTATTGATAAGATACTCCTCTCAGGGAGCCTTATCTACTCAGAGCTAAGCTTATTTTCCTTGTTTATTTGCCATCGGGTGGATTTTTTTTTCCAATCTACTCATTCACTGAGTTGTTTCAGGTTTTGAGAAATGAGGAGATTCTCTTCCAGCTCCATACCTTGTATGAGCCCAAGAATGTGTCACCTCTTCCTAGGTAGTGGATTATTAAAAAACAAGCCTTTTAGTTAACAAGATTGGCAAACACTCCCAGGGCTCTAGTAGGTTTAGCTTCGGTGTACCATTTTTTTTTTCCAGCTGTCACTTCAGTTTTAATCCCTGGGCATTTTCCTTACTTTGCTATGAGCTCAGTTATGTGTTGATTTGAAAAATATATTTATTAGATTTTATCCATCATCTCTGTATTTTGGGGATTGCTGAGGTGTGTGTCAAAGCATCTAGTTAATCATATTGCTACAGATGAAAGTCTTGATTCATAATTCAGCCAGACTAATTTACACTCATTGCTCTTTCCTAGGCAATTATGAGATCCTTATTTCTTCTTATTCTATCTTCCTGTCTTTCACACACTGCATTTCAGTCCTACAAATTGATGCATGATGTTTCATAAATCACTGCAGTAATCGTGTCTTTCTAAAAATTTAATCATATGCTTAAGGCCTACAGACGCTTTAGTTTGATATTCAAAATTACCTACTGTCTCGCTTTCACCCACCATTGCTAGTTTGTCTCTTTACTTTGTGTCCCTTAAAATTCAGCCAAACTAAATTGTTTGCAGTCTCTAATGAATAACAGCTTTTATTCCAATGTAATTTTGTTCATACTGCTTTCTTTACCTGAAATACCCATTCCTATATTCCTATGTTTTTAAATTCCTGTGGTAGTGCCAATGTGATACCATCCGTCAGTAGGATTGCCATGAAACAGATGAGTTCATTTTTCATCTCTGCTGCTTCCCAGATGTGTGGTCTGAACCTCAATTTCTTTATCTATGAAACAGGGAAAACATTTAGCTAGTTATATGAGGTAATTGCTGTGAAATCGGAATGAGAAAATATATGTAAATGTATTCTGTAAACTGAAGAAATGCTATAAAATTACAAGTATTAATTTGATTTTTCTTTGCCTAACACATTTGTTAAGGCCAAATTCAAATGCCATATCCTTCCTGAAACTTTTCCTGAGTCTTCACTAATGCAGTTAACATTTCATCAATACATGCACATTTTACTTTGTATTGTTAATTGTTCCTAGCTCTTATATTAGCTGTTAGAATGTAAATTTCCAGGAACCATGTCTAACTACTCTCACACAATTCCTTGAATAATGTAGGTATTCAATAAATATTATTAGAATATTGATTCTTATGAACAGCAATTAAGGGTATGTCCAAAATGTGCCAGCATTTTAATGGTGATTTATTAAATAACACATTCGTATGCTTAAATTATTTATAAGTATTAAACCCCTTCTTAACCTCTGTTTCTCAATTTTTTAAAACTAGAACTTGTGGCAAGTTTTTTTTTCCAGTCTTTTGTATAGCAGATGTGGTAGACTGATTTATTCAATAACTGTTTCAACTCTTAAAGTATCTTCTTGAATGGCAGATGCTGGAAAATTATAAGTTACATTTCCAGTCTCCCTTGTAGTTAAGGTTTCAGGCTTTAATGATGTCACACATGCAAAAATATCCAAGCATCCTAATTTCAGTATATTATTAAGATTTGAGTTTTTCTTCTACTTCGAATTGCATGTACAAAAACAACAAAGAAGTATCAGTTAGCTAGGATGGCCTCAAGTAGGTAGTGTGAAACTCACATATGTAAATCTCTATTTTACTTAAGCTCTGTTGCCTTGCTTTACTCTTCTGATACTATTAATGTAATAAAAGTAACCTGGAAAGGATCAGGAAATGCAGAAAATGAGTTATAGAAATATTAAAAAATAATCAGTGTACAATGAAGAAGATAGACATTGGTAGTCAAAACAAAAATAAAAAATTGGATGATAGTCACCATTTGATTATGGCTAGCCTATCAAGTGACCTTCCACTCTTTTTTATACAGCAACTCTTTTAAATGTTAAAGAAGAATTTGATGCAACAAGAAGTATACCTAAAGCTATATGCTTACCTTTTGGGTCATTTATGCCAACGATAAAATGGGTGATGATCAGAATGTTTGTGCATAAAATCTTTTTTGAACATCTGATGCTTTGCACATGCAATCTTCAAGCTCAATCAGACATGCAACTGTGTATACAAAATCCTGTTGCAAATTGCATTCAACCGCTTAAATAGCTCTTTGGAAAACAACTTCTGTTTATTTTCAGGTAAGACTTCACCTTATATCATGCCAAGAGGCATTCTTAGAAATTTTCTCTCAGCACAATTGCCAGTAGTTTTGCAGGACAAGGGGAATATACATCAATTTTCTCTAAGGGGAGGACAGAACAATGCAAGTATGTACGTCAGGCAGAACAGAATTTAATGAGTTAAATCCTTTTTCAAGAGAGCTTACTTTTTATGCCTCTACAAGAGCCTTAATAACCACAGGCAAATAATCTCACTCAAAATCCTTGACAAAAAGAATGCCACAATAGCTCAGAATGGATTGATGAATGTTTGAAAGCCTTTTATTAGAATTCTGCAAATTGGGAACACTTCTGTGAACAAACCTCCCAAAGCAAGAATTTTTCATTTGACTGCCAGAGTAAGCATAATAGCACTAGCCTCATTCTGTGTGTAATGACAAAGAGATACCTTTTTGTAATGTGGAAGCCTTATAGTAGCTTTGTTTATTTTATCTTTGATCATTGCCTTTAGCCCTGGTTTGGCCTTGCTCTAATCTTGTTGAGCTAGCTAGCTAAATAGAAAGCCATCACTATATTTTTTAGTTTTTCTATCTACCAGACACATCCATTACAATTATTCTACCCTCAAGTAACTCCCTACACAGTAATCTGAGAGGCTTGCATGAAAAATCCAGTTCTACACCTACACATAAACATGGGAACAATAGGCACTGTGGACTATTAGATGGGGGAAGGTAGGGAGAGGGGTGTGAGTTGAAAAACTACCTATTAGGTACTATGCTCACTACCTGGGTGCAAAATACCCATGTAGCGAACCTATACATATATCCCTTGCATCTAAGTTAAAATAAAAAAAAATTCAGCCCTGCCACTTAGCATGGCTTTGGGCAGATTACTTATGCACACTGAACTTCAGTTACCTCCACTGTGAAATGGGAATTATAAAAGTGCCTATTCCAATGGATTGTTCTGTGGACTAAATGAAGCTAAAGTTCTGTAAAGCAGCTAGCATGTTGATTGCTATTATAATAAAAGCTTATTAATGATAGTTTCATTCCATTTTCTTTTCTTTTTTTCCACAGGCATGACCTTCAGTCTGTAATACGGGATCCACTACAAGTCTTTGGGAGGTGTTATTACAGGTATTGGTTGTATGATGTAAATGTGTGTGCTGAATTATCTTTAATCATAGTCAAGTGGTTGTTTAGAACTCCTGAAGAAAGGAAGCTACTTACCAGAAGATACATGTCACGTACAAATCTCAGTGCATGAGGTGGAATTTTCTAAGGATGTCATTGCTTTCACCTATTTTCAAATTAAGACAAGAAATCTCTATGAATGTAAATCTATTAACTGTTGTGGCACCAAATAATTCCAAGCCTAAATTCATTTAATGACCATAAAATTTTAATAAGATAGGCACAGAAGTGTGTGCAAAGAGCACTTGCTCTTAAATCACTTTTTTTCACTTTCTCTCCCAATATTTCTAGCTCAGGTGCCAAGAAATATTTATTAAAGACAATCCACAGTTTAAAATCACCTCAGTAGACATTGCAAATTATACTTTCTACTTGTAATAAAGGAGAGATTTGGTCACAAATCACTTCTCTGAAACACATCTTTATGGATTCTAAACTAATTAAATCAGAAAGTCTGATTATCTCCAGAGATCCATAGAGGAGGAAGATACTTCTTCTTAGACAAAGGAGTTCTTAAAATTTAAAACCAAGTTTTAAAACCTAAAACTTACCATATCAGAGTGGCTTGGCCAGATAAAGTAGTCAAGAGGAAAAGATCTGAAACTGGGAAATTAGGTTACCTGGGTTCCAAGTCTATGGTAGTAAATTTATGTGCCCACAGGGGCCAGAGAAATCATGTAAATGAGTAACCTGGGCCAAATGCAGGGTCACAAGAAATGGTGAAGCTGAGAGTACATCTAATGGAATGGCAGTTACTTGGCTCTAACCAATTGTTGTATTGTGAGAATATGAGTCCAATATTTTTATATGTTCCAATCTTTAACAAAACTTGACAGCCAGATATTTATGCGAATTCTCCCAATTTTTACATGTTGCCAAATAGTTCAAATCTTTTTATAACTTTGTGTGGACCAAGCATATTACATCTGCTGGGTTGGCTACTGTATGACTGTAGCTCTTGATCCTGTTTAATCATTGATTAGCTGTCTGATACTGGGCAAGTCGTCTAAGTTCTTTGTGCCTCAATTTTCTTATCTCCATATGGGGTAGACTAGGAGCAGGCAAAGTATGGCCTGTTTTGTGAATAAGGCTTTATTAGAACACAGCCACACCCACTTGTTTACATATGTTCTATGGCTCCCTCAATGTTACAACAGATTTGAGTAGTTTTGATAGGGATCATATGGTCCACAAAACCTAAAATATTTAATATTTGGCCCTTGATAAAAATGTTTGTCAACTACTAGGGGAGATCATTGCTTCCTTATGTACCCAAAGTTTGCTGAAAGTAGGAGAAAGTACCAAGTTCCAAATATGCACTCACATGCGAATATTCCTAAAAAAAAAGATTGTGAAAATTAGTCGTGGTAGATTGCATTATTGGCCCCAATCATTTGACCCTTCTGTGTCCATTTCTTTACTATGTAACTGCAGTGCCTTGCCGCTTGATTCTGGGCTCAGGCTTGTGATTTTCTTTGGCCAGTTGGGCATTAAGCAGATAGGACACAAACCGGCTCAAAAAAGGATGTATGGATTGGTGCTTAGTTTTTTCCTTCTTTATCATCAGCAGGAGGACATACCTGAACCTAGCCTTTTAGAGCAGTGATTGGCAAACGTTTTCGGTAAAGGTCCAGGTAATAAATATTTTAGGCTTTACGGGTCATATGATCTTTGTTGCCATGACTTCACTCTGCTGTTGCGGTGCAAAAACAACCATACACAATACATAGAAAAATGGGCAGGTCTGTGTTCCAGTGAAATGTTAGTTACAAAAACAGGTAGTGGGCTGAATTTGGTTCACTAATCCGTATACTGGAGGAAAAGGTTCAGGGAGCAAAGCTCACTCATCTTACCCACCCCAACTGTGATAGCGACCAGCCATGTAACCCACAGACAGATGAGCAAATCCAGACAAGTAGAACTGCCCAGCCCAGTCTCAGATGCATGAATAATTAGTGCTTATTATTGTTTGCAACTGGGATCTTGACGTTGTTTTTTACACAGCAAAAGCTAACTGATTCTCTATTATATTATTAAATAGTAATCTAAAGCAGAAGAAACTCCTGTGTAGAGTTAGACAAAACATACAGACACACATACAATGGAATTAACTAGTGTTTGTAACCACTTTGTGTCTACTAATAAGACTAGCTACCATTTATATATTGCTTACTATGGTTGAAGCAATGTGCTAAGCTCCATTTTATGATCACTAATCCTCAAAACTGTTCAGTAATGTAGGTTCTTTTACTATCCACATTTATCAGATAAGGAAACTAAGGCTCAGTGAGTAAAACAAACTTGGCCAAAGTTGTACAGATATATCAGAGCTGGATCAATCTCTAAATATATATATATATTTTATATATATATATATTATATATATATATAAAAAATATATATATATTATATATATATAAAATATATATATTATATATATATATATAAAATATATATATTATATATATATAAAAAATATATATATTATATATATATAAAAAATATATATATTATATATATATATAAAAAATATATATATATTATATATATATAAAAAATATATATATTATATATATAAAAAATATATATATATTATATATATATAAAAAATATATATATATTATATATATATATAAAATATATATATATATTATATATATATATATAAAAATATATATATATTATATATATATAAAAAATATATATATATATATATAAAAAATATATATATATATATTTTTTGGAGATGGAGTCTCACTCTGTCGCTCAGGCTGGAGTGCAGTGGCGCGATCTCGGCTCACTGCAAGCTCCACCTCCCGGGATCACGCCATTCTCCTGCTTCAGCCTCCCAAGTAGCTGGGACTACAGGCGCCCGCCACTGCGCCTGACTAATTTTTTGTATTTTTAGTAGAGACGGTGTTTCACCTTGTTAGCCAGGATGGTCTCGATCTCCTGACCTCGTGATCCGCCTGCCTCGGCCTCCCAAAGTGCTGGGATTACAGGCGTGAGCCACCGCGCCCGGCCCCTTTTAAATATATTTCTTTTTAAAATTTTTTTTTAAAAAACTGACATACAAAATTGTATGTATTTATTGTGTACAACATGATGTCTTGAAATGTATATACATTGTAGAATGGTTAAATTTAGCTGGTTAACAAATGGATTACCTGATGTAGTTCTCCTTTGTTGTGAGAACCCTTAACATCCACTCTCTTTGCATTTTCTTTTTTATTATTATTATTATTATTATACTTTAAGTTTTAGGGTACATGTGTACAATGTGCAGGTTAGTTACATATGTATACATGTGCCATGCTGGTGCGCTGCACCCACTAACTTGTCAACTAGCATTAGGTATATCTCCCAATGCTATCCCTCCCCCCTCCCCCCACCCCACAACAGTCCCCAGAGTGTGATGTTCCCCTTCCTGTGTCCATGTGTTCTCATTGTTCAATTCTCACCTATGAGTGAGAATATGCGGTGTTTGGTTTTTTGTTCTTGCGATAGTTTACTGAGAATGATGATTTCCAATTTCATCCATGTCCCTACAAAGGACATGAACTCATCATTTTTTATGGCTGCATAGTATTCCATGGTGTATATGTGCCACATTTTCTTAATCCAGTCTATCATCGTTGGACTTTTGGGTTGGTTCCAAGTCTTTGCTATTGTGAACAGTGCTGCAATAAACATACGTGTGCATGTGTCTTTATAGCAGCATGATTTATAGTCCTTTGGGTATATACCCAGTAATGGGATGGCTGGGTCAAATGGTATTTCTAGTTGTAGATCCCTGAGGAATTGCCACACTGACTTCCAATACATTGTCATTCACTATAGTCACCATGCAATACAATAGAGCAGGGGTCCCCAACCCCTGGGCTGCAGACTGGTCCATGTTGGTGGCCTATTAGGAACCAGGCCACACAGCAAGAGGTGAGTGGTGGGCAAGCAAGCATTACCACCTGAGCTCTGCCTCCTTTCATATCAATGGCAACATAAGATTCTCATAGGAGCACGAACCCTATAGTGAGCTTCACGTGCGAGGGATCTAGGTTGCATGCTCCTTATGAAAATCTAACTAATACCTGATGATCTGAAGTGGGACAGTTTCATCCTGAAACCATCTCCCTCATCTCCATCTGTGGAAAAAAATTGTCTTCCATGAAACCGGTCCCTAGTGCCAAAAAGGTTGGGGACTGATACAATAGAGCTCCTGAACTTATTCCTCTTATCTAACTGTAATTATGTATCCTTTGACTAACACCTCTCCAACCTACACTCCCCTCTAACCACCTTAGCCTCTGGTAACCACCATTCTACTCCACTTCTATGAAATCAACTCTTTTAGATTCTACATATGAGTGAGATCACTGAGTATTTGCATTTCCGTGCCTGGCTTATTTTACTTAACATTATATCTTCCAGATTCATCCGCAAATGACAAAAGGATTTCCTTCTTTTTTTATGGCCAAATAGTATTACGTTGTATATATATATATATACCGCATTTTATTTATCCATTCATCCGTTGATGGATATTTAGGTTGATTTCATACCTTGGCTATTGTGAGTAGTGTTGCAATGAACATAACAGTGCAGATATACTCTTTGACATACTTCTTTTCTTTGGATATAGGCCCAGCAGTATCTAAAAGTCTAAAAGACCAGATACACTGTAGATATCCGAAAACTCAAATAACACTTCTTCGTTCAATATAATCATTTTATTTCCTTCCAGTGTAATTTTTAAAGTATTTCTTAAATTAACAAAGTGTTTGTAAATATCTTGATGGAAGTAAAACTCTCATTAAAACACAATCGCTTAAAACATTTCTTACCTTTCAGGAGAAAATTCAGGCATAAATGAAAACAATACACTTTCGCTGAGAGTCATTAATAGAAGAGCTTTTTAGTGTCTGTTCCAAAATTTGATCTTGTCTTGTACTCTAAGTAAAATGATAGGTTAATTTGAATTTGTACATGATAGCTTAATATAATTTCTTTGTTCTACTTTACATGAGATTTGTACATTTAGAACTTGGATATTAGTTTACCTCTCAGCTAAATATATAAAAATATCAGACCCTATCTCCGAGTTAGTCTGGTCACCGTGCCCTTAGGAAACAAAACAAAACAAGCAAACAATGCTACAATTATGAAGAACAAGTATACTAAGGAGTAATTAACTTGTAAGCCCTTGATTAGAGCAAAATTTAAATAGTAAAAATAACTGAGTCTAAAAATTCAGCAAATAACATTAAGGTATCAAAGCCAGCTTTATATACATATTTTTCTTTATCTGGCCTCTGAACCTGAGCTCAGATTCTGATCTGAGTAGTGGCTATAGTTTTTAAAAAAACATGTTCATGTAGCCAAATAGTTTTACTAAATTCTACTTTGATTCTACAATTTAGTTGTTTGATCTTAAACAAGTCACTTAACCTCTCTGAGTCTGAAACTCCTAATCTTTAAAATAGAGATGATAATAATAGTACCTACTTTTTTAGAGTTGCTATGAAAATTAAAAAGCTGAGGGATGTAAAGTGCCAAGTAGAGTCAGTGTCTGACACACACATAACAATCACTCATTAGTTGTTTGTTGAATGTTATTTTGTTGCTGAAACCAATGGTAGCCAGTGTGGCTGCTTAACCTTTATTTACACAGCATTAATGGGTACTTCAAGGGAAGCAATAATTAAATATATGATCCAGTAAATAATATATGTGGATTGGTTGTGCATTTGATTACTTTTCCTTATGTAGAAGGTATGAGGATGTAAATAGCTATGCTTCCACAGGACCATTGACTCCAATAATAAACTCATAAATTCATTTTCGTGACAATAAAAGTTTTTTTTGATACACATGAAAACTTATAATATGATTCATTTGACTAGTCTCCTGAATGATAAATTACAATCTATTATATGCCCTCTGGTTATAATGTCTAAGGAATAATTATAAAGAAGTGATAATAGTGACAGGCAAAGCAGATTTGATAATTTTAAGATATACAAACACTTTAAATGAAATATTTCATAAATTAAGACAATATACCAATTCGTCATTATTTTTATCTGATGAACACATAATAGGAAGGCAGCGTAGTGAAGCATTTTGGAAAAAATCTAGAATATTTTGAGCATCAAACATGACTATAGTCCACCATTTACTAGCTGTGTGATCTTGGGCAAGTTATTATATCCATATGTTCCTGATTTCTATGAGAACCAATCACTCTTCATTCTTTCATTTAACAAATACGATTGAATAACACCATATGATATACACTGTGGAAAAAAGTGGATAAAATGAACAACCTTTATATACATATATCATGCCTTCCTTAAAAAATGTTTAGCAGTATCTGGTACTTATTTTGTTTAAAAAACGGTTTTATTCTCATTAAACTATCTGCTACTAATTGCAAATTGTTGCAAACCTTCAGGGTCAGTTTTGTATAAAGAGATTAAAATGATCTGACCGCATTAAGTACTTAATAATAAAGTATCATCCAACTCAGTGGTAGGGACCTCTGAATCATTTATTTTCAGCACACAAAAATATCTATCGAGAAAGAAGTTGCATTGCATATCTTGTTCTGCTGCCTATTCTAAGATGGCAACGTTCAAGCCATTTGAGTCAGCCACATCATCACCATGTACTTTGTATAGGAGCTTCAGTACAAGACTATACCTGCTCTCCAACAAACTTTCTGTAGTATTTTGTATGGAATAGTGAGAATACTCAATGACAATATTGAATGACAAACTCCAACGAGAACACAATAATATTGTCATTCTGTTTAAAATATAACTTCTTCCCAGCTGTACTGTTCCGAGATTCTGTCACATAGTAAGATTAAGTAAGAAATTGTTTCTTCAGTCCAGGTATAGTGGTTCATACCTGTAATCCTAGCACTTTGAGAGGCCGAGGCAGGAGGATCGTTTGAGCTCAGGAGTTCAAGAGCAGCATGGACAATATAGTGAGACCCTGTCTCTATTAAAATAAAAATAAAAATTAAAGCATTAAAATTAAAAAAGAAATTGTTTCTCCAAAGCTGTTTTCTATCTGATAAATTGGCATGTTTGTACAATAATTGTATGCCCGATTAATTAAATATACTGTATAACTGATACCTCTATTATCTAGCTATCTATCTCCCTTTCTATCCTAATGGTGTAATAGGAAGCAAATCTATTTCAGCATGTTGTTTACTGATATCCGAAGAATAAATAAATTTTAACCGGCTTTGAGTTGGAAAAGGGAGAGGAGCAAAATAAGATAGCAACTTGTACAAAGGTATTGGAGGTGGAGTGTTGAGTGGGAGGATAAAGACCACAAGACATGAAATTTAGAGAGGTAGATAAGGACCAAATCATGCACAGCCCTAAATGGTGAGCCACTAAAGGGTTTTAGGTGGGACATGTCATGATGTAACTTTCCTGCCCTATCTTGCTTCTCTATTCAGAACAATTTCACTTTTAAATGTGTTAAGACTTTTTGCTGAACCATTTTTTCATAGTAATCAGTATTATTTCTGTCAACCACAAAATGGTCTTTTTCTCCTTTGTCTTCTAGTGTTCCCCTGTATGTTTGGTTCTGAAACATACCAGACATAAATTACTTCTAATAAACACTAATCGTTATTAAATCCTTTACTTACTGGTAAACACTATTTTTTTAACTATAAAAACTGATTGATCTTTTCATTTCTTCCCTCCCCATGTACCAGGGCATTAAAGAAACATCCAAGATGCAAATGACTTTTAAGGAAAGCATGCTCATGCAGAATTAAGTGAGAGTTAGAAAATGAGCAAAATGAACATTTTAATATACAATTTTTAATGCTGCAAGTTCCTGTTTAATCTATTGCTTTTTATACAAAATTGACCATTTTTATGTGTTTCTTTTTCTTCCAGCAAAAATTTGATATAATTTCTATACTTTCTGCTCCTCCCTCCTTCTTCTAGTTCTTATTCCTTCTTGACTCAGTGAGGGATACTGTCTTGTTCTCTGTGACCTCCTTATGACTTGCTTTCTTTGCTTCTCCTCTCTGTGTAAATCAAGCAACATCCTTCCTCTGTACCCCTCTAAAGCCATATCCTCTGTCCTTCCACTGGCAGGAATCCTTCTCACTAGAATCAGCTCACAACATTTCTACACATTCTTCACTGATGGTAAAAAATCGTATCCGAAACTTCAAGTTGATTCAATGGGAGACTAGATATGTATACCATACTTGCTATATATTTATCCTAATAAGATTTTCTTGTCATACATTGTCTCCATTGTTAAGATAATCTGTTTTAGGTAAATTTGTTTTGCTCAATTTCAATTTGGTGTTGTTTTGTTTTCCCTACTGTATACAGTTTGTTAATTTATAGTAAATGAAGGTATGTGGGTTTGATGGGGGATAAAAAATAGAGAAAGAGATTGGTATTATTATATCTTCAGGAGGAAAGAGGTAGCCACTGACACTACATATTCAATGTTTTAAGAGTTGTAATGATAAGAAGAATATTCACCTTAATTCTGAAGTAATAAGATTAGATGACTGGAGAAAGGAATTTTTATAACCTCCCCTTTTCGCAATATCCTACTGGAGCATTTCCCTGTAACAAGATTCACACTCCTTCCCTTTATTTTATCCTCTTAAATCTCTCCTGGGTTGCTGAAAGAAGATACTCTTGGAACTGAGGTGATAATGAGTAATTGTATGATCAAGTCCCTGATAACATGTCTATTTAATCAACTCAATGTCTTAGCTTACAAAGGATGAAAAAATGAAAACATTTAGACTCAGTGGCAAATGTGGGTAAGTGATATTTAGGGTCAAAATAGCCTTTCAGATGCCTTACAGTTTCTAGCATTTGTACTGACATGTACAAATAGAAAGTTGAATTTTGTACATTCTTTGTTCATAGGAAAAAAAGAATAGTTGGACTTACTTGCATAAATCAAATAAAATGGCAAAGATAAAAATCATCTCCGAAGGAAGAACATAAACCCCTTCAAAACAGATAAGAAGTAGAAAACTAAGTGTAGTTAGTAACCAGGGCAGTAGCTAAATCTCCATCTAGCCACAGCCGTCTTCTAGGCTTTAGCAAAGAGGTAGAACATAGAATGGAAAATCATTGGAAAATCGTTTATCGTTTTCAGTGAAAAACTGAGCTTTACTTTTTCATTCCAGACAATAATCATTTTCCTGTGAATGCTTAAATTTTAATGAACCTTTCCAACATTGACATTTAATGCACATTTAAAATGTACACAGTTAATGCATATTTTAGTTCATTTTATCTGGTGAATGTAGAGCTTTAGCTCTAGAAAAAGGAAATGAAAAGAGATCAACATCACAAAAAGAAGTCATTTTCAAATTATGTTCTGGAAGTTTGTGTAAATGGGGTAACAGTATTTTGTACTCAAAAGTTATATTAAGCAAAATGTATGACAATGCATGTAATGAATACATACAAGAAACTCTCATTTGTAACCCCCATCTTACCCAAATTAATTCCCAAATTCAGTACAAAATTATGTTTTATAATCTGCCAAGGGAACCTCAGGTGAGCTTGGCAAACTTGTACTGTGGATAAATCAAGATTGAAATTTCAAGAGTAAGATCCTAAGATTCTGTTTTAAATGCAGTGAGGCATCGTGTGTCAAATGTGATCTCTTTCTGTCTTATTGCTTCTCCATAAAGGTCTGATAAACTGAATGTTCCTGGGAAAGCTAAGCAAAAGTACTGCAGATAGGTGCTGGTGCTCTTTTAACTGAAAGCTATGGCCCAGTTGTAGGAAAAGATAAGTGAGGGCATCAAATAGAAAGCAAGGTGAGGGCAGTGAGAAGAATAGAAAGAGAAAGGGAATGGTAGAGTGGGAGGTAGAGGTATAGAAAAAAGAGATACTGTCACCTTTAAGCACGCTTTCCAGGTTTTCAGCACTTAATCTTGTTGAGGATTCTGTCCTTTCTCCTGCTGGAAACAGACAGCTCCTTTACCTCTAGATTTTTTTCTGAAGGCTACCTGCCTAAACTTCTGGTTGTCCCAATTTCTACCTTCATCTTCTGCTAACCTGACTGTATAGCCTTGCAACTGCCCTTTGGAACCTCTAATGTTGTCTTATTCCTGCTGCTTTTAAAGGCCCGGCATTTTATTTGTAAAAGGGACTCAGTGAGCACTCCAGTCTTTCAAAGAGCAAACAGTAAAAAAAAAAAAGTTGACAACATTCAGCCCCTTTTAGGGAGATCAACATACACTAAAAGTCTCTGTTCTCTCATTGGTTTTACACTCTTGCCAAGTTTTCAACATTTTAAGCAAAAAAAAATTAAAATTAAATCTGAAGTTGAGAAATGAAAGAGGAGCTTCTTCTAAGTGAATGCTGAATGAGAATGAATAACTTCAAGTATCTTAAAATTAATATTGGCAAAGTTTGGCAATATTTTTAAAAAACGAGTCTCCTACAGTGTAGATCTATAGAAATATGCAACAGGATTTGAAGCAGCTTAGGAGGGACTAATATATTAATATTAAACTCTTTAAGTAGGCTTTCTTTTTTGTTTTGCAAATCAGCTTAATTGCCATAGGAAAGAAGAAAAAAAGCCACAACTTGAATGTCAAAGTATTTAATTCACGTGGTCACCCAAGGACACCATTTGTGTAATTGCTCTGCTCTCTAAGAAACTAGAATATTTTCTCCTAAATCTACCATGTATTCAACAAGCCAGTGTGGCCAATTGTTCCTGCATAAATTATCCATTTTCTGAAAATGGCAGAAAGAAGAAAAACAACAAAATCTTTGGGGAAATCTTGTGATGAATAAATGCAGTCTCCTATAACTCTCCCATAAATAAGTTCTCATTGATAGAATCTGTTATAATTGGGAAGATTGTCAGCACTACTTTTATTACAGGAAAATATTTTAGCAAGTACAAATCAGGATATAATTATTCGGCTATTTATACACTTGGAGTAGATTTAGGGTTGTTGGATTTGTCAAATAGAAATGCTGGATGACCAGTTAAATTTCAATTTCAGAATAAACAATGAATAATTTTTTTTAGTATATGTCCCAAACATGGCATGAAAGAAACATGCTTATACAATTATTTTCATCTTTTTATTTCAAATTAAAATTTGACTGAACATCCTATATTTTATCTGGCCACCCCAGGTAGTTCCTTCCAAAAGCAAACATATTATATTTATCTTCAGTTGCATTTCTTCACACAATAAATCTAGCTGTTTAATTTATAACTTCCTTTATTTTCTTTTCTTCTGCGTCTGATTTCTTTCCCTCTGGATAAGGCTGGGATTTATTTCTTTGAAATAAACATCTTCTGAACCCAGTGATAGAAGCTGGGACTATGCATGGTTTAGGGTTATCTTCCCTAGACATAGTTTTTAAAGCATTCATTAACTGAGAAAAGGATAAAAATACTGATTACTTTTATTTGAACCAGTGATTCTAAAATGTAATTATTTTTTACTATATAAAAGTATGTGTATTTATATTTTAATAATATATATGTTTAAAATTGCTAAAGGCAAATTCTAGTCAATTTTCTGTGTGTGTGTGTGTGTGTGTGTGTGTGTGTGTGTCTATGTATTTTATATACATATATAGTGGTGGTTTCCGCTATAATATTTGCTAAGAACTAAGATGATCCCATGTGATCCCTTTGTTTTACTCTGTTTTGTAAGAGTAGATGCTTTTCTAATTCTTTACTTCATGATTACTTTTCTCTGGAATTACCCCATGATGGAGTTTTAAATATTTATATTAATTTTAGAAGGATTGCTAAAATAGTTTTAAAGTTAGACATCAAATAAGTTTGCACGCTGATTTTTAAAATAATATGAATGAGTTGAAACATTTGGGAAGAAATGGCAACTAAATTCTCTCCATTTTACAATTCAGTTATGACATTGATTCCTTCCTGAACTAATGAAGCATAGGAGGGAAAGAGAGATGGTAACAATAAAGAGATATGTTATGCAATGCCAAAATTGGCTAAATGAATTTCTATTCCTGTAACAAAAAGTTATTTGATATATTGCAGCAATTTAGTAGAATTGCAAATGTCTGCCTGTAAGACTTGTCTAATAGCTCAATATTAATTCAGGCAAAATATATCAAACATCCTTTAGTTTGTGTATGCTATGTTACAAAGTTTTAATAGCATTCCTTCCACTTGAGATAAAATTGTATATAAAGAATTAAGCAAAGTAGGAATTATAATTCACAGAAACTATTTTGATAATTCAACATTTTTACTATGAATATTTTTGCTAGTGAATTAGATAGCTGGGTTCACAGATTGACAACAACAGATATGTGACATTAGTGATACATACAGACAGCAATTGTCTTTCTCTTTGCAAGGTCATGAGCACTGTAATTCTTTCTGTTAGAAAGAGTCATTGGTTATAGAATCATGCTGCTAAAGATGGTATAGTCTAGTGCAAACACTATTTTTGGGGAAGTAAATGGGGCCCTGATAATGAGAACTTTCCACAATAACAAACTTAAATCATATTACTGCCCAGCTCACTCTTCTTACTGAGATTAAGTTGTTTTTATAGAGTAAATGCTCCCAGATTGCTGCAAAGATTTAGTTAATTTCCAGAGTTCTAAAAAAGTTGCTTCTGACAACTTTTGCCATTTTTTTGGAAGAAAAATATTGTCAGAGGTTTTTACTCTGCCATTTTCACTGATGTCACTCCTAACTGTTTAATTACAAAGGAAGATTTAAGCTAATAGGGAAACGGCAGGAAAACTTTTGTGTTGTGGCTAGTGAACCTGTGGAATTAATAAAAAAAAGATTTCTTAGAGCATGAAACAATTCTGGGCACACGATCCTATACCAATACCATTAGATGCCTCCTGCCGCTGGGTGAGGGGCAGGAGAGTTTCTCCTGCATGGAAACCTAACTCAAATACAAAGCAGAGTTTGGCTTTCTGGAATGAGAATGAAGGGCAGGAATGCTGAGAAATCTCCACCTTTCAGGCCTAGGCACACTGCATCTACTTAAGTATAAGGCCAGATAAGGAAAACAGACTCCACTTCCTGGAACCTTTATCATAAACCTAGCACCGACCAATAAATTATAGCCACCTATCGTTAGGGAGGAGCAAGAGCCAAAGAGAGAGCCATTCTGTGCACCAAGTGTGTGGACACAGTTGTAAACTTAGAATTGGGCACCAACAGAGAAAAATACCCAGTGCCAAATCTGCCTTCAGCCTAGGCATAAATCTACAGCAGTCCGTTACCAGAGGAATTTTATGCTGTGTGCATTGCAGAAAACAACAGCAGCAGAAAAACCCAAACACAGATATATTCCTGACTACATTTTTCAACCCCCTATACTAACAGCCTAATAAAAGAAAAAACATGCCCATTCCTGGACATGAATAACATTTACCTCAGTCTCTTCTGTTCTACACATGATGTTGGGCATTAAATTTAAAAATTTGAAACAAATCAATCAACAGAACCAGCTGCAGAGGAGATATAAATGCTAGAACTTTGAGACAGGAACATTAAATTAACTGTAATATATTAAAGGATTTAGTGGGAAAGGTGAATAATTGCATGCACAAATGGAGAAATTCAGCAGAGATGGTAACTATAAAAAACATGTCAAATGTAAATCTTAGAAATATAAAAGACAACATCAGAGATGAAGAATGTCTTCAATAAGTTCATCAGTAGGCTCAACACAGTCAAGAAAACGTATATGAACCTCAAGATAGTTCCATGCAGATTACCCAAACTGAAACAGAGGAAAAAGAAAGAAAAAATGTAATAGGGTATCTAAAAAACATGGAACAATAGCAACGGTTTTAACAAAGAAGGAAGAGAGAAGGAACATGGCAGAAACTATTTAAAGAAATAATGAGAAACAATTGCCCCCAAATTATGAATGGTATCAAACCACAAATCCAAGAATCTCAGAAAACAATGTATCAGACAAATAAGAATGAGAACAAAATACCACATCTAAACATATCATACTTAAAATGCTGAAAAAATGAAAATTAAAAAAAAAAAAACCTTGAAGGCGATTGGAGAAAAGGAACTATTTTCAATACAAAGAGATAAAGGCTATAGTAGACTTTTTGTCAGAAAATATGCATGTCAGGAGAAAAATGACTGACATTTCCAATGAGCTGAAAGAAAAAAAACACCATCAACTCAGAATTTAATACCCAGTTAAAATGTTTTTCAAAATGATGAAACAAATCAGTTTTTTAAAAACAAATTCTAAGACTATTCACTACCTGTAGACCTGTGCTACAAAAGAAAATGCTAAGGACAGTTTTCAGACAGAGGAATACCAGACAGAAACTTTGAATGAAACAATGAATTGAAGAGCTGCGAAAATGGTAAAAACGGTAAATATAAAAGACACTGCTTTCTTATTTTTAATCATTTGAGAGGATAATAAATATTCTAATGCAAAATAGTAACAAATGTACTGTGGGGTTAATTACATGTAAAAGTAAAATGTATGCCAACGAAAAACAAAAGAGGAGAGAGAAAAAATGGATCTCATCTTAGGTTTCTTATACTATATATGAAATGACATATTATTTGAAGGCAGACTATGACATATTAAAGAAGTACATTGTAATCTATAGGCAACTATAGAAAATTAGAACAGTTGTATAAATATAATAAACTAATAATTCAGATGAAAGAAAAATCATAAAAAGCTACTAAATTTTCCCAGACAAGGGCAAAAAAAGAGAAAAAAAGGAACAAAGAAAACAACACAAATAGAAAACAGCTGGAAAAATAGTAGATATAAATCCAAGCATATTAATAATTACCTTAAAACAAATGGCTTAAGTGCTTTAAAAGTTAGAGATTGTGAGAGTAGATAAACTGCAAGACCTAAGTTCATGCTATCTACATGAAACTCCCTTGGAAATTAAAATCATAAATAGGCTAAAAGTAAAAGCATAGAAGATGATATAACATGCAAATGCTAATCAAAAGAAAACTATAGTAGATATATTAGTATCAGACAAAGTAGTAATCAGTACAGTGAGACTAATAGGGAGAATGAAGCATATTATATAATAACAAATGGACTGATTTCCTAAGAAGAAATTAAAATTCTAAAAATTTAAGTATCTAATAAGAGAGCTTCTAAATACATAAAACCCAAACTGATAGATTCAAAAGGACAAATTGATAAATCCACAATTATAATTGAAAAATTGAATATTCTCTCTCAAAAATTGATGGAAAAAGAATGTTGAAAATCGAAAGAATACTATCAACGAATTTAATCTAATTGACACTCTACCCAACAATAGTGGAGTACAGAATCTTTTAAAGTAGACTTGTACGTTAATGAAAATAAACCCTATTATGTGTCATAAAACATATCTCACCATATTTAAAAGTATTGAGATCATACAAAATGTGTTTCCTGACTACAACAGAAATAAACTAGAGAGCAATAATAGAAACTTACCTGGAAAGCCTGAAATGTTTGGAAATTAAACGACTCATTTCTAAATAACCTATGAGTCAAATAGGGAGTCACAAGGATAAATAGAAAATATTTTGAATTAAAAAAATAAAAATGCAACATATCAAAATTGTGGGATGCAACTAAAGCAGTACTTACAGGAAAATTACAAGAATTACATGCTTATGTTGGAAAGAAACGGGGTTCTCAAATCAACACTCTAAGCTTCAACCTTAAGAAACTAGGAAAGGAAGAGAAAAATAAGCTAAATCATTCAGAAAGAAGAAAATAATAAAGACGACAGCAGAGATCAATGATGTTGAAAACTGAAACAATAGCAAATATCAATTTAATTAAAATCTGATTTTTTCAAAAGGTCAATAAGATTGATAATTTTTCATGCAGATTGACAAGGAAAAAATGGAGGAGACACAATTTGTAAATATCAGGAATGAAAAAGCAGACATGTTTGCTGATCTTACAGATCCTATGTATTAAAATTATAATATGGGGATATTATTAGCAATTATATGCCAATAAATTTGGCAACTTATATTAACTGGTCCAGTTCCTTAGAACACACCGATTCCCAAACTCACTCAAAAATAAATAGATCTCAGAAATCATTTTAAATTTATTGAGAAAGTTGAAATGAACTTGTAGTTAAAACCTTTGCAAGAATGAAAACTCCGAAGGAAGATGGTATTCCTGTTTAATACTACCAACATTAATAGAAGGAATAATGTCACATACATACAAAGTTCTTCAAATATATGAGAGAATTGAATACTTCTGACCTCATTATATAAGGCTACCGAAGGATGAAACAAAAACTGATGGAGGAAAATTATTCCTCTGAAACATAGATACAAAACTGCTTCACAAAAATAGTAGCTAATTGGATACACAGACTGTATTTTTTGTATTTTTGTAAAGGAGTAGCATTTTCTATTCAACGGAAGTTAAGTTGTATAAGTTTAAAATAGATATTGCAACCTTAAGAGGTTAGATGCAATCCCTATGGTCACCACAAAGAAAATATCTATAGAATATAAACAAAGAGAAATGAGAGGGAAACAAAATATGTCACAAAAAGTCAACTAAACACAAAAGAAGACAATAAAGGAGGACATGAAGGGGAAAAATGCTATAAGACATACAGAAAACAACGAAATGGCTACAGTAAGTTCTTCCCTATTAGTAAGTACTTTAAAAGTAAATGAATTATATTCCCCAATCAAAATGCATAGATTGGCAGAAGTGACAAAAAGAAAACACACAGGATCCAACTATTCCTTATTTATTAAAAGATCACTTAGCAAAAACTACTCATATAATTTGAAAGTTAAAGGATGAAAAAGTATATTCCATGCCATTAGTAACCAAAGACAAAGGGTGGTTATACTAGTATCAAACAGAATTGACTTTATGTCATAAAAACTGTTAAAAGAAACAAGAAAGACATTATATATTGATAAAAGTATAAGTTCGTCAAGAAGTTATAAAATTATAGACATATGTGCAGAAAACATCAGAGCTCCTATATATGAAGCAAACATTGATGTAATTGAAGGGAAAATACATGGTTCTAAAATAATAGTAGGAGATTTAAATATCCCACCTTCAATGAACAATCATGTGTCAGCGAAATGTATGACATAGATATATGTATAACACAGATGAATAACCAATTGGTGGAAATACACAATTTATCAAGACTGAATCAAAAATACATATAAAACCTGAACAAACCTACAGTTGTAAGGAGATTGAATAAATAATTAAAAATATCCCAACAATGAAAACCTTAGGATCAGATGGTGTCGCTGGTGAATCTTCCAACATTTAAAGAAAAATTAACATCAATGCCTTACAAACTCTTTTAAAAATTTGAAGAGGAAGAAACACCTACAGACTCATTCTGTGAGGCCAGTACTACCCTGATACCATGGCAGAAAAGACACTACAAGGAAAAAAAGTTAGAGATCAATATCCCTTATGAATATTGATCCAAAAATATGCAAGAAAATATTAGCAAACAGAATTGTAGCATATCAAAATAATTGAACACCATGACCAAGAGGGATTTTTTTCCTAGAATGTGAGATTGAATCACCATAGAAAAATCAAATAATGATATGCTACATTAACAGAATGAAGGGGAGAAACTCACCTAAACATCTATATTGATGCAGAGAAAAAAGCATTTGCCAAAATTCAACAGACTTTCACGATGAAAAATAATCAGCAAAATAGGAATATAAGGAAACTAACTCAATATAATAAAGGTGACATATGAAAAACCTATAGCTAACATCATTCTCAAAAGTGAAAGGATGCAAAGTTTTCAGGCAAAATGCCAGGTTTTGCCACTTCTTTTTAATTTTTTTTTAAATTTTGCCTATTTTATAATTTTTGTGAGTACCTGGTAGGTGTATATATTTCTGAGAGTCTACCACTTCTATTCACAATAGTATTGGGTCAATACTGATAGAGCAATTAGGGAAGAGAAATAAATAAAGTTCCATCCAATTTTAGAATGGAAGTAGTAAAATTATCTCTGTTTGCAGGTGACATAATCTTATATGTAAAAAACTTTAAAGATTCCACATGAAAAACTATAACTAATAAATGCATTCAGTAAAGTTTCAGGATACAAAATGAACACTCAATAATCCATTGCATTTCTATCACTAACAATGAGTAATCCAAAACGTAAATTCAGAAAACAATTCCATTTACAATAGTATCAAAAAGAATGAAATACTTTGTTAATTACACATTGTATACATATATCAAAATATCAAGTGTACTCCCAAAATATGTACAATTATTATGTATCAATTAAAAGGAATAAACTACTTAGCAATAAATTTAAGGATGAAAAGGTTTGTACACTAAAAACCACAAAATGTTTCTGATAAGATGAAGGAAGACACAAATAAACAGAAAGACACTCCTATATATGAATTGGAGGAATTAATATTGTTAAGATGTTGATACTATCCAAATGAATCTAGAAATTCAGTGCAATCCATATAAAAAGTCCAGTGATGATTTTTGCAGAAAGAGAAAAATTCTTTCCAAAATTAATATAGAATCTCAAAGCACCCTGAATAACCAAAATAATCTTGAAAAGCAGGAATGTAGTGAAGCTCTCACAGTTTCTGATTTCAAAATTTACTACAAATCTGTAGTAATCAGAATGTCGTGGTACTGATATGAAGACGGACATATAGACTGATGGAATAGGGACTTCAGGAATAAACCCTCATGGTCCGATGATTTTCTATAAGGATGCCAAGACCACTCAATGGAGAACAGTCTTTTCAACAAATTGTGTTGGAAAAATGGAATACTCACACACAAAAGAATGTAGACAGAAACTTACCTTAGAGCATATGCAAAAATTAACCCCAAATGGATCAAAGACCTGAACATATGAGCTAATACTATAACATTCTTTAAAATAAGCTTAGGCAAAAGCTTCATGACATTGGATTTGGCAATTATTTCTTCAATATGAAGCCAAAAGTATAAGGCACAAAAGAAAAAATAGATAAATTTGACAACACCAATATTAAAAATTTTGTGGATTAAATAATACTCAACAGAGAGAAAAGGCAGCTCACATAATGTGAGGAAATATTTGCAAATCATATATCAAATAAGGGATTTCCAGAATACATATAAAAACTCTTACAACTTAACAACATAAAACAAACAATCAAAAAAGTGGGCAAAGAAATTGAATACCATTTCTCCAAAGAAGATACACAAATGGCCAATAAGCTCATGAAAAGATGCACAACATAATCATTAGTAAAGTGCAAATCAAAATCACAGCGAGATAGCACTCCACACACCCATTAAGATGGCTACTATAAATAAATGAACAAACAAAACCCACAGAAAATGACATACTTCGTCGATGATGTGGAGAAATTTGAACCCTGTGCCCTGCTGGTGGGAATATAAAATGATGCAGGCACTGTGAAAACTGTAAGGTGGTACCTCAAAAAATTAATAATTGAATTACTTTTTGATATAGCAATTCAGTTTCCAGATGTACACCCAAAAGAATTGAAATCAGGCACTCAAACATTTATAACTTACGTTTATAGCAGCATTATTCATAATAGCCAAAGGGTGGAAGTAACCCAAATGTTCATCAACAGATAAATGTATAAATAGAAGACTTGAACAACACTATAAACTAAGATCTAACTGACATTTATAAAACATTTCATTTAACAACAGCAGGATATACAGTCTTCTCAAGTGCACATGGAACATTTTCCAGAATCGTCTATATTCAAGGCCATAAAATAAACCTTAATGAATTTTTTTTTTTTTGAGACGGGAGTCTCGCTCTGTCACCCAGGCTGGAGTGCAGTGGCGCCTAAACGGTTGAAATAATACCAAGTATACTTTCTAACATCAGTGAAATAAAATAAGATATCAATAATAAAAATTTGGTAAACTCACAAATAAATGGAAAGCCGCAAACTCTTAACTAACCAATGGATTAAAGAAGAAATCACAAGAGAAATTAGAAAATACTCTGAGATGGAAAAAAATGAGAAATTAGAAAATACTTTGAGATGGAAAAAAATGAAGACATAAAATACCAAAACTTACATAATGCAGCTTAAAAAGTGCTTAGACAAAATGCTTGTCAACTTACAGTGAGGTTACATCCCAATAAATCCACCATAAATTGAACATATTGTAAGTTAAAAATGCATTTAATACCCCTAACCTACTGAACATTATAGCTTAGCCTAGCCTACCTTAAATATGCTTAGAATACTTACATTACAGTTGGGCAAATCATCTAACACAAAGCCTTTTTTATAATAATGTTGAATATCTCATAATTTATTGAATACTGAAAGTGAAAAACAGAATGTTTGTACGAGTACTTGAAGCACAGTTTCTACTGAGTATGTATCACTTTTGTACCATCAAAAAGTCAAAAAATTATAAGTTGAACCATCATAAGTCGGGGACTCTATGTATTAAAAAAGAAGGACGATCCTAAGTCAATAATCTAACTTTCTACTTTAAGGCACTGGAAAAAAAAATAGCAAGTAAAATCTAAAGCAAAAAGAAGAAAATCAATAATCAACAATAAAATTAAAATTAATGAAACAGAGGACAGAAAAACAAATATTGGCAAAATTTTAAAAAACGAAGCATATTATCCAGCTTAATGATTATACAACCCAATTGCCCCAGGAATGCAAAGTTGGCTCCATATATGAAAATTTGTCAATATAATATACTGTATCAAGAGAATAATGTCCAAAAACCACATAATGTGATGGTTTGAATGTGAGTCCCTTCCCAAACTCATGCTGAAATTTAATGTACATTGTAACAGTATTAAAAGGTGGGACCATTAAGAGGTGATTAGGCCAGGAAAACTGTCCTCATGAATAGATTAATGATGTTATTGTGAGAGTGAATTTTTTATTACAGGAATGACTGGGTTCCTTATAAAAGGATGAATTTAGCCCCCTATTTCTCTCTCTTGCCCTCTCTTTGCCCTTCTGCCATGGAATGATGCAGCAAGAAGACCCTCACAAGATTGGTCTTTCAATCTTGGACTTCTCAGCCTCCAGAATTACGATCCAACAGATTTCTGTTCATTATAAATTTCCTAGTCTGTGGTATTCTGTTATAGCAAAAAAAAAAAAAAAAAAAAAAAAAAAAGACAAAGACACATGATCATCTCAACAGATGCAGAAAAATTATGTAACAAAATCCAACACCCCCTCATGATAAAATCACTCAGTAAATTATCAAAAGAGGGGTATTTCTTCAACCTGACATAGGACGTCTATGAAAAGCCCAAAGCTGACATCATACTTAATGGTGAAAATCTGGATGCTGTCCCCCTAAGGTCAGGACTAAGACAAGGATGTGCACTCTCACCTTTACCATTGAACATTGTACTGGAAGTACTAGCTAGAACGATTAGAGAAAAAAAATGCAATAAAGGGCATCCAGATGGAAAAGGAAGAAGTAAAAGGTTTCTATTCACAGACGACATGATATCGTATATAAAAAAAATCCTGAGAGTTCCATTATAAAAGTATTAGATCTAATATACAACTTCACAAATGTTGCAGGATACAAGATCAATATTCCCAAATCAGATTTATTTCTATACAATAGCAATGATCTGAAAATGAAACTTAAAAAACAATTCCATTTACTGTAGCATCAAAAATAATAAAATACTGAGGAGTGAATTTACTAAAAAATAAAAAACACATATTTTGAAAACTAAAAAAAGTGAGAAACATAAAAAATGGAAAAAAATCATGCAGTCATGGATGAGAAGACTTAATACTTTTAAGATGTTAGTACTCCCTGAATTGATCCACAGATTAATGCAATTTTCTTTCTTAATTTCAGCTGCATTTTTTTGTGTACATTGAGAATTCACTCCTAAAATTTATATAGAAACTGAAGGGATCCAGAATAGCCAAAAAATCTTGAATTAGAAGAACAAAGTTGAAAGACTTACATTTCTTGATTTCACAACTTACTGCAAAGCAACAGTAATCAAAACAGTGTGATGATAATATAAAGATAGACATAGATGAGTGCGATAGAAATGAGACTATAGAAATAAACCTATGTATAAGGGAAAGTGTTAACTCAGAATGCCCGGGTTGCTCAAACTTCAAATAGCCCCCAAATTTGCCTGTCTTCATTACTGCCACTTTACTGGCTCCTGGGAGATGTATGTTACCAGTTTGAACAGATAGTTTATGCTAACAATGTGATATATGGTGAATGTCAGGTTTTGCTCTTGTGTCTGGAGTCTGCGTAGTTGAAGTCAGTCATAAAAGTGTTGTATGCTTACATGACCAATCCCCAATACAGACTCTGGACACCAATGCTCAGGTGACCTTTCCTGGTTGACAACACTTTACAGGGGTTGTCACATATTATTGCTGAGATAATTAAGCCCTCTCTGTGATTCTACGGGGAGAGGACATAGGGGAGCCTGATCCTGGTTTTTCCTGGATTTCACCCCATGAGTGTTTTATCTCTGCCAATTTTAGTCTGTATCCTTTCACTGTAATAAACTGTAAACATAACAGGGCTCTGAGTCCTATAATCCCTTCTAGAAAATCATAAAGACTGAAGATGGTTTGGGGGACACCTGGCACACAATATATCTGTGGTTAATCAGTTTTTGTTGAGGATGCTAAGACCATTCAATGAGGAAATAATGATCATTTTAACCAATGGTGCTAGGACATCTGAATATCCACAAGCAAAATAATATATTTGGAACTTTATCTCACATCACAAACAAAAATTAGCTCAAAATTTATCGAAGATCTAAATGTAAGAGGCAAAACTATAAAACTCTTAGAAAAAAATAGGGGTAAATATTTATGACCTCGGATTTGGCAATGATTTCTTAGATATGACACCAAAAGCACAAACGACAAAAGGAAAAATAGATAAATTGGATTTCATCAAAATTAAATTTGAAAAAATTTAAATTTAAAAACTTTTTTGCTTCAGAGGACACTTTCAAGAAATTAAAAACAACACACAGAATGGAAGAAAATGCTTATGAAATTTTGCAAAGGATCTGTATCTACAATAACTACGAACTCTTCAATTCAGTAATATAAAAGCATATGGCTCTATTAATAAATGAAAAAAATGACTTAAATAGGCATTTCTCCAACTAAAATATGCAAATGACCAATAGATACATTAAAATGTACTTAACATTATTAGTCATCAGGGAAATGCAAATAAAAACCACAGAGATACTGCTTCACATCTACTTGGATGACCATAATTCAAAAATAAGGAAATTAACAAGTGTTGGAGAAAATGCATGAGAAATCCAACAATCTTTCATTTCTATTGGGGGTGTAAAATGGTGCAGCTGCTTTGGAAATCAGTTTGGTAGTTCTTCAATAAGTTAAACACAGAGTTACCACTCCTAACTATGTACACAAGAGAATTAAAAACATTATGTCTATACAAAAATGTGTACATGAATGATTATAGCAGCATTATATGTAACAGCCCAAAAGTTAAAACAACCGAATGTCAATCAACTGATGAACAGATAAACAAAATATGGTATATTCATACAAAAGAAAATTATTTAGCCATGAAAGGGAATGAAGTAGCTATGCATGCTACAATGTGGATGAACCTAGAAGACACTAGATTAAGTGAAAGTAGCTAGTTACAAAAGACCATACCTATTATATGATTCCAATTATATTAAATGTCCAGAATAGGTAAATAAATGAAGACAGGAAATAGATTAGTGGTTGCTTAGGGTGAGGGTTGTGGAAGTATTGCAGAGTGATAGCTAAAGGGTACAAGATTTCTTTCTGAGGTGAAGAAAATATTCTAAAATTGTTTATGGTGATGGCTGCACAACCCTGAATAGACTAAAAATCATTGAATTGTACACTATAGATGAATAAATTATATGATATTTGAATATTTATTTATTTTCTTAGACACAGGGTCTCACTCTGTCACCCACATTGAAGTACAATAATGTGATCATAGTTCACTGCAATCTCTAACTCCTGGGCTCAAGTGATCCTTCCACTTCAGTCTCCTAGGTATCTGGGAGTACAAGCGTGTGCCACCATGCCTGGCTTATATATAAGAGATAGAGTCTCCCTGTGTTGCCCAGGCTGGTCTCGAATTCCACCTTGGCCTTCCAAATAGCTGGAATTATAGGCATGAGACACCATGCCTGACTTGATATGTGTATTATATATCAATAAAGCTGTTATCAAAAAATGGGCAAATACTTGAATGAACATTTTACCAAGGTAGAGATAATTATAGCAAAAAGCACATGAATAGACGTTCAGCATCATTAGCAATGGATAAATGGAAATTAATGGTACTGAGAGATACAACTATATACACCTATTAGGATAGCTAACAAAAACAACAACAACAATAAGCAAAAATATTTAACAAACTGACAATACTAAGTTCCGGTGAGGTTGTGGAATAAATAGAATTTTCAGGCATTACTCTTTATGGAAAATAGTAAATTCTCTTTGGAAAATAGTTTGGCAGTTTTGAATAAAATTAAACATATGCTAATTGTATGATAAAGCAATCCTACTCCTAGATATTTACTCAAGAGAAATGAAAACATATGGTAATGCAAAGATATCTACTTAAATGTTTATATAAAGCAGCTTTATAATTACAAAAAAAAACTAAAAACAACTCAGCGTGCATCAACTGGTGAATGGATAAACACATTGACATATATCTATACAATGGAATATGCCTCAGCAATGAAAAGAAACAAATTACTATTATTATTATTATTATTTTATTATTATACTTTAAGTTCTGGGGTATATGTGTAGAACATGCAGTTTTGTTACATAGGTACACACGTGCCATTGTAGTTTGCTGCACCCATCAACCCGTCACCTACATGAAGTATTTCTCCTAATGTTATCCCCTAGCGCCCCCTCACTTGACAGGCCATGGTGTATGATGTTCCCCTCCCTATGTCCATGTCTTATCATTGAGGAACAAATTATTGGCACATGAAACAATGTGGTTGAATTTAAGAATATTATGCTATGTGGAAAGAAGCCAGATCCAAAAGGCTGCATACCATATGATGGCATTTATGTTATATTCACGAAAAGGCAGAACTATAGGGACAGTAAAGGGGTCAGGTATTGCCAGGGGCTAGAGGCGGATGGAGGGAACTGATTACAAAAAGGCATGAGGAGACCTTTTGGGTGATGAACGTATTCTAAACCTTAATTGTGGGGGTGGTTATATGAGTGTGTACATTTGCCAAATTTCATAGAATTATATCACCAAAAAGGATGAATTTTTCTGTAAATTATATCTGAAATAGCCTAACTTAATTTTTTTTTTGAAAATGATTATCCCTGGTCACATGAGTTATTTTGGTACTGAGATATCATTACCTAGCTCAGTCAATGGTACATACGAAAATTTGTATAAATATTTGTTTTAATTGAATTGAAAATAGTTGTGTAATTTCATTTATAATGTTGATTTGAAATTATTCTTGCTAAGAAGGGAAATGGTGCCATTATTCTACTCTTCTAAACAGATGTTATAACCTCCCCAAAGTTACTCAGCAATGGAACTTGAAGCAAAATCAAGACTCACACTACTAGGCATTCCTCAAAGGCAGTTTTGCTTAGTATTACTCAAGAAAATCCCTCTTTGAGGGAGTACCTTGTTTTTCTGAGTAGGCCAGAAGTTTGTGCTAGGAAATGTGACTCGGTTTTGTAGCTAGATTTACTGTCTGCTGCACTGCAAGTTTTGAGAAGAGTTTGAACCAAACCGCAGAGTGGCACCAAAGGCACAAAAATGATAATGAAGGAAGTGATGGCTCAACTAATATCATGAAGTCTCTATGTGAAACTGCCTACTTTTATTTGCAGTATTTGATGCTTTAAAACTTCAGTCCTGGCCAATGTGTCTATCCCAGAGAGTTCTGGACTCCCAATAGTGAGCCAAGCTTGGGGAGAGCTAGTTCTACCAGCACACACTACATGTGAACAATTGGGCTATTTTATAAAAGCACAAAGTCAACATTTTTATATCTTCATCTAGGATTTTGACTGGAAAGCGATTCTTGTTCCAAATAGACTCTCCGTGGTGGTGAACAAGCAGAAGTTTGTAAGGGGCTGTGAAGATAATACTTCTTGGGTGTGAAGAGCTATCATGTTCATAATGGATTCAACTGCAGGAACCTAATACATGGACATGCATTTTAACTGCTGCTTTTATTATCTCCTTTAAAAAATTAGTTCTGTGAAATTCCCTTGCCAGTTTTGCTTGAAAACTCTTCTTTTAGTTTTCTATGTAATATAGTCTTGTAGCCCACATCTCAGAAACCCAGACCTTCCAACTATGTCTTGTGCATTTTGTTCTCATTTTCTTTTGATTTCTTGAGGCCAGCTGAGGTCTACATAGATGTCACATTCCTTGCTATTTCTTGGTAGCCTGTGCCATTAACAATTAAATTTAGTGATCAATGGCTTCAAAGTAAAGCACACTGTATGTGATTATGACACATTACAATTATGCTCTTGAAATATCTAGTGCTATTATCAGAAATGACTGAAAATATTCCCTTCTTCCTAAATTAACTGAAGACTTTATGTTCATGTGACTCTCATAAGATTTGAGCATATATATTATATAATTATCTATTATTTGCTAATTAGACTCTTTCATTCTATTGTAAAGAAGAAGAATGTCCTCCAAACAACCCGTTATAACTTTCTGACAGTTGGTGCCAGATGAGACTAAAAATACAGTTTAATAGAGAATATTATTTTATTCACTTTACATGTTATGAAATACTTCTTCAATAACTTTTTGTTGGTTTCTCAAAGGCAATATCCCATGTGTATGAACAGGTAATCCAAGTGTACAATTCCTTTGTAACAAAAAAGTTGAATTTTTGTAAAAAGTGGGAAACATTTCCTTCCAGTCCTCTCAGGTATCAGAATCACAGACTTCAGTCAAAGAGAGAGGATAGGGCAGGACTCTTCTTGTTTCCACAAATTTTCAGAGTAATGCTTGAAGCATGTGGCTTTGGGCTTCTGCTGCTTTAAATGGCCCAGCGGCTTTCCAACCAAACCCTTAGATTCAATCTATTGGTGTGTTTGTCTAATAAGTTCTTTTGTAACTTAAAAAAAAAATCTCTGGTGGAAGACACTAACATGTTTACCATACTTTCACATTAATAAAAGGGTATATTAGATCCTTCTAACCAGACAGCTGGACAAATTTGCCTTCATGTCTCTATTTTTATCATGTTCTCTACATTAGTCAGGTTGGGCTAAGTTATGCTGTGGGAACAATTTATTTCAGAATCTCAGCAGCTTATTGAATTTTATTTTCATTTACATAAGGTCCACTGTTGGTCTGGAAAATTCTTCAGGGCAGCTTTCCTGAAGGTGAGGGGCTTATTATTCCATACTGCTTCACTCTTACAGCATCTGTATTTGCATATGTTTCTATGATTCTGTGGAAAAGGAAACTTCAAAGTCATGCACCAGCTCTTAAATGCTCCTGACCAACAATGACATGTTACTTTCATTCATATTTCATTGGTTAAAACTATTTACATAATCACACTTCACTTTAAGGGAGTATATAGTCCTCTGTGTACCCAGAAGTACAAGAGAACCAGATGTCAGAGAGTTAGCAATGTCTACTACTCTACTAATTTTTAAAAAACCTCGGCCGGGTGCAGTAGCTCACACCTGTAATCCCAGCACGTTGGGAAGCTGAGGCTGGTGGATCACTTGAGGTCAGGAGTTGGAGACCAGCCTGGCCAACATGGTGAAACCCCACCTCTACTAAAAATGCAAAAATTATCCAGGAGTGTGGCACGTGCCTGTACTCCCAGCTACTCGGGAGGCTGAGACAGGACAATCACTTGAACCCAGGAAATGGAGGTTGCAGTGAGCTGAGATCACGCCACTGCACTCCAGCCTGGGCAACAGAATGAGACTCCATCTCAAACAAACAAACGAACAAACAAACAACCCAAAAAACGTCATACTTGAGTTCATTATCCAAGGTAGATGAGGGGTTTTTTTTTTGTTTTTTGTTTTGTTTTGTTTTTTTTATCCTACACCTGGTACAAATCTTTTTCTTTGGTTCTTTTATTTTCTATATCTGCAGTCTCAAGCATTAGGATTCTGCAGAAGGGGTTAAACATTGAGTGTGTTTGAAGCTTCTCAAATAAAATACATTACTATGTACTCTGGATACCATGCACCACCAATAATAATTTGAAATAGTTGTCCTTGTAAAATCAGCTTGACGTTGAGAGTCAAAGTCAATCTTTGGCAAATTGTATATAGGTGGCTTCTCATCAGAGCTCCACACCTGCATTTCCTATATAGTCCTCAACATGACTAGAAGAGTGTTTCCTCTGCCTGTATTTTAGAATGCTAGTATCTCCATTCTTTGTTCTGTCTTCTCTTTTCCTTCCCATTAAAACCTTAGAACTTAGTAAAGTCTGTGTTATGAATTATTATTTGGGGTCAGATTGATTATTTCTTGGGGATGAAGGCCTAGCATTGCAAAGAAAGAAAGAAAAAGGAAGGAAGGAAGGAAAGAAGGAAGGCGGGAGGGAGGGAAGGAGGGAAGGAAGGAGGGAAGGCAGGCAGGCAGGCTAGGAAGGAAAGATAGACAGCCATGAATATGTAGAGATTAGGCAACATACTCTTTATATTTAATAGCTATATATGGCAAAAAAAGAAGATGGGACTCTCACTGCTATGAACTCAGAGAAGGAAAGGCTGACTTCAGCATGGGAAAGAACTATCAATGTCTATGATTCCTATTTTCATCCACCCTCACATCAATATACATTTGCTATACATTTGCTGAGTACCTATTATGGATCAAGCTTTGGTCATAGGTCCTGGGAGCACATAAATAAAGACAAAATTCTTGCCTATGTGAGTTTCTATGGTTTTTTTTTATTGGTAACTGTGAAGAAGAAGAGAGATATGTTAGGAGCTAGGGAAGCATGGGATTGAAATATTTCAGGCTATGGGTATGCTTTCTGAAAATCTGTGAGGAAAGATTCAACTTTGTAGTGACTTTCTGGTAAAAGGTCATACTATTCATTTCTATCTGAAACTCGCCAAAGTTTATTTTCTATTAAAAGAATATCTGAGCTCTGTCTTTATAGGTTAACTTTTCTGCAGTCAACAACACATGTTACACCACAAAGAAAACAACAAATTATATTGAATTTAAAGGACGGGACACAACTTTATTAACCTGATCTTTTTGTTCACATTATTGTGTACCATATTCAGCGGCCCGTTTCCTTTATGTTTCTTTCGAGGAAGCTGTCTCTACTTCACTTATAGGACCAAATAGATTGTGTAGAAAGCCAGGGTTAGAATGACAGATTTGTGAACATTTGGAAAATCAACTGTACTTTAAATGTGGGGACTTTGTCTTCTGATATCTTTGTTAAAGCTTTGCATATAAAGAGAATTGTTAAGCAACTTTATTCAATACTAGGAAATAAGGCAAAAGGAAAGGGACAGAATGTCTTTTCAATATCATATAGGCGATGTTTTTCAGACCCACTACAGGATTATTTAGGGTGTGTACATGATTCACTGCTGCTATAGCTTAAAGTTCCCAGATTTTTCTCTTTCTAGTTGCAGTTCATAAAAAAAAAGAAAAGAAAAGAAAAATAAAGTTCCCAGGTGTAGTAAAGCTACATGTTACAAGTAAACTTGGTATATCTGGCAGATGTAAAAATTATTTCTCTTCAATAAGAAATAACCCCCCAAAGTTTATTTTTATGAACCTTGAAGAGCATTGACTAGTTTTGTTTCTAATTTAATGATCGTATCTTAGCTTTCTGTTATTAATTTGCTTATAAAAACCCACCTCTCCAGATTCTCTTAGAATCAGTTTGCTACCTTACTGGTTCCCACAATAGTGAATGATTTTAGTAAAATATTTGACATGTGTTAATTTTATATGTGTACAAATTATTATTTGAACTATTTGAAAGTTCTACTTTGTCAGAAAAATAAGGAAGAAGAATATACTCTGTTTCAAAGAGTTGACTGTAAAACTATTACGTTAAAGAGGTCTATTTGCTCTGAAATGCGGCCACTATCAAATCTGCATATTCATGTCTGAAGAAGGAATGAAATTTAATTTCTCTCCTGGCCTGCATGATGAGCGGTAAATAAACAGACGTATTACACAGAAATATATCAGAAACAAAATGATTGTTCTTTGCCATGCTGATGTCAGGAAAAGTCAATTACATTTGAAAGAGAGGTGAATATTATGATACTGAACTTTTCTGTTTTGTAGGTGTTAAGTTTAGAGAGACAGCGACATAATCAAATCTAATTTCCAACCAGTGATATTATGAAATAGCTCTGTAAGAATTGAAGGTTTCCATTTTAATGAAAACACCAGCAATCAAATGCAAAGGTCAACACATTTTAAATTTTCATAAAATGAAACCCACAATGTGCATAAGAAAAGTCTTAAAATACTGGTTCCTTGTAAATGTTCTTAGATTTTTCTTCCTGCCAGCATCGATAGCAGTGGGACACCAACTTTGTTTCTATGATTGCAAAAGAAAAGAAAAAACGCTTTTGCCAAAAAAAGTGTATAACAAATTGGTCTTAGAAAATACAAGTTATCTGGGTGTTATAACTGCCATATTTTTCTTTGAGATAATGCTACTTATTATGCACCTTGAGCTATTCTGTTTTTTGAGATAAAACTGCTTATTTTTTAAATTAAAAAGGGTTACTTACATGACAGAGGGAAAAAAATTCTGACATCAATACAAATAACTATGAACTGTTAAATTTTTACCTATTTGGCAAAAGAAGTAGACTACAGTTATAAAACAGGAAAGAAACCTAAACAGGAAAATCACTGCCATTTACTCAGTATTTGCATACTTGAAGGGAGAATAAAGTATCACAATAGGTAAATATGATACCATGTTTTTTCCAACTGCATTATGCGAAAGTGTAACCATTACAATTTGCATAATCAGAATTAAGTATGCCATCAAAGCAAGAAGTCCTACAACAGATCATGATATCTACTTATATAGCCTATAGTATTTGTCATTAGAATGAGACTTATAATAATATCCTTTTTTAGGATTGTAGCGTTTAATTAAAAGTACCAGTAAAAAGACAGGAGACAGGAGAAGAGAAGCATTTTTTTAAGTAACTGAAATGGCTGCAGTCGTTTGTTTTTATTCCACTCTCTCATTTAAAAAAAAAACCCGAAGTAGTTTAAGAAAATAGCCCTTTTGCCTAAAAAGATGACAACACTGATATTCCTTAAAGTAAGTACTGTTAGATAATACTCCCTTTTCTTCAAAACATTTCGATTTTGCCGACAGTGTACATTTGTACCCATATATTCCGTGGTCATAGTGAGGGAATTTTTCCATATCTTCTGGTTGATTGAATTCTATCATTTCATTTTGACTTTATTGTTTTTAGCCTTGTGGGGAACCTACACTGATTTAGTAGCAAAATAATATTGAATTATCTTCCCTTCTACTTAAATTCATATATTTTGAGTATGACACTTTAAATTTACCTTTAAAGTTAAATTCTAAAAAAAATTAATTGTATATATATTTTCAAGTGTAAAATATGATGCTTTGATATGCATAGTAAAATAATTACTAGAGTCAAGTAAATTCAGTTATCCTTTACCTTACATTGTTACCTTTTTATTTTTCTGATAAGAACTCCTAAAATCAACTCAGCAAATTTCACGGATACAATATTCTTAACTATAGTCTTCATCCTGCACATTAGATCTCTAGATTTTCTCATCCTACATAACTGCAACTTTGATCTCTTTGACCAACATCCGTCTATTTCCCCCACCCCTGGTAAACACTATATATTCCCTGTTTCTATGTAGTCAGCTTTTTTAGATTTCATATATAACTGAAATGCAGTATTTGTTTTGTTTGTTTCTGGCTCATTTCGCTTAGCATAATGCCTCTAGGTTCATCTATGTTTTCACAAATGCAGGAGTTCCTTCTTTATTAAGGCTGAATAATTTCCAAAGACATAAAAATGGCCACATGTAAATGAAAAGGTGCTCAGCATCACTAATCATCAGAGAAATGCAAATCAAAACCACAATGAGATACCACCTCACACCTGTTAGGATGGTTATTATCAAAAGGACAAGAGGCCGGGTGCAGTGGCTCACGTCAGTAATTCTAGCACCTTGGGAGGCCGAGGCAGATGGATCATGAGGTCAGGAGTTCAAGACCAGCCTGGCCAATATGGTGAAACCCCGTCTCTACTAAAAAATACAAAAATTAGCCGGGCATGGTGGTGCGTGCCTGTAGTAGCAGCTACACAGCAGGCTGAGGCTGGAGGTTGCAGTGAGCTGAGATGGTACCACTACACTCCAGCCTGGGTGATAAAGTGAGACTCCATCAAAAAAAAAAAAAAAAAAGGACAAGAAATAATAAGTGTTGGAGAGGATGTGAAAAAAAACTGAACCCTCGTTATGGGACTGTAAATGGTGCAGCCAGTATGGAAAAACAGCATGGAGGTTCCCCCAAATATTAAAAATAAAACTTCCGTATGATCTAGCAATCCCATTTCTGGATATATACCCAGAGGAAATGAAACCAGTACCTCGTAGAGTTATCTGTGCTTCCATTCTTTTTGCAGGAGCCAAGATACGGAAACAACATAAGTGTCCCTTGATGGATGAATGGGTAAAGAAATTGTGGTGTGTGTGTATGTATATATAAAATATATGTTTAACATATATACCCAAATATAATTATGTAATTATATATGTGTGATACATATGTATTAAATTTAACGTACATATATATATATATTTTTAAATAAGATCTTGCTCTGTCACACAGGCTGGAGTGCAGTGACATGATCTGGGCTCACTGCAAACTCCACTTCCTGGGCTCAAGTGATCCTCCCACCTCAGCCTACTTAGTAGCTGGGACAACAGGCACACGCCACCACTTCCGGCTAATTTTTTATTTTTATTTTATGTAGAGTCACGGGTCTCACCATGTTGCCCAGGCTGGTCTCGAACTCCTGGCCTCAAGTGATCCTCCTGCCTTGTCCTCACAAAGTGCTGGGATTACGGGTGTCAGCCACTGCATCCAGCCTAATTTTAATATGAAAAACTTCACTTTTTCCCACCCCTTTCTTCCTAAGCCATGTGATAGCTCAAGTTTGTTTTTATAACCAGTAAGGAAAAATGCATTTTGCACACTTCAATAATGATTGGTATTTCCCAGCAAGGCGTCTTATCCTATAGTGTCACCTTTCATACCTAGCACAACACTGGAGGAATTCCAGTTATTATTTTTTTCTCAGACCCCATATCAAAATGTTCTGCCTGCTTGAATAAAACTATTCCGTGATTATTTACCCACCTGTCATGGTCATTGTAGATATAGTGCCTATGAATAGAAAGAAATTATTCATTTCTTTTACTTTATTATAATCTTATACATATACCATCAGACTGCATAGAATTTTTAAAGACATTCAAAATGTTAATGATAGCTTTTTCTAACAGAATTTTGAGTATATTAAATAGCTTGCAGTTTGCATACCACCAAAAAGCAAAGGAAAAAAAAGGATCATACTGGAAAAAGTGCTTTCATTTCTTTATTAATAATATCGGATGGGAAAATTGTAGCTAAACATTTCATTGTCCCCAGTCTGCAAAAGAAGCACAATTCTATTACTTTGTCTTGCTTATAGTCATTAAATCATTACTTTCACATATATTGCTGTTACTTCTGCTTTCTTTAAAGATATAGTAAAGGATGTCTTATGAAGTCACAAAATACATATATTTTTATTTTGACCTAAATTTGTACAGTCCCATTGTAAGTGTTGTTTCTAATTATAGATGTAAAATGAAATTTCATTTGTAATTGGAAAAAATCCAATAAAAAGGATATTCATTTAGAAAATAGCTAAGATCTTTAATAAAAATTTTATATGAAAAGCACAATGTGCAGAAGTTTTGGAAACCCTATAGAGGATTACAACAGGTAAACATTAAAGAGAATACATTGCTGTCTTATAGTGATGTTGCTAAGAAGTATGTGCTTTGTTGTAAAATTGCTTGAAAGCCCGTTGAAATATGTATCAGTTTATTCACAAAATTTGAAGTAAAAGGTACCAATGTTTGCAAAAAATAATAAATAATAAATAATATCAGTTAGTTCTAAGGTATATAAATGTCACCAAAGCCAGGAAAAGACAGCTTTTCGGCCCAGAAAAAAATAACATCCATAATACAACTTTCACACTCTAAAAGTAAAGTTTAAAAGTTTTCCTATGATATACCACAGCAAATTCACTTTGTTGAATCTCCCAGTTCCGAATAATAAAATTTGTTCTAAATTAATCTTAAAGCATCAGAATACAGCTGATATTTCTTGATATATAAATGCATAAAGTTTCAACATAGTTTTTTCTACCTGGAATTCAAAAGCCTTATTCTGAATAAGTTTTTCTGCATTTCTTTGCACTCCCCCCCAAAAAATCCATTAGATATATAAAAGACATAACAGTAATTATCTTTAGGGATAATTTTTTGTTACTGTATACATCAGAATCTGGTGTCTATGATTGTAGACTCAAGAACACTTGCCTTTTCTTTGAGGTGGGTGGAGATTTGAAAATTTAGCATTAGCACTTTGTTTCCACATCAACTCCTTAAGGAAAATTATTTAAGACAATACAACGTTTTTTGCTGGTAGAGATTATAATCACAAATGCACTTTTCACAACCTCCTATGATATAAAAATTAAATGAAGAAAAAATGTGTTTTAATGTTGTCCTACATATCTATTTACCTTCCCCTCCTTTAGATGCTTCTCTCCTTTAAACTAGTTGTTCAAAATTTGTTGTACAAATTTGTTGTTGTATTGATAGACATTTTTCTTTAAGCATCACAAGTTGTTATTTAATGTCTTATAACACATTTTAAACTCTTGTGTAATGTAGAAAGCCTTTATCAAGTTTCTTTTCTAAATAAGTTAAAAAATTAAGGAAAAATTTTTGCACACTAGCTTTTGTTGCGCCTCTACTATCTAGGTACTTCTGGTGCCGGGGAAAATAATCTCTGGCCCTGCACCTTCATGCCATGGTAGTTGAGTGGCACAGTGGACAAGAGCATTCATGGGCACCTTCTTACACTGGATCAGCTAGCAATAATTTATTCACCAGAGTGATTGAGAAACAAACATATTCCACTAAAGCCAAACTAAATCACTTTATGTGTTACCTCCCCTTAGCTGAAACTTAAAATTACCTGGAGCCATTTTAATATGAGGGGAAGTGTGAAAAAATGGGAATTCAAAGTAACAATGGTCTTAAACAATTGGGGTTACGTTATTGTCTTTTTTATTATTTCATTGTCTAGGTACTATATCATAGGCGTTTTATCTACAGTAACAACTACAGGTGGCGAAATGGTAACAGAATAGTTTTATTCAAGCAGGCAAAACATCTTGATGTGGGGTTTAAGAAACAAATTATAATTATAATCATTTTTAAAAGCTAAAAGTTGCCAACACCTTCTGTTAACTCCAAGTTTTGCTCCATATAATAGACTTTTATATAGGCTTGCACTGCTCCGGATTTGGAAAATTCTTTGGTTGTATGGAAGATTTGCCCCAGCCTCGTTTTCAGTTTGTGCTCTTCTGCTCATCCTCATCTTACATTTTCAATACTGATGGGCGAGTACTAGAGCAACATCGTCTACCTAGGCTCTACTTGGTTGTTGTTAGAATTATACGTTTGTTATCACATATCAAGCTGTTTTACCTTACTTTGTAGGTAACTACCTTTTAACTTTGGAATAAACTGCCCAATAAATGGGGCCCGTGGAGGCAGCCTTTTCTAGGTAGAGGGAAGCAAAGTATTACCAATAGTGAAAACATGTGAGCTTCAAACAATCGCATGATTGGATAACTAAGATATCATAGGTCTTGAAAAACTTATAATTTAGTTTAAACTTTTATTTTGCATTAACATTGTGGCCACAATTTTTTTTTTTTGAGGCGGAGTCTCGCTCTGTCGCCCAGGCAGGAGTGCAGTGGTGCCATCTCGACCTCACTGCAACCTCTGCCTCCCAGGTTCAAGCGATTCTCCTGCCTCAGCCTCCCAAGTAGCTGGGATTACAGGCACATGCCACCATGCCTGGCTAATTTTTGTATTTTTAGTAGAGACTGGGGTTTTGCCATGTTGGCCAGGCTAGTCTTGAACTCCTGACCTCAAGTGATCCACCCGCCTTAGCCTCCCAAAGTACTGGGATTACAGGCATGAGCCACCATGCCCGGCCCACAATTTTTTTTTTTCCTAAATCAACCATAAAGTGTAAATATATGTTCTTGTTTTCCCCATACAAGCTCCATAGCTCCCAATCAAATTTAATAATGAGTGCAACTACATTATAAGACCAATGAGATTTGGGGTGCATTTGATTAAAAAAATAAAAACAGATACATTACAAAGGATCCAAAACATTTTCCCTTCAAAGGAAAGTACTACATTCCTAAGGCTTCATAATAAAGTATTCATTCTCTATTCTATCCACCTTCCCCAAATGACCATTTTCTTTAATGGCGTCGGAGGCCAGGTTTTAACTCATAAATTTCTAGCCAGATTTGAAATAACTTGAATCAAACATTCATTCATGGGCTTAATGTAAAGGTGTTCAATCAGAGTTTCAGAACTGAAATCCAGATTCAACATTTTAGAACTAGAAATGTTTTTCATTTTCTAGCATATATGTTCTAGGGTCTATTTTAAGCATGGATGTTCTCCTGATTGTGACGTTTAAGGGTAAATTATGGAATAACCACACTGCTGTCAGAAATACATCCCATAAAATCTTTATGGCATCTATTTTTGTGTATTTCAAAGACTACAGTTGTTTCAAAGTGTATCATTAAGGATTCCTGGGCCTAAAATTTTCTAAGATGGTCTGATTAGATTAGCATAAAAACACATGAAACATTCAATGAATCAGAATGCTTATATTGAATTATAGCAATTATCTTACTTCCGATCTAGTAACTTTCAGTGCATTATTTTACATTTGGCTATTATAACAAAATGAAAGAATATTTTCTGAGAAATTTTAGAGAAGACATTACAATTTAAAACATTTTAAATGACCTTTTGGTGTCTGCTTTTTCTGATTACAAAAGCGATACACAGTGATCCTGAAAATTTAACTAAAAACACAGGAGTAATATATAAGGCAAAAAAAAAAAGAGAGAGAGAGAGTTCTCTGTCATTTCCACCCTAAATGATCACTCAAAACAGTATTTCAAACTCAGGCTACCAGAGGTTAGTTGGAAGAAGCTTAGGCAGGGAAGTGTTTTAATTAAGGCTTTCTTGATGAGACTATCTTTAAAACAACCGTGGCATGGAGAGACAAATGCTTCTTGAACAAAAAATTATTTGTTATTCAGCTAACACATTAAAATATATTCTATTATTTGAGGACTTATTACCTATGACAGTGCTCTTCATATTGAGTATATCAATATTGAGAATTTACTTAGCATAGCATTCTCTTTAAGCCTTAAAATTTTGCATAAAACACCTAGAATACACTTTTGATTCAGTATGACTTTTAACATGATGTAGGGATTTTGCAAAGAAAATTTCCATCATAAATAACGGTAGATCTTGGGAATCATGGGGATCTATTAGTAGTTGATTTGAAGCTGCCTTCACCTTTTTCTGGCTCCATTTCTTTATTTTCTAAATGATAATATTGTTATCTGTCATGATAGTTTATAAGAGTGTTATAGGTAGCAAATAAGTAATAGGTAGGGGAGTGTTTTGAAATTATTTTAAGAAAAAAATCATGAATAACTATAGCCCTCCTTTTCATTTTAATTGCAATCTTGGTGATGTTAGTTTAGTTACCTGAAGCAAGCATTCTAATTGCCAATTTCATTATGCAAATCTAAAAACTTAAAGCAAATGTCTTTGGAGTATAATTACCCAGGAGACAAGAACTGGTATTTTTTCTCAACATGCAAACCAGTATAAGATATAAAATAAACACAAGATCACAGGGAGCCAGCAGGCTTTGGGTTGAGTTTATGCCTTGCCACTTAGTAAATACGATCTTGGGCAACGCATTAGAGCTAGGTGTCTTGATTACTTCATATTAAATATAGGGATAATAACACTCTTCCAAACTATCTCAAAGAAGGGCTAGAAGGTGTAAATGTAGTAATGTATGTGAAAGCTCATTGTAATCTCTAAAGCACAATCCCAATATAAGGTATTATAAATTAGATGCTGTAACCTGACTAGAATGTGAAGTAGCCCTGGAAGTTAGAGAAGAGGAGATGGAGCATTCTGAATAAAAGCAGTAAACAAATTTACTCAGTGTACAAACATTCCCTTTTATCCACAGAAACAATCAAACTTGAAGAAACAGTAGAACGGTGGCTAGCAGAGGCTAGGGGAGTGGGGAGATGATGGAGAAATAAGTTTTTTTTCCCTTACATTGAGATATATTGCACAGCATGGTGAATATAGTAAATGTTAACATATTGTACATATCAAAATTGCTGAAAATAAATTTCAAATGATCTCACCACAAAAAAATAACTATTTGAGGTGATGGATATATTAATTCGCTTGATGTAATTATTCCACATGTATTCAGAAATCATAACACCAGTCTCTACACAGCAAGAATGAAGTACTGGTGCATGTAACAATATGGATGTTGGGCAAAACAAAAGAAGCAGCCAGGCAAAAAAGACTATATACTGTATTATCCCATTTTTGTAAGATCCAATAGAAAGCAAAACTAAGAGATAGAGAAAGGTAGCAGAATAGCAGTTACTCTAGGAATGAGGGTTGGTTGGAAGGGATTAAGTGGCAGGTTGGAGTTCAGCAAGAACCATGAGAGGAAACCTTCTAACAGAAATTTCCAAGGTCTTCATGGAAGTTGTGATTGAATAGTGTATACATATGATTATTACATTGTACCTTTAAAGATTAATACACTCTATTGTTTTTATACCTGAATAAAAAGGTAAAAGCAATAATAAATTTAAATAAATAAAAAATAAAAATTTTAAAAAGCTAAGCATAACATAATAAAAAATTGTAACACCATTTTGTACTCCATAAGTATATACAAGTATAATTTGTCAATTTAAAATTTAAAAATAAAAATGAATTCATTCAAGAGAGAAAGTCTCAAATGGAAGTATTCCTTGATTTGGCAGTTTACTGGAAAAAAAAAATAGAGACAATCCTAAAAGAATTAATTGCTGCTGGCAATTCCCAAACTCACCCATAATCATTGGAGAGGTATGGACATTAAGAAATAACAGGATTTCTTTTTTTTTTTTTTTTTTTCAGATTTAGAATGGGAAATGAACTCAGGGTTATTTTCTGGCTCAATAATGTTATGGTTCCTATGGTTCTGTTTATGTAACAAATACCAAATAGCAACTGCCTAGTGATATTTTTACTAGGATGTCTCATCAACTTCTCAGAATTTAAGGTCTGAAACAGAACTCTTCATTTCTCTTCTAAACACATTCCTTGTACTGTATCTCCCACATCTGCAACAGCTCTACCTCCATGCATTTTCTCAGGCAAATTCTTCTTTCTTTTCTTCTTTCCTTCAACAACAACTTCTACCTTTTACTTCTAAGATATAGCCTAAATGTGACTACTTCTCTTTGTGCCTACTCACTACCCAAACCTTAGCCCAGACCACAGCATCTTCCTTAAACAGCTGACCATTTCTACTATGCATCCCCTTAATTCTATTCTTCACAAAGCAGACAGAATTATGCACACTTAAAAACTGCTTTTAGTAAGCACTGAACAGACAAAAGAAAAAGAAATCCATGAAAATTATAATAATTCTATGATTATATTATACACTGAATGATTATGTTCCCCCAAATTCATATATTAAAATCCTAACCTGCAGAGTTACGGTATTAGAAGGTAGGACCTTTGAGAGAAAATTAGGCAATGAGGGTGGAACCCTCATGAATGGGATTAGTGCCCTTGTAAAAGGCACCCCATAGAGCTTGCTCACTTTTTCTGCCATGTAAGTATGCAAGGAGAAGCCCACTTTCGGCAACCTAGAAGAGCGCTCTCACCAGAACTGACCATGTTGGTGTCCAGATCTCAGACTTCCCAGACTCTTGAACTTTGAGATATAAATGTTTGTTTTTTAAGATATTCAGTTTATGATATTTTGTTATAGAAGCCCAAGTTGACAAAGACAAATAATTATCTATGTACCTACCACCCAGGTTAAGAAAAAGAACATTGCCTCTTATGTTTTTACTCTGATCCCACACTTTTCCTCCTGACTCTGAGTCAGGAGGAAATATCTAACTTGATATTTGTGCTTATTGTTTCCTTTCATTCATTATAGTTTCACTACATGTTTGTTGCTTAGGTTGCCTGTTTTCTACTTTTTTCACATAGAATCATATACTATACATTCTTCTGTAACTTCCATTTTTTGCTCTCCTGAAATTCATCCATGCTGTTGTGTGTAATTATAAATCATTCATTTTCACTGCAGCAAAATATTCCTATATGGTGTGAATATATCACAAAGCATCTATACATTGATGGACGTTTGGATCACAGACTTTTTTTTTTCTATTTTAAACAGCCCTGCTTTGTGCATTTTGAGCAAGAGATTTTATAGAACGGGTTTTTTAACTGCACCATGGACTTTTTTGGAAATCTGGTAAAGCTTATTGGCTTCCTTTTCAGATTAAGTTTTTAAAGTACAAAATAAAATAATAGGCTTATAAATGACACCAGTTATACTGAAATATGGTTATAAAAATGTTAATAAATTTTTACATAGTATTAAATATCTTTCTTTATTAATCCATTAAATAACGTGATCTAGGGGTAGGTCGAATAACTTCCCTGGTTGTGAAGTAGTGATTAATGTAGAGGATATTTACACTCAGTTATCTTCAATAGTAGTAATGTGATACAAAAATATTTTTGTTTCCTTGGTGACAAAGTCACTGGTACTGCTAAGACTGCTGTGGTTTGTTGCCTACATTCACAAACAAAGGAAATAAATAAAGGAAATGCTAGATTTCATTTAAGGACTGCTAGAAATAAAGAAGTAATTGTTTTCCATTCAACTTTACATGGCCTTTACATTCTAACCATGGATTTTAAGATCAGAAACCTTTATTCTATGTTATATTCCTACTTGGCTTAGACTATGGAAGTGAAAAAAAAGGGAAAAAAATGGGGTACATTCCTAGGACAGGAATTGTTCTATAGTAGTAAGGGCATCTTACATAGATTTTCAATGCTGTTGTGCCTATTTATACATCTCTCTCAGCCCATTCATTCTTTTATAAGAAAACACCTTAGATTGGGTAATTTACAAAAGGCATAAATTTATTGTTCACAGTTCTGGATGCTGGGCAGTCCAAGATCAAGGCACCAACAGATTAAGTGGTGGCACCTCGATCTTGTTGCCAAGATCAAGCCCTTGGTGAAGGCTCACTCTGTGCTTCAGAGATGGTGCTTTCTAGCTGTGTCCTCACATGGTAGAAGGGCAAAGGGGCTAATAAGCTCCCTCAGGTTTCTTTTCTAAAGGCACTAATTCCATTCATGAGGATGGAGCCCTCCTGATTTAATCACCTCCTTAAGGTCCCACCTTGTAATACCACATTGGAGATTAGGTTTCAACATAATGAATTTTGGCAGGAAACAAACATTCAGACCATAGCAACACCCACCAGCAGTATTTGAGTTCCCACTGACCCATATCTTAGTCAGCATTTGGTATTAACAGATTTCTTAATTTTGCCAATCTGGATAGTATGAAATGTTATTTCATTACATTTTTATTTAGCAATATTCTCTAATTAATGCTGAGACTAAGCATATTTTCATACGTTTATTGGCTTTGGATTTCCTCTTCCACAAGGTGCTTGTTAGGTCTTTTGTTCATAATTTTTTTCTCCTAGGTTTGTCTTTCGCTTAATTCAAAGGAGTTCTATATATATATGTGTATGTGTGTGTGTGTGTGTGTGTGTGTGTGTGTGTGTGTATGACATTAATTCCTTCATATATATTATAAATCCTTTACTCTCTTTTTTGTCTTGTCTTTTTTTCTTTCTTTATGTTGCATTTTGAATGGATGTTCCTAATTTTAATGTGGTTGAATTTATTAGATTTTTAATTTATGATTTACAAATTTTGTGTCACATTTAAGAAATCATTACTTCCCACATGGTAATAAAGATATTCTTCTATATTGTGTTAAAATGCTTTCTAGTTTAGAATTATGAATATTTTGTAGTTTATAACTAATTTTAATATATCACGTGAAGTAGAGGTCCAATTCATTTTTCTCCACATGCTTAACCAATAGTTTCAACTACATTTTGTGAAATCTTATTTCCTACTGACAGGATTTTCATAAAATATGTTCGGTCATAGATACATCTGTTTCTAAAATCTCTGCTCGATTATTTTAGTTAACTTATCTATTCCTGCACTAAGACTAAAAAGCCTTATTTTACCTTTATGATAATTATAGATTGTTCCTCTTTGGCAATACCTTGGCTATTGATTAAACAACTAAGGCTCTTTCCATGGCTTGCCTCTGGGATCCTCAAAACGTGGCTAGAAAATGAGGAGAAGAAAGTACAGAGGGTGCAGAAAAGACATATTGACTCCTAACTAATATGGAATAAAAGTGACATATCATTTAATCTTGCATTCCATTGTTGAGAATAGTCACATGGGCCCACCTAGGTCCATCTGGTTGGAAAAGGTAGTTTCTTATTGCTCAAAGAAAAAGAAATTATTTCAGTGACTATCTGGGCTATTGCCTAGGAAAATTTTACATCTGACTAATTAAATATTCTGTAAATGTTTGTTAGGGCTTTCTGGTCAAAACTTTTAGGATTGAAAACTTTTAATAGAAACATAAATTATTGGTCCAATATTTTAATAATTATTGAATTATTTCAGTTACTTCTTCATTCAGGATTGGCAAATTATACACTCTAGGAACTTTAATATTTCCTCTGAGTTTTTATTTGCATGAAGTTTATAATAGTTCCATTTAATCCTTATAATATCTGTAACATCTATACTTATGTCTTCCTTCTCATTCCTAATCTTATTTATTAGTATCCTCTCTTTTTTTTCCATATTGCTCTGCTAGGATCTTTGTCAGTTTTATTTACTTTTTTCAGGGAACCGAATTTAGAAAGTTAGAATTGTTACATTTTTGTCTTGAAGTTAACATTTTATCATTATGTGATGATCCTTTTTAACTAATACATTTTTGCATTACAATTTATTTTATCTGATATTAATATGGTCATCCCAGCTTTCTTTCATTTGCCTGGTAAATGCTTTACATATTTTTTTTTACTTTCAAACTTTTTGTATCCTTATGTTTTTAGTATATCTCTTCTAGACAATATATAGCTGGATTTTGTTTTACTACATGCTTTTCCAATTTTTTCTCTTTAAATGGAAAACTTAGTCTCTTTTTACTTATTGTGACTAGTAATATGGTATTTCTATCACCCTGTTGGTGCTTACCATTTATTCCCACTTTCTATGTTTTTTTCACTTTATTTTGGCTTATTTTGGATCAATTTTTTAAAAAAAATCCAACTTTCTCCTGTTAAATTTTGCGATGTTTTCACTCTGTTTCTTTTCCTTTAGTGGTTATGCTATAATTTTAACATGTATACATAACGTATCAAGCTCTAAGTTTAAATGATGTTTTTATCTTCTGAAATTACATCCTAAATGATATCCTAAATATTTTATGATATTTTAATGCTAAGCACCCTTTCACCTGACCTACATGCCTTCATTATAATATGTTGTAGTTCTATTTTGCTTTTTGATCATACAAGACATTATTTTTATGGTTCATTGCAGATTGTGATCTTGCTACTCCACCCTTAAGAGCTGGAGTTTATTTAGCCTCCTTTTGCTTAGGGGCTAGTATTAGTGGCTTGCTTAACCAATATGTGGTAGGAGTAACATTTAGTGACAAATCAGCTTACCTTTGAAAAAGTCTTTAGGTTTTCTTTTGGCATCTTGACACACTTATTCTGCTCTTCCCTGTTGGTCACTCCCTCTCATAATCCAGTTGCTGTGTTGTAAAAAGTACACAACACGTGAAGCTACGGGCATGCTCTCTGAAATACAGTACCACATGAGTCCAGCCTTTGAGTCATACCAGTTCTGGCAAGAGACATGTGAATAAAGAGGCCTCCAGATGATTTTTGACCCTGATTGTTCAACTAACCCTAGCCATTCAGGTCTTTCTAGTTGAGGCTACAGATACCTTAGAAGAAAGAAAAGCCATCCCTGCAGTACCCTGTCTGAATTCTTGTTCCACAGAATGCAAGAGCATAATAAAAGGGTCACTTTTTTCTGTCACCATGTTTGGGGTGATTTTATGCAAAATTGATAACCAGAACATCTTTTCAGATTTATTTACGTATTTAACAATTTCTGTTACTCTGTCATTTTAATTCTCTCACTTGTCATCCACAATCCCTTTCCTTTTACCTGAAGTATATTTGGCAGAATTTCCTTTACTTAGGTTCAGTCAGTAACAAATGTTCTCAGTTTTAATTTTCCAGAAATAACTTTATTTCATTTTTTTCAAAATATATTTGTGTGAGTTATAGAATCTTAGGTTACCGGTATCTTTTAGTACACTGGATTACTATTTCACTGTATGCTGGCTTCCTTTTTTGCTCTTGAGAAGTAAAAAATTTTTACACGTATAATCTCACTCTCTTCCTCCATGTTGCATATTCTCTATTGTCTTTTTGTGCTGCAAATCTGAATAATCTCTTGGGATCTGTTTTCCAGTTTTCCACTTCTTTCCTCAGCTGAATCAAGTCTAACATTTATCCTACCTATTGAGTTATTATTTTATATTACTATATTTAATTATAGTGATTCTATTTAAATTGTATTCCAATCTACTGGGTTAATTTTTGTAGTCTTTTCCTCCATTATCAAATTTAATTTTTAAAAAAGTCTTTGAAATTATCACATATACAACTTTTATATTTTGAACCTAAGGTTTCCAGTATCTGTTACCGTAAGTCTGATTTGCTGATTGCTATTTCTGCTAACTCTTTCTCATGGTTGTATTAGTCTGTTTTCATGCTGCTGATAAAGACATACCCGAGACTGGGCAATTTACAGAAGAAAGAGCTGTAATTGGACTTACAGTTCCACGTGGCTGGAGAACCCTCACAATCATGGCAGAAGGCAAGGAGGAATAAGTCATGTCTTACACAGATGGCAGCAGGCAAAGAGAGAGGGGTGCTTGTGCAGGGAAACTCCCCTTTTTATAACCATCAGATCTCATGAGACATTCACTATCACGAGAACAGAACAGGAAAGACCTGCGCACATTATTCAGTTACCTCCCACCAGGTCCTTCCCATAACACGGGAATTCTATATGAGATGTGGGTGAGGACATAGCCAAAGCATATCAATGGTAAAGAGTTATTGTTTTATATTTTTGTTTTGTTTTGCATGCTTTGTGGTATTAGTGATTTTTCCTTAGAAAAGTATCCATTGTTATTTCTTGGGGCATGAATGAACATGAATTCTTCTGAAGAAAATTTTTATGGTTGCTTCTGATGGAGTTATCTGTGGGTACTATGAGTTCTAGAGAACTAGGTCATGGTTATGAATTCCAAGATAAATTGTTTCCTTCTTCACTCAATACATTTCTCCCTGAAGACCAATGAGTAAACGGGTTTATTTATTTATTTTCAGTCTTTCCTCTTACTCCCTGTCTCCTCTAGATTAGATTATGTGTAGTGATCTATCAAGCTTCCTAACACTTTTAAAACTTATCTTCAATCTGCTGTTAAGCCTCTCTAGTGACATTTTATTTCAGGTATTGTATTTTTAGGCTCTAGATATTTCACATGATTCTTTTTAATAGTTTCTATTCTTTGTTGAGATTTCCTATATTTCATACATCATAAGCATATTTTCCTTTATGACTTCAAGTACAATTACAAAACCTGTTTTTAAAATCTATGTCTGATATTTACATTTCTGGTTATCTTGGTTTTGGCCTTTGTATTATCTTTTCTCCTGAAAATGGGCCCATGTTTTCCTGTTTCTTCATATTTCTGTTAATTTTTTTATTGTATGCTGTACTTTCTGGGTGATGGAAGATTCTGGATTCTGCTATTTTCTTCCTCTGAAGTGTATTAATTTTTTTTTAGGTAAACAGTTGATTTTTTCTTAACAAAAACCACAGACTCAGAAATATTAGATCAGTTTTTCTAGCCTTTAGCTTGGTTACTTGAACCATATCCTATGCAGGCATGGTTCAAAAATCAACCAGAGATTTGAGTAGAGCTCGTATGCAGAATTGGGGCTCCCTACCTATGGCTTTGTCCCTTGGAGATTTCTCCCCTCACTTTTTAGCTACTGTGATTGCCTCAGACTTTGCTCTCTGGTTATTCAATCCAGTAAAACTGTCTGATTTCTATATGCATGTAGCCCCCCAGTAATACAACTGGGCTTTGTCTCAGGATAAGAGCCAAGCAAAATTAAGAACTCATTTATTATCATTTCTTCTATGCAGATATCAGATACCTCTGTTGTCTTCCTTCTTTGTTCCCTTGCCAATGGCTACAAGTGTTTTTTTTTTTAATATATTTTGCAGAGTATATAGCTTTTATCTGCAAAATAGTTGATCTAATGTAATCTATCAAGCCATTCAGAAGTACGACCTAGAGCCTAAATTTGAAAATGCTCGTACGGTTTATTTCTGGATCACGCTGTCAGGGTGGCTTCATTCCTTTGGGGTTCAAGCTTTATGTGGGTATCTTACATTAGTCTCTTGGGTGGGCCATAAGACTTATGGCCTGTCTCTTAGTTCCCATGAGGTTATGAAAACTGAAGTTAAAATTCACCATATTTGAAAGATCCCCTCATGTAAAAGCTTTAGTCAGTGCTTCACTCCCTTTTTTTTTTTTTTTCTTTTTTTAGGCAGAGTCCCACTCTGTCGCCCAGGCTGGAGGGCAGAGACACGATCTCAGCTCACTGCAACCTCCGCCTCCCAGGCTCAAGCAATTCACTGCCTCAGCCTCCCAAGTAGCTGGGATTACAGGTGCCCACCACCACGCCCAGCTAATTTTTGTATTTTTAGTAGAGATGGGGTTTCACCATCTTGGCCAGGCTGGTCTTGAACTCCTGACCTCATGATCCACCCACCTCGGCCTCCCAAAGTGCTGGGATTACAGGCGTGAGCCACTGTGCCTGGTCACTTCACTCACTTTTTTAGTTTCCTACTTTCCTTAACTTTTGACTTTTTTAAACTGTGTATTCCATGTTTCTTACCAATACACATAGGAAAAAATTAATCCAGCATTTTTAGTTAGTATGAATTTAAGGGCCAGTCAGTTCATCTAGTCTATCAATCTGTTGGAAGAGGAAATCTGACAAGGGTTTCTTCGTTAAAAAAAAAAAAAAAAAAGATAGTTAATCAAATCATATGAACTGATCACTGAACTGCTTAAAACCCTTCAATAACTTCTGATAACATTTAGGATAAAAATAAATTATTTTCAATGTCTTGTAAGAACTTGTGTAATCTAGCTTTAGTCTTCCTCTGTAACATCATCTTGTGTCACTTTCCTTCTCTACTCCAGCCATATAGAACTGCTTTCAGATCTTTGAATATGATATGCTCTCTCCTATCTCAAGTCCTTTCTATGTGTTATTTTTTCTGCTTGGAGTTCCTCCTTTTTCACCCTTGTCTAACCAAATTCTAGTCATTCTTTGGTTCTCTGCTTCTTTGTAACCTCTGCCAGGCATTTTCCCTTGGCATCTTAGACCAGTAATGGACCCCCATATCTTTTATATTGACCTCTTCTTCCACTTTTATGACACATCTCACTTTATGCACATTACGCTTAACCTACTATACTCCATGGTGATAGCAACCATGTCTTTCCTTCATCACCATTTCCCAAAGACTGATACAATGCCTGTTATAGAGAAGGTGCTCAAAATATAGTTGCTGATTATTTTGTTTGAATTAGTCACGTAAGAATCTTATAAGCTTTGGGGCACATAGATTTTTATAAACCTTTTGGTATAAGAACTAGACCTTGAACATTGGTGACATTACCAGGATAATGCTCGGCTGAAAACCCCAACTAGCTGGCAGTTTTCCCCAGTCTTTTTGATTATGCACATCCCCTTATATTACCCCTACCAAAAGGGATTCTATCATGTCTTTCACTTATTCAAGAACACACTATGTTCTTACCCCTTCTTGTGTACTGTAGCTTAAACTTTATATTTTGACATTATATCCTGTCTACAACCTACTTACTAACCTATCCAAGTCTGTCTTCCACTACCTCCCAATACAAACATTCCAAACAATATCAGACTATTCTCCCAATTGCCTTTTGTTTTTGCATATCATGTGCTATTCTTCAGCTTAAATCATGCTGCTCATCTGTAGCACTTTTCTCCCTTGATTCTCTCATTCCCAATCCATTCCATCCTTGATGCTTGACTTAGGTCAGCATAAGACCTAAGTACAGAGACAATGTGGTGTAGTACTTAATAGCATTTTCTTTGTCACTTGCCAGCTGTGTATAACTTTGGACAAATTACTTAGATTTCAGTGCCTCCATTTCTTTATTTGCAAAATTGAGATAATAAGAGTAGCTTATTCTGTAACGCCTTTGAGATGACTTCATGATTTAATATATAAAAGTACACAGAATGGATCCTGGTGTATTAGACATCAATATTTTTTAGCTATATGCAACTCCTCCATAAAGCCTTCCAATTCCATTCATTCATTCCATCTCCCAATATTTATGGTGAGCTTATTTTGTGTCAAACCTTTCACTAAGCATTGCTTGCAAAGCAATGAACAAGGAAGCTCAAGGAATTCACATAATTTATTAAGAAATAGGTAGAGTATGCTTTGGAACATGGAGCAGGGGCACCAAAATCAACCAAGTGTAAGGATTGGAGAGTGAATTGTCAGGAAAATATTTGCTCAGGTTGGTGAGCTGAAAGAGACTTAATATATAAGTTGGAGATAACCAGATGAAGAAGGTAGCAGGGACAGAGCCAGCAGGAAGAGGTGAGAAAGAAGAGTGTATTCTGAAAGTATATGCAAAAGCCTCAGAGATTAGAGAGAACAAAGAACATTTAAGAGAACCACAAATAGTTCTTTGTGACTGTGGAATATGGTGAGAAGAAAAGAGAGGTAAGAGGTAAACCTGAAGAGATTGGAATGTACATAAAGAATCATAAATTATTTCATAAATTTTTCATGGCAGGATCTTAGACCCATTAGTCCTACTTATCAGTTGGAGAATGTCAAGAGAAATTTGTTGGCAACTTTTTGTTATTAAGTTGTAATAATAGAAAAAATGCTCTTGGCACTGATACAGCATTCATTTTTCCCTTTTATTCCTCAAATATTAATTAACATCCTGATATATACTAAGCCATGCACTAGATGACAGAGCAATAAATAAAAACTGGTGCTTACTCTTAAGGAACTCACATTTTATTGAGGGGCACAGACAAGCAAATAGGCTGTTATAATACAGACTGAGAAGAACTGAGTTACAGGCAAGTGCAAGATGCTGAAGGAGTACAGAATGGGCACCTAAGCCAGTTGTATTTGTGCATTGTGGTGATGGGAGAGGGCATAGTTGCTCAGAGAAGGCTTTCCAGAGGTTCTGTCATTGCAGAGGCCTGCTATTAACAATGTGAAGGGAGCAGAGAGTAAGGGAAATCCAAGCTTTGGGAAAAATACATATGGCTTGGACTACCTTCATTGCTCTCTTCTCTAGATACTGATCTCATTTATTGTCTGCACTACTCATTTTAGCACTGGATCATAAATGTATCTTATGCAGCCTTACTTTGTTTAGATGACTATGTTATTTTTGTCTTCCTAGTAAAAGTACAAACTTTTTGTTAGCAGAGATATGGCCTTGGAATTTTTTTATATCACAATAACAAGCAGTATTAGATAGGAAATGAATATTTACTGAATTAATTGGTTAACATTTTCCCTATTTTATTTAGTCTGCCCTAAGCTATTTTTATAAAGCAAGTAGACACTTTCCTCTCTCCCTCTCTCTTCCACTCAAAGAAAAATTGTGCTTTAAATTTCTTTTCAGCCTCTTAGCTATATTTAATCCTTTTAAGTTGTAGTCCTCTGAAACAACAACTATAAAACACCTGTATTCTTTTTCAACTACAGAATCCTAAACTAAATGTAGTTCAATAGTGAAGATTTAGTCAAGCCAAGTATAGACAGATTTCATACTGGATTTTGCTTACTTCTGTCATTAGGTTCAATCATTATATCCGTAAATCCTGTAGACTGCACATTCTTTACACTTAAGTAATTTTCTTTGTCTTTTGTCTTTTTAATGTTAATATGTAAAAACTCTAATTAATGCCTGACACTAATTACATCCATGTTAGCATGGATGTAATGTCATCCTCATTATCTTCATCAAAATTTTTACTTCCACTTATTTGTGTTTGTGTCACAGTATTTGTATAACTTTATACTTTACTAAGCCTCTCATACTTAATGAATCAACTTGAAATGTTATCTTGAATATAATACTTATTTTCAGTAATAGGTCCAGAGAGCTAAAACAGAACTTCAGCTTTAAATATATGGAAACAAACTCAGAGAAGTTTAGTAACTTTTTCAAAGTCACAGAGCTTGTTGGTAGTGTCAAAAAGTCTTAAGTTAAAGGAATAAAGAACCAAATATTAATTGTTTTGGAGAGGAGCAAAATTGCCCCAAAGTTTCTAAAATAACACCATAAGTAACTAAAGACTAGCCTTAGAGAAAAAAGCATGGGAAAATTAAGACTTGGTTAGATAGAAAAACGTAAATGGTGTTTGCAGGCAAGTAATGATTTTTCCTCCCTCTCTATAAATGATATTACTTTGGTAGAGAGAGAAATGAAATGTGCTGATGTTATTTGTTCTTTGTGAAACCATTTTGCTCATTATTCAGCATTTTGTGCCCCATAGGTATTTTCAAGTTGATAGTATAATGACTTTTTCCACTATGATCCTAGGTACTGACGTTATGCTAACAGGTCTACAATTTTCCGAGATCATCCTTTTAGTAAAATTGGACATTGAGCTCTATTTCAGACTTCTGGCACTTCTGTTCTGAGCAACTTTCTCAAAATAGCAGCAAAGAGATTTGCAATAACATGCACCATTGCCTTTAGAATCCTTAGTCACCAATCATTAGGGCCTGCTGATTTAAATGCTATCCAGAGTTTTCAAGTTATCTCCAAGTGTTTCTATCCTCAACTTACTTTTTATCAGTGCTTTTACATCCATAGGTAGTTATCTAATGACCTGAGACATAGAAGAAAGAAAAAGAATAAGCCTAAATGCGTTTCTAGTCAATTGACTGGAAATTAAGTTTTTGCAACCCATTATAATTTCACATTTCTTCTTTTCTTGTCAATTCCTTTAAAAATTCTTCATTCCTATAAGGGTTTTTTTTTTTTTTATTAACTGTTGTGATTCCTGCTTCAAATCCCAAAGAGCAAGGGATGGGTATTCTCTTAAGTCAGTGGCTTTCAGGCAGAATATTAGTTCTGTCTCTGTTCTTTTGAGTGGCATAAATTGCTACATGACTCATCTCATGGGAAGAAGGTGGATTTGGATAACGAAATATTGGTTAAAACAAAAACAAAACAAAAATATTGCTTTCCAACTATGCAGCAAATCACTTTAGTTACAAGGATACAAAATGTTTCTTTATCAGTTGGGGAACCGTCCTGATGTTATATTAACAATAGGTGGGCTTTCCTAGTGTTCTTTGAATCCAATTATATCTTGAATGATCAATTTTAATTACATTTTTTTCCAGTTTTCAAAATGTTTTCATCATGCTCATAAAGGAAATAAAGGCATTTTCCATTTCATAATCAGATCAGACTATGAAACTTCAGGGCATCTAAACAACACTTATTATTCTCCCCACAAGAAAAGAAAATTTCAATTGTAATTCCAACGAGAAAATATTTACATGAGATAATTAAATGTTGCAAAGCTAGCGGTGAAGTTGACAGTAAGGAATAAAATGTATTTTAAGAATCACTAGCAAAAGGATTCAGTAAATACCACATCACAAGCTGGTACATAACCCTATAGTATTACTTAAAATTCATTTCTAACTATTCAAAAACCTTGACAATAGAAAGATCATTTAAAAGGAAAAAAAAATCTACCTGAAGATTCACAAAAACTGCCAAATAGAAATATTTGGACTAAATATTTGCAGAGTAATCAATGTTATGGTAATGAAGTTTCTGTTAAAGATGGCATACTGACTTAAATCAGAGAAAATTCACAAAAAAACAAGTCCTATCTTAATATTCTGATGTCTGAATCCTTAAGTTGATAGATGACTGCAGAGGAAGACTGCAAATTTAGGTTGTCAGAGCAAAATCTAACTTGGAGTGACCAGTGGAATGAAGAAGTGATATAGCAATTTGAGATGGTGCAAGCTTGCCTTTTAAAATGGTGAGTGATGGTCCACATTTTAGACTTTAATTTTATGACCACAAAGCCTGTTTTAATTATTTTTGGTTATTTTGGTCTTGGAAATTTGCATGAATGACCCAGATGTAAAAGTAGCTCTTACTTGTCTTTATGTGTAAAACACAACCCTCCTTTTCTTCTACCATTTGAAATAAAATTCATTTTTATTAATAATCTTTATCTGAGTATGAGCTATTAAAAGATAAACGAATACTATTTCGATCAATTTTATTTTTAATATAACTAGCTTCAAGCTTCAATGCATATTTTAATATTTCATTCTACAACTAAAATATGCTATTACATCTATGATATTTTAATTGAAATTAATATTTTCCCTATTACTCTTTATTTCTTGATAGAGAGGACTGTACCACTCCCTCAATCAACTACTAGCCAATAATACATTTAAAAATGTACTCTGTTTAAATTTTCATGAATTGCCTGAAAATGTAAATCATAACATTATTGCATTATATTTCTAGAACTATGAATAATTTCCTCTAGGAAAACAAACTAAGGGAATTATCTCACTTTGATATTTCTATAAGATTTCCCTTGGGATACATAGAGTAATAGTCCTAATAATAGTTTCCGAAGTAGTGAAGAAGTAAAACTCAAAATATTTCATGATCAGTCGGAAACACAAGGTGTAAATGGCATATAAATCAAAATAATGTTTTTACTTGTAAACGTCATATGTTTGTGGGTTGCTGGTTAGGTAGTTGGCAACTTGAAAAGTTTTCAAATCAATTAGAACCAATAGTCTGCCAACCTGGAAAACTAAAATGGTATGTTTGCATTGTTTTTCGTGTGTGTGTGTGTGTGTGTATCTCTACTCTGTGAATATATAGAAGAGCTATAAACTGATTTGCAAAAGATAACGTATTTACTAGTGATCACCTCACAAAAAAACAATTAATAAGAAATAGCTTAACAACTGGGCATGGCGGCTCACATCTGTAATCCCAGCACTTTGGGAGGCCTAGGCGGGCAGATCCTTTGAGGCCAGGAGTTCGAGGCCAACATGGCGAAACACCGTCTCTACTAAAAATACAAAAATTAGCAGGGAGTGCCTGTGATCCCAGCTACTCGGGAGATGAGGCAGGAGGCAAGAGAATGACTTGAAGAGGCGGAGGTTGCAGTGAGCTGAGATCATGCCACTGCACTCCAGCCTGGGCGACAGAGTGAGACTCTGTCTCTAAATAAATAAATAAATAGCTTAACTTCCAGATACGTTTTCTGTGGCTCAAACTTTAGTACTTTTCGCCAAGAACTTTTTCTTGAGAAGTGTATTTCATGAGATGCCAATAGTTACATAGTCAAATTAGAGAGATTGTGCATACTCTATCATCCCTCTTGATAATTCAGTGAATTCGAGCATGTTATAGGCTTCTAGAAATGCTCCAATAAAGACATTTGTTTCACTTTGAGAAGTGAAACAAATTTCTCAACATTTCTCAAGGTAATTTGACCATGATACATCTTTTTTTTAAGATTATTTTTAACAGCCAACAAATTGGAGCCCTACGTAAGTCAACTTATTTAGGGAATGCTGCTGTGAAGGAAATGGTAAACTTGATATTAAAGTTAAAAGAGATCTCTGAAATCATTTAGTTTAACACTTACATTTTAGTATTTTACAGATAAGAAGACTGAGTTCCATGAGATACACACACACACACACACACACACACACACACACGTATATCCCTGGCATATAGACACATAGTGGCTAGTTAAATATTGTCAGATAAATGAATGAGTGAGTAAGGCTAGTGTTAGGACTCAAGACTCATATTTTTCAGTCCATTGAGCTTTTCAAGGGACTTATTTTCTCCTAAAGACCATGTAATCAGATCACTAGGGTCTTTCATAAAACAAGTTATTAGCTGAATGGCCTTGAGCACATATTCTGTTTGAAAATCAGGATAATACCTCTCTCACGAGGTTATTTGTCAGTATTAATTGAGATGTTACACATGAGAAGAGCTTATTACACAATGCATATTAGGTATTCAGTAAATGTTAGTTTATATTCATTTCTCTGATAATATTATCTGTAAAAATGATAATATCTATGATAGTGTATTAGTCTGTTCTTAGGCTGCTAATAAAGACATATCCGAGACTGGATAATTTATAAAGAAAAAGAGGTTTAATGGACTGACAGTTTCACATGGCTAGGGAGGCCTCACAAACATGGCAGAAGGCAAAGAAGGAGCAAAGGCAAGTCTTACATGGCAGCAGGCAAGAGAGCATGTGCAGGGGAACTACCCTTTTATAAAACCATCAGATCTTGTGAGACTTATTTGCTATCACAAGAACATCATGGGAAAGACCCAACCGCATGATTCAACTACCTCCCACTGGATCCCTCTCACGACACATTAGGATTATGAGAGCTACAATTCAAGATGAGATTTGGGTGGGGACACAGCCAAACCATAACAGATAGTATTGTCCTATTTGCTAAAAACATTTTGTGTATTTTAAGGATTATAACATAGCGTAAAGAACACAAATTCTAAGTATACAGCTTGCTGAACATTAACAGTGGAACAAACCTGGGTAATCAGTACCTAGGCTAATAAACGGGGCATTACTAGAGCATTACTAGAACCCCAGAAGATATTCCCATATCTGCTTCCATTCATTATTCATCGGGGGTGTTTCATGTAAATAAAAACATGCAGTACATATTCTTCTGTGTTGAACTCTTTTTGCTCAAATTATGTTTGTGAGATCTATCAATATCATTGTATGAAGTAATATTGTATGACATGTAGTATTACAATAATTGTAATTATTGTGTGTAATTATTGTATGGAGTAATATTGTATGCAAGCATTCATTGTCATTGCTATAGTATAGTATAGTATAGTATAGTATAGTATAGTATAGTATAGTATAGTATAGTATTATGCTATGTGACTATACAATGGTTTATTTGTTCATTCTAGTATTGGTGAGTATTTGGATAGCTTCTGGTTTGGGGCCATAATGAAAAGCCCTGCAATGATCATTCATGAACATATCCTCTGGTGAACATATATATTCATTTATATTGGGTTATACTTACAAGTGGAATTTCTGAGTATATGTGTGTTCAATTTTAGTAAATATCACCAAAGTTTTCCAAAACGTTTGTAAAAATGTATACTCCCACCAGCAGTACATGAGACTTCCAATACATTCCAGAAGATTGAAATTAAAATTACAGCCATGAATTTAATATAGAGCAAAATACAAAGTGCGTGAATTGGAGGCAGCAGGTATTAATGATAGAGCATTGGAGTTTGACTGGTTTCTTGGTTCTAATATAGGCTCTTCCAGTAGCTCGCTATGTGATCTTGGAAAACAACTATGATTTCTCTTATTTAAACAATGCATAATTCATACACATATACAATTTTGTATATAATTGAGGGTGTTGAAGAGCATATAATGGGGGGGTGGTGACTGGGACTCATCATGAATTTTACTTAAGAATATCTGAAGTAGGTGATATTTAAAGTCTCTTCCAATGGTAACAATGGTAACAGAAATTCCTTTAAAAGCCAACATTTCAACTATTTTTTAGTGTCATATTTCAAACATATATCTAGTAAAATAAAATATTTCCTGGGTAAATTTAACTGCTGGTGCCAGCAAAGAGAAGTATTTCCAAATTAGTTATCATTTAAAGAAATTATTTTGAATCATACTCAACAAATATGACGTCTTCGTCGAATTTGTGCTGCTATAACAGAACACCTAAGAAAGAGTAATTTATAAAGAACAGAGATTTATTTCTTATGGTTCCAGAAGCTGGGAAGTCAATGGTCAAGGGGCCAGCATTTGTCAAGGGCCTCCTTGCTGCGTCATTTCACACTGAAAGGCAGAAAGGCAAGAGAGCACGTGCACATGAGAGAACAAGAGATTGAACTCACAGCCTCAAGCCCTTTTATAATCAACATTAATCCATTTATAAAGACGGAACCCTCATGAATGAAACACCCCTCATTAAGCCCCACCTCCCAACACTGTTGCTTGGGGATTAAGTTTCCAGTACATGCCATTTGGAGGTCATGAAGTCATCAAAAACAAATTAATAAAATCCTGAAACATAGATGATACTCTACTATTATTAATCCACACAAATTCATGCCATCTTTTCAATAAAATTATGATATGGAAATAACGAGATTTTAAAAAACTATTCTTGATATTATCCATTAAAAATAGATTTGAAACTGTTTTAAAATCAAGGAAAAGTTAACATTCTTTAAGTGAATGCAATTGAATAAGTATTTCTAGGAAAGGCCATCATGATATATTCAACTGAACAGTTTCCTTGAAAATGGTATTGTTTTTGTTAATTATATAGTTTAATATGGGAATATTATCTTTCTGAAATCACCTCTAAGTTTCTCAACCTAAAGTAGGTGGAATGATTTGAAAAGCAGAGGTCTTATTACCTAAAATTTTACACCACATGTTTTAAAAATATTATTGTCAGCATTAGTCACTCTTTAGAAACTTTAATTGCACGTTAAGAGGATAAAAACATTAAAGGCAATAAGTTAGGTAGCCATCACATGAGCCAGGATTTGTTTGTTTGGTCACCTTGTTATCACTCATCTTAATGTTAGTAACCAATATTTCTCTAAAAGAATTGGATGCTGAGTGAGAATATCCTAAAGGGGGAAGAGTTTGGGAGCATAAGGCACAGAATTGGGCTAGAAGATTGCTGTTGTAAGGCGTTGGTTAGCCTCAGAGAAAGTAAGTAGAATAGCATATATGGAAGTAACCTGAAAAGAGATGCAAATTGCTGAATAGAATAATCTCATTTAAAACAAATAAGTAAAAAGAGAACCCTATCTGCCTTTTCCAGAAACAATCAAAATAATCTGCTACATTATTTATAGAGGTCAAAAGCAGCACCAGTATTCCCTTCTCCTGTAGTATTTAATAGTAGAATAGATAACTCTAGTTAGATTCTGTCTCACCTGGGAAAAGATGGCTGGACTATTTGAACTCTCCAAGTGCTTTCTAGCAGTAAGATTCTTTAATATATTTTGCCCCTGGGATACAGAGTAAATACAGTGCATCTGGAAATGTCAGCAAAAACACTTGCAATATCTTTCTACTTTATTTTAATGAAGGATAATGTTCCTCTATATAAAACTGCTAAGGCTGCCCATGCTTGCCTGCACAATAGAAATCCCTGAAGGATCACTCAGACTCCCATCAACTTCCAAGACTCAACCCTGGAAATCAACAGCAACCAGAAAATCATTTCATATAGATCTGCTATGAAAAAACTCACAGTCCATTTATAACTAAGGGAATTTACAAAACATGAAGTTGTCATTTTTTTCTCTCTTATCTCATGTATGATGATGAAAACATTATATTATGAAATTTTCAAAAGTGAACTACTCACTGTAGATATTTAGAAATTTAAATAAAAACAGTTAAATGTAGAAATGGGAAAGGAAAATTGATATTGGCCATAATGATGACAAAAGTCTGTGATTGAACATTTAGTACACAAAGGATTAGCAACCATTCTATTTTGTCATGATTTGTAGTATATCATGTTATAGGTGTCTGTAGATGATACATAGTTCATATGATACATATATGACTATACATGTAGGAACAATTCCTTCAAAACCTGCCTTGATCTGGCTTTCAGCTCTCCAGTCTTGTACATTACTATACATGCTCTTACTATACCCTTTAATCTAGCCAGACTGGTCAACTACTGTCTATTTTACAATATGTTCTATCTTTCTCCCTCTATGCTTTCATTCACATTTGGTTTTTGATGTAAGATCTTTTCCCTCCAGGATTTACCCATACTGTTGTCACCTGTCTTATTTCAAAATGCAACATATTCCCCTATATCAGATTCCCCATTTATGTATCCTTAGCTTGTTCTTTACACACTCAATATGTATATAATTAAATTAAAATGCTTATGATTTTGAAAGCACTACTAGATTTGGGCATAATTACAAATGATGAAAATTTTCTTTGGTATCTTTCCATTTCCCTTTTGAATTTTTTGCTTCTGTTTCTCTTCCTTTAGGAAACTAGCAGTAACTAACTTATTTGCGTTACTAGACTATGCCAGTTCACTATCCCACCCAGAATTTGGAAGATAGTTAAAAACAATTCACATTTTAAACTGCTGATTTCTAATTCTTCCCATCCTGTGCCCCTTCCCCTGCTTATATCCAGTAAAAAAGCAATAAAAGGTAGTTTCTTAAAATATGTAAATTATGTATGCTAACATAGTGATTCACTCATTGAGATGTACTTGCAGCATAATGTCAAGTCCTTATATTTGTATGTTGATTGCATTTTAAAAGTACTTTCTTTTTCTTTTTTTTGATCTGTATTTTTTCTTTTTTTTTATTATACTTTAAGTTTTAGGGTACATGTGCACATTGTGCAGGTTAGTTACATATGTATACATGTGCCATGCTGGTGTGCTGCACCCATTAACTGGTCATCTAGCATTAGGTATATCTCCTGATGCTATCCCTCCCCCCTCCCCCTACCCCACAACAGTCCCCAGAGTGTGATATTCCCCTTCCTGTGTCCATGTGATCTCATTGTTCAATTCCCACCTATGAGTGAGAATATGCGGTGTTTGGACCGAAATGTCCAACAATGATAGACTGGATTAAGAAAATGTGGCACATATACACCATGGAATACTATGCAGCCATAAAAAATGATGAGTTCATGTCCTTTGTAGGGACATGGATGAAATTGGAAATCATCATTCTCAGTACTTTCATAACTATCACTTATTATATGTATAGTAGGCAGGAAGGGTATGTTATTATTTCCCTATTGCTGATTAGGAACATGAGACCCGGAAAGCTTAAATAACTTGAATAAGATCAAACAGTAAGTAAGTATTTGTGCCGAGTCTAGAAGTAAAATTATCTGACTCCAAACAATGAAACTCTATTTGTGGATTTTTAGTTCATTTTGAAAAAATAAAAGTGTTTTGGGGAAGATAGGCCTTTCTAGTCTCTTTCAATTATATATACGCACCTATCTTCATAAAATATCTACTCTGAAAGTATGATGGAATGTTATAAAATATTTCAGTTTTGCTGCTAGGAAGAGGCAAGAAGTCAAATTCACCTAAGAACTACAGTTAACAAATTTAAATGAAACTATATGTTTCTTTCATAAAGATTTAATTCTTAAAGTATAATATAGTAGCATAATTGACACATCATTAATTTTTTTAGAAAGTAGAAACATCAAAAGTTGATAGGAAAGATAATTATGGTATATTTCCTATTTTTATTTAAAACAAAGTATATCTTCTATTTCAAGTTAAAGGTGGGGGTTATGTCTCATAATTGGAAGAGTTCGGAAAGGCCCAGGGCATTAGCTGTAAGTAGTATTTATCTCAGCATTCTTTTGTAAATACTGAGAATAAAAGTTGTACAAATATATACCAAATTGTCATGAAGCAAAACTCAATTTTCTCATATTTTCAATCTAAACAGAGTTACTAACTCTAGTTCCAGCGAATACACTCAACTTGCTATTATGTTATATTTCTGGCATGTCTCCCCCCCAAAAAAACATTACTGGAACTGTGATTTGAAAACTTATTGGGAACTAAAGAAGCTCTGATCCTCATATGTTTTCCCTCTGTCATGCTCACTCTCACTCTTTCTCTCATTCATTCACCAATTCCTTCACAGAGGTGGTGTTATATTTTACCCAACAGCCATTTCCCTCATCTTGCCTGCTAACAGGAGTTCAACTTTATTCAAATGGCAAAATGTGTTCAGTTCCAGTGGATGAATCATGATAGATTTAAGTTAGAAGTTGGCAAACTCTTTACATAAAGGTCCAGGTAATAAATATTTTAGGCTTTATGGCTCATATGGTCTCTGTTGCAACTATATTCAACTCACCTGTTGTGTCATAAAAACAGCCCTAGACAATATATAAATAAATGTGCATAGTAGTGTTCCAATAAATCATTATTTTCAAAAATAGGTGTGCACCATACTTTTCCAGAGAAACTATGGTCTAAGTCAATCATGGCCCTCTCATTCCTCTTAGGCAGTGGTAGAACTGGAAATGCACATTATACTATATTCTGACCAAGAGGAATGGAGAAACTCGCTGTGGGCTTCTGAGAATGACTTTCACCCTTGATAAGAGAGGGAAATGGGAAATTTCAGTTTGTTTCTCCTCCTTTCTCCCTCCCTTCCTTGGGTACCATTATATATATATGAAGCCTGGAGGTGCAGCAAACATCTTCCAAATATGAGACAACAGGCCTAAGGATGGAAATTATTTATGAGAATGATGGAGTTAGAAGATAAAATAGGCCTGCATTTTTTTATGACATTGCAGAGCCAATGATCAACCTCAGAAACTAACCTCTGGATTTATAGTCGAGTATCAGGGAAATGTATTCATTATATAAGACATTGTTGATTGGTTATAATAGCACTTAAATTCTTTCTAAAAGGTGATATTTGGTAATTGGCTTCATTTTGCCCACTTCATTGACCAGTTGTATTGCATAATTTACAGAATCACAACATTTCTATTCCTCATATCTTTGTCTTGCACATAGATGCATCTTGCCATGTTTTAGATCGCTTAGTCCCTTATGCTCCTTCATGGCATTCTCTCAGCTTCAACCCATGCTAGTAATTGCTTCAACTTCATGATGGCCCAGTTCAAAATTTTTAAGAAAGAAATCTAACTGTACTTGTTCCTCTTTTACTGTCAGACCACATGGACCACTGGCAAACCTACAAATGGGCCACATTTGGGTCAAGTTCAAAGTCTTAGCCCAATCAACTGCAAGGAGAAATGGTTATGGATAAAACATGGTCACCATCCCTGTACAGTTCTCTGAGTAAGGCAGTTTACCTTCAACAGGGGTATGGGTGGGGAGGTACTGTAAAATATATCTAGTATAATAATGTATAATTTGATGTCAGTGCACAACAGTTTTCATTACCAGCAGGTTGATAACAATTTTTAAGTTATATTCTAAGAACATTTACTTATTTCATCTGTAAAAAAGGGGGATGCATTTATGTAGTCCTTTTGTCTTTGGTATTTTCCAACACCTATCCTCATGAGAGGCATTGTCAGTGGTTTAATTTCTCATACCACATTCTTTGGCAGAACACTTTTCTGCCTTGACTTGTGGCAATACGTTGACAGCCTACTTCTCTTTCTCCCTATATCCTTAGGAAGGTAACATATGTGTTTTCTCTTTCAAATAGGATCTTATGGCCTGGATATAACAAGAGCTGAATAGTATAATGATATCCACTGTCTTTTAAGAATGAAATTTTCCGCATGAAATACATTTCAAGGCAACTTATCATTAAAACACCAACACTATTTTAAAAATGTAACTTTTTATGGTTAATCTATCTAAAATCTTTTATATACCTAAAATCTGTATGCTTCCCTGCCTTCCCAAATAAATGACATTGAACATAAATTGCCTTAACGTGGGTTAATAATTACAAATATCCAACATTCAAGAGTGTCATAATCCAGTTTGAAGACGGGTTTTTGTTTTGTGTCTTTTCCCATTATTTATTTATTTATTTATTGAGACGGAATCTTGTCCTGTCACACAGGCTGAAGTGCAGTGGTGCAACCATAGCTCACTGTAGCCTCAACCTCCTGGGCTCAATGATCTTCCCTTCTCAGTCTCCTGAGAAGCTGTGACTACAGGCACAAACCACCATGCCTGGCTAATTTTTATTTTTTGTAAAGATGGTATCTCCCTATGTTGCCCAGGCTGGTTTTGAACTCCTGGACTCAAGCAATCCTCCAACCTTGGTCTCCCAATGTGTTGGAATTTCAAGCATGAGCCACCACACCAGACCTTCTTCCACTTTTAGAATGTTACTGTTACTGATGAGAATTTGTCTTCAAGTCTCCAGATTTCTGATTTTTTTTCCTCTTCTATGACAAGGGAGACTAGATAAATAAACTTAAGAATTTTCTGCTGGTTAAAAGTCAATAAAATATTGAAGAAAGGCTACTATAATTGGAATTGTAAATCTTGGAATTGTAATTACAGGCCTCAAAGTCCAAGGCTTTGTAATTACCTTTTAGGAACTTGAAAGTATTTTTCAGATATTTAAGGGCTATGTTCTGGCTGGTTGAGTTCATCCAGAGACAAACCTTCAAATAGTCTCCTCAACAGCTCACAATACTACATATATTTGATTATTAATGTTCTAACTGCTGTAATTCATTATTTTATGCAATAAATATTTATTACGCTCCTCCAATGGGCTGGCTCTTGTCTAGATATGAGACATAGCCCTGGCCTTTCAGGAGCTTAAAGCCAAGCAAGAAAGTACATGAGGATATAACCAACTAGAATACACTGCCAAAAGTGAAGAAATCATGCATAATCAAAGTCCTATGACATCCCAGAGACAGGGTGATCTTTAGGTTGTGGTTGTCAAGGAAGCCATCACAGAAATGACATTAGAACCAGATCTTGAGAAGGGGACAGTTTGTCAAGTTTAACAAAAATTAGACAGGGGGAAAGACACCTTAGGCAGAAATATAAATCATTTTTCAATTAAGAGATTTGCAACTTTGCTGAAGTTGCTCGTCTGCTTAAGGAGATTTTGGGCTGAGACGATGGGTTTTCTAAATATACAATCATGTCATCTGCAAAGAGGGACAATCTGACTTCCTCTTTTCCTAATTGAATATCCTTTATTTCTTTCTCCTGCCTGATTGCCCTGGCCAGAACTTCCAACACTATGTTGAATAGGAGGGGTGAGAGAGGGCATCCCTGTCTTGTGCCAGTTTTCAAAAGGAATGGTTCCAGTTTTTGCCCATTCAGTATGAGATTGGCTGTAGGTTTGTTATCATAAATAGCTCTTATTATTTTGAGATACGTCCCATCAATACCTAATTTATTGAGAGTTTTTAGCATGAAGGGCTGTTGAATTTTGTCAAAGGCCTTTTCTGCATCTATTGAGATAATCATGTGTTTTTTGTCCTTGGTTCTGTTTATATGCTGGATTACGTTTATTGATTTGCGTATGTTGAACCAGCCTTGCATCCCAGGGATGAAGCCCACTTGATCATGGTGGATAAGCTTTTTGATGTGCTGCTGGATTCAGTTTGCCAGGATTTTATTGAGGATTTTTGCATCAATGTTCATCAAGGATATTGGTCTAAAATTCTCTTTTTTTGTTGTGTCTCTGCCAGGCATTGGTATCAGGATGATGCTGGCCTCATAAAATGAGTTAGGGAGGAGTCCCTGTTTTTCTATTGATTGGAATAGTTTCAGAAGGAATGGTACCAGCTCCTCCTTGTACCTCTTGTAGAATTCGGCTGTGAATTCGTCTGGTCCTGGACTTCTTTTTGGTTGGTAGGCTATTAATTATTGCCTCAATATCAGAGCCTGTTATTGGTCTTCAGAGATTCAACTTCTTCCTGGTTTAGTCTTGGGAGGGTGTATGTATCCAGGAATTTATCCATTTCTTCTAAATTTTCAAGTTTATTTGCATAGAGGTGTTTATAGTATTCTCTGATGGTAGTTTGAATTTCTGTGGGATTGGTGGTGATATCCCCTTTATCATTTTTTATTGCATCTATTTGATTCTTCTCTCTTTTCTTCTTTATTAGTCTTGCTAGCAGTCTATCAATTTTGGTGGTTTTTTTTAATTATACTTTAAGTTTTAGGGTACATGTGCACAATGTGCAGGTTAGTTACATATGTATACATGTGCCATGCTGGTGTGCTGCACCCATTAACTGGTCATCTAGCATTAGGTATATCTCCTAATGCTATCCCTCCCCCCTCCCCCCACCCCACAACAGTCCCCAGAGTGTGATGTTCCCCTTCCTGTGTCCATGTGTTCTCATTGTTCAATTCCCATCTATGAGTGAGAACATGCGGTGTTTGGTTTTTTGTCCTTGAGATAGTTTACTGAGAATGATGATTTCCAATTTCATCCATGTCCCTGCAAAGGACACGAATTCATCATTTTTTATGTCTACATAGTATTCCATGGTGTATATGTGCCACATTTTCTTAGTCCAGTCAATCATCGTTGGACATTTGGGTTGGTTCCAAGTCTTTGCTATTGTGAATAGTGCCACAATAAACATACGTGTGCATGTGTCTTTATAGCAGCATGATTTATAGTCCTTTGGGTATATACCCAGTAATGGGATGGCTGGGTCAAATGGTATTTCTAGTTCTAGATCCTTGAGGAATTGCCACACTGACTTCCACAATGGTTGAACTAGTTTACAGTCCCACCAACAGTGTAAAAGTGTTCCTATTTCTCCATATCCTCTCCAGCACCTGTTGTTTCCTGACTTTTTAATGATTGCCATTCTAACTGGTGTGAGATGGTATCTCATTGTGGTTTTGATTTGCATTTCTCTGATGGCCAGTGATGATGAGCATTTTTTCATGTGTCTTTTGGCTGCATAAATGTCTTCTTTTGAGAAGTGTCTGTTCATGTCATTTTCCCACTTTTTGATGGGGTTGTTTGTTTTTTTCTTGTAAATTTGTTTGAGTTCATTGTAGATTCTGGTTATTAGCCCTTTGTCAGATGAGTAGGTTGCGAAAATTTTCTCCCATTTTGTAGGTTGCCTGTTCACTCTGATGGTAGTTTCTTTTGCTGTGCAGAAGCTCTTGAGTTTAATTAGATCCCATTTGTCAATTTGGGCTTTTGTTGCCATTGCTTTTGGTGTTTTAGACATGAAGTCCTTGCCCATGCCTATGTCCTGAATGGTAATGCCTAGGTTTTCTTCTAGGGTTTTTATGGTTTTAGGTCTAACCTTTAAGTCTTTAATCCATCTTGAATTAATTTTTGTATAAGGTGTAAGGAAGGGATCCAGTTTCAGCTTTCTACATATGGCTAGCCGGTTTTCTCAATTTTGTTGATCTTTTCAAAAAACCAGCTCCTGGATTCATTGATTTTTTGAAGAATTTTTTGTGTCTCTATCTCCTTCATTTCCTCTCTGATCTTAGTTATTTCTTGCCTTCTGCTAGCTTTTGAATGTGTTTGCTCTTGCTTCTCTAGTTCTTTTAATTGTGATGTTAGGGTGTCAATTTTAGATCTTTCCTGCTTTCTCTTGTGGGCATTTAGTGCTATAAATTTCCTTCTACACACGGCTTTAAATGTGTTCCAGAGATTCTGGTATGTTGTGTCTTTGTTCTCATTGGTTTCAAAGAACATCTTTATTTCTGCCTTCATTTCGTTATGTTCCCAGTAGTCATTCAGGAGCAGGTTGTTCAGTTTCCATGTAGTTGTGTGGTTTTGAGTGAGTTTCTTAATCCTGCGTTCTAGTTTGATTGCACTGTGGTCTGAGAGACAGTTTGTTATAATTTCTGTTCTTTTACATTTGCTGAGGAGTGGATACAAAATCAATGTGCAAAAGTCACAGGCATTCTTATACACCAATAACAGATAAACAGAGAGCCAAATCATGAGTGAACTCCCATTCACGATTGCTTCGAAGAGAATAAAATACCTAGGAATCCAACTTACAAGGAATGTGAAGGACCTCTTCAAGGAGAACTACAAACCACCGCTCAATGAAATAAAAGAGGACACAAACAAATGGAAGAACATTCCACGCTCATGGATAGGAAGAATCAATATCGTGAAAATGGCTATACTGCTCAAGGTGATGTATAGATTCAATGCCATCCCCATCAAGCTACCAATGCCTTTCTTCACAGAATTGGAAAAAACTACTTTAAAGTTCATATGGAACCAAAAAAGAGTCCGCATTTCCAAGACAATCCTAAGCCAAAAGAACAAAGCTGGAAGCATCATGCTACTTCACTTCAAACTAAACTACCAGGCTACAGTAACCAAAACAGCATGGTACTGGTACCAAAACAGAGATATAGACCAATGGAACAGAACAGAGCCCTCAGAAATGATACCACACATCTACAACCATCTGATCTTTGACAAAAACAAGCAATGGGGAAAGGATTCCCTATTTAATAAATGGTGCTGGGAAAACTGGCTAGCCATATGTAGAAAGCTGAAACTGGATCCCTTCCTTACACCTTATACAAAAATTAATTCAAGATGGAATAAAGACTTTAAAGACTTAAATGTTAGACCTAAAACCATAAAAACCCTAGAAGAAAACCCAGGCAATACCATTCAGGACACAGGCATGGGCACGGACTTCATGTCTAAAACACCAAAAGCAATGGCAACAAAAGCCAAAATTGACAAATGGGACCTAATTAAACTAAGGAGCTTCTGCACAGCAAAAGAAACTACCATCAGAGTGAACAGGCAACCTACAAAATGGGAGAAAATTTTTGCAATCTACTCTTCTGACAAAGGGCTAATATCCAGAATCTACAATGAACTCAAACAAATTTACAAGAAAAAAACAACCCCATCACAAAGTGGGTGAGGGATATGAACAGACACTTCTCAAAAGAAGACATTTATGCAGCCAAAAGACACATGAAAAAATGCTCATCATCACTGGCCATCAGAGAAATGCAAATCAAAACCACAATGAGATACCATCTCACACCAGTTAGAATGGCAATCATTAAAAAGTCAGGAAACAACAGGTGCTGGAGAGGATGTGGAGAAATAGGAACACTTTTACACTGTTGGTGGGACTGTAACCTAGTTCAACCATTGTGGAAGACAGTGTGGCGATTCCTCAAGGATCTAGAACTAGAAATACCATTCGACCCAGCCATCCCATTACTGGGTATATACCCAAAGGAATATAAATCATGCTGCTATAAAGACACATGCACACGTATGTTTATTGTGGCACTATTCACAATAGCAAAGACTTGGAACCAACCCAAATGTCCAACAATGATAGACTGGATTAAGAAAATGTGGCACATATACACCATGGGCAGCCATAAAAATGATGAGTTCATGTCCTTTGTAGGGACATGGATGAAGCTGGAAACCATCATTCTCAGCAAACTATCTCAAGGACAAAAAACCAAACACCGCATGTTCTCACTCATAGATGGGAATTGAACAATGAGAACACTTGGACACAGGAAGGGGAACATCACACACCTGGGCCTGTTGTGGGGTGGGGGAAGGGGGGAGGCATAGCATTAGGAGATATACCTAATGTAAATGACGAGTTAATGGGTGCAGCACACCAGCATGGCACATGTATACATATGTAACTAACCTGCACATTGTGCACATGTACCCTAGAACTTAAAATATAATAAAAAAGGTTAATCAAAACAAAAAAAAATTTGAGAGATTTATAAGACAAAAATGTAGCATCAATGTACACTACTAAAGTAGCAATCGATCTGTAGTCAGTTTACATCTGGCTTATCCCTTATTTTCAGATATAAGGGGCTGCCAGAAAGAGACACACAAATGGTATTTTTAAAGTTGGTTTGGAAATTCTAGTAGAACACATTTTATACCTAGGGTAGAATACTGTCCCTGACTAATCAAATATTTTTTTTTCAAACATGCCTAACACATTTTGGAATGAGAAAGAATATTAGTCCAGGCTTCCAAATAGCAACATAGATTCTGAAAATCTTTTATGTAACATGTATCAATTCAGGCAATCAATGCAGTGACATTTGCCAGAGACACTTTAGTCTCTGTATTAGTCACGGTTCTCTAGAGGAACAGAAAGAATGGAATATGTATATATGTGGGAGCTTGTTAAGTATTAACTCACATGATCACGAGGTCCCAAAATAGGACGTCTGCAGGTTGAGGAGCAAGGAGAGCCAATCCGAGTTCCAAAACTGAAGAGCTTGGAGTCCAGTGTTGGAGGACAGGAAGCATCCAGCATGGGAGAGAGAGATGTAGGCTGGGAGGCTAGGCCGGTCTCTCTTTTCACATTTTTCTGCCTGCTAATATTCTAGCCATGCTGGCAGCTGATGAGATTGTGCCCACTCAGCTTAAGAGTGGGTCTGCCTTTCCCAGCCCACTGACTCAAATGTTAATCTCCTTTGGCAACACGCTCACAAACACACCCAGGATGAATACTTTGTATCCTTGAATCCAATCAAGTTGACTCTCAGTATTAACCATCACAGTCACAGTCACACCCAAAAGATTATTTTTTCCTACTAAGCCAAAGGTGTTAGCAAATTTTAGTTTGGATAAAAGTGAAAGCAATAAAACTAAGATGTATTTAATAACTTTGCTTCTTTGACATAATTCCAACAATTGTTTTATAGCTACCTTATATGCTTATTTCATATTCTGTGTCTCTATATAAGTGTTATGAATATGCTGGACCTATATATCTTGGAATAGGATAGATAATTTTAAAGTTTTTATTGATAATTGGTTCTAAAATATTTGATCACCTTGTAAAACTATATGTCTATTGTGCTATAAACAGGTACAGTTATATGTCATTATAGACCTACAAATATATTTGTAGTTATATGATTTTACCCATATGTCATGCCTTTATATATAACTGAATTTCAAAGTAATGTATTCTATAAGGCAACAACTCACATATACTCTCAATTCAATCTCCAGATAAGTACCAAAGCATTTTCTTTAGAAAATAATAGAAAGTATAAATCACATACAAAAATACAAAGGTTATTAAGAATGGTATTCTAGTTAACATATAAGAACGTCTAGATGACCTTGGTTTGGCAGTGGCTTTTAGATACAACACCAAAAGCAAGACACAAGTGAAACAATTGGAAATTTTGATTGTATTAAAATTAAAAACCTGTTCTCTGCTATAGACTCTATCAAGGAAATGAAAATATAAGTGACAGCCTGGTTGAAAATATTTGCAGAACACATATCTGATAAAGGACTGTTATCCAAAATATATAAAGACCTCTTAAAATACAACTATAAGAAAGCAGACCAGGCATGGTGGCTCACACCTGTAATCCCAGCACTTTGGGAGGCTGAGGTGGAAGGATCACTTGAGGCCAAAAGTTCAGGACCCGTCTCTATCCCAAAAATGCAACAAATTAGCTTAGCATGGTGGTGTGCACCTGTAGTCCCAGCTACTTTGGGGGTTGAGATGGGAAGATCCCTTCAGGCCCAGAGGTCGAGGCCGCAGTGAGCTGAGTTTTTATTTTGTTTTATTTTATTTTATTTTATTATACTTTAAGTTTTAGGGTACATGTGCACAATGTGCAGGTTTGTTACATATGTATACATGTGCCATATTGGTGTACTGCACCCATTAACTCATCATTTAGCATTAGGTATATCTCCTAATGCTATCCCTCCCCCATCCCCTGCACTCCAGCCTGGGTGACAAAGTGAGACTGTGTCTCCAAAAAAAAAAAAGACAGCAAACAACTCAAAAATTGGGTGAGGGGGCCTGTGCGTGAAGGTCTGGCAGCTCTTCTCAAACTCCTTGGTTAAAGGAAATCAACAACAACAGCAATTTATCATTAATATGCTACTCATAAGTAAATGTGGGATAAAAGAAACTTGGAATTTATGTATCTCCTCTCATTTTACAAGTACAATTCCTTTGGGTAAAGAATCATCAACCAAATACCTAAAATTATTAACAAATATCAGGAAGTAAAAAGTGTTAACAGAAGTAAGTTCAACACGATGGCTTCTGGAGGGCTGCAGTGGCAAGGGAGGCAGCCACGACAGCAGCAGTGGCGAAATTGGCCATGGTGGTGGTGGCAGCAGCAGCAAGTGGCAGTAACAGCAGCGGGCTCCAGGCCAGGACCATTAGTAGAAGCAGACCGTGTGCAGGAAGGCCTGGCCTCTCTTCTTCTCCAACTTCTGCAGCAGCTGATCAATCTCATTCTCCATATCCTCTGAGCGCTGGATACACTGGCAGAGCTCGCAGATGAGAAACGCCCCTATGATGGCATCTTCCTGGTTGTCCTGGATGTCCATGTTCACCACATGCACTGGTCGGCAGGTCTCCTGTTCTCTGGAATTTAGATCTTCCACCACCTGGTCATAAATGCTCTCTTCACAAGTGATGATCAGATCAAACACATCTTTGCAATCCTGGAACCTTTCTGGCCGGAGCTTGATTCTCTTATTTCTGTCTAACATATACAGAACGCCATTCTGTGTATAGAATTCTTCGTCTTTCGTGATAAGATCATTGTACATTTCATCATATGTGGTTTTGAAATCATAAATATTTGGCTTGTTAGGCGCTGGTCCTGGAAGCTTCACATGAGGTGTTATTCCAAAGGACTGGACACTGAATCCTCGTTTGTTGAGGACTCTGTGTGCCTCCATGCTCTGGTTCTGGTTATTCCAGCACACCACCGCCACCCGCAGCGGTGACAATGACATGGCTGCGACCACACTACTCGCGATGCTCTCACTTAAGCTTCTACCAACCACAACACCTTAGTACCAACAGAATGGCGACCAAAAATGGCGACCAAAAATGGCGACCGTGTTGCGGGAGATATAGGACGTGGCGTCTGTGCTTGCCAGTCTCCTCGCAAGCCCCGAGTGCCGCGCCGCAGGTATGCTGGCATCCAGGCTCAGGCAATGAACGCATTCTGAGATGGTTGGCGGCTGGCGCCTGCACAGCCACTCCCACGCTCCACAAGGTGCAGCCCAGCCACATTTAACACATAAATTGTTCTTCCGCCGGGCGCGGTGGCTCACGCCTGTAACCTAGTACTTTGGGAGACTGAGGTGGGTGGATCACCTGAGGTCGGGAGTTCGATACCAGCCTTACCAACATGGAGAAACCCCGTCTCTACTAAAAATACAAAATTAGCCAGGCATGGTGGCGCATGCCTGTAATCCCAGCTACTCGGGAGGTTGAGGCAGGAGAATCACTTGAACCTGGGAGGTGGAGGTTGCAGTGAGCCAAGGTAATGCTATTGCACTCCAGCCTGGGCAACAGAGCAAAACTCCATCTTAAAAAAACAAAAAACAAACAAACAAAATATATAATATTTTGTTTGTTATATATATAATATATAAATATATAATATATATAATATATTTTTTTTCTGTATAGCGAAAGTCTTATTGTCAGTTCAATTGAATGCTTTTTAAAAAGCCTTTTAAGGAATTCTATAACCATCACCAAAACGTCAGTCTGTCCACCTGCATGATCTCCCAGAACACTTCGACCCCATGTGAGTATGGGGTGGGAAGACAAAAGCAGCATGTGTGAGGCAGCTGGCTGACAAACTGCTATCCAGGCTGGTTAATCTTCTTTCCATTGGTTCTTTCCGTAAATCAAAGTCTTCATGATCATTGGCTACCCCTGCAACAATGAGCTCTTATAGGAGCCTCACGACGTTACAATTGGCATCCCAGTGGTCCACGTTAGTAGAAGCAATGGCCCACTGTAAGATAGGGATGACTACTTGGCTTCTCAGCAAGGTGACAGGGCTACGCTGAATAAACCTGGTGGATAGCCTGAACAGGTCGTCTACAGTGTCAGAGTGATTATGGAGACCATTCTGCTGTTCTAGGAGCTGAAAGGTGGGGATGCACAGTGCCTGCACATGTCTAGTGGTCCCTGCCCACAGCCTTCTTCCATGCCATACTCATCTACGAGGATAATGCCAAGGTATAGGAAACAAGAATGCTGATGTACATGGCACACATTCATCATTCTAGTGGTTACAGCAGCATGGCAGATCCTTTGCCTACACAGCGAACAGCAAAGCGCAGGCACCTGCAACAATGCTCTGCAATCTGATTATGAACTCGGTGCTTATTTAGTGTCTCGCATAAAATTGGTCATATTTCCCGTATGACTTTTTGGCACCTATGAGTCTGTCTGTTTTCCACAGTGGAATTGGTATGGCTAAATATCACTGCAAGGCGATCTAAGAACAGTGTCAATAGTTAGAGAATTCCTTAAAGGGTTTGCCAAAGGAGACAACCATGGGAGCCGTCACCGTGACTTACAAACAACTTACAGACTTCCACAAGCAAGTCACTAGTGCTGAGGAATGTAACCAAGTTTGCTGGGCCTTGTGAGACCTCACCAGGTTCTTTTGATAGCTCATGCTTCTGCACTGTGCCTGTCACCCAGGAATGTCTTTTTAAATTAGAAGACTGGAAGAAAACAAAAACCAGAATGTGTCCCACAATCAGAAACCTCTGTCGTGGCAGAGGGGCCTTCACCGCCACCAGGGTGTCCTGCCAGACAGAAAGAAACTCCAGGCTTCTGAAGGCCACCCTGGGGAGTTCCTGTTTGGGGGTGTGAGGGAAAATCAGGGAGGTTTAAAAAAAGACGGCTGTGGCCTGCCTGGTGTGGTGGGAGGGGAGGTGGTTTCCTGGCAAACTTATTTCTGAAAGGAAAAATAATTTCAAGAAAATAAAAAAGGAAAACTAAATGGAAAAAAGCCTTGTAAAATCAAATTCCAAATTAATGCCAAAACTCTCTCTTCTGCTTTTGAAAACTCCAATTGTTAGAACTTTTCCTTCAAGTTACCACCTATCAAACTACGTATCATTTGTGTTTGCTCATGGCTCTCTTCATTTTCAAAGTTAGGTTGTTTGGAAATAAATCTCAGTTGCAGAGCTGTAACTTAGGCAGGGTTATCAAAAAGTTGCTTAAGTCTGTCATCCCAGCAGTTTGGGAGGCCAAGGCAGATGCATCGCCTGAGCCTAGGGTTTCTAGACCAGCCTGGGCAACATGGTGAAACCCTGTCTCCTTTAAAAATGCAAGAAATTAGCCAGGCTTGGGGTGTGGTGTTGGGCACCTATGGTCCCAGCTATTCGAAGGCTGAAGTGGGAGGATCACTTGAACTTGGGAAGTTGAGGCTACAGTGAGCCGCGATTGCACCAGCACAGTCCAGCCTGGGCAACAGAATGATACCTTGTGTCAAAACAAAAACAAACACAAAAACGAAACATGTTGCTTAAGGGCATTAAAGTACATAGGGCTAGAAATGTTTTTTTTTAAAAATATGTATAATTATACAAAAGAATAAAATTGGACTCTTACCTTACATCATATAAAAAATTAACTCAGAATGAATCAAAGACCTAAACATAGGAGCTAAAACTATAAAATTCTTAAAACATAGTTGGAAAACTTCATGACATTGGATTTGACAGTGATTTCTTGGACATGACACCAAAAGCACAGGCAGCAGAAGAAAAAGAAAAAAGAGAAATTGAATTATATCAAATTAAAACTTTTGTGCATGAATGACACTATCACAAGAGCAAAAGTCAACCCACACACTTGGGGAAAGTATTTGAAAATCATATATCTGATAAGAGGTTCATATCCAGAATAAATATTAAGAACTCCTGTATCTCAAAAACAGAAACGCTAACAACCAGATTTTAAAATGGGCAAAGGACTTGAATAGACATTTCTCCAAAGCAAATATACAAATAACCAATAAACACATGAAAAAATTTTCAGCATCACTAATCACTAAGCAAATGCAAATCAAAATCATAGTGAGGTACCACTTCACACCCACTAGGATGGCATATATATATGAGATATATATATGATTTATATATATCATATATATATCATATATATCATATATATCATATATATATCATATATATCATATATATATCATATATATATCATATATATCTCATATATATCATATATATATCATATATATCTCATATATATCATATATATCATATATATATCATATATCTCATATATATCATATATGTATCATATATATCATATATATCATATATATATCATATATATCATATATATATCATATATATCATATATATATCATATATGTATCATATATATCATATATCATATATATCATATATATATCATATATATCATATATATCATATATATATCATATATATCATATATATATCATATATATCATATATATCATATATATCATATATATATCATATATATCATATATATATCATATATATCATATATATCATATATATCGTATATATATATCATATATATCGTATATATATATCATATATATCATATATATATCATATATATCATATATATATCATATATATCATATATATGATATATATCATATATATATCATATATATCATATATATGATATATATCATATATATATCATATATATCATATATATGATATATATCATATATATATGTTTTTAAAAACAGAGAATAATAAATGAGGATTGCAAGGATGTGGAGAAATTTAAACCCTTGTGCACTGCTCTTAGAAATGTAAAATGATGCAGCCACTATGGAAAACGGTATGACTATTCCTCAAAAAATTAAAAATAGAAATAGCATATGATCCAGCAATTCCACTTCTGGGTATATACCCAAAACAATTGAAAGCAAGGACTCAAACAGATATTTGTACACGCATATGTTCATAGCAGCATTATTCACAATAGCCAAGACGTGGAAGCAAACCACATGTCCATTAGTGAATGAATGTATAAACAAAATGTGGTATTTACATACAATGGAGTATTATTCAGCTATATAAACAAAGGAAATTCTGATACATGTTACAACATAGATGAACCTTGAAGACATTATGCTAAGTGAAATAAGACAATCACAAAAGACAAGCATTGCATGAATCTACATATTTGAGGAACTTAAAGTAGTCAAATTCATAGACACAGAAGTAGAATGGTGTTTGTGGGGAAAAGGGAGTTATTATTTAATGAGTGCAGAGTTTCAGTTTTGTAAGATGAAAAAATTCTGGAGATGGTTGGTAGTAGTGGCTGCACAATTATGTGAATGTACTTCATGTCACTGAACTGTACACTTAAAACTGGTTAAAATTATAAATTTTATCTATATTTTACCACAATTTAAAATATAAACATTGATACACACACTGGAACTATGTACAATCAATATTGGCCCACCAACTGTAACAGATGGCCCATACCAGTGCAAAATGTAAATAATAGGGAAAACTGACAAGAGAGTAAGGAGGTATGGGAACTGTGTACTTTCTGTTTTTTTCCTCCTATAAACTTAAAACTGCTTTAAAAATCACCTATTTTTTTAAAAAGTAAATGTACATACTAGGTTTATTGCCTCAAGAAACATCACCTTTCCCTCAATCAGGATTCTCTAGTTGCACTAGCACAGTGGTGAGCTTGTCTCTGGCCCTAAGCCAGACTTCGTGGCAGCCAGTAATGATGAAAAGGCCAGACACCCTGTGTCAAGGGCAGAAAGGCTAATGTTCTAGGGTTTCTTTGATTTCTTTTTTTTTTTTTTTTTGTCCTCTACTTTTTTTTTCTCATAGTACATTTTTCTGTAGAGTTATGGTTGAATTTGTTGCTGCCTGCCTCAGATGCCACAGTTGTTTGTTATGGCTCTGATATTTAATTAGGATCTGACCAATTCTGATAACAAAAGAATTAACTTGTACATTTTAGATTATTTTTCTGGAGTATACCACCTCTCTGGCTTGTATAAACGGTAGTATATTTATTTCTTTTAAGTATGTCTTTCTATTTCAGCCAATATTTATTGAGAAAACGCCTTGTATCAGATAATTTTCAAAGTTCTAAGAATACAATTAAAAACATGTTTTGTTTTGTTTTTTTACCTCAGTTGATACTACAGTCTAGTAAAGGAGACAGACATTAAACACATAAGCTTGCAAATAAAAATGTAAATATATTCAAGGAGGAAATGAAATAGGTGCAATGACCCACTTTAGATTAGATGGTCAGAAAAAGCCTATTTGTGGGAAGTAACTTTCAAGATGAAGCCAGTAAGATGACTAGGAGCCAGGCAGGTGAAGTGTGGGGAGAGAGTATTTAGGCAGAAAGAAGAGTATGAGCAAATTTTCTGACATGGGAATGTGCTATGTGAATTTGGGCAAAAAGAACAAAAAGGCCAGTGTGACTGCAGTGTAGTGAGGGGAAGAGGGGCACAGATGAGTTCTGAGAGGTGGACAACTGTCAAGTCATATAAGATCTTATATCACTGGTAGGTGTTTTCATGTTTAGAGTAATAAGATTATAAGAGTGTCAGAAATTGTTCTAAGTGCTTTACTTGGTTTTTAATTTTTTTTTTTTGTAGTACAGATGGGGTCTCACTATGTTGCCCAGGATGGTCCTGGACTCCTGGGCTCAAGGGATTATCCCACTTCAGCCTCTCGAAGTGCTGAGATTACAGGCGTGAGCCACCAAACCTGACCTCTAAGTGCTTTATTTGTATCATCACATTCAATCCTCACAAAAACCCTGGTAGGTGGGTATTATTATTCTCATTTTCAAGATAAGAAAAGCGAAGAACAGAGAGGTTAAGTGACTTGCCCCCAGTCACTGGTAAAATAGCACAGATAGAATTCAAACTCAAGTGGTCTGGTCGTAGAGCCAAAATTCTTCATTCCTCACTAAATATGATGGGAAACAATAGAAGGGTTTTAAATGAGATGCTTATATGTTGAGATTTACACATTTTAAAGATAATTCTGACTGAATTGGAAAGAACTGCTTGGAGATGAGCAAAAGAGAAAGCGGGGAAAGTAATTATGAGGCTGTTACCACAGTCCAAGAAAGAGATGACTATGGCTTGTTTCCTGGTGGAATCAGAAAAATAGATGGACTAAAAATATGTCTTAAAAATACTTTATTCAATATATAGGAAGAATGGCTAGGATTTGGTAATGTACTAGGTGAGGACAGGGGAAAGAGTGCAAACAAGGTGATATATCTGGTACATGGTCCTTTTGCAGATCATCATGATATTCTTAAATTGCCTGTAGTTTTAATTGAATTAAACTAATCATTCCTTTTGTGATAACTGAGGTTGGTGTTTTTTATTCTCCAACAATAAGCCTTTTATTAGTTTGTTTTCCACAATTTCTACTGTGTACAACTTAATTTGGCGGATTTAATTTCTTACAACAAGATTTAATTTGTTATGCCAAGAAGATCAAACATAAAGAGAAAAGAATACTTTCTGTTTTCAGTCTATCAGGGCTGCTATAACAAAAATATCATAAACCGGGTGGCTTATAAACAACAAACGTTTATTTCTCGCCATTCTGGAGGCTAGGAAGTCCAAGATCATGGTGCTAGCAGATTTGGTGGTCTGGTGAGGGCCTACTTCCTGTTTCATGGATGCCCATGTTTTCACTGTAATTTCACAGGTTAGAAGGATAAGGGAGCTCTCTCAGAGCTTTATCAGGCTTCTTTTATTAGGGCACTAATCCCCTTTATGAGAATAGCGCACTAATCACCTCCCAAAGTTTCCTCCTCCTAATACACTTAGTTTGGGGGCTAGAACTTTAACATATTAATTTAGGTGGTGACACAAACATTCAGACCATAGTACTTCCTCATCCCCAAAAGTCAGCCACAATCTTAAATCATGTTATAGACCATGCTCAATACCTGAAGAACATCAATTACCTTATCCTGACTTCTAAAGAGTTTTATATTGAATCCTTGGTAATTATTATGCATTATGGACTTTTCTATCAACTATCCTTCTGTTCAGTAACAATATCTAATAGAATTTTATATTTTGTGGCAAAAAAATAGCCACATTTACCATGTAATTTTCAGAGCAAGTGTCAGTGATCAATTGGGTGGGGTAGAGTAAGATTTGATTCTTTCTATCCTGATTTTAGAAATGTTAAAAGTCACCGTGTGTATTTGAAGATGTCACATATTCTCTGCATTCTCAAGTCTCTCTCTATAAAATCATGTATTATCAGTGTTTGTCAATTAATATGCAGGAGTCCTCTGGCTTATTGTTTCTTGGAATCTTCTTATAAAACACTATTATAAGCAGTGATCATGGAATTATCATTTTTTGGTAATACTTAAGTACCAGGGATTTCTTTAGTTTCTCCCTTGATCCTTTGCTCATGCAAAATCTGGCTCCTAGTGTCATTCTATGCTCCCTAATTTTCCAAAAGTATAAATACATATATGTGTATACACACACACACACACACACACACACACACACACACAGAGGCATGAATGCTGAGAAATGCTTTAGTTTGTTTGAAAAATAACTATTGTTTTTAAAATCTTGAGTATTATTTTTCCCAAAGATGAGAATCCATGATCACTACAGTCAATATCCATCACTGGCTTTGGCTGGGGTTGGGCTATATGCAATGTAAGACAGAAGGAAGCTTCTCTACCAAACTGTTGCTGTTTTCAGGAACTAAAATTCTCCCTGAATGTGTCCCTTATTTATATAATGTTATTAAAGACCAGTGGCACAAATGGAGAAGCAGAATGTGTGAAATTTCTCTGATTTATTCATTCTCCTATTGGATTCACATATGATGAAGTTCCTACACATCAGTTATTTTACTTAAAAGAAAATTATTATATTTTTACTTCACTAATCGGGCCTCCCCAGTGTCTATCACATAAAAGTCAACCTTTCCAATGTGGTATTCAATGTGTCTATGCAATCCAGGTCCTTAACTGTCTAGCATTACCTTCTACTTTTGCTGTTCATGAGACTTCTTTAATCTAGCCAGGCTCCTAAGCCCTCCAGAAATTTTTTTTAAAAATATTTTTTTCATCAGACTGCCTAGTCTTATAAAGTCAATTGAAATATGTTCAATTGGCTGGACACAGAGCCTCCTGAGTGTTATTCTAGCACTTTGGGAGGCTAAGGTAGGCAGATAGCTTGAGCCCAGGAGTTTGAGCCAGCCTGGGTAACATGGAGAAACCCCATTTCTACAAAAACTAGCCAGTTGTAGTGGTGTGCTCCTGTAGTCTGAGCTACTTGGAAAGTTGAAGTCGGGGGATTGCTTGAGCCTGGAAAGTCAAGGCTGCAGTGAGCAGTGATGGCACTACTCTACTCCAGCCTGGTCTACAGAGCAAGACACTGTCTCAAAAAAAAAAAAAAGAAATATGTTCAATTATTTATTCATTCAATAACAGAAACTCACCTGTTATGTGTATGGTTATGAATGAGATACCAAGATGAGTCTTAAGATATTTTGAAATATAATTCTTGTTTATTTTTTTCCAATATAGTAAAAACAGATTCAGAGACCCAAAATAAATATTGTGTGTTGTTTTCTTCTTTGTTTTGATAATTTCCAATTATGTCTTTTAGCAGATATATACATATTTTAGGACAAAATAATGCCCTTGCCATTTTTTATCTCAATACACATGATTTTACATTTTTTAAAGTTTTGAAAAAAAATGGACTCCCAATATGAGGACTGTGGACCCATAAGAATTCTTTTGCAGGGAATAGACTGTGGGTTGCATGTATCCAAAAGTCACTATACTAGGAATCAGCTAAATGATCTCCAATCATCTATTTTATTTTGGGGAATATCCTGCAATCTAAAAGAACAATGACTGTCAGATAGGTCAAGAATGGAAATCCTTGATCACCTCTATTAATTTCAAAAATATCTGAGTAATGTCTTAGCAAAAAGATGGAATCTAGTTATCAGTGGTATCATCAACTATGGGTAATGAATACAAATACATGAGTATAATTATTCCCTTGAAAATAGTCTTTTGCTAGTATGATAATTACCATTAAAGGCAATGACTTCATATAATGTGGCCCGTTTTTATTCCTATACATTTTCTTTTGAAATAATCATAGATTCATGCGAAATTGTAAAAAAGAATATAGACATCCCACATACCTTTATACAGTTCCCTTCAATGGTAAGATCTTGCAAAACTATTGTACAAAATCACAACCAATATATTGACATTGATACAATCCACCTATCTTATTCAGCTTTCCTCAGTTTTACTTGTACTTATTTGTGTGTGTGTGTGTGTGTGTGTTTAGTTCTGTACAATTTTATTACATGTATTACTTCCTTAATTAATATAGCAATTGTGAGATTTTTCCATGTTGTTGCAAGTTCATCTCTTTCATTGCTATATAATATTCAAATATAAGAATAACCATAATTTATCTATCTTACTATTGATGGGATATTGCGCTTATTTCAAGTTTTAGTCTATTACTAAGGATATTGCTATGAATATTCTTATCAGTTTTTTGGTGCATGTGTATAAATGTTTCTATTAGGTATACACGTAGAAGTCAATATTCTAGTCATAGGACGTATGTTCAGCTTTAGCAAGTACTGTCAAGAGTAGTACCAATTTTCTAACTCACCAGCAGTGTATAGGATTTGTATTGCTTTGTATACTATAACACTTGGTAATGTCACTATTGAAAATTACAGAATTACAGTCTAAATGCTGTGTACCATTATCTCACTGTGATTTTAATTGGAATTTGCCTAATGACTAATTAGATTAACTATCTTTTCCTACATTTATTGGACATTTGGATATTCACTTTTGTGAATGTTGTCTTCTAGTTTAATTTATTATATAAATTCTTTTTGCATTCTGGATATGATCCAGAATACTTTAAGACTGTACCATTTTATATCCCCACCAGCAATATATGACTTATCTGCTTTCTCCACATCTTTGCCAGCTTTTGGTATTGTCACTCTTTTGTGTTTTAGCTATGCTGATATTATTTGGTGATATCTCAGACTGTTTTAATTTGTATTTCCCTGAAGGATGATGTTGAATATATTTTTGTGTATTTATTTGTGGCTTTCTTTATAATTACATGCTTGATGTGCATAGTAATTTTTGAATCTGTAGCTTCGCGGTTTCCAGTTTTGGAAAATTCTCATCTATTATTTATTAAAATAGTGATTTTTGCCTCATTCTTTATCTCCTTTCCTTCTGGGATTCCAATTACATATTGTTGCCATCTTTAGCTATAGTCTCTATGTCTCTTATTATATATTTTCCATCCATTTGCCTCTATGTATTTGTGAATATTCTCTTAGGATTTATCTTTCAGTTTGCTAAATTCTCTTTTTACTGTGTAACCCTCTGTTAAACCAATTATTGAGTTATTAATGTTTATTTTAGATTTATAGTTCTACACTTTCCGCTTAATCATTTGTTGAAGTTTTCAGCTTGTGACAAAAATTTATATTTTTTTCTATGTCCTTGAGCATATTCAGTATAGCTAATATATTCTGTTAACTCTTATATTCTGCTACTACATATCGATTTCCATTATCCATTGTTTCTCTGATTTCACTAATGTTTTCTAGTCTTTTAATTTCCTTAGTTATGTTTGATTGAATACTGTGATGGTTAATACTGAGTGTCAACTTGATTGGATTGAAGGATGCAATATTGATCCTGGTTGTGTCTGTGAGGGTGTTGTCAAAGGAGATTAACATTTGAGTCAGTGAGCTAGTGAAGGCAGACCCACCCTTAATCTGGTGGGCACCATCTAATCAGCCACCAGCAAATATAAAGCAGGCAGAAAAACGTGAAAAGGAGAGATGGGCCTAGCCTCTCAGCCTATATTTTTCTTCCCTGCTGGATGCTTCCTGCCCTCAAACATCAGACTCCAAGTTCTTCAGTTTTGGGACTCCGACTGGCTCTCCTTGCTCCTCAGCTTGCAGACAGCCTATTGTGGGACCTTGTGATCACATAAGTTAATACTTAATAAACATATATATATAAACACATATATATAAACACATATATCCTATTAGTTCTGTCCCTCTAAGAGAACCCTGACTAATACAAATACTTCTAATTGTATATGAAAAATTATGGAAATAATTTCTGGCATATGATGATATCTTCCTTCAGAGAAGAGTTACATTTGCTTCTGGCAAGTGGCTAGGGACACTGACATTCTTGCATCACATCTGACCATTTTCAGATATTGAGATTATTTCAAGTTTGACCTCATCCCTTGTGGGAGCACATCTACTTCTTGTTTTCCTCTTACTCCTAGTGTTTAGCTTTTTGTGTTTCCAAACCAAACTGTAGGCATTTATTACACTCCCCTTGGTAGGCCTTGAACTCAAGTTTTTGTCTCCACATGCCACAAACTTACTGAAATATTCCTCAACCTCCCTCTTCTGAAATAGATGGACATTTCCAGCTGGGCTTACTGCTCTGGATCTTCTGGGTTTTCTGCTTTCCCATATCTTGTCTTGGATCCTTAATTCTTCATTATCCTAATAGCTCTCCAATGTCTCTAATTATATCAATATATACACTCTTAGATACATCTATTTAAGTATGAGAAATGTATTTAAATATTTTGTTTAGCTTTTATATTTTTTCTCAGTTGGATTATTGGTCTGAGTCTTCTGTCTTGTCATTATTGGACATAGAAGTTATGTCCATTCAAAAAATTTGATCGATAATGTTAAATTGTGCTTCATACAAGTTCTGCAAATTTAATGCCTGTTGCTCCACATTTTTACCAACTAAGAACATGTTATCAAGCCCTTCAAATTTTGGTAATATGGTGAAGTATAATTGTATCTCTGGTTAATAATTTGCCACTTTATTATCATGAATATAAACTGAGTTACATTATATATATATATTTTATATATATATATAAAATAGCCTATTCTATATTTTTCTATGAACTCAGTTTATATTCACTTTTCATTTTCCTTTTACGTTTATGTTCTTCTTTACAGAAGCTCTTCTATATTTAGCCTTTTTGGTTCCCAATCCAAAGTGTGGGGTCATGTCACACCCCACCTTGGAAAGCCTTGGACTCAGGTTTTTCTTCCCCTACACCCAAAAGTCTGTCAAAAATATTTGTTAACCTCTTTCTTCTAGAAACGACTGTTAAGAAAATTAGACTTTGTGACATGCAGTGCAACAATGTTTTCATGTTTGCCATTTGTCTATTGACTTTATGGATTTTCTGTTGCCATGAAGTTATTTTTTAATTAAAAAATGAAATGTGAAAATTACAGAATTTTTCTTCATGTCATAGATTGGAGAAAACTTGTTTTAAGTCTGATATAAAACACAGGAATCTAGAAAAGAAAATCGATAATTTATATTGTATGGATCTGTTTCTGGACCTTTTATTCTATTCATAGGTACATCTATTAATGTGTGAGAACCAAAATTTTAATTATTTCACATACATTTTATTTTTGAAACCTTGTAGGAAATGTCACAATGAAATTATTCATCTTTTCCAGAATTTTTCCAGCTATCTTTGCACACTTATTTTCCGTGTGGATTTTAGAAGCAGCTTATTTAGATCCAAAAAATATTGCACTACTTACAATTGTATTATATTATACATACAGAATGATTTAGGAATTATTGCGTCTTTATAATATTGAGGCATATTATCCATATCTTTTCAGATCACCAAGTATTCTTGTGTATCTTTCAAAGCTTTATAATGTTTTATCCATATAGATCTTGTATATTTTGTATTTGGTTTATTCTTGCCTATTTCTTTTTTTTTTTTTTTTTTTTTTTTTTTGAGACGGAGTCTCGCTCCGTCGCCCAGGCTGGAGTGCAGCGGCACTATTCGGCTCACTGCAAGTTCCGCCTCCTGGGTTCACGCCATTCTCCCGCCTCAGCCTCCCCAGTAGCTGGGACTACAGACGCCCGCCACCACGTCCGGCTAATTTTTCTGTATTTTTAGTAGAGACGGGGTTTCACCATGTTAGCCAGGATGGTCTCGATCTCCCGACGTCGTGATCCGCCCTCCTCGGCCTCCCAAAGTGCTGGGATTACAGGCGTGAGCCACCGTGCCCGGCCAGCCTATTTCATTTTTATTATTTCAAATAAGCTGTTTATTGTCATTATATTCCTTAAAGGTTTTTAACACATACTTAAATAATAGTTTTCTGTATATTAATTTGATACTCATTCAAATTTCTGATTTCCCTTAACAATTTTAAATAGTTTATCATTTGATTTTTTTTTTGAGTTTCCAGGTTTAAAAAAAAGTATCTTCGATATAATGGTAGTTTACCAAATTTTATCAACTTTAAAATTTAACAACTCCATTTTATGCCAATTATTTTTTCCATCTCTAATTGTGTTATCTAGTACATTCATAACAATGTTAAATACTCATGATGATAAGGAACATCATTTCATTTTTGTTTCTATTAAGCGGCTTCAGTATTTTCTCATTAAGCATGATATTGGCATTTGGGTTGAGATATTTATATTTTTATCAATCTAAGGAAATATCAACGTATCAATGGTAGCATTCTGATTTACATTATTGTGCTGTGATTTGGTAGGAACGTGCTCTTGTATTTTAAGAAAAACGCACTGATGTAATTAGATGCAACTGGGCAACAGGTCTGTAACTTATTCTCAATTGGTTGAGAAAACACTACACGGAGATAGGAACTATGATAGAGAGACAGCTGTAACAGATAGCTCTGATAGATACATAGACAATGGAAAAAGAAAAATCGGTATAATGTTAACAACTGGAAAATTTGGTTAAAAGTTATATGGGAGTTCTTTGCACTATTCTTGAAATTTTCCTGTAAATTTGGAATTATTTCAAAATAAAAAGCTACTAGTAAACATGATTAATGAAATGAAAAGGTATGCTACAGCCTCGAGGAAAATATTTGCAATAGCTGTATCTTACAAAAACTTATGTCCAGAATATATAAAGAAGTACTAAAATTTAATTAAAAAGTACAAAGAACCCAATTAAAAATAGTTGAACATACACTTCACAAAGGAAGATATGACAATGTCCAATAGGCAGACAAAATGGTGATTAACATTATTAGTTATCAGATAAATGCAAGATAAAGCCACAATAAAATATGACTATACACCTACCAGACTGACTAAAATTTTTAAAACCTGTCCACATTAAGTGTTGGTGAGGATTTGGAACAACTGATCTCTATCACTTTGCTGGTGAGACTGTAAAATTGTGCAAATATTCTGGAAAACAGTATGGCAGTTCTTTATGTGTTAAATATGCATTTACCCCATGATCCAGCAATTTCATCCACAGGAGTTTACCAAAAAGAAATGAAGATGTAGGCCCAAAAATAGAATTGTAAATAATTTTCATATATTCACATGTACATAATAGCCAAGGATCGAAAACGATCCAAAGTGACCTCCTATAGGAGAATGGATAAGCAATTTTTAGTACTTTTATATGTTAAAATATTACTCAGAAATAAAATTAATTATTGGCATGTACACAAACATGGATATATCTCATAAATGTTATGATTTTGAACAATTTTTGTTGAGATACAGTTCACATACAACAAAAGTCACCAATGTAATATGTGTAATTCAGTGGTTTTTAGTATATCACAAAGTTGTGACACGACTGTCACTATATAATTCTTTATAATTCTAGAAGATTTCCATCACCACAAAAAGAAACCTAATGCCAATTATCAATCATTCTTTGCTTCTCTTAATTCCTACCCTCAGGTGATAATGACTCTTTATGTATTTCCCTGTTATGGAAATTTTATATAGATGGAATCATACGGTAAGTGCCTTTTGTGTCTGGCTTTTTTCACTAAGCATAATATTTTCAAGGTTCATCCATGTTGTAGTCTGTATCAGTATTTCACTCTCTTTTACTGCTCAATAACATTAGAATGTATATGGATATACCACATTCATCAACTGATGGACATTGGGGTTGTTTCAACTTTTGTTTATTATGAATAATGCTGCTTCTTGGTAATTTCTATATATTCTTTGGATAAATGTCCATTAAGTCTTTTGCTCATTTTAAATTCAGTTATTCCCTTTTATTATTGAATGATGAGCTCTTTATATATTCAAGGTACTAGACACTTAAGAGATAAATGATTTAAAAACATTTTTTCATCCTCTGGGTTTCTTTCAATGCCATCACTTCTTCACCAGCACTCATTTCTGTCTGTCTTGTTTACTTTATTTATGGTTTTTAAAGTACAGGGTCTCACTTTGTCACCAAGGCTGGAGTGTAATGATGTGATCATAGCTCACTGTAACCTCTAACTCATGGGCTCAAGTGATCCTCCCACCTCAGTAGCTAAGACTACAGGTGTGAGTCACCATGCCCAGTTATGTCTTGTTTACTTTAGCCTTCCTAGTAGAAGGGAAGTGATATATCATTTTTTATTTGCATTTCTCTAATAACTAATGACATTGAGCATCCTTGAATATGCTTATTGGCATTTGTATATCTTTTTAGGATAAATATGTATTGAGATCCATTGCAAAGTTTTGATTGGATTATTGTCTTTTAAATTTTGAGTTGTAAGAGTTCTTACTATATTTGGAACACAAGCTTCATTACAGATATATGATTTGCAAATATCATCTGCCATTTTGTAGGTTGTTCTTCACTTCCTTGGTGGTATCATTTGCAGCTCAAACGTTTTTATTGTTCATGAAGTCCAATCTATTTTTTTCTTCAGTCACTTGTGCTTTTGATGTCATAGCTAAGAAACCACTGCATAATCCAAGGTCATGAATATTTACTTTTATGTTTTATTTCTAAGCGTTTTATACTTTTACCTCATATTTATGTCTATGATATATTTGGGGTTAATTTTATAGCGGTATGAGGTAGCCATCTAAATTCATCATCTTGTATGTGAATATCCAGTTGTGCCAGCACCATGTTTTGAATTTCAGTCTTTTGCCATTGAGTTTTCTTGGCATCCTGGTGAAAAATACATTGACCATAACATAAAGGTTTACTTCTGGACTCTGAATTATGTTCCTTTAATCCATATTTCTATTTCTATGGCAGTACCACATCAACGTAATCATTGTAGCTTTGCAGGAAGTTTTGAAATCAGGAATTATGTCTTCCAACTGAGTTCATTTTCAACATTATTTGGCTACTATGGGTCCTTTGAGTTTCCATATCAATTTTAGGATTATCTTGACAATTTCTAAAAAGAAGTCAGCTGCGGATCTGATAGTAATTTCTTTGAATCTCTAGATCGACTTGGGGATTATTGCCATCTTAACCAAATTAAATCTTATAATCCATGAGCACAGGATATTGTTCCATTTATTTATATATTCTAACTGCTTTTTGACAATGTTTTGTAGTTTTAGTGTACAAGCCTTGCACTTCTTTTGTTAAACTCATCTCTAAGTATTTTTTATCCTATTGTAAATGAATTTGCTTACTTAATTTCATCTTTTGCTATTTCATGGCTAGTGTGAAGAAATATAATTAATTTTTGCATATTGGTAATGCATTATTCAACATTGCTGAAATTGCTTTTAGCTTTGGTTAGAAATTCCAATCCAGTGTTGAATGGAAGTGGCAAAAGAATACATCCTTGTCTTGTTCGTGAGTTGGAAAGCTTAGAGTCTGTCATAATTGAATATGATGTTTTCTATAGATTTTCTATAGATTCTCTTTATCAGGATGAGGACATTTTCTCTTATTCCTATTTTTTACAGTGTTTTTGTATAATGAAAAAACATTGAATTTCTAATTAAAAATCAGCTGTTAATCTTACTGAGGGGGTCTTCTATGTGATGAATCTTTTGCTTTTGTTGCTTTCAAAATTTTGTCTTTCGATAGTTTGATTATAATTTGTCTAGTTTTGTGTCATTTTGATTTTATCCTACTTGGAATTTGCCGAACTTCCTGGATGTACAGACAAATATTATGGATGAAAAGAAGTTTCTGGCCATTATTCAAAAAAATTTTTGGCCTCTTTCTCTCCTCTCCTTGAAAACCAATTATGTGTGCCTGATGGTTCACCATAGGTTTCTGAGGCACTGTTTATTTTTCTATATTATCTTTTCTCTTTGTTCCTCAGGCTAGGTAATCTCTATTGACTCATCTTTAAATATGCTGCTTATTTATTCTGCCAGCTGAAATTTGAAGCTGAAATCTTCTAGTGAATTCTTTTGTTTCAGTTATGGTACTTAAAACGCTAAAATTTCTATTTAAAAAAAAATTTTTAATCTTACATTCTCTATTTGGTAATACATTGTTCTCACAATTTCCATTCTTTTTTAAGGCACGCTTTCCTAGAGTTCTTAGAATATATTACAGATAGCTTGTTTTAAATCTTTGCCTAATACATCCAACAGCTGGGCTTCCTCAACAACACTTTATATTTATTTCTTTTTTTTACCCCTGTTTGAGCCATGCTTTGTTGTTTCTTTGCATGTCTTCTAAGTTTTTGTCAAAAGTTGGCCATTTAAAATGAATAAATTCTGTAAAATATGTATAAATCTTCATATGTGACCACTGAAGTCTCTGTTCAGTTAGTTTAGTGGTCAGTTCATTATTGTATAGAAATTTCCTTAAACACCTTGGACCTATATCTCTCCAGTTTTTGCTGAGCTTCTGTGTGCATGTTGGGGCCCACCTTCAATGCTCTCGCTGACAGTTTACATCTCTGTCTTAGACTAGAACCTTAAGGTCAGCCAGAGGTGACACAACCTTCTCAGTTCTTTCATGGGCATGTGTATTGCTTTGCACATATATATGTCCTTCTTTATCTGCAGGATTACATCCAATCGTTTCAGAGCCCCCTGTGGACATCTGATACCCTAATTTTCTCTTCAGATTTTTTAGCCAGCTTTTTGTTTTCTGTTATTGCTGTCATAGGCAGCTGAGATATAATTGGCATATTAGAATGAAACAATGTTACCAAAACCAGGCAGAGTTATAAGATAAATATCACAACAAAACCAACATTAACTCTCCAAATAGATACCAGCCCCAAGATCCAGCTCTGGCTGAGGGAGTGGAGGATGTCTCTGGTGTCTAAAAGCTTCTAGTAAAATACTTTATCTCCTGGTTCATGAAAAATTCCTTTCTGTTCCATGGCAAGTTCCTTTCTGTCCCATGGCACTTTCTCCTTTCTCCTCACCAACAATCAAAGTCTCCAAAGGGGATCCAGACATCCAGTTTATCTATGCTCCTGCCAAGGACAATGACTATGGTTACAACCAGAGGGCTTCTTACTATAGAAATTTAGTCATCATGGTTGAGTTTGTCCATTCCTTGGCATTTGCTGTTGCTGGACCCTCCTTTCACCACTGCCAGGACCACTGTTCCCAGAGGATTTCCACACCAACCAAGGAATTCAGGTTTCCTGATTTTCAAGGCTCTACTGTCATCAAATCCCCAGCTCAAAACTGGGCTACCAGAATTGGGTTGGTGTCTTAGTCCATTTGGGCTGCTATAATAAAAACCCATAAACTGAGTAGCTTATAAACAATAGTAATTTATTCCTCACAGTCTGGAACAAGGAGGAAGAGTCAGTGTCAGAGTAATGTGATACGAGAAAGACAACTGGCCATTGCTGGCTTCAAAGATAAAAGCAGACCAGGAGCCAGGAAATGAAGAAAGCCTCTTGAAGCTGGAAAAAGTAAGGACATGAATGCTCCCCTAGAGCCTCTAGAAGGAATGTAGCCTTGTGAAACTTTCATTTTTATCCCAGTGAGTCCTGTTTTGAGACTTTTGCTATTCAGAACTGTAAGATAATAAGTTTATATTGTTTTAAGCCACTAAGTTTGTGATAAATTGTGACAAGGACTCCCTCCTTGACCAAACCTCAGTCAGGCTCTTTTCAACTAGGCTTCATCCTTGGGCCCCATTCTTGGCCTACCAAACCCAGTTTTAGCAAATAATCCTGCTAAGCAAGTTTTTCAAGAATATCCTACCCTTGACAAATGATCAAGCTCTTCTTCCCCCAATCACTGATATATAGCCAAGATCCTCTTAGTAATTTTCCATCTATTCCCTCACTTTGCTTGTTAGGTGTAAGTCCCTACTTTTCCTTGCTGTATTTATAGTTGGGTTTAGTCTCTCTCCCTTATTGCAGTAGTTTTGACCCTGTAGGGGTGAAGGGAAAACATCCCCTTTGCCTTTGGAAGGTTCACTGAAAAATCAACTCATAAAGTTAGATTAATAGGACAAATCACATGCAAATTTATTAACACGCACACAAGGGAGAAGCACAGAGTGATGATCCAGTATCTCAATGGGGCCCAAATACTTACATATCATTATTTCAGAAAAGAGGTAGGAGACAGGAAATATAAGTAATTCTGTTGAGGGACAACAAATGATTACTAGGGAGAATGAATAGATCTGGAAATAGAGATTAACTTTTAAATGGTTCTTTTTGGAAACTGAATGAGCCTGAGAGATGGACATTATCTTCTGAAAAGGTCTGTTCAGATGTGACTACATTTTTGGTATTCTTTTCTGCAATAAATGGGATAACAGGGAAGAGAAGAAAAAATCAATTGTTCTTCTTGGTGGGTTTCTCTGGTCTTTATGTAGATGGGTGAAAATTCTCTTCCAATGCCTGTTGATTTCTAAGAGCCTTTAATTCAAAATACTTATTAAAGCAGGGAGACATATTTTGGGGTAAAATTCCCTGTACTCCCTCAACCCCTACTACAGTAGCCTTGAATAAAGTTTTTCTTGCTGTTTTTGGCAAGAATCTAGTACAATTTCTTTTTCTTTTCCGTCTTTTACAAGAGTAATAGGAAACAAATATAGCCTGTTTCTAGTTTCAGGTTATTAAGAGCTGCTAAGATCATGCATGTACAGTTTTTTCTGTAAAGATAAAATTTCACTTATCTTGGGTAAGTGTCTAAGAGTGAAATTGCTGGCTCAAATTGGCAAGGCCATTTTTAGTTTTCAAATAAATTGTCAAACCATTTTCCAGGCTGGCTGTATCATTTTACATTTCTAAAAGCAAAGTAGAAATGATCCAGTTTCACTATGTCCTCAGTAGCATTTGGTGTTATCACTATCTTCTTCTTTTTGATCTAATAGCATTTTTTTACTACTTTTTTATCGTTGTAAAAATATATAACATAAGATTTGCCACTTTCGTCACTTTTAAGTGTACAATTCAGTGGCATTAATTACACTCACAATGTTCTGGAACCATCAGTATATAAGTAGAATCACACCGTATATGGCCTTTTCATTTAGCATAATGTTTTCAAGGTTGATCCAAATTGCAGCATGTGCAACTACTCGATTCCTTTTTATGGCTGAATAATATTCCATTGTATGTATATACACATTTTGTTAACTTATTCATCTGTTGATGGATATAATTCACATACTTTCAAATTCCATGGTTTATAGTAAACTCACAAAATGTTACAACCATACCACTATCAAATTTCAGAACGTTTCCATTACTTCAAAAAGAAACTGCTTATCCATCGGCAGTCTCTCCCTGTTCCCCCTTGCCTCCTGCTTCTGGCAACCACTAATCAAATTTCTGTCTAGGGATTTGCCTATTCTGAAATATTTCATGAAGATGGAATCACATAATAGGAGGCTTTTCTGGTTTCTTTTACATAGCATAAGATTTGAAAATTTATCCATAATGTAGCATGTGTCAGTACTCCATTGCATTTTATTGGCAAATAATGTTACATAGTAAGATGATATATCACATTTTTGTTTATCTACTCATCAGTTGACAGACATGTGAGTTGTTGCCACTTTTTAGGCTATTGTGAAATAATGCTTCCATGAATATTCATGTACAAATTTTTGTGTGGACATATATTTTTATTTCTTTTGGGTATGTACCTAGGAGTGGAATTGCTGGGTTATATGCAAACTCTTTTTTTAATGTTTTCAGAGAAAGCCAGACAGTTTTCCAAAGCAATTGCAGCATTTTATGTTCCCACAAAAAATGTAGGAGGATTCAATTCTCTCCATATCCTTGTCAACACTTGTTATTATCCATCTTTTACATTATTGCCATGCTGGTGAGTAAAAAGCAGTATCTCATTATGGTTTTCATGTGCATTTCTATAATGCCATTGATATTGAGCATTTTTTCAAGTGTTTATTGACAGTTCTATATTTTCTTTGAATAAATATTCAAATCTCTTTGTCCTTTTTTATTCATTAATTGTATTTTTATTGATAAGAGATGCCTTTATTATTGCTTTTACTAAATTCTTATCACATACGATTTACAAACATTTTCTGCAATATATAAGCTGTCTCTTCACTTTCTTGATAATGTCCTTTGATGCATAGATGTTTTAAACTTTGAGAAAATCTAATTTGCCTGTGTGGTCTTTTATTAATTGTTCTTTTAAGACAAGTAGTAGACGACAAAATAATGGCCCTATGGTTAGTATAGCATGCCTACATATCCCTGGCAAAGGCAATCTGTGCTCCATGAGTGGTGATTGTAAAGACCTTTGGCACTCTGGTGTCTTTATAGAAACTAATTTCTACAGTTTGAATGTTTGTGTCTCTCCTAGATTCATATGTTGAAACCTTATCCTCAGTGTGATGGTATTAAAAGATAGGTCCTTTGAAAGGGAATTAGGTGATGAGAGTGGAGCCTTCACGAATATGATTAGTGCCCTTATAAGAGGCTGAAGAGACCAGAGTTTCTCCCTTCCACCATGTGAGGACACAGCTAGAAGGTGCCCGTCTATGAACCAGAAATCATGCCCTCACCAGACACCAAATCTGCTGGTGCATTGATATTGGAATCCCCAGCCTCCAGAGATGTGAGGAATACATTTCTTCTATTGTTTATCAGCTACTCAGTTTATGGGTTTTTTTTATAGCAGCCTAAATGGAAGACACCAACCCAATTCTGGTAGCCCAGTTTTGAGCTGGGGATTTGATGACAGTAGAGCCTTGAAAATCAGGAAACCTGAATTCCTTGGTTGGTGTGGAAATCCTCTGGGAAGAGTGGTCCTGGCATTGATGAAAGAAGGGTCCAGCAACAGCAAATGCCAAGGAATGGACAAACTCATCCATGATGACTAAATTTCTATAGTAAGAAGCCCTCTGGCTGTAACCATAGTCATTGTCCTTGGCAGGAGTATAGATAAACTGGATGTCTGGATCCCCTTTGGGGACTTTGATTGTTGGTGAGGAGAAAGGAGAAAGTGCCATGGGACAGAAAGGAATTTGCCATGGAACAGAAAGGAATTTATCATGAACCAGGAGATAAAGTATTTTACTAGAAGCTTTTAGACACCAGAGACATCCTCCACTCCCTCAGCCAGAGCTGGATCTTGGGGTTGGTATCTTGGCAGGAAGATGTATTTGGAGAGTTGATATTGGTTTGGTTGTGATATTTATCTTATAACTCTGCCTGGTTTTGGTACCATTGTTTCATTCTAATATACCAATTAGAGATTTAATGCAATCCCAATCAAAATCTTGGCAGTCTTTTTGGTAAAAATTAGCAAAATGATTCTAATATTTATGTGAAATGTAAAGAATATAGAATAGCCAAAAAAAAATAAAAAGAACAAAGCTAGAGTAGTTATACTACCTGATTCAAAATTTACTCTACAGCTACAGTAATCAGGAGAGTAAGGTATTAGTGTAAGGACAGACAATGGAACATCTAGGAAGTTTAGAAAAATACCAGTTATATATGTCAATTAATTTGTTAAAATCATCAAAATGTTCACTTAAAATGGGTGAATTTTTTTTATGTAATTTTTACTTCCTTAAAGTTGGTTTAAAAACAAAACGATAGGTTGAAGAGTTATTTCTCTCTCTCTGTCTCTGTCTCTCTCTCTCTCTCCGTGTGTGTGTGTGTGTGTGTGTGTGTGTGTGTGTAAATAATTTTAACAGCTACATCGGATTTATGTTGTATTTTTTACTTGATTGGAACTACACTGATATAGAATGTTTAGATATTTTCTACTAAAAGCAATACTGTATTTGAATATCCTTGCACATGAATCTTTGCACATTGGTAAAGTTGTCTTTTTTAATGGAATTATCTATATATGGTAAATTTCTAGTTATAGAATTGTTCAGTCAATGACCATATATAATTTTTATGCATATGGCCAAACTGCTCCACAGCAAGTTCATACCAATTTATACTGGAATCAGCAGTGTATCAGATCACTTACTTCCTCATCCTTCCACCAATAAAATGGTGAAAGGCAATTATTCAGTCTGTTTTAATTTGTATTTGATTAACAATGAAATCAAGCAAGTTTATGCCATTTTTTGGTCATCTGTATTTTTTTCTTTTTCTGTTTTTGCAAATTTTCCATACATGCCTTTTGGGCATTTTTCCATTGACTTAATTTTTATCTCTTGGATTTATAATAATATAATAGTTTTTTGCATGTACAATACATAACATTAGTTATTTGCATTTGAGCCTTGCTGATTTTCTTTTTGGACACACATCACAAAGCTGCTTAGCATGTTCATATACTGTAATCCATCAGTCATTTTCTTTCATTGTTTTTGCGTTTAAAGCCATGCTTAGAAAGTCCATTGCCCTCTTCTTTATATAAAAATATTCACCAATATTTTCTTGTTCTTAACAATTTTCATCTTTAAATTTTTGTCTTTTTATTCTACATGGAACTTGTCTGGATATGTCATATTAGGAAGGGTTTTACTTTTTGTCAAGTATTTAATTAGTTTTTACAGCACCACATACTAAATGATCCTCCCTTTCCCCACTGATTTTAAGCTACTTTTAGCATATATTACAAACTTTCATGTATTCGATTCTGTTTGGGGCCTTTCTAGTCCATTCCAGAATTTCGTTCTTGCAACAACATGATTTTAAGTGTTTCCTTCCCTTTTATGGTATGTTTTGAATGCCTGTCACTAATTTGTATTATTCTTAAAAACATTTCCTGACACTTGTCATTTATAGTTTCAAATATACTTAATTATTTCAAATTTGTACATCCATTAGTAATATTGTTGGGTCTTTGTTATGAGTCTAGCACATTATAGGTTAATATCTCAGAACTGTCCTCTGTGTGTGTATGTGTGTGTATTTAAAGTGAAGGAGATTATTTTTATTTGTTATATTTTATAACTTTTATTTCTGATATATGGGAAAGCTGTTGACCTTTCATATTTAATTTATACACAGTACTTCAACAAATTAAATGTAATGGCTCTTTTATTTCTACGTGTGTTTTCCTGGTATGCAGTCACATTATCTGCAACTAATGATAATTGATAGTTATACTTCTTATTTATTTATTTAATCTTAATATGTTGGCAAGAATCTCCAACATATTACATATTAATATCTAATAACCAAAATGCCATCATATCCCATTATCTTTTCTCTTCTCTTACTTAATGGGAGTGGTTGTAGTCCTTCTTATATAAGTTATTGTTTATTTTATGTTTAGAATATATGTTTTTTTATGTCAAGAATGATCCCGTCTAATCTGTGAAAAATTTAACTGCTTTTAACTAAGAATTGATTTGGAATTTTATCAAATAGGTTTTTAGTGTCACTCAACATTATTACTTGTTTCTTCTTTCTGTGATAATGTTTAAATTAAACATAGTGAATCAGACTTCCCTATATTTTACCATCCATGCTATTCTTCTAAAAAATGTCTTGAATTTTTTAGTCTATTAAATTGGTAATACATTTTAAGGACTACATATGGATAAACTTGACTTCGAAACATATTGTGAAACAACAGATTATAAATATAATTGCCATTATCTTTTATGGAAATGCATAATCTGAAAGGTTGCTGGGTGAGGTTTTGACCTGTAAAAGGCAAGAGGAAATCTTTGCTATATTGCCCTTCTTATCTGTCCTTGTGTATTTTTTTAATCTATCAGGAAGTGCTCTGTTAAAGTATTTTCACTCATGTATATGCTGTTTTACAAGTCCTCTTGGGGGCGCATATACATATTTTTATGCCTGTCAGTGCTCACCTATGTGCATGCTATGTAAACTATTTTTTGTCACTTAGAACATAAACATTTCTCTTCTCCTTTAGCTTATCAGTGTTGCTGTCCAACTGATTCCAGGCCCCACTGGAACATTTTGGGGTTTCCTAGGTTACACATTTCTGTTTATCCTGTTGAATGGCTGTTTGTACTTCTTCTTCCAAGTCCTGGAAAACAAGAGAATCCAAAAACCAACAGAAGTTACTATAATGAACACAAATGTTACTATAACGAACACAATGAAGGTTACTGTGGGAACATAGGACTCTGTGCCTCACCATCAACTCAATTCCTTTTCAACTCTGTCCCATTCTCATCTGTCAATCAGATTCCCACTCCTTAGTTTATTTATTCTTTTGTAATAATTAACTGAAATAAAATGATTAAATCATTCAGTTAGTTTTCTAAGCTTCCGTCAAGTACCATGATTATTTAGGCTTTTAGTTTGTTCAAACGGCAAGTTTCTTTTTAAGCGTTCTTAAGAAAGTTTGCATTTAAAAGTGGTTAACTTTATAAGGAAAATGACTAAACATCCTGACACGTAGCATATTGCTTCAACACACACTTGTTGTTTTTCTCCATCTAGATTTTATTGCAAATATTCACCTTAATGATATTGGATAAGCCCCACTTGAGCAGTAAATGATTATATTCTTAGTCTGGCAAATTATTAAAAAGGAAGAAATTTCAACGTGGTATCTTTCTTTGTAATCATCTATGCATTTTCTTAATTCAAAATAGTGTTTTCTGTTAAGATCTTTGTAAGAGCTTCCATTATAAAGTATTAGTCACAAAATATGACTTAGAGATAAATCCAAGAAGTATTAATATACATCAATTTCACATTCATAAAGCAAAATAAACTGTTTCTAATGACAAATTTTAAAATGAGGCAAAATAATGCACTAAATATATATCTTTTGTGAGCTTCTAAGTCTGCCTACAACAAATGCTATAATATATAATCTAATGAGGTAATTAATCAGATTTAAAATAAATATTAGGCTTATTTTTACCTGTTGCCATATTTCTATGTTGTACATTTAGAACTTCAAGTACAACAGAAATAATAAGTCACTGTGTGTGAGCAGCAATTAATGTTCCTTGTTTCTCATGTTTTCCAAGATTGTCAAGTGGTGCTGGAGTAAATTGGATCAGTAATATTTTTTGATACCTTCTTATCATATACTTGATTTTGTCAATAAAGTAGGGATAATATAACATATGTTTGGTTAATGACAATGTGCATCAAAGTTAAAAAACAAATTCTTGTAAGGTGGCTTTGTTCAAATTTGACTTCGGTTTTAAAAAATTCAGAACCACCTGGAAGTAGATCTATAAAGTACTTTTATCAGTAGACGGAAAGATGGTTTTGTTGGTGCTGTAATGGTGCAATGTAAGAAAACTGCAATTTAAATTCAAACAGACTTTTCTACAGCTTCTTTGCCCTAACAATGATTACTTCTGAATTTCATTACTTAGTATCAAAGAATGATCACAGGAATTAATTCTGCAACATCAATACGAATTACTTTTTCTTTTGAAGGGTTAGCTGGAATCCTAAATGTAAGTCATTTATAATAGCACTTCCATGGGTTTTCCAAAGAATGGACATAAGAACAATATGACTGTAAATAAGCAAACTATCTCTCATTTAGTATACTTAATGATTCTTTATTCCTTTACACGTTAAGCTTTTTATTTAGTGTTCCTCGAATTGTATTTTGCAATTCACTTGCATTAGAATCATTTAAGATATCAGTTAAAGTGAAGATTCCTGGGTCCTACATCAGATGGACTAAATCAGGATCTCAAGTTGTGGGAATCCACTTTTTTTTTTCTGATCTCAGGATGATTCTGAGACTCAGTTAAGTTTGTGAACCACTGTCTTAAGGGTAAGGGTTTTGACAATATCCTGTATGCATTCTTCTTGAGGAAACTCAACCACACTCATTCATATGCTGATGGCACCAAAAGCTGTATCTGTAGCAAAAATCTCTTCTGCAATCCACACTTGCATATAGACCTGCTTAGCTCATGTAACTGAGACCTCATGTTACAAAGTGATTGCTTTATTTTTCCACCTTACCCACAACACACACAGACACACACACATACACACGCCCCTTCCCTCTTTACCTGTTCTCCTTCTTTTGAAGCCTAATGCCAACCAAGCACTACAGCATTATGTCAACCACATCCACTTAATTAAGCCCTGTGAATTTTACCTTTTCTATGTTTTTTATTCATCTACCTTCCTCTTCATTCTTATTGCCCCTGTCTTATTAACGGCCACTATTATCTCTTGTTAGACAACATTAACGTCTTCCTTACTACTTTTCCTACTTCCCCTTGGTCCCCCTCCAAACTTTTCTCCATGCATCAGCAGTGAGAGTAATCATTCTAAAATACAAATATGATCATGTAACTTCCCTGCTTAAACTCCTCCTCATCGGTCCCCTATAATCAATAAGATAATGTCCACATTTATTAAACTCTCATACTACTCCTTATGATAATGGTTATCTCTCTAATCATTTTTCCTACCACTCTTCCTTCTCCACGTAGGCACATTTTATCCCAGTTTTAGAGAACTAATAATTTTCAGCTTAAGAAACAAGCTGTCCCATCCCTTTCCTCCACTGACTGTATCAAGCCATCATGAAAATTTTCACTGATTTATTTGTCTCCTCCTCTAGATTTAGTTTGTTCATCTCTATATCCCTAGCACCAAGCACAGTTCCCAGTACACAGTATAAGTTCAAAATTTTTGTTGAGTGAATATATAAATAATGGGTAACATAATATTTATTTGTATCTATTAGTAATATGCAACATAATATAGTGCTGCAACACACCCCTTCTGGAAACAGAACTTTTAGGTTACATTCTGGCTTTGCAGCTTGTTATGTGACCTCAAACAATTTACTTAAGCATGTCTGTGCTTTAGGTCCTTTATCTTTAAAGTAGTTATAATAATAGAATCTACCTCCTAAGATTCTTGTGAAGATTAAATAAGAAAATAAATCGTTAGAAAACTATCTGACACACAGCAAGTAGTCCATAAATGCTGGCTATTATTTTTACTTCTTTCATGCTCCAAGAATTATTCCTCACTTCTGAGAGATCTCATCATTTTATTCATTTCAAAAATTTGTGTTTCTCCTCTCAGCCATCAGCTTGGAAGAGTCACATTTGTTTTAGTCTAACTGTAATGGATGTCTCTCCAGACCCTCTGTCATTTTAAAGGTTCTTTCCTGGATCTTCTCTAACTCTGACATTGGTAGATATGTTGACCAGAATTTTAAACTATATTCTTGATGAGTTTATAGACTCAAAAGGAAAATACATTTTGTTTCTACAAAATTTCCTGAAAATAGTCAACATTTTTCTTGCCTTGGTAACTACATCAACACTTTGAGGCAATATCTTCAGGAAACAGTTTACCAGAACTTCAAGATCATAATAATTTCCTGGAAGCATAATTGACAGCTCTAACCCCACAGCTCAAACCCTGTGTTTGAATATGAGTTCTGCTGACAACAGAAGGAATTTTTGTTATTTATTGTAAAGAAAATTAATAAATGGTTCAGCCTTGGGGCAGACTTATACCAATATAATATTGTTTCTCACTTGGTTGATTCTTAAAAAGATTTGTTAAGGGCAGCAAATAAGCTTTACAAGATGAGGGAAATGGAACTTTTATATAAATTTGTATGTATCAGATTTTATATGATTTATAGGTTTTGAATTCTTATTTTGTTTTGGCTATTTTAGACTGTAGATTATCATCTCGGAGAGTTCAAAAAGAATAATTTTTTTAGTAAATACTGTACCTTGTTTACAGTTAAGCAATAACACTTTGAATAAAACGTTTGAAGAGACAGTTTAATCTTTTCCAAAACAAATTAAAGAATGAGAATTTTATAGATAGAAAAGATGCCAAAAGTCATCTATCCCAATATACAAACATATAAAAACCGGACACCAGAAAAGATCTGTGACTTAACTGATTTCACACAGCTGGGCAAATGTCAAGATAGAACTGCTAAATTTTATGGGAGGTCATTGTTTTGGACTGGGCTCTTGCACTAGGCCCAAGCAGACCAGACAAAATCAGAATGAAGTCACTTGTGCTGAGTGCCATGTAATCAAACTAAACTTTGAAATGGGCTAGTGTTTTTTGTTTTTGTTTTTGTTTTTCTTGTTTTTTTTTTTAAAGAAAAAGCCAGGAGATTCCAGTTAACCTGAGTCAGCGTAAAAAGAAAGACCCCTATTTTTAAATCCATAAGGAAAGTAACTTAGAAACGATCTGTTTTTTTATTCTGTTTTTGCTTTTTTCAGCTACTTTCTTCCTATGAAACCAACCTCCTCTACTCAGTCCCTCGGAATACACATTTCATTTTATAGACTGAGGTGTTGCCTTATTCTAGAATCACAAGTAAAAGCCAATTAGATCTTTAAACTAAATTTGTTGAAATTTTGCCCGTTGACAGAACTTATTTGTGCTCACACTCAGTTTATTGTTTTAACTTTTGTGGGTACATGGTGTATATATTTATGGGGCGCATGAAATGTTTTTATACAGGCATGCAGTGCATAAAAATCACATCATGGAGAATGGGGTATCCATCCCCTCAAGCATTTATCCTTTTTGTTACTAACAATCCAATTGTACTCTTTTTGTTATTTTTAAATGTACAATTGTTATTATTGATTATGGCCACCCTGTTGTGCTATCAAATACTAGGTCTCATTTATTCTTTCTAACTACTTTTTGTACCCAGTAACCATCCCCATCTCCCCTCCACTTTCCCACTACCCTTCCCAGCCTCTGAATTTATTGTATTTTGTTAAACAGCAATAATTAATTAAATTAATTTATTATAATAGAAAATTTTTGTAATTATAAAACAACAAAGAATAATTGACACGAAGGCTAGAATGCTAAACTACAGGTTAAAATGATGAAGGTGGGGTAATTATATCAATAGGGTTTTATAATTAAGAATGGAGGTTTATATTTTGTTAAGGGCTCCAAAGTCACAAGTAAGCTCAATGGATACAAAATAATATTCATACAACCTCAAAAGCTGTACTGAATTGGACTTTTATTTGGGAAGACAAACATGTATATGTAGGGGCAATACATATAATTAATTAATTAATATAATTAATACATACAATTAATTTCAAAATTGCAAAAGAAAGTTTGTTCTTTAAAGGAATCTAATAAACATATGCTACAAGTAACAATCATCTTATAAAATGAGCAACTACCCTCTAAATGTGTGTTTCTAAAATTGTGGTCTGCTAGCCATCTACATAAGAATCATAGAGGAATCGTTTAAAATGATCAGTTTCCTAGACCCTCCTCACAGACCCCATCTCAGAACTGCAAAATAAGAATTAATGGGGACAGGGCCTGAGATCTGCATTTTATGGCCACTACACCCCCCGCATCATCTTGATTCTCTGGCAACATAATGTTTGAATGTCACTACATTCATATTATCAGAGTGAAAACTCCATTAAAAATGCTGAAGAAGGTAACTTCTATTTAACTGAATTTATGCCAATGAAAATTATCTTTCTTTTCTCATTCCTCGTTGATAATTTTTTTTAAAATTGTTAACTACCTCGAAAAATAGAGCATGCTGAGCAAATCTTTGTTATTGCCATGGACTTTGTAACACCTTGGGGCTGACCTTTGATATTTTACTACTGTTCAGAATGAGAGATAATGGAGCTGAATCTGTTTACCAAAGGCATGTCCTAGAATCCATGTAGAAAATCTCATACCTATACTTAGTTTTATTTGAAAATTTCAAATTTATAATAAAACAAAGATAATTTAGAACTTGCTCTGTGTTTTCAAAGTGAACATGTCCCCAACCCCAAGATTCTGATATGTCTCCCTCATCTCTCTTCTCTTCCTCTTACAGCCCTTCCACCTTGAGAATCACTTCTCTAGAATGAGAAAGTCTTCTCCCCACTTTAAAACATCTCCAGCCACTTCTTCTGCAGCTGCTTTGTGTTTTTCACTAATTTAGCTTAAAAAATTATTTACTTAACTTAAAGTTCATATTAGTTGGCTTTGTACTTGTGATACTTTTCCATAGCACGCTTGTTTAAAGTGAGCATGACTGCTTATGAAAACCCTATTATCAGATGTCAATGGGAATGTCTTCAGTTTCAACTTTACTGCATAAGAACTACAAAACAGAAAGCAACGATACAATCTGAAATAATCCTCTTGGGATCATGTACAATTATAGAAAAATACTGTTTGCATGTTTAATGTATGATATTTCAGGGTACTGGAAACATTAGTTTTATTGGAGCAATCAATTATATTATCAATTAGTATAATTCAGATTTATAGAATTTTTCCCTCCAATGTGCTTAATACACCAGTTAAAATTTAGAATTATTGCTTAAAACATTAAAAAATTATACTATAGAACAACTTTTGTTGTATAGTTCTGAATTTAATATAAGAATGTATTTTATAATCATCGTAACAATTGCTATACGAGATAGTTCCATCACCTCAAAACCTTCCCTTATGCTGCCCCTTTGTAACCAAAGCCTTTTCCCGCCCTTAAACCCCGGAAATCCTTGATCTGCTTTCTGTTACTATAGTTTTGCCTTTTCTAAAATGTTATATAAATGGATTCATACAAAATATATAACCCTTTGAAACTGGGTTCTCTCAGCATAATATCTTTGAGATTTATTCATGTTGTTTTATAGATCAATAGTTCAGACCTTTTAATTGCCATACTGCTGCTTGTTTCTCCATTCTGTTTACTTTTTAAAGGACTTCAGTGTTGTTCCTAGTTTGTTGATTATGTATCAAGCTACTATGGACATTTGTGTACAAGTTTTTATATGGACATATTTTCATTTATCTTGGTTTTATACTTAGGAGTGGATTGTTGGACAAAGTGATAATTCTTTAAAATTTTGGGAAACTGTCATACTATTTTCCAAAGTGGCTGCCCCCCTTACATTCCTACCATCAGTGTATGAAAGCTCCAAATTCTTCCCACTCTCATCAACACCTATACATGGTTTATGTAAACACAAGTTTTCGTTTCTCTAATGTAAAAAGAGTACCATTTCTGTATCACTCGGTAATTGTGCATTTCAGTTTACAAGAAGTCCCTTTCCAGAGTGGCTGTACCATTTTGCATTCCTACCAGCAATGTAGGAGTCTTCTAGTTGCTCTGCATCTTCACAAGCATTAAGTATTTTCAGTTTTTTTTTTCCATTCTGATAAGCGTGTAGTGATATCACATTTTGGATTTAATTTGCATTTCCCTGAGGACTAATTACATTGAACTTCCTTTCATGTGCTTCCTTGTCATCCATATAGCTTATTAGTGAGATATCTGTTTAAATCATCTTCATTGTTTTATTGGTTGATTTGTTTTCTAAACATTGACTGTTGAGAGTTCTTTATATATTCCAGATAAAAGTCCTTTGTTTGATATGAGGTTCACAAATATTTTCTTTCAGGCACTGGCTTGTCATTTCAACCTCTTAAAAGTGTCTTTTTGCAGGAAAAAAAGTTAAGTTTTGATGAAGTCTAATTTATCATTTTATAATGGATCATGCTTTTGCGGCCATATTTAAGAACTCTACCTAACCCAAAGTCATAAATATTTTCTTGCACAGTTTCTTTTAACAGTGTTTGGAGTTTTTTGTTTTACATTTATATCTATGATCCATTTCCAGTTAATTTTTGTGTAAGATGTGAGGTATAGCTTGAGGTTCACTTTATTTGCATATGGATGTTCAATTTTTCCAACACCATTTGTGGATAAAGGCTCTTCTTTCTCCATTGAATTGAAATCAATTGAGACAAAATGGTGCATAAGGAGCCCTACAGTCTTTCCTCCCAGCAAGACATTCATAACTTTAAAAATTATTTTTTAAAAACAATAACCACTTAAAGTCTATGGAAATTGTCTTAAGGTAATACAGGAAGTAGAAAAAAATGTCAATTTAAAAAATCTACTAAATCTTGGTAAGAACAGTGCGAGTCCATGATCAAGTGGAATTTATCTTAGAAATGCAGACTTATTGACTATAGACACCCTGCACTCAAATTCTAGGTCTTATTCATTCTATTTCTTTTTGTAACATTAACCATCCCCACCTTTCCTCCCAGCCACTGACTACCCTTCCCAGCCTCTGGTAACCATGCTTCTACTCTTTATGTTCATGAGTTCAATTGCTTTGATTTTTAGATCCCACAATAAATGAGAACATGCAATGTTTGTCTTTCTGTGTCTGGCTTATTTCACTTAACATAATGATCTCCAGTTCCATCCATGTTGTTGCAAATGATTGGATAGCATTATATTTTGTGGCTGAGTAGTACTGCACTGTGTATGTGTACCACATTGACTTTATCTGTTCTGTGTACCCACAAAAATTAAAAATTAAAAAATTAAAAACAGAAATGTATGTACATTTGATTTAACATGTAAAATGTGAATCATCTTAATGCATCGCATTTTTAAAAATACAAAAATCACATGATTATCTCAATAGATGTAGAAAAAGCATTTGGCAAAGTTCAACACAAGTTCATGATGAAAACATTCAAATATGTAAGTTCACTGAGGTTAGTTGTGCAGATTAATGATTTCCATCAAATTTGGGAAAATTGGCGGCCTTGAAATATTTTTCTTCCCCTCCTTTCTTTCCTCTCTTCCCATTATGTGGGTGACAATATGCTTAATGGTGTCCCAACAGTTCTTTAGGGCTCTATTCATTTTTCTTCATCCTTTTTCCCTCCTTTTCTTCTGTGTGGGTATTCTCGGTCAATGTCTTTGAGTTCATTGATTCTTTCTTCTGTAAACTCAGATCTACTCTTGAGCCCCTCTGGTGCATTTTTCATTTCAGTTATTATAATTTTTGACTCCATAATTTCCATTTGGCTCATTTTTTATAACTTGTATTTCTTTATTGATATACTCTCTTTGGTCAGTTACCCTTCTCATGCACCTATTTAGTTCTTTACAAGTGCTGCCCTTTAGTTCTTTGAATATGTTTAAAGCTGATTTAAAGTTTGCCTAGTCAGTAAAACTTCTGGGTCTCCTCAGAGACAGTTAATATATATTATGCTTTTCCCCTTGTGTCTGAGTCTTATTTTCCTGTCCTTTACATGTCTTGTGAATTTTTTGTTGTTGAAATTGCATATATTAAATAATATAATATAGCAATTCTGTAATTCACATCCCTCCCTTCCAGGGTTTGTTGTTTTTGATGTCTGTTTTTAGCTTTGTTTTTTGTTTGTGGGTTTTTTTTTTTTTTTTTTTTTAGTGACTTTCCTAGACTAACTCTGTAAAGTTTATGTTTTTGTCTCGAGTAGCTACTGGAATCCTTGCTTAGTTTTTTTCATAGCTATCTAGTGATTGGACAGATATTTCCTTAAATGGTTAGAACCAGTGTATCTATCTCTCACTAATTGCTAAGTGGTTCTGTGTATGTGTGTTGGAGCATCTTTCTAATTCCAAGGCAGGAATCTTGCCTCCTCCCCTTAACTTTCACTTCCTGCTTGCAAAGAGCCTCCAGGTCAGTCAGAGGTGAGAGATTTGGGCCTTTTCAGGTCTTCCTTGAACATGTGCACAGCCCAACATATATGCATGGTCTTCTAGGGTCCTAAGAATATTTTGGAATTTTTCGAAGCCCCCTACATTTCATTCCCCATGTTTTAAAGTTTTTGTTTGTTTGTTTGTTTCTTGAGAGAGAGAGTCTCACTCTGTTGCCCAGGCTGGAGTACAGTGACGCGATCTTGGCTCACTGTAACCTCTGCCTCCTAGGTTCAAGTGATTCTCCTGCCTCAGCCTCCCAAGTAGCTGGGACTACAGGCGCACACCACCATGCCCGGCTAATTTTTTGTATGTTTAGTAGAGGCAGGGCTTCACCATGTTGGCCAGGCTGGTCTCAAACTCCTGACCTCAAGAGATCGGCCTGCCTTGGCCTCCCAGAGTGTTGGGATTACAGGCGTGAGCCACCACCCCTGGTCTTTAAAGTTTTTAGAATCTGTTCTTGTTTGCCATATTATCACCATGTCACGTAGCTGTGATGTTAGACAATTGTCTCTGATTGCTTTTCAACATATGCTTTCAGGGAAAGGGCTGTTTGCACTGAGAAATCTTTGAGTTAGGTAACATAAATACAACTCCTGTGAGTGACAGCATGAGGGAACTACCTCACAGGTCAAATAATAACAGTTCTCTAGGAATGGGGCCTGTTGGGGAGCACCAAACTCAATACTCCCCTCTCCAGTGGTTTCTAGGCCACTGATTGTCATAGCTACCATAATTGCAAGGCTGTTGGTTTTCAAGGCTACCATAGAACTGGGGAGAAGCAGGTTGAAAAGGGGCATGTTAAAATGGCACAAAATTATTCTTACCAAGATACCCTCATTTTTCTTCTATAAATACACCTTAGATGGATGCAAATCTTTCTCTAATTTTCAGATTTCTGAAATAGTTAATTTTGATAATCTTTGCTTGTGCCTTCATTGCCTTTATAGAGGAGAAGTTTTTCAGATCCCACCATTACATGGAGGAATAGGTGGCTATTTCTGTTTTGTTTGTTTGTTTGTTTGTTTTGCTATTGACCTTGTTTGGTAATATTTTTATTTTTCTTGCTGTATTTTTCAGTTCTAAAAGATACATTTGATTTTTTTGTCTTTTGTTTCTCTTTTGAGACTTTCTGTCTTTCCATCCCTCTTAAGACTATTTGCACTTACTTTATGGAGTATGGTTGTAATAGCTGCTATAGTGTTGAATAATTGCAACATTTGATTCATCTCAGAGCCGATGTCTGTTTATTGTGTTTTCCCTGGAGAATTTGTCAGAATTTCATAATCTTTGTATATTTAGTAATCTTAGATTGTATTTTGGGCATTGTTGATATTTTAAGTTTTGAGGTATATAAATAAATTCTATGAAGCTTTTTTTAAACAATTGAGCCAGTTATATGCAGTCCCCATGTTTCAACTTGCCTTCACTTCGCTGGGGTTCCAATATAAAGCTTTCAGTTTTGAAAGCTTTAGCAGTACTATTTAGATCTTTCCACTGTGTGCACCACCCAGGGGTCAGTCTGAGACCTTTGGTATGCTGTGTATTATTATATCAATGTGTACACAATTTGGATATGAGTCTAGAATTGATTGGCAACTTTATGGGATCCCATTCTTGTGCTTCGCCTTCTCCCTTGACTCTCCCATGTTCTCCATCTGACAAAGCCGTGTTTTTTGGTTATCTCACTAGAGAGCCAGGGTTTTCTTTTTCTCTGCTTTCTCACAAATTCCCTGCATCTGTCTCTGTCTCTGGGGCCAAGTGATAGGAAAGTAAAAAGAGAAAGTAAGCAACAGACTTTCCCCCCATACTCTTTGGGCCACCATTCTTCTGGCAAGAAGATCTTCCTTCCACAGAATTTTAGGTGTCTGCCTGCCTGCTGCTGCACCACTACCATAGTGTTGCAGCACCAGGAATGAAACTTGCTTACAGGCCAGGCCTGGAGGGAAAACTACAAATAATACACTCCACTCTTTCTGTACCTTAGGCATTCTCCTTCCCAACTTAGACTAGAAAGAGATGGCTTCCCTTGGACTTCTTTCTGTCTGCAGTTGATGCAGTTCCAGGACACAGACTGCATGAGTCCAAATCAGGACATATAGAAATGAAAAAAAAAAATTGGTAACTCAGTGCCAGATTGTTTATTATTCCTGTTCCTACTTCTTACCCCAATATTTTTGCTGCCATTTACTTTTCAGATCTGGAGCCCCATATAGCTGCACCACTCAATCTGCCCAGGGATTTTAGTTGCATTCAGTGGGGGGAGTCAGAGTGAGGTGTGCTTACTCCATATTAACAGAAACTGGAACTCTCTTCAAAATCTGAAGACTGGAAATTGTATTATATTCCTGCTTTCTACTATTAAATATAAATATTAAGTTTTAAATGTATTTAAGCTTATTATAAAATATTGCTTGCAGTGAACTTACAATGAAGGTAAAAATAGCAATTTTAGTAACAAACAGATTCACCTGAGCCCAGGGATGTCGAGGATGTAATGAGCCAAGATTGTGCCACTGCACTCCAGCCTGGGCAACAGAGTGAGACCCTGTCTCAAAGAATAATGATAATAATAATAATAACAAACAGATTAAAGAATAAAAACTTCCCAAAAAAGAAAGTCTCTTCAATAAAGGAAGATGGAAATCACCTGTTTTCAGAGATGCATTTTTATTCATAGGTTAAAGTATGGAATAAAGCAAGCTCTTCTACTCTTTTCTAAGTTACGCTAAGCCCTCTCTAAACACACCTCTTTAAAGACTAATTACTAAATTACAATACTGAGTTTTTCTTTAATTTGAGGAACCAGTCAAATAAGTTTATCCTTAAATTTTCTTCCAAGTAGTCTCAGAAATTCAAGACACATAGGAAGAAATCCCTAGGTTAGCTATACTACTAATAATGTTACTTTTATACAAAAAAATCATTATTTCTTACTTGTGTAATATTACAAATAGATATTACATTCTGGGGGAAAGTCCAAGTGAGTTCTCACACTCCAAAGCAAGGACAAAATAATCCAAGTCCAAACAATGCTCAACTTTATGCAAATTTATGAACACTAACTAGATCAGTTCACATTTGTTTGGAGGCCAGGAATTTTTTAAAAATCTGATGAAATCTAGATCCATCTCCCCAGAAAAATGCATACACACACATTTTTATCTGATTTTCATGATTTTTTATCAGATTATGTAACTATAAAGAGAGCTAGATCATATATATATATATATATATATATATATATATATACACACATACACACACACACGCATGCACACAATTTTGCATACATTTGCAGAGGTTTTTTTATATACTCTCAATATTAGATTAAGAACATTTGTCCTAGAAATGAATGACTAATAAATTTGTTTCTTTTCAGCCCCTCTTTCCTGAGTTCCAGACCTTTATTTTCAACTTTCTATGGGAAAACTTTACTTACATGTACTGGAGTCACTTCAAATTAAGCTGTCATACCGAAATTGCCACTTCGCCCTATTTTCCTTTTCTCACAGTTAATGGATTCACCATCCACCTGATTACTCAACTAAAATCCTAGGAGTCATCTCAAAATCTCCCTCTCACTCACACCTCACTACAATCAAAACTAGTCCTATCCATTCTACCTTCTAAATATACTCTAAATCTATCCTCCCACCCTCTCCTCCACTGCTAAGATGTGACCTGAAGACCTCATTATGTTCTACCTAATCTATTATAGAGGGCTCTTAAGATGGCTCTTTGCCTCTACTTTTCCATATCCAGTATATCCTTCACACTGTTGCCAAATATATTTCTGAAACATGAATTTGTATGTTGCACTCCTCTTCTAATGTCTAAAGCACTGATTTCAGAAGCAAAATTAAAATATAATAATATAAAAATCAGAGGACTCATGTTTGTTTCTCAAGTCAGATATCTTGTGGAAGCCCAGTATATCAGGCAGAAAAAGATAGGATAAAATTCCCAAACTTGCCCTATTATGAGTCTCCGCATGTGTGGGGAGCCAGTTAAAAGTAGCACTTGCCAAAGTCTCATTCCAGACTTCCTAGGCATAATTTTCGCGGGCAGGTCACAGGAATCTGCATTTTCTAGAAATACCGGATGATTTTTATAAACAGGCAAGTTTGAAAATATTTGTTTGAGGAAGGCATCAAATGATTTAAGATGACACAAAAAGGGACATCACAATTTGACCCCAATTTATTTTTCTAACCTGCTTTTTTCATGCAGCGTATCTTCCAACCACATCAAACTATTCACCATTCTTTGAATTTGCCACACCCTTTATTTTTGTCAATGTGCCTTTGCACATCAACTTTCCTTTTCCTGGTATGCTTTCCTCACCTTATCCACCTGTTGCCTGTCTTCCTATCCTTGAAGAACCAGAGCAAAGCTCACATTTTCTGTGAAACCGTCCCTGACTCTTCCTAGGGCTAGGGCTTAGCACATTACACATCTGTATTAGTCCATTCTCACACTGTTAATAAACACATACCCAAGACTGGGTAATTTATAAAGGAAAGAGGTTTAATTGACTCACAGTTCCATATGACTGGGGAGGCCTCACAATCATGGTGGAAGGCAAAGTCACGTCTTACATGGCAGCAGGCAAAAAAAGCATGTGCAGGGGAACTCCTCTTTATAAAACCATCAGATCTTATGAGATTTATTCACTATCACGAGAACAGTATGGGAAAAACCCACCCCCATAATTCAATTACCTCCCACCAGGACCCTCCCATGACACGTGGGAATTATGGGAGCTACAATTCAAGATGAGATTTGGGTGGAGATACAGCCAAACCATATCAACATCTTAGTCTCTGCCATTAGTTTGATAGCAAGCACTATGTCTGATCTCCATCTGTATCCTCTTTAAAACATAGCACAATATTTAGTACATAATAACCACTGAATAAATGTCTTAAATAATGACTGAGTGAATCCATGAATTCATGAATAAATAAATGAATAAATTCATGAATAAATGAACAACCAAGGTCAGCAAATATCACACTTAAAAATATAATTATTTGCAGAAAGAAAGACATTGAGCCTACATTAATTGGTCTGTAATTTCTTTTAAAACATTTTGGTATATATTAATACAATGTGATAAAGACATAGGCATGGTCAATATTAATTTATAACCAAGGTACAGTTAGTTAACATTTGAAGTATAATAAACTACCACATACCCTTCACCTAGATTCAGGGATCCACATTCCTATGGTGAGTAGTTATCATTCCAAGGACATGCTCCAGTTCTTCAATATTTCTATGTAAGTGTACAAAATAGAGTTTTTTAATTAGTATACAAAATAATTTTTCATTGGTGAAATTAAAATAGTTCAAATTTTGTGGTTGTTGTACTGGAACCTCCACTTTGTCTTTGAGGATCTGGTGAGCTCAGCCAACTAACAACTTCAAACTACTTACATCTAAGACCCTGGCTTTATTTACTTTTTTATATAAATTTAAGGGGTACAAGTGCAGTTTTGTTAAATGGATATATTGCATACTGGTGACATCCAGGCTATTAGTGTAACCATCACCCGAATACTGTACATTGTACACGTTAGATAATTTCTCATGCCTCTTTCCTTTTCCACCTTCCATCCTCTACCATGTCCAAGATAATATTTGAACTAATGCCAATCCTTCACCCACAGCCCCCTACCTAATACTTATTGTCTGATGTGATTAGAAGACTTACTGTTTGTGCCATCAGTATGTTCGTGCACCCATTTCCAAGTAAGCCTTTCATGCAAAGTGCCAGTGTCCAAGGAAATAGTTGATAAGGACTTCAAAGAACATAGAAGAACAAGTTGTATGACATTTTTTTTTGTGTGATTGTTAATGTCTTTAAGTGGGGCAGAATGCAGCCTGAGCTTTGCTTTAATTGTAATATACCATTTGGTAGTGAGGCTAATCAGCAAAATACATATATCTCCTACCTATGTTTTCCTGCCACTTTTTATTTTGAAAAATTTTGAGCCTACACAAAGGTTGCAAAGATAATATAATAACCTACCACATACTCTTCACTTAGATTTATCAATTATTAATGTAAAATGATTCCACATTTATGCTTCCTGTCTTTCTTGCATTCCCATTCCCTCTATATATGTCTTTTTCTCCCCCTGCATATGTATTTAGTGCTTACTTTGCAAGTTGAATACTGTATTTCATGAAAATTCACTCCCAAATTCTTCATCATGTATCTTCTAAGAACAAAGGCATTCTCCTACATAATCACAATGCAATTTTCACATTCAGAAAGTTTAACATTGATATGATACTATTATCTAATATACAGTCCATACCTGTACTTTCTCAATTGTCCCAGCAATGTCTTTTATAGGTCTTTATTTCTTAATCCATTATCCGATCACAGATCATGAAGTGCAGTTGTTTATCATACTTAACCTCTTTAATCTGCAATAACTTTCCAGCCATTCCCTCTCTCTCTCTCTCTCTCTCTCTCTCTCTCTCTCTCTCTCTATCTATCTCTCTCTCTCCCCCCCCCCCTTTTCCTTTTTGAGACAGGGTCTCACTCTGTCACCCAGGCTGGAGTGCAGTGATGCGATCATGGCTCACTGCAGCCTCAACTTCCTGTGCTCAAGCAATCTTCCTGCCTCGGCCTCCCTAGTAGCTGGGACCACAGGCACAAGCCACCATGCCTGACTAATTTTTTCACTTTTTGTAGAAACATGGTCTCACTATGTTGCTCAGGCTACTCTTGAACTCCTGGGCTCAACAGAGCCTCTTGTCTCAGCCTCCCAAAATCCTGGGATTACAAGTGTGAGTCACCGTGCCCAGCCATTTTCTCTTTTTTTTCATGAACCCGATATTTTTGAGGAGTCCAGGTCAGCTGTTTGGCATAACATCTATCAATTTGGATTAGTCTCATTGTTTTTTCATGATTGGGTTTAGGTTAAATGTGACAGAAATACCACATAGTTGATGTTTTGTCCTCCTTAGTGCATCACAAAACAAAGTAAGTTTATTCCCTTATTGGTAGTTACAATTTAGATCACTTGGTTAATGCAGTGTCCAGTAGATTTTTCTTGTCGAGTTACCTCTCTTCTTTGTAATTAGTAACTAATTTTTCACATGATACTTTTAGACTATGTGAATGTCTTGTTCTTCAAGCCTTTGTTCACTGATGATTTTTAATATTGTTGATTGAAGCAATTATTATGATGGTGTTTGTAAAATGTTTGTCTTCAATTTTTTTTTCAGACCAGGTCTTGCTCTGTCACCCAGGGTCAGTGCAGTGTCTTTACAGTTCTTTATGTCCTTAGAATATATCCCAGTGAGGATAGTCACAGTACTATGTTCAAATGTTGCTTGGATTAATTCTTCGTGTGTGTGGTTTTGTTATCAATATGATTAATAATTAAATCAATTTGCTTATCTTAGTATTTAATTGTAGCTTTTGTTACTCTTGCTAATTAAGTTTTATTTTTTGAATATGCAAAACATTAACATGGTTTGAAATCCAAAGCTATATACAAACGGGATACTCTGAGAAATCTCACTCTCTTCTCTTTTACTTTTACATCATCACCACCCATCTGCTGTAGATGCCAATTTAATTAGTTTGTGGTTTATTTTTCCTGTGTCTGTTTTTGCAAAAATAAGAGGATACACACACACACACACACACACACACACATTATCCCTTCATCCTTACACAAAATGTAATATGTACTATGAAGCCTTTGCTTTTTTCACTTAATCACATGATCTGGAAGTTACTCAGTGTTAGTTAATTGTTATTTTCCTATTTTTTCATAGCTTCGATTGACCATATTTCATTCACGTAATCTTTCAAGTGTGGGCATTTAGGTTGTTTTTGGTATGTTGTGATTACACCTAATGCCACCATGAATAAATTCGTGCATGCCTTTCTCCCAAAATTAGTTGAGAAATGCCAAGAAGACTGGCAATTTAAAGGGTAAATGCATATTTAATTTTGATAGATATTACTGAATTCTCCACCATAGGGTTTGTACCATTTTGCATTCCCATTGGCAATGTATGACAGTAAATGTTTTCCCATAACCTTCCAAACAACTTACCATCAAGCTTTTGAATTTTTGCCAAACTGAGAGGTAAAAAATGGTATTTGAAAGCTTTAATTTGCATTTCCCTTATTATGTGTGGAGTTTAGCAATTTTTCTATGTTCAAAACTAACTGATACATCTTTTTTATGAACTTGTTTAAGCCTTTTGTGCCTTTTATCCATTGAATTTTTGGTGGCTTCTTCCATTCTATATTGTGAAGCCAGCTTTTCATCTACTATCTCATCTTCCCGTTATTATCCAAGGCAATAAAACACCAAGAGTGTTATGAATTGCTTAGGCCAATACACAGCAACTTATTTGCTAATGCTAGTATACTGTGTGACTCGTCTTATGACTTGAATAAGAGGAGGAGAGTTCAAAGGGACTTATGAAGATAACATTAAGTCTTTAAGTGCTTTTCTGAAACTCTTGGGGACAGGTGTTTCCAGAGTTTAGGCTTTTGTGAATTTTAGAAAGGTAATGGGTGTATATGCTGTATATTATGTAATATCATCCATCAGCTCTGGGATAGTACCACATAATCAAAGAAATATTTCTGGAGCAAAATGTATGAATATACTAAATGGGATAAATAAAACTATAAGCACCCTCACATCAACCCAGATCAGGTTTTGTGGTCAGATTAATTTAGGTAACGCCTGCTTTTGCCACCAAATGCTTAATAAATAAAACTCAGTTTCCAGAGTATTTTTGGATATGGGAATCATGGATAACAAATTGTAGACCTGTAGTTTATTAAACAAGCTACTTTGGGGTATTGTTTATTCAAGAAAGCTGTGTATCATTAAATAAATTCTTAAGAGAATCCTAAAGATAATTCCAGGAAAATGCCTATTTAAAAATCATAACAGCAAATTGTTTATACTAAGTTGACTATATTGAATAAACTCCCTTAAATATCAAACATCATAAACTCTATTTAATCAATATGAATAGGGAATTAAGTTGTGTGGTTGCTTAGAATTCTGAAATTGCATAAAACAGTTATTTTTTTCTTAGCTAGGACACATTTAATGTGAATTTTTAAAAAACATACAAAAATAACTTTCTTTTCTTCCAAATTACAGATGTGTTTGGTTATTTGTTTATTATCATTGTCCCTCAAGAATTATTTCATTCACTACTGTGTCTCAGTACCTAGCACAATGTCTGACTGGCTGTAGGTGCTTGATAATTATTTTAAATGAATTAATAAATGAAAGGAGATTACAAGAAGAAGACATAATAAGGGAAATGTAATTGTTCACTCATCTGCAATGAAAGTACAGGTTTTGAACAATAATTTAAAGGGCGGTGACACTCTACCTCTTCTTCCATACCAATTTAGATTTATCTAGAAATAGGCTGGGCATGGCACCTCATACCCGTAATCCAGCACTTCGGGAGGCTGAGGTGGAAGGATCACTTGAGGCCAGGAGTTCAAGAACAGACTGGGGAACATAAGGAGACTCTATCTCTTTAAAAAAAAACAAAAAAATTAGCCTGGCATGGTGGTGTGTGCCTGTGGTCCAAGCTACTCAAGGAGGCTGAGGTAGGAGGATTGCTTGAGCGTGGGAGGTCGAGGCTGCAGCCATAATTGTGCCACTGCTCTCCAACCTGGGCTACAGAGCAAGACTGTCTCTTAAAAAAAATGGAAGAAATGATTTATCTAGCAATAAACTCACATATATCTGGAGAGAACGACTACTTCTCTTGCAAAGAGGAAGAAGTCAACTTTGCTTGAACAGGTGGAAGTTAGTTACCTCAAGATGCCACTACTTTATGTCCCTTCTTTCCCAAATTATCACCCCTAAAAATAGATCATTAGAGAAAAATTAAAATATGCAACTTCTGTCATATTTTGCTTCTGTCTTCAACTTGCTGAACTGCCTTTCAAATACATTTCCCCTTTTTGCATATTTGCATTATTTTTCAGGCTAAAAATAATACATGCTCATGATAGAACATTTAGAAAAATTATAGACCATTTGGGAAACAAGGACAAATAGGAAGAAGGAAAAATAATTCACAGGCTCAACCCTCAGAGATGACTCATAATGTTTTAGTATGTTTTCCTCTAGTCATTCTTCTAAGTATATTATTTTTAATATACCATGTAGACAGTTTAAATCTTGTTTTCTAATCTTTTACACTATAAAGATGTTCCGTATTACTACAAAATTTAACGGACATTATTTTAAATAGAGGCATTAAATTCCATTACATGGAAACAACAACATTTTTCTTAACCTTTCCCCTAGTATTAGACAATTCAGTTGTTTCTGATGTTTAGATATAATAACACTTTAAAGATCAGATTGTAAATATCTTTTCTGTAATTGGCATTTTTTTTCTCAGAATAGTCTCCCAGGTGTGGAATTACTGGGTCAAATGAAATGAAGATATATAAACAAATTAGACATTCTTAAGCAATCTTTAAGAATTAGAACAAATCTAGATATCTAGGGATATCTAGCCTGATGAGACCATTTTGGTCCGCACAAGTAGCTCATAACATGAACCTGGAAACATAACCCAGAGGAACTCCATTACCCACTTGCAGTGTATGGCTTTTGTTCTGAACCACTAATTATACTCTGAAATTGAGGCAGTTTTGTCAAGCAATGAGGCAATCTGGATGCTTGTCAATAAGAATGTGTTAACAAATTGCCAAGGAGATGTCTTCATTATGTTTGCATTGGGCTGTGTTCAATTTACCCCTTATTTCACTGAAACAGTCATTGCCTTGTGTTTTAAAACACCAATATTTCACTTTTCACTGCCTTAATCCTAAACCTATTAGAATTCCCTTGGGGGATTTTGAAAACCCAGCAGCATTATGGCTTACTGTTGCACATTTGCCATCTAGTGGCTAAAGTGAAAAATTGCAGACTTACACCCTCTCTCTAGTTGGGGGAAGAGGACACTTAGAGCCTGTTTTTCTCAAGAAACCCATAGTGGTGGAAAGCACAAACTGTCAATAATACTCAATAAGGATGGGTAGGATTGCTATACAGGATGTACCTATGTGCAGTTAGGAGAAGAGCCTGTGCCAAACGGAGATAGAACTCGGAGGATATCACAGAGCTTTTTCCCAACAAATGTTACCTCCTTATTCCTATGCCCCAAAAACTCACTGTTCTCAGTGAAATCAGACTCAAAGGAAAATTAAGGTTAGCCTTGAAATTTAAAACAAATCATCAAGGGCACCATGATGTTATGCATGGAAAAAGGGAAGATGTCTTTGTTTGTACTGTTAGAATAGCTGAGACTGGGTAATTTACAAAGAACAGAAACTTATTTCCCACAGTTCTGGAGGCTGGGAATTTCTAGACCAAAGCACCAGCAGGTTCAGTTGTTTGGTAAGAACTGTTCTCTGCTTCTAAGATGGCTCCTTACTGCTTCATCTTCTAGAGGGGAAGAAATGCTGTTTTCTCACATGGCAGAAGGTTGAAGGTCAAGGAGGCTGAACGTCGTGTGAAGTCACTTTTATAAGAGCCTTAATCCCATTAAAGACAGAGAGGAGCCCTCCGGCCTAATCACCTCTTCAAGGCCTTATCTCTTAATGCCATCACATTGGCAACACCTGAATTTTGGAGGCTACACATTCAAACCATAGCAGAAAGTGACCTCATTTGCTTTGCTATAGAGACTGGGTGTTTATTAGTAGATTGTTTTAATATGAGACTCAGATCTTTTAGTTACCATCTTGTAATGTTCCTTTCTTTCTCTCTCCTGGCAGTCTGTTTGAGTTAACTTCCAGTCAAATAGAATGTGCTATGAAAACACAGTTGCCCAGATTTACTGTTTCTTTGAATAAATAGGATTGGTAACTTTCTATCTGCTTTCTAACTTTTTTTCAAATTATTTCAACCTAGTCAAATGACATACAATTTTGAGAATGTAGACCATGCAAATTGTACAAGAAATTCTCTCTTAAGACATTCAATGAAGATGCTCAGATTTTGGGAGAGTCAGTAAATATAGAGATGAAGTGTGTGGGGGTGGTGAAGCATTCTTTCAAAAATAAGCTGTGAAAATTGTTAAGAACTGAGCTGATATTCAAATTTACACAGAATTTTCTTTTTCCTTCAGTCATGCCGGCCTTGGGAAGGGTAAAGAAAATATTAAAAAGTGGGTGAAGTTAGAGGTAGTGAAACATTTTCAATAGTAGCAGATTAACAAGCAGTATTGCGTTTGAACTATTTTTGTGTAGCCAGTTATACATACCATTTATATAAATTTACAAATTGAAAAAGAAAACTTACCCTAAAATGAGCCAAATGCAGAAGGCCTCCCACCTCCACCTCAAAATATTTTGATACATGTGTTCCATAATCACTCTATATCCAAGCACCAGCAGGTTCGATTTTTTAGTAAGAACTGCTCTCTGCTTGAATGAATGTCACTGGACATTCATTCAACAAGCAGCTACTAAATGCACTTGAAAATTTAAAGATATATGTATGTATACCTTTGACCCAGCAAACCTATTGCTTAGAATCTACTGTTTGATTATACTCACAAAAGTATGGCAAGATATGGTTACCAGTATGTTCACTGCAACATTGTTTGAAATAGCAAAACACTGTTAATGATCCATTGACAGTGATAAGGTTATACTAATTTAAGTTAAAATTCCTCATTACAATGGAATAATATGTATCTATTAAAAAGAATGAAGCAGAATTCTACGTGCTCATATAGAAAGCTCTCCAAATTACAATAAGTGAAAAGCAAGGCATAATACAATAATATCTGTATATGTAATCTAATATATACACACATATACAACCATATGGTGTCAGACATTCATTAAGACAATTTCCCACTGCTAGAGGTTACTTAAAAACACAAGAAGTATGACCAAAACGAAGCCCTATTGAGTCAGATCATGAAATTCTTTAAGGTCTTCAAAGCCTAGTTTTAAAAAGTCTGACCCTTGGTCTGAGTTGTTCCCATGTGTACCATCCTGAAAATGGAGGAGTAAAGAGAAATGTCAAGTATTTATCCTGACTTTTCTTGAATGAGCCATATCTGAAGATAATGAAGTCTGGAAGAACAGTAGCATTTTGAGGAAATGACTTAAGGTCCCAGGATTTGCTTTATTATTCAAAGTGAGCCCTAAATTCAGATGCTGGAGTTTTTATCCAGCATCCTCTTACCATACTTTGGAGTTTCCTTTTTACTTATCTTGAGTGTCTGATTCCATTATGTTGCCAACTCACTCCAATTAATATTTGGTGAAGAAAATTGAGTGCATAACACTTACTGATTGCTTATTTAGTTACATGCATTATGCGAAGTACTCATTAATCTCCACAGCTACCCTTTGAGATAGGTACTAGTATGTTTCTCATCTTACAAATGAGAAAATACACTTTGATGCTCTACTTAGTGGGGGCCTCTTTAATTACTACATATATGACCTGGACGCTCTTGTCCCCTTTCTTACTTTTATGAAAATGTTTTTGTCCTATGAGCCAGGCACGGTGGCTCATGCCTGTAATCCCAGCACTTTGGGAGGCTGAGTTAGGTGGATCACCTGAGGTCAGGAGATCGAGACCAGCCTGGCCAACATGGCCAAACCCCATCTCTACTAAAAATACAAAAATTAGCCAGGTGTGGTGGCGAGCGCCTGTAATCCCAGCTACTTGGGAAGCTGAGGCGGGAGAATCACTTGAACCTGGGAGGCAGAGGCTGCAGTGAGCCGAGATCATGCCACTGCACTACAGCCTGGGTAATAGAGTGAGACTCCATCTCAAAAAAAAAAAATGTTTTGTGCATTTATTCCCTTAGAAGCATGTACATTTTTCAAAGGTTGTGTGTTAATCTGTAGAAAGGTATTTATGCTTGATTGGAGGTTAGCGTGTCACCCTTATTTGAAAATATTTACTCATTAAACAGAAGATTTCTGCAGACACAGCTTGTATTTAATTTCTCATTAATCAATTTACATGATGGGGACTAGAGATCTCTTAGAACTTTGTTTTGTGGAGTATATAGACATTAGTCAAATAATTCATAGACACATATAACTTTAAACTCTGATAAATGCTATGAAGGCAAAACAGGGTGGTCAGTGACAATCTGGTGGATTAGATAGAGAGGGCTTCCCTGTGGAAGTGAAGTTTGTCTCCACAAATGAAGGAAAAGAAGGAGTAAACTAGGAAAATTGGGAGTGGGGGTATTCGAGCCATAAGAATATCATGGGCAAATACTCAGGCGTGGCTGGGAGTCTAATGATCCAGGAAATGAAAGAAGGTCTGAGTGGCTAGGACATAGAGCACTGTGCTGAGAATGGTGGGCCAAGAGACTGGAGAGGTAGGCACAGACCAGAAACTGTGTGAAATCTGAGAGAAGTAAACAGAAAATTTTACAGTTGGATAGATAATTAAAAATTGTGGTGTTAAGTGCTATAAATGACATGAGCGCTAAGAGAAACCTCTGAAGCATACTTTGAAATTCAGGAAAGACTTCCCAGAAAATGTGAGCCATGAAGAATGACAAGGCATTAGCTAGGATATCAGGAAGGAACGGTGGTGGTTAATAGTGTCCCAGGTAGAGGGAACAGCAAAGGCCTGGATATGAGAGATAGCGCAGCAAGGTTAAGGAACTGAGGAATAAGGAGCCTTATTAAAATGCTATTTTAAAATGCTGACCTTGGGCCGAGTGCAGTGGCTCACGCCTGTAATCCCAGCATTTTGGGAGGCCTAGGCGGGTGCATTGCTTGACCCCAGGAGTTTGAGACCAACCTGGGCAATATAGCAAAACCCTGTCTCTACCAAAAAAATGTTTTAAAAATTAGCTGGGTGTGGTGGCACACGCCTGTGGTCCCAGCTACCCGGGAGGCTGAGGCAGGAGCAACATTTGAGCCCAGGAGGAGGAGGTTGCAGGGAGCCGAGATTGCACTCCAGTCTGAGTGACAGAGTGAGATCCTGTCTCAATTAAAAAAAAAAAATGCCGACCTTCGCTGACCGGGGAGAAAGTTGGGGGCAACAGTGGATGTAGAGGAAAAGACTGTTGGCATAATTCAGGCTGAAACAAGTAAACTACGGCAGTGGCAGCAATGGAAGAAAGTAAGAGTCTGATTATATAGATATTAAACAGGACGAATGGCTGCTTGCTTGGTGAACTATTATGGAGGAAGGGTGAGGAAGACAAAGAAGCCAGGTTTCTCATGGGGGTTACTGGGTGGCTTAAGATCCTGTTCCTTTTGTTACAATGAAGGAGGATCCTAATGGGAAGCTTGAGTTGAAGGAGTTTAATATGAGTCATGTTAAGTGTTACGCATCTGTGGACCACTGAAGTGAACATGTCCATTTGAGAGATGTGCATTTTTGCCTCTATAACTAAGGACAGATATGTAGGCTGCAGTTATAGATGTAGGCATCATCAGTATATTGAAGGTATAGAAATGGATGATATAGCTCAGAGAGAATGTGCAGAATCAAAAGAGGGCTTAGAAAATTTTTTTGAAAACAATACTATTTAAGAGGCAGAGAGGAAATAAGGAGCCTCTGAAGGAAAGTGACTAAGCAGCTAGAGAAGAAAAACTAGGAGAAAGTGATGTCACAGAATCTAAAGAAGGCAATGTAAGAAGAAGGGAACGATCAGCATTGACAGATGAAATGGAGAAATCAAATAAGGTAAATACAGAGAAGTATTCATTAGGTACACAACGAAAAATTTCTAGGTGACCTTTACACAAGCAATTTCATAGAAGTGGCTGGAGCCAGAGGGTAGCGGGATTAGGAATAAGGAACAGGTAAAATAATGAAGATCATAAGACCAGATAACCCATTCATGAGGTTTGGTTGTTACAAGTATGAGATACGTGGAAAATGTGGAGGGTTTTTGTTTGTTTGTTTAATTGATTTTTTTTTTTTTTGCTGTTGTTTTTTACATGGAAAGAGGTTTAAGAAGATATAAGTGGTGATGAGAAGGTGTCAATATAGAAGAGACTGAAGATCAAGGAGGGAGGATAATAAAGATAGGTTGCTGAAATGAGGGGGGAAATAGGAGGCAGATTATAGGTGGAAGGATTATTGTTACTATTGTTACAAAGGATGCCGGATATTGCTTTGATTCTAAAAAGTGAGGAGGGGAAGAATATACAGATAATATTCCAGAACTGATGGCAATACCGTAACGCAATACCTTTCTCATATTTTCTTAATGAAGAAGAATTCACATTCATCTGATCAAAGGGAGGGAAATAGATGGCAAAGCAGAAATTTGAGCAGAATGGAGAATAGCCACTGTGGAGAATGGGAGACATAGTTGATGAAGGTAAAAAGATTATTTATTGTTACTGTGGCTCTCTTTAGGTTGGATCTGTATTGGTGGCAGTTGGTATGATGGTGTGAGTTTTGTCTCATGTTCAGTAATCAGAAGATAGTACAGAGAATACAAAGTTAGACCCGGGTACAGCTACATCAAATAATTATGCAAGTTGTCCATTAAACTACCCTAGAGAGTAACACTTATGTTTTAAGCTTGTTTGTTTCCTTTTCAATTATTTTCTTCGGAGGCTACACCTTTAAAATGGCATTTTCATCAGATGTTGTAAGCTTACTTAGTATCTAGTGAATTTCCTACTGGAGACCTCAAACAACTTGATACTATACCATATATTTTGTGCTGTGGTTCCACAAAATCAATATGGTTTAGGGACTGTGTTAGGGCCTTTAGTGGTCTGAACCACACAACCTCTGAACAACCCGCATAAGTATATTTGGTAGTCCTGACAAAATTGGCTTCTTGCCAGGTGAATACAGTGAAAGGATAAAGAAGAAAGGAACTTGAAAATATTGTAAAGATAATAAAGTGATAGTCTATGGAAACTAACTTGGATCGGAAATAAGTTAATGGCAAAAGGGATAAAGTAAGGGACTAACAATATTGGAAGTGCCTATAGGCTGAAGAACAAGTATAATGAACATTCCTATTGTATGTCTCATGCATCTCAAGAGGGCAATTCCAATATGCCACCCAAAGGCCCTAACACTATATCTAAACCATATTTATTTCGTGGAACTACAGCACAAAATATATGGCATGGCATCAAGTTGTTTGAGATCTCCAGTAGGAAATTCACTAGATACCAAATGAGCTTGCAACATCTGGTGAAAATGGCATATTAAAGGTGCAGCCTCAGAAGAAAATAATTAAAAAGTAAACAAACAAGCCTAAAGTGCTTCTTAGCCTCAGAATTCTGTAATAAAGTACCTACATAAATAAGAAAAAAGAACTTGACTCTTTTCCTTCAGTTCTCTTATTTCCAAACGCTTAAATCGTGTAGTTTCAGAAGTATAGTAATTTCATTATGCTTTGTGAATGCTTGATTTATCAAAGACATTTCCCAGATAAAATTTGAACTCTAAGTGATATATGTTGACTTTAATAATAAAAATAAATAAAAACCCGGCTGGGGGTGGTGGCTCACACCTGTAATCCCAGTACTTTTTGAGGCCGAGGCAGGTGGATCACTTGAGGTCAAGAGTTCAAGACCAGCCTGGCCAACGTGATGAAACCCTGTCTCTACTAAAAATACAAAAAATAGCTGGATGTGATGGTGCGTGCCTGTAATCTCAGCTACTCGGGAAGCTGAAGCAGATGAACCACTTGAACCTGGGAGGCGGAGGTTGAAATGAGCCAAGATTACACCATTGCACTCCAGCCTGGGAGACAGAGTGAGACTCTGTCTCAAAAAAAATAAATTAATTGATTAAATAAAATAAAAATAAATTTAAAAACCCTCTGAGTTGATATAGAAAAGTCAGGAAGACAAATATAGACTAAAGTTATTAATCAAAATATATTATTAAATCATTATTTGCCAATGCAATGCTTGGATTAATTATATTATTGCTCTATTGTGATTGATGAGTTAATTTATAATTTATAACTTAAATTTTCTGTATGATGGTGAAAAGCAAAATATAGAATTTAACATTTTTTTTTAAATGTGTGGTCTAAAATATTATGAATATATGCCTAACCATCATTTTGCTGTTTCATTTCTTTTGTTTATGCTGTATGCAAATAGACTGTCAATCAAGAATTTCACAATCTATTCCTCAGGTTGAATGGTTCTGGAGAGCCTAAGATCAGATTCTGACCCTCATATCTTTATATAAACCATATAAATGATATCTGTGAATCTTCTTCCCTATTAATCCTAATTTAAAGCCATAACAAAATAATAAATTGAAAAGTAAACAGTGTGGCATAAACCATTTATTTGAAGTCACACAGACCAGAAAAGACAAATTGAAACTTCTCTAAAGGAGAAATTAATTAAATTGAGTTTTTGTGTGTGTGCAGTTCAAAGATAAAAATTATTTTACTACCCTCAGTCTCCTTGGGACTTTTGGCAAGGGCACACAGAAAACATGGGAAATTCTTTCTAAAAAGGTAAAAATATTATTATTGGATTTGCTACTGAAGGGCCAGTAAGAAACCCCAAATAAACATTTTTTAAATGATTGAAATCAATCTTATTTGACAATAAGATTAATGCACTTTGACAATCTTATTTGACAATAAGATTTAATGCACTTTCTTCAAAGTGCATTAAAATAATTCAAGTGTGTGAACAATGAAATTTCCTGAAACATAATATAATTACCCCCACCTGTAGCAATGAATCAAAATATGTGGTCAGTGGGGATAGGAAACAAGTGTTTTAACAACATCAGAAAATGAGTTTTATATGTATTCTTCACCAATTTTTTTTATGTGTGTGTGGTATTATTTTAGAAGAGATTGGAAAGCAGGAAACCATAATCTTGAGTTTCTCATTTTTGCAGGTGTCTACTACAAGTTTTGTGACCCTTTTATTGCATATAATTAATTTGCAAGCTGAACAGTTTTCTTAAAGCCTATTTTCCTTTGCAGCTTGGGACTGAGTGAGTGGAAGAATTTTACCTAAATGTTACACTTAAATTGAGGTTTCAAAGAAGCATATGAATGGATAAGGCTTTAACTATATAGTAAAGTTGAAGAAAAAATGTTCACCGTGTAAAGCAAAGATCTTTTTTCCATGTGAACTTGACTTTTTCATTCTTTTCATTATCTGATTTAAATTGACACTCACATAGAAATGTATTTATATGATCTCTCTCTCTCTCTCTCTCTCTCTCTCTCTCTCTCTGTCTACTAACTTTAGGAGCCTCAGAGTTTAAACTTGAATTCTGAAGCTATAAAACTACGATTCCTTTGATTTGGAAACATAAACTAGTAGAAGACAATTGTATTGGAAATTCTGGCAGAAATCCAGCCTTATTGAACAAAGTACCAATTACGCATCTCTGGCTTATCTACAGTTTTGTCCATGTGTTTGTATGGCATTGTGTCCATTCATAATAAAATATGCCAGTTTTACAGGGCACTAACTACTAAGAAAGGATGGATCCAGATGGGTTATCTGAATAAATGGCATGAGTGCTATTACCTTGGAAAAATGCCACCTCTCTGTGATAACTCTCATTGATAGGCTATGTTTTCTTAATTATTCCTGTGTTGTGTCATTGGCTACATATATAATCTTTCATCATGAGAAGAAAATACCACCTTGGATTTCATGATCTCTTCAGCGTGCTTCTCTCTGAAATACTAGAAAGTGCATGACCAAACTGTGAAAATAGAGTTGATATGTAAGAAATATTATTCATTTGAAGGAAAGCTAAACAGCATCTATAACAAAGGCAGAAGACAGTAATAAATAGCACGTAGTCCCCATACTCATACTACATTCTTCAGTGGCTTTTCATTTGGAAGAACAAGAGAGGTATTACCTTATATGTATACTATATAGGGACCTTATATTTATACTATTTGCATGAGTCTGGAATAAACTATAGCAGGAACACAAAAGGGAGGATGAACCTATTTCATTATAAGGATATGAGTACAATGGCCTGCTAACATGACAGTAATTTAGCATGAAAACATTACCCCCCCCTTTTTTCCTGTATGGAGTACATATCATAACTTTGCCTCTGTATGGCAAAATTGGCAGATAGACTTGTCACCAGCATTGATATAAATACAGTCTTAGTCATTGATGCTCAACTACCTACTCAGAAGATAGTGTAGTGAGGCTACTAAACACACAATTTTAGGTTTTGCAACTTAACCAGATGTTCCCTAAAATGTTGTAAACACATTATTGGTGTGGTTTTTATGAATAGACAACCTCAGAAGTGACATCAGCAAGATGGTGGAATAGGATTCAATTTGAACAATTGTCCACACATGAAAACACCTTCATAGGCGCTAAGGAATCCAGATGAGAGATTACAACACCTAGAGGAAACACATAAATAGGAAAAAAAATGCACTGAAAAGGGTAAGAAGAACAGTTTCAGATTACCCACATCACCTCTCCCCCAAGTCTAGGCAGCACAGCGTGGAGAGAGATACTCTCCTGTATTAGTCTGTTTTCATGTGGCTGATAAAGACATACCTGAGGTTGGGTAATTTATAAAGAAAAAGAGGTTTAATGGACTCACAGTTCCACATGGCTGGGGAGGCTTCACAATCATGGTGAAAGGCAAGGAGGAGCAAAGTCAAGTCTCACATGTTTGGCAGCAGGCAAAGAGAGAATAAGAACCAAGTAAAAGGGGCTTCCCCTTATAAAACCATCAGATCTTGTGACACTTATTAACTACCACGAGAACAGTATGGGGGAAACCGCCCTCATGATTCAATTATCTCCCACCCAGTTTCTCCCACAATACATGGGAATTATGGGAGCTACAATTCAAGATGAGATTCGGGTGGGGACACAGCCAAACCATATCATCTACCCATGGGGAAAGGAGAGTGAAGTAAGCATCCAATGTTACTGCAAACCTCAGCACTCGGCCTGTCCCAATAATACCCAGTAACAAGCCAGTCCCCATAGCCCCAGGCTCCAGGCTGGCTCCTGTGGCTCAAGGTTCTAGGCCTGACCTAGCCCAGGATGGTCTCCAAGCTCCAGGATCCAAGCTTACCCCAGGAGACCCAGGTTCCAGGCCTGCCTCAGGAGTAGGCCAACGCCTGCATACTCCAGCTCCAGGCTCACCCCTGTGGTGCCAGGCTCCAGGCCCACCTCAGTGCTAAGTTGGTCCTCTTGGCCTTAGGCTCCAGGCTGGCCACTACAGCTCCAGGGTCCAGGGCAGCACCTATGGACCCAGCTTACAGGCCTACCCCAGTGGGAGATGGCTTCCACGGGTCTAGATTATAGGCCAAACCCCATGGAAAAAGGCTGCAGGCGCCCCTCCATGAACCCAGGCTCCACACCTGTCACCATAAACTGTATAAACAGGCCCAACCTAGTGGATACATTAACAGGAGGAAAGATACAAATCATATGATTAACTCAATAGAGGCAGAAAAGGCATTTGATAAAATTCAATATCTGTTCATGAAAATACTCTCAATTAATTAGGTAGAGAAGAAATGTACTTCAATATAACAAAGGCCCTATATAACAAGCACACAGCCAACACCTTTCTCAATGGTGAAAACATGAAAGTTTTTCCTGTAATATCAGGAATGATTCAAAGAAACCTACTCTCAACACTCCTATTAACATGGTACTAGAAGTTCTAACCAGAGCAATTAGGCAAGAAAAAGAAATAAAAGACATCCAAATCAGAAAGGAAGATGTGAAATTGTCTCTGCTTGCAGATGACATGGTGTTATATACAGAAAACCATAAAGACTCAACCAAAAAAAAATTGGTAGAACTAAGTCAGCAAAGTTTCAGGATATAAAGTCAACATACAAAATCTGCTGCATTTCTACATCCAAACAATGAAGTATCCAAAAACAGTTAAGAAAATAATTCTATTTACCATAACATCAGAAAAGTAAAATACTTAGAAATAAGTTTAATTCAAAAGGTAAAAGGTCTATGCATTGAAAACTATTCAATTTTGATGAAATAAATAGAAGCAGACACAAATAAATGGAAAGATAACCTGTGTTGATGGATTGGAAGAATTCATATTATTAAAATATCTATACTACCCAAAGCTTTCCACAGATTCAATGCAATTCCTATAAAAATTCCAATGGCATTTTTCACAGCAATAGAAAAAATAATCCTAAAATGTATATGGAACTGCAAAAGATCCAAATAGCCAAGAATCCAAATAGCCAAAACAAATCTGAACAAACAGAACGAAGCTGGAGGCATCATACTTCCTGATTCAAAATATATTACAAAGCTATATTAATCAAAACAGTATGATAATGGCATTAAAAACAAATATATACATCACTGAAACAGAATAGAGAGCCCAGAAATAAATCCACACATTTAAAGTCAATTGATCTTTGACAAAGGGGTCAGGAACACGCAATGTGGAAAGGATAGTCTCTTCAATAAAGGGTGTTAGGACAACTAGGGATCCACTTTCAGAGGAATGAAATTAGACCCTTGCAACATATACAAAAATGAATTCAAAATGGATTAAAGACTTAAATGTAAGGCCCAAAACTACAAAATTACTAGAAGAAAACATAGTGAAAAAGATTCTTGGCATTGGTCTAGGCCCTGATTTTTTGGATGTGACCTCAAAATCACAAGCAACAAAAGCAAAAATAGAGAAATGCTATTGTGTCGAGCTAAAAAGCTTCTGCACAAAAGAAACAATTAGCAGAGTGAGGAGACAACCTATGGATTGGGAGAAAATATTTGCAAACCGTACATCCAATAAGGAGTTAATATCTGAAATATACAAGGAATTCAAACAACTCAACAAAAACAAAATCCCAATAACCTGATTTTAAAATGAGCAAGAGGTATGAATAGACATTTCTCAAAAGAAAACATATAAATGGCCAATAGTTATACAAAAAAATGCTTAACATTGCCAATCATCAGGGAAATGCAAAGCAGAACTACAATGGGCTATTACTTCACATCTGTTAGAATGTCTATTATCAAAAAGACAAGAGATAGGAAATGTTGGTGAGGATATAGAGAGGGGAAATCCTTATACACTGGTGGGGGTGGTAAATTGGTACATCCACTATAGAAAACAGTATGGAGGTTCTTTTAAAAAATAAAAATAGAACTACCATATGAACCAGCAACTGTACTTCTGAATATATATACTATATATATAGTATATATAATATATATTTTATATATTATATAATATATAAAATATATATAATATATATTTTACAATATATAAATATATAAATATACAATCAATATATAAATATAAATAAATATTAACTATAAATAAAAATAGAATATTAAACATAAATAAATATATAAATATTATAAAATTATATAAATTATAATATATATTTATATATTATATAATTCTATGATACATAAAATATAATTTATATATAAATTATAATATATATTTTATATATTATATATTATACATAATATATAATATATGTTAAATATATGATATATATTTTAAATATACTATATATATTTTATATATAATATATACTATATTTTATATATAGTATATATTATATATCTACTTTATATATAATATATATTATATATATTTTATATATAATATATAATACATCTTATATATTTTATGTAGTATATATTATACATTTTATACATAAAATATATTTTATACATTATATATTATATATTTTATATACAAAATATATTTTACACATTATGTTATATATTATATATAATATATATTTTATATATTATATATAATACATATTTTATATATTATATATGATATATATTATATATATTATATATGATATATATTATATATTATATATATTTTCTATATTATATATGTTATATAAAATATTTTATAAAACATATATTATATACCTTATATACATAATATATTTCATATTATATATTATATATTTCATATGTACAACATATTTTATATAATACATATTATATATTTCATATATTATATATTTTATATAATATATATTATACATTTTATATGTTATATATTTTATATATAAAATGTATTTTAAATAATATATATTACATATGTTATATATAAAATGTATTTTATATATATATTATATATTTTATATATAAAATGTATTTTATATAATATATATTATATATTTTATATATAAAATGTATTTTATATAATATATATTATATATTTTATATATAAAATGTATTTTATATAATATATATTATATATTTTATATATAAAATGTATTTTATATAATATATATTATATATTTTATATATAAAATGTATTTTATATAATATATATTATATATTTTGTATATAAAATGTATTTTATATAATATATATTATATATTTTATATATAAAATGTATTTTCTATAATGTATATATTATATATAATATATAAAATATATTTTCTATAATGTATATATTATATATAATATATAAAATGTATTTTCTATAATGTATATATTATATATAATATATAAAATATATTTTCTATAATAGATATTATATATAATATATAAAATATATTTTCTATAATAGATATTATATATAATATATAAAATATAATATATATAATAGATATATATAATATATAAAATATATTATATATAATAGATATTATATATAAAATATGTTATATATAAAAGATATTATATATAATATATAAAAGATATTATATATAATGGATATTATACATAATAT